>NC_000023.11:62462542-63712542 GCF_000001405.40 Homo sapiens | reverse complement strand
TGTATACACATATTGTGGAATGATTAACATATCATCATCTCGCATACTTATCATTTTTTGTAGTGAGAACATTTAAAACTGTACTTTCTTAGCAATTTTCCAATAATAATAGTATTCTATTACATAACTATGCCATATTTTGGTTTATCCATTCATCAATTAATGAACATTTGGGTTGTTTCTACTTTTGGTTGTTATGTATAATGCTACTATGAACATTTGTGTACAAGAATTTGTGTGAGCATGTGTTTTTATTTCTCTTGAGTACGCACCTACGAGTGGAATTGTTGAATCATATGGTAACTATATGCTTAACTTTTTGAGGAACTGCCAAAATATTTTCCACAGCAGCTCTACCATTTTACATTCCTGCCAGCAGTGCGTGGGAGTTCCAATTTCTTCACATGCTCGTCAATACTTGTTATTGACCTTTTAAATTATTACAGCCATTCTAGGACGTGTGAAGTGGTATCTTTTTATGGTTTTGGTTTGCATTTCTCAGATGGCTAATGATATTGAGCATCTTTTCATGTATTTATTGGCCATTTATATGTCTTCTTTGGAGAAATGTCTATTCAGATATTTTGCCCATTTTTAAGCGAGTTGTTACTTTATTGTTAAGTTACATATATTCTGAATACTACATCTTTATCAGATATATGATATGCAGATATTTTTCCCATTACTGGGTTGCCTTTTCACTTTATTGATGGTATCATTTGTAGCACAAAGTTTTTAATTTTGTTGAAGTCCACTTTATTTTTGCTTGGTTGCTTGTGTTCTAGGTGTCATATCTAAGAAACTATTGTCTAATGTTACAGATTTTCCTCTATGTTTTCTTTAATGACTTTTATAATCTGATTCCATTCAGATATTTCATCCATTTTGATTTAATTTTTGTGTATAGTGTAAAGTAGGAGCCAAAGTTCATTCTCCTGCATGTGGATATCCAGTTGTACCAGCACCATTTGTTGAAAAAACTATATTTTCCCCCTTGAATAATCCTGGCACCTTTGACAAATATCAATTCAGCATGAATGTAGGATATATTTCTGGACTCCTGGTTTTATTTCATTGATCTTTATATCTATTCTTGTGCCAGTCCCCCATTCTCTTGATTACTGTAGGTTTGTAGTAAGTTTTGAAATCAGAAAGTGTGAGTCCTCCAACTTTATTCTCCTTTTTCAAAATTGTTTTGGTTATCCTAGGTCCCTTGAAATTCCATACGAGTTTTAGTACCAGTTTTTCAATTTTCTGCAGACACCAGGTGAGATTTTGATAGGTATTGCGTTGAATCTGAATTAATCTGAGGAGTATTGCTATATTAGCACCATTAAATCTTCCAATCCATGAATAGGAGAGGTTTTTCTATATAGTTCTTCTTTACTTTCTTTCAATAATGCTTTGCAGTTTTCATTGTATAAGACTGCACTTCTTTTGTTAAATTTATTCCTATGTATTCTTTCTTTTCCTATTTAAATGTGATCATTTTCTTAATTTAACTCTCAGATTGTTCATTGCTAGTATATAGAAACATAATTGATTTTTATATCCTGCAACATTGCTGAACTTATTTATTCATTATAAAAGGTTTTTTTTTGGTGGATTCCTTATGATTTCCTGTATATCACGTTATATGATCTGTGACTAGAGATAGTTTTACTTCTTTCTGATGCAATGTCTTTTATTTCTTTTTTTGTCCAATTGCTCTGGCTAGAACCTTCAGTATAAGGTTGAATAAAAGTGATGAAAGTGAATATCCTTGTCTTGTTCTTGATTGTAGGATGAAAGCCTTCAGTCTTTCACCATTAAATATGATATTAACTATGGATTTTTTATAAATGTTCATTATTATTTGGAGAAAAGTTCCCTTCTATTTCTAGTTTGTTTAGTATTTTTTTTTTAATCATGAAAGGGTGTTGGATTTTGCAAATGCCTTTTCTGTGCCTGTTGAGATGATCATGTGGGATTTTGTAACCTTATTTCACTCATATGGTGTAATTTACATGGACTGATTTTCATATGTGAAGCAACCTTCCATTCCTGGAATCGCATCTGGTAAGGTGGGCAATTTGTTTTTAATATGTTGCTGGATTTGGTTTGCTAGTATTTTATTGAGGATTTCTATATTTTTGTTATTTGGAAGGGTTTGTGAAAGATTGATGTTAGTTATTTTTTAAATGTTTGGTAGAATTCACCAGTGAAGCCATCTAGTCCTGAGGTTTTTTTTTTTTTTTTTTTTTTTTCTCCCATGTGGGAAGTTTTCAAGATTGAATGAAATTATTTATTAAATCTTTTTCTTGTTATAGGTCTTCTCAGATTTTCTACTTCTTCTTGAGTCAGTTTCTGTAGGTTGTGTCTTTCTAGGACTTTATCCATTTCATCAGGTTATGTAATTTATTGGCATACAATTGGTCATAATATTCCCTTTAATTCTTATTTCTGTAAGACTGGTAGTAATATTTCTTCTTTCATCCATGATTTTAATAATTTTAATCTATTTTTTCTATTTTAACTTTTTGCAAGGCAAATGTGTTCTTGTATAATGTATAATTTTAAAAATAGAAAAAAAAATGGAAGGCACAAAATAAAAATGCACATTAAAGATATGGGTATATTGCTAACTCCCTGGCTGTCTCTGTGGGTATCAGTTTCTTTATTACGAAATTGAGAGGATGGATTACTGTTGCTGAAGTTTTTGAAAGCCTTTGGACTATAGTATTTCTATGTTTGAGCATGGGATTAAAGGACATAGATGAGAATATTTGTGGACGGAAAATAGACCAGTCTGGGAGGAACCCAATATTCCTAAAGGAAGTAGTAGGAAGTAAGAGTGGAAATACAGATTGGAGTCAGATTATGGTAATATTTTAATGTCAGGGTGAGGGATTTGGACTTGCTTTATAATCAGTGGAGAGCTATTAAGGATTTTGGGTTTATGGGATTAGCCAGTCAATGTGATAGTCAAGGAAATTGGTCTAATAGTGGTATGTGGGAAGGGTAAAAGCTAGAGGATCACCCAGGGACTTGTTCAGGTATAAAAGTATGAGAGCAATGACAGTGAAAATAGAAAAGGGAGTAATAAAGACCAGAGATTGTCTCCAATTTGGAAAGCACTCCGTGGTTTAGAAGGAGGAGGGAGGAGTGAGTTGTCTTGCTCATCCTCATGTCCTTCACAGTTAGTGGTTAGGCACAGAATAGGTCCAAAGTATTTGTTAAATTGAACTGCATTAATCAGCCTTGCTTCGGAGTTCAGTGAAGTTCAAAGGCTGGTTTCCCCAGCCTTTAAGCACTCTAAGAGGACTTCCAGGACAGCCTTTCAACCTGGCATGTTCCAGGCATTGTCTATCTTCTTACTTGTCACCCAGGCATCTATATGTGCTAATTGCAGCATCAATGAAGAAAAGGTACACATTAGCCTGCACGGATTGTTGGGCAGGGTTGATAATGGCTCTCTGGTCTGATATTTCAACCAGGGCAGATAAGCATATGGGCTGACCTGTGTCAGTGCACTCTGACATACATGCAGACAAAGACCTTCCTCTGTACAGAACAGATAAGCTCTCAAGAGCAGAGGACTTAGAGGTTAGACCAGAAAGTCTTATCATTAGGCCCGGGGGATGTTTTGTGGGAACCTGGGATCAGGAGAAAAACAGTTAGGCCTTATATGCCACCTTTTTCTAGGCTAAGAAACATCTTCCCTCAAATGTCAGCTCTATAAAGGGCAGTGATTTCTGTCTTTTTTATTTGCTGTTGTATCCCTAATACCTGGCACATTATCCACACTTGGCATAGATTTAATGAATGAATGAATCTGTTAGTAGTTCTTTGGGATGAAAGCAGCATCTTAACCTAAGGAATGGGCTTCTGGGGTTGTTGCAGTAGAGTAGATGAAGGTGTCTTCTCAGAAGCTCCTTATGAAGGACCCTGCTACACAGGCCTTTAGTTATAACCAGAAGGACTTCTCTACCAAATTCTTTATAAGGAATCTGTTTTCACTTGGCTGCAGTTGCCTTCGTCTTTTCTCATTGTTATTTGGAACGACAGTGTCATGGTGTATAGCTTGAACCTAAATGTGGTTCTATTTCTGCCTTTACATCTGCTTCCCCTTTCCTTCATATCCTGTCTTCATTCCCACTAGAATTGTTCAAAATATTCATCTTATTCCAGCTATCCAAAAGTGAACATTTGGACCTGACTTTTCTTAAACTCCTAAGAAGAAAAGAAATGATTCTTATTCCTTAAAGGCCTGCCTATGTTACCCTTTCCATAGCAGAGTTTAGCTTGCTTTGTGAGAAGCAGGGAAAAGCTAATGGATTATTAAGAGGGTGAGGTTTTCATTGGTACAAATAGACAGCATCATGTATATGAGATGTTTGTTTCAGTGCCTTAAATCACTTTTTTTTTTTGCCCAGGTCTATTCTTTTGAATAATTATCTCTCATATTGCTTACTGATTGCATTAAAGGACAGCTATTAGCATATTGAAGACACAAAGCTGACCTTTTAGAAGCTGGAAAGATATTTATAATGGAGCACTTGCAGAGGGTGATAGGTTTTGGATAGAGATACATTTTGCAAATTTGGCTGTATATACAAAATACATAAAAACAGAGTGAGCCCTATTTACTTTGGCCTGTGACAATTCAGTGAGATATACGCTGGTGACATCTCTAAGTTCACTGAGTGGTAATCATGCCCCCTCACCTCCTGTGAGAAAAAGAAAGAAGGAAGAATATACAGAGTTGGGAAGTAACTACCATCCTTCTAGTTCTATCCCAAAGCCTCTTCCCCCCGAGTGATTACCCACTAAAAGGCTTTTCTGATGGCAGAAATAGGGATGCATCTAAATTGTGTGATTTTAGCTTCTTGAGGCAGGAATGTGGAAAAAACTGGGGTTTAAGGAGGGAAAATATGGAAAATATGGAGAATTGATTAAACCTGTTGAGACAACTGGCAAGCTCTTTGGCTAATTACCCCTGACAGATTTTGTCACTCTGCCAAGCGGGCCCACCCTTCGTTTCCTTCCTGCCCCCATGGTTTCCCCACTTCCTAGGACTGTGGGGGGTGGCGGGAAGGGCTATCTTCTTGGGCCTTCTTGATTTTCAGTCAAAGTCATCTAGAATATCCAGAGACATCTCACTCGGCCGTCCCAAAGGTTTTTTTTTTTTTTTTTTTTTTTTAGCTTCCCACTGCCTTCATGATTTAGGATGGACAGTCTCAACTGTTAGCGAATTTATCAGTTTCTGATGATTCTAATAATTGTCTGCCCACCTTGGCCCAAGCCCTTTCCTTTTCTTTTCCTGTCTTCCTTAGAACCAGAGGCACAAAGATTCTAGCACAGTGTTTAAAAGCATAGGCTCTAGAGACAGACTGGCTCCTATCCCAGCTCCTCTGCTTCCTGTGCGACTTGGGATAGATTACTTAACTTCTCTGAGCCTCAGTCTCCTTTTCTGTGAAATGGTGATAATAGTGGTACCTATCTAGCAGGGCTGAATACAGTATATTGCAAGCTCTTAGCACAGTGAATGGTGTATAGTTGGTGCCAATTAATAGCTATTGCTAGTATGTGGTGGGGAAGTATTCTCCCATCCCTATCCCAGTCTTGAAGAGGTAGAGATCTTTGCATGTCCAAGGCACTTTACAGTCAAATTTTGATGATTATTTGTATATCCCATCACAGAAATCAACACTAAACTTTGTTTTCAAGACACCCACTCTAGTATTTAACTTTGGCCTCTATACTTGCAGGTGCATAAATGCTGTGTTTTGACAGCAATCCAAATGTGGCACTCAAGATGTATAGCTTAACCTTTTTAAAAATCCAGTTGTGCTACCTAGATGTGCTCCAGCATGAATGAATTTAGTCCCTCCACTCTATTTACAGATAGGTCACCAGAGACCTAGAGAAGATTAAACCCATGCCCAGGGCAAAAAGTCACCCTAGAGCCAGGTTTCGAATTCTACTTGCACAGGTCTCTGGTTGAAGGTTCTCTGAATACCTGAGAAGTTCAGTTCATCCTTTTTCTACTTGCCTGGAAACCTCCCAAAGAAGGAAGCTAACTCATTATTTTTCTTTTGCCTGCTTCCACAGCTCTGGGTGAACCAGGAGGATGAGGTGGAGGAGGGGCCCAGCGATGTGCAGAACGGACACCTGGACCCCAATTCAGACTGCCTCTGTCTGGGGCGGCCACTACAGAACCGGGACCAGATGCGGGCCAATGTCATCAATGAGATAATGAGCACTGAGCGTCACTACATCAAGCACCTCAAGGATATTTGTGAGGTAACCATGGTGGTTCATGTGGAGGCACTTCCACGAAGAACCAGCAACCCTCCTGGGCCCTGCCTGTGACAGTCCCAAGATGTTGGAAAGGGCACATAGCCTCCCAGATTCTGTTCAGTGAGGTGAAACTGCTTCCTTAGGGTCAGTGAGGTAAAACTGCTTCCTTAGGGTTTCTCAATCTCTGTTTTTCACATTTTTCTCTCTGTCTAGTTTTAATATTTATTCATTTATATTCATTGTCTCTCTGTCTTTACCCTTTCTTAGTCTTCCTCCTTCTCTCCCCTGCATCTCTACCTTTATCTTTTTGGTATCTGATCCAGTTACAGCCATCTCATGTAAGGGCTTAACCTCACTCATTAAAGCAAAATGCATCTCCCGCCAAGCCAGTGATTCACAGACTTCAATATGTACCAGAGTTTCTGGGGGAGCTTGTTAAGCAGCCCTCTCACTCTTGTCCCCCAAGTCATGAATTATCAGTCTCAGGTAAGGCATGAGCATTTTTAGGTTTAATGAGCATCCCTGGTGATTCTGATGCTGCTGGTCCTACTCTCTCACTTGGAGAACACCGGTTGTGAGTTTAAGCAGAAAAGAGCTTGGAGACAGGACTCCACAGAAGATGGAGGCTGGATGGACAAACCTGGGCTCCTTCAGTATGTCACTTTTTTTCCCCAAGAGCTGTCTCTCTACATTCCCTAACCCCATTCCTTCCATCTCTCTGTCCTAAATGAAGATGAGAGCCTTCACTCTCGTACTCTCTTAAGCTTAGTAGCTGCAAGTTGGCATTTTTAAAGGGCATTTTACTGAACAGGAAGGGAAAACCAATGGGAAATGAAGGCAGCGTTTTAAAAGGATTAAACACACACACACACACACACACACACACACACACACACACACACATTCTCTCTTATATCTTTCTTCTTGACTCGGAAAACTCTGCATTGAATCTTTTTGTCTCCTTCCTTCCAGAGGAGGGGTTAGGTTCTATTTTCTGTCCCCCAGCCTAGGGTCCACTGTGGAGTCAGTAGTACAGCTCCAACATTTTTCAAAGTTCTTATTTCTCTACATCAGTACTGCCCAATGGAACTTCCTGCAATGATGAAAATGTTCCATGTCTGCATTCTCCAATATAGTAGCTATAAGCCAACAATTTATGGTTGTTGAAGAGTTAAAATGTGGCTGGTATGACTGAGAAATGGAATTTTAAATTGTATTTACATTTAATTAACTTTAATTTAGGTAACCATATATCTGTAATGACAGCCACATTGAACAGTATAGCTCTGGAAACACCAAGGCCAAGGATTTTGTGCCTGAACTTTCTTTATCTCAACTCATTTTCTCACCCCTTTCAGGAAGATTAAAAGTTATCTTTTCCCACTGCCCCACTCCCTGCCCTGCCATGAGGCAGATAGAGTAGAAAGAACAAGAGGTCTGGGGACATGGAATGCTGGTTTTTCACATTCTAACTTGGTCATTAATTAACCCTGTGGGCTTGAAGATACCCCTTAACTCCTCTGACATTCAATTTTCTTATTTTTCCAATGGGCTTCATTATAGCAATCTCTTAAGTTTGTTGAGGAAATTAAGTAAATAGAATATTGCAATAACCTATGCTGTATTTGGAAAAAGGTAATTTTCTTTTTTGCCTCCTTTTTAAATTTATTCACCCATCCATCCATATGTCTTTTTCTTCTTCCTCCTCCCTTCACATCAATGGCTGATGCTAAAAAAATTCCCCCTCGGAATGTGCTACATGGCATTCAGCATCAAACCACTGACATTTCATTCATTCGGCAAACTTTTAGTGGAATTCTGTTCTGTGCCAGGCCTGGACATAACTTCTAGCCTCAAAGTGTCGTACTTTAGAGCAGCATCTGCATCACCTGGAAACTTGTTATAAATGCAAAATCTTTGGCTCCAACCCAGACTTACTGAATCAGATTATGCATTTTAACAAAGTTACTATTTGATGTATAATACATATTAAAGTTTGAGGAGCATTGCTCCAAAATGATACCTATATTACAATGTCATAGTGTTTTTCATAAAATTAAGTACAATCTATTCTTCGCTTGGTAGCTGAGGGATGCTGTCAAGATCTAAGTCAGGTCATATCACTCCTCTGCTCAGAACCTTCCAATGGCTCACCATTTCTACCTGAGTAAAAGTCAAAGTTATTATTGTTTACAGGGGCCTGTGTGGTCAACCCATCCTTGCCTCTATGACTTTCACCTCCTGCTCCTTTCTGCTATGCTTTCGTTACTACTCCAGCTATACTGGCCTCTTGCTTTTCCTTCAGCATTACTAATATATTCCTCCCTTAGAGCCTTTGCACTGGTTTTTCCCTCTGCTTAAAGCATTCCCCTCCCCACCCCACATTTACATGGCTCCCATCCTCAGCTCCTTCAAGTCTTTGCTCAAATATCATCTTCTTGAGACTTCTCTAAGCATTCTATTGAAACCTGTAACCTTGCACTGCCTCTGCCCCTTTCCTGCTTTATTTCTATCTGTTACATTTATCTATCTGACATATTATATATTTAACTTATATATTTTGTTTATTGTCTGTCTCCTCTACTGGAATGTACTTTCCATGAAGGGCAGGGATTTTCATCTATTGATTTACTGATATATTCCCCCAGCACAGTGCCTGGTACATAGTAGATGCTCGATAAATATTGCTTAAAGTCAAAATTAAATATAATTGCTCACATGTATGTACTGCTTTGATTGGCAAAGTACATTCACATCATATGTCATTTGATCTTCAAACAGGACAAAAGTTGTTATTGTTATTCCTATTTTCTAGATCAACAGATTTAATCTCTAAGAAGCAAAATTATTTTCCCAGAGCTCTCAGGTACTAGCCCAGTGGAAGTCCTTAGAAGTTTCTCTCAACTCCCACACATCTTGGCCTCTTCCTATGGGACACAGACTCAGGACAGCAATGGAAGTTATTTGTCTTTCCAGAAAGTAGGGGGTGATATGATCCTGCTTTAAGGAGTTTCCAATCCAGCCAACCCAATCAAACCTTTTGTTGACAATTTGCTGGTTCCTTATTTTTCAACAATTATTGGTGCTGAAGGTAAGTATTTAAATGGGAGCTATCTCCTTTTCTCACCCTATAATCACGGGCATCAAAGGGAAGTGGAGAAAGCTGCATCTAGCTGGATCAGAAGACAGTAGTTTAGCCCAGGATTGTGTAATCTTTAAACCAAAAGCTGTGAGGAGCGAATGGTTTATCAGAAAGAATACCAGACTCAGAATTGGGAGTGCTGGGTTCAGGACCTACCTTGGTCACTAACTGACTGGGGAATCTCAGATGAGTCTTTTCACCCTAGGGCTTGTACCCCATCTCTAAATTGCATAGGTTGGAGGAGCTCTTTAAGTTCTGTTTGGCTCTTACTTTTTCTCTAGTTCTGTAAGATGTAGATATGCCCTCACTAGAGAAAAACTGTGATAGCGAGCCAGGCTACTTCTGCATTTTCTGCTTCTTCCTTCTTGGTACCATTGGAAGCATGTCTTACTCAAGCATGGATGTGTTAACATGGCATAAACCACTCTTTCTGTAGGTTATGGGAGAGCTCTAAACACTTCCTACTTTTGTACTTGTTGAAGGGGAAAGGGGGAAAATTATATTCAATATAAAAAAAGTCACACTATTTATTAGAGGACATTCTTTTTCCCTCCTGGGAGCAGAAAGTGCTTTACAAACATTTAAGTTATAACACCCTTATTTTACAAATGAAGAAGTAGGAAATAAAGGGGTTTTTAATTGAAGTTATTCAATGAGGTCAGTAAGAGACATAATCTTTTCAAATGAGTTCTCTGCAGATTACATTCTTCTTTCTAAACCCAGACAGTGGTATAAAATACCTTCAGTTTAGTTCTAGATCACCTTGACCAACAATTGGTGATATTGCCTCTTATAACCTTAGAACTCAAAGTACAATCAAGGAAACTGAGGCAAGAGTAAGCAGAGCTAACGATGCTTTATAAAGCTGTCTTGTCTGCTTTCTCTTGAGGAAGATAATCTCAGCCATCTGATACCTATGAAATACCTTCTGTCTTCAAATGCCTCCAGAGAAGCTGGCCTAGCTTTCCTCACTCACTCTGTATTAGTGATCATACCATTCACTATCAAGAAATTCTTCCTTAGGCATGCTGTAGCTTCAAGTCATTTCCATTTGGTATATTTTAAGCCTGAGGTTTTCAAACGTATTAGCCATTTGGGTTTTCCCTTCTGCAAATTGCCTATCTCAATACATCCCAATAGTCTTTACATCTTGGCACATAGAAAATGATAACACATTGTATAAGATAGTAATATTTGTACAGTATCCTAGGATAAAAATATGAGTCAGCTAGTCAGCCTAAAATGCCAAGCCCAGGGGTTTCTGCCTGCCATAGGCCCTACCTGTCCATTCTGTCTGGACATTCTGTGCTGTGTTCCTATACTTTGCCCATTTTCATGGAGTTTCTTATGTTTTTTTCTTGCTGATTTGTAAGAGTTCCTTGTATATTCTAGATATGAACTCCTTGTCAACTTTCCATGTTGCAGGTATCTTCTTTATTCTCTTGTTTTTGAATAACTTTTTTACTTCATTTGAAGAAAGGGTTTCCTATCTCAAAGAGAGGAAGAAGGAAATAAAAGAAAACCACCAATTTGAACATTCTGCTTCTAACTTACCTTTGATCATCACCAGCATGGGAAGAACTAATTAGCATTTAGTTGACAAATAACTGAGCAGCAACTATATGCCAGGTATTCTGTTAAACTTTGAGGATACGGCTGTGAATAACAACCATGGTCATTATCTCCTAATTTTCTTAAAAATGTCTTCAAGATGTTTGTCAGGTCGCCTATCAGGCCTCAGGTTCCAGGCAAAAAAAAAAAGACATATGAAACCCCTAGAATGTCAGAACTGAAAGGATCCATGGACATCTTTTTCGATGTCTTCATTTTAGAGACAGAGACACTGAGGTCTAAACTTTTTGTGAGGGCCCTTCCCTAAAGAATTTCCTAAACCCCAGATGATCCAGGGGCTGTTTGGTTCATCCTATTTTCTGGTAGTTTCTAGGATCTTTTCTGGAGATCTTGGGTATTGTTTATATCCCATATCAAGGCATTACTTCTAGATCAATGCACTAGGTCTCAACTCGTAGATCAGCCCTGGTGGGTTTAAGAACAAAGTGAAATAGATGGGCAGCTTTCCTTGCTGTTACCATAACAATGCCAGAGCTAATTTATGCCAGTTGTGACTGATTTGATAATACCCACATTTATCTTAGCTACTCTCTGGCCTGCCTTCCCACCCATGCCCACTTTACTCCTAGGAGACAGAGATTAGGCTCTAGGAAACTGCCTCCCTTGAGCCATAGTACCCTGTTCCCTGTTACCATTCAGATGGGGCGTTCAAAGCATACCTGGCAGTAAGAGCCACAGACCCCTTTTGTTCCCCCTGCCCTGTGACAGGCCTTCAATGGGCCCTGAGTGTTATCTAAGACAAACAAATTTTATGTCTTCCATCATTCTTCATGATGTTGCTTTTCAGGCCCCTCCCTACCCTGCTCACTCCCCTCTGGCTGTGTGCTATTTTCTTGGTGTTCCTCTGAAAAGAGGGTGGACTCAAAATTTAATTCTGCTCTCCTGCAGTGGTATGACTACCTTCCAATTGCCTCTCCCATTTTTGCCTCTCAATATATTTCTTCTTTTTTCTAACTGAAAATGGTATTAGGCTTTTTGACAATCACATTTCACTGCCAACTCATTTTAAACTTACATACCTTCAAAAATGAGTGAATGAGAGTAGACAAGTATTGATTGACCCCCTAATCTACCCTCTGTTCACCACTGATGTGGAAAATTTGATAGCCATCAGGCCAGCCAAAAGAAGGGGATAAAAAAAGCAAGACTCCAGGGAGCTAATCATTTCTCCTGGCCTTTCTTTTTCCAGAAACTTGTGTGGTATAGAGGTCGAGGGTGACCCTTTGGGGTTATCCAGCTACTCCCATATTCTTATGTCTCATCGCTTATTTTTTTGATAAGGGCAGTTTACATCTATTATTTGTAATCTTTAGCAAGTGACTATCTTAGATACTATGGCTGCAGGAGATCTTGAGAAGACATTGGGTCTTCCCTCCTCTTTCCTTGATAATATTTCATTCCAGGCAGCCTTCTTATAGCTGCATTTTCTTTTCTTTACACTCTCTGGCAAAGACTTTTATCCCATTTTTGATCATGAAGACAATTAAAAAACAGCATTAGAGGAAGTTTAAAAATAGGAACAAAAACCAGCCAGAATCCATCAACTATAACAGAATTATTTGCACTTTTGCATAATCCCTTCAAATCTGTCCATATGTGTATATATTTACAGAGTTGTAATCACACTGATATACCATTTTATGTCCTACTTTTTAACATTGTATCATAAACAATTTTCCATGTTTCTACATGGTCTTCCTAATTATCATTTTAACTGCTATGTAATATTTCATCAAGCTAAATGTACCAGAATATATTTATAATCTATCATTGGCTTTAAAAATAAGAGTTGATAAAACATTCTAAGGTCCTACCATCCTGTGGGCATTCTTCCTAATATATCCCCTGCCATAACATACATAATATAATAGAAAGAAAATGATTTCCTTGAGAGTGGCAATAAATAACATATTTAGGGACTTAGGAAGTTGGACTGAATTCTTTATTCATTGTCTTTTCCTAAGATCACTCTCTTAGTTTTATTTCTGTTATATTTTATGCTGATGTTGACTTCTAGTATCATTGTTGAATTCTGGTGATTTTATGGTGTTTTGTTTCTTCCCTGAGACTTTTCAAATAGGAGCAGTGGACACAACTATTAAATATTTTCTGAACTGGCTTCTCAGCAGATAAATGAGCTATCTACGCTGCCCTCTTCTGTCTCTCATTGTGGTCACTCATCAGTACCTATTGCTTACCCAGAAGTAATATGTTGAATGTGCCACTGTTACTGTTTTCCCCCAGCTGTGCTCCTCAGCCTGCCTTAGGGAAAAAAAAGTGGGAGAAGGGGTAAGGAAGCCTTCACTCCCATTTAATGTTGAGATGATATGCTCACTGCTCTCCCTGCTCCATTGTAGCTAAGACACGTCCAGAGATGGTAGGGTGAAAGAGACAGATAGACAGGCACACAGGCACAGACCAACCCAGACATACTAGGCTCTGGGAATTACATATTAGGTAGGGAAGGGCCTACAGGAGTTTATTGCCATTCCTTCTGGTAGTCAATGTAAAACTTTCTAGGGAGGCAGAATTTGGGGAGCAACCTCTGTAAAGGTAGTGGAGCCAAAAGGGTGTTCTGGGAATTTTCTTCCTGATCAAAAATTGCATATGAAAGAATGCAGGAAATTTTCAACATGTCAGTCAATGAGGGCACAAATCATTAGTTAAACAGATGTCAACACAGGCATAGACTATTAATTTGCCAACTATTTAAAGACACCTACTAATTAATGGCTAAATTGGAGAGTGAGAACAGATATGGGAAGGGGAAGTGAGATTTGTTGTAGAGGTCAGTAAAAGACATTGAAGCCAGGGATGAGGATCTTCTTGGAGTGTGCCCAGATGACCTCATTGGTAGCTGTGTTAAGGGAGACAAAGCGAGGATAGGGACAGGGCTATATGTGGTAAATCAGTCCCTGTAAAACTCTTCCTTAGGGGTTCAACCCTTAAGAAAAGTGTTAAGATAATTTCACTTAGCTTTTTGATGAAAGCAAATGACTATAATTTCTTCTCACCAAGAACATTTTTATGTGTTACTGATTTCTAATGAGGACAGTAACTATCAAGTGAAAACCTATGATAGTAGGTTCCAAATGGAAGATGCAATTTAGATTGGGGCTGTTTTTGTCCTGACTTAAGTATGCCTTGAGTCTGGTTTATGTTACCCCAATGCTTTCTTACTAGACCAAGAATCTCTTTCATCCTTTTTTTCTCTTTCATCAGTGGTTATCTTTATTAATGTGTTTTATGTGTTTAGGGCACATTTATGTGTTTAAGACACATGTGTTAGGTGTTAGGACATATTAACGTGTTAGGACACATTTATTTATAAATATATATATATATGATATATTTATAAATTTATATATATATATATAAATTTATAAATGTGTCCTAAACACCTGTTCTGTTAAAAACACCATGTCCAGGCACACATAGGCTTGTTGGCTGAGCTCATCTAAATGATCACTCCTGGCCAGCTACCTCAGATAGTTGAGAAATTTGCTTTGAGAAATGGTTTGACAGATATTTGCATAATGTGAATAGTATGAATGCATTTTCTTAAAGTATGTGAAGACATGAATGTCTAAGAAAATATTGTATGTGTACTTTGATGTACACAACAGGGAAAGTCTAAAATGATAAACAACTATTATTCCTGGTTATTTCCTGACATTAAAGTTCATGAGGAAACTTTTTTTTGAAGAAATGGTTTTGTTTTGTCAATTTCTGTTCCCTTGTGGGAAGTTTTTCTGTTCTGGCCTCTGTTCCCAATTTTTTGTCAATGTTATTAAGACCTTTGGTTTGGTCCTATAAGGAATAGAACTTTAGAGATGTGAATGGATCCAGCTAAACCAGTAGCTAATAAGACCTGTGAAAATGTGCTCAACCAGCTTCTTGGAAAGGGATATTTGACTTTGGGGGTCTTCTTCATAGAGGATGGAGGGAAAAGACTTTGGAGTCTTTGCACTCTTAAGACTTTTGCTGGCAACCCAGCTTTCCTAATTACTCACTGGGGGAGTGACTTCCTTCTGTAAACCTCAGTTTCCTCATATGAAAAATGAAAATAATTATTCCATGCCTACTTCTTGGGACCAAAATGAGGCTCTTAAGTGCTTAGGAAGTGTAAAGCCTTCTGGAAGTCAGGGACTTCCTCAGCCTAGGCTTTTTCTTTGTCTACAGGGCTATCTGAAGCAGTGCCGGAAGAGAAGGGACATGTTCAGTGACGAGCAACTGAAGGTAATCTTTGGGAACATTGAAGATATCTACAGATTTCAGATGGGCTTTGTGAGAGACCTGGAGAAACAGTATAACAATGATGACCCCCACCTCAGCGAGATAGGACCCTGCTTCCTAGAGCACGTAAGTATCTTATCCATTTGGGGAGGGTTTTGAGAGGTGTTAGGAAACAATGGAAGGAGCGTTTGAGCTGTCTGGTTCTGTTCAGCTCCTTTTTCCTGCAGTGGGGAATGGGTTCCTCTTGGGCCTTCATTTTGACCCCTGGTCTCTAGCCAGGAAACAAGGACTTAGAAAAGTGCTGTGATTTGCCCTATAAATGTTAAGCATGTGTATGACCTGCTGGTTCCATTCCCGAATGTATATTCCAGAGAAACTCACAGAAGTCCACAAGGGAGCACATACAAGGCTGTTGTTGATTGCATGGCAGTGTCGTATGTGGTGGAGTACCATTAGAAGCAACCTAGGATTCTCCTTCTTTACCATTCCCCTCCCCTCTCCCTTTCCTTCTTGGCAGTTACCAGTAGAATTTTTCTTCATCTTCCCTTTTTTGTTTCTGTTAAGTTTCCATGAGACTCAGTATTTTGGGAGGAATTCAAAATATTCACTGCACAGAGAATCAAGGAATCTGAGAAATAACAAGGACCATGGTTAGTAAGAAAGTGGTCCCTGCAAGACATTTATGGGAAGGGCACTGGAGAAGGTGAAGTGACAAAAATAGGAAAAGAACACATGGACTTCGAGGATGGAGCTCTGGGAAACAGGATAGTGACGATTTGAGTCCTGTATCTGTAGTGTCTGTCTGGGTTACTTTGGGCAAGTCCTTCATGGGCTTTGGTTTGTTCATCTGGAATGTGAGGTTACACTGTATGATCTCTCTGGTTCTTTGACATCATCTGAGTCTCATTCACAGGTGACCTAGTTGTTTTGACAGCATGTTTCCCCTTTTAATAAAGTATTTATTTTTAAAGATTTAATATGTGCACTTAATATAAAATTCAAATGACACACAAAAGCATGCAGCTAAAAATAAGCCTTCTTGGAAATATTCCTGTTTTACTTCTGAGACTCTGTGTTGGGGTGGGTTCCCTAAGATCACTCTTATGTTTAGTGATTTGGACTCAGAATATGGTTATATTGAATGTGGTTTAGGACTCAGAACATGTTTATACTCATAGCTATGATTTATTATAGCAAAATGATTCGAAGTAAAATCAGCAAAAGGAAAAGGCACACAGGGCAAAGTGCAGAGGAAACCAGGCACAAGCTTTCAGGAGTCCATCCCCCAATGGAGTCACACAGGATGCACATAAATCCCCTAGGAATGAGTTGGGACAACACATATAAAATGTTGTCTGCCAAGAAAACTCATTAGAGACTCAGTGTCCAAGGTTCTTATTGTGGGCTCATCATGTAGACACCTTCTGCCTAGTGTGTACTAAAATTACAGACTCCCAGAAGGAAAGCAGGTATTTAGCATAAACCACATTGTTTGTACAGGCAGTCTGGACACAGTGAGCCACTCTTATCAGGGAATAGTGGGGGAACCCTCTTGAGAACCAAGTTTCAAGATGCCAGTCAAGGGGAAATATTTCCAGCAGGTTTTTCTGAGAACAGCAATTTCAGGCCTGATACGATAACTCTTTTCTGTATGGTATGTAAACTCATTCAACCATTCTAGAAAGCACCTGGGTAGTATTTATAAATGTTAAGGATGTGTATGACCTTCTGGTTCCATTCTTGAATGTATATTCCAGAGAAACTCTCACAGAAGTCCACAAGGGAGCACATACAAGGCTGTTGTTGATTGCATGGCAGTGTCGTATGTGTTGGAATACCATTAGAAGCAACCTAGGTATTTATCACCAGGGAGATATATAAGTGGATGGGGTTTGCTTATTGTGAGGTATTATGTAGCAACAAACCGAAGACTAGATGTATGTACCTTATAGCAACATATATCAGAAACATAGTATTGAATGGGGAAAGTAGAATATAGAATAGTGGTTCTCAACCGGGGGCTGCCCTGTACATTGTAGGATGTTTAACAGCATTCCTGGTCTCTAGCCACTAGATGTCTGTAGCAATGCCTTGCTACCCAGTTGTGACAACCAAAAATGTCTCCAGACATTGACAAATGTCCCCTGGGGAAAAAAAAGAATCACTTATGTTTTGAAATGATAACATACTTTTACCTTTAATCTGTTAATGCAGTGAATTTGGATTGAATGATTTTCATATGTGAAATGAACATTGTATTACTGGGATAGACCCCACTTAAACACTGTGTGTTATCTCTTTTAATGTATTATTTTACCTTTTAAAATTAATTGTTTACCCTTTTATTAGTTCTAGAATTTCATTTTTATCAGCTTTACGTAGATATAATTTACATACAATAAGATTCATTCATTTTAAGTGATTTTAAGTGTATACTTTAAGGAGTTTTAACAAATGTATATAGTTGTGTAACCACCATAATAATCAAAATATAGGACATTTCTATAACTCCACAAAGTCCTCTTATCTAGACATTGCAAACAATCTGTGCCCCTACTCCTGGCTACTGGCAAACATTGATCTCCTTTTTATTTGAAATTTTGCTTTTTCTAGAATGTCATATATGTGAAATCATACAGTATATAATCTTTTATGTTTAGCTTCTTTCATTTAACATAGTGCCTTTGATATCCATCCATGCTGTTGCATATATCTTTCGTTTATCCTTTTTTATTGCTTAGTAGCACTCCATTGCATGGATATACCACCTATTCACAAATTAATGGATATTTGAGTTGTCTCCAGTTTTGAACTCTAATGCATAAAGCTGCTATGAACATTCTAGTACAATATTTTTTGAGAATATATGTTTTCATTTTTCTTGGTTAAGGACTTCCAGGGTTAGGGTTGCTAGGTGGCATGGTAGATTTTTTAGCTTATTAGATAATGCCAAACTATTTTCCAAAGTTTCTATACCATTTTGCATTTTCACTACTAATACGTAAGAGTTGAAGTTACTCCACATGGTCATCAACACTTGATATTATCAGTATTTTTTTTTTTTTTTGGAGACAGAGTCTTGCTTCGTTACCCAGGCTGGAGTGCAGTGGTGCAATCTTGGCTTGTAGCAACCTCTGCCTCCCAGGTTCAAGCAATTCTCCTGCCTCACTGTCCCAAGTAGCTGGGATTACAGGCATGTGCCATTACACCCAGCTAATTTTTGTCTTTTTAGTAGAGATGGGGTTTCACCATGTTGGCCAGGCTGGTCTCAAACTCCTTACCTCAAGTGATCTTCCCACCTCGGCCTCCCAAAGTGCTGACTGGGATTATAAGCGTGAGCCATCGTGCCTGGCCAGTCACTATTTTTTTTTTTAATTTTCGCCATTCTAACATGTAGGTGTGTAGTGGTATCTCATTGTAATTTTAATTTACATTTCCAATGTATAGTGATGTTGAGCATTTTTTCATGTGTTTATTTGCCATCTATATAAAAACTGGTGAAGTGTCTATTCATGTATTTTTCCCGTTTTAAGTGTATTGTTTGTTTTTTTATTGTTTAGTTTTGAGAGTTCTTTTATTAAAAATTAATATGTAATTTACTTATTTATGGGGTACATGTGGTTTTTTTTTTTTTTTTTTGAGATGGAATCTCACTCTGTGACGCAGGCTGGAGTGCAGTGGTGCTATCTCAGCTCACTGCAACTTCTGACTCCCGGGTTCCAGCAATTCTCCTGCCTCAACCTCCTGAGTAGCTGGGATTACAGGCATGTGCTACCACGCCCAGCTAATTTTTGCATTTTTTTAGTAGAGACGGGGTTTCACCATATTAGCTAGGCTCGTCTGGAACTCCTGACCTCGTGATCCATCCACCTTGGCCTCCCAAATTGCTGGGACTACATGTGGTGTTTTGATACATGAATACAATGTGTAATGATTAAATCAGGGTAATTGGGATAGCCATCATCTCAAACATTTATCATTTATTTGTGTTGGGGGCATTCCAAATCTTCTAGCTATTTTGAAACAAGCAATTAATTATTGTTAACTACAATTGTTTTTATAACTATTTTGAAATATGCCATTAATTATTGTTAACTGCTGTGATATCAAACACTAGAACTTATTTCTTCTATATAACTGTAGTTTTATACCCATTAAACAACCTCTCTTCATCCTTCTCTCCCCACAACCTTCCTAACTTCTGGTAACTACTACTATACTCTCCACCTCCATGAGATCAACTTTGATAGCCCCTACTCACATATGAGTGAAAACATATGATATTTGTCTTTCTGTGCCTGGCTTATTTCAGTTGACATAATGTCTTCCAGTTCCACCCATGTTGCTGCAAATGACAGGATTTTCTTTTTATAGCTCAATAATATTCCATTGTGTATATATAGCAACATGTTCTTCATCCATTGATCCATCAGTGGGCACTTAGGTTGATTCCATATCTTGGCTATTTTGAATAGTGCTGTGATAAACAAGGGAGTGCAAATATCTCTTCTGACATATTGATTTTTCTTCTTTTGGCTATATACAATATATACCCAGCAGTGGGATTGCTGGATCATATGGTACTTCTGTGTTTAGTTTTCCATACCATTTTCCATAATGGCTGTACTAATTTACATTCCGATCAGCAGTGTATGAGAGTTCTCTGTTCTCTGCATCCTCTTCAGCATTTGTTATTTTTTGTCTTTTTGATAATAACCATTCTAACTGCGGTGAGATGATATGTCCTTGTGATTTTGATTTGCATTTCCCTGATGATTAATGATGTTGGGCATTTTTCATATGCCTATTGGCCATTTGTATGTCTTCTTTTAAGAAATGTCTGTTCAGAGCATTTGCCCACTTTTAAATCAGATTATTTGTGTTTTTTTGCTATTGAGTTGTTTGAGTCACTTACATATTTTGGCTATTAATGTTTTGTCAGATGGATAGTTTGCAGATATTTTCTCTCATTCTGTATGTTGTTGCTTCACTCTGTTGATTGTTTCCCTTGCTGTGCAGAAGCTTTTTAGCTTGATATAATCCCATTTGGGTATTTCTGCTTTTGTTATCTGTGCTTTAGAGGTATTACTCAATAGAGTCTTTGTGCATATCAATGACCTGAGGCATTTTTCCAGTGTTTTATTCTAGTAGTTTTATAGTTTCAAGTCTTACGTTTAAGTCGTTCATCTATTTTGATTTTATTTTTTCATATGGTGAGAGATAGGGGTCTAGTTTTATTCTTTTGCATATGGACATCCAGTTTGTCCAAGAACATAAGTTGAAGAGGCTGTCCTTTCTCCAATATGTGTTCTTGGTGTCTTTACTGAAAATGAATTGGCTGTAAATGCATGGGTATATTTTGGGATTCTCTATTCTGTTCAATTGGTCTATGTGTCTGTTTTTACTTCAGTACCATGCTTTTTTGGTTACTATAGCTTTACAGTGTATTTTGAAGTTAGGTAGTGTGATGCCTCCAGCTTTGTTCTTTTTGCTCGGGATTGCTTTGGCTATTCTGGGTCTTTTGTGGGTCCATATGAACCTTAGGATTTTTTTCCCATTTCTGTGGTGAATGTCATTGGTATTTTGATAGAGATTGCATTTAATCTGTAGATTGCTTTTGGTAGTATATTTTAGCAATATTAATTTAACAATATTAATTTAATATTAATTAATTGCATTTAATCTATAGGTTGCTTTAGGCAGTACATTTTAACAATATTAATTCTTCCCATCCATCAATATGGGATATCTTTCCCTTTTTGTGTGTAGTTGTCAATTTTTTTCAGCAGTGCTTTTTATTTTTATTTTAGAGATCTTTCACTTCTGTGGTTAAATTTATTCCTATTTTTTTTTAAATCCTGTTTTAAATGGGATTGCTTTTTTGGTTTCTTTTTCAGATTGTTCACTATTGGCAAACAGAAGTGCACCTGCTTTTTGTATGTTGATTTTGTATCCTGCAACTTTACTGAATTTGTTGATCATTTCCAGCATTTCGTGTGTGTAGGTAGTCTTTAGGTTTTTCTAAATATAAGATTATATCATCTGCTAACAAGGATAATTTGATTTCTTCCTTTTCAATATGGATACCCTTTATTTCATTCTCTTGCCTAAATTGCTCTGGCTAGAACATGCAGTACTACACTGAACATAAGTGGTAAAAGTGGGCATTCTTGTCTTGGTCTAGATCTTGGAGGAAAGGCTTTTGATTTTTTTCCTGTTCAGTATGATGATAGCTGTGGGTTTGTGATATATGGCTTTTATTATTTTGATGCATGTTCCTTCTGTACCCAGTTTGTTGTCTTTTTCTCATGGAGGGATCTTGAATTTTATGAAATGCTTTTTCAGCATCTATTGAAGTGATCATACAGGTTTTGTCCTTGGTTCTGTTAATGTAATGTATCACGTTTATTTATTTGCATATGTTGAACCAAACTTTTGTCCCTGGGATGAGACCCACTTGATCATCGTGAGTGATCTTTTTAATGTGTTGTTTAATTCAGTTTGCTAGTATTTTGTTTGGAATTTTTGCATCTATGTTTGCCAGTAATATTGGCCTGTAGTTTTCTTTTTTTGATGTGTTTTTGTCTGGTTTGGGTACCAGGGTAATGCTGGCCTCATAGAATGAGTTTGAAGTATTCCTCCTCTTTACTTTTTTGAAATAATTTGCATAGAATTATTATCAGTTCTTTTTTAAATGTTTGGTGGAATTCAGCAGTGAAACCGTAAGGTCCTTGGCTTTTCTTTGATGAGACACTTTTTATTACTGTTTTGATCTTGTTACTTGTTATTGGTTTGTTCAGGTTTTCTATTTATTCATGGTTCAATCTTGGTACGTCATATGTATCCAGGAATTTATCCATTTCTTCTAGGTTTTCCAATTTGTTTGCCTGTAGTTGTTCATATTCTCTGTAATGATCCTTTGTATTTTTGTGGTATCAGTTATATTCTCCCTTTTCACCTCTGATTTCATTTATTTGAGTATTCTTTTTTTCTTAGTCTAGCTAAAGATTTGTTGATTTTGAGTATCTTTTCAAAAAAAACAACTTTTCATTTCATTGATCTTTTGTATTTTTCAGCCTTAATTTCATTTATTTCTGCTCTGGTGTTTGTTATTTATTTCCTTCTACTAGCTTTGGGTTTGGTTTGTTCTTGCCTTCCTAATTCTTTGAAGTGACTTGGTAGATTATTTATTTGAAGACTTTCTTTTTCTTTTTTGATGAAAGCTTTTATTGCCATAAATTTTCCTCTTTGTACTGCTTTTGCTTTATTTCATAGGCTTTAGTATCTTGTGTTTTCATTTTCATTTGTTTTGAGAAATTTCTATTTTTTAAAAGAATTTTGTTATTTACCCACTGATCATTCAGGAGCAATGTATTTAATTTCGGTGTATTTGTACAGTTTCTTAAGTGCTCTTCTTACTGATTTCTAGTGTTGTTTCATTGTGGTCAGAAAAGACACTTGATATTAATTTGACTTTTTAAAATTTGTTGAGATTTGTTTATGGCCTAACATATGGCCTGTTTTCAAGAATGTTCTATATGCTGATGAGGAAAATGTGTAGTCTCCAGCAGTTGGATGATATGTTCTGTTATTTTCAGTTACGTACATTTGGTCTATAGTACAACTGAAATCCAGTATTTCTTTGTTGATATCTTGTCTGGATAATCTGTTCATTGCTGAAAGTGAGTGTTGAAGTTCCCTATTATTATGGTGTTGTAGTCTGTCTCTCTGTTTAAATCTACTAATATTTGTTGTGTATATTTGGGTGCTCCAGTGTTGGGTGCATGCGAATTTATAATTGTTATATCCTGTAGCTGAATTGACCCATTTATTATTATATAATGACATTCTTTGTCTTTTCTTACAGTTTTTGACCTGAAGTCTGTTTCGTATGATATATGTGTAGCCACTGCTGCTCTTTTGTGGTTTCTATTTGTACGCAGTATCTTTTTCCATCCCTTCACTTTTAGTCTCTATGTGTCTTATTCACTAGAAATTCACTTAAAGAAGTGAACTTCTTGAAGGCAGCATATAGTTGGATGCTGTTTTTTTTAATCCATTCAGCCACTCTCTTTTAATTGGAGAATTTAGTCCCATTTACATTCAATGTTATTTTTGAAAGGTAAGGACTTACTACTGCCATTTTGTTATTATTTTCTGATTGTTTTGTAACTCCTGTCTTCCATTATTTTACTACTATCTTCCTTTGTTGTTTAGTGATTTTTCTCTGGTGGCATGTATTAATTATTTGCTTTTGTTAGTGTATCTTTTACAGGTTTTTGCTTTGATGTTACTGTGGGGCTTAGAACATCTTATTATAAACTGATGACAACTTAACTTTGATCAAAAGAAAAATTAAAAACTAAAATCTCTAAAATTTAAGTCCATTACTTCCCCATTTTAACTTTTTGTTTTCTCAGTTTACATCTTTTTATATTGCCTATCCCTTAATAAATTGCCTTTTTGTTTTGTTTTGTTTTTGAGATGGAGTCTTGCTCTGTCTCCCAGGCTGGAGTGCAGTGGCACGATCTCGGCTCACTGCAACCTCTGCCTCCCGAGTTCAAGCGATTCTCCTATCTCAGCTTCCTGAGTAGGTGGGATTATAGGCACGTGCCATCACACTCAGCTAATTTTTGTATTTTTTAGTACAGATGGAGTTTCACCATGTTGGCCAGGCTGACCTTAATAAATTGTCATTATTTTTGATAGATTTTTTTCAGTCTTCATACTAAAGTTGTGAACGGTTTACACACCACAATTCAGTATTTGTCTGCATAGTTTATTCTGAATTTGTCTATATACGTTTACCAGTTTATTTTATAACTTCAGGTGTTTTCTTGATACATATTAGTGTTCTTTTAAGATTGAACAACTGGCTTCAGCAGTTCATGTAAGACAAATCTTCTGTTGATGAATTCCCTCAGCTTCTGTCTGGGAAAGTCTGTATCTCTCCTTCATGTTTGAAGGATGGCTCTGCTGGGCACAGTATGGGAGGTTTTTTTGTTGTTGTTGTTTTGTTTTTTTCATTCAGTACTTTGAATATGTTGCCCCCCTCCCTCCTGCCCTGTAGGACTTACACTGAAAACTCTGTTACCACAGGAATTGAAACTCCTTTATATGTTATTTGCTTCTTTTCTCTTGCTGCTTTTAAGATTTCCCTCTTTGTCTGTTAACCTTTGAGAGTTTGATTATTATATGCCTTAGGGTAATCTTATTTAGATTGAACATGTTTGGTTGTCTTTAACCCTGTACCTGGATATTTATATCTTTCTCTAGGTTTGGAAAAGTCTCTGTTATTATTACTTTGAATAAGCTTTCTACCTTTTGTTCTTTCTCAACATCCTCTTTAAAGCCAATGACCCTTTGACTTGCTCTTTTGAGGCTATCCCCTAGATCTTGTTGGCGTTCTTCATTTTTCTCATTATTTTTTCTCTTCTTATTGTGTATTTTCAAATAGTCTTAGGGCTCACCGGTTCTTTCTTCTGCTTGATCAATTCTGTTGTTGAGACCATCCCATGTATTTTTCAGTTTGACTATTGTATTTCTTAGCTCTAGGATTTCTGTTTAATTTTTTAAAATTTCAATTTCATTGTTAAATTTCTGTAATACATTTCTGAATTGCTTTTCTGTGTTACATTGGCATTTTCTGAGTTTCCTGAAAATTGCTATTCTGCATTCTTGATCTGAGAGCTCACACAACATCATCTCATTAGGGTCAGTCACTGGCTCCTTATTTTGTCTATTTGGGAATGTCATGGTTTCCTGTTTGCTCTTTCTATGGATATATGTCTGTGCATTTGCATTGAAGGATTAGTTCTTTATTCCAGTCTTCACTGTCTGGCTTGGTTTGGTCTTTCAGAAGTATGTCTGTCTAGAGGTTTTGTGCAGAGTGACTATTTAGTTCCCTTAGCCTGAGATCACTGCCTCCTTTTCAACACTAGATGGCACCCTGAACCCAGATTTGACATAGTCTTTCTCAATTTCAGAGTGCTACTCATCCTGGATGGGGAGGAATCCCAAAGATACCCCAGCTCTGTGGGAAAGCTGGATGGAGGTTTGTTCCCAGAGGACTGATGAAGTGTGCTTCCTGCAACGTGATGCTGTTAAACAGCCTTTCTGATTTGGTGTCTTTTTTGAGGTCAGATGAAGGGAAGCTGGAGTTTCATGCACTGGGTGTTGCTAACCCCACCCCCACCCTCTAACTCTAGCTGCCTTTGGGATTTTTTACTCTGCAGGCATTCAAGAGGCTTCTTACAGGTTGAGGCAGGAATAATTTTTCTGGAAAGGAATCTAAGATGGTGGGGAAGCTAGCTGTCCACTTTTATTTTTTCCAGTATTATAGGAACCTTGATTTTGAGGGTGCCTTTCTACACAGTGCCTGGCAGCTTGGGGAAGGAGCTATTTTACCTTTTGCTTGCAGTTTTTCAGTTCTCTGTGGCCTCTGGGATTGTCACAACTTCAGTCATTGAGTTCTGGAATATTCCTTTTGATAATCTGGGCAGTGGCTAGTTCTTTTTGGTTTTCTGTGGAGGAGAGTAAAGCTACATATACTGTGCTATTTTGGTGACATTCTCAGTTATGAGAATTATATATTTTGTTAACAAGTCCTTTGTCAGATAAGTTATTTGCAGACATTATATCCCAGTCTGTGGCTTAGCCTTTCATTTTCTTAACTGTGTCTTTTCTAAGTTGTGCATATTTATGGAGTATGTGAGAAATTTTTAACATATGTATAATGCATAGTGATCAAGTCGGGTTTTAGGGTACAATGCATTTTTTTTAAGTATAGTCATCCTACTCTGCTATTGAACATTGAATGTATTCCTTCTATCTTATGTTTGTACCCTTTAACCCACTTATCTTCATGTTCTCCCTTCTCACCTGCTCACACTTCCGTCTCTGTTATTTTTCCACCCTCTACCTCCATGTGTTCAAATTTTTTAGCACCCCCAAATAAATGAGAACATGTGATATTTGTCTTTTTGTGCCTGGCTTATTTCACTTAAGACAATGACCTCTAGTTTCATCTACGTTGATGCAAATGACATAATTTCATTCTTTTTATGGCTGAATACTATTCCATTGTGTAGAAGTACCATATTTTCTTTATCCATTCATTTGTTGATGGACACTTAGATTGATTCCTTATCTTTGCTATTATGAATGTTGCTGCGGTAAATATGCAAGTGCCAGTATTCCTTTGATATAATGATTTATTTTCTTTAAGTCAATACACAGTAATGGGATTGCTGGATTGAATGGTAATTCGATTTTTAGTTTTAAGAGTATCTTAATTTTATTGAAATCCAGTTTATCGCTTTATTTTATTTTATGGGTCATACTTTTTGTTTCCTACTTTCTTTGCCTATCTCAAAATCATAACGGTTTTCTACTTTTTTAAAAATAGAAGTTATATAGTTTTATTTTTTACATTTAGGCCTATGATCCCTTTTGTGGTAATTTTTATATATGGCACAAAATACAGATCAAGGTTAATTGGTTTCTGTATGGATATTTGTTAAAAAATACTGATTCCCCTATTGAATTGCCTGGGCACCTTTGTCAAAAATCAATTAAGCATATATGTGCAGATCTATTTTTAGGTATACTCTTCTGTTCTAGTGATCTATATGACTATTCTTGTAATAGTAACCCACTTTCTTGATTAATATAGGTTCATAGCAAGTCTTTAAATCAGATAGCATAACTCCTCCAACTTAGTTCTTTTTCAAAACAATTTTAGCTATTTTAGGTTATTTGTATTTCTATATAAATTTAAGAATAATCTTGCCAAATTTTACCAAAAACAAGCAAACAAAAACCCTATCAGTGTTTTGGTTGGGATTGCATTAAATCTGTGGATCAGTTTTGGGAACATTGATATGATGAGTCTTCAAATCCATGAACATTTAACTGTTTATTTCGATTTTTTTGTGATTTCTCCCAGGATTGTTTTTTAGTTTTCATTGTATGATTTTGACCTTTTAAAATTTGATTGTTTTAAAAAATATTTAAGGTATAAATTTAAGATGTACAATGTGATGTTTTGATATAAATGATGAAGTGATGACTACAGTCAAACAGATTAACATATCATCTCACATAGTTACTTTTTTGTGGTAATAGTATCTAAAATTTACTCTCTTAGCAAATTTCCAGTGTATAATACAATAATGTTGACTCTAGTCCCCATGCTGTAGGTTAGATCTCTAGACTTTTCCTGTGTAACTACAACTTTGTGCCCTTTGACTTATATCTTCCCATTTTCTCCCACCCCCTCACCTCTGGTCACCACCATCCTAATCTGTTTCTATGTATTCATTTTTTTTTTCCTTTTGATTCCACATATAAGTGAAATCATGCAGTAGTTTTCTTTCTGTGACTGGATTATTTCATGTAGCATAATGTCCTCTAGGTTCCTCCATGTTGTGACAAATGACATAATCTCCTTCCCTCCTTCTTTTTAAAGTCTGAATAATATTCTATTCTGTGTCTCTGTATGTATATGTAATATATATATAAATAAATTAAAAATAGAGGTAATTTATTAAAATATAGGCAACATATTACATATACATATACACCCGACAGTTTCTTTACCCATTTATCCATTAATGGACACTTTGTTTGCTTCCACATCTTGGCTATTGTTAATAGTACTGCAATGAACATGGGAGTGCAGATATCTTTACAAGGTAGTGAGTGCATTTCCTTTGGGCATATACTCAAAAGAGGGATTACTGGATAATTTGATAATTCTATTTTTGATTTCTTTGGGAACATCTTAAAGGTATTATTTTCCACAGTGGCTGCTGTACCAATATATATTCCTACTAACAGTGTACAAGGGTCTCCTTTTCTCTAAACCCTTGTCAACACTTGTTATGTCTTATCTTTTTGATAATACCCATCCTAATAGATGCTAGGTTATTTCTCATTGTGGTTTTGATATGCATTTTCCTGATGATTAATGATGTTGAGCATCATCGTATACCTGTTGGCTATTTTTATGTCTTTTTTGGAGGAATGTCTATTCAAATTCTTTGCTCATTTCTTAATTAGTTTATTTGTTTATTTGTTTTTTTTTGCTGTGAAGTGATGTGAGTTCCTTATATATTTTGAATATTAACCACTTTATATATTTTATATATATTAACCACTTTATGTATATTTTGAATATTAACCACTTTACAGTTTGCAAATATTTTCACTCAGTCTATAGGCTACCTTTGCATGTTGTTGACTTTTTTTTTCTGCATAGCAGCTTTTTAATTTGATGCAGTCCCACTTGTTTCTTTTTGCTTTTGTTGCCTGTGCTTTTGGTGTCATATAAAAAAGCACAGCAGTAGTGCTTTTAGTAGTTTTATTATTTCAGCTCTTATGTTTCAGTCTCTTATGCATTTTGAGTTGATTTTTGTGTATGGTCTAAAATATGGGCCCAATTTTGTTCTTTTGCATATAGATATCCAGTTTTTCCAACAACATTTATTGAAGAGACTATACGTTCCCCATTGTGTCCTGTTGGTGCTCTTGTCAAAAATTAGTTCACTATATTTGCTTCGGTTTATTTCTGGACTCTCTATTCTATTACATTGGTATATCTGTTTTTATGCTAGTACCATACTGTTTTGATTTCCATAGTTTTCTAATATTGTTTGAAATCAAAGAGTGTGATGCCTCCAGATTTATTTTTATTTCTCAGAGTTGCTTTGGCTATCAAGGGTCTAGTTTGGTTCCATAGAAATTTTATATATGTTTTTGTCTATTTCCATGAAAAATGCCATTGGAATTTAGATAGGGGTTGTGTTGAATCTCTATATCACTTTGAGTAGTAGGGACATTTTAACAATATTGGTTCTTCCAATCCTTGCACATGGGAAATCTTTCTATTTCTTTGTGTCTTCTTCAGTTTCTTTCATCAGGGTGTTTTGGTTTTCTGTGCACAGATCTTTCACCTTCTTGAATAAATGTATTCCTTAAGTATTTCATTCTTTTTGATGGTATCATAAATATGATTTTTTAAAATTTCTTTTTTTGATACATCATTATAGGTATAAAGAGTGCAACTGATTTTTGTACACTGATTTTTTTTTTGTATCCTGCATCTTTACTGAATTCACTTTTTCTAACAGGTTTTTTTCTTTTTAATTTTTGGAGGGAGTCTTTTGGGCTTTCTACATATATAATCATCTTATCTCCAAATAGGGCTAGTTTACTTCTGATCCAATTTGGATGCATTTTATTTATTTTTCTTATCTGATTGCCATGGTTAGTATTTCTAGTACTATTTTGAATAAAATTGGCAAGGGTGGGCATCCTTGTCTTATACCAGATCTTAGAGGAAAAGCTTTCCATTTTTCACCATTGATTATGATGTTACCTGTGGGCATCTCATAAATGGCCTTTCTTATGCTGAGGAAATTTTTAATATTAATACCTAATTTGTGAAGATATTTTATCCTGAAAGGATGTTGAACTTTGTGAAAGCTTTTTCCACATCTATTGAAATAACCGTGTGGTTTTTAAATTATTCCTTTTGCTAATGTAATGTATCATAATAATTGATTTGGATTTGTTAAGCCATACTTGCATCCCAGGGATAAATCCCACTTGGTCATGATGTATGATCTTTTTGATATGTTACTGAATTGGGTTAGCTACTATTTTATTGAGAATCTTTATACCTATGATCATTAGTGATACTGGCTTGTAGTTTTCTTTTCTTCTTTTTTTTTTTTGACAGAGTCTCGCTCTGTCACCCAGGCTGGAGTGCAGTGGCGCAATGTCGGCTCACTGCAAGCTCCACCTCCTGGGTTCACGCCATTCTCCTGCCTCGGCCTCCCAAGTAGCTGGGACTACAGGCGCCCGCCACCACGCCTGGCTAATTTTTTTGTATTTTTATTAGAGACGGGGTTTCACCATGTTAGCCAGGATGGTCTCGATCTCCTGACCTTGTGATCTGCCCACCTCGGCCTCCCAAAGTGCTAGGATTATAGGCGTGAGCCACAGCGCCTGGCCCTTTTCTTGTATTTCTGTCTGACTTTAGAATCATTTGGGAGTATTCCCTTTAGTTCTTTTATTTATTTATTTATTTATTTATTTATTTATTTATTTATTGAAGAGTTTAAGAGGGATTGCTACTAATTCTTATCTGGGTATTTGGTAGAATTCAGCTGTGAAGCCATCTGGTCCTATGATCTTTTGTTGTTAGGAGATTTTAAATGACTACTTCAATCTCTTTATTTGTTAATGTTCAGGCTCTCTATTTCTTCTTGATTCAATCTTGGTAGGTTTTATATTTCTAGGAATATATTCATTTCCTCTGGTGTTTCCAAGTTGTTGTCATATAATTGTTCATAATAGTCCCTTGTAATCCTTTTCATCTCTGAGACATCTTTTGTAATATCTTCATGTTCATTTCTAATTTTATTTACCTATATTCTTTTTCTCTAAAAACCAAGTCTTAGTTTTGTTGATTTTTTTCCCTAAGTTTTTCTGTTCTCTGATTTATATCTGCTTTGATCTTTTATTTTTTTCCTTCTGCTATCTTTGAGTTTACTTTGTTCTTCTTTTTCTAGTTCCTTGAGGTGGAATATCAGATTGTTTATTTCAGATTTTTTTTAATGCTATCAACGCCCCTCTTAGAACTTTTTTTGCTGCATCCCAAAGGATTTGGTATGTTGTGCTTTCAATTTCATTTGTCTCAAGATATTTTTTAATTTCCCTTTTGATTTTTTCTTTGACCCATTTGTTATTCAGGGATATGTTGTTTAATTTCTACTGATTTAAGAATGTTCTAGTTTTCTTCCTGTTACTGACTTGTAGTTTTATATCATCATGACCAGAAAAGATACTTGATATGATGTTGATCTTCTTAAATTTGCTAAGACTTATTTTGTGGTATAGCATGTGGTCTATTCTGGACAGTATTCCATGTGTGCTTTAGAAGAATTTGTGTGATAGCCTGTCTGCGTGGGTCAGCTTTGGTAACATGTGGTAGTGAGACTAGAATCCCTAGTTTGGGACCCTAGGGCTGTTTGCAGGTACATGCATGGTAGCTGTGCTGGGTCACTGGGCCAGAGCATCCAAGGAGGTAGTACTTGCTTAAGTACCTAGAGAATGCAAAGGCTCCTGTGCTGAGTCCCTTTGCCAAGGCACCTGTGGTAGGAGTAGCTCAGGCAGCTCTGGGCATGGGGGAGGGAAAGCTCTGGTGGATCAGGGATCTGGAGAATGTGAAAGCTGTTGGCCTACATCACCCCTTCCCACTGGGCTATAGTAACCACAGCAGCAGTTGGGCAGCTCTGGGTGGCTCCAGGAAGTAGAGAAGAAGAAGGGACATGGCTCAGGCATGTTTTTTGTTGTTGTTGTTGTTGTTGTTGTTGTTTGTTTGTTTGTTTTTTCTCCTAAAACTCAAAAGGAAGAAAAAACAACCCATGGACCCTTAGCAGTATAAGCTGCAGGGCGTCTGCTGATACTATACTAGCAGTTGGTTTTCTCAGCAGGAAAAGCTGAAAAAGCTTCTGGGGTCTGTGACTGTGAACACTGAAGAATCTTGAGAGGTAAAATCTACAGGAGGTACCCAGTGGCTATGAGGGCTATTGAGGTCCTTGACAGAGAGGCCTACTGGGGCCCTGTGCCAAAGAGGCCACGGCAGATCACTGCGACTCCTGCTACTTTGCTGATACTGATATAACCAATCCCTATTCTTTGCTCTCTGCTGTTTCCAGACATCTAGGCTATATCTGTCTTTTCAGAGATCTGGGTGGGATGAAACTGAAGCTGGTCATTAGGGCAGTGTCCCATAAAGCTGGGGAAGCTGGTTGTACACTCCTGTCTCCTCCCTGTATGTAGGACACAAGATCCAAGATCCAAGTTGCTGTTTCATAATGAGCAGTACCAGCTATGGGGACGGGGTGATGCAAGCAAAATGAAACTGTTTTTCCTACTCGTTTTGTGTATTTGTTTTCTGACTTTTTCTTTCACTATATTGCTGTGGCTTCTTAAGTGGACCCCTAAGCTTTTCCAGAATTATTTTTTGTTCATGGATAGCTACCAAATTGTTGTTGTTTGCTGAAGAAAGGAAGGCGATATTTCCTACTCTGCCATCTTACTGACATCCTCTCCTAAAAGTTGATTTCTAAGTATTTAAAATTTTTTCGGCTGCCATTGTAAGTGGTATTTTAAAATGTCAATTTCCTATAGTCTATTACTATTACACAGGAATACGGTTGATTTTTGTACATTGACTTTGTGTCCTGACACATAACCAAATTCACTAATTGGTTCCAGTATTTTTTTTGTAGATTTCTTAGGATTTTATGCATATACAATTATGTCATCTCTGAAAAAAAGAGTTTAATTTCTTCTTTTTTCAGTCTATATTCTGTCTATTTCCTTTTTTATCTTATTTCACTGGCCGGGATATACAGTACGGTGTTAACTAGAAATGGTGAGAACAGGCATCTTTGTCTTGTTTTGATCTTAGGGGCAAGCATTCAATATTTTACCAAGTAATTAGCTTAACGTTTTTCATGGGTGTCCTTTATTACATTGTGGTAGTGTCTTTCTATTTCTAGTTTGCTGATGTCTTTGTCATAAATTTATTTTCTCAAATGCTTATTCAGCATTATTGAAACGATCATGTAATTTTTCTCCTTTAATCTGTCAATGTGGTAAATTACATTGGGATAAGTCTGTCCTGATCATGGTATATTATTCTTTTTATGTGCTATTTTGCTTGTTTTTCAACCCTTATATAACAACTCTATCTTGATTTTTTGTTGATCAGTTTCTATTGCCTATTGTTTCTCTTGGGTTTTATAAATATTTTCTATTCTAATGTATCAGGTTATCTTTTATTAAGTACTTGTCAATATATAATAAAAATTATAGAGTTTTTTTAAAACTTTACTTGGAATTAATTTCAAACTTATGGAAAGGTTGAAAAATAAGAACCATACAAAAAATACCCAGATTCCCCTGTTGTTAACATTTTACCATTTTGTCTTATCATTTGAGTGTGCTCTCCCTCTCTCTCCTGACTCTCTCCTCTTCCCCTCTCTTTATGTACATATTTATATGTCCATACATACATATACACACACTCATACATTTTTTTCTCAGCCATTAGTGTTTTAACTTGCATACATCTTAGATTCCTTACCTCTAAACACTTCATCACATTGTGTTTCCTTAGGGACATTTTATGGAGATAATATCAGGCTCTGGATTGTGTGATTCCTTCAAACAGATATTTATTTATATTTTTAGCTTTTCCAGCTACTCTCAGTGGCAGGGTTTGCCTGCAACAACTTAGTCTGTCATTGCCAGAAGTAGAGTCACTGATCTCTTGCTTTTTGTGATCCAGTCCCAGAGTTTTATTTCCATGCTGTGTTTTACTCTTATTAGGGCCAGTGTTCCCTTATTACCCTTCTTTTACAGAATGTCCCTACTATTCCTATGTACTCATTTTTCTATAAGAAATTTACAGTCAGTTTGTCTTGTTACTGAATAATTTGTTTTGATATTTATTATTAAATTATGAATCAATTTAAGAATAATTGACTCATTATCATTTTAATATTTCTGCCTAAGAATATGATCTGTCTTTCCATTACTTCAAGACTTCTTTTGGGGTCCTTGGTAGACTTTTCCTTTCCTTTTTTTCTTTTCCCACAGCAAGATGGATTCTGGATATACTCTGAGTATTGTAACAACCACCTGGATGCTTGCATGGAGCTCTCCAAACTGATGAAGGACAGCCGCTACCAGCACTTCTTTGAGGCCTGTCGCCTCTTGCAGCAGATGATTGACATTGCTATCGATGGTTTCCTTTTGACTCCAGTGCAGAAGATCTGCAAGTATCCCTTACAGTTGGCTGAGCTCCTAAAGTATACTGCCCAAGACCACAGGTAAGGGATCGAGGGAGTCAGGAGTGAATGAGGGAACTTCCTCTATCTGTTGGTTCTCATTGAGAATACATGTCCTTTTGCCCTTTCTGAGCTTCTGTTAACTTATCTGCAAAACAGGATGATACATTCTTGATTGCCTCATAGCCAACAGGGTACAGAAGGCAGAGCTATCACTGGCTTTGTTACTCACACAAAAGGAGGGTCCTTTGCCACTATATTTGGGTTAAAATCTGAAATCTGCCTAGGGCTCCAGAACCACTAAAGCATATAAGATATGATTTGTTAGAGAAGCAGCATCAATCCAAAAACGAACCCAAAGATGTAAACCAAACCAACTGGCCCACACCCATGGCTCATGCATCTGGGTCTGAAAGTTAGCCCCAAGGAGACCAAGCAATGGAGCTAAATCATACTTGTGGACTGATAATATTCACTAGGTAAATTATATATGGCATAATTCATCTTAAAAGTTCCAGAAAAAAGTTTTTAAGCATAGCTCAAAGCTATGTTAGTTTCTTAGGCCAAAACAACCTCAGAGCTTTTTGGGGGTTTGGTGGGCACCAAAAAGATAGGACATTCGCCTGGGATTTGCCATTTCTGTACACTTTCACCTTGTGACTGGAACTCCTGCTTCAAAGTCCTCTTGCCATCTAGGTCCCTGATTCCCTCTCCTCTCACCCCTTGCGCTCCAGAGTGACAGTAGAGTAGCTCAGGCAGTGTCAGGCGACATCAATTTCTGCCCTTTCTCAGAGTGACCCGTTGGGCCCAGCACAACTCCCACGACATAGACAACCCCTTTTGGCAGGTCTCAGGAATCTGTATTAAGATGATGGCTCCTGCCATGCATGTCAAGAGTAGCTCGGATTTGAAGGCAACTAAAGGCTGATGCCAGCTTGGAAGCTTAGTAAGATAGGTGTTCAGATAGGTAGGGCTGAAATACAGGCAGTCAGAATGGCCCCTGAGGGAGAAGATTAGATGAAGAATGATAAATAGAGAAGAATACTGACTTTGCTTACAGATGATTGATATAATTCCCTACCCTACCTTCCTTAAGTTGATGAGAATGAAGACTGCATGTAAGAGGGAGGCTAGCTGACATGTCTGGAAGTAGAAAATCTTTGTTCTGTTGTTCTCCCCAATAAGAGGCTGGGCCCAGACCTCATCTGAGGGCTTTGACCAGGGTTAGGCTGGACCACAGCTATTCCTTTCTTCTCCTGCCGACTGCTAAAACTAGTAGGACAGGTTAGAGATGGGCACATTCCCCCTCTAGCCATTTTGAGAAAGGCAGCCAGCTAAAGATGGCAAAAATAGGCAGTATGGGACACTGACAGTGAGGAATCCATGACTGAGTAGTCTTGGTGTAGAGGAAATGAACATTGTCATGCCAGGACTGCCCAGTAGAACTTTCTGCAACAATGCAAATAGTCTATATTTGTGTTATTCAATATAGTAGTTACCCACCACATGTGACTACTTGAGTACTAAGAAACATAGCTAGTGCAACTGAGGAACTAAATTTTAAATTTTACTTAATTTTGATTAAATATGGCTAATAGCTACCATGTTGGACAGTACAGCTCTGTGCTTTACTTCCAAGAAAGTGGTTTAGAGCACTGATCTCCTCAAATCAGAGAAAGGAAAGGTACAGGGGCAGAAAATGGGTCCAAAGAGCAGGAGCACTTACTTATGTTAGCAGCTTCTGTGCTGCAATCTTCCCTTCTGTCACCACTCTACCTCCTTCTAAGTGTCAGGCTCAGACATCTTGCCAAGGAGAAACTTCGGTGATGTCACAGAGCCCAAAAGATCCCCATACATTGGAGCAACTAACTGTAAAAGAATGAAATGTAACAGAAACAAATGTAGAGTGTTTCCATTGGGTCTAAGATAAGAAATAAATAGCTCACGGACAGGCTGAGAGAGATACAGCTTCTAGAGTGTGTTTTGAAGAGACTTAGGAAGTGTTAGTTGGCCATAAGCTCAATATGGGTCAGCAATGGGATCCAGAAGAAAAACTGATAATAGCTAACATTCACTGAGGCTCAGAATAAAGACTTTTCTAACATATTTGTCTTGAGACAGAATAGACTGGTTAGGAAGTATAGTGAAAAGCCTTTCACTGGAGGTGATAATGTAACATTGTTTGAGAGCCATGGCTCTGACAGGTGTGCAGATCACAGATTGGAGTGAGGGATGTGAACTAGGAGGAGGTACTACGTAGGATCTGCCCTGGCAATTAGAAGTCCCTTTCCTCTGCCTTTCTTTGGTCCATCAACCCACTATTCAATGTTGTGGGTGTGCAGTTGTGCAGTTGTGCAAAGATGTGCGGTTGTTGCACATCTATTTTTTTCTCCTTCCTTTTTTAAAAAATGGTACTGAGAGATTAAGCAGACTAGTGACCACAAGGCATTTTCAGTTTCTCTAAAGAAAGGTGTTAACACTGAACTGTAAGGCATCCTCTTGTCTTCTCAGTTTATTTTTGCCCCCACTGAATGGCTGAGATCTCACTATCAATCTGCCTTTCCCAAGAGCCATTTGATTGCAAATCAGAAAAGAACAGCAGAAAAAAACTGGATAGGATATGTAACTCTCAACACGTCTGCTATCCAGAGTCCCAGGATGTGGGGCCAAGGGTTACACGTCTGAGACTAGGGGTTTTAAGAGGCATCCCATGTGATGGCTCTACTACGGAAATGTTTGATTTGTAATAATAGTACTGCTAACATTTGTTATATGCCAAGAGTAAAATAGTTTACATGGATGATTGTATTTAATTTATGAAACCTTCAATAAACTATACTTTTCCCCATTTTACAGATGAGGAAATTGAGTCAATGAGAGAGGGAGTGAGGCTTGCCAAAGGCCATACTGCTAGTCAGTGAGAAAAACTGGCATTTGATCCCACAAAGTCTGGCTTCAGACTTTATGCTCTTACCCACTGTGCTACATTCTGTTTCTATATTGTGCAAAAGCAAACGTGAGGATATTTCAGAGTGATTTTGGGCAGAAGCTCCATAGAAATAGATGATGGAAGAGATGATAAGGTGGTCTATACTGTGTCATGTGTGAGGCTCCCTTCTTGGTCCTTGGCTGGCTGTATCAGATAGGACACAAAAAAAGTGATGTAACAAAATAGTGGTCCATTTGTCTCTCATGTAAAAGAAGTATGTATTCTGAAGTTTATGACTGGTATGGTGGCCTCATGGTCATCAGAAACATGAGCACCCTACAGCTATCTACTATCCTATACCTAGGGTATTGACCTTGTCCTTATGGTCCAAGATGGCTACCAGAGGTTCGGCCATCACATCAACATTCCAAGCATCAGGATTGAGTAAAGGCTAAAGAAGCGTATGCTCTCTACCTTAAAGGTGATTTCTCAGAAGGCCTACCTGATAGAGCAGGAGCACCGTCATCTTGGACAAACACTGCCACTTCAAGTTCCAGCTCCCTTTCTAGCCTCATGCATTTCAAGGAAATCACTTCTTTTCTAACTACAAGCAGCCAGAAAGAGCAGACAGTAAGAGAGCTCAGGCACAGAAGGAGGTAGGGGGGAAAGTCTCTTGAGTAACTGCCAAACTTCACCCTCATACAATGGGCCCCAGTAAAACAGTGGGCGTTAATAAACACATTCCTTTTCCTTCAGGTGCACTAAGATAGAGAAGATGAAAGCAGACTCAGGGGATATGCCTGCAGCTGCAAAAAGATGTATGGGAACAGACACACAACTCTCTCTTCCCAGATAAGCACAACAAAGAGGCGCAAAAGCAGTCTATGCCTCTGATAAAGTCTCCCACCCTGAATCCTTAAAAACTCTTAGTCTGTAAGAAAGTGTGGCTCTGACCTAACTCGGCCAGCCGCTCCTCTCAGGTTTATTTAAAATCAACCTGTCCCTGTTGACTGAAAAGCCATCCTTCATGTTTCTCTCCTCTTTCTTTAATTCTTACACTACGCAACACTTCTATTTACATATCAGTGTACAAAACTTACTTGCATAGTCATTTTTGCTGAAACAAAAGATAGAAAATGTAGTCTTTAGGTGGTGTGGGTTCCCATCTGAAAATCAGGACTCTGTTACTAAGGAGGTAGAGGAGAGTGGATGTTAAGATTGGCACCTAGCACATTGGTTCTTTGGCACATTGGTTGGTTCAACTTGCACTCTTTTGTTTTCACAGTGACTACAGGTATGTGGCAGCTGCTTTGGCTGTCATGAGAAATGTGACTCAGCAGATCAACGAACGCAAGCGACGTTTAGAGAATATTGACAAGATTGCTCAGTGGCAGGCTTCTGTCCTAGACTGGGAGGTAGGAAACTTACCAACCAGGGTATTGGGAAATCTGAATAGCTTGGCAAAAGCTTCCCATCTTAGCTAAGGACAGGTGAAGAGAAATTACATTTGAAGAGCAACAGTAAGGATTTAGATTAGACTCAAGGTAAAATTTCTTGCTAATGAGAAGTGTTGGATACTTGAATAACTTTCTAAGAAGCTTGGAGAAATTTTTGTGATGATACCTCATTAAGAAATGAAAGGTTCATTTCTTCAGGTATTGCCAAGGAACAATTAGGGTTGATTCAGTAGCCTTTCAAAGCTCTTTCTGGATTTATGACCAACAGATTCACACTTAGATAAGAAATAGTATATACTAATTTACTTCCAGACACAGAATACGAGGTTGGTTCTCCTGTTCCCAACCATGCAGGACAGCCAACATACTTTTTTTTTTATCGGTGATACCACCTCACCCTAGCACATCTATTAGGTCTCTCTATTAGGCCTGTACACTATAGGCCACAACCATCATCCCTGCCAAATCCACAGTTTTCACATCTGTTTTTAAAATAATCCCTGATTATTTCATTGCAGACAGCCATGACTTCTCTGAATTCTGAAAGACCTTCCCTTCCTAGATGCCCACCAAAAGTATCAGGAGTAATGACATTTCACATATGTCTTGCAGGCCCAGGTTGTGCAATCTGATAGTCTGCTGGCTAAAATAACCAAGATAGGAGAGGCTGGACGTGCTACTAGGGAGGGATTAGCAATCTTAAGCCTTGTGGTCACAATATAGAGGTAGGGTCTGCTCCCTATTCCACTGACCTCAACTCAAGTGTCATTTTCAGTGATTAAGAGGTAGTATTTCTCTTAATACTTAAAGTATTTTAGCCCGTTCCAAGGGAACCAAGCATCATCCTCACAAACAGCTGCTTAACCAAGGCCCAGAAAAAAGTCACTTTCCTTTTATTCTGCTACCTCTGTCCTACCTTAATGTAGATTGCTGAAAAAGACCACAATTCTGATCAGCTGACATCCTTTTGGGCTATATTTGAAGGATAATGTTCCCATATAAGTAGAACAGCACTTTGATTTGCAGAGAAAGGAATTTGTCTAGATGAAGAGACCCTCATTCTCTTAAGCAGAAGCCAGCACTGGGCCAGACTTACTAGAAAATTGTGGGTCCTTTTTTCCTTGTGTTGGCATTGCTTTGGCCATTTGCCTGATTAAAGGCAGAGAGCTGGACCAAATGACTTCTAGCAAGCCCATCAACTCTAAGACACTCTAAAATTAAGGTGGATTAGCTGGCCTTATTCTCTCTCGTTGGCAGGGTTTTTTGTAAGAGAAGGTGCCCAGCAGCAGTTGTCTTCCTATTCCCTGGAGCATCTCCCCAACTTCCCAATGCCTAGAAGACTTTCTGATTCCCCTGTGTGCTCTGGGACATCAGTCCTTGGAGCAGGAGCCATGGGGAACCAAAAATAGCATGAAATTACCTGGCCTACTCAGGGAGCTTCAGTAGCACCAAGCTCAATAACACTGAGCTATGATTTAAACACTCAGCATCTCAGAAGGAATTTCCTGCATGTATGTCTGAATGGGGCCACAAAAACACAGTTCTAACAGTGTCTGCCTCCTTTATTAGCCTGATTGATTGGTACTCTAATCTCATGTAAGCCCACACATCCCTTGTACGCTCCTGCTTGGTGAAGCCTTTCTTCATCTAAATTGACATCCTACTTCATTCAGGCTGCTATAACAAAATACCATAGACTGGGTGGCTTATAAACAACAGAAATTTATTTCTCATAATTGTGGAAGCTGGGAAGTCCAAGATCAAGGAACCAGTAGATTCAGTGCCTGGTGAGGGCCCTCTTCATAGACTGTTGTCTTCTCATTGTAACCTCACATGGCAGAAAGGATGAGAGAACTCTTTGGGGTCTCTTTTATGAATGCTATTCCCATTTAATTCATGACTGCCTCATTCTCATGACCATCATCCCCCAAGGCCTTACCTCCAAATACCATCACAGTAGAGATTATGTTTCAACATGTGAATTTTATGGGGATACAAACATTCAGCCTATAGCAATTTGTAAGAAGAAAAATTCTTCATGGTCTTCTTGTCAGACTGAGGTCACTGTGGAACTTGCCAGTTCCAGCGAAGTTGTCCTCTAGGAAGTCTTTTCTCTAGTAAAGCCTGATGGATATATTTCAAAGGCCAAGCCTAAAGTTTCTGTCATATTTGCCATACCTGTGTTAAAGACTTCTAGAATGTCAGAATCACCAAGGCTCTTAGAGGACTCCCCCTACAACCCTGACGATTCTTGTGTGTATACACATGCACATATGCACATGTACACATACTCTCACACACTTACTCTCAAACACCTTGCAATGATGGTGAAAGACAGAGAAGCAGAGAGAGGTTTATTTCCTACCAAGGCCACACAGCAAGTCAGTGACAAAGCTGGAACTTGAATCTAGTCCCCTGATTCCTTGTGTGGTATTGTTTTCAGTAAGGTACCACATATTCCTTCAACCTTCTGCCTCTCACAGCCCAATTGCTGTTCTTTGTGATATTTCAGCGACTTGCTTTTTGTATGTAGTAAAGAGTTTATATTTAAATAAGACAGTGAGACTACCTTGGGGAGGTCATCCAAATCCCAGTCAGGTGGTGGGTGAGTGCTGGGGAGTCTCCCCAAGAAAGCAATGAGACATGGATGCTCCATGGCTTGATGATGGTTAGGATTGGTGGCCCAATTTCACAGGTTCCCTGGTATAGGTTCTTTGTGCATTCCACCTGCCCAAGAAGTTGTCTAGGCAAGGAGAGACATTCTGCCAGATTGCCGAGGACTGCTGTGAACAGACCGTGCAAATCAAGAAAAAGATGCCATATTTTGCTGTCTCTGCCACCCCCCTTGTCTCCCAGATGTTTGAACAAACAGAGTGGCTGTCAAAAGCATCTGCATGATAATTTCAGCTTCATTTGTCAAATGAAAAAGAGGAGTCATAGGGGAAACCTTCAGAGCTTAATCTCCCTTGAAGAGGAATTTGGAGGGTAGCATGCAGGCAATTAGTGTCTGCTCAATAGATCAGAGTGTCTGGCTAGAGAGCAGGAAGCCCTGCATTATATCAAGGCCTGACCCTTCTCTTAGCTTATTCCGTGAACATTCTTGGTCTCTTTGCCCAACTCTGGTTATTATCCCTGCCCTCTACCATTCTATAGGGACTAGAGTTCCTGAAGTAACTTTCCTTTTACCCCACCCCCCAGGGCTCCTGAAAATCAAATGGATGAGTAAAAGTGTCAGTCATCTCTCTACTAATCAATACATTAGAGCAGTATGCGGGAGCAGCAGGGAGAATAATCTGTTCCCAGGGACTGCAGTTTCTGGGAAATTTCTATTTCTAATTTCCATGATGCTGAGGTTTGGTTGAGCTGTCACTTTGCCACCTTGCACACTCATTTAATCCACTTGAAAACAAGGGAAAGGTAACATATCCTGGATAGCTTCTTTTTAATCTTTTTTTTTTTCTGGAGATTTGTAGCAGGAACCTAACATTGTAGCTCATATTTGGGAGCTTGATTGTGTGTGGTTGTAATTTCCTCTTTGTGGGATCCCTCTCCTCCCAGCCTGGTTGTGTAATACCCAAGGACCTGTTCCACTTTGCTATTTGATGACTGAATCCAAAGAAGTTGGAGGAAACAAGAAAACCCAACATGATGAAGGCAGCAAAAGCATCTACTTAAAAGCTAAAGTGGCTTGATGAGGCATACTCCTGGGACAAGAAGATCAAATGTAGGGCTAGATGGATTTGTTACTCCTCTGCCTTCCTGTCAGTAGGCAGCATTGAAAATAAACTAGTTAAAAAGTATGGCATTCCCCTTGTCCTTTCCCTGGATCTGCTCAGATTACAGCCCCACATCAATTGGCCTATAATTAGAATGGGGTGAAATCAGGCAGAATGGGGTGAATTAGAATTAGAATGGGGTGAGGCCTCTTCGCTCGGGCTCTGACCCCAAGGAAGGAAGGTAGATAAGCTGGCAAGAAAGCTTTGGGTAGTTTTTGGTGGCCACTGTTCATTCCACACCTATTGATTTAGTTGTCAAACAGTATTTATTGAGTATTTAAATATCAAGTACTCTGTGTCAGACCTTATTCTAGGTTCTGCAAAGACATCAGTGAACATGACAAAGTTTCCACTCTCATTGATTTATATTCCAGTAGGGAAAAGAGGCAACAAACAAACATATATCATCAGGTAGATGGGCCTCTGAAGAAAAATAAAGTAGGATAACAGGTTAGGGAGTAATGTGGATACTACCTGAGGAAGTAACAGTTAAGAACAGACCTGAAGGAGAGGAAGGAGCAAACCATGTGGTTTTCTTGGGGCACAGAATTCCAGACAGAGGGGAAAACAAACACGAAGACCCTGAAATATAGGAGTGTGTGCTAAAGGAACAACACGGAAGCCAGTGTTGTTACTCTACCCAGAGTAGAGTAAGTGAGTGAGAGAGTGGGAGCAAATGAAGTTAGGGAGGTGACTGGAGGTCAGATCCTGTCTTCATAAGACTGACTGTTAGTTTGAGTGAGATGGGAGCCACTGGAGGGTTTTTGAGCAAATACGTGAAATTATGAGACTTATGTTTTGAACATTTCCCCTCATATGCCAGGCCCTATGCTGGGCAATGAGGATATTGAGATCAATGAGATGTGGCCTTGAACATCTAGTGCGGACAAACATATTCCAGCAGAGGGAACAGTGTGAGCAAAATCCTGGAGGGAGTGAACAGATCCAAAGGCCCACGGTTGGGGATTTTTGGAAGGAGTTGTACTTTTGGGGGCAAGACAAAGAGATGTGTTATATAAGTGGAGCAGAGGAAGCAAGGGTGAGATCTCTAAACAATGAGAGGGCTGTCTCCTTTCCATGAACTCATTTGACGCTCTCAAACAGCCATGTGAAGTGGGTCAAACAGGAACTGTTTTAATATTCCCCCTCTACAAATGAGGAAACAGATGGCGAGAGTTTAAGCTAGTTTCTAACTCAAGAGTGAGTTGGTAGCAGCATTGGACTCAGAGCCCAGGTCTTTTGAGATTCTCACCTTAGAAATCTTCCATGGCATCTGGTTGTTCCCCTGGGTTGGTGACAGTAGGAGGAGATTGGGTGGGGGCCATCATTCTAATGTGGTTTGGTGGATAAGAGCATAGGCTTTGGAGGGCTTCTGACCTAGGTTCTGCCCCTTTGGGCAAATTACTTCCAATTTCTTTGACCCTGGTTTTGGGGTAATAACAAAACATCACTTACTGGGTTGCTATATTACTAGGAGACAGGATAGGTATGGAAACTGGGGCACACAGTAATAGTCAAGAAAATAAGTATCACTTATGTTGAGCTTATAGTGTGATGTGTACCTTCTAGGCACTTTATATGTTTTAATTTAAATAATCCTCACAACACCCAAATGAAGTTGGTACTGTTATTATCCCCATGTTAATGATGAGGCAACTGAGTTATAGAGAGACTACGTGTGTTGCTCAAGGTTAGTCAGCTTGGTGAGCATAGAGGAGTATTATTTTAATTTTTTTTCTAATTGGTGGAGTTACATGTTGCAAGTAATTAAAATATAATTGATGCTGGGCACCGTGGCTAACATCTGTAATTCCAGCACTTTGGGAGGCTGAGGTCGGTGGATCGCTTGAGGTCAGGAGTTTGAGACCAGCCTGGCCAACATAGCAAAAAATCATCTCTACTAAAAATATAAAAATTAGCTGGGCATGGTGTCACACACATGCCTGTAATGCCAGCTACTTGGGAGGCTGAGACACAAGTATCGCTTGAGGCCAGGAGGCAGAGTTTGCAGTGAGCCGAGATCGTGCCACTATACTGCAGCCTGGGCAACAGAGGGAGACTCTGTCTCAAAAAAGAAAAAAAAAAATGTAGAATTGAGATGCCCCTGGCTGGTGGAGTGGATGGACCAGATAATACTGGGTAGCCCTCCTGGTCGTATCATCCACATTTAGTAAATTGTATATTTAAAAGTCATTCTGACCATCTTCTTATGGCATTGGCTCTCTTTTATGGCTTTATTGGACTTCATACATATTCAAAGTGGACTGTAGCACATCTTCCTAGCCTGCATCAGGGTGGGAACCTCTCTCAGCTTCCCATCCCTCCAGCAGGAAATCGCTGTACTGCTCCCTAACCTGGTGGCTTTCTTTCCCAGTATCAGGCCTCCAGAGGTTCTGTGCTAGTATGTCAGCCCCTCTAGAAGGAGTGTTTACCTAGTTCCTGGATAATATTGAGGCTAAGTCGGGAGCCTAAAGTTGAAGCAGTATTTCTAAGCTTTTTTTCGGCAGTGGGGTGGGGGGTTCTATTATTAGAAAATAATTCTACTGAGTTCCCCCTTTCCTTCCCATCCTTTAGACTGGGGAAAAAAATGGTATGCTCGAATACACCATTTCTAGATGCCCCACTCTCTGGCCTACTACCCTGCCTGATTTGTGTTTGCCTCTGATTATTTCTGGGAGGTATAAAGGTCTCCATCTCTAACCTTGCCTTGAAGCTTTTGGGTGAAAGGCTGAGATCTTAGCATCAAGGTATCAGCCCTATCATGAAGATCATCCTCATACTACATCTGGGAAAACTGACACCTAGAGAGAGAGGAAGGAACGGGTTCTCCAATGCCTTTTTGGCCTAAAGACAGTATAATATAGTACAAGGAGTGAGCATATTCTATGGAGCCCCAGAGGTTGGAGTTGGGTCATGGACCTGTAGCTAACTAGTTGGGCAACTTTGGCTTATCACTTGATCTTTTTGTACCTCTAACTGTAAAATGGGAGCAAGAATATCTACTTCCCAGGGCTATCGCGAGTCTCAGATAAGATAGATTGAAAATATCTGGCGCACTGTCTGACTCATATAGGTGCTCAGGAAATATTAATTCTTCTGTGTCTTGGGACACTACTCTTTGTCCCTATCTTCACATAGGCCCTGGAATACTCACCCCTGTGCCCACAACTTCGGTGTTGGTTTGCCTTGTGTTTCATGAGTTTTGAGCATACCTGCATTCGTCTCCTCCATGAAGACATAAGCTCCTTGAGGACAGGGGCCAGGTCTACCTTGACATCTGACACACACCTGCAACATACTTCTGACCTATCAGAGTTGCCATAAAGAAGGAGTAGGACTTGGAAACTCTGTAGAATTGAATTAGCTAGGACTTAGGTGTCTTGGTGCCTATTTGTGTCAGACTCTTTGTAGCAAGGAGGATAAGTAGTTCTAGGCTTTCTGGATAACAGACCAAGGAATCATGTGGCAGTTAAGTTTCTTATTCAATCAGTAGATTTTAGTGAACTGAGAGGAGAAGGAAAAACAATTATAAGAGGGGAGTGGGTTCTTTTTCTCTCCCTCTGTTATCATCTTCCTTCTTGTCCTCCCGTTTCCTTCTACTCATGTGGGAGGCAGTGAGATTAAGGCCTGTTCTTCAAGTATTAGAAAGAGACTGAGGGACCAGAGCAGGGATTGAGAGACTGGGACAGAAAAAGAGATTTATAGAGAAGAGAGATGGAGAAATATATATATGTGTGTGTGTGTGTGTGTGTGTGTGTGTGTGTGTATGTATATATATATGTGTGTATGTGTGTGTGTGTGTATATATATATATATAAAGAAAATCTCTCTCTCTCTCTTTCTCCACACACATATATATGTGTGTATGTAGAGAGAGAGAGAGAGAGAGAGAGGCAGACACAGAGAGAGACAGACAGACAGAGAACTTATAGGACCAGAGGGTAACTGGTGTAGAAAAGCTGTAGCAGTCCCGGGTGGCAGGGCACATTTGGCCTTGGGGTGAATAAGAAAATGGGTCTTCCTAGCTCACAGAGCTGTAAAGCTTTTTGAGGAGTCCCAGGAGTCCCTCTCTCCCTCTGTCTCTACCAGGCCCTTTCTGGCCTCTTCCTATCCCAGTCTATGCCCAGCCTTGGGTGCCTCCAGGCAGGTGATGGTGCCATCCTTCTGCCTGGCTGCCTCTCATCATCACATGTCCTTCCCAGGGCGAGGACATCCTAGACAGGAGCTCGGAGCTGATCTACACTGGGGAGATGGCCTGGATCTACCAGCCCTACGGCCGCAACCAGCAGCGGGTCTTCTTCCTGTTTGACCACCAGATGGTCCTCTGCAAGAAGGTAACCCTGCCCCCTTCTTCCCTGAGGGAGATGGGTACCTAACAGGGTACCGGACCCTCCTCTTCATCATCCCCAGGCTCCCAACAAAGTGGGCAAATACTGATGGGGGGAAAACAGACAGGAGATTGGCAGCAATTCTGTATCAGGAACACTAATGTGGCATGAATGTCACAGGCAGGGTTGGCTTGTGGGCAGTGAAAAACTCTGAAGTCGGTGCATTTTGTCTTGGTATTTTTTTTACCCTTTGCCCTAATGACCCTGGGGTGCTCCTTCTCACTTTCTTCTACCCAGAGCTGCTGGTCTGCACCATTTGTAAAAAATATTGAAATATGTCTATCTTAGTTGGTAAATAGTAGTTTCCCTGAGCACTTTCCCTCATTTCCACTCTAATGGCTCTGGCCATGTGGCCCCTCTCTGCCCTGGGAACCAACGAGGAGCCTCCTACTTTTGCCCTGACAGGTAGGTACCTTTGTGATATAGGAATTTTTTCCATGCCTCTACCTATTTCCTATACAAGGTGCACTGGTTCCCCACAACCCCCAACCGTGCTCTTCTCCACTCTTCCTTCTTTGTAATCCATTAGAGGAGAGGTCTTACTCTTGTCACTGACTCTGGATAACTCTGTGTATGTTGGTTTCTAGGACTCTTCTCCTTTGTGAGGCTGGGAAGGGTAGCATATGTTCTAAGCGTCACTCCTCCTTATGGGATACTCTTACCCCTACTTCCTCACTCACAGTAGAGAGTTCAGACCAGTTTTGGCTCCAGGGGCTAACTGGGAAGAATTGGGGACCAAGGAAAGTAAAAATGGAAGAAGAAACCAGAATGCTTAGAGTGACTTTACAAATTCACCATGCTACCCTTTGCTCTTTTGCCATCATCTAGTCCCTTTGTCCTCTCCTTCACCCAGTAGTGAATGCCTCTGAAGAGGAGTGCTGAGTCACAAAACACCAGAGTAAATAGTGTTACATTTTTCTGGGCTGGAACATGAACCACACAGTTTTAAGCCCCCTGTCCTCTGTGTGTGTATGTGTGTGCCATATCTTGTATTGAATCTTTATCCATTTGCTTTGACAGTGGATTGAGGGGAAAAACACTGAGCTTAGGTTCAGACTGCCTCAGTGTTTGGTGATAAGCTCTGAATGTCCACTCTAGAACCAATAGCCAGTCAGTTAATGGGGATAATAACTTACCTCAGTATGGAGCTAACCCTCAAACAGAGAACTTTTATGAATCTGAAACTCAGCCAAACACTAATGCTTCTTTTTAGCTCCCCCAACTCTTCTCAGGACTTTCATAAAATCAGGAGGTAGGATTTTTGAGGGTTAATTTAGGTGGCCATGGAAATTCTCAGCATATCAGCCATGTCACCAACACTAATGTGCCTGTTCTTCCCACTAAGGTGTTTACACTCAGAACAAGTAGCCATAGAGGCAGTAAACAAATAGGAACCTGGCTTATTTTATAGTTCTGCACCCCCTAGGCCCTGTTAATTTTGGCATCTGTTAGCCAAGGCTGGGATTACTTTAACTAAATTGTGAAACTAGGCTCTAGAAAGCAGTGGCTATAAGAGATAGACCAGGATCCAGAACATAAAACAGTGAGTCAGAAGCCAGGAATAAAGGGGAAGAAACAAGATAAACAATGGGTTTAACTTAGAACTCAACGGGCAGTGGAAGACCAAGATGGAGTAATGAGCCATGTCTAAGCCAGATAGTGGGAGCCAATGATTAGGAAGAAACTAGAAGTCAAGCCAGGGCTGGGGATTCAAACCAGCTAAGCTGGCAGGGTAGGGGAAGCATATAACAGGGATGGTGAAAACAAGAGAAACCTCGAAGCAGTCATAGCTTCCCACAGAAGGGAGCTTTCTTGTTTTCACAAGAACCATAGGCTTTCTTCCCAAGACACAGCCAGCCTAGAGTCTGGAGTATAAAGGCTACCAACTCCATATACCTGGGTGTTCTTGACACTGGCTTCCCAGAACACGAGCAGTTATAGCCTAATTGTTCAAAGGCCATTAAAACTACCTGATGTTTGTTTTGAAGATTTCCATTTGTTATCTACAATAAGACTTTCCATTCAACAAGTAGGGATAAACTTTTGAAAAATGATCATGGGACCAAAAGAAGGTATGCAGAGAGACAAGGTATTTTGTCTGCTGGGTTGTTTAGGGACCTTTTGCCATTACTACAAAAGACTCTCTTCTTGAGATAGAGCTGGGAGGAATGGACTAGGCTCTCTGGAGGTGAAAATTCCTTTGACAAAGAGAATCCATGGAGGAAAGGAAGGGAATGTCTGGATTGGGCCAAGGTGAGTGAGGCTGTCACCTTGTTCACCTCAGGCACACAATTTAATTGGATGTCCGAAAGTTCAGTAATCCTTTTTACCAGGAAGAAAGGAGGTGAGGATGCTAAATAATGAAATATGGCCACATTAAGCTTTCTGATGATCTCATATTTAAAAAGGAGGAAACAAAGACCCCTAGGAAGTGGCTAAATAATATATAATATTTTACATATGATATAATATTTAACAGGGGTGACAAAAGAGTTTCATGAATCCTAGAATGAGTCAAAATTAGTTTTTAAAAATGCTTAATTTTAATTACTTTTAAAGCTATGTTCAAATGAAGAAAAAAGAAGTGATAGTCTGACAACCCCCTGTTTGAGGCAGATGGTTTACTGATAACAGGGGAATATAAATTCCTTCTCTATCAAGGAAAAGAAGTCATAAACTTGTTTCAAAGGGAATTGAAGCCCAAAGGATCTGAGGTTGTAAGAGAGTACTTTACTGCTCTGAATTCTTTCATGCTATAGATATTGAGCCCCTCTTCTGTGCCAACCAGCTCTACTTTCATAAGGATTCTAGTCTAACAGAACTTAAGTATGATGTTATTTAAAAATATATACATCCCAGAGCACTGAAATAATTCTATGATGTCCCAAGTGGAATTGCTCTAGGTCATCTTGACAGAATTATGGGTTCCAGGAGATCTGTGAGAAGACTACACATAGGAAAATGTACCAGTTTTCAAAGCAGAAAATAATATGTTCTAGAAAGTAGAAATCAACAATAAAGTATTAATGAACTAGCATTTATTGAGTGCTTCTATGATTCTGTTCTAAGAACTTTACACTTATTAACTCAATTTAATCCTCACAACAAACCTATGAGGTAGGTACTATTATTATATTATTTCCATGTTAAGGATATGTAAAGTGAGACCTAGATAAGTTATATAATTTTCCCAAGGTGAAATAGCTAATGAGTGATAGAGCCAGGAATTACATTCAGATACGCTGGCTCCAGATTCCACATTGGTAATATTTATGTCATTATTACCATTGAGCTTGTCAAAATTCTGTACTTGATTATTAAACAGCCTGTGAACATTTAGAAAGAGATACAGTGGCCACAGGGGTCATCTTTGGCTTTCTGAGAACAAGTCATATCCTATAAAACTCAGTTTCTATTTTGCCAGTAACTTAATTAGTTAATAGGAGGATTGCACAGGACAGAGAGTGTCCTCCTGCATTTCAGATTTTCCCATGGTTTCCTTGCAGACAGAAGTCATATGGAGTGATAGATAAAACATAAAGTTTGTAATCAGACAATTCTGGGCTCAAATCCTGATTTCAACACTCGCTAACTATATGATTTCAAGCAAGTGACTTTTTCCTTCTTGTACCTCCATTATATCAGTTGTGAATGGTGAGAATAACTATTCTACAGGATTGTCATGAAGATTAAATGGAATCAATGCATATAAAATGCCTGATAGAGTGCCTGGTACTCATTAATCTCATCTTACCCAACCTCCAACAAAGAAATAGACAGCCTTATAAAGTAGTGAGGTCCCCATCACTAGATGTACCCAAATATGGGCTAGATTATTATGTGCCAAAGATAGTATAGTAAACATTGAAACACTGATCTCTCTCCATGAGCATGTGGCCTCACCACTAAGTTCTCATCCAACTGTTAAGATTCCCTTAATTCCCAGTCAATTATGCAACAATGTGCCTGTTTTGTACATTGGGAATTGGGATTGACTAATCCACTCAGAACAGCTTAAACAACTTATGCAGCTTGTAGCTTGTTTCAGAGAGAGAGAGAGAGAGAGAGAGAGAAAAGGAGAGCAAGAGAGTACGTGGGCATGTGTGAAGGTACCTTTAAAATGGCAATTATAGTGTGTGGGAAAGTCACCAGTGGCTTCTAATTATGTGACCCCTTCTTTAATTTTTGCTGTCACCACTCTTTTAACTTTTCTTCCAAAAAATCCAGATAAGACTCTGTTCTTTTTCTTCGTATTATCTATACTGTCAGTCTCTGCTCCTCTGTGTTTCATTGAATTTTTATTTTAGTTTTTGATGTGTTTTATTATTTTCTTCGTGATATAATTATTTGGGAAATTATTTTGATGCTTTGAGGGGATTTTTTTCTCTTTGACTATTTACTGTGGAAAGGAGCAGATCCGCTTTTCCTGCACCCTCTGTCCTATTGTGCCAGTCTGGCCATGTTCTGTTGTCCCTTGTGTCATAACTGTTCTTTATTCCTGTTGCTTTCACCATATTCAAGGGGATCAGAACTAAACAACGTGTAATGATGTTGGGCAGAAGACTTCTGTTCAGGGAAGTTTCTGCATTTGGACAATTTCTTCTTGCACTGAAGGGTCAGACTTGGAGGATGAGCTATTTGGGACAGCTTATAAATCCAATAATAGCAACAGAGATGGGGCTGGAGCAGAAAGAAGAAGGGGATTTGAAACCAGAACTCCTGAGTACTTAACTTTACTCTGTCTCTTAACTAACTTTTCTAACCATTGGCCAGTTCTTTAACTTTGTCCTTATTTTCCTCAGTGTCAAATCAGGCTGATGATAGAAGTCATCTCAAGAGGCTTTGGGAGAGAACCACCTGAGGTAGTGGGGAACAGTGGAGTATGGGGTTAAGAGCATGGGTGCTAGGGCCAGACTAGAAGGCAATCTCCTTTCGCCCATGAGCTATATGACCTTGGGCAAACTTTCTGTGCTTATAATTATGCCCTTGTTTGCAAAATGAGAATGACAGTGTATCTACAAGGAAGGGAAGTTGTGAGGGTTAAATGAGACAATGCAGATGTAGTACCTGGCACATAGTAGGTACTTAGTGAATGTTGGCTATTAATACTATTACTATATATGCAGTGTTACTAATAATTCATTCAGTACTTTTTTATTTAGAGGCAATATAGCACATTGTAAACAAAAGCAGAGATTTTAGAGCTGGACAGCCTGAACCCAAAGCCAAGCTCTGCCATTTAGTAGCTTTTATTCCTGGAAAAATTTCTGTTTTTTCTTCCAATTTTTATTTTAGCTTTAGGGGGTGCATATTCAAATTTGTTACGTAGGTAAATTGCATGTTGCCGGGTTTTGGTACACAAATGATTTCATCACGCAGGTAATGAACATAGTACCAATAGGTGGTTTTTTATTCCCACCCTCCTCCCACCTTCCACCCTCAAGTAAACCCCAGTGTCTGTTGTTTCCTTCTTTGTGTCCCTGTGTACTCAATATTTAGCTCCCTCTTGTAAGCGAGAACATGCGGTATTTGGTTTTCTGTTCCTGTGTTAATTTGCTTAGGATAATGGCCTCCAGTTCCATCCATGTTGTTGCAAAAGGCATGATTTCATTTATTTTGATGGCTTTGTGGCATTTTATGGTGTATATGTACCACATTTTCTTTATCCAGTCTATCATTGATCATCATTTAGGCTGACTCCGTGTATTTGCTACTGTGAAAAGTGCTGCAGTGAACATACGCGTGCATGTGTCTTTGTGGTAGAACGATTTATATTCCTTTGGGTACATACCCGATAATGGGATTGCTGGGTCAAAAGGTAGTTCTTTTTTAAGTTATTTAAGAAATATCCAAACTGCTTTCTATCATGGCTGTACTAATTTACATTCCCACCAGCAGTGTATAAGCATTCTATTCCTGAGAAAGCTTCTTAGCTGCTCTATGTCTATAGTTCCTCATCAGATGGGGTTATAACAGTACCTACATTGGAGGATTATTTAGGTTAATAAATGCAGAGCATTTAGGACAGTACATGGTACATAATATATGCTATTTAAGGGGTCACTGTTGCTATTATTGTTGTTCTTATTATTTTGATGTAATTATTAAGCATGCATTCTAGGATGCTGGAATATAGTAGTGAGCGAAATAAATCCAGTCCAAACCCCATGTACCTTCCCTAGGATCTGGAGAGAAAAGGCTAGAGAAGAGTAACTAGGGTCCCCTCTATAAAGGGGCAGGGAGGACCTTATTTACAAACAAGTGAAGCAGGCTACAATCCTGAACAGTTACATTCCCCAGATTGCAGCATCTGTCATTTGTAGAGAATATCCTGCAATGTCTTACTAAGGAGGAACTAGCTCCCTTAATGTCTCCCAATTCAGACGAGCACAAGGAAAAAGGAGGAAGGCTGGCATTTTATTGGAAATGATAAACTTCATTAGGCAGGAAAGTTGTGATGATCCAAATAGCATCTGTTTTGAGCACCTGCTCACCGTGTCCCTGTGAAGGCACTCAGACTACCATTAACAAGTGGCATATGGGCAGCCTGGTTCCAACAAGACCACAGGCAACCAGGGTTCAAGAGGACTTTGTCCCCTTGCCATGTGCAGAGGACAACCAGAGGAAACTCTGGGGCTTTGTCAGCTGCTCTTCTCTGGACAATCCCTAAGTGAAGCAAGACCAAAGAAGATAGAGTGCTGGGCACAGCCTTTAATGGGCAGGCAAACTAAAAGCTGTGAGCAGCATGGTGGCTAAGTGCCAAGTGTGTGGTATGTCAGGGCCTTCACAATTGGTGTCAGAATTTGGAGAAGGGGAGCCACATCAGCTTGAGCAGTCAGAGAAAGTTTATTTCAGGAATAAGAATGTGTAAGTTTGACCTCGAAGGCTAAGATTGGAATAGGAAGCATAGTTGGGCCAGAGAGCAGCTATTAGTGTGACCCCAAATATATATCTGTTATTTTGGTGACAAATACCACCCTGTCCTGAAAGGATGTATAGAATTTCCAGGGACAGTGGGGCAGCTATGTAAATTGAAAAAATATTCAGAGTTACCCTTGCTTTGACTTATTTTTACTCACAATATTTAAATTATTTGGAAAGTTTAAATGAGCTAAAGGAGGTAGTGAGATGTTTTTCCTTTAAGTTTATCAAAAGAGGGTTTTAAGGACTATGAAACACTGGCCCAGGAGCAAGAAAGCTCAGGGCTGTATTTGGTGGACAAGTCTGGCCTCATGTCCTGGAAATGACATGTTTATATTAGAGCTTTATAGCTATTTTACAGAGTAAGGATAACTGTCTTCATTTCTTAGTTGAGGAAATTGGGGCTCAGAGAGGTTAACTGGCTTGTCCGTAACCATACAGCTGGTAGGTTAGGCAGCAAGGCATCAAACTCAGGGCTTCAGACTCTACATCATGCTCTTTCTTTTGTTCCATGCTGCTTACTGCTTATAGTCTTAGCTACTCTTTCTGATTGGAGTTCCTCAACTAGTAGGTCATTCTTAATTATTCCTATCACATCTTTACATTTGGCTTATGACAAATCTAGCGCCTGAAAACTCACATTTAACCCTCTGGGGGACCAGGGAGAACAGGCAAAGGGATAATTTTAGTAACACATCTCTCTAGCCCTGTTTCCCCACCACAGAAGCAGAAATTCTCTCTAGCTTCTTGTCATCCTTACATATCTAAAGAAACAATAGGAGATTCAATTGATGCTTTTAATGTAGCTCCAAGATCATGCATATTCTTTCTATTTTTGGGAACTAGCAAATGTGTTGAAAGCTCTCAATGACTATGACACACCAACTCGGAATGGGGGCGGAGCGGAAGGAGGCTGCGGACTGAAGTTAGCAACAAGGAAGTTGAGGCTGCCTGTTTTAGGCAATGTGGTCCGGTGAGAATGTGTGGTTCAGATCTGGCTTTCCAGGTTTGTATGTATTATATTATGTATGGTAAGGCACAATTCAAACCTTTCTGAGATCGAGATAAATTACATTCATACATTCTGCCTAGCTTATCCTGCTTTTGTACTTAGATTAGCCTGATAGGGCCCACTTTTTATACATGTGTCTCAAAAAGTGTTCCTGAGAATTGTGGAACTCAGTGTATGGGAATCACTCTATCCTTTTGGCCAGGATTGAGCTTGTGCACACTGAACATGGTAAAAGGAACCCAGGTTCTGAAATAGGCTTGGGGCAACATTGGCCCTCTCTGTATAGCTGAACTCTTCCTCTCCTGTGAACTTGATCCTGGGGACAACCAATAGATCAGAATCCATCTATATTCTTTTCTTATTTATATGAACAATCATTATGGGAGGAAAAAAGTAACATGATTGTTATTTTTTCAAAAGCAATTCAACGACATCTGTATTTTCCAGCCTGGGCCTTTGAGGTTGACAGAGCTATGCTGGGAAACCTTGCTATGCTGGGAATCCTGCAAGGTAGCCTTTCCCAGCCCAACTGAAAATCTCAGTATACCGCACAATGTGAAGAGTTAGGATTGGGAATGTGAGTGGGCAAAAGAAGATCCTTCATAGGGAGCACACAGCTGAGAAGTGAGTCAAGTTAGGCAATTCAGTAGAATGGAAATGGTTTAATTGAACTGTAAAATGCTAATAAAAATTAATGAGCATTTCTGACTCTGTCCAGCTGACTGAAAGAGCAGATAAAGCAGAGAGGAGGGAGAGCTGGCCCGAAGATATCTGTCAGGACAGGACTCATAGGGGCCTTCCTCAACCTGACTCAGCCATACCACATCTCCCAGCAGTGGATGTGTTCTCAGAGGAGGCTGAGGGCAGCGCCAAGAGGAGGAGGGGCTGAAAGGCCACTCCAAGATATTTATAAGATCTGACATTCCATAGGCCTATATGTCATTTCTTCCATCCCTCTATTTTCCTTTTTAACTTATGAAATATTTGACATTCAAAAAGATATAAAAATAATATAATGAGTACCCACGTGTTTACTATCCGCATTAAGAAATAATTCATTACAAATAGTTTTCCTTCCCACCCTCTCTTCTGCTTCTTTTTCTTCCCCTTCCTCTCTTGCCCCTCCCCGTTTTCTGCTCTGTACTGTCTGGAACGTGGCATATATCATTGTCACTTATTTCTTTATAATTTTCTACATACATATGTATCTTTAAACATTATGTGGCATTTTTTTGTATGTTTTTCAAGGTAACAGATACAGATGAGGTAAAACTATATAGAAAGGAAACCATGGAAATGATGAACATAGGATTTAGGATGGAGGATGCCTTGGAGTTGTAACTTTGGGATTGGTGGCAGATTCACCAGTACTTTATATTATTAAAATAAGTAAGTAAATGAATAAATAGAGAAATAAAAATGCCATGCATGGACCAATTATGAGTGTCTCATGGACTAGGGTTAGGATTAATCCAATTTTGTGTCTATGAGAGCAAAACAACAATAACAAATAGGCGACATACTGTTTGTATCCATCTACAACTTCTGTTTTTCTCCATAAGATTTGTGACATTCATCTGTGTTGATATGTGAACTTCTTTATTTAATTTTACCTCCATTTCTCTTGGCAGACTGGGCCTTTTCTAAAAATCCCCAGAGTGCTAAGTGTTAGACCCCCCCTAGGTAATCCTTTGCCAGCAGTCTGTGGCCTCCTAGCTACTCTTACTACTCAGTCCCCCTCTGATGTTCAGGTCTCACTGGCCTGCACAGATATTTGAACACACTCCAGGCAACCAGCCAGCTCATTTCATACCTCTAGTGGGCTTGCTGATGTTTTCGAAAAGGAGAAGCCCTTGCTAGCCGTGTTTATGTGGCTTACTGTTTCCTACCTCCCATCAGCAGACTTGCACACACGTCCAAGGATTGATTCTGGTGTCTGAAATGATCTTTCGAGGTGAGACAGAGGCTTTTTCTTTGGGCATCTAGTTAACCAACCTGTCAGTGTCAGACTACTAGTATAACCTGGCCAAATTTAGAACAAACCAACCCCCATTGGTACTTCAAAACGGTGACAGTGTTAGCATTCTGCTGTGCCCCTGTGCCAACTCTTCTAGTACTCGCCGTGCACATACCTTCAAGAAACCTCTTCCTTCCCATCTAGGACCTAATCCGGAGAGACATCCTGTACTACAAAGGCCGCATTGACATGGATAAATATGAGGTAGTTGACATTGAGGATGGCAGAGATGATGACTTCAATGTCAGCATGAAGAATGCCTTTAAGCTTCACAACAAGGAGACTGAGGAGATACATCTGTTCTTTGCCAAGAAGCTGGAGGAAAAAATACGCTGGCTCAGGGCTTTCAGAGAAGAGAGGAAAATGGTACAGGAAGATGAAAAAATTGGTAAGTGACCTGAGAGTAGAAAGAAGAACATGGCTATGAAGAACATAGGAGGTTTGAATTGGTTTCCATTTTCTTGGAGTCAGAGGGAAGATTTCTGTTGCAAACTGACTTAAGCTACTTTGGTGGTTCCTTATTATTAGGTTCTTTTTGGTAAGTACCAATAGCTTCCATTAGTCAGTGGTAGGTTTGAACTATAGGTTGTCCTCCCCTACTAGCTAAGAATATCACACTGAAAGCCAGCCTCAGGCTTGATTCTCCCAAACATACATTTATTAGCAAATAAACAAAAATCAGTTATACAACCTGTTCTGTAATCTTCATAAAGCCTGAGCTCTCTGTCATTAGGTATATAGTTTGTACTCCTGATTAGGATACTTCAGATGTTAACTAAATCCCCCTAGACTGTAGATTCAAATAATATGCACATACACTTCACACTTTCTGTGTGGAAGTATTTAAAGTAAATTATAGAAAATATAACAGGACTTAAAACCATGACCATTTTCATGATTTCAAATCACACTGAAACATACTTTTTTGCCTTACAATAAGTTGTTTCTCTTTTCCAGTGGGGATATAGATAGTAGAGATATTTTTCATGTTGCTTCCCAACTGTGGGATTTAGACGCCATTGGCTATAGCTTTGTGACTTATAAAGTACTGTCTGGTCTCTTGCTCATGGTCCTGCCTTTCTGTCATAAAAAATACCAAGCAACCAGACTTGTTAATTCCCTGAGAAGACATACAGTTTCTGTCTTTGCCCTATTGCTTATGGGAGTGAAATTGTACTTTAGAAGGCCTGAAAGCTCAAGTTTATGGAAATTGTCTCTAGAAAAATGGGCCTACTCATTGAATCCTGGTGCAAAAGGGTTCTCTTATCCTTCCATGTGGGCGATTGAAATTATCCAGAGGTAAGAAAGGATGGTCAGAAAGACAAATCTAACTCCAGTCTTCTCCTCAGAACTTGGGTAGAGTGCAAATTAATAACTCACTTTGAGTCTCATTGGAATCAGACTGCTTTCAGTATGTGGACACTCCATTGGGACATGATGTGGAGTGGCATATAAATGTTGCTGGCTACTTCTCTCAATAGCAAGCAGCAGCAGCCACTGACCTTGCCTAGGCTGTTAGAGTTATTAAAGGAATGGTCTTAGTGTTCAGACCCTGAATCAATTAGAAGGCCCCTGCCATTCCCATTGGCTCTAACACAATGTCTCCCACACAATGCCCTAATAAACCTGTGACTTTATCTGCTTCTAATAGAAAAGCTTCTAGAAATTACTTTCTGAACAGGCATATGTTCATCTTTAAAAATGTTGAGGTTTTTTTTTTTTGGTTTGATAATAACAGTAAATCACTTCCATTGTAGGAAATTTAGGGAAAAAGCAACAGAAAAGTACAAGAAAAAAAAAAAACACATGAACATACTCAGTAATAACTTTCATAAACATTTTGATATATATTTCCAGCCTTTTTTATGTGTCTAATTAGAAAAATCAAGGTGACTGAATCTTTTTTCTTTCTCTCCCCATACCTGCCTCTCTATAGTGGATAGATATAATTTTGTATCCTCATTTTCACTCATCATTATATCATTAGCATTTCTATCAGATCACTTCATATTTTTAATCATTATTTTATGAGGGTCATATAGTTTTATCATAGCTTTTTTAAACTTTTACTTTTTAATTATAAAATTAATGCATGACCATTATAACCATTTAAACAAATATGGAAATATATAAAGAAAACTTAGCATTCCTTCCCCTTCTCTGTCACTTCCATACTGAATGAAATAACCAGTGTTAACAGTGCAGTATGCATCTTTCCATACTTATCTCATGTCCATATAAACATATACAAACATAATACTTTTATATTTACAAAAATTATATTATATATATTACCTTGTAGGTTGCTTTTTTAAACTTAATTTATCATAAGTAACTCCCCAGATAAATAATATAGAATCTAACTATAACCCCTTGTATCAGTTAGGGTTCAACCAAAGAGGCATAACCTGTAGGAGATATATCATACCACTGCTGAAAATTGCATTACAAGGAATTGGCTTATGTGATTGTGAATGTTGACTAAGTGGCTCAGAATTCCATAGAGCAGGCAGTCAGAAATGGAGGATCACAGGCAGGCTCAAACCCATGGACATAGGCCAAAGCTGTCATCTACAGGCAGTCAGGAAGAGAAGCTCATGAGAAGGATGAAGTGGCACAGACATGGGCTAAAGCTGTGGTGCACAGGTAGAATTTCTGCCCTTTCTGTGTGAGACCTAGGCTCTACTTTTAAGGTCTTGCAACAGATTCAGTCAGGTCCATCCAGATTATCTAGGATATTGTCCCTTATATAAAGTCAACTGATTAGGGCCTGTATTAGCCCATGTTCACAGTGCTATAAATACCTGAGACTGGGTAATTTATGAAGAAAAGAGGTTTAATTGACTCACAGTTCTGCAGGCTTAACAGGAAGCATCACTGGGAGGCCTCAGGAAATTTAGAATCATAGTAGAAGGCAAAGGGGAAGCAAGCATCTTCTTCACATAGTGGCAGGAGAGAGAGAGAGCAAGAGGGAAGTGCCACATACTTTTAAACCATCAGATCTCGTGAGAACTCACCCACTATCATGAGAACAGCATGGGAGAAATTCCCCCCATGATCCAATCACCTCCCACTAGGCCCCTCCCCCAACACATGGGGATTACCATTCCACATGAGATTTGGGTGGGGACACAGAGCCAAACCGTATCAGGGGCTTTGATTATATCTGTAAAATACCTTCATGGCAACACCTACATTAGTGAGGACTACAGTCTAGTCGAATGGGCACATCAATAAATTCATCACACTTTTCTTATAAACAGCTGTATAACATTCCATAATATTATGTAATAACCACAGTCATCTCTTGGTATGCACGGGATATTGGTTCCAGGACTCCCGTGCATATCAAAATCCATGGATGCTCAAATCCCTTATATAAAATGATATAGTATTTACATATAACCTATGTACATCCTCCATATACTTTCAATCATTTCTAGATTATTTATAATACCTAACACAATGTAAATGCTATGTAAATAATTGTTATACTGTATTGTTTAGGGAATAAAAACAAGGCAAAAATCCATATGTGTTCAGTAAAGAAGCAACCAGCCGCTTTTTTCTGCATATTTTTGATCCACAGTTGATTGAATCCAGATGTGGAACCCATGGTTACAGAGGGCTGACTGTTCGTTTTTTGCTAGACATTCATTTTATATTTAGCTTTATTTCCCACTACAGATATTGCTGCAATAAATATCCATGTACGTATCTGATTGTTACTTACTGATGCTTTTATTCCTGTAGGATCTGTACCCTAAAGTGGAATGACTGAATGTTAGGATGTGAACAGTTTTAATACATACTTGCATATTAAATTCTGAAAGATTTGTAGAATCTATACTCCTAGCATAATTTTATGAGTACCCACTTCCGCATAGCCTCACCAGCACTGGATAGTATCTATTTGTTTCAGTTTGCCATTTCTCAACTAGTAAATTGAAAAAAAGTGTTGGAACCTTTTTTTTTTCATATGCTTAATGGCTATTTTCATTTCTTTTGTGAATTGCCTCATACCCTTTACTCATTCTTTTAACATAAATTTGGAAGGACTCTATATTGTTGATGTGACACTTTGTCAGTCACGAATTTCACGTTTTCACCAGTCTGTTTTTTGTCTTTTGAGTTTGTTTATATTGCCTACTTCTATAAATATTTAAATTTTTACTTTGAAAAATGTATCTATTATTCCTTTTTTGGCCCCTAGTTTCATCTTGCTTAAGATCTCTTGCCATCCAAACTATAAAATTTCCTGATTAAAAATATATTTTTGGTTTATTTTTAGAACAGTAATCCATCCGGAATTTACATTTTTATATGATGTGAGAAAGGGGACCTCATTTTTTTCTTCAAGGTGGATAGTCAGTTGCATCTGCATCATTTATTAAATAAATCATTTATTTTCCACACAGTTTAAATGCCATTTTTCATATATAGTAACTCTGCATATATACTTAGATGTGTTTTTAAACTTTCTATTCTGTTCCACTCTTCTGTTTGTCATTTCTTGTATCAAGACTATGCTGTTTCAATTACAGTAGATTTTGAGAAAGATTTAATGCCTGGTACAATCAATTCTTATTCACTCTTATCATTGCTTCTTAGCAGTTCTTAGATGTTTATTCTTTGATATGAATATCAAATTTATTTATTCTAGGTTTAAAAACACTGCCGTAAAAACTGGCATAGAAAGCCCATTTGGATTCTGATTGGCATTATATTAAATTTTTTAATATGTAACGGCTTGGCATTGTTATTAAGTTTTCACATTTAAGACAAGGCTCTGCTCTCCTTTCATCAAAATCTTGTTCTGTATGCTTCAGGAAAATGGTAGAGTTTTCTTTAGATTCTGTACATTTCTGCCTCTTTGTACATTACTTTTGATAATTTCTATTTTTCTGGGAAATTGTTCATTTCCTCTGGATTTTTAATTTAATGCTATATATCTACACATAATATTTTCTAATTATCATATCTTCCATAATTGTAGTTATCTCTCTTCTTTTGGGTTCATAATATTTCATATATTTTTATTTTCTCACTTTAATCTTTTAATCAGGCTTATCAGGGAGTATTGATCTTTTTTATGTATATATAATCATTATACATATTTTTAAGGTACATGTGATATTTTGATACCTGTATACAATGTGTAATGATCAAATCAGGGTAATTGCGATATTCATCACCTCAAATGCTCATCTTTTCTTTGTGTTGGGAACATTCCAAATATTTTTTTTAGCTATTTTGAGATATACAATAAATTATTATTAACTCTAATTTCCCTACTGTCCTATCACAAACTAAATCTTATTCCTTCTAACTGTGTTTTTGTACCTATTAACCAGCCCCTCTCCATTGACCTGAGCCTTTCTTTCTGAGCCACTGATAATCACCATTCTACTCTCTATCTTTATGAAATCCACCTTTCAGCTCCCATGTATGAGGGAAAATAATCTTATTTCACTTAACATAATATCCTCCAGTTCCATCCATGTTTCTGCAGATGACAGGATTTCATTTTTTTATGGCTGAATAATATAACATCGTGTATATATGCCACATTTCCTTTATACATTAATCCACTGATGGGCATTTAGGTTGATTTCATATTTTGGTTATTGTGAATAATGCTGTGATAAACATGAGAGCATAGATATTTCCTCGGTATATTGATATCCTTTCTTTTGGATACATACCCAGCAGTGGCATTGCTGGATTATATAGTAGTTCTATTTTTAATTTTTTTAGGAACTTTTCTACTGTTTTTCTATAATGGCTGTACTAATTTACATTTGGTCGTTTCAAAGAACGTGTTTTTGGTTTGTTTATCCCTTCTGCAGTTTATTTCTGTTTCTTCTTAATTTTCACTTTTATTTCCTTCTTTTTCCTACTTTCAGGATTTAAGGAATATTTTAGATCCTTTCCACTCTTTCATTGACTGAATACTTACTTTGTTTATTTTGATTTTTACAAAATCAGAAAATCATTTTAGACATGGGAGGGTGTATGTGTCGAGGAATTTGTCCATTTCTTCTAGATTTTCTAGTTTATTTGCGTAGAGGTGTTTATAGTATTCTCTGATGGTAGTTTGTATTTCTGTGGGATCAGTGGTGATATCCCCTTTATCATTTTTTATTGTGTCTATTTGATTCTTCTCTCTTTTCTTCTTTATTAGTCTTGCTAGTGGTCTATCAATTTTGTTGTTCTTTTCAAAAAACCAGCTCCTGGATTCATTGATTTTTTGAAGGGTTTTTTGTGTCTCTATTTCCTTCAGTTCTGCTCTGATCTTAGTTATTTCTTGCATTCTGCTACCTTTTGAATGTATTTGCTCTTGCTTCTCTAGTTCTTTTAATTGTGATGTTAGGGTGTCAATTTAAGATCTTTCCTGCTTTCTCTTGTGGGCATTTAGTGCTATAAATTTCCCTCTACACACTGCTTTGAATGTGTCCCAGAGATTCTGGTATGTTGTGTCTTTGTTCTCATTGGTTTCAAAGAACATCTTTATTTCTGCCTTCATTTCGTTATGTACCCAGTAGTCATTCAGGAGCAGGTTGTTCAGTTTCCATGTAGTTGAGCGGTTTTGAGTGAGTTTCTTAATCCTGAGTTCTAGTTTGATTTCACTGTGGTCTGAGAGACAGTTTGTTATAATTTCTGTTCTTTTACATTTGCTGAGGAGTGCTTTACTATGTGGTCAATTTTGGAATAGGTGTGGTGCTGAGAAGAATGTATATTCTGTTGATTTGGGGTGGAGAGTTCTGTAGATGTCTATTAGGTCTGCTTGGTGCAGAGCTGAGTTCAATTCCTGGATATCCTTGTTAACTTTTTGTCTCGTTGATCTGTCTAATGTTGACAGTGGGGTGTTAAAGTCTCCCATTATTATTGTGTGGGAGTCTAAGTCTCTTTGTAGATCTCTAAGGACTTGTTTTATGAATCTGGGTACTCCTGTATTGGGTGCATATATATTTAGGAGAGTTAGCTCTTCTTGTTGAATTGATGCCCTTACCATTATGTAATGGCCTTCTTTGTCTCTTTTGATCTTTGTTGGTTTAAAGTCTGTTTTAACCAAGACTAGGATTGCAACCCCTGCCTTTTTTTGTTTTCCATTTGCTTGGTAGATCTTCCTCCATCCCTTTATTTTGAGCCTATGTGTGTCTCTGCATGTGAGATGGGTTTCCTGAATACAGCACACTGATGGGTCTTGACTCTTTATCCAATGTGCCAGTCTGTGTCTTTTAGTTGGAGCATTTAGCCAATTTACATTTAAGGTTAGTATTGTTATGTGTGAATCTGATCCTGTCATTATGATCTTAGCTGGTTATTTTGCTCGTTAGTTGATGCAGTTTCTTCCTAGCCTCGATGGTCTTTACAATTTGGCGTGCTTTTGCAGTGGCTGGTACAGGTTGTTCCTTTCTGTGTTTAGTGCTTCCTTCAGGAGCTCTTTTAGGGCAGGCCTGCTGGTGACAAAATCTCTCAGCATTTGCTTGTCTGTAAAGGATTTTATTTCTCCTTCACTTATGAAGCTTAGTTTGGCTGGATATGAAATTCTGGGTTGAAAATTATTTTCTTTAAGAATGTTCAATATTGACCCCCACTCTCTTCTGGCTTGTAGAGTTTCTGCCGAGAGATCCGCTGTTAGTCTGATGGGCTTCCTTTTGTGGGTGACCCGACCTTTCTCTCTGGTTGCCCTTAACATTTTTTCCTTCATTTCAACTTTGGTGAATCTGACAATTATGTGTCTTGGAGTTGCTCTTTTCGAGGAATATCTTTGTGGTGTTCTCTGTATTTCCTGAATTTGAATGTTGACCTGCCTTGCTAGATTGGGGAAGTTCTCCTGGATACTATCCTGCAGAGTGTTTTCCAACTTGGTTCCGTTCTCCCTGTCACTTTCAGGTACACCAATCAGACATAGATTTGGTCTTTTCACATAGTCCCATATTTCTTGGAGGCTTTGTTCGTTTACAGGCTCTAAAATTGAGGCAATAATTAATAGCCTACTAACCAAAAAAAGTCCAGGACCAGACGGATTCACAGCCAAATTCTACCAGAGGTACAAGGAGGAGCTGGTACCATTCCTTCTGAAACTATTCCAATCAATAGAAAAAGAGGGAATCCTCCCTAACTCATTTTATGAGGCAAGCATCATCCTGATACCAAAGCCTGGCAGAGACACCACAAAAAAAGAGAATTTTAGACCAATATCCCTGATGAACATTGATGCAAAAATCCTCAATAAAATACTGGCAAACCGAATCCAGCAGCACATCAAAAAGCTTATCCACCATGATCAAGTGGGCTTCATCCCTGGGTTGCAAGGCTGGTTCAACATATGCAAATCAATAAATGTAATCCAGCATATAAACAGAACCAATGACAAAAACCACATGATTATCTCAATAGATGCAGAAAAGGCCTTTGACAAAATTCAACAACCCTTCATGCTAAAAACTCTCAATAAATTACATACTGATGGGACGTATTTCAAAATAATAAGAGCTGTCTATGACAAACCCACAGCCGATATCATACCGAATGGGCAAAAACTGGAAGCATTCCCTTTGAAAACTGGCACAAGACAGGGATGCCCTCTGTCACCATTCCTATTCAACATAGTGTTGGAAGTTCTGGCCAGGGCAATCAGGCAGGGGAAGGAAATAAAGGGTATTCAATTAGGAAAAGAGGAAGTCAAATTGTCCCTGTTTGCAGATGACATGATTATATATCTAGAAAACCCCATCGTCTCAGGCCAAAATCTCCTTAAACTGATAAGCAACTTCAGCAAAGTCTCAGGATACAAAATCAATGTGCAAAAATCACAAGCATTCTTATACACCAATAATAGACAAACAGAGAGCCAAATCATGAGTGAACTCCCATTCACAATTGCTTCAAAGAGAATAAAATACCTAGGAATCCAACTTACAAGGGACGTGAAGGAACTCTTCAAGGACAACTACAAACCACTGCTCAATGAAATAAAAGAGGATACAAACAAGTGGAAGAACATTCCATGCTCATGGGTAGGAAGAATCAATATTGTGAAAATGGCCATACTGCCCAAGGTAATTTATAGATTCAATGCCATCCCCATCAAGCTACCAATGACTTTCTTCACATAATTGGAAAAAACTACTTTAAAGTTCATATGGAACCAAAAAAGAGCCCGCATTGCCAAGTCAATCCTAAGCCAAAAGAACAAAGCTGGAGCTATCACGCTACCTGACTTCAAACTATACTACAAGGCTACAGTAACCAAAACAGCATGATAGTGGTACCAAAACAGAGATATAAACCAATGGAACAGAACAGAGCCCTCAGAAATAATGATGCATATCTACAACCATCTGATCTTTGACAAACCTGAGAAAAACAAGCAATGGGGAAACAATTCCCTATTTAATAAATGGTGCTGGGAAAACTGGCTAGCCATATGGAGAAAGCTGAAACTGGATCCCTTCCTTACACCTTATACAAAAATTAATTCAAGATGGATTAAAGACTTAAATGTTAGACCTAAAACCATAAAAACCCCAGAAGAAAACCTAGGCAGTATCATTCGGGACATACGCATGGGCAAGGACTTCATGTCTAAAACACTAAAAGCAATGGCAACAAAAGCCAAAATTGACAAATGAGATCTAATGAAACTAAAGAGCTTCTGCACAGCAAAAGAAACTACCATCAGAGTGAACAGGCAACCTACAGAATGGGAGAAAATTTTTGCAATCTACTCATCTGACAAAGGCCTAATATCCAGAATCTACAATGAACTCAAACAAATTTACAAGAAAAAAACAAACAACCCCATCAACAAGTGGGTGAAGGATATGAACAGACACTTCTCAAAAGAAGACATTTATGCAGCCAAAAGACACATGAAAAAATGCTCATCATCACTGGCCATCAGAGAAATGCAGATCAAAACGACAATGAGGTACCATCTCACTCCAGTTGGAATGGCGATCATTAAAAAGTCAGGAAACAACAGGTGGTGGAGAGGATGTGGAGAAATAGGAACACTTTTACACTGTTGGTGGGACTGTAAACTAGTTCAACCATTGTGGAAGTCAGTGTGGTGATTCCTCAGGGATCTAGAACTAGAAATCCCATTTGACCCAGCCATCCCATTACTGGGTATATACCCAAAGGGTTATAAATCATGCTACTATAAAGACACATGCACACGTATGTTTATTGCGGCACTATTCACAATAGCAAAGACTTGGAACCAACCCAAATGTCCAACAATGATAGACTGGATTAAGAAAATGTGGCACATATGCACCATGGAATACTATGCAGCCATAAGAAACGATGAGTTCATGTCCTTTGTAGGAACATGGATGAAGCTGGAAACCATCATTCTCAGCAAACTATCTCAAGGACAAAAAACCAAACGCCGCACGTTCTCGCTCATAGGTAGGAATTGAACAATGAGAACACATGGACACAGGAAGGGGAACATCACACACTGGGGCCTGTTGTGGGGTTGGGGGAATGGAGAGGGAAAGCATTAGGAGATATACCTAATGTTAAATGACGAGTTAATGGGTGCAGCACACCAACATGGCACATGTATACATATGTAACAAACCTGTACATTGTGCACATGTGCCCTAAAACTTAAAGTATATTAAAAAAAGTGAAAAAAAAATCATTTTAGAGTATATTTTCCTTTGAATAAAGTCTCAACTGTATCTCAGAGGTTTTAATATAAAATTTCCTTTTTATTTATTTTTAGATATTTTATAACTTCAGTTATGGTTTCCTTTTGATCCAGGGTTTATTCAGAAGACTATTACACTGGGTACAGTGGCTCATTCCTGTAATCCTAGCATTTTGGGAGGCTGAGGTGGGAGGATCGTTTGAGCCCAGGAATTCAACACCAGCCTGGTAAACACAGGGAGACCTCGTGTCTACAAAAAATAACAATTAAAAAACAATTAGCCAGGTGTGGTGGCATGAGCCTGTGGCCCCAGATACTCAGGAGGCTAAGGTTGGAGGATTGCTTAAGCTTGAGAGATCAAGGCTGCAGTGAGCCATGATCATGATCATGCCACTACACTCCAGCCTGAGTGACAAAGCAAAACCTTGCCTCCAAAAAAAAAAAAAATAATAATAATAATAGAAGGCGATTCCTTCCAATATTTCAGATTAGGATTCTAGTAATATTATGATGTCTGTTTTTTGTTAAGTGAGCTGTCCTTTCTGTTGTGAAGCTTGTCAGATTTTTTTTTTATCCTGAAGTTTGGGAATTATACTAGTCAATATGTAGATGTGCATCTATGTATGCTCATCCTGCCTGGGACTTAGCAAGACCTTTTATTCTTTCCACAGTAAGTATATCCTTTTTTTCCCCTTAACCGAGTGTTTTGTTACTTATTTGTTACTATTTTCCATTTGATTTTTTCCTCCTTCTTAAACTTTTATAATCTATATATACATTTGCTGTTTGAATTATCTTTTGCCTCATTATGTCCTTTTCTTTATAATTTTGCTTTTGGTTACAAAATATTTTTTCCCTATGTCATGCTTTATTTAACGATTCTCCATTAACAGACTCTTAGCCCATGTTCATAATTCTTTTTTTGGCTCTCTATTCTGTGTTGTGCATTTTGTAGCTAAGTTTTTGTTCAAGTTTGTGACAAATTTCCTTAGTGAAATTCCTAGAAATTACTGGGTTAAAGGGAATGATTTTTTTTTTTTTTGTATTTCAAGATTTTTTATATGTCTTAGCAAATCTTTCTTACAGAAAAGTTTACTCATTTATACACTCAGTAAGGGTGTGTGTTTCTCATTTAAAAAATCATATATTTTTCTTTTTTAGGCTTTGAAATTTCTGAAAACCAGAAGAGGCAGGCTGCAATGACTGTGAGAAAAGTCCCTAAGCAAAAAGGTAAAGCTGCCCCACTCAGTCTCTGTGAAAGACTATGGAATCATAAGCTATATGCTTACATATTCTTAGGCCCATTTCTGTGCTGAGGTTTACTTGGGGGTGGTGGAGGAGTATCCAGGTCCCTAGGTGTCCTTGATGACAGGTAGCAAATGGTTTTAAATGCTTAAGGCTAAGGAGTGAATAGTATAGGGTATTGGTATCCAAAGATAGCTCATTGAGTATAGCAAAAAATATAACCTCTGTTCCTCTTTTTTTTTTTTTTACTTAAAAATAAGGGAAACTTTACTAACAATTTATAGATCAATGGACAACATGATCTTTATTTAATAAGTATAGTTTGGGCATGATGGCTCACGCCTGTAATCCCAGCACTTTGGGAGGCCGAGGCAGGCGGATCACAAGGTCAGGAGATTGAGACCAGCCTGGCCAACTTGGTGAAACCCCGCCTCTACTAAAAATACAAAAATCAGCTGAGTGCCTGTAGTCCCAGCTACTGGGGAGATTGAGGCAGGAGAATCGCTTGAACCTGGGAGGCGGAGGTTGCAGTGAGCCGAGATTGTGCCACTGCACTCCAGTCTGGCAACAGAGTGAGACTACATCTCAAAAAAAAAAAAAAAAAGTATAAAGATATTGCTCAGCTTTCTGTCACCGGTCTGGAGGCATGTGCCAAATCAGGAGACCCAAATCACAATAAAGAATCTCAAACTAAGCCAAGACAAAAGATTCAGATATTCTCTTTCTCTTAACTACAAGCCAAAGTACTTAAGAAAAAATACCTTGCAAATCAATTTAAATCTGAAGTTAAGCTTTAGTTTCTCTTTTCTCATGAACCAGAACAAAACTATCATGCTCAGCCAAACAAAGGGAAGGAACTACCTTCTGCTTATTGGAATACCTATTCAGTGTCAGTCACTTTATATGTTATTTCATTTCATCTTTATGGTAATCCTGAGAAGCTGGACACTATTAACTCTATTTCTCAGATGAGGTAGCTGAGGGTCTTTGAGTGAAGTAACTGAACTTAATTTGACTTGACTCAGAGTCCACTGCTTTCTCCTCTCCATCTCAGGGTCCTGATGAAGCCCCATGCTTGGAAAGAAGAGTTTGGTTTTCTGTCTTGCCTCAATTACTGACAGCTGCTTCTATTACTGATAGCCATGTTCACTGTCCCCAGGTGTGGGCAATCTTAATGAGACCTTACTTTCCCCAGGCCTTTCCTTCTGCTTTCTCAGTGGGCTTTGTGGTTCTGAATGAGTCACCATCCAAAATGATCAGATTCAAGTCTCCTGAAATTTCCAGCAGCCATGTAAAGCACTATTTTTTTTCCATTGAAGCTTCTTTTGATTGAGGCTGAATGCCTGTGAACATCTGATTTCCAGTTAAGCAGTGCACCTAGCTCCGCTGACTAGACATGCCTCCCCTTCAACTGCTTATTACTTCTTGCTCTTGGGAGGCCCTTATTGTCTCTTTTCCTCATCATGCGAATGTGATTCCCCTTATATAGGGAATGAGGCCAGCCTTAATTAGCCACCAAAAAGTTGGGAGTTAATTTAAGGTGGGGAATTAACTCCTAACCTTTTGATTGCTATAATAACATGTGAGAGATGGTGTTAGAAAGCAATCTGGAGTTAATGTCAGTAAGGATATGACCTGTATTAACAGAACTTGGTAAGATTTTGCTCCAGTTCCTCAGACAGAAATGTGAGCAGAAAAGAGCCCAGCCAACTGAAGTTTTCAGGCTGCAAAAGGGATACTGTCCTAACAGCTTGTCTCCTGGACGCTCTCAACTCCTGAACTTTCTCACTCTGATTTCCTCTACTTCCCCCACTGTATTCTTCAGCGTTCTCTAGAGGGACAGAACTAATAGGAGACATATATATATATATGAGTTTATATGAGTTTATTAAGGAGTATTAACTCACACAATCGCCAGGTCCCACAATAGGCCATCTGCAAGCTGAGGAGCAAGGAAGTCAGTCCGAGTCTCAAAGCTGAAGAATTTGGAGTCTGATGTTTGAGGGCAGGAAGCATCCAGCATGGAAGAAAGGTGTAGGCTTGGAGGCTAAGCCAGTCTAGTGTTTCTAGGTTCTTCTGCCTGCTTTTTATTCTGGCCATGCTGGCAGCTGTTTAAATGGTGCCCATCCAGATTGAGCATGGGTCTGCCTCTCCCAGTCCACTGACTCAAATGTTAATCTCTAGCAACACCCTCACAGACACACCCAGCAACAATACTTTGCATCCTTCAATCCAGTCAAGTTGACACTATTAACCATCACATCCACCATACTGACCTTTATGGTACTCCTTTATCCAAGCCTGGGTTCCTCAAGCATATCTGAGACTGAATTGTCTTTTCACTGAGAACACTTCAAACAAAGGAATATCTATAAAGCAACCAGGAGTTGGTTAACCAGAAGATAGCCCTGCTAACTCATGCCAAGCATTTTGGTCAAGGTCCTTCCCCACCCTATGTATCTCCAGGCCATTCCTTTTAGGGCCTTTCTTGTCTCCCAGTGTCTAAATACTGATTCACTTGAACAGTTTTCTTTCTTTAACAGCAATTCTAAAGTCTTCAAAGAAATTCATTTAGTTTCTGTCTTTCTTTCTTTTTTTTTTTTTTTTTCCCTGAGATGGAGTTTCACTCTCATCGTGCAGGCTGGAGTGCAATGGTGTGATCTTAGCTCACTGCAACCTCTGCCTCCTGGTTTCAAGCGATTCTCCTGCCTCACCCTCCCGAGTAGCTGGGATTACAGGCACCTGCCACCACACCCGACTAATGTTTGTATTTTTAGTAGAGACGGGGTTTCACCATGTTGGCCAGGCTGATCTTGAACTCCTGACCTCAGGTGATCCCCTCGCCTCGTCCTCCCAAAGTTCTGGGATTACAGATGTGAGCCACTGCGCCCAGCTTCATTTAGTTTCAAACCTCCCAGGATTACTACAAATCTCCTCCCTTATTTCTATTTTTGGTCTTCAAGACTCCTAGTCCAGGGCTGTAGTAACTGATATGTTTTGAGACTCAAGAGTGCCATACATGTGGAAGTGGTTCTCAAATGTAGGAATTCAGTAGTTACAATATGTACATGGGAAGAGCAAGAAGGGATTATTTAAGATAACCATGAAAGCTGGCTTCCTTGAGCTTTTCAATGACCCATCACAGGAAGTGAGGGGCATTGTTAAGAGGTCTCCAATGCGGATGTCATTAGATAGGTAACTACTCTAATGTCCCTTTCCAACACCATCTGTAACACTGGGACATTATCAACTCAGTCTACTGCTCTGGGAGAGGGGGAACCTGGCTGAAATAACAGTAGAGAATACCAGATCTAGCTCCAAGAAAGGCCTTTTCACTTGACCTTTGTCTTTCACGCTGCTTTCATTTTAAGTATTGATATATAACTTCTTGAAAGTTTTATGCTAATTCCTGGTACATAAACCTAATTAACTAGATCAGTATAGAGCTCCCCATGGCTATGAGCACAGACTCCATCTCCAGAGGCCTTGGGGCCAGCACAAAATCAAATGAGTGCCCTAGAATAGCAAAAATGATCTCGAAAAAGAATAAAATGTGAGTAATCAATCTACCCAGTTTCAACACTCATTATATAGTTACAGTAACCAAGACAGCGTAATTTTGGCAGAAGGGTGGACATATCAGATCAATGCCACAGAACCCAGAAATAAATGTACACAAATATGCCCAATTGATTTTTAAATTTATTTTGTATTGATATGTAATAATTGTAAATCTTTACTGAGTACATGTGATATTTTGATATGCATACAATGTGTAATGATCAAATTAGGGTAATTAGGATATCTATCACCTTAAACGTGTATCATTTTTTTGTGTTGGGAACATTTCAAGTCTTCTGTTTTATGTATTTTGAAATATGCAATAAATTATTGTTAACTACTGTTACCCTGCTGTGCTACTGAACACTAGAACTTATTCCATCTATCAAACTGTATTTTTGAATCCATTAACCAACCTCTCTTCATTTCCCTAACACCATCCTTCCAAGCCTCTAGTAACCATCATTGTACTCTCTACCTCCATGGAATCCACTTTTTTAGCTCCTACATTTGAGTGAGATCATTTGATATTTGTCTTTCTGTGCCTGGCTTATTTCACTTAACATTATGAGCTCCAGTTCCATCCATGTTGCTGAAAATGATAGGATTTCATTCTTTTTGTGGCTGAATAATATTCCACTGTGTATGTATACTACATTCTCTTCATCCATTCATCTATTGACAGATACTTTGGTTGATTCCATATCTTGGTTATTGTGAATAGTGCTGTGATAAACATAGGAGTGCAAATATCTCTTCAACGTACTGATTTCCTTTATTTTAGATATATACCCAGAAGAGATTGTGATTATAAAAGTGTAACAACAGGGATCCTTGTGATGATGGAAATGTTCTATATCTTGACTGTATCCTGTTATAATGTCAATATCCTGGCTGTGATATTGTACTATTGTACTATTGTTTTGCAAAATGTTACCATTGGGAAAACTGGGTAAAGAGTACACAGGATCTCTATTATTTCTTAAAACTGCATGTGAATCTGTAATGATTTCAAATAAATGCTTTTAAAAAAAATCAAATTAGTAACAAAATTCCCTCTCTAATATCTGCGTATTGTCTGTTGGCATTCAGTACCCTCATACTTCTGACACTTACCACCTTGCAAAACTAGCTCTTAGAAAAGATTCTGATCTTTCTCACTGAAGTGCCAGTGGCTGATGATGGCTTAAATGATACTACTTCCAGGCAAAGGGACTTAGTCATCAAGCAAAGGCAAAAAAAGTAACTGTAATGTTGGAATTTCAGACCCTGAGTAGCAGATGAGGAAGGTATTTGGGAGCAGCAGAGAAGCCTTCCTGACATGTCTGAATTATATGCTGTATGTCTTGTCCTATTCTGCTCTGAATGTAGATCAGGATTAAACTTTCACTTTAGGCCTCCAGGTTCCTGGAATCCTCCATTAATGTGGATTTTGCTTTGATGGTTGCAAACCTACCTACAAATGTTGAGAAGGTTTTTAATATTAGTATCATTTAAGCTATTCCGTTTGAAAAGACACACACATATTCCGTCTTCCTTGCTCCCCATGAATTATACCTTCTGGTAGTAAGTTTACTTTCTCCTTCACCTACTAATGTCAATTCTCTATTAAGTGCAGGTTCATCACTCTCAACCCAGGACAGAACACTAAATCACTTGCACCTTATGCTTTTAGAAAATTTCTCCTAGAAACCTGTCCTGAAGTCAATAGTTCTTAACCAGGCTCTTTTAAAACTTCCAGGGGGGACTGGAGAAGGCGAAATAGAGTTTGTTGGGTTCTTTGCAGGACCAACCCCTGCATAAGGGATTCTGGTGTCTTGGAAAGAGCTCTGAACTGAGTAGTCAAAGAATGTAGGTTCTAACCCTTGCTTTGTCGCTAACTTACCATGTGACCTTGGGTATAACATTTCTTTTCAGATATCAGTGTTCTCACCTGTAAAACAGATTATAGCAATACCCCAAATTTCTTTGATACCTGACTAGATGTGGAAGTGTGTAGGGTTGCAATAGTAGCCATGGTATTCCAAAATCTGTTTGAAAGAGGAATTCTCCCCTTGGATGATTTGTAAAACCAGTTCACACTCTCTAAACCAGTCTGCCTTGAGTTGTCTGCCCAGAGTGGTCACTGGGTAATTTGAGAAGCCCTTTGTTACATAACTTATACCCTTTCCCTTTGATCTCTCATCTACTCTAGGTGTCAACTCTGCCCGCTCAGTTCCTCCTTCCTACCCACCACCGCAGGACCCGTTAAACCACGGCCAGTACCTGGTCCCCGACGGCATCGCTCAGTCGCAGGTCTTTGAGTTCACCGAACCCAAGCGCAGCCAGTCACCATTCTGGCAAAACTTCAGCAGGTTAACCCCCTTCAAAAAATGATACCTACAGGGAGGCAGATAATTTTAAAATAAAGTAAATAAAATTATATTTATAGATGGACCTTTTTTCGGAGAAGCACTGTTGAAATTTATACACACACACACACACAGAGACCCTTGAGTACACATACACACACACACACACAGACACACACACACACACACACACACACACACACACAGAGAGATAAGGAACAAAAGTGTTTTCTGTTGTTTTGGGGAAGTGAAATATGTGGTTGGTAGGAAGAGGTACCAATGACTTCCAAACATGTGATTCCGTCTTAAAAGTTTTCCATTTTTACCCTGTCCCCCTTCCCTTTGCTTTCAGAAGTTGACATTTCTATTCATTGCTTTTCTTGTTAAGATAATCTCTTTACTCCCCTGTGAGTGATTCACTGCCTTGTCATTATTACGATAGATGTGTTTGTATTGTTTTTTTTCTGATGATACTGATGTTGATGAATTTTTAATTTTATTTGATGTGGTAGAGTTGGGAGGTTTCAGGGTTTTTTCCCCTCTTTTACTTTCCATTGAGGAAGGGAATGAGCTCCTTTCTCCTCTCCTTCAGCCAATCATTATCAAATGTTCCTTCAGCCCTGCAGTTGCCCCAAATAACCTTTTTTCAGCATCCTCTGTCCTCAGTCATGCCAGTCTGGACATGCTCTGTTGTGCCCTGTGACAAAACTGCTCAGTATTCCTATTGCTTTTACTGTGTTTTAGGTACTGTGAAGGGATCAAAAAACCAAACAGAAGCAAGGGAGTATCAGACTATGATGATGCTGGAGTGGACTTCTGTTCAGGGAACATTTTGCATTCAGGCTGTTTCTTCTATCACTGGGGTTTCCCATGTTGCAGCACTTCTGGGTCGTTGCAATTTTGCATCTAGGAGTTAGTTTGATCGAGTTATTCTCTTTTTTCAAGTCACTTTTGTTATAGGTCTCCCCCTAGGCCTGTCTCTCCCTTAGCCCAAAAGATCTGAACTGGAAGCAGAGGTTGAGATTCTGCCTCCCAGGAGAGGGATTTACCTGCCCCCTAGTACCAGATAGGTTTAGGGCAGTGATCTCTACAGCAATCAGTTCAGTGTCCTGGTTGTCCCTGCTCCCATTTACAGATGTTTGGGCAGCATTGATAGAAGTATGGAGGGGTTCAAGACAGAGCCCACCTGATCAAGATCATCAGCTACCTTCAAATTATTGACCTGGACAGGGTCCAAGTCTGATAGTAACCTTTTACAAGAAAGAACAGGGATGGGAATGGAAAGAGATAGCCTTGATCCACAGTATTGTACCTGCATTTTCTACCACCCTAAAATTGTGTGAGACTTCTCCCATTGTTAACAGATTGCATGGACAATCTTCCCTGGCTTCTTTCTTTCCCTCTCTCTTTCTTCTTTCTCCTGCCATCCTAGCACAGGAGGATTTTTGGTATTGATATAGTTAAAGCTGTTCTGGCACTCAAAGAAGGCCGTGTTTCCAACATCCTCTCATCCCAGGACATTTGGGGCAAGTGAGTTAGGGGCCCAGGGGCAATTTTCCCTCTGAATAACGTGTCTGAGGCAGGGATGCTACCCTCAGGCTCGCTTTTGGCCAGCTTTTTGCTTGGGAAAATCTAACTTCTTTCACAAGGAGGCAGGCTTCCTATGGATGTTGGAGTACCTGTTTTTCCTCCACACATAGCCCTTTTCATGGATAGACCTTGAACAACAAAAAGGGTATAAGGGAATAAGGATGAACTCTGCTGTGAAGAGCAAGCCACTGTAGTGAGGAATGTGGAGACTGGGAGTCTGTCCTAAACCCCATGGGAGAAGACTTCATCATGACAGGACTTCAGCTTACCAAGCAGCAGCCATAGCTGTGTGGAGGCTTCAGCATAGCTAGCATGTTTACTGCTCTATGCCTCCTGATCCAGACCAGGCATTGCCCAGCCTGGGAATCTTTTCTTTGTGGGAATCAAATTACAAGCTATTTAAGTTTATATTCCATCACAACCAAGTCAGACTTGTATTATAAGTCAAGGATGAGCCTGATCTGGGGAGAGGGCCGGGGCTCGGGACTGGCCACCACTGTTCAGCACATGACCTAACTACGTAAGCCTCTTTGGCAAGGGTCCTGGTGCCCAGCACCCAGGCTAAAATATCCTGTCTGGCAGAGTGTTTTGGTAGCTATGCAGGCCTCCCTTCAGTGTACCTCTTTTTCCAACTTCTCACTCCTCCTTACTAGGCTTGGCCTTGACATGCTTCTTCGAGGGTTGGCAGCACACCGGGAGGGGATGCTTGGACAAGTTTCTGGGCCTACATTTCTTGACTAGGCCCTCTCATTTCCTCCCTCCTTGGGGCTTCTGCCCAGGGCTCCAGGATCAGGGATATTACTTCTCAACCCGCACTTCTCCTCTACTGAACCCACTGGCATCACCTGATGCCACTAATTTGTGAACAACAAGAAATCATTTCCCCATTGGTTGGAGTATTCCCTCAGCCTATAGCATCAAAGCAGACCAGTGGCCAACAGCCCCAAGGGGAGCCCAATTAAATACCTGGGTTCAGTATCCTAACCTGTTATGTCCTGACAGCAATGGTAACCCCAGTAATTCTGTAATGTTGTAATTTCCGCATGGCCCTGAGCTCCCTTTTCCTCAACTCAGTGAGGCCAGGATTTGCTCTCCAAAAGGCTTTGCTAGTGTGTTCAATGGGACCTGCTGTGGGGAGTCCTAAGACAGACATCTAATTATTCTCTCTTTTTCCCCCCCTCTCTATGTGTATATTTCTAATGGATCTATAAGAACAGCAACAAGAGAGTTCTAACAATTCTAGTGTGAAGCCAAATAGTGATCTTTTAGTGCTTTGGGGATGGGGTGGGCTGGGGTGGATGGATGGGCAACAGTGACTTTGATTACCCTTGCTGCTCTGCATTTGCCAGTTTATTCTTTTGTTTCTTTTATCTGACTGACTCTGTCAAACAAGTGTCAAAGTTGTGTGTTAAAAAATGTTTAACAAAAAAAATGTTGTAATGACACAAAGCCTTATGAAAATATTTATGGAGTTCAATAAAAGAAGTAAAAAGACACCTCCTGGCATAGCTCTCGTTCGTGTGTGTGTGTGTGTGTGTGTGTGTGTGTGTGTGTTTTGCCAATTGTGAAATAAAGGGAATTTGCCTGGTGTGGGGCAGCTTACCCCAACCCAGCCTTGACCTGCCCACCCTGCTGTTCTATTCCCAGGCATCCTATGGGCCACCTATGGCCTTGCATGTGTTTTCTGGAAGAGTGGACCACAAGGACTATGTTTGATCCTGTAGCCAGGGGCAGTCAAATGTCTTTATGGATGGGACTGTCCTTCATGTCACCCAGCCCTTTGACAAGACTTAAAGGTCCATTTCTGACCTTGCTCTTTTTCCTTATAGCAGCAAGTCCAGTACTGGCCCTGGGCCCTCATGGAAGCTTAAAGGCTGCCTTTTGAACCCATCCAGAGACCATATGACTTAGGAATTTGCAACTCTCAGTTCCTTCCTAAAGCCTTTGGTCCTGTCTCTTCAGAGGTAGTTATCTTCCTTATCTATTCCTCAGAGTGGGTGGAGTGACCTTACTATTTCTTCCATCATGGTGTCACCTGGATGTAGATGTTCCTTGCTGTCAGTAGGCCTCTATGTGGTATCTGATGCTCCCTGTGGGAAACCCAATAGAGGTTGCTTTCTGGCATTGCCTTACCTGCCTTTCTTCAGAGCAACTAAACACTCCAATTAAATGCTTATTTACTAAAAGGATCCAGATAATTATTCCAATCTGTAGAGTTGGAAGGGGGAGCAGATGTTGGGCCTCTGGATTAGAATGTGAGCCCTGTCTGTCTTGGCCTGCAGGATCCTCCCACCACCACCCCCAGGATTTGATTTGAAGAAAGTGATAATTAAACCCTCCTCTCGTTTACTAACTTTTCCCCTTTCTCCATTTCTTGGCTCTCCTTATTTAACCCCTTCCTCTGCTATCACCATCATTTCCCTTTTCCCTAGAGTCTGCCATCTCTCCCCACCAAAATCAGCAGGACTTAGCTCTCAGCAGTCGCTTCTGCATCTTGCCAATTCCTAGCTTCCCCAATTTCTGGAAATAAATCTCACTTACCTCCTGCAGAGAGCAAGAGGGCAGCATCGGGTCTCAGTCTTCCCTGACTACTTTCCAAGGGCACTAGAAGTGGGGAGACAAATGGTGGGGGTCTTACACTCTAAGATAAACTTGGTTCTCTCTTACGGTACCTAAAATGAAACACCCATTATCACCATAAGAATCATTTCTGAACACCCCCTGTGATGGTTAATACTGATTGTGAACTTGATTCGATTGAATGATACAAAGTATTGATCCTGGTGTGTCTGTGTCAGTGTTGCCAAAAGAAATTAACATTTGAGTCAGTGGACTGGAAAAGACAGACCTACCCTTAATCTGGGTGGGCACAATCTAATAAGCCGCCAGCATGGCTAGAATATAAGCAGGCAGAAAAATGTGAAAAGAGAGGCTGGCCTAGCCTCCCAGGCTACATCTTTCTCTCATACTGTATGCTTCCTGCCCTCGAACATCAGACTCCAAGTTCTTCAGTTTTGGGACTCGGACTGGCTCTCCTTACTCCTCAGCTTGCAGACAGCCTATTGTGGGACCTTGTGATCATGTAAGTTAATCTTTAATAAACTCCCCTTTACATATATATATATATGTGTGTGTGTGTGTGTATATGTGTGTGTATATATACGTGTGTATATATATGTGTGTGTGTATATATATATATATATACACACACACATCCTACTAGTTCTGTCCCTCTAGAGAACCATGACTAATACAAATTTTGGTAACGGGAGTGGTTCTAGAGGAACACAATATTAAGGATAGAGTTCTTTCCTTGGTTTTGGGGTTTCTGGAGTTGACTGCTTAATATGATTAGGCCCAAAAATGCTAAGGACTGTACTTCTAATAGTATGGAGAACACTGATAGTCCTTGATGTGAACTGTTTAGAGAGTAATGTAAAATAAATGCATTTGATACTCCTGATTCACCGCTCATGAGAGGCAAGGAGTGGACAAAGTGATGAAAGAAAATGATGAACTCAATGGATTCTGTCTCCCAGCTTCAGAAGCAAATACTGAGCCTCCAATCTGCTAAGATTGCCCTTAGTGAGAGTCTTATCTACTCTAGAGAAAGAGTTGAAATAGGAGAAAAACAGACACAAGCTCTTATCATGCATGTGGCTGACCTGCAATGAAAGGTGCATGCACAGCCTCGCCAGGTGTCTGCTGTTAAAGTGAGGACATTGATTGGAAAAGAATGGGACCCTGGAACTTGGAATGGAGACATTTGGGAGGATGCTGATGAACCTGAGGACACTGAGTTTGTAAACTCTGATGAACCTTTTTGCCAGAAGGAACAGCTTCCCCATCCCCAGTAATGGCAACATCCCCTCCTTGACCCATGCTGCCATCAGCCTTTCCACCTTTGTCTGAGGAAATAAACCCTGCATTGCCTAAGGCCACAGTGATGGCCTCCCCTGAGGCAGTTGACAGGACAGATAATGTTGATTTTCCTCAGGAGCAACCCACAACATCCCTGTTTGCTTCTAGACCTATAACTAGAGTAAAGTCCTGGTGGGCCTCTAGAGGTGAGGTTGAGAGTGTGACCCATGAGAAAGTGGGCTACACTCCAAAAGAACTGCTTGAGTTCTCTAATTTATATAAGCAAATCTGGAGAACAGGTATGGGAATGGATATTAAGAGTATGGGATAATGGTGGAAGGAACATAGAGTTGGATCAGGCTGAATTTACTGATTTGACCCATTAAATAGGGACTCTGCTTTTAGTGTTGCAGCTTGGGGAGTTAAAAAAAAAGATTCTAATAGTTTATTTGCTTGATTAGCTGAAATATGGATTAAAAGGTGGCCCATGGTGAGCGAGCTGGAAGTGCCTGATCTCCCTTGGTTTAATATAGAGGAAGGGATCCAAAGGCTTAGGGAGACTGGGATGGTGGACTGGATTAGTCACTTTAGACCTACTCATCCCAGCTGGGAGGGTCCAGAAGATGTACCCTTGACCAATGCCTTGCAAAATAGATTTGTGAGGGCAGCACTTGCATCTTTGAAGAGCCCTATAATTGCTCTTCTCTGTATGTCAGATTTAACAGTCGGAACCATGGTCACTGAACTACAAAATTTAAATACAATGGGAATAATTGGATCTCGAGGTGGCAGATGCCAAGTGTTGGCACTCAATTATCAATGAATGGCAAGGTGGGCATAGCTACCATAACGGACAGCAGAGACAGAAGCAGCAATCAGAATAGTCTGACTCATGTAGAGCTCTGGCATTGGCTAATTAATCACGGCATTCCTAGAAGTGAAATTGGTAGGAAGCCTACTGCATTCTTCCTTAATTTGTATAAGGAGAAAGCTTCTAGGTAGAATGGACAAAAGACAAATTTGAATTATAAAAACAGAATCATGACAACCTCAATCATTTTCCATACTTGACCCAGTTTACAGACCCAAAACCCTTTGAATGAAGGTAAGGCCAGGTGCCCTTGAGGAAGGACCCCACTACATTACTGACAACTTATGCAGTGAATCTTCCTCTCATCCTTCCCCAAGGAGACCTCTGACCTTTTACCAGGGTAACTGTACATTGGGAAAAGGGAAATTATCAGACTTTCAGGGACTACTGGATGCTGGTTCTGAGCCGACATTGATTCCAGGGGATCTGAAACGTCATTGTGGTTCTCCAGTTAAAGTAGGGGCTTATGGAGGTCAGGTAATTAATGGAGTTTTAGTTCGGGTCTGACTTACAGTGAGTCTAGTGGGTCCCTAGACTTATCCTTTGTTCATTTCCCCAGTGCCCGAATGCAAAATTGGCATAGACATACTTAGCAGCTGGCAGAAACCCCACATTGGCTCCCTGACTGGTACAGTTAGGGCTATGATGGTGAGAAAGGCCAAACGGAAGCCATTTGAGCTGCCTCTACCTAGGAAAATTCTAAATTAAAAAAAAGTACATCCCTAGAGGAATTGTGAAGATTAGTGCCACCATCAAGGACTTGAAATACACAGGGGTGCTAACTTCCACTACATCCCCGTTCAACTCTCCCATTTGCTCTGTGCAGAAGACAGATGGGTCTTGGAGAGTGAAATGAAACACCCCTTATCACCATAAGAGTCATTTCTGAACACCCCCTGTAATGGTTAATACTGAGTGTCAACTTGATTAGATTGAATGATACAAAGTATTGATCCTGGGTGTGTCTGTATGGGTGTTCCCAAAAGAAATTAACAGTGGATTATTGTAAGCTTAGCCAATGGCAGTGGATTATTGTAAGCTTAACCAAGTGGTTACTCCAATTGCAGCTGCTGGACTAGATGTGGTTTCATTGCTTGAGCAAATTAACACATCTCCTGGTACCTGATAGCAGCCATTGACTTGGTGAATGCCTTTTTCTCCATTGCTGTGCATAAGGTGCTACCAGAAGCAATTTGCCTTCATCTGGCAAGGCCAGCAATATACCTTTACTGTATTAGCTCAGGGGTATATCAACTCTCTCCGGCTTTGTGTCATAATCTTACTCAGAGAGACCTTGATTGCTTTTGGCTTCTGCAAGATAACACACTAGTCCATTACATTGATGACATTATGCTGATTCGATCCAGTGAACAAGAAGCAGCAAACACACTGGACTTATTGGTGAGACATTTTTGTGCCACAGGATGGGAAATAAATCCAACTAAAACTCAGGGACCTTCTACCTCAGTAAAATTTCTAGGGTTCCAGTGGTGTGGGGCCTGTCAAGATATTCCTTCAAAGGTGAAGGATAAGTTACTGCATTTGGCGCCTCTTGCATCTAAGAAAGAGACACAACGCCTAGTGGGCCTATTTGAATTTTGGAGACAACACAGTCCTCATTTGCGTATGTTACTCCAGCTCATTTATCAAGTGACCCGAAAGGCTGCCAGATTTGAGTGGGGTCCAGAATAGAACAAGGCTCTGCATCATGTCCAGGCTGCTGTGCTAGCTGCTCTGCCACTTGGGCCATATGACCCAGCAGATCCAATGGTGCTTGAGGTGTCAGTGGCAGATAGGGATGCTGTTTGGAGCCTCTGGCAGGCCCCCATAGGTGAATCACAGTGGAGGCCTCTAGGATTTTGGAGAAAGGCCCTGCCATCTTCAGCAGATAACTACTCTCCTTTTTAAAGACAGCTCTTGGCTTGTTACTGGGCTGTGGTTGAAACTGAACGTTTGACTATGGGTCATCAAGTCACCATGTGACCTGAACTGCCTATCATGAACTGGGTGCTTTCGACCTATCTAGCCATTAGGTGGGTCCTGCACAGCAGCATTCCATCATCAAATGGAAGTGGTATATACATGACAGGCTTGAGCAGGTCCTGAAGGCACAAATAAGTTACATGAGGAATTAGCGCAAATTACCCATGGTCTCCACTCCTGCCACCCTGCCTTCTCTACTCCAGCCTGCACTGATGGCCTCATGGCAAGTTCCCTATGATCAGTTGACAAAGGAAGAGAAGACTAGGGCCCGGTTCACAGATGGATCTACACAATGTGAAGGCACCACCCAAAAGTGGATAGCTGCAGCATTACAGCCCCTTTCTAGGACCTGCCTGAAGGACAGGTGAAGGGAAATGTTCCCAATGGGCAGAACTTTGACCACTGCACCTGGTTGTGCACTTTGCATGGAAGGGGAAATGGACAGATGTGTGATTATATGCTGATTCATGGGCTGTAGCCAATGGTTTGGCTGGATAGTCAGGGACTTGGAAAAAGCATGATTGGAAAATTGGTGGCAAACAAATTTGGGGAAGAGGTATGTTGATGGACCTCTCTGAATGGCCAAAACTGTGAAGATAACTGTATCCCATGTGAGTGTTCACCAACGGGTGAGCTCAGCAGAGGAGGATTTTAATAATCAAGTGGATAGGATGAGCCGTTCTGTGGATATCATTCACCCTCTTTCCCCAGCCACCCCTGTCATCACCCAATGGGTCCATGAACAAAGTGGCCATGGTGGCAGGGATAGAGGTCATGCATGGGCTCAGCAACATGGACTTCCACTCACCAAGGCTGACCTGGCTATGTTCACTGCTGAGTGCCCAATTTTCCAGCAGCAGAGACCAACACCGAGCCCTCAATATGGCACCATTCCTCAAGGTGATCAGCCAGCTACATGGTGGCAGGTTGATTATATTGGACCTCTTCCATCATGGAAAAGGCAGAGGTTTGTCATCACTGGAATAGACACTTACTCCAGATATAGGTTTGCCTATCCTTCATTCAATGCTTCTGCCAAGAGTACCATCCATGGACTCATGGAATGCCTTATCCACAGTCATGGTATTCCACACAGCATTGCCTTTAACCAAGGCACTCACTTTATGGCTAAAGAAGTGTGGCAGTGGTCTCATGCTTATGGAATTCACTGGTCTTACCATGTTCCCCATTATCCTGAAGCAGCTGGATTGATAGAACTGTGGAATGGCTTTTTGAAGTCACAATTACAATACCAACTAAGTGACAATACTTTGCAGGGCTGGGCAAAGTTCTCCACAAGGCCATGTATGCTCTGAATCAGTGGCCAATACATAGTACTGTTTCTCCAATAGCCGGGATTCACGGGTCCAGGAATCAAGGGGTGGAAATGGAAGTGGCACCACTCACCATCACTCCTTGTGATCCACTAGCAAAATTTTGCTTCCTGTACCTGTGACATTACATTCTGCTGACCTAGAGTTCTTAGTTCCAGAGGGAGAAACACTGCCACCAGGAGACACAACAAAAATTTCATTAAACTGGAAGTTAAAATTCTCACCTGGACACTTTGGGCTCTTCCTACCTTTAAGTCAACAGGCTTAGAAGGGAGTTACAGTGTTGGCTGGGGTGATTGACCCAGACTATCAAGATGAAATCAGTCTACTACTCCACAATGGAGGTAAGGAAGAGTATGCATGGAATACAGCAAATCCATTAGGATGTCTCTTAGTATTACCATGCCCTGTGAAGATCCTAAGGTCAATGGGAAACTACAATAGCCCAATCCAGGCAGGACTACAAATGTCCAAAACCCCTCAGGAATGAAGATTTGGGTCACTCCACCACGAAAAAAAACGTGACCTGCTGAGGTGCTTGCTGAAGTCACAGGGAATACAGAATGGGCAATAGAAGAAGGTAGTTATCAATACTAGCTATGACCATGTGAACAGCTAGAGAAAAGAGGACTGTAATTGTCATGAGTATTTTCTCCTTCTTTTGTTAAAAAATGTTCAGGCATATATACACTTAAACTAAGAAAGTATCTTAATTTTATTTCCTTTCTTTTTTATCCTGTGACATAAGATTTATTGATTTCACATCAGCATTTAAGTATTGTTAACCTTATGTAATAGTATTTGGGTAGGAATTGGGTGCATTTCCAGTTGTATGAAGGATAGCTGTGTTATGTTAGGTGTAAGTATGACCGTATTATTGTCTTTATTTGAAGATAATGTATAATCTCAGGAGATGTGTATGGGTTCATGTTGACAAGGGGTGGACTTTTGATGGTTAATACTGAGTGTCAACCTGATTGGATTGAAGGATACAAAGTATCGATCCTGGGTGTGTCTGTGAGGGTGTTGCCAAAAGAGATTAATATTTGAGTCAGTGGGCTGGGAAAGGCAGACCCACCATTAATCTGGGTGGGCACAATCGAATCAGCTGCCAGCATGGCTAGAATATAAGCGGACAGAAAAATGTGAAAAGACAGACTGGCCTAGTCTCCAAGCATACATCTTTCTCCCGTGCTGGATGCTTCCTGCCATGGAGTATCAGACTCCCAAGTTCTTCAGTTTTGGGACTCGGACTGCTTCTCCTTGCTCCTCAGCTTGCAGACAGCCTATTGTGGGACCTTGTGATCATGTAAGTTAATACTTAATAAACTCCCCTATATATATGTACATACATATACACATATATATGTGTATATCTATGTATATGTAAGTAAATACTTAATAAACTCCCCTATATATGTATATACATATATGTACATACATACACATATATCTGTATATACATATACATATATACATATACATACACATATATCTGCATATGTATATACATATACATACACATATATCTGTATATGTATATACATACATATACAGATATACACATATATCTGTATATGTATATACATACATATATACGCATATATCTGTATATGTATATACATATATACATGCATATACGCATATCTGTATATGTATATATATACGCATATCTGTATATGTATATATATACACATACATATACGCATATCTGTATATGTATATACATATACACATACATATACGCATATCTGTATATGTATATACATATACACATACATATACGCATATCTGTATATGTATATACATATACACATACATATACGCATATCTGTATATGTATATACATATACACATACATATACGCATATCTGTATATGTGTATACATATGCACATACATATACGCATATCTGTATATGTATATACATATATACATATATTCACATATATCTGTATATATGTATATACATATATAAACATACACATATGTGTATATATGTATATACATATACACATATGTGTACATGTATATACGTATATACATATATACACATGTATGTGTATATGTATATACGTATATACATATACACATATATATGTATGTGTATATGTATGTGTATATGTATGTGTGTGTATATGTATATGTATGTGTATATCTATGTGTATATGTATGTGTGTATATGTATATGTATGTGTATATGTATGTGTATGTGTATATGTGTGTGTATATATGTATATACACATACACATATGTGTGTACACATATGTGTATGTGTATATATGTATATACATATATATATATTTCATGACTAAGTCAGGTTTATCTCAGAAACACATTTTTGTTGTTGTTGTTGTTTTTTGTTTTGTTTTTTCGAGATGGGGTCTCTGTCATCCAGGCTGGAGTGTAGTGGCATGATCTCATGTCATTGCGGCCTTGACCTCCTCAGCTGAAGTGATCCACCCATCTCAGCCTATATATATAAATATTTATATATATATATAATATTATGTGTGTATATATATAGAAAATATATATAAAATATTATATATATAAAACTTATATATATATAAAATATTATATATAATATTATATAAAATATTATATATATAAAACTTATATATATAAAAAATATTATATATAATATTATATAAAATATTATATATAATATATAATATTATATATAATATTATATAAAATATTATATATAATATATAATATTTTATATAATATATAATATATATAATATTTTATATAATATATAACATATAATATATAATATCATATATTATATTATATATTATATATATTATATATTTAAAATATTATATATATTATATATATATTATATATTTAAAATATTATATATATAATATATATATTATATATTTAAAATATTATATATATAATTTATATATATTATATATTATATATATATTATATATATATTAGTTTTGTCCCTCTAGAGAACCCTGACTAATACACCACCATATGATCAGCATGATAAATTCATATTCATCATTACCATGAAGAGTAGCTCAATGACTTACAAACTTACTTGCTAAGAGAATTAGTTCTGCAAAGTTGCTAGACATTTAATCTATATAATCAGTAACACTCCTATACATCAGCAAGAGTAAGTGTAATAAAAAGATAAAATTTACAAAAGTATCAATAATATTTGAAAACTAGGAATAAATTTAACAACATGTAAGATTTTCACAGAGAAAACTGTGAAATATAGAAAACATGAAACCAAACACCTAGGTAACAAGTCCAAAGTTTGCAAAGACTTAGTAGTGGCACATCTATTCCAAGCATCTATGTAGTAAATGCAGTTTTGATCAAGACAGTTAATGTTACCTGACGAACCTAGTCTAGTCATTATATGGAAAAGTAAAGTGATTTTTCAAGGCTTTTTGAAATTCAGTAGTAAGATATTAAGATGGATTATAAAATTATAGCTACTTAAGCAATATGTTTTCAAATAATACACATAGAAACTCTGCCCTCAAGAAAGTGCAGCATAACGCTCCACTCCGTAGTTGTGGGATACACACAGAGATTTTCTTTTTTTTTTTTTTAATAATTACAATATTTTACTGTTGTATAGTATCTTATAGCTCATTCAGATATTTTTTACAGACAATATAGTTTCTCATTTTTACATTACAACATACCTGTTAAAAAATTCCCTCTTTTAACAGATGATAAAATTGGGGCCGAGAGAGCTAAATGTTCTTTACCAAGTAAAAATATAGCTAGAAGATAGTAAAGCCAGGGCCAGCTGGCAATTCCTCTGGCCTTTGAGTTATGATCTAGGACAGCGGGCAATGAAGATGAACCACGTACCTAGGCTAAATGAATTTTTTTTATTTTTATTATTATACTTTAAGTTTTAGGGTACATGTGCACAACGTGCAGGTTTGTTACATATGTATACATGTGCCATGTTGGTGTGCTGCACCCATTAACTCCTCATTTAGCATTAGGTGTATCTCCTAATGCTATCCCTCCCCACTCCCCCACCCCACAACAGGCCCCAGTGTGTGATGTTCGCCTTCCTTTGTCCATGTGTTGTCATTGTTCAGTTCACACCTATGAATGAGAACATGCGGTATTTGTTTTTTTGTCCTTGTGATAGTTTGCTAAGAATGATGGTTTCCAGTTTCATCTATGTCCCTACAAAGGACATGAACTCATCATTTTTTATGGCTGCATAGTATTCCATAGTGTATATGTGCCACATTTTCTTAATCCAGTCTATCATTGCTGGACATTTGGCTTGGTTCCAAGTCTTTGCTATTGTAAATAGTGCCGCAATAAACATATGTGTACATGTGTCTTTATAACAGCATGATTTATAATCCTTTAGGTATATACCCAATAATGGGATGGCTGGGTCAAATGGTATTTCCAGTTCTAGATCCCTGAGGAATCGCCACACTGACTTCCACAATGGTTGAACTAGTTTACAGTCCCACCAACAGTGTAAAAGTGTTCCTATTTCTCCACATCCTCTCCAGCACCTGTTGTTTCCTGACTTTTTAATGATCGCCATTCTAATTGCTGTGAGATGGTATCTCATTGTGGTTTTGATTTGCATTTCTCTGATGGCCAGTGATGGTGAGCATTTTTTCATGTGTTTTTTGGCTGCATAAATGTCTTCTTTTGAGAAGTGTCTGTTCATATCCTTCGCCCACTTCATTTTATGAGGCCAGCATCATCCTCATACCAAAGCCTGGCAGAGACACAACAAAAAAAGAGAATTGTAGACCAATATCCTTGATGGACATTGATGCAAAAATCCTCAATAAAATACTGGCAAACCAAATCCAGCAACACATCAAAAAGCTTATCCAGCATGATCAAGTGGGCTTCATCCCTGGGATGCAAGGCTGGTTCAACATACGAAAATCAATAAATGTAATCCAGCATGTAAACAGAAACAAAGACAAAAACCACATGATTATCTCAATAGATGCAGAAAAGGCCTTTGACAAAATTCAACAACCCTTCATGCTAACAACTCTCAATAAATTAGGTATTGATGGGACGTATCTCAAAATAATAAGAGCTATCTATAACAAACCCACAGCCAATATCATACTGAATGGACAAAAACTGGAAGCATTCCCTTTAAAAATGGGCACAAGACAGGGATGCCCTCTCTCACCACTCCCATTCAACACAGTGTTGGAAGTTCTGGCCAGGGCAATCAGGCAGGAGAAGGAAATAAAGGGCATTCAATTAGGAAAAGAGGAAGTCAAATTGTCCCTGTTTGCAGATGACATGATTATATATCTAGAAAACCCCATCGTCTCAGCCCAAAATCTCCTTAAACTGGTAAGCAACTTCAGCGAAGTCTCAGGATACAAAATCAACGTGCAAAAATCACAAGCATTCTTATACACCAATAACAGACAAACAGAGAGCCAAATCATGAGTGAACTCCCATTCACAACTGCTTCAAAGAGAATAAAATACCTAGGAATCCAACTTACAAGGGACATGAAGCACCTCGTCAAGGACAACTACAAACCGCTGCTCAATGAAATAAAAGAGGATACAAACAAATGGAAGAACATTCCATGCTCATGGGTAGGAAGAATCAATATCGTGAAAATGGCCATATTGCCCAAGGTAATTTACAGATTCAATGCCATCCCCATCAAGCTACCAACGTCTTTCTTCACAGAATTGGAAAAAACTACTTTAAAGTTCATATGGAACCAAAAAAGAGCCCGCATTGCCAAGTCAATCCTAAGCCAAAAGAACAAAGCTGGAGGCATCATGCTACCTGACTTCAAACTATACTACAAGACTACGGTAACCAAAACAGCATGGTACTGCTACCAAAACAGAGATATAGACCAATGGAACAGATCAGAGCCCTCAGAAATAATGCCACATATCTACAACTATCTGATCTTTGACAAACCTGACAAAAACAAGCAATGGGGAAAGGATTCCCTATTTAATAAATGGTGCTGGGAAAACTGGCTAGCCATATGGAGAAAGCTGAAACTGGATCCCTTCCTTACACCTTATACAAAAATTAATTCAAGATGGATTAAAGACTCACATGTTAGACCTAAAACCATAAAAACCCCAGAAGAAAACCTAGGCAATACCATTCAGGACATAGGCATGGGCAAGGGCTGAAAACCCCAAAAACAATGGCAACAAAAACCAAAATTGACAAATGGGATCTAATTAAACTAAAGAGCTTCTGCACAGCAAAAGAGACCACCATCAGAGTGAACAGGCAACCTATAGAATGGGAGAAAATTTTTGCGACCTACTCATCTGACAAAGGGCTAATATCCAGAATCTGCAATGAACTCAAACAAATTTACGAGATTTTCTTTCAAACAGTACAGCATGGAAAGTGGTGGGAAGGAGATTAACTTTATAACAGGTAATCTGACAAACACTACCTTAGCTGAGTAATCAGGGTCAACATCAAAAGTGACAAATCATTTTTATATGTGTTCTTGTTATGATGTTCTCCTAGTCCGTTTGTATTGTTATAAAGAAATGTCTGAGACTGTGTAATATATAAAGAAAAAAAGGTTTATTTGACTCATGATAACAATCGCTGGAAGATTAGGCATTTGGTGAAAGCTTCAGGCTACTTCCGCTCATGGTGGAAGTCAAAGGGGAGGTGCTGTGTGCAGAGATCATGTGGGATCAGAGAAAGGAAGAGATGGGTGGGTAGGCTTTTTCTAACAAGCAGCTCTAGTGGGAACTAATAGAGCAATAACTCACTCATTATCATAAGGAAAGCACCAATCTATTAATGATACATCTGTCTCCATTACCCAAACACCTCCTGGTAGGCCTCATCTCCAACAATGAGTGTCAAATTTTAACATAACTTATTGGGGGACAAACATCTAAACTATAGTAGATATTATGAGAATGGCACTTTACTTCTGTGATCTTCCTTTCCCAAACTCATAATGCCCATCTAATGATGAGAAAAATATCATAAAAATTCCAATAAATGGGTATTCTACAATGTGTCTGACTAGTACTCCTTTAAACTGTTAATGTCATCAAAAACCAAGGAAAGTTTGAGGAACTATCACAGTCAAAAGGAGTCTAAGGAGAGTGATAGCTAAATATAATGTATTATCTTGGATGGGATCCTAAAACAGAAAAAGGACATTAGGTGAAAACTAATAAAATGAAGTATGTAGTTTAGTTAATCATTATTCATCAAAGTTGATTCATTAACTGGGGCAAATGCATCATAGTAAAGTAAGATGCTAATAGAAGAAATTCACTGGCGAATATAAGAACATTCTCTGCACTATCATCTCAAAGTTTCTGTGAATCTAAAACAATTATAAAAGTTAAACCTATTTAAACAAACAGTATGGAAGAAGTGCAGACATAGACAAAAAGTGCATTGAAATATAGAAAGCCTAAGAACAAACTTAAGCAGAATTGGCCTAGAACTCATGTGATCATATAGTTTACTATATAAATGGTAGCACTTATTTAAAAGTGAAGTGAGGAACTACTAATAATTATGCTGTGACAACAAATGTACACTAGCTTTAGTCTAAACAAACTGAAATACATGGTCACCAAACACATAACACAATAAGCTTTATAAGTCTGTGGTGAAAAGATAGAATATTCAATAAATGATTTTGGAGGAAAAAGGTATAGAATGGTTTATTATATTATGTTAGCCTTGGTATAAAAAGTGAGTGGGGGTAATAAGACATACATTTATATTTACACAGAACAACTGGAAAGATACATAAGAGATTGACAAAGTAATTTCTTGTGATAAAAAGACTGAGAATATGGAAGTGGGTCTGAGACTTTTACTTGATCACCTTTTTACATTCTAAAATTTTTGAATCATGTGAATATATTAACATTTCTAAAAGAAAATTAAAGAAGTTTACACTCTAAGTTTCTAAGTATTTTTTTAAAAATCTAGAATGTGTATTGAATTTCACCAAATGCATCTTATGTATCTGTTGAGACAATATTATGTTTTTCTTTCCTGATGTATTAATATGGTAAGTTATATTAATATTTTCTGGATCTTTAAAAAAAACTCACTCAGGAGTTCAAGACCAACCTGGGAAACACGGCAAAACCCTGTCTCTCCAAAAAATACAAAAATTAGCCAGGCATGGTGGCACGTACTTATAGTCCCAGCTACTCGGGAGGCTGAGGTGGGTGGATCACTTCAGCCGGGGAGGTCAAGGCTGCAATGACATGAGATCATGCCACTACACTCCAGCCTGGATGACAGAGAGAGACCCCATCTCAAAAAAAAAAACTAAACAACAACAACAATAAAAAACATGTGTTTCTGAGATAAACCCAACTTAGTCATGAAATATGGTATTTTTTATGCTCACTCTTTAATTGGAATATAGAACATATACAGAAAAGTGAACAAATTATAAGGACTCAGATGAATAAATTTTCACAAGTTAAAAATATCAAATTTAAACAACTCTCAAACAATAATAATTTTTTTAAAAAAAGATTATCCAGAAACTCTCTATTGCCTTTCATCCCATGATGACTTTCAGGCACTACCTCCCAAGAGTAAATACTATCCTGACTTCTACCACTTGGATTCATTTTGCCTGTTTTTTTGAACTTTATATGAACATAATCATGCAGTGTATTTCTGTCGTATCTGGATTTGCTTAACATTATATTTATGAAAGTCATCTATACTGTCATGTGTTGCAGTAGTTTGTTCCACACCCTTGTCAACACTTAGTATTAGCTATCTTTTTATTTTAACAATTCTGGTGGATTTATGATAGTTTTAATATACGTTTTTGTAATGACTAATATTAGCCATTTGGATATCATCTTTTGTGATATTCCTGCTAAGGCATTAATGTTAAGTTCTGACCCTCTCTTAATAAATAGTATGTTTTTAATAAAGCAGTTTTAATTTCAGGGTAGTCTAATTTCTTAATAGTTAACACAACAGTTTTTATGTCCTTTCAAGGAAATATTTGCCTACCTCAAAGTCATGAAGATATTTTTCTACTGTGGTAGGTTAGATTCCCCTGTTCTACCTTTCCCCTTTCTACCTTTATGAACAGAGTTCACTTCCTTGTTCCTTGATTTTAGACCTGGCCATGTGAATGCTTTGGTCAATTCAATGATAACAGATGAGATGCAAGCAGAAGCTTGAAAATTAATTACATATTTGGCCATGCTCTCTCACTCCTCTGCCATCAACACTGAGAAAATCATACCACAGCTAGCCCACTTGTGCAAGAAAAGGAGAGATAAGTAAAGCACATCTCAGCTGCCTTCAAAACAAGGAACAACAAGTCCTATAAGACTGGCAGCTTGAAGGAGAGCTGCCCAGTTGTGTCCAATCTAGATCAGCCAACCTCCAGATGTCCTATGGACCCAAGAGCTAAATACATGCTCATTGTTTATGCCACTGATATTTTGTGGTTGTTATGCAGAAAAGCTAACTAATATATGTTTGTTTTTTAAAGCTTTATTATTTTACCATTCAGATTTAGATTCTATAATTAATCTGAAATTGATTTTTATATAGGATGTGAGGGAGTTAAGATTAATTTCCCTAATGGATAACCAACACCATTTATTGTAAAGGCTATCCTTTCCAAAATGCGCATCAAGCATAATATATATATATTTATAATATATAGAAATTAATATTTTATATTAATTATTATTAATATAATATAAAATTAATATTATTAATGTCAAATAATGTAAATAATAATAAGTAACTATACATAATCTTAAATAAACAATTGATAATATAAATATAAATATAAATAAATAATATAATTTAAATAATAATATAAATAATAAATAATGTTAATATAAATAATAAAATAAACAATATGAAATATTATAAAATTATTATTTTATATTTAAATGAATATATTTGCTAACTCTGCTTTATGATTTGGAATCATTTCCTCTATATCACTGGGTAAAATTCTCCTGTAATTTTTTCTTCTTGAGTTAGTCTTGTTTGGTTATCATTAAAAGGATCTACTTTCTTAAAATAAGTTGGGAAGCTGTCACACTTTCATTCTCTAAAACAATTTGTATATGATTAGGATTATCACTTTCTTAAGGGTGTGTTAAAAGTTATCTGTTTAGGCTGGTGTGGTGCCTCACACCTGTAACCCCAGCACTTTGGGAGGCTGAGGTGGGCTGATCAGTTGAGGCTAGGAATTCCAGACCAGCCTGGCCAACATAGTGAAACCCCGTCTCTATATAAAAAAACATAAAAATTAGCCAGGCATTGTGGTGCATGCCTGTGGTCTCAGCTACTGGGGAGGCTGAGGAGGGAGAATCGCTTGAAGCCAGGAGGTGGAGGTTGCAGTGAGCCAAGATAACACCACTGCATTCTAGCCTGGGAGACACAGTAAGACTATCTTAAAAAAAAAAAAAAAAAAAAAAAAAAAGTTATTTTTTAACCATCTGGGCCTGGTGGATTTTTTTTTTAATTACACTTTAAGTTCTGGGATACATGTGCAGAACATGCAGGTTTGTTACGTAGGAATACATGTGCCATGGTGGTTTGCTGTACCCATCAACCCATCATGTACATTAGGTATCCTTCCCCTAGCCCTCCACCCCCCGACAGGCCCCGGTGTGTGATGTTTCCTCCCCTGTGTCCATGTATTCTTATTGTTGAACTCCCACTTATGAGTGAGAACATGCAGTGTTTGGTTTTCTGTTCCTGTGGTAGTTTGCTGAGAATGATGGTTTCCAGATTCATCCATAACCCTGCAAAGTACCTGAACTCATCCACTTTTATGGCTGCATAGTATTCCGTGGTGTATATGTGCCATATTTTCTTTATCCAGTCTGTCATTGATGGGCATTTGGGTTGGTTCCAAGTTTTTGCTATTGTGAATAGTGCTGCAATAAACATATGTGTGCATGTGTCTTTATAGTAGAATGATTTATAATCCTTTGGGTATATACCCAGTAATGGGATCACTGGGTCAAATGGTATTTCTGGTTCTAGATCATAGAGGAATCGCCACACAGTCTTCCACAATGGTTGTACTAATTTACACTCCTACCAACAATGTAAAAGCATTCCTATTTCTCCACAACCTCTCCAGCATCTGTTGTCTCCTGACTTTTTAGTGATCACCATTCTAACTGGTGTGAGATAGTATCTCATTGCGATTTTGATTTGCATTTCTCTAATGATCAGGGATGATGAGCTTTTTTTCATATGTTTGTTGGCTGCATAAATGTCTGCTCTTGAGAAGTGTCTGTTCTTATCCTTTGCCCACTTTTTGAAGGGGCTGTTTGTTTTTTTTTCTAGTAAATTTGATTAAGTTCCTTGTAGATTCTGGATATTAGTCCTTTGTCAGATGGATAGATTGCAAAAATTTTCTCCCATTTTGTAGGATGCCTGTTCACTCTGATGATAGTTTCTTTTGCTGTGCAGAAGCTCTGTGGTGTAATTAGATCCCATTTGTCAATTTTGGCTTTTGGTGCCATTGCTTTTGGTGTTTTAGTCATGAAGTCTGGGCTCATGCCTGTGTCCTGAATGGTATTGTGTAGGATTTCTTCTAGGGTGGTTAGGTTTTAGGTCTTAGGTTTAAGTGTTTAATCCATCTTGAGTTAATGTTTGTATAAGGTGTAAAGAAGGTGTCCAGTTTCAGTTTTCTGCATATGGCTAGCCAGTTTTCCCAACACCATTTATTAAATAGGAAATCCTTTCCCCATTTCTTGTTTTTGTCAGGTTTGTCAAAGATCAGATGGTTTTAGATGTGTAGCATTATTTCTGAGGCTCTAGTTATTTCTTGTCTTCTGCCAGTTTTTGAATTTGTTTGCTCTTACTTCTCTAGTTCTTTTAATTGTGAGTTCAATTTTAGATCTTTCCTGCTTTCTCCTGTGGAAATTTAGTGCTATAAATTTTCCTTTAAACCCTGTTTTAGTTGTGTCCCAGAGATTCTGGTTGGTAGTATCTTTGTTCTGATTGGTTTCAAAGAACTTATTTATGTCTGCCTTAATTTCGTTATTTACCCCGTAGTCCTTCAGGAGCAGGCTATTCAGTTTTAATGTAATTGTGCAGTTTTGAGTGCTTTTCTTAATTCTGAGTTCTAATATGATTGCACTGTGGTCCGAGAGACTGTTTTTTATCATTTTTGTTCTTTTGCATTTTCTGAGGAGTGTTTTACTTCCAATTATGTGGTCAATTTTAGAATAAGTGTGATATAGTGCTAAGAAAAATGTATATTCTGTTGATTTGAGGTGGAGAGTTCCATAGATGTCTATTGTCTGCTTGGTCCAGAGCTGAGTTCAAGTCCTGAATATCCTTGTTTATTTTCTCTCTCGTTGATCTGTCTAATATTGACAGTGAGGTGTTAAGTATCCCACTATTATTGTGTGGGAGTCTAAGTCTTTTTGTAGTTCTGTAAGAGCTTGCTTTATGAATCGGGATGCTCCTGTATTAGGTGCATATATATTTAGGCTAGTTAGCTATTCTTGTTGCATTGATCCCTTTACCATTATGTAATGCCCATCTTTGTCTTTTTTGATCTTTGTTAGTTTAAAGTCTGTTTTAACAGGGACTAGGATTGCAACCTCTCCTTTTTTTTTTATTTGCTTTCCATTTGCTTGGTAAATCTTCCTCCATTTCTTTATTTTGAGCCTGTGTGTGTCTTTGCACATGAGATGGGTCTCCTGAATACAGCACACTGATGGGTCTTGACTCTTTATCCAATTTGCCAGTCTGTGCCTTTTAATTGGGACATTTAGCTTATTTACATTTAAGGCTAATATTGTTATGTGTGAATTTGATCCTGTCACTATGATGCTAGCTGATTATTTTGCCTGTTAGTTAATGCAGTTTCTTCATACTGTTGATGGTCTTTACAATTTGGTATGTTTTTGCAGTGGCTAGTACTGGTTTTTCCTTTCCATATTCAGTGCTTCTTTCAGGAGCTCTTGTGAGGCTGGCCTGGTGGTGTCAACATCTCTCAGCATTTTCTTGTCTGTAAATGATTCTATCTCTCTTTCACTTATGAAGCTTAGTTTGGCTGGATATGAAATTCTGGGTTGAAAATTCTTTCCTTTAAGAATGTTGAATATTGGCCCTTACTCTTTTCTGGCTTGTAGATATTCTGCAGAGAGATCTGCTGTTAGTCTGAGGAGCTTCCCTTTGTGGGTAACCAGACATTTCTCTCTGGCTGCCCTTAACATTTTTTCCTTCATTTCAACCTTGGTGGATCTGACAATTATATGTCTTGGGGTTGCTCTTCTAGAGGAGTATCTTTGTAGTGTTTTTCGTATTTCCTGAATTTGAATGTTGGCCTGTCTTGCTAGTTTGGGGAAGTTTTCCTGGATAATATCCTGAAGAGTGTTTTCCAACTTGGTTCCATTCTCCCTATCACTTTCAGGTATGCCAATCAAACGTAGGCTTGGTCTTTTCACATAGTCCCATATTTCTTCGAGGCTTTGTTTTTTCTTGTTCTCTAATCTTGTCTTCACACTTTATTTCATTAAGTTAATCTTCAATCTCTGATATCCTTTTTTCCACTTGATCGATTCAGCTATTGATACTTGTGTATGCTTCAAGAAGTTCTTGTGCTGTGTTTTTCAGCTTCAGCAGGTCATTTATGTTTTTCTCTAACTGGTTATTCTAGTTAGTAATTCCTCTAACCTTTTTTCTAGGTTCTTAGCTTCCTTGTATTGGGTTAGGACATGTTATTTTAGCTCAGAGGAGTTTCTTATTACCCACCATCTGAAGCCTACTTCTGTAAATTCATCAAACTCATTCTCCATCCAGTTTTGTGCCCTTGCTGGCAAGGAGTTGTGATCCTTTGGAGGAGAAGAGTCATTCTGTTTTTTGAATTTTCAGTCTTTTTGTGCTGGTTTCTCCTCATCTTCATGGATTTATGTACCTTTGATCTTTGATGTTCGCGACCTTCAGATGAGATTTTTGTGTGGATGTCCTTTTTGTTTACATTGTTGCTATTCCTTTCTGTTTGTATGTTTTCCTTCTAACAGTCAGGCCCCTCTTCTGCAGGTCTGCTGGAGTTTGCTGGAGGTCCATTCCAGGCCCTGTTTGCCTGGGTATCTCCAGTTGAGGCTGCAGAACAGCAAAGACTGCTGCCTGCTCCTTTTTCTGGAAGCTTCATCCCAGAAGGTGTACTCGCCAGATGCCAGCCAGAGCTCTCTTGTATGAGGTGTCTTTTGACCCCTGCTGGGAGGTGTCTCCCAGTCAGGATACACAGGGGTCAGGGACCCACTTGAGGAGGCAGTCTGTCCCTTAGCAGAGCTCAAGTGCTGTGCTGGGAGATCTGCTTCTCTCTTCTGAGCTGGCTGGCAGGAACGTTTAAGTCTGCTGATGCTGCCCCCACAGCCACCCCCTCCCCAGGTGCTCTGTCCCAGGGAGATGGGAGTTTGATCTATAAGCCCCTGATGGGGGCTGCTCCCTTTTTTTCAGGGATGCCCTGCCGAGAGAGGAGGAATCTAGAGAGGCAGTCTGGCTACAGTGGCTTTACCGAGCTGCGGTGGGCTCCACCCTGTTTGAACTTCCTGGTGGCGTTGTTTACACTGTGGGGGGAAAACCGCCTACTCAGGCCTCAGTAATGGCAGACGCCTCTCCGCACACCAAGCTCAAGCATCCCAGGTTGACTACAGACAGCTGTGCTGGCAGCAAGAATTTCAAGCTAGTGGATCTTAACTTGAAGGGCTTTGTGGGTGTGGGATCCGCTGAGCTAGACTACTTGGCTCCTTGGCTTCAGCTCCCTTTCTAGGGGAGTGAATGCTTCTGTCTCACTGGTGTCCAGGCGCCACTGGGGTAGGAAAAAAAAACTCCTGCAGCTGTCTTGGTGTCTGCCCAAACAGCCACCCAGTTTTATGCTTGAAACCCAGGGCCCTGGTTGTGTAGGCACACGAGGAAATCTTCTGGTCTGCAGGTTGTGAAGACCATGGGAAAAGCGTAGTATCTGGGCCAGAGTACACCATTCCTCACAGCACAGTCCCTCATGGCTTCCCTTGGCTAGGAGAGGGAGTTCCTCAACCCCTCGTGCTTCCCAGATGAGGTGATGACCCACCCTGCTTCTGCTTGCCCTCCATGTGCTGTACCGACTGTCTAACTAGTCACAATGAGATGAGCCAGGTACCTCAGTTGGAAATGCAGAAATCACCCACCTTCTGCATTGATCTTGCTGGGAGCTTCAGACCAGAGTTTTTCCTGTTTGGCCATCTTGCCCAGGAATTCTGGGCCAATTGATTTTTTATGTTTGCTTGCTTGTTTATTTTTGTGTATTGGGATAAATTTTAATTATTTATTCAATTTAATCGAAAGTTGTATCTCTATTCTGTTATTTTATTTCTTCTTTCAGTCAGTGATATGTGTGCATATTGATTAGCTTTAATATATATTCTATGAGCAACCAATTGCCTTAACCCAGTAAACACACTGCAGGGGTCATTAGCTAGTATTTAATTGAAATTTTGTACTCCAAAGGCAGTTGTTAAAAGCTCTTCAGCTATATTTATATTTGATCAACACCAGTGGTTTTATTAATTAGTACAATTTATATTAAAAATAAATTTTCACTGATGAAAATATTGGTTTACAAGATATGTAGACTTTCTTTTTTTTTTTTTTTTTTTAGTATACATATACATTTAATTTGACCCTTTTCTTCCCAGCAAAGTCCAGATTTTATGGTTATAAAACCACTCCTCTTCCAGACTTTGTTCTAAAACTTTTTTTGTTATTATTATACTTTAAGTTTTAGTGTACATGTGCACAACGTGCATGTTAGTTACATATGTATACATGTACCATATTGGTGTGCTGCACCCATTAACTCATCATTTAACATTAGGTATATCTCCTAATGCTATCCCTCCCCACTCCCCCACCCCACAACAGGCTCCAGTGCGTGATGTTCCCCTTCCTGTGTCCATGTGTTCTCATTGTTCAATTCCCACCTATGAGTGAGAACATGCAGTGTTTGTTTTTCTGTCCTTGAGATAGTTTGCTGAGAATGATGGTTTCCAGCTTCATCCATGTCCCTACAAAGGACATGAACTCATCATTTTTTATGGCTGCATAGTATTCCATGGTGTATGTGTGCCACATTTTCTTAATCCAATCTATCATTGTTGGACATTTGGCTTGGTTCCAAGTCTTTGCTATTGTGAATAGTGCCGCAATAAACATACGTGTGCATGTGTCTTTATAGCAGCATGATTTATAATCCTTTGGGTATATACCCAGTAATGGGATTGCTGGGTCAAATAGTATTTCTAGTTCTAGATCCCTGAGGAATCACCACACTGACTTCCACAATGGTTGAACTAGTTTACAGTCCCACCAACAGTATAAAAGTGTTCCTATTTCTCCACAACCTCTCCAGCACCTGTTGTTTCTTGACTTTTTAATGATCGCCATTCTAACTGGTGTGAGATGGTATCTCATTGTGATTTTGATTTGCATTTCTCTGATGGCCAGTGATGATGAGCATTTTGTCATGTGTCTTTTGGCTGTATAAATGTCTTCTTTTGAGAAGTGTCTGTTCATATCCTTCACCCACTTTTTGATGGGGTTGTTTGCTTTTTTCTTGTAAATTTGTTTGAGTTCATTGTAGATTCTGGATATTAGCCCTTTGTCAGATGAGTAGATTGCAAAAATTTTCTCCCATTCTGTAGGTTGCCTGTTCACTCTGATGGTAGTTTCTTTTGCTGTGCAGAAGCTCTTTAGTTTCATTAGATCTCATTTGTCAATTTTGGCTTTTGTTGCCATTGCTTTTAGTGTTTTAGACATGAAGTCCTCGCCCATGCATATGTCCCGAATGGTAATGCCTAGGTTTTCTTCTGGGGTTTTTATGGTTTTAGGTCTAACATTTAATTAAGTCTTTAATCCATCTTGAATTAATTTTTGTATAAGGTGTAAGGAAGGGATCCAGTTTCAGCTTTCTACATATGGCTAACCAGTTTTCCCAGCACCATTTATTAAATAGGGAATCATTTCCCCATTTCTTGTGTTTGTCAGGTTTGTCAAAGATAAGATGGTTGTAGATATGCATCATTATTTCTGAGGGCTCTGTTCTGTTCCATTGGTTTATATCTCTGTTTTGGTACCAGTACCATGCTGTTTTGGTTACTGTAGCCTTGCAGTATAGTTTGAAGTCAGGTAGCATGATGCCTCTAGCTTTGTTCTTTTGGCTTAGAATTGACTTGGCAATGTGGGCTTTTTTTTGGTTCCATGTGAACTTTAAAGTAGTTTTTTTCCAATTCTATGAAGAAAGTCATTGGTAGCTTGATGGGGATGGCATTGAATCTATAAATTACCTTGGGCAATATGGCCATTTTCACGATATTGATTCTTCCTACCCATGAGCATGGAATGTTCTTCCATTTGTTTGTATCCTCTTTTATTTCATTGAACAGTGGTTTGTAGTTGTCCTTGGCGAGGTGCTTCACGTCCCTTGTAAGTTGGATTCCTAGGTACTTTATTCTCTGTGAAGCAATTGTGAATGGGAGTTCACTCATGATTTGGCTCTCTGTTTGTCTGTTATTGGTGTATAAGAGTGCTTGTGATTTTTGCACAATGATTTTGTATCCTGAGACTTTGCTGAAGTTGCTTATCAGCTTAAGGAGATTTTGGGCTGGGACAATGGGGTTTTCTAGATATATAATCTTGTCATCTGCAAACAGGGACAATTTGACTTCCTCTTTTCCTAATTGAATACCCTTTATTTCCTTCTCCTGCCTGTTTGCCCTGGCCAGAACTTCCAACACTATTTTGAATAGGAGTGGTGAGGGAGGGCATCCCTGTCTTGTGACAGTTGTCAAAGGGAATGCTTCCAGTTTTTGCCCATTCAGTATGATATTGGCTGTGGGTTTGTCATAGATAGCTCTTATTATTTTGAGATACATCCTATCAATACCTAATTCATTGAGAGTTTTTAGCATGAAGGGTTGTTGAATTTTGTCAAAGGCCTTTTCTGCATCTATTAAGATAATCGTGTGGTTTTTGTCGTTTGTTCTGTTTATATGCTGGGTTACGTTTATTGATTTTCGTATGTTGAACCAGCCTTGCATCCCATTACCTCTATTTGATTCTTCTCTCTTTTCTTCTTTATTACTCTTGCTAGCAGTCTATCAGTTTTGTTGATCTTTTAAAAGAAACAGCTCCTGGATTCGCTGATTTTTTTGAATGTTTTTTTCTGTCTCTTTCTCCTTCTGTTCTGCTCTGATCTTAGTTATTTCTTGCATTCTGCTAGCTTTTGAATGTGTTAACTCTTGCCTCTCTAGTTCTTTTAATTGTGATATTAGGGTGTCAATTTTAGATCTTTCCTGCTTTCTCTTGTGGACATTTAGTGCTCTAAATTTCCCTCTACACACTGCTTTGAATGTGTCCCAGAGATTCTCGTAAGTTGTGTCTTTGTTCTCATTGGTTTCAAAGAACATCTTTATTTCTGCCTTCATTTCGTTATGTACCCAGTAGTCATTCAGGAGCAGATTGTTCAGTTTCCATGTAGTTGAGCGGTTTTGAGTGAGTTTCTTAATCCTGAGTTCTAGTTTGATTGCACTGTGGTCTGAGAGACAGTTTGTTATAATTTCTGTTCTTTTACATTTGCTGAGGAGTGCTTTACTTCCAACTATGTGGTCAATTTTGAAATAGGTGCGATGTGGTGCTGAGAAGAATGTATATTCTGTTGATTTGGGGTGGACAGTTCTGTAGATGTCTATTAGTTCCTCTTGGTGCAGAGCTGAGTCCAATTCCTGGATATCCTTGTTAACTTTCTGTGTCATTGATCTGTCTAATGTTGACAGTGGGGTGTTAAAGTCTCCCATTATTATTGTGTGGGAGTCCAAGTCTCTTTGTAGATCTCAAGGACTCACTTTATGAATCTGGGTGCTCCTGTATTTGGTGCCTATATATTTAGGATATTTAGTTCTTCTTGTTGAATTGATCCCTTTACCATTATGTAATGGCCTTCTTTGTCTCTTTTGATCTTTGTTGGTTTAAAGTCTGTTTTATCAGAGACTAGGATTGCAACCCCTGCCTTTTTTTGTTTTCCATTTGCTTGGTAGATCTTCCTCCATCCCTTTACTTTGAGCCTGTGTGTATCTCTGCACATGCGATGGGTCTCCTGAATACAGCACACTGATGGGTCTTGAATCTTTATCCAATTTGCCAGTCTGTGTCTTTTAATTGGAGCATTTAGCCCATTTACATTTAAGGCTAATATTGTTGTATGTGAATTTGATCCTGTCATTATGATGTTAGCTGGTTATTTTGCTCGTTAGTTGATGCAGTTTCTCCTAACCTCGATGGTCTTTACCATTTGGCATGTTTTTGCAGTGGCTGGTACCGGTTGTTCCTTTCCATGTTTAGTGCTTCCTTCAGGAGCTCTTTTAGGGCAGGCCTGGTGGTGACAAAGTCTCTCGTCATATGCTTGTCTGTAAAGGATTTTATTTCTCCTTCACTTATGAAGCTTAATTTGGCTGGATATGAAATTCTGGGTTAAAAATTCTTTTCTTTAAGAATTTTGAATATTGGCCCCAACTCTCTTCTGGCTTTTAGAGTTTCTGCCAGGAGATTAGCTGTTAGTCTGATCTCTTGTTGGGCTTCCCTTTGTGGGTAAGCCGACCTTTCTCTCTGGCTGCCCTTAACTTTTTTTCCTTCATTTCAACTTTGGTGAATCTGACAATTATGTGTCTTGGAGTTGCTCTTCTCAAGGAGTATCTTTGTGGCATTCTCTGCATTTCCTGAATTTGAATGTTGGCCTGCCTTGCTAGGTTGGGGAAGTTCTCCTGGATAATATCCTGAGGAATGTTTCCCAACTTGTTTCCATTCTCCCCGTCAATTTCAGTACACCAATCAGACGTAGATTTCATCTTTTCACATAGTTCCATATTTCTTGGAGGTATTGTTCATTTCTTGTTACCCTTTTTTTCTCTATACTTCTTTTCTTGCTTCATTTCATTCATTTGTTCTTCAATCACTGATACCCTTTCTTCCAGCTGATCAAATCCGTTACTGAAGTTTGTGCATTTGTCACGTAGTCCTTGTACCATGGTTTTCAGCTCCATCAGGTCATTTAAGGACTTCTCTACACTGGTTTTTCTAGTTAGCCATTTGTCTAATGTTTTTTCAAGGTTTTTAGTTTCTTTGCATTGGGTTCGAACTTCCGCCTTTAGCTTGAAGAAGTTTGATCGTCTGAAGCCTTCTTCTCTCAACTCATCCAAGTCATTCTGCATCCAGCTTTGTTCCGTTGCTGGAGAGGAGCTGCGTTCCTTTGGAGAGGGAGAGATGCTCTGATTTGTAGAATTTTCAGCTTTTCTGCTCTGTTTTTTTCCCCGTCTTTGTGGTTTTATCTACCTTTTCTCTTTGATGATGGTTACGTACAGGTGGGGTTTTGGTGTGGATGTCCTTTCTGTTTGTTAGTTTTCCTTCTAACAGTCAGGACCCCCAGCTGCAGGTCTGTTGGAGTTTGCTGGAGGTCCACTCCAGACCCTGTTTGCCTAGGTATCAGCAGCAGAGGCTGCAGAGCAGCGAATATTGCTGAACAGCAAATGCTGCTGCCTGATCGTTCCTCTGGAAGCTTCATCTCAGAGGGGTACCCGGCCCTGTGAGGTGTCAGTCTGCCCCTACTTGGGGGTGCCTCCCAGTTAGGCTGCTCAGGGGTCAGGGACCCATTTGAGGAGGCAGTCTGTCCATTCTCAGATCTCAAACTCCATGCTGGGAGAACCACTACTCTCTTCAAAGCTGTCAGACAGGGACATTTAAGTCTGCAGTCTGCAGAGGTTTCTGCTGCCTTTTGTTCAGCTATGCTCTTCCTCTAGAGGTGGAGTCTATAGAGGTAGGCAGGCCTCCTTGAGTTGCAGTGGGCTCCACCCAGTTTGAGCTTCCCGGCTGCTTTGTTTACCTACTCAAGCCTCAGCAACGGTGGGCACCCCTCACCCAGCCTTGCTGCCACCTTGCAGTTCGATCTCAGACTGCTGTGCTAGCAGTGAGTGAGGCTCCATGGGCGTCGGACCCTCCGAGCCAGGCACGGGATATTATCTCCTGGTGTGCCATTTGCTAAGACCATTGGAAAAGTGCAGTATTAGGGTGGGAGTGACCTTATTTTCCACGTGCCATCTGTCACCCCTTCGCTTGGCTAGGAAAGGGAATTCCCTGACCCCTTGCACTTCCCAGGTGAGGTGATGCCTCTCCCTGCTTCAGCTCACACTCGGTGGGCTGCACCCACTGTCCTGCCCCCACTGCCCTATGAACCCCAATGAGATGAAGCTGGTACCTCAGTTGGAAATGCAGAAATAACCTGTCTTCTGCGTTACTCACACTGGGAGCTTTAGACTGGAGCTGTTCCTCTTTGGCCATCTTGGAACTGCCCCCCACACCACTTATTGAATAAGGAGTTCTTTCGCCATTGCTTACATTTGTTGACTTTGTTAATGATCAGATAACTATAGATGTATGGCTCTATTTCTGGGTACTTCCTCTTCTATTGTCTATGTGCCTGCTTTTGTAACCAATAAAATGCTGTTTGAGCTACTGTGTCCTGGTGGTGCAGTTAGAAGTCAGGTAATGTGATAACACTGCTTATGGTGTTTGTGTGTTTTTGTTTTTGTCTAGGATTGCTTTGGCTATTCAGGCTCACTTTTTTATGGTTCCATATAAATTTTAGAATGAGTTTATTCTAATTCTGTGAAAAATTACATGATAATTTGATACATGTAGCATTGTACCTGTAGATTGATTTGGGCAGAATGGCTATTTTAATAATATTTAATTTTCTAATTTATGAACATATAATTTTTTATGTGTTTGTGTCATTTATGATTTCTTTCCACAGTGTTTGTAGTTCTTCTTGTACAGATCTTTCATATCCTTGGTTAAATGTCTCCCTAGATTTTTTGGTAGCTATTTTAAATGAGAGGGCATTTTTGATTTGGCTCTGAGATTGAACACTGTTGCTGTATAAAAATGCTATGAAAATTTTTTATTGTTATTATTTATTGATTTTAATTAAGTTTTGGGGTACATGTGCAGGATGTGCAGTTGTGTTACATAGGTAAATGAGTGCCATGGTGGTTTGCTCCACCTATCAACCCATCAGCTTGATATTAAGCCCAGCATGCATCATCTCTTTTCCCTGATAGGCAAAAGTTTGCCATGGTAGTTGCTGCACAGATCAACCCATCACCTTGGTATTAAGTCCAGCATCCATTAGCTATTTTTCCTGATGCTCTCCATCCTCCTGCTCCCCGCCAACAGGCCCCAGTCAATGTTGTTCCCCTCCCTGTGTCCATGTGTTCTCATTGTTCAGCTCCCACTCATAAGTAAGAACATGCGGTGCTTGGTTTTCGTTTCTGCATTAGTTTGCTGAAGATAATGGCTTCCAGCTTCATCCATGTCCCTGCAAAGGACATGATCTTGTTTCTTTTTATGGCTGCATAGTATTGTATCATGTATATGTAGCATATTTTCTTTATCCAGTGTATCACTGATGGGCAATTCGATTGATTCCAAGTCTTTGCTCTTGTGAATAGAGCTGTAATGAACATACATGCTCATGTATCTTAATAATAAAATGATTTATATTCCTTTGGGTATATACCCTGTAATAAGATTGCTGGGTCAACTGGTATTTCTGGTTCTAAATCTTTGAGGAATTGCCACACTGTCTTCCACAATGATTGAACTAATTTACATTCCCACCAACAGTGTAAAAGCATTCCTATTTCTCTGCAACCTCAAAGCATCTATTGTTTCCTGACTTTTTTATAATCCTCAAACCATATAATTCCACCCATGGCCTCTCCCTCTCAAATCTCATGTTCTTTTCACATTTCAGAACCAGTCATGCCTTCCCTTCAGTCTCCCAAAGCCTTAACTCATTCCAGCATTAACTCAAATGTCCTAGACCAAATCTCATCTGAGACAAGGCATGTCCCTTATGCCTATGAGCCTGCAAAATAAAAAACAAGTTGATTACTTTCAAGAACACTGGGGTTGCAGGCATTGGGTAAATATTCCCATTCTAAATGGGAGAAAATGACCAAAACAAAGGTGCCACAGGCCCATGCAAGTCTGAAATTTGGCAGGTAATTCATTAAATCTTAAAGGTCCAAAATAATCTCATATGACTCTATGTTACATCCAGGACATACTGATGCAAGGGATGGGGTCCTAAAGTCTTGGGCATCTCCACCTTTGTGGCTATGCAGGGTACATTCCCCACAGTTGCTTTCATGGGCTGTCTTTGAGTGCCTGTGGCTTTTCCAGATGCATGGTGCAAGATATTGGTTTCTACCCCACAGTTACCCTCTGTATTGTCCTAGCAGAAGTTCTTCATGAGGGCTCCACCTCTGCATCAGACTTCTGCCTGAACATCCAGGTGTTTCCATACATCCTCTGAAATCTAGGCAGGGATTTCCAAAACTGAACTGTTGTGTCTGCACACCCACAGGCCCCACAGCACATGGAAGCCACCAAGGCTTGGGGCTTACACTCTCTGAATCAATACCTTGAGCTGTATGTTGTCCCCTTTTAGCCATGGCTGGAGCTGAAGCTGATGGGATGCAGAGTACCAAGTTCTGAGGCTGCACAAAGCATTGGGGCCCTGGGCCCAGCCAATGAAGCACTTTTTTTTCTCCTAGGCCTCTGGGTCTCTGATGGCAGAGGCTGCCATGAAGATCGCTGAAATGCCCTAGAGACATTTACCCCATTGTGTTGGTGATTAACATTTGGTTCCTTGTTACTTATGCAATTTTCTGCAGCCAGCTTGAATTTATTTCAAAAAATTGGTATTTCTCTTCTACCTCATGGTCAAGCTGCAAGTTTTCCAAACTTTTATGCTGTTTTCCCCTTTCGAATAAAAGTTTCAGTTTCTGATAATCTTTTTGTGAACACATATGACTGAATGTTTTCAGAATCAGCCAGGTCACCTCTTGACTGCTTTGCTGCTTAGAAATTTCTTTCACCAGATACCCTAAATCATCTCTCTCAAGCTCAAAAGTCTGGAGATCTCTAGGGCAGGGACAAAATGCCACCAGTCTCTTTGCATAGCAAGAGTGAACTTTGCTCCAGTTCCAAAGAAGTTCCTCATCTCCATCTGAGACCACCTCAACCTGGACTTCACTGTTCATGTCAGTATCAGCATTTTGGTCAAAATCATTCAACAAGTCTCCAGGAAGTTCCACACTTTCCCACATCTTTCTGGTTTTCTTATAAGGCCTCCAAATTGTTTCTACCTATGCCCATTACCCAGTTCCAAAGTCACTTTCACCTTTTCAGGTCATCTTTATAGAATAACCCGCTAACCCAATGCGAATATTCTCTATTAGTTTGTTCACAGACTGCCATAAAGGTACTACCTGAGACTGAGTAATTTATAAAGAAAGAGGTTTAATTGACTCACAGTTTCACATGGCTGGGAGGCCTCTGGAAACTTACAAACATGGCAGAAGGTAAAGGAAAAGCAAGCACCTTCTTTTCACAAGGCAACAGGAGAGAGAGAGGGCACAGGGGAAACTGCCACTTTTAAAACCATGCGCTCTAATGAGAAATTCCTCACTATCATGAGAACACCATGGGAAAAACCACCCTGGAGATTCAATCACCTCCTACCAGGTCCCTCCCTCAACCTGTGGGGATTAAAATTTGAGATGAAATTTGGGTGGGGACACAGAGAAAAACCATATCAACAAACAAATGGAAAAAAATTTTATGTTCATTTGTATAACAGAAAGAATCAATATCATTAAAATGGTTATGCTGCCAAATTTATAGATTGGATGCTATTCCTATGAAACTACCAAAGCCATTTTTCATAGAACTAGATAAAAACTATTTTAAAATTCATATAAAACAAAACAAGCCCAAATACCCATGCAAAGTCTAAGCAAAAAGAACAAAGAAAAAGGCATCACACTACCTGAATTAAGACTATACTACAGGGTTACAGTAACCAAAACTGCATGGTAGCAGCACGAAAATATACATAGACCAATGGAGAAGAATGGAGAACCCAGAAATAAGGCCACCATCTGATCTTTGACAAGCCTGACAAAAACAAGCAATGGGAAAATAACTCCCTACTCAATAAATGGTGCTGGAATAACTGGCTAGCCATATGCAGAAGTCAAAACCAGACACCCTCCTTATACCACATACAAGAATCAACTCGATGTGGAGGAGCCAAGATGGCCGAATAGGAACAGCTCAAGTCTACAGCTCCCAGTGTGAGCGACGCAGAAGACGGGTGATTTCTGCATTTCCATCTGAGGTACCGGGTTCATCTCACTATGGAATGCCAGTCAGTGGGCACAGGTCAGTGGGTGCACGCACTGTGCGCAAGCTGAAGCAGGGCGAGGCATTGCCTCACTTGGGAAGTGCAAGGGGTCAGGGAGTTCCCTTTCTGAGCCAAAGAAAGGGGTGACAGACCTGGGGCACCTGGAAAATCGGGTCACTCCCACACAAATACTGTGCTTTTCCGACGGGCTTAAGACACGGCGCACCACGAGATTGTATCCCGCACCTGGCTGGGAGGGTCCTACGCCCACGGAGTCTTGCTGACTGCTAGCACAGCAGTCTGAGATCAAACTGCAAGGTGGCAGCGAGGCTGGGGGAGGGGCGCCCACCATTGCCCAGGCTTGATTAGGTAAACAAAGCAGCCGGGAAGCTGGAACTGGGTGGAGCCCACCACAGCTCAAGGAGGCCTGCCTGCCTCTGTAGGCTCCACCTCTGGGGGCAGGGCACAGACAAACAAAAAGACAGCAGTAACCTCTGCAGACTTAAATGGCCCAGTCTGACAGCTTTGAAGAGAGCAGTGGTTCTCCCAGCACGCAACTGGAGATCTGAGAAAGGGCAGACTGCCTCCTCAAGTGGGTCCCTGACCCCTGACCTCCGAGCAGCCTAACTGGGAGGCAACCCCCAACAGGGGCACACTGACACCTCACACGGCAGGGTACTCCAACAGACCTGCAGCTGAGAGTCCTCTCTGTTAGAAGGAAAACAAACAAACAGAAAGGACATCCACACCAAAAACCCATCTGTACATCACCATCATCAAAGACCAAAAGTAGATAAAACCACAAAGATGGGGAAAAAACAGAACAGAAAAACTGGAAACTCTAAAAAGCAGAGCACCTCTCCTCCTCCAAAGGAATGCAGTTCCTCACCAGCAATGGAACAAAGCTGGATGGAGAATGACTTTGACGAGCAGAGAGAAGAAGGCTTCAGACGATCAAATTACTCTGAGCTACGGGAGGACATTCAAACCAAAGGCAAAGAAGTTGAAAACTTTGAAAAAAATTTAGAAGAATGTATAACTAGAATAACCAATACAGAGAAGTGCTTAAAGGAGCTGATGGAGCTGAAAACCAAGGCTCGAGAACTACGAGAAGAATGCAGAAGCCTCAGGAGCCGATGCGATCAACTGGAAGAAAGGGTATCAGTGATGGAAGATGAAATGAATGAAATGAAGCGAGAAGGGAAGTCTAGAGAAAAAAGAATAAAAAGAAATGAGCAAAGCCTCCAAGAAATATGGGACTATGTGAAAAGACCAAATCTACATCTGATTGGTGTACCTGAAAGTGATGGGGAGAATGGAACCAAGTTGGAAAACACTCTGCAGGGTATTATCCAGGAGAACATCCCCAATCTAGCAAGGCAGGCCAAAGTTCAGATTCAGGAAATACAGAGAATGCCACAAAGATACTCCTCGAGAAGAGCAACTCCAAGACACATAATTGTCAGATTCACCAAAGTTGAAATGAAGGAAAAAATGTTAAGGGCAGCCAGAGAGAAAGGTCAGGTTATCCTCAAAGGGAAGCCCATCAGACTAACAGCAGATCTCTCGGCAGAAACCCTACAAGCCAGAAGAGAGTGGGGGCCAATATTCAACATTCTTAAAGAAAAGAATTTTCAACCAAGAATTTCATATCCAGCCAAACTAAGCTTCATAAGTGAAGGAGAAATAAAATCCTTTACAGACAAGCAAATGCTGAGAGATTTTGTCACCACCAGGCCTGCCCTAAAAGAGCTCCTGAAGGAAGCACTAAACATGGAAAGGAACAACCGGTACCAGCCGCTGCAAAATCATGCCAAAATGTAAAGACCATCGAGACTAGGAAGAAACTGCATCAACTAATGAGCAAAATTATCAGCTAACATCATAATGACAGGATCAAATTCACACATAACAATATTAACTTTAAATGTAAATGGGCTAAATGCTCCAATTAAAAGACACAGACTGGCAAATTGGATAAAGAGTCAAGACCCATCAGTGTGCTGTATTCAGGAAAACCATCTCACGTGCAGAGACACACATAGGCTCAAAATAAAAGGATGGAGGAAGATCTACCAAGCAAATGGAAAACAAAAAAAGGCAGGGGTTGCAATCCTAGTCTCTGATAAAACAGACTTTAAACCAACAAAGATCAAAAGAGACAAAGAAGGCCATTACATAATGGTAAAGGGATCAATTCAACAAGAAGAGCTAACTATCCTAAATATATATGCACCCAATACAGGAGCACCAAGATTCATAAAGCAAGTCCTGAGTGACCTACAAGGAGACTTAGACTCCCACACGTTAATAATGGGAGACTTTAACACCCCACTGTCAACATTAGAAGATCAACGAGACAGAAAGTCAACAAGGATACCCAGGAATTGAACTCAGCTCTGCACCAAGCGGAACTAATAGACATCTACAGAACTCTCCACCCCAAATCAACAGAATATACATTTTTTTCAGCACCACACCACACCTATTCCAAAATTGACCACATACCGGGAAGTAAAGCTCTCCTCAGCAAATGTAAAAGAGCAGAAATTATAACAATCTCTCAGACCACAGTGCAATCAAACTAGAACTCAGGATTAAGAATCTCACTCAAAACTGCTCAACTACATGGAAACTGAACAACCTGCTCCTGAATGACTACTGGGTACATAACGAAATGAAGGCAGAAATAAAGATGTTCTTTGAAACCAATGAGAACAAAGACACAACATACCAGAATCTCTGGGACTCATTCAAAGCAGTGTGTAGAGGGAAATTTATAGCACTAAATGCCCACAAGAGAAAGCAGGAAAGATTCAAAATTGACACCCTAACATCACAATTAAAAGAACTAGAAAAGCAAGAGCAAACACATTCAACAGCTAGCAGAAGGCAAGAAATAAGTAAAATCAGAGCAGAACTGAAGGAAATAGAGACACAAAAAAAACCCTTCAAAAAATTAATGAATCCAGGAGCTGATTTTTTGAAAGGATTAACAAAATTGATAGACTGCTAGCAAGACTAATAAAGAAAAAAAGAGAGAAGAATCAAATAGACGCAATAAAAAATGATAAAGGGGATATCACCACTGATCCCACAGAAATACAAACTACCATCAGGGAATACTACAAACACCTCTATGCAAATAAACTAGAATATCTAGAAGAAATGGATAAATTCCTGGACACATACACTCTCCCAAGACTAAACCAGGAAGAAGGTGAATCTCTGAATAGACCAATAAGAGGCTCTGAAATTGTGGCAATAATCAATAGCTTACCAACCAAAAAGAGTCCGGGACCAGATGGATTCACAGCCGAATTCTACCAGAGGTACAAGGAGGAACTGGTACCATTCCTTCTGAAACTATTCCAATCAATGGAAAAAGAGGGAATCCTCCCTAACTCATTTTATGAGGCCAGCATCATTCTGATACCAAAGCCAGGCAGAGACACAACCAAAAAAGAGAATTTTAGACCAATATCCTTGATGAACATTGATGCAAAAATCCTCAATAAAATACTGGCAAAACGAATCCAGCAGCACATCAAAAAGCTTATCCACCATGATCAAGTGGTCTTCATCCCTGGGATGCAAGGCTAATTCAATATATGCAAATCAATAAACGTAATCCAGCATATAAACAGAGCCAAAGACAAAAACCACATGATTATCTCAATAGATGCAGAAAAAGCCTTTGACAAAATTCAACAACCCTTCATACTAAAAATTCTCAATAAATTAGGTATTGATGGGACGTATTTCAAAATAATAAGAGCTGTCTATGAGAAACCCACAGCCAATATTATACTCAATGGGCAAAAACTGGAAGCATTCCCTTTGAAAACTGGCACAAGACAGGGATGCCCTCTCTCACCACTCCTATTCAACATAGTGTTGGAAGTTCTGGCCAGGGCAATTAGGCAGGAGAAGGAAATAAAGGGTATTCAATTAGGAAAAGAGGAAGTCAAATTGTCCCTGTTTGCAGACGACATGATTGTATATCCAGAAAACCCCATTGTCTCAGCCCAAAATCTCCTTAAGCTGATAAGCAACTTCAGCAAAGTCTCAGGATACAAAATCAATGTACAAAAATCACAAGCATTCTTATACACCAACAACAGACAAACAGAGAGCCAAATCGTGAGTGAACTCCCATTCACAATTGCTTCAAAGAGAATAAAATACCTAGGAATCCAACTTACAAGGGATGTGAAGGAACTCTTCAAGGAGAACTACAAACCACTGCTCAAGGAAATAAAAGAGGATACAAACAAATGGAAGAACATTCCATGCTCATGGGTAGGAAGAATCAACATCGTGAAAATGGCCATACTGCCCAAGGTAATTTACAGATTCAATGCCATCTCCATCAAGCTACCAATGACTTTCTTCACAGAATTGGAAAAAACTACTTTAAAGTTCATATGGAACCAAAAAAGAGCCCGCATTGCCAAGTCAATCCTAAGCCAAAAGAGCAAAGCTGGAGGCATCACACTACCTGACTTCAAACTATACTACAAGGCTACAGTAACCAAAACAGCATGGTACTGGTACCAAAACAGAGATATAGATCAATGGAACAGAACAGAGCCCTCAGAAATAATGCCGCATATCTACAACTATCTGATCTTTGACAAACCTGACAAAAACAAGCAATGGGGAAAGGATTCCCTATTTAATAAATGGTGCTGGGAAAACTGGCTAGCCATATGTAGAAAGCTGAAACTGGATCCCTTCTTTACACCTTATACAAAAATCAATTCAGGATGGATTAAAGACTTAAACGTTAGACCTAAAACCATAAAAACCCTAGAAGAAAACCTAGGCATTACCATTCAGGACATAGGCATGGGCAAGGACTTCATGTCTAAAACACCAAAAGCAATGACAACAAAAGCCAAAATGGACAAATGGGATCTAATTAAACTAAAGAGCTTCTGCACAGCAAAAGAAACCACCATCAGAGTGAACAGGCAACCTACAGAATGGGAGAAAATTTTCGCAACCTACTCATCTGACAAAGGGCTAATATCCAGAATCTACAATGAACTCAAACAAATTTACAAGAAAAAAACAAACAACCCCATCAAAAAGTGGGCGAAGGACATGAACAGACACTTCTCAAAAGAAGACATTTATGCAGCCAAAAAACACATGAAAAAATGCTCATCATCACTGGCCATCAGAGAAATGCAAATCAAAACCACAATGAGATACCATCTCACACCAGTTAGAATGGCAATCATTAAAAAGTCAGGAAACAACAGGTGCTGGAGAGGATGTGGAGAAATAGGAACACTTTGACACTGTTGGTGGGACTGTAAACTAATTCAACCATTGTGGAAGTCAGTGTGGCAATTCCTCAGGGATCTAGAACTGGAAATACCATTTGACCCAGCCATCCCATTACTGGGTATATATCCAAAGGACTATAAATCATGCTGTTATAAAGACACATGCACACGTATGTTTATTGCGGCATTATTCACAATAGCAAAGACTTGGAACCAACCCAAATGTCCAACAATGATAGACTGGATTAAGAAAATGTGGCACATATACACCATGGAATACTATGCAGCCATCAAAAATGATGAGTTCATGTCCTTTGTAGGGACATGGATGAATTTGGAAATCATCATTCTCAGTAAACTATCGCAAGAACAAAAAACCAAGCACTGCATATTCTCACTCATAGGTGGGAATTGAACAATGAGATCACATGGACACAGGAAGGGGAACATCACACTCTGGGGACTGTTGTGGGGTGGGGGGAGGGGGGAGGGATAGCATTAGGAGATATACCTAATGCTAGATGATGAGTTAGTGGGTGCAGCGCACCAGCATGGCACATGTATACATATGTAACTAACCTGCACAATGTGCACATGTATCCTAAAACTTAAAGTATAATAAAAAAAAAATCAACTCAAGATGGATTACAGACTTAAGTATAAAACCAAAAACTCTCAAATCCCTGAAAGACAACCTAGGCAATACCATTCTGGACATAGGAATGGGCAAATATTTCATGACAAATAAACCAATAACAATAATTGACATGGGATCTAATTAAACTATAGCACTTCTGCACAGCAGAAGAAACTATGAACAGATAAAACATACAACCTACACAGTAAGAGAAAATATTTGCAAGCTATCTATCTGACAAAGGTCTAATATCCAACATCTATAAGAAACTTAAAGAAATTTGCAAGTAAGAAGTAAAGCACCTCATTAAAAAGTAAACATAAGACATGAATAGACACTTTTTGAAAAAAGACATAGACATGCACGCAGCCAACAAGCATATGAAGAAAAGGCTCAACATCACTGATCATTACAGAAGTTCAAATCAAAACTACAATGAGATTTCATCTGACACAACTCACAATGGCTATTTTTAAAAAGTCAAAAAAAAAAAGAAAAACAGGTGCTGGCAAGGTTTGGAGAAAAGGGAACAGTTATGTTGGTGGAAGTGTAACTTAGTTCAACTATTGTGGAAAACAGTGTTGTGATTCCTGAAAAACCTAGAAACACAACTACCATTTGGACCAGCAATCCCATTACTTGATATATACCCAACTGAACATGAATCATTCTAACATAAAAACAAATGCATGTGTATGTTTATTGCAGCACTATTCACAACAGCAAAGACATGAAATCAACCTAAATGCCTATTAATGAAAGACTGGTTAAAAAATGTGATATATGTGCACCATGGACTACTATGCAGCCATAAAACATAAGGATATCATATTTTTGGAAGGAACATGGATGGAGAGTTCATTATTCTTAGCAAACTAATGCAAGAACAGAAAACCAAATACCGCATGTTTTCACTTATAAGTAAGAACTAAATAATGAGATCACACGGAAACAAAGAGCGGTATAATGGACACTGGGGCTTATCATAGGGTAGAGAATGGGAGAAGGGAGAGGAGCAGAAAATAATATAATAACGATTGGGTACCAGGCTTAATACCTGAGGGATAAAATAATATATACATCAAACCCCTGTAACACAAGTTTACCTATATAAGAAACATTCACATGTACCCCTGAGCCTAAAAAAAAAGTTTAAAAACAAAGAAAAAATGATACATATACACAATGGATTTCTATTCAGCCATAAAAATGAATGAGATCCTGTTATTTGCAAAAACGTGGATTGAACTGGAGGTCATTATGTTAAGTGAAATATCCCAGGCACAAAAAGACAAACATTACTTGTTTCTTCTCATTTATTCGTGGGAGCCAAAAATGAAAATAATTGAACTCATGAAGATCTGGAAGAATGATATCGAGAGGCTGGGAATGGTAGTAGGTGGGAAAAAGGAATTGTTAATGGGTGCAAAAATATAGTTAGGTTGAATTAATAAGATCTAATATTTGATAGCAAAACTGGGTGACTACAGTCTACAATAATTTATCTTACATTTTCAAATAGCTAAAAGAGTATAATTGGATTGTTTGTAACACAGAAAAAGTATAAATATTTGAGGTGATGTATACACCATTTATCCTGATGTGATTATTACATATTATATGACTGTATCAAGATATGTCATGAACCCCATATGCATATACACTATGTATCCACAAGAATCAAAAATTAAAATTTGTTTTACAAACTATAATTTCTTTCATAAAAATCAAAAAGAAAATATTCTTCTGTTTGATTTTGAGATGCTTGCAAGTTTCTCTTAAAACTTTTTATTTTAATTTTTATAGATATATAATTGTACATATTTATGCAATACATGTAATATTTTGATATAAGTGTACAATATGTAATGATCAAATCAAGCAAATAAAATATCCATCACCTCAAACACTTACTTTTCTTTGGTGGTGGAAACATTTCAAATCTCCTTCTCTAGCTACTTTAAAATGTACAATAAATGATTGTTAATTTTAGCTGTCCAATTCTACCACAAATCATTAGATCTTATTTTTTTCTATCTAACTGTATTTTTGTACTCATTAAGCCAAACCTCTATATTCTTCCTTCCCACTACTTCTCCCAACTTCTGGTAACTATCCTTCTAGTCTCTACCATTATGAGATCAAATTTTTAGCTTCCACATATGAGTAAAAAGGTGATACTTCATATTTTTTTCTGTGTTTGGCTTATTTCATTTAACATAATAGTCTCCAATTCCAGCCATACTCTTGAAAATAAAAGGATTTCATTCTTTATGACTGTATAATGTTTCACCATGTATATATTTCACATTTTTTATCCATTCATTCAATCATAGAAACTTAGGTTGATTCCATATCTTGGCTATTGTGAATAGTGCTATAATAAGCACTTGAGTGTAGCTATGTCTTCGATATAGTGATTTTCTTTCTTTTGAACATAGATCCAGCAGTAGGATTCATGAATCATATAATAACTCTATTTTTACTTTTTCGAGACACTTCCATACTCTCCTTCACAATAGCCATATTAATTTAAATTACCACGAACATTAAATGAGTGTTCACTCTTCTTCTCACCCTCAGCAATATTTGTTAGAATTTCTCTTTTTGATAAAGTCATTTAACCCAGACAGTGATGCTATCTCATTGTGGCTATAATTTACAATTTTTTCTGAAGATTAATGCTTTTGAGCATTTTTTCACATACTTGATGGCAACGTGTGTATGTCTTCTTTTGAGAAAAGTCTATTTAGATCTTTTGCCCATTTTTAAATCAGATTATTCATGGCTTTTTGTTATTAAATTGAGTTCTTTTATATTCTGTTTATTAATTCCCTATTAGTTGAAGACTTTGCAAAAATTGTTTCCCATTCTGTAGGTTGTCTCTTCACTTTGTTGTTTCCTTTGCTGTACAGAGTATTTTTAGCTTGATGTAATCCTGTTGTCCATTTTTGCTTTTGTTACCTGTGCTTTTTAGGTTTTACTCAAGAAATCTTTGCCTAGACCAATATCTAGAAAGAGTTCCACAATATTTGTTTCTCATAGTATTTTAGTTTCTGGTCTTACACTATAGTCTTCAATCTATTTTTGCTTGATTTTTGTATATTCTGAGAGAGAGGGTTCTAATTTCATTATTATGCCTATGCATGTCAAGTTTTTCCAGCACCATTTATTTAACAGACTGTCCTTTCCTAATGTGCGGCCTTGGTGTCTTTGTCAAATATGAATTGACTGTAAATGCATGGATTTATTTCTGTGTTCTCTATTCTGTTCCATTGGTCTATATGTCTACTTTTATGCCAGTACCATGCTGTTTTGGTTACTATGGTTTTATATAGTATAATTTGAAGTCAGGTAATGTGATGCCTCCAGGTTTCTTATTCTTTTCTCAGGATTGCTTTGGCGATTCTAGATCTTTTTTGGTCGCCTATGAATTTTAGGATTGTTTGTTTTATTTCCATGAAGAAGGTATTTGGTATTTTGTTAGGGATTGTATTGAATGCAAGGATTGCTTTAAGTAGTATGGACATTTAAAAAGTATTGATTATTTCAATCTGTGAACATGGAATGTATTTCTACTTCTTCTCTTCTTTTACATTTCTTTCATCAGTGTTTTATTTTTTATCATTTAGATATATAACTTTTTTGATTAAGTTTATGTTCAGATAATTAATTTTAGTTGTTATTGCAAATGAGATTGCTTTCTTGGTTTCTTTTTCAGGTTGTATGCTGTTTGTAAATAGAAACGCTATTCACTTTTTTGTGTTGATTTTGTATCCTGCAACTTTACTGGATTTCTCAGTTCTAATTTTTGGTAGATTTTTAGTTTTCCTAAATATAAGATTATATCATTTCCAAACAAGAATAATTTGTCATTTAATTATATATATTCTCTCTTTGTCTATATAGATATAGATATATAGATAGAGAATATGATAGTTCTATTTTTAGCTTTTGAGGCATTTCCATACTCTCCTCCATAGTGACCATACAAATTTAAATTGCCACCAACACTGGGTGAGTGTTCCCTCTTCTTCACATCCTCACTAGCATTCATTATAATTTGTCTATTTGAAAAAAGTCATTTGACCTGGGGTAAGATAATATATTTGTTATACACACACACACACACACACACACACACATATACACACACGTATACATATATACATGTGTCAACATGTATACATATATGTGTGTATGTATATATATGTTATATATGTTATATATATGTTATATATGTATATATGTTATATATGTATATGTGTTATATATGTGTATATATGTTATATATGTATATATGTTATATATATGTATATATGTTATATATGTATATATGTTATATATACGTATATATGTTATATATACGTATATATATGTTGTATATACGTATATATATGTTATATATACGTATATATATGTTGTATATATGTATATATGTTATATATATACATATATATATGTTTGGTACAAGTGCAAATATCTTACATGTATGTATTCCACATTGGTGAAGTGCGGCCCCTTAGTGTATGGATTAAACTGAAAGCCATTATTCTAAATGGATGCCCTTTATTTATTTCTCTTGTCTAATTGCTCTGGCTAGGAACTCCAGAAATATGCTGAATAAAACTGTTAAAAGTTGGCATTTGGGGCAAAAGAATAAAATATCTAGGAATACGCTAACCAGGGAGGCAAAAGACCTCTAAAAGGAGAACTACGAAACACTGCTCAAATAAATCAGAGATGATATGAATAGGAAAACATTCCATGCTCATGGATAGAAAGAATTAATATTGTTAAAATGGCCATAATGCCCGAAGTAATTTATAGATTCAATGCTATTTCTGTCCAACTACCAATGACATTTTTCACAGAACTAGATAAAAACTATTTTACAATTCATATGGAAAAAGAAAACTAGCCATGCAATCCTAAGCAAAAAGAACAAAGAAGAAGGCATCTTGCTACTTGACTTCAAACTATACTATGGGGCTACAGAAACCAAAACAGTATAGTATTTGTACAAAAACAGACACATAGACCAATGAAACAGAATAGAGAGCCTAGAAGTAAGGCTATATACCTACAACCATCTAATCTCCAACAAACCTGACAAAAACAAGTAATGGGGAAAGAACTCCCTATTTAATAAATAGTGCTGGGATAACTGGCTAGTCATATGCAGAAGATCGAAACTGAATCCCTTCCTTATACCATATACAAAAGTCAAGATGGATTAAAGACAAATGTAAAACCCAAAACTATAAAAACCCTGGAAGTCAACCTAGGCAATATCACTCTGAACATAGGAATGGGCAAAAATTTTATGACAAAGATGCCAAAAGAACAGCAAAAGAAATTAACAAGAGATTAAACAGACAGCCTATAGAATGGGAGAAAATATTTGTAAAGTATGCATCTGACAAAAGTATAATATTCAGCATCTATAAGGAACTTAAACAAATCTACAAGAAAAGTCAAACAACCCCATTAAAAACTGGGCAAATAACACGAATGGACACTTTTCAAAAGTAGACTTACATGAGACCAACAAAGGTGAAAACAAAAAGCTCAGCATCAGTGATTATTAGAGACATGCAAATCAAAACTACAATGAGATACTGACAGCAGTTACATCGGCTATTACTAGTATTATTATTATTATTTGAGATGGAGTTTTGCTCTTGTTGGCCAGACTGGAGTGCAACAGCAAGGTCTTGGCTCACGGCAACCTCCACCTCCTGGGTTCAAGTGATTCTCTTGCCTCAGCCTCCCGAGTAGCTGGAATTACAGGTATTCACCACCACTCCCTGCTAATTTTGTATTTTTAGTAGAGATGGGGTTTCTCTGTGTTGGTCAGGCTGGTCTCTAATTCCCGACCTCAAGTGATCCGCCCACCTCGGCCGCCCAACGTGCTGGGAGTACAGGCATGAACCACCGTGCCTGGCCGGCTATTACTAAAATTATAATGTCAAAAACCAGCAGAGCTGGCAAGTTTGTGGAGAAAAAGTAATGCTTATACACTGTTGCCGAGGGTGTAAATTAGTTAGTTGATTGTGGAAAGCAGCGTGGTGATTCCTCAAAGACCTAAAGACAAAACTACCATTCAACCCAGCAATCCTATTACAGGGTGTACACCCAAGGGTATATAAATTTTTCTATTATAAATATACATGCACATGTATGTTCATTGCAGCATTATTCCCAATAGTAATCACGTGGAAGCAACCTAAATGCCCATCAATGATAGACTGGATTTTTAAAATGTGGTAGATATACATCATGGAATACTATACAGCCATAAAAAAGACTAAGATAGTGTCCTTTGCAGGAACACAAATGGAGTTGGAGGCCATTATCTTTAGCAAACTAATGCAGGAAAAGAAAACCAAATACCACATGTTCTCACTTATAAGCGGGAACTAAATGATGAGAACACATGGATGCATAAAGGGGAACAACACACATTGGGGCCTATTCAGAGGGTGGAGGGTGGGAGGAGGGAGAGGATCAGGAAAAATAAGTAACTGGTACTAGGCTTAATTCCTGGGTGGTAAAATAATCTGTACAACAAACCCCCATGATGTAAGTTTTCCTATGTAACAAACTTGCACATGTACCCCAGAACCTAAAAGTTAAATAAATAAATAATAAAAGAGGGGTCTCATGTTGTCAACCCCATATTTTTCAATTTGGCTGACTTCTGGGATGCCTACCATCAGATCAAGAGTGCTAATGTCTTTTTGATTCATGTTATTTGTTTTCTAGACTGAATTATCTGAATAGACATTTTTCAAAAGAAGACACACAAATAGCCAATAGATATATATAAAATGCTCAACATAACTAATTATTAGAGAAATGCAGTTTAAAATCACAGTGAGATATTATGTCACACCTGTATAAATGGCTATTATCAAAAAGATGAAAAATAACTAGTGTTGATCAACATGGGGAGGAAAGGGAGCACTTGCATACTGTTGGTGGAAATGTAAATTAGTACAGCCATTATGGAGGTTTTAAAAAAAATAAAAATAGAACTGTTGTATGCTCCAGCAATTTCACTGCTGGGTATATATCAAAAAATGAAATGGCCATGTCTAAAAGATATCTGCACTTTTATGTTTATGACAGCATTATTCACAATAAGCAAGATATGGAATCAATCTAACTGTCCATCAATAGATGAATGGACCAAAAAAATGTTTTATTTATGCACAATGGAATACTACTCATCCTAGAACAGAAGAAAATTCTGTCTTTATGACAACATGGATGAACTTGAAGAATAAACTTGAAGAAAATTATGCTAAAGGAAATAAACCAGACTCAGAAAGACAAAAATCACATAATGTCACTTATATGTGGAATCTAAAAAAGTTGAACTCACAGAAGTAGCAAGTAGAATGATGGTTGCCAAAGTTAGGAGCAGTGTTGAGTCATGGGGAGACGTTAGTTAAAAGATACAAAACTTCAGTTAGATGGAAAAAATGAATTTTTAGGACCTATTGTACAGCATGGTGACTATAATTAATAATAATGTATTGTGCATTTCAAAACAATAAGAGTAAATTACAAATGTTCTCCCTAGAAAAATAGTCAGGTAAGTGATGCAATGGATATGTTAAATCACTTGATTAAATTATTTCACATTGCATTCATATATTAAACCATCACAATGTACTTAAATATATATGTGTATCTATATATACAATTATAATTTTGTCAGTAAAAGTAAATGTTCCTTAAAGTAAGAAAAGGCTGATGTCTAGACCTAAGGGAAGGACAACCAGAGAAAGAAAAGTATCTACTGTTCCCTGTGATTTGCTTAAGCTACACTTGTAGCAATCTTTCTTCTTGTCTTCTTGCAAAAGTCAGAATGGAAGAAAGTTCTGTAATTTTTCACATAAAATAGAAGATCACAAATCATTGTGTAACCATGGAACATTTTTTGAATTTTATCCTGTGTGTGATAGGCTGTTGCTGAGTGATTTTTATAAAAAGTATAATTTTAACATATTTGGGTTCTAGGAATACATTTCTAGTGACAATATGGAGCTTGTATTAGATGGAGAGAATAATGAGTTAATAAATCAAAATATTAGATAGAAATATAGAGAAGAAATTATTAGAACATGTACTCCAGATATTGCAGGTGAAAAAGAGTAAGGAAAAATCTCAATAAGTATAAATAAATTCTGTTATGTAACAGCAGGAATACTTCTTTCACTACATCTATTTAAGAGCATCTTGAAAGCTTGCTTAAATATTGTAGAATATGGGACAAAAATAAAAGTGATAAATGCAGGTGATGCAAAGGGCAACATGTGAGACATATAAGAAAATTTGGAGAATAGAAAATGAATTCAGCTATGGTCCAGCTGAGAAGTTTCAACTCATTTATCAGAAGGTAGAGGTAGTGATAATAATAGGAATGATTTTCAATGTAATGCTGACCAAAATGAAAAATGTCTGAATGAAATGCAAGTATGAGGAGTCTTAGGAGAAATAATCATATTATTTTGGATTTTAAAACAACAAAGGAGTAGGTTATAACCAGAAGTCTGTCCTAGACTTGAGGAAGCAGATATTTCCAAAGCTTGGAAGGGAAGAGAGTCACATGACTATGGCAAGATATTCTAAAAGAATACATTGTTTAAATAAAACAGGAGGCTCTCAATAATAAAGTTTTTGGGTAATTACGAATGAATGTGTCTGCAATGAATATCTACAGAGATGAAGTACAAAAACTCCATGATGCATGTATTTCAAGTATTTTCTCCCATTCTGCAGATACTCTGTTCACTCTGTTAATTATTCATTTTGCTGAGCTGAAAATTTCTAGTTTAATTAAGGCTCATTTGACTATTTTTGTTTTTGTCGGCTTGCTTTTGAGGTCTTAGTCATAAGTTTGTTGCCTAGACCATGGTACAAATGAGTTTTCCTTAGGTTTTATTCTAGTACTCCATTTAAGTCTTTAATTCTTCTTGAGTTGATTTTTATATATTTTGGGAGACAGGGGTCCACTTTTATACTTCTGCATGTGGCAACCCAATTTTCCCATTTTCCAAAACCTATTTATTGAAAGGGGTGTCCTTTTCCCAGTGTATATTCTTGTCGACTTTGTCAAAGATAGGTTGTCTGTAAATATGAGTGGCTTTATTTCTGGATTTTCTATTCTGTTCCATTGATCTATGTGTCCATTTTAATTCCACTACCATGCTGTTTTGGGTACTATAGCCTTGTAGCATTATTTGAAGTCAGGTAATGTGATGCCACTAACTGTGTTCTTTTTGCTTAGAATTTCTTTGAATATTTGGGTCCTTTTTTGGTTCCGTATGAATTTTAAAATTGGTTTTTTTAATTCTGTGAAAAATGATGTTGGTATTTTGATAGGTATTACATTGAATCTGTAGATTGCTTTGGGCACTATTGTCATTTTAACAATATTAATTTTTCCTATCTATGAGCATGGGATGTTTTTCTGATAGAATATACAAGGAATTCAAACAACTCAATCAAAACTTCCAAAAATTTTCATTAAAAAGTGGGCAAATAATAGACATTTTCCAAAAGAAGACATAGAAATGGCCAACAGGTATATGAAAAAATGCTCAATGTCACTGACCATCAGAGACATGCAAATTAAAATCACAATAAAATATCGTCTTATCATAGTCAGTATGGCTTTTATTAAAAAGTCAAAAATAGCAAATGTTGGCAAATATGTGGATAAAAGGAAATGCTTATATACTGTTGGGACAATGCAAATCAGTATAAACTCTATGGAAACCAGTTTGGTGATTTTTCAAAGAACTAAAAATACAATTACAATTTGATTCAGCAACTCCACTACTGTGTATCTACCCAAAGGAAAATAAATCATTATGTGAAAAAGTTACCTGCAGGTGTATGCTTATATTGGCACTATTCACAATAGCAAAGACATGAAATCAACCTATGTTTCCTCTATGGATAATTAGATAAAGAAAATATAGTATATATGCCAAATGGAATACTATTCAGTCATAAAAAAGAATGGAATCAGAGGGGAGAGTGACGTGGCCAATTAGACACAAACAAGTAGAACAGCTCCCACAGAGGGACTGAGAGGTGATGTAGTCTGTTAAAAACATGACTGGCGTGCTTTTAACAGATCTTCAGAGGGAACATGCCAAGAGAGGATGGAGGGAAGGCACAGAAGCCGGGCTGAAGGGGAAGAAAACTGGGAACCCTGCATAGGCTACCACATACTGAGACTCAATGTTGAACCACAACAGCTCTGGGGAAACAGGTGAGTTTAACTAGCAAGGAGCAACCTGCTCTTGCCTCGGGCTTCTGGATCCACAGAAGGAGGGAACCCCTCAATTACCATGAACACTTAAGATGGCAGGGAGAGCTGCTACTTTAGAGAAGCGGAGGGGCAGCAAGCCAGCTGATGTGGATGGAGCCCAGCGGATTTGGTGTGGGAGTGTCTATAGTGGAGCATGGCCATGGATGGCAATCCCTCTAGGCTCTACTTGCTCCCATAAAAGACTTTAGCTCGGCCGGGCGCAGTGGCTCACATCTGTAATCCCAGCACTTTGGGAGGCCGAGGCAAGCGGATCACGAGGTCAGGAAATCAAGACCATCCTGGCTAACACGGTGAAACCCCGTCTCTACTAAAAATACACAAAAATTAGCCAGGCGTGATGGCAGGCATCTGTAGTCCCAGCTACTCGGGAGGCTGAAGCAGGAGAAGGGCGTGAACCCAGGAGACGGAGCTTGCAGTGAGCCAAGATCCTGCCAGTGCACTCCAGCCTGGGCAACAGAGTGAGGCTCCATCAAAAAAAAAAAAAAAAAAAAAAAAAAAAGAAGACTTTAGCCCTAGGGGAACTGTCAGACTTGATCTTTGCAAGGTGGTCATGCACATCAGACAGGGCTGGTCCGACCTGAGCATCCCTTGGTTTTCTGGCCTTTCCCGGGATTCCAGCCTGGCAATACCTTCTCACAGGACAGTCTCAGGTACCCTGGGGGCCCACACCATGCCTTCTGTGCCAGCAGACCATTAGTAAGCAGTAGAAAGCTCCAGCGAGGCGGCCCCTATGGCTGTACACCAGCCCACACATGCTCTCCCCGTACTGCAGTTTCCCCTGAGCCCATGGCAACTCCCCACACCACTTTGCTGGTGTGCCTTACTGCATGGGTGGGTATTTGCTTTACTTGTCCCTCCAGCACATGGGAATGCAGTCAACATCCCCCACCTCCATTCCCCTACCAACAATCATTGCAGATGCAGCCGTGGTGAACACAGGGCTAGCAAGCCTTCTCCCTGCCAGTGCCCTGCCCTTGTGCTAACTCTGTTCCCATGGTCACTGTCAGGATTTTTCATATATCTGCTGTCATTTGTTCATTTTCTCCTTTAAACAAAATCAACGTAATAGGCTATGCTTATGTTTTACTCATTGTCAAACTTAGACTCAAAGCCTGGTTGGGTGGGAGGGGAACCTTAGCTTCCTTTCCTAGATGGCCAGTGTTGGTGAGCAGGAAAATGAGGCAGAGACTGAAGGGTAGCTTAGCATGGTCCATTGAGGTTAGCTGTAAACAGACATGTTTGTAACAAAAGAGTTGCTTCAGAGATGGGAAAGGGCCCTGCTGTTACACAGGAACAGACTTACCCTTAAGGTAATGCCAGTTTACCTAAGGGTTTTGGTTCATTTTGTGTTTTCTCTTATGCCACAACCAAACTGCAGAGAACCTGCTGTGACCTAAAGGGCATTCCTTTAGCAGATAAGACCTTGAAAAATGCAAAACTCCTGGAACTAGGAAGCTTTTTTAAAAAAGTAAATCACTAATTTGCTTTATCCCTGTGAACTGCATTGACAGTGTGTTATGACAATTTTTTTTTGTAAATATGTTATAAAATATTTTCTATCTCACCCCACCTAATCATACTCCCACTTTCCTATTTGTACTTTTTTCCTTCACATGAATTAACCAAATGAATTTTGTGTCACTGTCGTTGGATGCTACCCATATTTTTAAGAAATATGAAAATTGACTTTTTAAAAATTCAAAATGTATGTTGTATCAGAAAAAGGATTCTGCCTTTGCTCTCTCTAGTCTTATTTCAACCAATCTCCAAACGAATCTCTCCTGGAACTACCACTCCCTCATTACATTGGGTCACTGTTGCTGTGGCTACCTCTGCCTCTGCCCTGCTGTCACCACAGCCCCATACTCAGGCGCCCAGGACTCCTAGGAAGCTTGAGAGCCAGCAAGAAGGGCTCACTTAGCCTTGAGAGTGGTGGTCTTGCCTTCCTGTAAGAGAGTCGTTCGCTGGGTTGAGGGTCAGTGGATTGACTGTTATTGTTTAAAAAGTTTCTCTCAATTTATAAGGAAGAACTTGGTAAGTAGAAATTGGCTTGACCGCGTCCATCCTTGGTAGTTTTCTGTGACTTCTCAATGGAACAGAAAGCACACCCCACACCCTGATCCAAATAGATATTCCTGTTTACGTTGCCTTCAAGTCAACTGGTTCCCTTCTCCCTTTCACTTTCCCCCTTCTTTTTTGTTACTGCTCATTTAAAGCTTTCTTCCATGGACTTTCCAGGGAACAATCATCTCTGGCTCCTAAATCATCTCTTCATCCTCTTTGTGTGTTTTTTATAACCAAATGAATTATACAAGAAAGTCATACTTTAGGGTAGCAGAATTTCTAGTTTAGTAGAATTACTGTATACATATAGATGTTGATATATATGTTTTTGTGTATAAAACAAAACTTGATAGAAGTATAACTCTATGGATGAGGTTGAAGAAGTGCTCTTCAGAGGCTGGAGTCAGCACTGGTGTCTCAGATAGGCATGGGCTGTGTCCCAGGCTGCTCCACACAGTTAGGGCTGAGATGTGGCATTGGGTCCTTGTTATCCACCTCATCACAGTGGAGCCAGCCAACCCTGAAGGTGCCACTGCTCTCCCGGGTCCCAGCATCAAGGGCAAAGATGGGTAAGTTAGGCAACAAATCAGAATGACTGGAATTTTCTATCCTGTTTTGCTTTGACCACATGTATTGAGCTGCAGCCTCTGATATTCTATCATCTTTCCAAAAATTGTATTCGTCATGATGGAAAGAGAATGGATCTGTAGAAATGTTTACCTTTCTATATGAATTCATGAGTGCCCATGAATTCAGGACACTCTGGATTGGAGACTCACTCCCCAGAATGAGGACAGTGAAGAGGAGATCTGGTGACACTCAGTTATCAGTCCAGGAAACATGGCTCCTTCTCCAAGGTCACCTTGCTTAGATCTTTCCCTATCAGATTATCTTAGCTCAATCTCAATAATTCTGTGAAAGTTCCAGCCTGTTGTGTTTCTTCACAATACAGTTCCTATAATAAAAAGTGTTCATGCATGTGGATCTGTGTGAAAATAATTGCATTTTCTCATGTTCCTCTTTTTCCTATGTGAATTGTGCCTCTTTTTTATTTATAAAAGCCTTCTTTTTAAAAACTACAAACCAAAGTGTTTTAGACCTATATGTAGCCTATTCCTTAGTCTAATATTATAGATATATTATAAGAATGAATATTTTACTTGGCTTTAGAATGTTTAACAAGAAAACAAATTCTTATCTGATCAAGTCCTTGCTACTAAAATGCTTGTGTTTTTCATCATGACATTGTGTGCTTTTAAATTAATCATTTTATTTGTTGAAAAATAGAGTGAATTTATATTAGTCTTTGAAACTAATAATAGCATTGTACATTTATGAGATTATTTTAACAGAAAAACATAGAAGAATGCAGTTATTTTTATTGTAATATTACTAACAATAGGCTAAGAAAAGGGTGGGTCCCATTGTGGTGAACTACATTATGGGTTGTTACTCACAGTTTCTTTTTGATCATGTTTTTCTGGTCTCTGAGGTGAAACGACTTATTAATTAAAATTTGTAAACCCACATGTGCATATTGTATATGTGTAGAAATTCATCACATTTTGTCTTGGAATTTCATTAAACTTCTTGAAATCACCGTAAAAACAAGAATATACTTTGAACCCCCTTAGCATTCACCCCCCAATTTTCACCCCATTATGAAGCACAGGCAACCACAAATTTACTGTCTGTCTCCATGAATGTGACTCTTCTGGACATTTAACATAAGTAGAATTACACAATATGTAGCCTTTTCTGTCTGACTTTTGATTTTAAGATTCATACAGGTTGTAGCATGTAGCATTTACAAATATTGTATTTCTTTTTGCCAAATAATATCCTATTTTATGATATAACACATTTTGTTTATTTGTTTGTCCGGTAATGGACATTTGTGCTATTTTCACTTTTTGGCTATTATGAATAATGCTACTAAGCACTTTTATGTACAACTGTTTGTATGGATATGTGTTTTCATTTCTCTGTGTTAAATACCAAGGAGTGCAATTCCTGAATTAAATAAGTCTGTGTTTATCTTTGGAAGAACTGTCATACTGTCTTGCAAAGCAGCTGCACTGTTTTACATTTATTTCTATCAGCAGTGTATGATGATTCTAATTTCTCCATATCCACAACAACACTTGTTATTATCTATCTTTTAAATTATAGCCATTCAAGTGTATAGGTGACATCTTACTGTGGTTTTGATTTGCATTTCCCTAATGAGTAATGATATTGATAATCTTTTCATATGTTTATTGGCTACTTGTGTATATCTTGTGGAAAAATATTTACTCATATTTTTGTTCATTTTCACACTAATACATTTTCTAATGAGATTTGAGTTTATTTTCAGTCAATAAGTATTTATTGAGAATTTACTGTGTGCCAGTTACTGTCCTAGATATTTGAAGATATATAAGTTAACCAAAGAGACAAAATCTCTGTCCCCATGAGTTTTACATTTGCTAGGAAAGATATTCAATGAAGATTAATTCTATAATATATTGCCAGATATTGTAAATGCTATGCAATACAGTATAATAGGACATTTAAAAACTGGGCCACACACTGGAATCACCAGGAGAGCTTTAAAAGCTACTGATTTCTGGCTCAACTCCCTCACCTGTGAGAATGGCTGGGCTGTAACCTAGTCATCCTGTTTTTCCTACACTATGGTGCCTTGGAAGCCTTATAATTTGCATGATTATAAAACCCAGGCCTCTAAGTCGAAGAACCAGGATTTCCCCTTTATTATTAATGGAGGTGGAAAGGGATGCTGCATAACTCAGAGTGGGAGAATTGGTTAGCCATTTGAAGAAAAATGGAAAATTACTCTCACCTCATATCATACATCACAACAAGATGAAATGTTACATAGTCATTAAAATATATGTATACAATTTTGAATAAAATCCATTCAGTTATTAACTCAAGCAAAAAAAAAAAAAATCAAATGCTTTTTGTGCTATGTCCTGGGGAGATAGTGATGAACCTGATATAATACATTACATTTTCTTATAGTTCATTGGAGGGACCAAAAAACCAAATACAGTGTAGTGAATAACAAGAGGGAGGCCTCTGAAATGGCCGCCCTGGGAGTGTCTGCCTTTATGCAGATGTAGGTAGGGATGAAACACGCCCTAGTCTCCTGCAGTGCCCCCAGGCTTGCTAGGATTAGGAAATTCCAGCATGGCGAATTTTAGTCAGACCGGTTCTCTGCTCTTGCACCCTGTTAAGATGTTTATCAATGACAATGCGTGCACAGCAGGACATGGAAGTTCATTAGTGACTCTAGTTTTGCCCTGAACTTGTGATCTTGCCCTGCTCATCTGCCTTGTGATTTTTTGTTGCCCTTAAAGCATGTGATCTCTGTGACCCACACCCTATTCGTACATTCCCTCCCCTCTGAAAATTGCTAATAAAAACTTGCTGGTTTTATGGCTCAGGGGGCATCACGGAACTTGCCAACATGTGATGTCTCCCCCAGACACCCAGCTTTAAAATTTCTCTCTTTTGTACTCTTTCCCTTTATTTCTCAGACCGGCTGACACTTAGAGAAAATAGAAAAGAACTCACGTTGGATCATTGGGGGCAGATTCCCCTGATATTCACACAAAAATGTTTTTATTCATTTCCTCTTGGACCATAGGCATAAACAGAAGTCAAAACTCAAGAAGAGGAGTTGCATAGTAGAAATAAAACAGGCTACAAAATGTGACACACTTGGGTTTGAATCCTTTCCTGACACATTCTAATTGTGGAAATTGCTCAACCTTTTAGCACCTCAATTTCTGTATCTTTAGAACAGGTAAAATGCACCTTATCTCAGAAGGTTGTTAGGGGATTTAAATGAGGTGTTGTACCTAAAGTATTTAAATAAATACGTGCTAATTTCCTCACTTTTTCTCTCTGTCCTTCTACCTTCAAAAAGCTCAACCTCTTTTCTCTATATAATGCAGATTTGCAGGTCCCCTGATCAATGTTATTTACAGACTTGGGCCTCTTAGTGCAACAAAAAGGATTTCCACTCCATTACCTTAATTAAGAGGGGGTAGCTCATTGGGATCACATAATTTGTGGAATAGCCTGGACACCTTAATCAAATAACTTTAAAATAAACATGACCCCATAAGTTTATCATCTCAGAAGATACATAAGAAGTAGAAGTAGCTAAAATGTTTATTAGAATCTCAACTCCTTCTTTAATGATTTTTTGGTGAGTAAATTATTATTTTTTGCTTAGGAGAAATTCACTTAACAAAATTCACCATTTTAAAGTGTACAATTCAGTGATATTTAGTATGTTCACATTTTTGTACAACAACCACCTCTATCTAGTTCCAAAATATTTTCATCTTCCCAAAGGAAACACAATTCCCATTAAGTGGGAACATCCTATTTCCCTTTATTCCCATCTCCTGAGAGTCATCAGTTTGCTTTCCAACTTTAGAAATTTACCTATTCTGCAAATTATTTACATATATGGAATTATACAATATATAACTTTTGTGTTTGTCTTCTTTCATGTAAAAATGTTTTAGCAGTTTGTCTATATTGTAGTATCTACTTCATTTCATTTTATGACTAATATTCCATTGTATGTATACACAACATTTTATTTATCCATTTACTTATTGATGGACATTTGGGTTTTTTCTGCCTTTTAGCAATTGTGACTACTGTTCCTATGAACATTTTTTTAAAAAACAGTAGTCCCATCTTTTTTTAACTTTTATTTTAGGTTCAAGGGTACATGTGCAGGTTTATTATATTGGTAAATTGTGTGTCACAGGTGTTTGGTGTTCAGATTGTTTCACCACACAGGTAATATGCCTATAGATAATTTTTGATCATCACTCTCCTCCACCCTCCACCCTCAAGTTGGTTTCAGTGTCTGTTGTTCCCTTTTTTGTGTCCATATGTTCCTGATGTTTAACTTCCACTTATAAGTTAGAACATGCAAATATAAATTGTATGAGTATATTTTATTTTAAATAACTCTTACTAATTCAGTGGAAAAAGTAATCTATGTCATCTTGCCACCCTAAGCCTTTTTATTGGAGCATTTGGCCCATTTACATTCAAAGTTAGTACAGAAATACCATTTGACCCAGCAATCCCATTACTGGGTATATACCCAAAGGAATATAAATTATTCTATTATAAAGATACATGCACATGTATGTTCACTGCAGTGCTACTCACAGTAGCGAAGACATGGAATCAACCCAAATGCCCATCAATGATAGACTGGATAAAGAAAATGTGCCACATATTTACCATGAAATACTATGCAGCCACAAAAAGGAATGAGATCATGTCCTTTGCAGGAATATGTATGGAGCTGGAAGTCATTATTTTCAGCAAACTAACTCAGGAACAGAAAACCAAACAAAACATGTTCTCACTTGTAAGTGGGAGCTGAATGATGGAACACATGGACACATGGGGGGAATAACACACACTGGGGACTCTTGGTGGGGGCAGGAGGATGGAGAGCATCAAGAAGAAAAGATGATGGATGCTAGGCTTAATACCTAGGTGATGGGTTGATCTGTGCAGCAAACCACATAATAAATGTACACATCCTGCACATGTATCCTGGAACTTAAAATAAAAGTTGATGAAAATCAAAAAACAAATTTAGTATAGATATGATTTCTCACTGTCCTTGTGTTGTTAGCTGTTTATTATCTAGACTTGTCTGTGTGTTTGCTTTATAGTCTCAGTGGTCTGTGTACTTAAGTGTGTTTGTGTGGTGGCTGGTAATGATTTTTTCTTTTTATGTTTAGCACTCCCTTAAGGACCTCTTATAAGACAGGTTTTGTGGTAACAACTTCCCTCAGCATGTGGTTGTCTGAAAATGATCCTATTTCTCCTTTACTCATGAAGCTTAGTTTGGTTGAATATGAAGTTCTTGGTTAAAAATTCTTTTCTTTAGGAATTTAGGAATGTTGAATATAGGTCCTCATTCTCTCCTGTCTTGTAGGTTTTTTTTTTTTTTTTCTGAAATGTATGCTGTTAACCTGATGGGATTCCCTTTGTATGTCACCTGCCCCCTTCTCTCTAGTTGTCTTTAACATTTTTTCTTTCATTTCAACCTTGAACAATTTGATGATTATGTGTCTTGGGGATGATCTTCTTGTGTAGTATTTCATAGGGGTTTCTGAATTTGAATGTTGGCATCTCTCGTGAGGTTGGGGAAATGTTAATGGATAGTGTTCTGAAATATGTTTTTCAAGTTGCTTACTTTTTCTCCTTTTCTTTGAAGGATGCCAATGAGTCATAGTTTAGTCTGTTTACATAAGCCCATGTTTCTCAGAGATTTTGTTCATTCTTTTTATTGTTTTTCTATATTTTTGTCTGAGTTACTTTGAAAAGCAGGTCTTCAAGCTCTGAGATTCTTTCCTCACCTTGGTCAGTTCTGCTGTTAATAGTTGCAGTTGTGTTCTGAAATTCTTAAAGTGGGATTTTCAGCTCTATTAGCTCAGTTTGGTTCTTTCTTAAAATGACAAATTCATCTTTTATTTCCTGTACTGTTTTATTGTATTTCTTAGAATTATTTGATTGGGTTTTGAATTTCTTGTGAATATCAATGATCTTTATTCCTATTCATATTCTGAATTCCATTTCTGTCATTTCAGGCATCTCAGCCTGGTTAAGAACCATTGCTGGGGAACTAGTGTTATTGTCTGGAGGTTATAAGACATTCTGGACTTTTAAGTAGCCAGAGACCTTGCACTGGCTCTTTTTCATCTTTGTCAGATGATGTTCCTTTAGTCCTTGAAGTTGCTGTCCTTTGGATGGATTTTCTTTCAGTTTTATCTTCTTTGATGTCGTTGCAGGTTTGATTGTGGTATAAGTTAGATTCAGCTGACTGCCTTCATTTGTGGTAGATTTGGAGGGGCCCAAGATTCAGGTCAGCACTCCTGACCTGTATGCTCTAACTCTGAGGGGAAAATATCAGGTCCCCAGCTTTGGTATCTGTCGCCTCAGGTATAAAAACCTGATGCACTCGATGGGTCAAGATGTTCCTGGGCTGCTGGTCACAACACTCTGAATGGTGGTGCCAGCCAAAGTGTTTCTTTGGGTGGTGGAAGCAAAATCTGTTCTCATTTGCATGTGCAAGCACCATTAACAGCATGCTGAGGTGCACCCTCATCAGTTGGGGTGGGGCACTAGTGTGTCTGGGGCTGCCAGCCTCCCTGCAGGCACTGGCAACAACAGTGGTGACAGCATAGGGAGGAGGGCATTGAGGGGGAGGGGGACAGAGGGGGACAGGATCACTGGGTTCTGTGTGCATGTTCACAGCCCACACATATGAGAAAGTTGAAACTCAAGACATTGAGCAACCTTACCTCTATGGCTTTTCTGAGCTCATCCCATACTTTAGATCTCCCAGAATGGCTTTGCATGCTTCCAGTGGCTCCACAGTTCTGGGATATTGACGGTGGCTCTGGCTCTGACCCCACTTTTTTGTTCAGCCTTGCCCTTGTGGGAGGCCTGAGTGGTGACTCTGCTTTGGGACAAGTCTCTCCCTGGGCCCCCTGGCTTTTAAGTACATCTTCTGAAATCTAGGTACAGGCTATCATGGCCCCACAGCTCTTGCATTCTGCACATCTGAAATGTTAGCACCATGTGGACATAGCCTAAGGTTACTGCTTGCACCCTCTCAAGATACATTTGGGTCCACTTGTGCCATACCATAGTGCCACAAAGGCTTATGGCTTATATCTTTCAGGGCAGCAAGTTGACCTACACCTGAGGCCACTTGAACCACAGCAGGATTTGCTGAAAAGTGCTATGCCAGGATGCATGAAGTAGAGTCCTGAGTCATCCCTGGGCAACAGGGATGGAGATTGGAGAGTGCCCTGGGACCATCTCAGAAAAGCATTCTTCCCTCATAGAACTCTGGGCCTAGGATAAAATGGGCAGCCTCAAAGATCTCTAGAATGCCTTCAGGGCCATTTTCTTGTTGTCTTGATGATTAGCACCTAGCTCCCTTCTATTCATGCTAATCTCTTTAGTAACCAGTCTCTCAGCCACACCCTTGTTTTGTTCTCATATACATACTGTTTTGCTCTTTACATGGCCAGGCTATGAATTTTTCACATCTTTCTGTTCTGCATCCATTTCAATCACTAATTCTGTCCGTGAACTATTCTTTTGCTCCAACATCTCATTGTAAGTGGCCAACAGTCAGTATGCAGCAGGCTGAATACTTTACTGCTTAGACGTTTCTTCTGTCAGATATCCTAGTTCATCCTTAATATCAGCCTTCCACAAAGTCCATAAACACAGACAAAATTCATTCAAGTTGTTAAGTTGTTTGTCACTACATAGCAAGGATAGCCTTTACTCCAGTTTCCAGTACTTGTGCCTCACTTCCATCTGAGACCTCCTCAGAATGGACTCTACTGTCCACATTTCTATCAGCATTCTGGTTATGACCATTTAAGTAATTTCTTTTTTTATTTTTCAGTTTTTATTTATCTCCTGGAGTACTTGCCTTACAAGTATTTTTTTTTATTATACTTTAAGTTCTATGGTACATGTGCACAACATGAAGGTTTGTTACATATGTATACACGTGCCATGTTGGTGTGCTGCACCCATTAACCTATCATTTACATTAGGTATATCTCCTAATGCTATCCCTCCCTGCTCCCCCCACCCCACAACAGGCCCTGGTGTGTGATGTTCCCCACCCTGTGTCCAAGTGTTCTCATTGTTCAATTCCCACCTATGAGTGAGAACATGCAGTGTTGGGTTTTCTGTCCTTGCAATAGTTTGCTGAGAATGATGGTTTCCAGCTTCATCCATGTCCCTACAAAGGACATGAACTCATCCTTTTTCATGGCTGCGTAGTATTCCATGGTGTATACGTGCCACATTTTCTTAATCCAGTCTATCATTGATGGACATTTGGGTTGGTTCCAAGTCTTTGCTATTGTGAATAGTGCCACAATAAACATACATGTGCATGTGTCTTTATAGCAGCATGATTTATAATCTTTTGCGTATATACCCAGTAATGGGATGGCTGGGTCAAATGGTATTTCTAGTTCTAGATCCTTGAGGAATCACCACACTGTCTTCCACAATGGTTGAACTAGTTTACAGTCCCACCAACAGTGTAAGTAATTTCTATGAAGATTCAGACTTTCTCCAGTCTCTCATATCCTGAACTTGTACCAAAATTATCCTCAATGTTCTATTTATGGCAACCCAAGCTTTTTCTAACCTGTTCCTTCAAACTCTTTCAGTTTCTACCCATTACCTAGTTTGAAAGCTCTTTTCACATCTTCAGGTATTTATTTTTATTTTCAGTTCTGGTGCAGAATGTGCAGGTTTGTTACATAGGTAAACGTGTTCCATGGTGATTTGCTGCACCTGTCAACCCATCACCTAGCTTTTGAGCCCAGAATGCATTAGCTATTTTTCCTAATGCTCTCCTTCCCCTCAACCCACCCCCTGACATGTCCCAGTGTGTGTTTTTCCCCTCCCTATGTTCAGGTGTTTCATTGTTCAGCTCCCACTTATAAGCAAGATCATGTGGTGTTTGGTTTTCTGTTCATGCATTAGTTTCCTGGTGGTAATGGCTTTCAGCTTCATCTATGTCCCTGAAGTGTACATGATCTTATTCCTTTTTATGGCTATATAGTATTCAATGGTGTATATGTACCACATTTTCTTTATGCCATATTTTTTATTAGCAACAGCCCCACATCCTGGTACCAATTTTCTGTTCTAATCAATTTTCTGTAGCTATAACAGTATACCTAAGACAAGGGAATTTATGTTTAAAAAGGTTTATTTTGACTCACAGTTCTGGAGGCTGAGGAGTCCAAGATTGAATGGCTGCATCTACTGGACCGCTGGTGAAGACCTCATGCTGTGTGATAACATGGTGGAAGCCATTATAGGACAAGAGAGGTGCACTGAGAAGCAAACTGGATTTTATATTAGACTCATTCTTGTGATAACTAACCCACTTCTGCAATAACCCATTAATTGATTAATCCGTGAATGGATTAATCCATTCATGAAGGCAGAAGCCTCATGACCCAATCACTTTTCAATGACACCACTCCCCAACACTATTACATTTGGGAATAAGATTCAACTGTGAGTTTCATAGGAGACAAATATTCAAGCCCTAGCAGGTGTAGTTTAGGCATTCAAATTTATTCTTTTGCATGTGTATATCCAGTTGTTCCAATACCAAAATGACAGTTAAAAAGGCTGTGCTTTGCCCATTAAATTGTCTTGGCATCCATGTTGAAAATCACAATATATTCAAGGGTTTATATCTGGGCTTTTCATTATATTTCATTTGTCTATATGTCTGTCTTTATATGTGTATGTCTATATGTTTTGATTACTGAAGTTTTATAGTAAGTTTTGAAGTTCAAGAAGTGTAAGTCCTCCAAATTGGGTTTTATTTTTCAATATTGTTTTGGCTATCTGGGTTCCTTAAGTTTTGATATTAATTTTAGGATGAATTTTTCTATTTCTGGAATAAAACATCATTGAGATTTTGATAGAAATTATGTTGAATTTGCAGATATCTGTATACTGTAAGTAGTATTGACATCTTAATAATATTGCTTCCAATCTATGAACATGGGATATCTTTTAATCTACTTATGTTTTCTTTAACTTCTCTAGCAATGTTTTGTAGTTTTCATTGTAAAAGTCTTTGCCTCTTTGGTTAAGTTTACTCGTAAGCATTTTATTGATGATATTTAAGTGAAATAGTGTTCTTAATTTCCTTTTCAGACTGGTAATTGCTAGTTTATAGAAATACCTCCTGACTTTTATATGATGATCTTGTATCCTGCACCTTTGCAGAATTTGTTTTTAGCTTTAATAGTCTATGAATTCCTTCATATTTTCTACATATAAGGTCATGTTATCTGCAAATAGTTTAGCTGCTTTTTTTTTTTCAATTTTAATGTATTTTATTTTTTTTTTCTTCCTTAATTGTTCTGGCTAGAACTTCCATCACAATGGTGAGTAGCAGTGGTAAAGGCTGTCATCTCCATTCTGTTCTTGATTGTACACATTGTCTATTTTTACAATTAAGCATAATTAGCTCTTGATGTTTTGTGAATGCTCAAAATCAGTTTCAAGAAATTTCCTTCTATTTTTAACTGTTGGGTGTTTTTTCATAAAAGATTTTTGGACTTTGTCATATACATTTTCTGCATCAATTGAAATTATCTTTTTTTCTTTTCTACTATTAATGTGGTGCATTATATTCATTGAATTTTGTATGTTGAACTATCTTTACCCCTAGATAATTTCTACTTGGTTATAATGTGTAATTCTTTCATAGGTTGCTAGACTCAACCTATTATAAGTCTTTTTTAGGATCTTTAATAGCATATTCCCATCAGTTTCTGCATTATTTTCCATTGGAGGGTTTTTAATTGTTTTTCCAATTTTTTTAACTGTTTATAGATGTGTTCGATTTTTTTATTATTATTATACTTTAAGTTTTAGGGTACATGTGCACAATGTGCAGGTTAGTTACATATGTATACATGTGCCATGCTGGTGTGCTGCATCCATTAACTCGTCATTTAGCATTAGGTATATCTCCTAATGCTATCCCTCCCCCCTCCCCCCACCCCACAACAGTCCCCAGTTTGTGATGTTCCCCTTCCTGTGTCCATGTGTTCTCATTGTTCAATTCCCACCTATGAGTGAGAATATGCAGTGTTTGGTTCTTTGTTCCTGAATCAATTGTGGTAATTTGCATTTCTAGGAATTTGTCTATGTTATCTAGGATACATAATTTATTGGTGTAAATTTCTCATACTATTCTCCTTCTACAAAATAAATTTGTGTGCGTTTGAGATTCACAAGTAATGACTTGAGATACACGTGCCAGCATATCTAATTTTATTGCACTTTGCAGATATTGCACTTTTTATAAATTGAAAGTTTGTGGCCATTCTTCATCAAGCAAGTCTTCCCACAGATGAGTGCTACTGCAAGTAGAAATATTTTGTCATTTTGTTTTCCAGTTGTTTGCTGGTAGTACCTAAGAATATAATTAATTTATATATATTGAATTTGTAATATGCAACATTGTTACATTCTATAAGTTATAGTATTCATTTCAGAGGTTCATGGGAATTTTCTTGGTAATAATAATAATATCTGCAAATGGAACAGTGATACTTCTTTCTTTCTTACATATGTGCCTATCTTTCTTGTCTTTTCTTCTCTCATGTCTTTCTCTTATTTTTTTCTTTATTTTCTTGTTTGATTGAACCGTCTAGAAAGTCAAGTAAAATATTTAATAGAAGTGATGAGAAAAGTCTTCCTGGCTTGGTCCTAACCTTAGTGAAAAAACACTCAGTCTTTCACATTAATTATCATGTTTTCCATAGGATTTTGGTAGATGCCCATCAATATTTGTAATATTTTTTCTATTCTTTCTTTGGTGAAAATTTTTCCATGAATATGTAGTAAATTTTGTCATGTAAATTTGTGGCATATTGAAGTGATCATGTGCTTTTTCTTTTTTAGCCTGTTAGTGTGGTAAATCATAATGTTTGAATTTCAAATGTTAAAACAAACTTGCATTTCTGGAATAAATTCAAGTATATATTATCATTTGTATATCTTGTGGAATATAGTTTGGTAAAATTTTCTACTTTAAAAATGTTCATGATTATTTTATTATTAATTTCAAGCTATACAGATGTTATAAACATGTTTTACAGATAATGCTTCTAAAAAATTGTTTATGGGTCTTAAAATAAATATTCCCTATGCTTGAAAATATTATTGCATCCAGTGTTTGTAACAGGTGGTTACTACCTACAGAGAACATTCTTTCTAAAGGGCAGGATGCCCACATATCATAAAATTCCCTCAACATTTTGAAAATATTTTGCAATAATTTTTTTTGATGACAGCTTCATTGAGATATGTCATACTGTAAATTAATCTATTTAAAGTGTACCATACTGTTTTGTATTAAGTACAACCACAGGATTGCACAATCAATACTGTAGCCTGATTTTATAATATTTTGGTTCCCCATAAAAGAAACCTTACAACCACTCAGAGTCACACTCTATTTCTCCTTCAACACTCGCACACTTACCACCAATGAAGCCCTAGGCAACAACTAATATCATTTCTCTGTCTACATATTTGGCTTTTCTAGATATTTTATACAGGTAGAATCATACACCACGTGTATTTGTTATTTCCTTCCTTTATTTAACATAAGGTTTTTAAGGTTCAACCAAGTTGTATCAGTAATAAATTCATCTATACTGATTACTGAATATTATTGTTTTACTACATTTTATTTATGCATTCATCAGTTGATGGACACTTTTTGGCCACCATAAATAATGCTGGTATTAATATTTGTGTACAAGTTTTTGTGGGAACATATGATTTCATACCTATTGGGTATATACCCAAGGGTGAAATTTAAGGTGATACTGAAACGATATGTTTAAATTTTTAAAGAACTGCCCAACCGTTGTCTAAACTGGCTGCAACATTTTACATTGCTACCAGCAGTGCAAGTGGGTTCTACTTTCTTCCCATCCATCTCATCACTGGGTATTATATTTCTTTTTGATTATAGCCATCCTAATGAGTGTAAAGAGGTATCACATTGTGATTTTCGTTTGTATTTCTTTGTTATGTAATGATTTTGAGATTTTTTTCTTTTGTTTTTGAACATTTTTATATCTTCTTTGGAGATATGTCTATTTGGATTTCTGCACATTTAAGTATTTGGTAGTTTATATTTTAATTATTGAGTTCTAACCATTTTTATATATTCCTGACACAAGTCCATATATAACATTATATATACAAACACAAACAAATATACATATACACACACATATATACATATATAATTTGCAAATGTTTTCTTTCATTCTGTGGTGTGCCATTTTACTTTTGTGCTAATTCCCTTTGATGGACACAAGTTATTAATTTTTATGAAATCAAATGTATCTGTCTTTAGAATTTCTCTTTTATTGGCTTTTAGCACGTTGTCTATAAACCCATTCCTTAATCAAAAGACCCCAAATGTACAACCTTGATAATTTAAAAGAGTTTAATAGTTTTAACCCTTATATACATGTCCATGTTCCATTTTTACTAAAAGCATATATATGGTACGAGGTAAGAGCTCAACTTCATTCCTTTGCATATAGATACCTAGTTTCTCTAGCACCATTTTTTAAAAACTCTTTTCCCCCCACTAAATTGTTTTCAGAGCATTTAGATATAAATTGACTGAAATGTGAAGGCTTATATTTGGACACTCAATTCTATTCCTCTGATTTAAATTGCATCTTGTCTTTGTTACTGTAACTTTGAATTAGTTTTGAAATCAGTATATCAGGTGGGTACTCAAACTTTGTTCTTTATCAAGCTTATTTTTGCTATTTTGGGACCCTTAAAATTCCACATAAATTTTAGCATCAGCTTGCCAATATCTGCAAAGAAGCAATGTGAAATTTTGTTAGGGATTGTGTCAAGTCTGTATATCCTTTTGGGGTGAATCACCATCTTGAAAATATTAATTCTTCCAATAAATGAGTATAAAATGTCTTTTCATTTGTTTAGGTATTTTTATTCCTGTAAACATTATTTTGTGGTTTCCAGATGATTGGTTTTTCAGTTCTTTTGTTAAATTTATTCCTAAGTATTTTATTTATTTTCGTTGTATTGTAAATGGAATTGCTTTCCTTAATTCCATTTCTGGATTGTTCATTGCAACTGTATAGACATACAATAGAATATTTTGTATTGAACTTACATCCTGCAACCTTGAAAAACTCATTTATTATATCTAAGAGGTCTTTAGTCGATTTTTTATGATTTTCTGCATAACAGATCATGTCATTATAAATTAGGGAAGATATAGTTTTATTTTTTCCTTTCCATTTTACATGCCTTTTATTTCATATTTCTACAAATTTATCTTATTAGAGATGCTAGTACAATGTAAAATAGAAATAATGAAAGCAGACCTCCTTTTCCTGTTCCTGAATTCAGAGAAAAACATTCAGTTTTTTTATCATTAGTTATGATGTTAGCCATGGGTTCTTTGTATGTGTCATTTAGCAGGATGACAATAGTCATTTTTATTTCTACTATGTTGGCTAATTTTATAATGAAAGAATTTGGATATTATTAAAAGTTTTGCCTACATCCATTGAGGCACATTTGTGTTTTTTGTTAATCTACTGATATAATGCATTACATTAATTGATTATCAGATGTTAAGCCAACTTTGCCTTCCTAAGAAGAATTTCATTTGGCATTTAATATGCTGCTGGACTTAGTTTGTTGGCATTAAGTTGATGATTTGTGCATCTGTATTTAGGTGAGATATACATTTGAACATTTCATGTAATGTCTGATTTGTTTTGGTATATGTGTAATATTGGGCTCAGGATGAATTCAGAAATCTTCCCTTCTCTTCTAAATTTTGGCCAATTTTGTGAAGATTTTCTATTAACTGTTTAAGTGTTTGGTAGAATTCACCAGAGATGCGATCATAAACTGGGCTTTTCTTTATGGAAAAGTTTTTGAGTACTGATTCAATCTCTTTATCTCTTATAGGTATATTCAAATTCCATACTTCTTGAGTCAGATTCAGCAACTTGTGTTTTTCCATGAATTTGTCAATTTTATCTACATTATCTAATTTGTTGGCATACAATTGTTTTTAGTTTTCCCATATAATCAATTTTATCTTTCTATGGTCTATAATGTGTTGTCAATTTTTATCTTTTTAAGGAACCAACAATTGACTCTGATCTTTTTTTTTTTTTTTTTTTTTTTTTTTGTTGAGATGTAGTCTCACCTTGTCACCCAGGCTGGAGTGCAATGGCTCACTGCAACCTCCACCTCCCAGGTTCAAGCGATTCTCCTGTCTCAGCCTTCTGAGTACCTGGGATTACAGGTGCCTGCCACCATGCCTGGCTAATTTTTGTATTTTTGGTAGAGACGGGGGTTTCACCATGTTGGCCAGGCTGGTCTCGATCTCCTGATCTCAAGTTGTCTCACTGCCTCAGCCTCCCTACTTTTAGTGCCTCAAGGTGTAAAGTTAGATTATTAACATGACATTGTTCTTCTTTCTTAATATAGTAATTTAAAGTACAGATTTTCCTCTGAGCACTGCTTTGGTTGCATCCCTAAAGTTTTTGTATGCTATGTTTTCATTTTAATTCTTTTCTATGTATATGTAAATTATTCTGGTTATTTCTCTTTTAATACTTTGATGATTTAAGGGTGTATTGTTTAATCTCCACATATTTGTAAATTTTCCAGCTTTCCTTCTGTTACTGATTTCTAGCCTTATCTCACTGTTGTTGATAAAGATACTTTGTGTGACTTCGACATTTCAAAACTTAATGGTACTTATTTTTTGGCCTAACATATGGTTCTTCCTGGAGAATTCTTCTTGTGCACTTGAGAAGAATGTGTGTTCTGCTGTTTTCAAGTTTAGTAGTCTGAGTATGTTTTTTAGGGCTAGTTGATTTATACTGTTGTTCAAGTCTTCTTTCACTATTAATTTCTTACTGCACAGCTATCTATTTGTACCTGCAATTCTGGCAATGTGAGGGTGTCATATACTTTGGGAGTCTGTTATTTAGTGCTTGTATGATTATAATTGTTATACCTTCATGAATTCACCACTTTATGTATGTATATTGTCCTTCTTTTCCTCTCATAACAATTTTTCACTTGAATTCTGCTTTGTCTAACATTAATATAGTGACCACAGATCTGTTTTCATTACTGTTTGAATGGAGTGTATTTTTCTATCTTTTTACTTTCAACTTAAATGTGTCCTTGGATCTAAAGTGAGTTTCTTGTAGAGAGGATATAGTTTGATCATTTTTAAATGTAAACCCATTTTGCCTTTGTCTGCCTTTTGATTGAAAATTTTAATTAATTTTCATTTAAAGTAGTTACTAATTGGAAAGAACTTATATCTGCATTTGATACTGATTCTAAGTTTGTCTTATACATTTTTTGGTCTTTATTTTTCCATTATTGACATCTGTTGTGTTTACTTGTTTTTTTGTAGTAAAGCATTTTGATTTTCTTCTCATTCTGTTGCATATAATTTTTAAATCAAACAATTTTGTTTGGCATATAAATGACATTTAACATCCTAAATTTATAACAATCTAGTTCAAATTGTTACTCACTGAACTTCCAAAGCATATACAAACTATGCTCCTAAAATTTCCATTCTATCCCTTTTTTATGTTGTGATTTTTATAAATTATATCTTTATACATTATGACCCAATAATATACATTTATATTTAATTGTCCTTAAAATTCTGTAGAAAAAAAATTTTAAACTGAAGTTACAAAGCAAAAATACAATATTGGCTTTTATATTTGCTCATATATTTATCTTTACTAGAAAATTTTATGTTTTCATATGAATTTGATTTATTATCTAGAGTTCTTTCATTTCAGTCTGAAGGACTCTCATCAGCATTTTATGTAGGGCAAATGCAATGGTAATGAACTAGTCCAGCATTTGTTTTTCTGGGAATGTCTTAACTTCTCTAATTTTTTGAAGGATAGTTTTGCTGAACATAGAATACTTAGTCAACCATTTGCTTTTCTTTCAGCACATTAAATATATGATTCCACTGTCTTCTCAGCTTCAAGACTTCTGCAGAGAAATCAGCTGATTATCTTATTTAAGATCCATTTACATGATGAGTCTCTTCTATTTTGTTCCTTTCAAGATTCTGTTATTGACTTTACATGTTTGATTATAATATGTCTCATGGTGTTTATTTAAGTTTATCTTATTTGGATTTTTTGAGGTTTGTGAATTCATAGATTCATGTCTTTCATCAAATTTGGCAAGTTTTTGGCTATTTCTTCAAATATTCTTTTACCCTATCTCCCTCTTCTCTTATTATTATTCTCCTGATGCATATGTTTGTCTGCTTGATGGCATCCTGCAAGCCTCTTAGGCTTTATTCACTTTTCTTCATTTTTTTCTGTCTGCTCCTCAAACTCAATTTCAATTGTCCTATTTTAGGTTCACTGATTCTGCTTGTTTAAATCTACTTTTAATAACTTTTCTTTCAGTTATGGTAGTTTTTCACATCACAATTTTTATTTGTTTTTATAGTGTCTGTCACATCATTGATATTCTCATTTGGGTCATACATTATTTCTCTAATTTAATGTAGTTATTTTTCCATGTTTTTATTTAGCTTTTTATGCATATTTAAGAGAGTTATTTTAAAGTCTTTTTCTAGTAGATCTACATTGGCTGCCTCAAAGATAAATTCTCTCAATTTATGGTGTTCCCTTGAATGGGCCAAACTTTGCTGTTCCTTTGTATGCCTTGTCTTTTCTTGTTGAAAACTAGTCACTTGAATATTATAATGTTGTATCTCTGCAAATCAGATCCTCCCCCTTTCCTAGGGTTTGTTATTTTTCTGATTGTTGAAGATTGTGACAGTCATTTGATTAGTGATTTTCCGAGAATTTTTTTTTTGTAAGGACTATATTCCTTGATTTGTGCGGTCACTGAAGTCTCTGTTTCTTTGCTTGAGTTCAGCTAGTGTATTGATAGAGCTCTCCTTGAATGTGAGGAGCTAAAAAAAAAACAAACCCCCACCCCCCAATCTTGGTAGATTAGTTCTGTGCCTGGGCACTTCTTTAACACTTAGCCAGGTTTTCACTCAGCCCAGGGATCAGCCCAATGTGAAAACTTCCCTGGTGTTTTCTGCATATGTCTCTTTCCTGGGGCATGTGCATCATCTTTTAAATTACTCATAAATGTTATTGTTTTCAAATATTTTACAGAGAAACTCTTCCTAGGTTTTGCTTTCAGGCTGTAGATAATATAGTGCATGTCTCAACTATAATCTTTGTTTCAGGAGCCTTTGGGTTCAGTTGGTGGTGTTTTAAGCATTGCCCACTGCTTTTCTGGCCTGAGTTCCAGGTTAGTAAAGGCAAAGATGAACACCTTGTTTTAATCCTTAAGTTAGCCCCCAGACAAATTGGAACAAAATAATTTGCAAACAAAGTATTTTCTGCTCCTTCTGGAACCAGGGATCAGGGTCCTAGTCTGGGCATGTGGGCTTCCCTCTTCAAGACTGCTACTGTGCCATGGAAGAAGGTGGAAAGAGCAAGTAAAAATGCCAAAAATCTTCCTGTCTTTTTGATTTTTATCATTTTTATTTCAGCATTTGCTTGGCTGTAAACCTTTGACTATTTCCCAGGGTTTTTACAAAGTTGGTTCTGACAGTTCCTAATTATTTTTCAGAGATTTTGTGGGCAGATACAAACTTAAAGCTACCTACTCTACCATTTTGCTGATGTGATTCTTCTACAGTAGAGGTTTTTAATAACTTTTGCCTTAAAAAATATGTAGTATGTGGATCTACAACCATCTGATCTTTGACAAACCTGACAAAAGCAAGCAATGGGGAAAGGATTCCCTATTTAATAAGGAGCCCATATAGCCAAGACAATCCCAAGCAAAAAGAACAAAGCTGGAGGCATCACACTACTTGACTTCAAACTATACTACAAGGCTACAGTAACCAAAACAGCATGGTGCTGGTACCAAAACAGATACATAGACAAATGGAAGAGAACAGAGGCCTCAGAAATAATGCCACTCATCTACAACTATCTGATCTTTGACAAACCTGACAAAAGCAATGGAGAAAGGATTCTCAATTTAATGAATGGTGTTGGGAAAACTGACTAGCCATATGCAGGAAACTGAAACTGGGCACCTTCCTTACAACTCATATGAAAATGAACTCAAGATGCATTAAAGACTTAAACATAAAACCTAAAACCATAAAAACCATAGAAGAAAACCTAGGCAATACCATTCAGAACATAGGCATGGGCAAACACTTCATAACTAAAACACCAAAAGTAATGGCAACAAAAGCAAAAACTGACAAATGGGATATAATTAAACTAAAGAGCTTCTGCATGGGAAAATAAACTATCATCAGAGTGAACAGGCAACCTATAGAATGAGAGAAAATTTTTGCAATCTATCCATCTAACAAAGGGCTAATATCCAGAATCGACAAAGAACTTAAACAAATTTACAAGAAAAAAAACAACCCCATCACAAAGTAGGCAAAGGATATGAACAGGCACTTCTCAAAAGGCGACATTTATGCAGGCAACAAACATGAAAAAAAAGCTCATCATCACTGGTCATTAGAGAAATGCAAATCAAAACCACAGTGAGATACCATCTCACGCCAGTTAGAATGGTGATCATTAAAAAGTCAGGAAACAACAGATGCTGGAGAGCATATGGAGAAATAGGGACACTTTTACACTGTTAGTGGCAGTGTAAATTAGTTCAACCATTGTGGAAGACAGTGTGGTGATTCCTCAAGGATCTAGAACCAGAAATACCATTTGACCCAGCAATCCCATTACTGGGTATATAACCAAAGGATTAGAAATCATTTCTACTATAAAGACACCTGCACACATATATTTATTGCAGCTCTATTTACCATAGCAAAGACTTGGAACCAACCCAAATGCTCATCAATGATAGACTGGATAAAGAAAATGTGGCACATATACACCATAGAATACTATGCAACCATAAAAAAGGATGAGTTCATGTCCTTTGCAGGGACATTGATTAAGCTGGAAGCCACCATTCCCAGCAAACTAACACAGGAACAGAAAACCAAACATGCATGTTCTCACTCATAAGTGGAAGTTGAACAATTAGAACACATGGACACAGGGAGGGGAACATCACACACCAGGGCCTGCCAGGGGGTGGGGGCAAATGGGAGGGAGAGCATTAGGACAAATACCTAATGCATGTGGGGCTTAAAACCTAGATGATGGGTTGATAGGTTCAGCAGAGCACCATGGCACATGTATACCTATGTAACAAAACTGCACTTTCTGCACATGTATCCCAGAACTTAAAGTAAAACTTAAAAAAAATTAAATCTACAAAATTATTACAACCCCAATTCTTTCGTTAGATCTAGCTGAAAAATGTAGTATGTGGATATATTATTTTTTTCTGGTTTTAATTTTTATCTGATTACTTGCTTAGTGAATCTTTCATACTTCTTTCAGAAGGGGGATAATTATCTTCCCTCGACTATCTGGTTATCAGTCACACATGGATAGCTATCTAGGTATAATAGGCAAACATTCCGCTTTACGACCACCTCACCCTACATGGTACCTACTTATTGTAGAAATGATTACACACCCAGGAAATCAGGTCAGTCAAGTCTTTAGTTAACACCTACTGCATGCCTTAGTGACTGTCTTGGGGCCTTTCTTTGCAGAAACCATTATAGGTTTAAACAAACTTGGGATTGTTTTACAAATTGTTAAATATAACAATGGTAATTATTTCATTATGTTAATATTACATGTGTTTCTCACTGAAAATTTTGATGGCTAAGGTTTTGCAATTAATCTTGTATATAAAACAACATGAGGTAGAGAATAATTTAGTAATACTAGGGTATTTTAGGTGATTAGTCATTTTTATCGCTTTTGGAACAAAACTCACGAAAATGATTTTTAAAATGACTAATTTGTAGTTGATGAATTTGGGCTGAATTGCTTTGAGCAGAATCTTGCAAAGCTTTAAATAAATATCATCTAAACCCATTCATCTAGAAAGCCAAATCAATTGTATAAACTTGCCTGTACTCTGTACAGGTCAGAATACAGATTAATTCAACTGCTATAAAAATACTCAAAATAATATGTGACAGTCTGAGGATAATTTATCCATGGTCGGTGTGATGACTCCACGGTAACAGAGACCTAAAATCCTTTTATGTTGTTGCTCTAATGTCTAATTTAAGTACTGAACACTGTCATTATAGTGTAAATGTAGACATAGACAATATATAAATGAATGTGTTTGTGTTCCAATAAAACTTTATTTTTGAACATTTAAATTTAAATTTTATATAATTTGTACATGTCATGAAATATTTGTTTCTTAATTTTTTAACCACTTATATATGTAAAAATAATTATTTGTCCTCTGATCAAACAAAAACAGATAGTAGACAAGCTTTGGCCCTTGAGCTGTAGTTCACTGGCCCCAGCTCCAACTCTAGTAGCTCAGGTTATCATTTCCCCATCTTAGTCAGGTTGGATTACACTTTATGTTGTAAGCATACTTGTTCTAGATTTCTGAGGGGCTTACCTTTGTTTTCCAAGGACATTACAATCTTATCAGCTTCACGATAACATCATTGGACAAGATTTTCTTATCTGAAATACCTTGACAAGGTCTCTGGCAGTGGTCATGTATTTGATTTACTTTAGGCTGAGACAGTAGTTCCTTGTGGGTTTACTTCTTAATTTTCCAATATTTTTTGTCTCTTATTACTACTTTTAATCAATATTTATATAGTACTTATGTGGCAGTCGTTGTAAGTTTATTTAATATGTTACTGTCTCACAACAAACCTATGAAATTAGTACTGTTATCCTTATTTTACCTATGGGGAAACTGAGGCACAGAAGGCTTAAATAACTTGAGCTAATAACGCAGATAATAGCAGAGCTAGGATCCAAATCTAGGCTGCATGGATTCAGAGTCCACTCTGCCTTTCTAAACAACCTTGGTGTGTTGTTTTCTTAAATAAAAAATGTAGGAATGTTTCTCTCCAAACCCTGAAATATTTATGTCACCCACACAGGACACCTCCTTCTTGTACAGCTAAATTAGTATCACCAGTGTTCTTGGAGACCTAGGATTCCTGATTGAGGGATTCCTATGCTGCAATGTCTGTGTCCATATTTTATTTATTTATCAAATAGGTCTTCTCACTGCCAGACATTGTTTTAAATGCCTTATACACATTGACTTGTTTAATTTAATATTTACAACAAGCAATTAACAGATGAAAAAGGTCGCATAACTTTGTAAAGGGCAGAGCCAGATTGCAACCAAGTTAACGTCTTCGATCGCTATTCTTAATCTTTCTGCAGGGTCTGAGTCTCTTCATTTCTTACCAGCATGGGTTTCTCTGTTTCTTGCTTCAGGGACTTCACGACTGGTCACAAGAAATTCTTGACCTTGGTTGGTTCTGACATGGCTGCAACATGCTCTTTCTGACAGGAATGCATAGCCGAATATCAGGTTCTAAGCCCTGTGACAATCATAGGGCACATACAGCATAGATTTTGTTTAAAGAAATCTCTTTTGGTGTGTATATTCTTCTTGTTTAAGGTCTGAATTGATATTTGCACACTGCTATAACTTCTCTCATGAAGCATTACCTATTTTCAAAGCTACATAAGGTGCTGTTGTAATCATACGGTTTTGTTGTATACATAATCCCGCTTTAATTATTCATCATTATTTATTTTCCTTTTGTTAGTTTAATTATAAAAACAACACATACTCATTTTAAGAATCCTAATAATACAGATCTGTATGTTGTTGTTGGTGAAAAGTCTCCAGTTTTTTTCATCCCTTTTCTTTATAATTTCCAGCATAATGCCATAGAAATAGACGAAACTCTCAGCGGGCTTATTCTGCATTCACTGGCCATGGTGGTTTGAGGGTTAACTTTAAGAAGCACTCTCTCCATTTCAGCTGACTGCTACATCCGGGAGAAAAGCGCTATTGCCTGGGAAACTAAGTCACGTGAGAACCTGGGGACGCTAGGTTCCGGAACCTGACCTGAGCTGGGGCCTGTGCTTCCAGCGGGTGGTGGGGGGCCTGGTGTGCTGGCATCAAGTAAGCCGACTACCTCGGCAAAGGCTTAGGGACAAGAGACCAGCAGCCTGAACTGGCTGGGGCATCCGGAAGGCTTAGATCTTGTGGCCAAGAGTTCAGACCGTGGCGAAGTGGAGAGTGACATGCAGTTGGATGGCGGTGACTGCGTGGTAAGTTGTATTTGAACACCCGGCAGGAGACAAGAAGTGGGGATGAGCTAGGACTCATCCTCCCTTTATTGAATAATTTGCCTTTTTCCAGAGGGAAGGAAGCCAGACCAGCTAGCAGGACGCCAGGGGTAGGAGTGCGGGAATGAGAATAGGTGTCTGGAACAGGGCAGAGGGGGAGGGGGACCCTGAGGCGCAAATTCTTTTTCCTTACATGGCTTTTTCTTCTCGTTTTTCTCCTCTCTCACCCTCTATGTCCCCATTATTCTTGTTCTTTCTTTTCCTGGTTACGCATTTTCATTAATCCAGAGCCTTAATTCGAATGTAAACATTTTGGCTCCTGATCCAGTTCTCCGTTAACTTTCCTGGTATTTGTGATTTCGTGTTTGGTAGCGTAATAGGACGACTATAGTTAACAATAATTTATTATGTATTTCAAAATAACTAAAAAGCGGAATTGAGATGATTCTAACATAAAGAAATGATAAATGCTTGAGGTGATGGTTATACCATCTACTCTGATTTGATTATTACACATTGTATGTTCTAATCAAAATATCACATGTACCCCATAAATATGTACAACTATTATATATCCATAATAATTAAAACTTCAAAAATGTTAACAAAATGGCAAAAAAATCAGAAGAAGTTATTCAAGTATGGTGAGTAAACGTTTAAAAAGTGACTCAGCTTCACTAATAAATGCACATGAAAAAACGGAATAGCAGATTATGATTGACAAGGGGATAAAAAGATTGTTTATGCCCAGTGTTGTGCAGAGTTTGGGGACACTGGCACTCAATTACAGTATTAAGTGTGTAAATTAGTATAATCATTTATTGTTGGGCTATTTGGCATATGTAACAAACTTGAAAACCTCTTAGTCTTTGACCTAGAAATTCTACCCTTAGGAATTTTTTTTCAACACAGTTACTACTGAAAATACACACAGGTATGCACATACACATATAATGTGTTAATTGCAGCATTATTTGTAATAGCACACTTTGGAAATAATCTAAATGCCCATCAATAGTGAATTGGTAAAATAAATTGTGGTATAACAATATGATTGGATAGAATACAGCCCTTTTAAATGGCACTGATTTGGTGCCTGTGAAATAAGTTACAAAATAGGTTTTCTAGTAGTAGTCATAATATTATCAAATATTTCTTTACAATATATGTGAATACATACTTCTATATGAACAGAAAAAATGCTATAGGAAATTATGAACAAAACAACTAGCAATGAAAATCTCTGGGTAGTGGAATTGTAGCATTTGTTTTTCCTCCCCACTTCTGCTTTCCTTCTCAACGTCCTTCCCCAACTTTCTTTCTTTCTTTTTTTTCTTAAAGATCCATGTACATTTATTTCAACATTAATTTTTATACTCCAGATACCATTTACTTTCTTTTTTAAAGTATTACATATTAAGCAATACACAAGGTTGTAAAGAAAAATTCAACCGATACCATTGTAGCCTTAGCTCAGTTTAACAAGTAAAAATTTGATCAATACAGCTGAGATCTTCTGTGTAACCTTCCTTAATTCCATTACTCCAATCATGAGTTTGGGGTTTATTTTTTCTATGAATAATTTTTTAAATTTTTTACCACATGTACATTTATATCTCAGAAATATATATTTTACTTCCTTTAAAATCTAATATAAATGGTATACTGTATATATTCTTCTCAACTTGTTTTTAGTCAAAATATGGTTGGGAGCTTTATGTTGATAACTTTTATTAACAGTTAATTTATTTTCCCTACTGTACTGTTTCTAATGTGTAACTCTACCACAATTTATTTTTCCATTTTATGAATGACCACTTTGATTGTTTCAGTTTTCAGTACATGTATTTATGTTAATGGACATTGTAATGCATTTCCTTGCTCTATGAATTATTTGATGGATTACTTTGGAAAAATTATTTCACTTTTTTTTTTGAGACAAAGTCTCACTCTGTCGCCCAGGCTGAAGTGCAGTGGCACAATCTCTGCTCACTTCAACCTCTGCCTCCCGGGCTCAAGCAGTCCTCCCACCTCAGCCTCCTGAGTAGCTGGGACTACAGGCACCCACCACCATGCCCAACTAATTTTTGTTTGTTTTTGTAGAGACGGGGTTTCACCATGTTGCCAAGGCTGGTCTCAAAATTCTGAGCTCAAGTGATCCACCTGCCTGGGCCTCCCAAAGTGCTGTGATTACAGGTGTGAGCCACCATGCCAGGCCTAGCAATACTTCTATTTTATCAGTTGTAAAATGGGAATAATGGCTACCTAATTCTCAAGATATTGTGAGGCATGAATGAAGAAGCTGTGTAAAGGGTTTGAAATAAATTAACTTTCAACGATTGCACTCCTTTCCCATCTTCCTGTCATAAAAGAGATGACTTCGGCCTAAACAGAAAAGCATAACTAGCATACATTATTTTTAATTTTTTAATTTTATATATACATAATAGTTGTATGTGTTTATGAGGTAAATGTGATATTTTGATACAAGCATGCAATGAATAATGATCAAATCTGGGTAACTGGGATACCCATCACCTCAATCAACTATTATTTCTTTGTGTTGGGAGCATTCCAATCTATTCTTCTGCTTTTTTTGAAATGTACAATAAATAGTTGTTAACTATTAGTGGCCCTATTGTACTACTGAACGCTAGACTAGATCTTCCTTCTATCTAACTGTATTTTTGTTCCCATTAACCACCTGTCTTTATCTCCCCCTACCCAACTGCAATTCCTAGCCTCTGGTAACCACCATTCTATTCATTACCTCCATAAGGTGAATTTTTTAGTTTCCATATATGAGAACATGTGACATTTATCTCTGTTTGCCTGGCTTATTTCACTTAGCATAATGTCCTCCAGTTCCAGCTATGCTATGGTAAATGACAAGATTCTATTATTTTTTGTGGCTCAATAATTCATTGTGTGTGTATATATGCCATATTTTCTATATCCATTCATCCACTGATGAACACCTAGGTTGATTGCATATCTTTGGTATCATAAATAGTGCTGCAATAAACCTGGGAGTGCAACTATCTGTTCAATAACTAGCATAGAGATCTTTTAGAAAAGTAAGGGCCAGAAATAGCCTGTACCCAATGATGTTATTTATGGGCTTTATTGTTTTGTGCAGTGAGTTGTGGTATTAGAAGAAGCTTATCTGGTTTACTACCTATCTTGTTTAGTTTTCTGACCCCTTATTTTACCTTCCATGTTAGCATCAGAGAAGATATATTTCCAAAATGACAAGATACTACGGAACTAAGATAATGAAGGACCTGTTGTGTACAATCTTTTAGTGGGTGTTAGGTGATCTGATTCCCATTACTATCCCATAGCATCTTGGGTAAATTATTTCATCTCTGATCAATGATTGGTATCATTGTAGTTGTTAAGGTTCTTTTTTGTTGATGTCTTAGTTTGTTTGGGCTGCTATAATTAAGTACCACAAACTGAATGACTTATAAGGAACAGAAATTTATTTTTCACAGTTCTGGAAGTTGGGAAGTCCAAGATCAAGGTAGTGGCAGATTTGGTGTCAGGTAGAGGAAGTTCTAATTAGCTCTCAGAATCAAAGGAGTGAATACCCAAGCCGGAATAGGGCACTTCTCTGTCCAAGGATGTTAGCAACAATAATTTTCTATATTTGTTTTCTAAAGTGCTGCTATTAACATGATTTCTCTCTCTGTGTCTCCAAGTTTTAAATTTCCAGTGAAGAGATTCTGATTACCCAGCTTGAGTCACAGGTGGCTGTGAAGGCAGGTTAAATAACATAGACATAACCATTAGGTAATCCTTATGAGCCAGGAAGCCATCCTAATGTTGTCTAGCAGCATCTACTGTTCTACTCACAATTTTTTTTGAGATGAATATATGTCAATTTTATTACCAGATGAAATATAATAATAAATTATTTTTGAAATAGCTTATATGTGGTGGCACATATAGAAAATATTTTTCTTTACTTTTTTCCTCATCTTAAAAATACATCTTTAAGGTACATAATAAACTGTTTAAAAAATTTTTAGGTTGCCAGTCACAAGGTGCCTTTTAGTAAGGTACACAATACCTTCTATGAAATATTTTTGCCAGAAAAGTTCACTCAAATCTGATCAAGCCTCTAAATTTAATAATTTATGGGAAATGCAAAGCACAGAATTACATGACAAATGACATCATTGAATGCAGTCAGAAAAATCCAACCTGTGGGAAACTCTGCAATGCAGATATGGGTTTTTAGACAAATACATTTAAATAAAAAAAGACAGACAGGGATTGGAGTAGTCCAGAACACCTACAGATTAAAAGAGAATTAAGAAACGTATCAACTGCTTGCAATGTATAGAGCTTATCTGGATCCTGATTTAAGCAAGCATATTGTTAAAGACAGATAAGACATTGCTGGTGCCAATGCAAGCTAGTATAATGCTTTTGAAAGCATTGCTTCTAGGTCCTCTCAGTGAACAAAGCTAGGAAATATATGCATGTATACACCCACACAAATATCCACATCTACATTTATTTTTATATCTATCCTATCTATACCTAACAAATAATACAGCTTTATCTTTTGGCTTACCAATCCCATTTCTAGAAGTCTTCCCTGTAGATACACTTTCAACAATACAAAAGTGAATATGCACAGAGTTATTCAGTGAATATGCAACATTATTTATATTTACAAAATATTGAAAACAATATAAATACCCATATACACTGTGACACATTCATACAGTGTGGTGGCATGAAGCTGTAAAAAAGAAAATGGAAGATCATTATGAGCTAATATGGAGTGATTTCTGGAACATATCATTAAATTAAAAGTGTTAAAGGCAAAAGAATATCTGTAATATGTTATCCTTCATGTGATGAAGGAGGTGTAAAAATATGTACATATATCTGCTTAATTGTGCAAAAGAAATACAGGAAGCCAGAGACTTAATGAGAGGCTACAGGTAGTTAGTGTGTATGAGGTACAAAGAATGAGAGAATGAGAAGGGAGTGGTAGAAATGACGGGGAGCAACAGTTTTGTGAATATACTTTTTTGTGTAGCTGTAACAGAGCCATGAGAATGTTTCACATACCCTCCAAAAATAAACAAATAATTAAAATCAACCATGATTTTGCAAGAAACAAAAGTTCAATGCAATTCATTACAAGTGAACCTAGCTATATTACAAATGAGTAATAAAACCACACTGAAGTGAGTGGGGAAGAAAAAAAGTAAGCTAACCTAAGTAACTATGGAAAGTACTATTAAAAATGCATACTGTAAGTCTAAAGAAAGACAAAAATAAATGTACACAGCAGTTGTACTCTAGTGAAGAAAGTTGTTTTTTACAATGGTGTGTGTTAACAATTTTATAATTACTTAATGGGTATATTAGGACTGAACAAATGTTGTGAGTAATAACAGGTTTCATAAAAGGAGTTACAAACAAGGGAAAGGGAGAAGGCTAAAATGAGCTATGTGAATTAGAATCAGAGATATCAGTATAAATGTGTGTATATCTGTATATATAAATATAGATGTAAGAACATTATCAATATGTAAATATGTATATATCAATATATACACATGTGCACACATAAGGATAGATATAGAAATAAATGTAGATGTGGATATTTGTGTGGGTGTATACATACATATATTTCCTAGCTTTGTTCACTGAGAGGACCTAGAAACAATGACAAAACATTAGCTGTGATCATACTTAATGCCTGGATTGTGGTTTCTAAATTTTTTTTACAATAAAAATAATTAGGGCTTTTTGGAGTCATGGTTAATTTCAAGCCTGGGGCAGGAAACAAAACAAGAGTAGCCAGAAACATCTTATGTTGCCAAAATGTAAGGAAGGATAAATAAATGATGGGGGCATGTTGAAAAGACACGGACAAAGCTTGAAGGAGCTCCCAGTCAACAAATCTGTGATAATTTGAACAAAAAAGTAAATAGTAATAGTCTTGGATTATAATATAATACAATAGATACCCATAAATCTATAGTCATATAATAAATAAATAAATGAATAATAAAGTTAAGATTTGGGAAACAGCTCTTCTTGCAGATGAATTTCAATTAAAAATGTGCAAAAGTGATAGAAATAGCCACCATTAAGCACAAACCACTGTAACATTTATTACAGACAAGAATCGTCAATGGATGCTAAAATTAGTGGGTGGAAAGATGAGACATAGGGTATCTGTGTAGTCTCAGACTGTCTCCCCATAAGATACGTATTAATTGCAAGGAAAATATAGTAACTTTACAATGGAGAAAACTGGTGGAAACCACTTTAAACCAAATCATTAAAGTCATCATCACCAGTCACCAATAAAAGACATGTGAACCTTGTGCGCCTTGTGATACTATGCACCGAGAAGGAAATAACATCACATCCATGGTGTTCTTGCCAAAATGCACTCATGAGGCAACACCACTGTTTATTTATTTTTACAAAGACATTGTGAAAATAACTGCTTGGCATACCATACTATTTCAGAGTGTCAAGGTCATGAAAGATATAGAAAGACTGAGGGGCTGTCATTGACTGGAGGAGGCTAAGGAGGTATGACAACTAAAAGCAATATAGGATCCCAGATTGCAATTGAACCATAGAAAGGAAATCAGTGGGAAAACTGCTGAAATTCTAATAAGATCTGTAGATTAGTTGATAGTACTGTTTCAATGTTAATTTCCTGATTTAAGTAGTATTTTAAATTATGATCCTACAGATAATATTAGGAGAAGCAGAAAAGAGTATTCAAGAAAGTTCTGCACTATTTTTTACAAAATTTTTGCAATTTTCACCTAAGACAAATTATCTCAATATTGAAAGATTAAAAAATGAGATGATTGGGGATATCTGAACACTGGATATGTGATGATATTAAATAATTATTATTAATTTTTACCTGAGATAATAGGATCATGGTTTTTAAAAATCATTGTCTTTAGAGATTAATTCAGAAATATTTACATATGGTATAATATGAAGCATGGAATTTGCTTGGAAATAATAAGTGTTGGCTAATGGGTCCAGGAATAGATGAATTAATCATTGTTGAAGCTCAGTAATGGATATATGGGGGAGTTCATGATTATTATTCTCTCTAGTTTTGTATGAGTTCAAAACTTCCTACAATATGTTAAAAAACTAATTCAATGTAGAAAACTGGAAAATTGCAGAAGAATATAAGTAAATAAAAACCATCTATAAATCCTCTAGATATTTATAATCAGTGCTACATTTTGATGTGTGTGGTGTATGCATGGGGGATTGGTGCTCAACATTTGTTCTACCTTGTTACTATAACTTCATGCACTTCAGGAAAAGGAGTTAAAAGTACAAATTCACGTCAGATTGCCTGGGTGAGTGTCCCATTATTGTCATTTACTAAATGTCTGATGTTGAATAGAGTACTTAACTTCTCTGAATCTGTTTCCTCATTTATGAAATGAGAGCAATACTATATGCTGTCACAACCAGTAAATAGAGGTTGAGTATGCCTTATCTGAAATGCTTGGGACAAGAAGTGTTTGGGTTTTGGATTTTTTTTTTCGAATTTTGTAATATTTGCATTATACTTATCAATTCAGCATCCCTAATCCAAAAATCTCAAAAGATGTGAATCTTAGAATTGAGGAAATACGGCATTGCTAACCTCACAGGCTTTTTTGTGACAAGTAAATAAGTTTATAAATGCAAAGTGCCAGACATTTGGGTATTCAGCAAATATTAGTTACCATTATCATCCTCATTACCATCATCATAATCATAAATATGCTGCTTAAGAGTGGTCATGGAGGCATCTCTGCATATTTGTCCCTTTCAAGCAAGGAAACCAAATTATCTGGATCTCGTTGAGGATTTAATAGCCATTACTTCTGGGAGATAGATATTTTTATAATACTCTACATTGATAATGTATAAGAATGTTCGTTGCGGCATGGTTGGTAGAAGCAAAAATATTTGACATAGCCTAAGTTCCCATCAACAGGAAATGGTCAAATACATTGTGGAGATATTCCCACTGCAATACTATACAATGTTGCAAGAGAATGGCCGGGCGCGGTGGCTCAAGCCTGTAATCCCAGCACTTTGGGAGGCCAAGGCGGGCGGATCACGAGGTCAGGAGATCAAGACCATCCTGGCTAACACTGTGAAACCCCATCTCTACTCAAAATACAAAAATTAGCCGGGCGTAGTGGCGGGTGCCTGTTGTCCCGGCTACTCGGGAGGCTGAGGCAGGAGAATGGCGTGAACCCGGGAGGCGGAGCTTGCAGTGAGCTGAGATTGCACCACTGCACTCCAGCCTGGGCGACAGAGCCAGACTCCGTCTCAAAAAAAAAAAAAAAAAAAATGTTGCAAGAGAATGAGGGAGGAGTAGTAGTAGTGTAGTGACATGGAAAGATGTCTGTTATATCGACTAGTAAAGAAAGCAAATCATAGAACCAAATGTATAGTCTGATAGCACTCAAGAAGGAAAAAGCTTATTTATTTGTGTGTATTTGCAGGCAGATAGATAAATATGTTCCAAACGTTTAAAAGTGGATAGATAAATATGTTCCAAACGTTTAAAAGTGGTTGCCTCTGAGGGATAGGATTCAGATCAGACGGAGTTGAAATGAGGCTTTCACATTTTCCCCTTGTATATCTAGGTATGATTTGATTTTTATCCTATGTATTATTTTGTATTTAAAATACATTTTTTAAAAGTTGCGCAAGACATTTTTTAAGAGTATGTAAATGTACTCACTAAATTTCCTTCTAAGTAGGATTTGTTCTTTTAGCATCTTATTATAGGCATGTACCATGAAACTTAAGAATGAAAGAATAAAGTTTAAAACTGTATTTTTGTCCAGGCTACCTTTACAAATTGTGAAGTCCTTGTAGCCAGCACATTGTTGTCAGTCTTCATAACTGTTAGGCCTGTTCATAATGGTCCAAGCATACTATTAACATAGCAACATATTGCTATCATAATAACCTTTTAATTCCATTTGTCTCAAAGTAAGATTTTATAAAGGATGTCATAAAAATTAGGGTCTTTCACATTAAAGTGGAAAAACAAAATTCATTTCCAGTTATAGGGAATTAGGACAATTTATAAGTTACATATGTCCCACAGAATAGATTTTTAAAAGTCTTTTCAAATAATTCATTGTGAAATTTGAGTTCCCTGTACTCTGATTCCCTCAAAGTTGATGACTCCCATATACCTCACAAGCATTTACCTCAAAAGTGTAGTTTGTACCATCAGAGAATATATAAACACCTCTATGTGAATAAACTAGAAAATCCAGAAGAAATTGATAAATTCCTGTATACATACACCTTCCCAACACTAAACCAGGAAGAAGTCGAATCCCTTAATAGACCAATATCAAGTTCTGAAATTCAGGCAGTAATTAATAGCCTACAAACCAAAAAACAACCCATGACCAGATGGAATTACAGGTGAATCCTAGCAGAGGTACAAAGAGGAGCTGGTACCATTCCTTCAGAAACTATTCCAGGCAATATAAAAAGAGGGACTCCTCCCTAACTCATTTTATGAGGCCAGCATCATCCTGGGACCAAAACCTGGCAGAGACACAACAAAAACAGAAAATTTCAGGCCAATATCCCTGATGAACATCGATGCGAAAATTCTCAATAAAATACTGGCAAACTGAGTCCAGCAGCACATCAAAAAGCTTATCCACCATGATCAAGTGGGCTTCATCCCTGGGATGCAAGGCTGGTTCAACATATGCAAATCAATAAACTTAATCACATAAACAGAACCAATGACAATAACCACATGATTATCTCAACAGATGCAGAAAAGTCCTTCAATAAATATTAACATCCTTCATGCTAAAAACTCTCCATAAATTAGGTATTGATGCAACGTATCTCAAAATAATAAGAGCTATTTATGTCAAACCCACAGCCAATATCATACTGAATGGGCAAAAGCTGGAAGCATTCCCTTTGAAAACTAGTACAAGACAAGGATGCCCTCTCTCACCATATTCAACATGCCCTCTCTCACTTATTCAACATAGTATTGGAAGTTCTGGCCAGGGCAATCAGGCAAGAGAAAGAAATAAAGCATATTCAAGTAGGAAGAGAGGAAGTCAAATTGTCCCCGTTTGCAGATGACATGATTGTATATTTAGAAAACCCCATCGTCTCAGCCCCAAATCTCCTGAAGCTGATAAGCAGCTTCAGCAAATTCTCAGGATACAAAATAAATGTGCAAAAATCACAAGCATTCCTATACACCAATAATAGATAAACAGAGAGACAAATTATGAGTGAACTCCCATTCACAATTGTTACAAAGAGAATAAAATACCTAGGAATACAACTTAGAAGGGATGTGAAGGACCTCTTAAAGGAGAACTACAAACCACTGCTCAAGTAAATAAGAGAGGACACAAACAAATGGAAAAACATTCCATGCTCATGGATAGGAAAAATCAATATCATGAAAATGGCCACACTGCCCAAAGTAATTTATAGATTCAATGCCATCCCCATCAAGCTACCATTGACTCTCTTCACAGAATTAGAAAAACCTACTTTAAATTTCATAGGAAACCAAAAAAGGAGCCCATATAGCCAAGACAATCCCAAGCAAAAAGAACAAAGCTGGAGGCATCACACTACTTGACTTCAAACTATACTACAAGGCTACAGTAACCAAAACAGCATGGTGCTGGTACCAAAACAGATACATAGACAAATGGAAAAGAACAGAGGCCTCAGAAATAATGCCACTCATCTACAACTATCTGATCTTTGACAAACCTGACAAAAGCAATGGAGAAAGGATTCTCAATTTAATGAATGGTGTTGGGAAAACTGGCTAGCCATATGCAGAAAACTGAAACTGGACACCTTCCTTACACCTTATACAAAAATAAACTCAAGAAGGATTAAAGACCTAAACGTAAGACCTAAAACTGTGAAAACCCCAGAAGAAAACCTAGGCAATACCATTCAGGACATAGCATGGGCAAATACTTCATGACTAAAACACCAAAAGCAATGGCATCAAAACCCAGAATTGACAAATGGGATCTAATTAAACTAAAAAGCTTCTGCACAGGAAAAGAAACTATCATCAGAGTGAACAGGCAACCGACAGACTGGGAGAAAAGTTTTGCAATCTATCCATCTGACCAAGGGGTAATATACAGAATCTACAAGGAACTTAAACAAATTTACAAGAAAAAAACAACCCCATCAAAAAGTGGGCAAGGGATATGAACAGACACTTCTCAAAAGAAGACATTTATGCAGCCAATAAACATATGAAAAAAGGCTCATCATCCCTGGTCATCAGAGAAATGCAAATCAAAACCACAGTGAGATAGTATCTCATGCCAGTTAGAATGGCGATCATTAAAAAGTCAGGAAAAAACAGATGCTGGAGAGCATGTGGAGAAATAGGAACACTTTTACACTGTTGATGGGAGTGTAAATTAGTTCAACCATTGTGGAAGACAGTGTGGCGATTCCTCAAGGATCTAGAACCAGAAATACCGTTTGACCCAGCAACCGCTTATTGGTTATATAACCAAAGGATTATAAATCATTCTCCTATAAAGACACATGCACACGTATGTTTATTGCAGTACTATTCACAATAGCAAAGACTTGGAATCAACCCAAATGCCCATCAATGATAGACTGGATAAAGAAAGTATGGCACATATACACCATGGGATACTATACAGCCATAAAAAAGGATGAGTTCATGTCCTTTGCAGGGACATTGATGAAGCTGGAAACCATCATTCTCAGCAAGCTAATACAGGAACAGAAGACCAAACATTGCATGTTCTCACTCATAAGTGGGAGTTTAACAATGAGAACACATGGACACAGGGAGGGGAACATCACACACAGGGGCCTCTCGAGGGGTTGGGGGCTAGAGAAGGTATAGCATTAAGAGAAATACCTAATGTAGATGACGAGTTTCTGGGTGCAGCAAACCACCATGGCACATGCATACCTATGTAACAAACCTACACGTTCTGCACATGTATCCCAGAACTTAAAGTATAATTTTTAAAAAAGTGTAGTTTGGTAAAAAGTCTTTTCCTAGTGATCTGAACCTGAAATGTGACTTTACAATCCCCCTCATGCCCCACACATCTAGCAAAGAATTTTTATGTATTTTAAATCTAAACTTGAAGAGTCTGGAATTTCTTTCAGTTCTCAATATGAATGTAATACATAATTTCTAAATATATTCTAAAATAGGTGTTACCATGATTAGTATTATGTTATTATTAGTTTTTGTTATTTTGTGCTTTGAGAACAAACAGCCCTAAAAGCTCAGTGACTTACAACAACAAAGATTTGCTTCTTATACATGTTACTTGTTAGCTCTGGAGGTGTTCCCTGCATCATTTTTGTTCCAGGATCTAGTTTGGAGGAGCCCCCAAATCTGAGACAAGCTATTTGTAGAATGAAAAGAATGATGGACTCATGCAATGCCTCTTAAAACATAAACATGACATATGTCAATATCAAGCTTGACATCCACAGAGCAAGAAACTATAATCCTTTCATGGGGAGAGGTAACAAATAATTGGGAACATTAACACAATATACTGCAATGATTTTGCCACACTATAATAATTTTGAAACATACCAAATCTTGTATGTATGCCTTAATATATATGAATCTATATTAATAATAAAAATTATTCCAGATAATTTTACAATGTAGTATTTCAAAAGGAACTGTATGTTAGAAAAACACGAATCAAATAAATTTTGACTATAAATTTCATAGACTGGCTTAGCATGATATCGTAATTATTATTGAGTTATTAGTAATAATCATTATTCAGATCAGTTAAATGGATATGATAATGCAGCCATTTTTCAAAATATATTTCAGATGTTTTTATCTCCTATTTATCTCTGACCTGCAACTATTCCTGTGTATTAATATCTATTTAATGGGGTTTGAGGAAAAGAATAATTACTCAAGAAACACAATGTTAAGAGCAGGGACCTTGTTTTTTAAATGTGTTTTGTTTTGAAGTATTTCAAATTTACAGAAAAGACAAAAGGACTAATACAAAGAATATTCTCAACAGGTTATCCCACTCACCAATGAATATGCTTATCATGGGATACTACTCACCAGATTCACATTGTTAATCTGGTTAATCTTGGCTAATCCACCCAAAGATTTTCTGAACATATATATGGCCTTCCCTTTTGGGAAAATGTAGAATTTTCTTCATCTGAAAATTCCTCATCATGCATTTATCAGAAAGAAGAACATATTTTTAAATTTTACTTTAGGTTTGAGAGCACATGTGCAGGTTTGCTATATAGGTAAATTGCATGTCACAGGGGTTTGGTGTACAAATTATTTTGTCACCCAGGTAATAAACATAGTACCCAATAGGTAGTTTTTCAATCCTTACCCTCCTCTCACCCTCCACCCACAAGTAGGCCCCAGTGTCTATTGTTCCCTTCTTTGTGTCCATATCTACTCAGTGATTAGCTCCCACTTATAAGTGAGAGCATGTGATATTTGGTTTCTTTATCCTGTGTTACCTTGCTTAGGAAAACAGCCTTCAGATGCATCCACGTTCCTGCAAAGGATATTATCTCATTCTTTTTTTATGGCTGCATAGTATTCTGTGGTGTACATATACCACATTTTCTTTATCCAGTCTACTACTAATGGGCATTTAGGTTGATTCCATGTCTTTGCCATTGTGAATAGTGCTGCAGTGGACATGTGCAGGCATGTGTCTTTCTGGTAGAGTGAATTATACTTTTGGGGGAAATATACCCAATGATGGTGATTGCTGGGTCAAATGTTAATTCTGTTTTAAGTTCTTTAAGAAATTGCCTAACTGCTTTCCACACTGGCTGAACTAGTTTACATTCTCGGCAGCAGTGGATAAGTGTTCTTTTCTCCACAACCTTACCAGCATCTTCTATTTTTTGACATTTAATGATAGCCATTCTGACTGGTATGAGATGGTATCTCTTTGTGGTTTTGATTTACATTTTCCTAATGATTAGTGATATTGAGCATTTTTTCCATAGCTTGTTAGCCACATGAATGTCTTCTTTTGTAAAGTGTCTGTTCATGTACTTTGCCCACTTTCTTAATAAAGTTGTTTGGTTTTTTTTTTGTAAATTTGTTTAAGTTTCTTATAGATGCTGTATGTTGTTATAGATGCTAGATATAGATGCTGGATAGTATACTTTGCAAATATTTTCTCCTATTCTGTAGGTTGTTTACTGTGTTAATAGTTTATTTTGCTGTGCAGAAACTCTTTAACTTAATTAGATATCTTACAATTTTTTTTTGTTATTGTTGTAGTTGCTTTTGGCGCCTTTGTCATGAAGGCTTTGCTAGGTCCTATGTCAAGAATGTCCAGAATGGTACTTCCTAAGTTATCTTTCAGAGTTTTTCTAGTATTCGGTTATACATTTAGGTTTTTAATTCAACTTGAGTTAAGGGGTCCAGTTTCAATCTTCTGCATATGGCTACACAGTTTTCCCAGCAACATTTATTGAATAGAGAGTCCTTTCCACATTTCTTATGCTTGTGTATTTTCCTTAAAGATCAGATAATTGTAGGTGCGTGGCAATATTTTTGGGCTCTCTGTTCTGTTCCATTGATCTATGTGTCTTTTTTTGTACCAGTGCCATGCTGTTTTCATTACTGTAGCCTTGTAGTATAGTTTGAAGTCAGGTAATGTGATGCCGCCAGCCTTGTTCTTTTTGCTTGGGATTGCCTTGGCTATTCAAGCTCTTTGTTGTTGTTGTTGTTCCATATGTATTTTAAAATACTTTGATTTAATTCTGTGAACAATGTCATTGGTACTTTGACAGTGATAACATTGACTCTGTAAATTGGTTAGGACACTATGGCCATTTTGACAATATTGATTATTCCTTTCCATGAGCATGAAATGTTTTTCCATTTTTTTTGACACCTCTTATTTCTTTGAGTAGTGTTTTGTAATTCTCATTGTAGAAGTCTTTTGCCACCTTGGTTAGTGGAATTTCTAGATTTTTTTTTTTGTGTGTGTGGCTATTGTGAATGGGATTACATTCTTGATTTGGCTGTCTGCTTAGATGTTGTCAATGTACAGGAATTCCACTGATCTTTGCACATTGTTTTTATACTGTGAAATTTGCTAACCTTCTGTATCAGATCAAGGAGCTTTGGGACACACAATATAAAGATTTCTAGGAATAGAATCATAATGTTTGCTAACAGGGTTAGTTTGACTCCCTCTATTCCTATTTGGATGCCCTCTATTTCTTTCTCTTGACTGATTGCTCTGCCTAGGACTTCCAGTACTGTGTTAAATATGAGTGGTGAGAGAGGGCATCCTTGCCTTTTTCTAGTTCTCAAAGGGAATATTTTCAGCTTTTGCCCATTCATTATGACTTTGGCTGTGAGTTTTTCATAGATGGCTCTTATTATTTTGAAACATTTTTCTTCAATGCCTTTATTTTTTTGTTTTTTATTGAGGGTTTTTAACACAAAGAGATGTTGGATTTTATTGAAAACTTTTTCTGCATCTATTGAGATAATCATGTTGGTTTTGTTTTTAGTTCTGTTTATGCAGTGAACCACATTTATTGATTTACATATGTTCATCCAATCATGCATTCCAGGGATAAAGCCTACTTAATTGTGGTGGATTAACGTTTTATTTTTATTTTTAATTCCGGAGTACATGTACAGGATGTGCAGGTTTGGTACATAGGTAAAACATGTGCCATGGTGGTTTGCTGCGCGTATCAGTCCATCACCTAGGTATTAAGTCCAGCATGCACTGGCTATTTTTCCGAATGCTCTTCCTCCCCCACCCCACCCTCTGGCAGGCCTCAGTGTGTGTTGTTCCCCTCCCTTTGTCCATGTGTTCTCATTATTCAGCTCCCACTTATAAGTAAGAACGTGTGGTATTTGGTATTCTGTTCCAGCATCAGTATGCAGAGGATAATGGCTTCCAGCTCCATCCATGTTCCTGCAAAGGACATGTTCTCGTTCCTTTTTATGGCTGCATAACATAGCATTCCATGATGTGTATGTACCACATTTTCTTTATCCAGTCTATGATTGATGGGCATTTGAGTTGATTCCATGTCTTTGATATTGTGAATAGTGCTGCAATGACCATACATGTGCATATATCTTTGCAATAGAATGATTTATATTCCTTTAGGTATGTACCCAGTAATGGGATTGCTGGGTCAAATGGTATTTCCAGTTCTAGATCTTTGAGGAATTGCCACACCATCTTCCACAATGATTGAATTAATTTACATCCCCACCAACAATGAAAAGCATTCCTATTTCTCTGCAACCTCACCAGCAATTGTTGTTTCTTGGCTTTTTAATAAACACCATTCTCACTGAGGTGAGATGGTACTTCATTGTGGTTTTGATTTGCATTTCTCTAATGATCTCTGATGTTGAGATTTTTTTAAATATGTATTTGTTGGTCACATGAATGTCTTGTTTTGAGAAGTGTCTGTTCATATCCTTTGCCCAGTTTTTAATGGGGTTTGTTTTTTTCTTGTAAATTTGTTTAAGCTCCTTGTAGATTCTGGATATTAGACTTTTGTCGGATGGATAGATTGCAAAAATTTACTTCCACTCTGTAGGTTGCCTTTTCACCCTGATGATACTTTCTTTTGCTGTGCAGCAGCTCTTTAGTCTAATTGGATCCCATTTGTCAATTTTGGCTTTTGTGGCAATTGCTTTTGGCATTTTCATCATGAAATCTTTGCCCTTGCCTGTGTTCTGAATGGTATTGCCTGGATTTTCTTCTGGAGTTTTTATACGTTGGAGTTTTACATTTAAGTCTTTAACCCATCTTGAGTTAATTTTTGTATGATGTGTAAGGAAGGGATCCAGTTTCTCTATTCTGCCTATGGCTAGCCAGTTCTCCCAGCACCATTTTTTAAATAGGGAATTCTTTCCCAATTGCTTGTTTTTGTCAGATTGGCCAAGATCAGGTGGTTGTAGATGCGCAGTCTTATTTCTGAGTTCTCCATTCTGTTCCATTGGTCTATGTACATTGGTCTATTGTACTAGTACCACACTGTTTTGGTTACTGTGTAGCCTTGTAGTATAGTTTTAAGTCAGGTAGCAAGATGCCTCCAGCTTTGTTCTTTTTGCTAATGATTGTCTTGCTACATGGGCTCTTTTTTGGTTCCATATGAATTTTAAAGTAATTTCTTCTAATTCTGGGAAGAATGACAATGATAGTTTAATGGGAATAACATTGCATCTATAAATTACTTTGGCAGTATGGCCATTTTCACAATGTTGATTGTTCCTATCCATGAGCATGGAATGATTTTTCATTTGTTAGTGTTCTCTCTGACTTTCTTGAGCAGTGGTTTGTAGTTCTCCTTGAAGAGTTCCTTCACTTCCCTTGACAGTGGTACTCCTAGGTATTTTATTCTCTTTGTAGAAATTATGAATGGGGGTTCATTCATGATTTGGCTCTCTGCTTGTCTGTTGTTGGTGTATGGGAATGCTTATTAGTTTTGCACATTGATTTTGTATCCTGAGACTTTTCTGAAGTTTCTTATCAGCTTAAGAAGCTTTTGGGTGAATATGATGGGGATTTCTAGATATAGAATCATGTCATCTGCAAAGATAATTTGACTTTCTGTCTTCCCATTTGCATTCCCTTTATTTCTTTCTCTTGCCTGATTGCCCTAGCCAGAACTTCCGACACTATGTTGAAAAATGGTGGTGACAGAGGGCATCCTTGTCTTGTGCCTGTTTTCAAGAGAAATGCTTCCAGGTTTTGCCCATTCAGTATGATATTGGCTGTGGGTTTGTCATAAATGGCTCTTATTATTTTGAGGTATGTTGCATAAATATCTAGTTTATTGAGTGTTTTTAACATGAAGCGATGTTGAATTTCATCAAAGGGCTTTTTTGTGTCTATTGAGATAATCATGTGGTTTTTGTCTTTAGTTCTGGTTATGTGATGAATAACTTTTATTGATTTGTGTTTGCTGATCCATCCTTGTATCCTGGGGATGAAGCCAACTTGATCATGGTGAATAAGCTTTTTGATGTGCTGCTGGATTCGGTTTGTCAGTATTTTATTGAGAATTTTTGCATCAATGTTCAGCAGGGATATTGGCCTGAAGTTTTCTGTTGTGTCCCTGCCAGGTTTTAGTATCAGGATGATGCTGGCCTCGTAAAATGAGTTAGGGAGGAGTCCCTCCTTTTTAATTGTTTGGAATCGTTTCAGAAGAAATGGTACCAGCTTCTCTTTGTAACTCTGATATAATTCAGATGTAAATCCATCTGTTCCTGATCTTTTTTTGGTTAGCAGGCTATTTATTACTGCCTCAATTTCAGAACTTGTTATTGATCTATTCAAGGATTCAGCTTCTTCCTGGTTCAGTCTTGGGAGGGTGTATGTGTCCAGGAATTTGTCCATTTTTTCTCGATTTTCTAGTTTATTTGCATTTTTTTTTTCAAAAGACAGCTCCTGGATTTGTTGATTTTTTTGAAGCGTTTTTCATGTCCCTATCTCCTTCAGTTACACTCTGATCTTGCTTATTTCTTGTCTTCTGCTAGCTTTGGGGTTTGTTTGCTCTTGGTTTTCTAGTTCCTTTAGTTGTGATGTTAGACTGTCAATCGGAGATCTTTCTAGTTTTTTGATGTGGGCATTTAGTGCTATAGATTTCCCTTTTAACGCTGCTCTTTTTGCTTAGGATAGTCCTGCTTATACAAGCTATTTTTTGGTTCCATATGAATTTTACATAGATTTTTCTAATTCTTTGAAGGATGTCAGTGGTAATTTAATGAGAATAGCATTGCATGTATAAATCGCTTTGGACAGTATGGCCATTTTCACAATATTTTATTATTATTATTATTATTATTATTATTATTATTATACTTTAAGTTTTAGGGTACATGTGCACATTGTGCAGGTTAGTTACATATGTATACATGTGCCATGCTGGTGCGCTGCACCCACTAACTCGTCATCTAGCATTAGGTATATCTCCCAATGCTATCCCTCCCCCCTACCCCCACCCCACAACAGTCCCCAGAGTGTGATATTCCCCTTCCTGTGTCCATGTGATCTCATTGTTCAATTCCCACCTATGAGTGAGAATATGCGGTGTTTGGTTTTTTGTTCTTGCGATAGTTTACTGAGAATGATGATTTCCAATTTCATCCATGTCCCTTTTTATCCATGAGTATGGAATATTTTCCATCTGCTTGTTTTGTCTCTGATTTCCTTGAGCAGTGGCTTGTAGTTCTCCTTGAAGAGGTCCTTCACTTCCCTTGCTAGCTGTATTTTTAGGTGTTTTATTCTCTTTGTGGCAATTGTGAATGGAAGTTCATTCATGATTTGGCTCTCTGCTTGTCTGTAATTGGTGTATAGAAATGCTTGTGATTTCTGCACATTGGTTTTTGTATCCTGAGACTTTGCTGAAGTTGCTTATCAGCTTAAGAAGCTTTGGGCTGAGTTGATGGGGTTTACTAGATATAGGATCATGTCATCTGCAAAAAAAAAAAAAAAAAAAAAAAAAAAAAGACATTTTGACTTCCTCTCTTCCTATTTGAGTATCCTTTATTTCTTTCTCTTGCCTTATTGCCCTGGCCAGAACATCCGACACTGTTCTGAATAAGAGTGGTTACAGAGGGTATCCTTTTTTTGTGCCCGTTTTCAAGGGGAATGCTTCCAGCTTTTGCCCATTCAGTATGATATTGACTGTGGGTTTGTCGTAAATGACTCTTATTATTTTGAGGTATGTTGCATAAATACCTAGTTTATTGAGAGTTTTTAACATGAAGGGATGTTGAACTTTATCAAGGATGTTTTCTGCATCTATTGAGATAATCCTGTGTTTTTGTTTTCTTTAGTTCTGTTTATGCGATTAATCACCTTTATTGATTTGCGTATGTTGAACCAGCCTTGCATCCTGGGGATGAAGCCAACTTGATCATGGTTGATAAGCTTTTTGACGTGCTGCTTGTCTCAGTTTACCAGTATTTTATTGAGGATTTTTGCATCAGTGTTAATCAGGGATATTGGCCTGAAGTTTTCCTTTTTTTGTTCTATCTCTGCCAGATTTTGGTATCAGGATGATGTTGGCCGCATAAAATGAGTTAGGGAGGAGTCCCTCCTTTTCAATTGTTTGGAATAGTTTCAGAAGAAATGGTACTAGCTCCTCTTTGTGCCTCTGGTACAATTCAGCTGTAAATCCATCTGGACCTGGGCTTTCTTTGTTGGTAGGCTATTTATTATTGCCTCAATTTCAGAACTTGTTATTGGTTCATTCAGGGATTCAGCTTCTTTCTGGTTCAGTCTTGGGAGGATGCCTGTGTCCAGGAATTTATCCATTTCTTCTAGATTTTCCAGTTTATTTCCATAGAAGTGTTTATAGTATTTTCTGATCATTGTTTGTATTCTGTGGGGTCAGTGGTGGTATCTCCCTTATCTTTTTTACTGTGTTTATTTTAATCTTCTCTCTTTTTGTCTTCATTAATCTCACTAGTGTTCTATTTATTGATTTTTTTTCAAAGAACCAGCTCTTGGATTTGTTCATTTTTTTGAAGGGCTTTTTTGTGTCTCTATCGCCTTCAGTTCCTCTCTGAACTTGCTTATTTCTTGTCTTCTGCTACCTCTGGAGTTTATTTGCTCTTGGTTCTCTAGTTCTTTTAGCTGTGATGTTAGCTTGCCAATTGGAGATGTTTCTGGCTTTTTGATGTGGGCATTGAGTGCTATAAATTTCCCTCTTAAGACTGCTTTAGCTGCATCCCAGAGATTCTGGTACATTGTCTCTTTGTTCTCATTGGTTTCAAAAAATGTCTTTATTTCTGCTTTAATTTCATTATTTACTCTGATGCCATTCTGGAGCAAGTTGTTCGATTTCCATGCAGTTGTGTGGTTTTGAGTGGGATTCTTAATCTTGAGTTCTAATTTGATTGCACTGTGGTCTGAGAGACTGTTATTATTTCAGTTCTTTTGCATTTTCTGAGGAGTGTTTTACTTCCAATTATGTGATTAGGTTTAGAGTAAGTGCTGTGTGGCACCAAAAAAAAATATGTATCTTCTGTTGTTTTGGGGTGGGGAGTTCTGTAGAGATATATCAGATGCACTTGGTCTAGAGCTCAGTTTAAGTCCTGAATATCTTTGTTAATTTTCTGTCTTGATGATCTAATACTGACAGTGGGGTATTAAAGTCTCCCACTTTTATTGTGTGTGGATCTAAGTCTCTTTGTAGGTCTTTAAGAACTAGTTTTATGAACCTGGGTGCTCCTGTATTGGGTGCATATATATTTGGGATAGTTTTTCTTAACCCTTTACCATTACGTAATGCCCTTCTTTGACTTTTTTGATCTTTGTTCATTTAACGTCTATTTTTGTCATAAATTAGGATTGTAACCCCTACTTTTTTCTGTTTTCCAATTGCTTGGTAAATTTTCCTCCATCACTTTATTTTTGAGTCTATGTGTGTCTTTGCACATGAGATGTGTCTCTTGAGTACAGTACACCAACGGTTCTTGTTTTCGTATCCAGCTCGCCATTCTGTGTCTTTTAGCTGGGACATTTAGCCCATTTTCACTTAAGGGTAATGTTGTTATGTGTGAATTTAATCCTGTCATGATGCTGCTGGCTGGCTAATTTTGCAGACTAGTTAATGTAGTTTCTTCATAGTGTTCTTGGTCTGTTTACTTCAGTTTGTTTTTATAGTGGATGGTAACAGTTTTTCCTATCCATTTTTAGTGCTTTCTTCTGCAGCTCTTGCAAGGTGGGCCTGGCAGTGACAAAATCCCTCAACATTTGCTTGTATGAAAAATATTTTATTTCTCCTTTGCTTATGAAGCTTAGTTTGGTTGGATATGAAATTCTTGGTTAGAATTTCTTTTTTTAAGAATGTTGACTATTGGCCTTCAATCTCTTTTGGCTTTTCTGGTTTCCACTGAGAGGTCCACTGTTTGTCTGATGGGCTTCCCTTTGTAGGTGACCTGGCCTTTCTCTCTGGCTGCCCTTAATATTTTTTTCTTTATTTCAACCTTGGAGTATCTCGTGAGTATGGCTTGTAGTAGATCTTTTCATGGAGTATCTTACTGGGGTTCTCTGGATTTCCTGAATTTGAATATTGGCCTTTCTTGACAGGTTGGGGAAGCTCTCCTGGATGAGCTCCTAAAGAGTATTTTCCAAGTTGGTTCCATTCTCCCCATCTCTTTCAGGTACTCCAATCAGTCATAGCTTCAGTCTTTTCACATATTTCCATAGTTCTTGGAGGTGTTGGTTGTTCCTTTTCATTTCTTTTTTCTCTAATCTTGTCTGCCTGCCTTATTTCAGCAAGACAGTCTTCAAGCTCTCGTCTTCTCTCTTCTGCTTGGTCAATTCAGCTATTGATACTTGTGTTTGCATCATGAAGTTCTCATGCTGTGTTCTTCAGCTCCATCAGGTCATTTATGTTTCTCTCTAAACTGGTTATTCTAGGTAACAGCTCCTGTAATCTTTTATTATGGTTCTTAGCTTCTTTTCATTGGGCTAGAACATAATTCTTTAGCTCATAAAAATTCATTATTACCCACTTTCTGAAGCCTAATTCTGTCAGTTCATCCAAGTCAGCTTCAGCCTTTTTCTGTGCCCTTGCTGGAGAAGTGTTGCAGTTATTTGGAGGAGAAGAGGCATTCTGGCTTTTGAAATTTTTTGGGTTTTTACGTTGTTTTTTTCTCATCTCCGTGAGTTTATCTACCTTTGATCTTTGAGGCTGTTGACCTTTGGATTGGGGTTTTTGTGGATCTTTGTTGTTGTTGTTGTTGCTTTCTGTTTGTTTTGATTCTAACAGTCAGGCTCCTCTTCTGCACGTCTGCTGCAGTTTGCTGGGGGTCCATTCCAGAACCTGTTTGCCTGGGTATCACCAGTGGAGGCTGCAGAACAGCAAAGATTGCTGCCTGCTTTTTCCTCTGGAAGCTTCATTCCAGAGAGGCACTGACCTGATGCCAGCCAGAACTCTCCTGTCTGAGGTGTCTGGCAACCCCTGTTGGGAGGTTTCACCCAGTCAGGAGGCATGGGATCAGAGACCCGCTTAAGGAGGCAATCTTACTGTCCTTTAGCAAAGCTGGTGTGCTGTGCTGTGGGAATCCCCCTTGTCAGGATCAGCTGGTATCTTCAGAGCCAGCAGTCAGGAAAGATTTGATCCGCTGAACCTGAGACCGCAGCCATCCCTCCTCCCATGTGCTCTGTCTCAGGGAGATGAGGGTCTGTCTCGAAGCCCCTGACTGGAGCTGCTGGAATTCCTGCAAGGAGGCCTTGCCCAATGAGGAGGGGTGGATCTAGGTCTCAAAGAAGCAGTCTGGCCATGATCTGTCACAGCTGCAGTGCTGCACTTTGGGGAATACTGTCCAAACCTCCCAGTTTCTTTAACACTGGCAGGGGGAAACCACCAACTAGAGCCACAGTAATGGTGGTCGCTCCTCCCCCCAGGAACTTGGTCTTCTTAAGCAGACTCCAGACTGCTGTGAAGGCAGTGGGGATTTCAAGCCAGTGGGTCTTAGCTTGCAGGGTTCCATGGGAGTGGGACCTGCTGAGCAAAGCCATTTGTCTCAGCCCCCTTTCCATGGGAGTGGATGGTTCTCTTGCCTCACTTGAGTTCCAGGCACCGCTGGAGTATTTAAAAACTCCTGCAGCTCAGTGCCTAACAGCCGCCAGTGGGAGTGGCTGTCATTTGTCTGCCCAGTTTTGTGCTTGAGACCCAAGGCCCATGTGGTCTATGCCCACGAGGAAATCTCCTGATCCATGAATTGCAAAAATCTGTGGGAAAATCATGGTACCCTGGTAGGTAGCACAGTCCCTCACCACTTTTCTTGGCTGGGGGAGGGAGGTCCCTTTGCCCCGTGTAGCTCCTAGGTGAAGCAACGCCCCACCCTGCTTTTCCTTGGTCTCTGTGGGTCACACCAACCACCTAGTCAGTCCCAATGAGATGAACTGGGTACCTCAGTTGGAAATGCAGAAATCACTCTCCTTTTGCGTTCGTCTTGCTGGGAGGTGCAGACCAGAGCTGTTTCTATTTGGATATCTTGGCCCCTCCCCTTAAGTTTTTATTTTTATTTTTAATATTTGTGGGTACATAGTAAGTGTATATATTTATGGGATACGTGAGATGTTTTGATACAAGCATACAATGTGATATAAGAACATCAAGGAGAAAGAGGTATTCATCCCCTCAAGCATTTATCCTTTGAGATACAAATAAACAAATCATACTCTTTATTTTAAAATGTATAATTAAGTTATTATTGACTATACTTGCCCTGTTGTGCTATCAAATAGTAGGTTTTATGCATTCTAAGTAATTTTTGTACTCATTAACCATCCCCACCTCCCCCAAATCCTCCCACTATCCTTCCTAGCCTCTGGTAACCATCCTTCTACTTTCTGTGCCCATGAGTTCAACTGTTTTGATTTTTATATCCCACAAACAAGTGAGAAAATGCATTGTGTGTCTTTCTGTGCCTGGCTTACTTCACTTAATATAATGATCTCAAGTTTTACCCATGTTCTTGCAAATGACAGGATCTCAGTCTTTTTATGGCTGAGTAATACTCCATTGTGTATATCTACCGCATTTTCTTTATCCATTCATCTGTTGATGGACACTTAGTTTGCTTCCAAATCTTAGCTGTTGTAAATAGTGCTTCAACAAACATAAGAATGCAAATATTTCTTTGATATATTGATTTCCTTTCTTTGGGGTATATACCCAGCAGTGGGCTTGCTGGATCACATGGTAGCTGTATTTTTAGTTTTTTGAGGAAACTCTCAACTGTTCACCATAGTGGTTTTACTAATTTTCGTTCCCACCAACAGTGTCGAGGCTTCCCTTTTCTGCACATCCTCACCAGCATTTGTTCTTGCCTTTTGTTTGACTATAAGTCATTTTAACTGGGGTGAAATAATATTTCATTAAATTTTTATTTGCGTTTCTCTGATGATCAATGATGTTGAGCACGTTTTCATATCCCTGTTTGCCATTTGTAGGTCTTCTTTTGAGAAATGTCTGTTTAAATCTTTTGCCCATTTTTTAATCAGATTATTAGATTTTTTTCCTGTAGAATTGTTTGAGCTCCTTGCTCTGGTTATTAATCCTTTGTCAGATAGTAGTTTGCAGTTATTTTCTCCTATTTTGTAGGTTATCTCTTAATTTTGTTTATTGTATCCTTTGTTATGCAGAAGCTTTTAAACTCGTTGTGATCTCATTTGTCCATTTTTTTGTTTGTTTGCCTGCGCTTGTGGGTAGTGCTCAAGAAATTTTTTTTGCCCAGACCAATGTCCTGGTGATTTCCTCCAATGTTTTCTTGCAGCAGTTTCATGGATTGAGGTCTTAGATTTAAGTCTTTAACACATTTTGATTTGACTTTTTATTTGGTGAGATATAGGGGTCTAGTTTCATTCTTCTGCATAAGGATATCCAGTTTTCCCAGCACCATTTATTGAAGAGACTGTCTTTTCCCCAGTGTATGTTCTTGGTACCTTTGTCAAAAATGTGTTCACTGTAGGTATGTGGATTTGTAACTGGGTTATCTATTCTATCCCATTGGTCTATGTGTTTGTTTGTATGCCAGTACCATGTTGTTTTTGTTATTACGGCTCTGGAGTATAATTTGATGTCAGGTACTGTAATGTGATTCCTCCAGTTTTGCTCTTTTTGCTTAGGAAAGCTTTGGGTATTCTAGGTTTTTCATGGTTCTGTTTAAATTTTAGGATTGCTTTTTCTATTTCTGTGAATAGTGTCATTCGTATTTTGATAGGGATTGCATTGAATGTGAGATTGCTTTGGGTAGTATGAACATTTTAACAATATTGATTCTTCCAATCTGTAAAGCTGGAATATTTTTTCATTTTTAGTGCCCTCTTCAATTTCTTTCATCAGTGTTTTATATAATTTTTATCATAGATATCTCTCACTCATTTGGTTATTTTAATTTTATGTGTCTGTTGTAAATGGGATTACTTTTTAAATTTCTGTTTTACGTTGTTCACTGTTGGCATGTACAAATGCAACTGATTCTTGTATGGTGATCTTGTGTCCAGCAACCTTCTTGAATTTATCAGTTCTAATAGTTTTTTTTTCTGGTGTCTTTAGGTTTTTCCAAATATAAGATCATATTGACAAACAAGGATAATTGTATTTCTTCATTGCCACCTTGGATGTCTTTATATATTTATCTGGTCTCATTGCCTTACTTAGGACTTTCAGTATTGTGTTGAATAACAGTGGTGACAGTGAGCATCCTTGTCGCATTGCAGATCTCTGAGGAATGGCTTTCAGTTTTTTCCTTATTCAGTAATGACACTAGCTGTTGGCCTCTTGTATATGACTTTTTTTTTCCTTTTTTTAAATTACACTTTAAGTTCTAGGGTACATGTGCACAACGTGCAGGTTTGTTACATATGTATACATTTGCCATGTTGGTGTGCTGCACCCATTAACTCATAATTTACATTAGGTATATCTCCTAATGCTATCTCTCCCCGTTCCCCCCACCCCACAACAGGCCCCGGTGTGTGATCTTCCCCTTCCTGTGTCCAAGTGTTCTAATTGTTCAATTCTCACCTATGAGTGAGATCGTGCGGTTTTATTATGTTGAGGTATGTTTCTTCTATTCCCAGTTTTTTGAGGGTTTCTATCATGAAGGGATGTTGAATCTTATCAAATGACTTTTCAGCATCAACTGAAATGATCACGTGGTTTTTATCCTTCATTCTGTTTATATTACATTGATTCATTTGTGTATGTTAAACTATCCTTGCATCCAAGGGATAAATCTCACTTGGTCATGATAAATGATCTTTTTAATATATTGTTGAATTCGGTTTGCTAGTATTTTGTTAAGGATTTTCACCTCAATATTCATCAACGATATTGGCCTGTGTTGGTTTTTTCTTTATGTGTCTTTGTATGGTCTTGGTATCAGGGTAATACTAGCTTCATACAATGAGTTTGCAAGTACTCCCTCCTCCTCTATCTTTCATAATAGTTTGAGTAGGATTGGTATTAGTTCTTCTTTAAAAGTTTGATTGAATTCAGCAGTGAAGCCGTCAGGTCCTGGGCTTTTGTTTACTGGAAGAATTTTTATTATGGCTTTGATCTCGTTAACTGTTACTGGTTTGTTCAGGTATTAGATTTCTTGGTTCAATCTTGGTAGGTTGTATGAGTCTAGGAATTTTTTTATTTATTCTAGATTTTCCAATAGTTGCTCATAGTAGCCACTAATGATCCTTTGAGTTCCTGCAGTATCAGATGCAATGTCTCCTTTGTCATTTTTGATTTTATTTATATGAATATTTCTCTTTTTATTAGTCTAGATAAAGTTTTGTTATTTTTTTTTAACTTTTCAAGAAACCAGGGTTTCTTTTTTTTCATTGATTTTCTTTCTTTCTTTCTTTCTTTTTTTTTGAGACAGAGTTTCACTCTTGTTGCCCAGGCTGGAGTGGAATGGTGCGATCTCGGCTTACTGCAACCTCTGCCTCCCGGGTTCAAGCAATTCTTCTGTCTCAGCCTCCTGAGTTGCTAGGATTACAAGCATGCACCACCACACCCAGCTAATTTCATATTTTTAGTAGAGACGGGGTTTCTCCATGTTGGTCAGCCTGGTCTCAAACTCCTGACCTCAGGTGATCTGCCCACCTCGGCCTCCCAAAGTGCTGGGATTACAGGTGTGAGCCACCGCACCCAGCCACACTGATTTTTTTTTATTTCAATTTTATTTATTTATTTTTTGCTCTAGTCTTTATTAGTTCTTTTATTCTACTAATTTTGGGTTTGTTTCCTCTTGCTTTTCTAGTTTTTTAAGATGCATTGTTAGATTGTTTACTTGAAATTTTTCCTCTTTTTTGATATAGGCACTTAATAACTATAAAATTCACTCTGAGTACTGTTTTTGCTGCTGTATCCCAGAGGTTTTGATATGTTGTGTTTCCATTGTCATTTGTTTGAAGAAATTTTTCAATTTCCTTTTAATTTCTTCATTGATTCACTGGTCATTCAGGAACATATTGTTTAGCTTCCATGTATTTATATCATTTCCAAAATCCCTTGTTATTAATTTGTAGTTTTATTCCATTGTTTTCAGAAAAGATGTTTGATATTATATCAATCTTTTTTTAATGTTTTAGGACTTGTTTTTTGACCTATCATATGGTTTGTCTTTTTGAATGATCTATGTATATTCTGCAGCTCTTAGATGAAATGTCCTGTAAATATGTGTTAGATCCATTTGGTCTATAGTACAGATTAAGTCCAATGTTTCTTTGTTGATTTTTATGTCTGGAATATCTGTACAATGCTGAAAGTAGGGTGTTGACGTCTCCAGCTGTTTTTGTATTGGGGCCTATCTCTTTAGCTCTAATAACATTTGCTTTATATATCTGGGTACTCCAGTGTTGGGTGCATATATATTTAAAATTGTAATTTCCTCTTGCTGAATTGACCCCTTTATCATTATATAGTGACCTTCTTTGTCTCTTCCTGTAGGTTTGTCTTGAAATCTCTTTTGTCTGATATAAGTATAGTGACTCCTGCTCTTTTTGCTTTCCATCAGCATGGAATATCTATTTCTATCTTTTTATTTTCAGTTTATTTGTGTATTTATATGTGAAGTTTGTTTTTTGTGGGCAACAGAATAATGGGTCTTGTTTTTTTACCCATTTGGCCAATTTACGTCTTTTGATTGGACGGTTTAGATCATTCCTGTACAATGTTATTATTGATAAATAGGGACCTACTCATGTCATTTTGTTGTTATTTTCTTGTTGTTTTGTGGTCTTCTTCCCTCTTTCTTTCCTTCCTGTCTTTCTTTAGTGAAGGTGATTTTCTCTGGTGATATGATTTAGTTTTCTTGCTTTTTATTTTTTGTGTCTCCACTGTAGGATTTTTGGTTTGAGGTTACCATGAAGCTTGCAAATACTATCTTATAACCTGTTATTTTAACCTGATAACAACTTAACAATATTTGCATAAATAAGCAAACAAGCAAACAGAAAAGGAGCTAATAAAAACTACACTTTAATCCCATTCCCTTGCTTTTTAAACTTTTTATTGTTTCTATTTATTTCTTATTGTACTCACTATGTTTGGAAAAGTTATTGTACTTACTATTTTTGATTGGTTCATTGTTTAGTCTTTCTACTTAGCATGAGTAGCTTACATACCAGTTACAGTGTTATAGTATTCTGTATTTTTCTGTGTACTTACTATTACCAGTGAGTTTTACACCATCAGGTGATTTCTGTTTGCTCATTTAATGTTTTTTTCCTTCTGATTGAAGTACTCCCTTTAGCATTTATTGTAGGAAAGGACTGGGGTTGATGAAATCCCTCAACTTTTGTTTGTCTGGGAAAGTCTTTATTTCTTCTTTATGTTTGAAGGATATTTTTGCCAGATATACTGTTCTGGGTTAAAAGATTTTTTCTTCAGCATTTTAAATATGTCATGCCACTGTCTTCTGGCCTATAAGTTTTCCACTGAAAGGTCTGCTGCCTGACATATTGGAGCTTCATTGTATGTTTTTTGTTTCTTTTCCCTTACTGCTTTTAGGATCCTTTCTTCATCCTTGGCATTTGGGAGTTGGATTATTAAATACCTTGAGGTAGTCTATTTTGGGTTAAATCTGCTTTGTGTTCTATAACTTTCTTGCACTTGAATATTGCTATCTTTCCCTAGGTTTTTGAAGTTTCTTCTTGTTATCCCTTTGAATACTATTTCTACCCTCCTCACTTTCTCTACCTTCTCTTTAAGGCCAATACCTCTTACGTGTGCCCTTTTGAGGCTGTATTCTGGATTCTCTATGCATGCTTTATTGTATTTTATTCATTTTCTTTTTTCTCCTCTGTGTATTTTCAAATAGCCTGTCTTCAACCTCCCTAATTCTTTCTTCTCCTTGATCCATTCTGCTATTAAAGGACTCTGATGCAGTCTTCAGTATGCCAGTTGCATTTTTCAGCTCCAGAATTTTTGCTTGATTCTTTTTAATTATTTCATTCTCTTTGTTAAGTATATATGATAGAATTCTGAATTTCTTCTTTGTGTTGTCTTGAATTTCTTTGAGTTTCTTCAACACAGCTATTTTGATTTCTTTGTCTAAAAGGTCACATATCTCTGTTTCTCCAGCATTGGTCCCTGGTGCTTTATTTAGTTTACTTGGTGAAGTCATGTTTTCCTAGATGTTGTTAATACTACTAGATGTTCTTCATTGTCTGGGTGTTGAAGAGTTAGGTATTTATTGTAGTCTTCACTGTCTGGATTTATCTGTAGCCATCCTTCTTGGGAAGGCTTTCCAGATATTTGAAGAAAACTTGGGTACTGTGATGTAAGCTGTTTCTGCTATAGTAGGCATCCAAAGCCCAGTCTTCTGTAGTTCTTGCAGACTAGTAGAGATACTGCCTTGATGGTTTTAGATAAGACTTGGGAGAATTCTCTGGATTACCAGGCAGAGACTCTTGTTCCCTTCTTCTTCTTTCTCCCAAACATACAGATAATCTCTTCATTCTTAGCCATCAGCTGGGGCTGATGTGACACAAGCACCCCTGTTGCCACCACCACCATGACTGTGCTGACTCAGACCTCAAGCCAGCACAGCACTGGGTGTCACGCAAAGCCTGCTATAACCACTCCCTGGCTACTGGCTGTGTTCTTTCAAGGCCCTGGGGTTCTACAGTCAGTGGGTGGCAAAGCCAGCCAGGCAGACATAATTCTGGGTTTGAGTCCAGTCTCTGCCATCTTCCAGCTTTATGATGTTTCCTTTCCTCCAGGGAAGCAGGGTCGCCCAGGCCTTGGGTAGGTCCAGAGGTGCCATCTGGGAGTCAGTGACCAGAGTCAAAAACCTTCAAAGTCTACCCGATGTTCTGTAGTACTGAGGCTGAGCTGGGACTCAAACCACAAGATGCAGTACTTCCCACTCTCTTTCTCTTTCCAAAGGCGGAGGAGCCTCTCTCGGTAGCTATCATTCTTAGGCCACAAAGAGTACTGCCAGAATACCTCTGATCTTCCCTTAAGGCTCAAGATCTCTTAAATTAGCTTGTCGTGATTGCTACCTGGCCTGGGACTCACCATTCAGAGCAGTGGGCCCCAGGAACCCACTTGGTGCTCTAAACCCCTGTGGCTATGCTGGTACCTAAGGTGCAAGAATAAGTCCCTTTTTCTCTCTGCTTTTCTCTAGCAGAAGGGATTTTGCCCCATAGCCACCACAGCTGGTTATGTGCTGAGTCCCTCCCAAAGCCAGCAAGTCTCAGAGGCTCACCAAGGTCCTCAACATAGTACCTAGGTATCACTGCTAATTATTTAGGGCCCAAGGGCCCTTCAGTTAGCAGGTGATGAATGGTCCCAGAACTGAGTGTTTTCCTTCAAGACAGCAGGATCCCTTCTGGCCCAGAAATGTCTAGAAATGTCATCTGGGAGCTACAGCCTGGAACGGGGGACTCCCTACTCTTATTGGTACCCTATCCTGCTGTGGCTGAGCTGGTGCCCAAGATGCAAAACAAAGCCCTTCCTACTCATGCCTCTCCTCTCCTCAAGCAAGAGGAAAGGGTCTTTTTTGGAGCCATGAGCAGTGCAGCCTGGGGTAGGGAAGGAGTGATGCCAGCACTCCATTGGCTGCCCCAGCTGGTGTCTCAGTATTTCATGAGCTACTCCAGTCCACTGTCTTTGGGCCAAGTTCAGTAATAGCTCTCTCTTAAGAGTTTCAGTCCTTATGGCCTAGAATGCCCTTCAAGTTTACTTGGAGACACAGAGCACTGTAGGCCTTGGTGGCGAGGTTTGTGGGAACTCAAGTTCTGATCACTAGGATTGGTGATTTCCCTTTGGCTAGGGCTGGTTTAAATGCTCCCTGCATGTGCGGGCATCAGCTGAGTTTGTTCCAATTTTCCTTTCTGCTCTAAAGGACAGCACTGAGTTCAATGCCTCACAATTGCTGTGTTCTTTCTCCCCGACCCCAGGAAGCTCTCTGCACCATGCAGCTGCTGCTGGGGGGTAGGGGAGGGTGGGCATCGGTGATTCAGGGCTGTTTTTTCTATCTCTTCAGTGCGTCCTTCAGCAATATGAAGTTAACACCAGGTACTCTGAGTACTCACCTGAATTTTGTTTTCTATGAAGGTGTTTTTTTGTGTGTATGTGTAGATGGTTGTTAAGTTGGTGTCCTTGCAGCAGGGATGATTAGTGGAGCCTTTTATTTTGCCATTTTGTGCCGCCTTCTTTTCTGTTGTTAGATATGTATTTATAAAAATTGTATGAACAGCTGTATGCCTTAGCAAATATGTATCTCTAACAAATTAATTATTTATAATCTTTTACGTGTAAATTAGTAAAGATTAAACCAAGTTCTAAGGAAACTATCAACGACATAAAAATCTTTACAAAGATCTAACTGTATATTTCTACATCTCTTCACTGTCCCCTCACCCATACATACTTCCTAGCCTTTGGTATCTATCATTCTAATCTCTACCTCCTTGAGATCAATTTAGTAAAGTAGTGTGACTATAGTTAACAACAATGTATATTTCAAAATAGCTAGGAGACAGGACTGGAAATTTTCCCAATACATATAGATAATAAATACTTGAGGTGATGGATACCTCAAACACCTTGACTTGATCATTACACATTATATACATATAAAAAAATCACATGTACCTCATAAATATGTACAAATGTTATGTATCAATAAGAAATTAAAAAGTTTAAAACACCTTTACAAATATTACATTACGTTAATACATATACATGGCCCAGTGTTTTTTCCATGTAACTATTAATGGGCCATGAGAATTGGGAATGTGAATAGGCCTTGAACCCACATAATTCTGGGTTTGAGTCCACTCTCCACCATCTTCCAGCTTTATGATGTTTGCCAGGTTATTTAACATTTCATGACCTCAATTTCATTGTCTACAGAATTGGACCAGTAATACTCACCTGATAGTATTGTCCTTTTGGTATTTGTAGCATTCTATCAAAGGCAACGAGCTATTTAAATTTAGAATAGTGCCATTACTGTATTTCGAGGGTTTTTTTTTTTTTTGCTATTTTATATTGAAAGAATTGTTTTGTTAATTCTTTTCAGTACACAGAGAAAGCAAATACTTGGTAATCTTTATGAGGACAGGATGGATGACCATCTTTCTGATCACTCTATCTTTAGGGCCAAGCATAGTGTCTGACTCATGACAGAGACTCAGTAAGTATTTTTGGACTGAACAAATGAAAAAGTATTTATGCATTTTGCCTTTAAATTATAATTCCACAATTTAGAACAATTGTGAAATGCTCAGATTAGTACAAGTGCATCTTACAATGCTTTTTAGTACAGAAAGTTTTAACAGTCTTGAGTGATTGGAAAAAAATTTTAGCAAAATACTACCTAGTGGAAGTTTCATTGAGCCATCCTGAACAGGCCAGCAGGCTAAGCTCTGAATAGCAAGTCATTTATATATTGGCAAATTTCTAAATATTAGAAAATCTTGAAAATCTCTAAGCCTTGTGGATATTTTAAATTTTAATTTATCTAAGAAATACAGCATCTTGGGCTGGCTAGGCACTGAAGAGAAATATGAGTAATCTGAATAAGCTAATAATGTAGAAAGAAAGAGCAGACATCCAGTACCAGGTTATAGGTGCTACAATTGAGGTTTGAACAGGTTGCCAGGGAAGCAGAGGGCAAGAGGTATAATCTTACACTTGGATGAAGTGTGGTATCCTGGGGTGTGGTGAAGTGACAGAATAGTGCCAGGAAATGTATCTTAGAGGTGTCAACCATTAGAGCTGGGTTATGAAGGATAGCTACGATTTAGTAACTAAAATGAGGATGTCACAGGCAGAAGAAATAATATTTGAAAAGCCCTGAGTTGAGAGAAACAATGCCATATTTTGTAAACAACAAGGCATTTATATAGCTGGATTTTAGATTACAGGCATCTGGAGAAGAGGATGAATTAGGCCTAATATATCAGGTTCAGGATTTTGGATGTTATTTATCAGGACATAGTGAAAATAACTGTACCTTTGTCCTGATATATGCATTGGGTCGCCAGTATATGTATCACTTATCAAACTGAATTGTAATAGACTGACATTTTTAGGCCTAGCTTACTATGGTTTGTAGGACCAATGTGTCTTACATGATGGTCCCTAGTTTGTTACAATTCTGTGACTTTGATCTATGACTATAATAATTACTATGTTTTGCACATGTATGTTTATTGCAGCACTATTTACAATAGCAAAGACATGGAACCAATCCAAATGCTCATCAATGATAGACTAGATAAAGAAATTGTGGTACATATACACCATTGAATACTATGCAGCCATAAAAAGGAATGAGATCATGTCCTTTGCAGGAACATGGATGAAGCTGGAAGCCATCACCCTCAGCAAACTAACACAGGAACAAAAAAACAAACACCTCATGTTTTCACTCATAAGTGGAAGTTGAACAATGAGAACACATGGACACAAGGAGGGGAACAACACACACTGGGGCCTGTAAGGAGGGTGGTGGCTCAGGAGAGGGAGACCATTAGGACAAATAGCTAATGCATGCAGGGCTTAAAGCCTAGATGACAGGTTGATAAGTGCAGCAAACCACCATGACACACATAACCTATGTAACAAACCTGCACATTCTGCACATGTATCCTACAACTTAAAGGAAAAAACAAATTATCATGTTTGTATCCTTGCTTTGTGCTGCAGCCTTTCACAGCTTTTAGTGAGCCCACTTTAGCAACCCCTCTCCCAACTTTCTAAATTATGGTTTCTATTCTGCTACATGCTAACAGATTAAATCATTAAACTTGCTAGAATTATTTGTGAATTAAGACTAAGTTCCATGTAAAGATATAGAGCACATTTGCTACCATAGGTCTGCTCTTGTCCATGGCAAACAATGACAATTTATCATAGTTTCTATTCTCATAGAGTCCACTTAAGATCTCAAAATTTCTTCTTAACACTGCTCTGTGTTTCAGGCAGCAGTTACCTAATTAGTAGAACTCGTTAAGCATGATTAACTCCAGTTTTTATGACTAGTCTAAGAGCTCTCTTTTGAGTACATTCTGTGGGTCTTAACGCTGGAGCTATTTGGTTTCACAGAGGTTTTCTTTGTCATTTAATTTCCGTTTCTCAGCTATGGTCACAGAGTTGTGAGTGTCAGAGAGTGCAGGTGTTCCTGCCCCAAGCACTACATGTTCATGCACTTTAATTGCTTAAATTATTAAGCAGATTAAACTTTTAAATTATAGCCTGGCCTACCAACAAAACTCCAGGCAACGAAAGGCTTTTATGAGCATTCTTGTGATTTGGTCTAGGAAAAACTGGTCTGAGCGTCACAGATTATTAAAACTACGAAGTCCCATAAAATTACTATCTAATTTTACTCTACTAATTTTGCGGATGTGAAAAAATGTAACCAGAGAAGCTAAGTGACTTTCTCTTTTTTTTTTTATTTTAACGGTAGTTATGGTTTTTTTTTTTTAATATACTTTAAGTTTTAGGGTACATGTGCACAACGTGCGGGTTTGTTACATATATATACATGTGCCATGTTGGTGTGCTGCACCCATTAACTTGTCAATTAACATTAGGTATATCTCCTAATGCTATCCCTCCCCACTCCCCACACCCCACAACAGGCCCCAGTGTATGATGTTCCCCTTCCTGTGTCCATGTGTTCTCATTGTTCAATTCCCATCTATGAGTGAGAACATGCGGTGTTTGGTTTTTCGTCCTTGCAATAGTTTGCTGAGAATGATGGTTTCCAGCTTCATCCATGTCCCTACAAAGGACATGAACTCATCATTTTTTATGGCTGCATAGTATTCCATGGTGTATATGTGCCACATTTTCTTAATCCAGTCTATCATTGTTGGACATTTGGGTTGGTTCCAAGTCTTTGCTATCGGGAATAGTGCCGCAATAAACATACGTGTGCATGTGTCGTTATAGCAGGATGATTTATAATCTTTTGGGTATATACCCAGTAATGGGATGGCTGGGTCAAATGGTATTTCTAGTTCTAGATCCCTGAGGAATCGCCACACTGACTTCCACAATGGTGGAACTAGTTTACAGTCCCACCAACAGTGTAAAAATGTTCCTATTTCTCCACATCCGCTCCAACACCTGTGGTTTCCTGAGTTTTTAATGATCACCATTCTAACTGGTGTGAGATGGTATCTCAGTGCAGTTTTGATTTGCATTTCTCTGATGGCCAGTGATGATGAGCATTTTTTCATGTGTCTTTTGGCTGCATAAATGTCTTCTTTTGAGAAGTGTCTGTTCATATCCTTCACCCACTTTTTGATGGGGTTGTTTTTTTCTTGTAAATTTGTTGGAGTTCATTGTAGATTCTGTATACTAGCCCTTTGTCAGATGAGTAGACTGCAAAAATTTTCTCCCATTCTGTAGGTTTCCTGTTCACTCTGATGGTAGTTTATTTTGCTGTGCAGAAGCTCTTTAGTTTAATTAGATCCCATTTGTCAATTTTGGCTTTTGTTGCCATTGCTTTTGGTGTTTTAGACATGAAGTCCTTGCCCATGCCTATGTCCTGAATGGTATTGCCTAGGTTTTCTTCTAGGGTTTTTATGGTTTTAGTTCTAACATTTAAATCTTTAATCCATCTTGAATTAATTTTAGTATAAGGTGTAATGAAGGGATCCAGTTTCAGCTTTCTACATATGGCTAGCCAGTTTTCCCAGCACCATTTATTAAATAGGGAATCCTTTCCCCATTGCTTGTTTTTGTCAGGTTTGTCAAAGATCAGATAGTTGTAGATATGCGGCGTTATTTCTGAGGTCTCTGTTCTGTTCCATTGGTCTATATCTCTGTTTTGGTACCAGTACCATGCTGTTTTGGTTACTGTAGCCTCATAGTATAGTTTGAAGTCAGGTAGCGTGATGCGTCCAGCTTTGTTCTTTTGGCTTAGGATTGACTTGGCGATGCAGGCTCTTTTTTGGTTCCATATGAACTTTAAAGTAGTTTTTTCCAATTCTGTGAAGAAAGTCATTGGTAGCTTGATGGGGATGGCATTGAATCTATAAATTACCTTGGGCAGTATGGCCATTTTCACGATGTTGATTCTTCCTACCCATGAGCAGGGAATGTTGTTCCATTTCTTTGTGTCCTCTTTTATTTCATTGAGCAGTGATTTGTAGTTCTCCTTGAAGAGGTCCTTCACGTCCCTTGTAAGTTGGATTCCTAGGTATTTTATTCTCTTTGAAGCAATTGTGACTGGGAGGTCACTCATGATTTGGCTCTCTGTTTGTCTGTTGTTGGTGTATAAGAATGCTTGTGATTTTTGTACATTGATTTTGTATCCTGAGACTTTGCTGAAGTTGCTTATCAGCTTAAGGAGATTTTGGACTGAGACGATGGGGTTTTCCTAGATATGCAATCATGTCATCTGCAAACAGGGACAATTTGACTTCCTCTTTTCCTAATTGAATACCCTTTATTTCCTTCCCCTGCCTGATTGCCCTGGCCAGAACTTCCAACACTATGTTGAATAAGAGTGGTGAGAGAGGGCATTCCTGTCTTGTGCCTGTTTTCAAAGGGAATGCTTCCAGTTTTTGCCCATTGAGTATGATATTGGCTGTGGGTTTGTCATAGATAGCTCTTATTATTTTGAGATACGTCCCATCAATACCTAATTTATTGAGAGTTTTTAGCATGAAGGGCTGTTGAATTTTGTCTAAGGCCTTTTCTTCATCTATTGAGATAATCATGTGGTTTTTGTCTTTGGTTCTGTTTATATGCTGGATTACGTTTATTGATTTGCGTATATTGAAACAGCCTTGCATCCCAGGGATGAAGCCCACTTGATCATGGTGGATAAGCTTTTTGATATGCTGCTGGATTCGGTTTGCCAGTATTTTATTGAGGATTTTTGCATCAATGTTCATCAAGGATATTGGTCTAAAATTCTCTTTTTTGGTTGTGTCTCTGCCCGGCTTTGTTATCAGGATGATGCTGGCCTCATAAAATGAGTTAGGGAGGATTCCCTCTTTTTCTATTGATTAGAATAGTTTCAGAAGGAATGGTACCAGTTCCTCCTTGTACCTCTGGTAGAATTCGGCTGTGAATCCATCTGGTCCTGGACTCTTTTTGGTTGGTAAGCTATTGATTATTGCCACAATTTCAGAGCCTGTTATTGTTCTATTCAGAGATTCAACTTCTTCCTGGTTTAGTCTTGGGAGGGTGTATGTGTCGAGGAATTTATTCATTTCTTCTAGATTTTCTAGTTTATTTGTGTAGAGGTGTTTGTAGTATTCTCTGATGGTAGTTTGTATTTCTGTGGGATCAGTGGTGATATCCCCTTTATCATTTTTTATTGTGTCTATTTGATTCTTCTCTCTTTTCTTCTTTATTAGTCTTGCTAGCGGTCTATCAATTTTGTTGATGCTTTCAAAAAACCAGCTCCTGGATTCATTAATTTTTTGAAGAGTTTTTTGTGTCTCTATTTCCTTCAGTTCTGCTCTGATTTTACTTATTTCTTGCCTTCTGCTAGGTTTTGAATGTGTTTGCTCTTGCTTTTCTAGTTCTTTTAATTGTGATGTTAGGGTGTCAATTTTGGATCTTTCCTGCTTTCTCTTGTGGGCATTTAGTGCTATAAATTTCCCTCTACACACTGCTTTGAACGTGTCCCAGAGATTCTGGTATGTTGTGTCTTTGTTCTTGTTGGTTTCAAGGAACATCTTTATTTCTGCCGTCATTTCGTTATGTACCCAGTAGTCATTCAGGAGCAGGTTGTTCAGTTTCCATGTAGTTGAGTGGTTTTGAGTGAGTTTCTTAATCCTGAGTTCTAGTTTGATTTCACTGTGGTCTGAGAGACAGTTTGTTATAATTTCTGTTCTTTTACATTTGCTGAGGAGAGATTTACTTCCACCTATGTGGTCAATTTTGGAATAGGTGTGGTGTGGTGCTGAAAAAAATGTATATTCTGTTGATTTGCAATGGAGAGTTCTGTAGATGTCTATTAGGTCCACTTGGTGCAGAGCTGAGTTCAATTCCTGGGTATCCTTGTTAACTTTCTGCCTCATTGATCTGTCTAATGTTGACAGTGGGGTGTTAAAGTCTCCCATTATTAATGTGTGGGAGTCTAAGTCTCTTTGTAGGTCACTAAGGACTTGCTTTATGAATCTGGGTGCTCCTGTATTGGGTGCATATATATTTAGGATAGTTAGCTCTTCTTGTTGAATTGATCCCTTTACCATTATGTAATGGCCTTGTTTGTCTCTTTTGATCTTTGTTGGTTTAAAGTCTGTTTCATCAGAGACTAGGATTGCAATCCCTGCCTTTTTTTGTTTTCCATTTGCTTGGTAGATCTTCCTCCATCCTTTTATTTTGAGCCTATGTGTGTCTCTGCAGGTGAGATGGGTTTCCTGAATACAGCACACTGATGGGTCTTGACTCTTTATCCAATTTGCCAGTCTGTGTCTTTTAGTTGGAGCATTTATTCCATTTACATTTAAAGTTAATATTGTTATGTGTGAATTTGATCCTGTCATTATGATGTTAGCTGGTTATTTTGCTCGTTAGTTGATGAAGTTTCTTCCTAGCCTCGATGGTCTTTACAATTTGGCATGATTTTGCAGTGGCTGGTACCAGTCGTTCCTTTCTATGTTTAGTGCTTCCTTCAGGAGGTCTTTTAGGGCAGGCCTGGTGGTGACAAAAATCTCTCAGCATTTGCTTGTCTGTAAAGGATTTTATTTCTCCTTCACTTATGAAGCTTAGTTTGGCTGGATATGCAATTCTGGGTTTAAAATTCTTTTCTTTAAGAATGTTGAATATTGGCCCCCACTCTCTTCTGGCTTGTAGAGTTTCTGCTGAGAGATCCTCTGTTAGTCTGATGGGCTTCCCTTTGTGGGTAACCCGACCTTTGTCTCTGGCTGCCCTTAACATTTTTTCCTTCATTTCAACTTTGGTGAATCTGACAATTATGTGTCTTGGAGTTGCTCTTCTCGAGGAGTATCTTTGTGGCGTTCTCTGTATTTCCTGAATCTGAATGTTGGCCTGCCTTGCTAGATTGAGGAAGTTCTCCTGGATACTATCCTGCAGAGTGTTTTCCAGCTTGATTCCATTCTCTCCGTCACTTTCAGGTACACCAATCAGACGTAGATTTGGTCTTTTCACATAGTCCCATATTTCTTAGAGGCTCTGTTCTTTTCTTTTTATTCTTTTTTGTCTAAACTTCCCTTCTTGCTTCATTTCATTCATTTGATCTTCCATCACTGATACCCTTTCTTCCAGTTGATTGCATTGGCTCCTGAGGCTTCTGCATTCTTCAGGTAGTTCTCGAGCCTTGGCTTTCAGCTCCATCAGCTCCTTTAAGCACTTCTCTGTATTGGTTATTCTTGTTATACTTTTGTCTAAATTTTTTTCAAAGTTTTCAGCTTATTTGCGTTTGGTTTGAATTTCCTCCTGTAGCTCAGAGTAGTTTGATCGTCTGAAGCCTTCTTCTCTCAACTCGTCAAAGTCATTCTCCGTCCAGCTTTGTTCCGTTACTGGTGAGGAGCTGCGTTCCTTTGGAGGAGGAGAGGTACTCTGATTTTTAGAGTTTCCAGTTTTTCTGCTCTGTTTTTTCCCATCTGTGTGGTTTTATCTACTTTTGGTCTTTGATGATGGTGGTGTACAGATGGGTTTTTGGTGTGGATGTCCTTTCTCTTTGTTAGTTTTCCTTCTAACAGACAGGACCCTCAGCTGCAGGTCTGTTGGAGTTTGCTAGAGGTCCACTCCAGACCCTGTTTGCCTGGGTACCAGCAGCAGTGGCTGCAGAACAGCGGATTTTCGTGAACTGCTAATGCTGCTGTCTGATCGTTCCTCTGGATGTTTTGTCTCAGAGGAGTACCCGGCCGCGTGAGGTGTCAGTCTGCCCCTACTGGGGGGTGCCTCCCAGTTAGGCTGCTCAGGGGTCAGGGGTCAGGGTCCCACTTGAGGAGGCAGTCTGCCCATTCTCAGATCTCCAGCTGCTTGCTGGGAGAACCACTGCTGTCTTCAAAGCTGTCAGACAGGGACATTTAAGTCTGCAGAGGTTACTGCTGTCTTTTTGTTTGTCTGTGCCCTGCCCCCAGAGGTGGAGCCTACAGAGGCAGGCAGGCCTCCTTGAGCTGTGGTGGGCTCCACCCAGTTGCAGCTTCCTGCCTGCTTTGTTTACCTAAGCAAGCCTGGGCAATGGCGGGCGCCCCTCCCCCAGCCTCACTGCCGCCTTGCAGTTTGATCTCAGACTGCTGTGCTAGCAATCAGCGAGACTCCGTGGGCATAGGACCCTCCGAGCCAGGTGCAGGATAGAATCTCCTGGTGCGCCGTTTTTTAAGCCCGTCGGAAAAGCACTGTATTAGGGTGGGGGTGACCCGATTTTCCAGGTGCCCTCTGTCACCCCTTTCTTTGAGTAGGAAAGGGAACTCCCTGACCCCTTGCACTTCCCGAGTGGAGGCAATGCCTCACCCTGCCTCTGCTCGCGCATGGTGTGCTGCACCCGCTGTCCTGCACCCACTGTCTGGCACTCCCTAGTGAGATGAACCCGGTACCTCAGATGGAAATGCAGAAATCACCCATCTTCTGCGTTGCTCATGCTGGGAGCTGTAGACATAGGGATGTTTTAAAGTACTTGAATTTACTGTTAACATGAGCACCGAAAATATGTAAAAGTTGTTGGCTCCCTGCTTCCCTTGGTCTACATCTCTTCCTAAATGATGAAATGTAAGCTGCCACTGTGCTTCAGTTAAAATTGGGGCAGTCACTTTATTTTTTTTTTATTTTTTATTTTTTTGTTATTAATATTATTATTATTTTTTATTATACTTTAAGTTTTAGGGTACATGTGCACATTGTGCAGGTTAGTTACATATGTATACATGTGCCATGCTGGTGTGCTGCACCCACTAACTCGTCATCTAGCATTAGGTATATCTCCCAATGCTATCCCTCCCCCCTCCCCCCACCCCACCACAGTCCCCAGAGTGTGATATTCCCCTTCCTGTGTCCATGTGATCTCATTGTTCAATTCCCACCTATGAGTGAGAATATGCGGTGTTTGGTTTTTTGTTCTTGCGATAGTTTACTGAGAATGATGATTTTGAATTTCATCCATGTCCCTACAAAGGACATGAACTCATCATTTTTTATGGCTGCATAGTATTCCAGAAACTACCGACAGAGTGAACAGGCAACCTACAAAGTGGGAGAAAATTTTCTCAACCTACTCATCTGACAAAGGGCTAATATCCAGAATCTACAATGAACTCAAACAAATTGACAAGAAAAAAACAAACAACCCCATCAAAAAGTGGGCGAAGGACATGAACAGACACTTCTCAAAAGAAGACATTTATGCAGCCAAAAAACACATGAAAAAATGCTGGTCATCACTGGCCATCAGAGAAATGCAAATCAAAACCACAATGAGATACCATCTCACACCAGTTAGAATGGCGATCATTAAAAAGTCAGGAAACAACAGGTGCTGGAGAGGATGTGGAGAAATAGGAACACTTTTACACTGTTGGTGGGACTGTAAACTAGTTCAACCATTGTGGAAGTCAGTGTGGCAATTCCTCAGGGATCTAGAACTAGAAATACCATTTGACCCAGCCATCCCATTACTGGGTATATACCCAAAGGACTATAAATCATGCTGCTATAAAGACACATGCACACGTATGTTTATTGCGGCATTATTCACAATAGCAAAGACTTGGAACCAACCCAAATGTCCAACAATGATAGACTGGATTAAGAAAATGGGGCAGTCACTTTAACAGAGCCTTGTGTCCTGATTGCAGTGGTGTGTGGCTGCTGTACTCCAGCTAGGGGGGCCCTTGCCCTCTCATGCAGGGAAACAGATGACCCAGGGGCTGGAGGTTCTGGATACACATTCTCCTTGTTTTCCACCTACTGTGCCAACATTTAGGATTAAAAGTGTGTGATGGTGTGTTTCCTTCTAAAATTCTCTATCTCTTCTTTGGGAGTCTGGAACTTAGGGATAGCGAGTGTTAGCAAAATAGAGTATATTTGCTTTTGTTCACTCAAGATTTAATACAGAGGAAACTTAATCTTCATACATTTTGTTTTCACATAACTCTAAATGGATTCCTTTGAGCTAGAATTGGCAGCTGTTTCCTGATATGTAATGGAAGCATATGCACCTTAAAGAGGATTTATAAAGGAATCAGATGATATGAGGAAGATTCCCATTAAACAAGGTGAAATTTGACCATACATCCTTGGTAGTATTCATGAGGCAGAAAGAAAATATTGTTGAGAAGAGACCAATGTAGTAGCATAACATCTTTTACAGAGTAAACTTTTTAGGTTATTACTGTAAGCACTCCTACTAAGTGAGAGTAATGCAGACTTAAGAACGTTTCCCTTATTACTCTTAATTAAAGCCTAGTGGCAGCACTAAGGCTAATGGCGAACAAAGCAAAAGTACCTAGTATTTCATTGTATTTTTTCCTATCCTTTCTTCTCTTCATTCCATCATTCTGAGTTACATGGATCTTATGGAATAACATGATGGAGTAATGAAGGTCATTATGGGAGCCACGATTTATTGCTTAAATCAACGTAGAGCAGAATCATTGCAGGATTTGCCAATGTCAATATCCATGTCTTTAGTTACCACATATTAAGTTACAATATCAGTGTCTTTAATTATTTCAGGTATGGAAGAAAATTCAGCTGAAATTTGCTAGAAAATGAGTTGTTTTGGAAAGAGACTGTAGAGAAAGGCAAATGGAAGAAGAAAGCTTCTGTGCCCCCACAGATACCGACTGAAAAGTGTTAGCATGAGCAAAAGTTCCTATCTAATATTATATGCTTTCCTTTGCTCCCAGGTAAGGTCCTGCTGTTTTGAAAAGGTTCTTTTCTTACCTTTGTCTTGTATACATAAAAAATACTACCTTTTTTTCTTGACTGTCCAGAATGGTTGATACTGTTTTTAAAAGGCTCCTTGTCCCCTTAGTTTTATCTTTAAAGTCTTTCAAGCTATTGGCAACTATACCAGATTTTCTATTAACTGCTAATATAATAAACTGTATTGTAATGCATTTTTTTCATAAAAAAAATAGAAAGAAGCTTTATCTTTTTGGAATTGAGGCATTGATTAAATGTTCCTGAAGACATTTATGATATAGATACCCAAAAGTAATACTCAGATTAAAAGCCACTCACCACTAATGAAATCTGGATTGAATGTTTAGTTTGTTTTAAATTTAGAATTAATATTAATGTAGCTGCTGTTTCTCTCTAGATATTTTTATAGTCAATTCAAATTACATTTGTTTGGTTTTTTTCTCTTTTTAAATTAGGGAATATTCCTCAAATGGGCATGTGCCAAGGTGAATATGACCATGTTTGCAAATAATCAGGGCAGTTGTTTTTAAATTATTGCATAATATGATTTAGAAAATTTCTTCATCAGTACAAAAATATATACTTGGTCTAGAAAACATTGTCAAATTCACTGTTGTTCTCAACTGTCAGAGAGTCTAAGTTCTACTAAATTCTGCTGTGTATGTCTTCATCTATACTTAGCACAACCAGCTAAAACAGGATATACTATTCTTTTTTCATCTTACATTTCTTTGATTTCCATAGAGGAAAAATAATTTTTATATGTTCTCTGATAACTACCTTCTCTCAGCAAAATAATTTTTCTTAAGTTCTTTCCTGCTGCTCTAGCAGCCCCTATTGCTTAGTGCTGTTCTCTGATATTCAGGTATTCTGCTGTGCCAACTGTTTTTAGGAAGCATCCCGTTGTATGCTGTAATTTGCAGAAAATGTTCCCTTGGAACTTACAATGGTCATGTTAAAAGAATAAACTGAGATTCCAGTTGGTAAATTAGCTTTGTGGATTGGGTATACATGAATACATTTGGAGTTTGATCATAATAGCCTGAACTAAAACACAAAAAGGTTTTTTTTTTTTTTTTTTTTTTTTACAGTGCAAAACTGAGGACAAAAGTAGAGAAGCAGTAGCTGTGTAGTTAAGCCAACCCAGTTAAATTTCACTTATCTTGGGTGATTGTATGCCATACATACTATATGTCCAATACTGCTAAACACTGAAGGTGTTCTGGAAGTACAGATCTTCTGCCTCAGGGAATTTATATTCTAGTTAGGAAGTTTAAGCACTTAGAGACAGCAATAACTTGAATGCTAATGCATGTTATAAATAAGTACTGAGGAATGTAGAAAAGAGAAAAACTCCACCTGAACTTTAAAAATAATACTATCGAAATGCTCATTTTATGCTTAGAAAAATTGAGGCCCAAAACTGTTAAGAGACATGGCCAGGATCACACAGTGTTTTAGCTTCTCAAAAGGAACTGGAATCCAGATCTCCTGGCTCATTCCAGGTTCTTTACACTAGAGACGTCTCCTAATTTAAGCCTCAGTTATTTCTTTGACAATGATTTCAAGTCAGTCCTTAACTCAGATGCTTATTTCCCGAAGGACGAAGTAATATTTTGACATAAAATTCCTAGAAACCCATTTAATACAATGAAATATCAAAATTGATAATAAAAAGAAATGAAAATTAAATAAAACATCTATATTCATTTACAGATGATTATTAAATACATAAAATCAATTAGTGTAAAAAAGCTGCTTATGTTTCTTTCAGATAAATATTATGTATATCAACTGAGGATACTTAAATATGAATCCAGTGAAATTGGGAATGACAATGCCTTGGAGCAATTCATTGTTCAAGAATCTTTGGACTGAATTCAAAATTAGGGATTTCTGCTTGAATTGTTATTTGCAATTTTATACATATACACATATTTGGAGAGAGGCAGTTTCCAAGACAATGTCTTCTTCCCTGATCTCTTGCTCTCTCCCATTTCTATAGTAGTTAGCTGCAGACAGGCTTGTCAGTGATTGCAACTGATAGAGTAAGAAGTTATCTGGGCTTCATTTTTAACATCAGCACAGTTATTAGGCAATCTAAGTGGAATTTTGGCCACAAGAGAGGGAGCACAAGTCAAAGTATTTTAAATCAGAGATTTCCAATATACTTTATTGGATATGAGAGTTGAAGAAGAGGAAGGAATCAAATTCAGGCCTAAAGACATGGAATTACTGTGTCTTAAACAAAAGTGGGAAAAATAGAAAGGAAATTCTGCCTCTGCTACTGATACAAAGAGGCATGGATGTTTGCATTGAGGTGTATTGAGGCAATAGTGAATGTTTTTATTGGAATGGATCTTTGGCACACTTTGATAGTGTATCTATGCCATTATACTGACAGTTCACCTTGAGCTCACACACATCACTCTCTTCCCATCATACTTCATTCCACAGCGGCCAGATCATGGCTTCCTCTGCCATTTGGAATGCTCCGACCTTAAGCAGTTGTCTCAGCAATGCTTTTTATTTGTTTTTCCTTGAGGCCATGCCAAAGCAAAGCTCATTGAGATATAGCCAAAACTGCCAGATGTTGCTGGATGTTATTTTATGCTCTCTGGGGAAAGCATTGTTTTCCAGTGAAACTCCTCAATTATTTCCTCCAAAAACTTTCTGAAAATTTTACTGAAATAAGTAAAAAATGTAACAAACCTTCAGAGATATGAGATTCTATGAGACGTTGTTTCTGTGTCTCAGATACATCTGCCTGGTGTCAATCCCAAAAGAAGAGGCTAAAGCACAAAATATGATTGAAAGAGTTAACCTGAGCCAAAGTAAGGAAAGCTGCCTGGAAGACTCAGACCCAAGTAACCTTGGATATGAGCTCCATTTGGCCTGTGTTACAAGCAGGTTTTTGAAGGCAAAAAATGGCAGGCAGTGGGCTATCACAAAGTTGTTCGTCAGGAATTTTCACTGGTTTACAGAAATTACGTTGATTATTGATTGGCTATATATTTTTATGGTATAGGGTGTTGGATATTGTGTCCAGTGTAGCATTATTAGATTAATTTGTAGCTACCTGTGGCAAGAGTTTGCAGTTTTTATAGATAAATACATAGCTCCAAATGGGGGGAAGTAGGATGTGATTGTTATTTCATTTGAATGCCTTTCTGGGCCTGATAATTTGAAAGGGCTCACATTCCTCAGATAGAAGTTCTTTTCTTTACTCATTTCTCTTTTTTGATAAAAAGTGTTTCTTCTTGAAAACATTGATGATCAAAATCTGTGTGTCAAGATGTCCCTCATTGCTGGAAAAGCTCATTCCTGGATAGTTCTTTCAAAGTCCCAGCGTGAAGATGTCCCTCATCATTGGGAAAGCACATTCCCTGGTAATCTCATTCCATGCTAGGTAGAGGGAAGGAAAGGAGACATCTCAGCAAGGAATTTTGAAAAGCACCCAAAAGCCAAATTGGGATGGTATCACAGAGTGGCAAAAAATGAGACCTGTCAAGTCACTGATCTATACAGCTGGTGTCACTTGCTGAATAATCTCTATTCTTTGGAGAACCATGAATGTAGTTTTCTCAGAAAATGAAAAGAAATGACAAATACATAACATTAATAATTTGGATAATAAAAATGTAATGTACATAAGAATTATAATCAGCAAGAAAATTTATATGCCAAATAGAAAAAGGGAAACTATTTCCTCATGGAGCAAACTAAAACATCAGGAAGAAAATTAAATGCTGGTTCTTCTTTAGAGATTTGCTATAGTTAAGTGGCTTCTTTTCTAATTTTCCATAGATGAGTTTCTACTTCATAGGAAGTGTTTATGTATACACAACAAAGAATATTTGCCACCACACATATACATCCCTGTTCAGCTAATATATAAAGCAATGTGATTTTCTAGTACAGCCTTAGCTAGTGAATTAGTAGGTTTTTTTGATTTGCTGAAGAAGTAGCAGTTTCATTAGCAATCTTTCCTAAGGTTATAGAAAGACTTCTAATCATGTGTTAATGGGAAGCAACAACCCGCCAAGGCAAAAACACTCTTCCAAAAGCATGCATGGAACTATCTTCTTGATGGTCCGTCAGATAATTAACAGGTTCCCCTCAAATAGAATCTTTATCTCAAATAGATCATTAGTCATGCTCAGAGAAAAGTTTGAAGGAACTAGTCCAATATTGGATTTCTTCTGAGCCATATATATATATATATATATATATATATACACACACACACATACATATATATATACACATACATATATATATACACATATATATATACATACATATATATATACACATATATATATATATACATACATATATATATATAAAACCAAGTATTTTAAAAGACACTACTATTCCTCATTCTATGCCCTTAGATATTTTTATATCCATGGATATAAAATCTCCTTCACAGACAAAAGTAAATGTCTGTGATTTCCTTCACAGACAAAAGTAAATGTCTGTGATCTCCTTCACAGACAAAAGTAAATCCTAGTGGAGTAGAGGTGAGTGTACTATAATTTCAATATATCAGTTTTGGGACATTTTTAAACCATGGGTCAGAAATGTTAGATCAAGAGAAAAGACTGGATCCTGATAGCAGGAGCGATTGTTTTTCTTTTAACATTCTAGCAGCATCATGGTTTTTACCACTGTCATTTCAGAGTGAGGCAGCAGTTGTTTTGACTGTGAGATTCTGATGGGTTAAATTGAAACATGGCAGGTTAGAATGAATCAGACAGACCTATTTGGTTTTGTTTTATGTGACCCCTGAATTGGGTTATGAGTACAATTAGAAATACTGGTGGCATTTAGGACAGAATGTAGCAATGGGTCACTGTCGTCGAAAGTTGTTGGTGGTTTAGGGTGGCAAACCCAGCATCTTGTTAGATTTCCAAATGTAATAGCAGTTTATGAGATATGAACCAGAGAACTATTTCTCCATGCTGTAATTCAATTAATTAGGGACAGTAAAAACTGAAGCTTGATCATGGGCATGTTGCTAAAGTACATATATTAACAATAAGACTAGTATGCTATATCTTAATATATATGTGTGTGTGTGTGTGTGTGTGTATATAAATGTGTATATATGTGTGTGTGTATATATGTGTGTGTATGTGTATATATATATATACATATATATATATATATATATATGATTATTTTACCAAAACCACCAAGAGAGGATTCCTACAATATGAAGGCAGCCTAAAAACATAATATTCCGGTCAACAGAAAAAGGAGATGAAAATTTCAGGCACAGTAATCATTGGAATCATGAGGAACTGGTTATACAGGCCTGAACCAGTATCTTAAGCAGAAGCAGACTACAGCAAATGTCAGTTACTTGCGGTGCTGATCAGGAAGATTGCAGGTCAGCTTTAATTGAGCATGTCTGGTGATAGAAAATGTCCACTCTGGTAGAGCCGCTTTTATAAAATGAGAAACATGAATCCTTGAGTCAACACCCTTAACTTTGGCAGCACAAGGATTGGTCAATACCTGATATGATCCCTTCCAGTGGGGTTGCAGGGAATCTTTTATTTGATGTTGTTTTCAGTTAACAAAATCTCCAGGTTGTAGGCCATGGTCTCTGTTACCTTTATCTCCCTGGAGCTCATTGCGAAAGGAATCCTTTATTAATTTGGAATTTATGGTAGGAAGTTTTGTGAGACCTTGGCAATAATGGAGGATATCACCTTTAAGAAGTACAGGTTCATAAGCTCTTTTATCTAGCCACATAGGCCTTCTTGTTATTATTTCAAAGAAAGAGACTTGACGTTTTATGAGTGGGGTGGATTGTAGGTTGAGCAGAACTAATGGGAGAGGTGCTGGCTAGAGAAAGTTAAAAATTTCTGTTAGCTTTGCATTGAGCTTTTTAATATCATTTGTTCATTTCACCAGTTCAGAGGATTGGGGGTGATGGGCACAACAGAAATGATGGAATATAGGCCAAATGTTACAAATAGATAAAATTACCTGACCAGTGAAGTGTGTTCCTCAGTCGCCATGGAGCTCAGATTGAACTCCCTATGGAAAAAAAAAAAAAAAAAAAACTTTTCTAATAACACTTTTCCTATTACTTTGGCCATGACTTGTCAGCATGGAAATGTTTCAACCCCCAATGACAGAAACGCAAATTAATACCAGAACACACTGGTAACCCTGAGATAGAGGCAGCTGGATAAAGTCCAATTACAATATCTCAAAGGATCCAAAGTTGAAGGAAAATGCCCCTGTGACCCATGAAGGGGATTTGCAGGATTATGTTTGGGACAAACGGTACAGTGAGAACACATTGTTTGTGCAATAGCAGGATATAGTTTTTAATATTTTTTTTCCTCATGCTATCATTTTGTCTAGATTTCAATGAGTGAGCTCAAGAACATACTGTAAGACATGTAATTGAAGCCTTAAGGGAAAGATCAGTCTATCATCAAGTCCATAACATAAGCCCATTTCTGGGGACAACTTGCCGTCTTTATTTTTCCAGAGCTCTATCTCCTTCTTAGGAGCTCCCATTTGTGCTTGTAAAATTGTAAATGCGTAGTAAGTTTGTAAGGTCATTTCAAGACATGCCTGATATAACCTTCAGGGCTGCATGCTTACCTAAAGTGTTAGTGAAATGGTTGTGCTTACTCTCTGGAGTTTCTAATGTCGAATAACCAGAGATTTTGATGATGGCCAATGATTTGGGTTCAGGGATTGCTTCAAAGAGGTCGGAGACTTGTTGACCATTTTTGATGGGTTGACTTGATGAGATCAGATATCCACGTTGCTTCCACAGCATTCCACAATCACGGGCTACTTCAATTCTGCCTGCTGAGCTGATTTAATAATCTGGAAGAGGATTATTCTCCCCCATCTGGAAGAGGATTATTCTCTATAATCCCAGTTAGAGACACAATGACATAAACATCGCTGTAAGTTCCAGATTTATCTTTCAAATAAGAATTATCAGTGAACCAAATTACATCAGCTTTATTTATAACTGTTTCTTGTAGGTCCTGTTGAAGTGTAAGAATTTGGTTGGTCAGGATGATAGAGTAGTGTGGTGTCTTGTCAGTAGGAAAAAGCAAAAGAGTGGCTGGGTTAATATTATAACAACAGGAAATGGTAACCTTAGGTGAGGGCAGAAGAAGACCTGCATAAGAAACAACTCTATTATATAAACAGAGTAATGTTGGGCATGAAAGAAGTTCAGAAGTGTTTCCACTGTATGAGTTAAGTACATGGTGAAAGAGGATCCCATATCTAAAGAGGGTAGCAGTAGCAGAGATTGCTCTTAAGCAAGGTGGCATCCTAGCAACTGCATCAAGTTGCCGGCTGTAATATCCACCGGGTGCATTATAATCCCCATGTTTCTGAGTTAGTATTCCCAGGGCATCTGCCTTGTCTTCATGAATGAACAGGGGAAAGAAAAAGCTGTCAATAGGATGACCTAAGACAGGTGCTAGTTATAAGATGTTCATTGATGACTTATGTGGCTTTTAGTCTCTCTGAAGTCCAAACACAAAGATCAGGTTGATCCATTTCCAGGAGGGTATATAAAGGGTGAGCTATTAAAGAAAAAATATGTATTTAATTTTAACAGTATCTAGCCAATCCCAGAAATCCTCAAAGTTGCTTCTTTGTTGAGGGCTTAGAGTAAAGCAGGACGCCTTTAATCCTGTCTGGGTTTATGAGCAATCCTTTCTTAGAAATAAAATATCCTAAATATTTTACCTGTGTCTGGCAAAATTGGAGTTGCTTTTTAGAAACTTTATGTCCCTTAGGTGCCAATTATTTTAAGAAATTTATGCTATCATCCTTAGAAGTTTGCATATTTGGAGAACAAAGGAAAAGATTATCCACATATTGGACAAGTATAGATCCCTCTGAGAAATATACATTAGCCAAGTCAGATTTCAATAATTGAGAAAAATTGGTAGGGCTCTCATTATAATCTTGGGGCATAAAGGTCTGGGAATACTGGCAGTTGTCATAAGTAAAGGCAAATAAATATTGACTCTCTGGCTCTACTGGAATGCTTTAAAAAAAAAAAAACTGCGCAAATCAGCCACAGTAAATTTCTTACTTTCAGGAGGGACTGCTGCCAAACGAATATGGGGGTTTTGTACCATCGGATGTCTTGGGACCACAGCGTTGTTGATAGCTCTCAAATCTTACAGAAAATGCCAGCCCTTCCCGTTCAGCTTCCTATGGAAAGGGTCAGAATGTTATATGGGCTGATACAAGGAATAATTATACCTTATTATAGGTCTGGTTCTTTCCATTGCTTCGGACCCTAATGGGTATTGTCTAATATTGGGTAAATCTTAAGCAGGTTTACTTTCACTTTAATGGGGGTAGTTGAATATATCTTTTTTTTTATTTTTTTGAGACGGAGTCTCACTTTTTCACCCAGGCTGGAGTGCAGTGGCACGATCTCGGTTCACTGCAAGCTCCGCCTCCCAGGTTCACGCCATTCTCCTGCCTCAGCCTCCCGAGTAGCTGGGACTACAGGCACCTGCCACCACGCCCGGCTAATTTTTTGTATTTTTAGTAGAGACGGGGTTTCACCATGTTAGCCAGGATGGTCTCGATCTCCTGACCTCGTGATCCACCCTCCTCGGCCTCCCAAAGTGCTGGGATTACAGGCGTGAGCCACTGCGCCCAGCCAGTAGTTGAATATATCTTAATGTTAATGGAAGATTGGGACCATAAGTGGTCCAGCAAAGCTTGCAATAAATCATTAGTGCCATTTCCTATTCTTGGTTTAGAAAAAATATGTCAGATCCGTAGTTTTATAATCTCAGTAGTTTAATTCTCATTCTGTAATTGTTCCATTAGCTCCTTCTACTCTGAATTTAACATTTCACCTTTCTGAGAGAAGGAAATGTATGTATTGCAAAGTTCCAAAAAATCTCTGCCTGAGAGGTGTATAGGAGCCAAGGGACCATGCAGAAAGGAATGAAGGTTACTCAATGAGCCTTCATGAAATTCTAAGGATTTGGACTTATATACAGTCATAGGTTGATTAGATACCCCTGCTGTTTGTATAGTTTATTACTCTGAGGAAGGGGACAATTTAAGGGGTGTAGGGTTGAAGACATAAAGTGACTATGAGGGTGCATGTCTGTTCTCCATTTATGAGCATTTCCACTTCTCCTAATGGGAAAATCCCATTTTGATCCTCAGAGCAACCCTATTCATCTTATGGCATCCTGTGCTTTTGTTGTTCCTGCTATTATTTAAGTTTTCTACAATCCTTTCCGAAATGGCCAGACTTTTTGAAATAGAAGCAGACACCTCTTTTATCATTAGAAAGAGGCATTTGTCTTTTCTTAAAAGGCCTGGTTTAACTAGCCAGTTGTTGAGGTGCAAATTAATAATCTTTGAGGCATTAATTCTATCTTTTTTCTGAATCATTTTGCTCTGAAAGCTTACTAATTCATGGGTTTGTATATTCACCCAGTTAAGAAACTGGTGTCTTTTAACTAAGGTAACCAAGTCCTCATTTAAGCAATTGAAGAAAGTAGAGTTTATGAGAAAATTGTTCTGGTAATCTTGGAGGCTAGTGTCAACCACTTTGGAATATTGTTGAAAGCTTATCTCATTGCCATTCCAAATAACTACAGATTCATCTGGCCTTTTGAGTACATTGCTCAACTCGCTTCCAATATACATTTTTTTAAAGGAAAGACCTGGGGAATGGCATCATGGAGAGACTTGGACAAAATGCAGACCCCTTCATGGTCTGCTTCAGTCTGATTTTGAAAATCCTCTAAAGGATTATTTCAGTTTGCCTTTTTTAACCACCCAATGGCCTTGCCTTCTGACACCAACATGTGAATTAATTGATATAGGTCAGAATATCCAGGCTCATAAGTTCAAAGAGTCAGATCAAATTCTTTTGCAAACCATATAGAATCTTGGAACAGGTCAGGGAAGCCTTTGATAACACTCTTAAATTCAATTTTTGCCCAAGGGGTATTAGACCCACCTCTTCCGTACAGGAAGAGGTGCTGTACAATCACACCTTGAAAAAGGCTGCCAGAATGGAAGTTTAAGGGAGGGGATCGGAGACATGGAAAGTTCCCTCAGGTACTGATGCTAGAAGAAGTAAAGCAAGACAGGAAAGTTCAGATGAAGGAGAATATGAAGATGCAGGGGTAGGAGAAGAAGGAGCAGTTAGAGCTGAAATGGAAAATGTGTTTCTAATGGCAGTTGTTGCTTAAAAGAGTGTTCAGAGTTTGAAGCTTGATTTCCCATAATTTAGGAGCTTTTCAAAAGTTACCAAGGTCATGAATATGTTTTGTGTTTGAAGTATGCTTCTTATGAACATCACTCCTCTAGATGTCACCCAAGAGTCATGAATAGCTTTCTTATGTATCCTAGTCTGTTTCTAACTGCTGGGTGGCAGCAGGGTACTCAACATATAGGGGACCAGTCCCTCATATTATATCCTAATGGAAGAGCAGAAAAGGGAGTTCATAAAGATGTTCTTCTGGGGGGGAGGGCCCCATGAGGCTACTTCATGTTGCGTCATGGTTAATGACCCTGACACCTTGGTGTAGTCTTCAGTCACCTGCAGCACCCAAATGGGCCAGAGGAAGCAAATCTCCTCTTTTCCTTGGGGCAAGAGAACTCACCCTCTGCATTTTTCCATTAGGAACTAACAGGAATTTGTCACAAATGAAAAGGTAGGTCTGCATTTCTAAGCAACTGCTGCAATATTAAAAAGCATGCTATTAAAATGAAACCACCAGTGCCTAATTTCCAATACCTTGACCCAGACCTTACTTCCGTGGGACAGAGGTAGAAAAGGCTGAAGTTCTCTGGGGAGCTGTTTGCCTGACTGTGACCCAGACCTCCTATCATGAGCCAGAGGCAGAAGAGTCAGTTTTGTTTTTGTTTTGCTTGTAACCCAAATACCTTACCTTTAGGGTAAAGATGGAAAACCTCAATTTTGAGGTTTGGAAAGTGAGGTTTGGAAAAAAACACCTCAAGCAGAGTCTAGACCTTCAACCAAAAAGTGGGAAGGACCAGATTTCAGTAGGCCTCAACACTTCACATTCAATACTTTCTCAAAGAGTCAAAATAAATCAAGAGGTTCAGAGCTGACCAAATGCTGAGTCAAGGAGGAATGTCAGATGGTCAGAGGTGTCTGAATTCTGCTCACAGCACCAGATATGTCACCCTAAAAGAAGGAGAGTGAAGGACAAAATATGATTGAAAGACTTTATTTCAGACAAAGTAAGGGCAGCTGCTGGGAAAACTCAGAGCCAAGTAACCTAGGATAGGAGCTCCATTGGGCCTTTGTTACGAGCAGATTTCTAAAGGCAAAGAAGAGGCACAGGGAGTTGGCTGATACAAAGTTGTTTGTCAGGAATTCTCACTGGTTTACAAAAATAACATTGATTAGTGATTGGCTATACATTGTTAAGCTATAGGGTATGGGATATAGTGTCCAGTGCCACATTATTAGGTTAATTCATAGCTACTTCATAGCTACCAAGCAGTTTTAATAGTTGAATAAATGGCTCAAAAGGGGGGAGTAGGATGTGATTATTGTCTTACTTTAATGCCTCTCTGAGTCTGATAATTTGAAAGAGCTCGTATTCTTCTACAAAAGTGTTAACTTTTCTTCTGTAGGCAGAAGCATATTGATGAGCAGATGGTGGGCAGGGTTCATGCAAAGAATAGTGACGCTTGGTGTTACTGTGTTTTATTTCTCTCCATTCCCACTCCTGACAAATTATTTGATTATGAACATTGAAATTAAGCATAATCCTCCCAATAGGATCATACATCTTCCAGAGTTTGCCTGCATTATATAGAGCTTGCTCTAGTCTTTGACTCCACCTGTCTTATTCCCTTTCTGAGATAGCATGAGCCTTTTAAGGGCTACTTCTTATTCCTTACTATGCCTAAGAAGTCCCTAGGATAGGCAGTTGCATAAAGTTAGGGCCCAATCAGTGTTTGTTGAAATGATTTACATGTTTTCCATGAGGATAAAGCAAGGTATGAAAAAAGTAGGAAAGGAAGTAATAATGGAGAGGTAGTCAGAGGACAAACATCTACAGGAATAATGGCATTAGAGTGAAGTGGGTTTTGAGAAAATTTAAATAGTAAAGGAGATTAGAGAAAATTATCAAGGGGAAGAAAAAAGAAACTAACGTAAGAGTCTGACATCAGTTGTGGAAGGGCTGTGAGAGTAAGGATTCATTTCTTGTATGTGATGCATGATTTCAACTTTTTCTATCTTGTTTTTAAAATTGGTAGTCACAATTTAATATTAAATATTTACAGAGTAATTAGCTGTGGATTTTAACATGTGTAAAAGTACCTTTCAGGCTGGGCGTGGTGGTTCACACCTGTAATCCCAGCACTTTGGGAGGCTGAGGCTGGTGAATTACCTGAAGTCAGGAGTTCAAGACCAGCCTGGCCAACAGAGTGAAACCCTATCTCTACTAAAAATACAAAAATTAGCCGGGTGTGGTGGCACGTGCCTGTAATCCCAGCTATGTGGGGGTCTGAGGCAGGAGAATCACTTGAACCATGTAGGCGGAAGTTGCAGGGAGCCAAGATGGAGCCACTGATCTCCAGCTCAGGTGACAGAGTAAGACTCGCCCCTCTCTCTCAAAAAAAAAGGTATCATTCAAATGCAAATTTTAGGAGAAAAAAATATTTTTCTACATGAAAAATAAGCAGATTGCAATTATTGGTGTTTAAAAGAAAATTTTAGAAGACTATTAAAATAACCATTTATATTCAGAGATGTGCTGTGCCTTCAACAGATTTTACATGAATTTCAGAAATTGATTTTAGCTTGTGGTAGGACAAATAATGACTCCAAAGATATCCAGGTCCTAATCCCTGGAATCCGTGCATGTTACCTTATAAGGTAACTGAGACCTTGCAGATGTGATTAATTAAAGGATCTTGAGTTGGTGAGATTATTCCGAATTATCTGGGTGGGCCCTGAATGAAATTATAAGTGTCCTTATAAGAAGAAGGCAGAGGCAGATTTGAGACAGAAGACAGTGTGTTACCAGTGAAGCAAGATGCTATTTTGCTGGCTTTGAAGACAAAGGAAGGAGTCTCTAGCTAAGGAATGCAAGGAATGCAGCTCTAGAAGCTGCAAAGGCAAAGTCTTTTATCCCCTAAACCCTCTAGGGAAAGTGTGGTTCTGCCTACATTTTGATTTCCCCCCAGTGAAGCTGATTTCAGACTTCTAACCTTCAAAACTGTAGGAGAAAAAATGTGCATTGTTTAAGTCACTGAGTTTGTGATAAATTGTTAGAGCAGCCATAGAAAAGTAATACATAGCCCTTTTAGTTACTATTTAAATTACGCCAGCGTCTCTGAGATATTCTTTGAAAGTGGCTTTACTGTCGAAATATATTATCTAACTATAGCTTACTATTAAAATCTTTTACAAATATAAATATAATTCCTCAAAAATTCTGTAAAATATATTATTTTAGGCTTATTTAATCTCTTTGAAAACAAAATTTATTCTTCTAAATATTTTCAATCTTAAATATCTTGAATATGTAAAGATTATCAGTGATTTTTCCTACTTTTTACCACATTTTAAAATTAATCAAAAATACAAGCATAACAGTTTATGTGTAATAAAAGGTATCTAAACCTAAGTTGTGTGAATACTGTAATACTGTTATCTAATCTGAAGAGTCCTACTCTCTCTCCAACTTCAATTTGTCTTTACAAAAAGGCACTAAGTTAAGAAAGGAGAAGAAAAAAATTTAACATTGTGTCAATATATGTAATAATTTGTGATAGAGAAAGAGGAAAATATAATGAGAATAAAGAGTAAGGATGTTAAATTAGCTGCAGTTTTTTAAAAAATAATTTTTAGGCCAGGCGCCGTGGCTCAAGCCTGTAATCCCAGCACTTTGGGAGGCTGAGGCAGGTGGATCACAAAGTCAGGAGCTTGACACCAGCCTGGCCAATATGGAGAAACCCCGTCTCTACTAAAAACACAAAGATTAGCCAGGCGAGGTGGTGGGCACCTGTAGTCTCAGCTACTTGGAAGGCTGAGGCAGGAGAATCGCTTGAACCTGGGAGGCGGAGGTTGCAGTGAGCTGAGATCCCGCCATGGCACTCCAGCCTGAGCCACAGAGCGAGACTCTGTCTCAAATAATAATAATAATAATAATAATAATTTTTAAAAACTTATTTTTGAGGATACCTCACAGTGTATCCTGGATATAGATAAGAATAAAGTTCCTCAAAAGGTGAATTATAAAACACATTTTGGTACAAAAAATTTAGCTATTATCTATTTAGCTATTATGTAATAATGTAAATTTTTACGTTTTTAAAAATTTATTATGTAAATAACAAGTTTAGCTGTTATGTAATTGGAAGTGTATCCTTGTTTAAAGTATTTAGTAAAAGATGGAAATAAACATTAGTTACCTCACATTTTCTCTTCACTAATTGAGAGTACTTCTCCCAGCTCTTTACACCTAAAGCCATGCTCTTGCAGCTAGAGCAAGAAAATTTTACCCAATCTCTTTTTTAAAAATTTTCTAAGACCTTTACCTCCATAGCAGCTCATAAATTTATGAAGTTTTTGTTTTTTCATTGACAAATAAAAATTGAATATATTTATAGTATACAATATGAACTCTTGAAATATGTGTACATAGTGGAATGGCTCAATTAAGCATGCATATATATATATATATATATATATATATATATATATATATATATAAAATGTATATATATATCCTACTTATTTTTTTGGTGAGAACACTGAAAATCTACTGTTTTAACAATTTTCAAAACATTAAAGCTATATTAACCACTTTATATAATAGATCTCTTAAACTTATTCTCCCTATCTAGTTGAAATTTTGTATCCTTTGAAAAAATTCCCCCAACACCCAGTCCTAGTAACCACTCCAAGTCTCAGGTAACCATCATTCTACTCACTACCTATATGCATTCAACTCTTTTGGATTCCACATACAAATAAGATAATGCAGTATTTGTCTTTCTGTGCCTGCCTTATTTCACTTTACCTAATGTTATCTAGGTTGATCCATGTTATTGCAAAAGACAAAATTTCCCTCTTTTTAAGACTGAAGAGTATTCCACTGTGTGTGTGTGTGTGTGTGTATACATATATATAAATATAAAATGCATTCTAATATATATAATATATTCTTCCTTTATTCATCAATAGATACTTAGATTGATTACATGTCTTGGCTATTATGAATAATGCTGCAATGAACATGGGAGTACAGACATCCTTTTGAAATACTGATTTCATTTCCTTTGGATATACCCAGAAGTGAGACTTCTGGATCATGAAGTAGTTTTATTTTTAATTTATTGAGGAACCTCCATACTGATTTCCATAATGGCTGTACTAATTTACATCTCCACCAACAGTGTGCAGGGGTTCTTTTTTCTCCACATCCTTGTCAACAATTCTTTTACCTTTTTGATAAAAGGCACTCTAAAAAATGCGAGGTCATATGTCATTGTGGTTTTAATTTGCACTTCTCTGCGGACTAGTGATTTAGAACATTTTTTCCATATGCAAGTTGGCCATTTATATTTCTTCATTTGAGAAATGTCTCTTCAGGTCCTTGTCCCATTTTTTATTTACTGTTATTTTTATTTTATTTTTTAAATTTTTTTATGTTTGTGTGTACTTAGTAGGTGAATATATTTCTGCAGAACATGAGATATTTTGATACAAGCAAACACTTCCTAATAATCACATCAGGGTAAATGGGATATGAATCATTTAAGCATTTATATTTTCTTTGTGTTACAAACAATCCAGTTATAATCTTTTAGTTCTTTTAAAATGTATAAGAAATTATTGAAGACTGTAGTTACCATGTTGTGACATCCAATACTAGATCTTACTCATTTTATCTAGCTTTATTTTTGTAACCATTAACTTTCCACTGCACTATTCTTTTTGGCCTGTGGTAACCATTGTTTTAGTCTCTAGCTCCATGAGTTCAATTGTTTTAATTTTTAGCTCCTACAAGTAAGTGAGAACATAAGAATTTTGTCTTTCTCTGCCTGGCTTATTTCACTTAACATAATGATGTCCAGTTCCATCTAAGTTATTGCAAAGGACAGAATCTCAATCTTTTTATGGCTGAATAGTGCTCCATTGTGTATATTTACCACATTTTCTTTATATATTCATCTGTTGATGGACATGTAGATTGCTTTCAAATATTGGCTATTGTGAAAAATGGTACAATAAGCATGAGAGTGCAGGTATTTTTTCAGTATACTGACTCCCATTCTTTGGGGTATATACCTTATAACAGGATTGACGGATCATATGGTAGCTCTGTTTTTAGTATTTTGAGAAAACTCCAAATTGTTCTCCATAGTACTGTACCAATTTATATTCCCACCAACAGTGTACGAGGGTTCCCTGTTCTCCACATCCTCACCAGCATTTGTTATTACCTGTCTTTTGGCTATAAGCCATTTTAACTGGGGTAAGGTAATATCTCATTGTAGTTTTGATTTGCATTTCTCTGATAAGCATTTATGATGAGGAACTTTTCATATACCTCCTTACCATTTGTATGTCTTCTTTTGAAAAATTCAGATCTTTTGCCCATTTTTTAATGAGATTATTAGATTTTTCCCAATAGAGTTGTTTGAGCACCTTAGATATTTTAATTATTAATCCCTTGTCATGTGGAGAGATTGCAAACTTTTTTTTTTCCCAACCTGGATTGTCTCTTCACTTTGCTCTTTGTTTCCTTTGCTCTGCAGAAGCTTTTTAATTTTAACATGATCCCATTTGTCCGCTTTTGGTTTGGGTGCCTGTGCTTACAGGGTATTACTCAAGAAATCTTTGCCTATTCCAATGTACTGGATAGTTTCTCCAATGTTTTCTTTTAGTAGTTTCATAGTATGAGGTCTTCGATTTAAGTATTTAATACATATTCATTTGATTTTTGCATATGGTGAGAGATAGGAATCAAGTTTCATCCTTCTGCACAGTTTTGCCAGTGACATTTATTGAGCAGACTGTTCTTTCCATAACATGTGTTCTTGGCACCTTTGTTGAAATTGAGTTCACTGCAGATGTCTGGATTTGTTTCCAGGTCCTGTGTTCTGTTCCATTAATTTATGTGTCTGTTCTTATGTCATTACCATGCTGTTTTGGTTATATGGCTCTGTAGTATAATTTGAAATCAGGTAACGTGATTCCTTCAGTTTGGTTCTTTTTGCTCAGAACAGTTTTTAATATTCTGAGTTTTTGGTGTTTCCATATACATTTTAGGGTTGTTTTTTCTATTTCTGTGAAGAATGTCATTGGTATTTTGATAGGGATTACATTGAATCTATAGATGGCTTCTGGTAGTGTAGACATTTTAACAATATTGATACTGTCAATCCATGGACATTGAATATATTTCCTTTTCTGTATACTCTTCACTTCTTTCATCAAAGTTTCATAGTTTTCATTGTAGAAATCTTTGACTTCTTCAGTTAAGTTTATTTCAATGTTTTAAATTTTATTTGTAGCTGTTTTACATTGTGTTACTTTCTTGGTTTCTTTTTCACATTGTTCACTGTTTGCATATGGAGATGTTACTGATTTTTCTATGTTAATGTTGTATTCTTGAACTTTACTGAATTTGTTTATTAGTTCCTATAATTTTCTGCTGAGTCTTTAGGTTTTGCCAAATACAAGATCATATTATTCGCAAAGGAGGGTGATTTGACTTATTTCTTTTCAACTTGGACACCCTTTATCTCTTTCTTTTTTCTGATTCTTATAGTTAGGACTTTCAGTATTATGTTGAATAAGAGTGGTGAAATTTGGCATACTCATGTTCCAGAATTTAGAGGAAAGGCTTTCAGTTTTTCCCCATGCAGTATGATACTAGCTATCAGTCTGTCATTTATGGCTTTTATTGTCTTGAGGTATGTTCCTTCTATGCTTATTTTTTGAGAGTTTTTATCTTGAAGGGATGTTGAATTTTGTCAAATGTTTTTTCTGCATCAATTGAAATGATCATTTTTTTCCCTTCATTCTGTTCATATGATGTAACACAATGATTGATTAGCATATGTGGATCCATCCTTCCAGCCCTGGGATAAATCTCACCTGGTCATGATGAATAATGTTTTTAATATGTTGCTGAATTTGATATGCTAGTATTTTGTTGAGGATTTTTGCAATAATGTTTATCATATATTAGCATGTGGTTTTCTTTCTTTGATGTGTCTTTTTCTGGTTTTGGTAGCAGGGTACTACTGGTCTCATAGAAAGTTTGGAAGTATTCACTCCTCATTGTTTCAGAACAGTTTGAGTAGGATTGGTATTAGCTCTTTAAGTGTTTGGTAAAATTGAACAGTGAAGCCATCAGGTCCTGGACTTTTCTTTGCTGAGAGACTATTTATTTTGGCTTCTATCTTGTTACTTCTTAGTGATCAGCTTACATTTTGGATTTCTTCATGGTTCAGTCGTGGTAGGTTATAAGCATTTTGGAATTCATCCATTTCTTCTGGGTTTTCCAATTTATTGGTGTATAGTTGTTCATAGGGACATCTAATAATTCTTTGATTTCTGCAGTATCAATTTTAATGTCTTTTTTTCTTTTTTTTAAATTATACTTTAAGTTCTATGGTACATGTGCACAACGTGCAGGATAGTTACATATGTATACATGTGCCATGTTGGTGTGCTGCACCCATTAACTCATCATTTACATTAGGTATATCTCCTAATGCTATCCCTCCCCCCTCCCCCCACCCCACAACAGCCCTGGTGTGCAATGTTCCCCTTCCTGTGTCCAAGTGTTCTCATTGTTCAATAACCACCTATGAGTGAGAACATGCGGTGTTTGGTTTTCTGTCCTTGCGATACTTTGCTGAGAATGATGGTTTCCAGCTTCATCCATGTCCCTACAAACGACATGAACTCATCCTTTTTTAGGGCTGCATAGTATTCCATGGTGTATATGTGCCACATTTTTTTAATCCAGTCTATCATTGATGGACATTTCGATTGGTTCCAAGTCTTTGCTATTGTGAATAGTGCCACAATAAACATACATGTCCATGTGTCTTTATAGCAGCATGATTTATAATCCTTTGGGTATATACCCAGTAATGGGATGACTGGGTCAAATGGTATTTCTAGTTCTAGATCCTTGAGGAATAGCCACACTGTCTTCCACAATGGTTGAACTAGCTTACAGTCCCACCAACAGTGTAAAAGTGTTCGTATATCTCCGCATCCTCTCCAGCACGTGTTGTTTCCTGAATTTTTAATGATTGCCATTCTGACTGGTCTGAGATGGTATCTCACTGTGGTTTTGATTTGCAATTCTCTGATGGCCAGTGATGATGAGCATTTTTTCATGTGTCTGTTGGCTGCATAAATGTCTTCTTTTGAGAAGTGTCTGTTCATATCCTTCACCCACTTTTTGATGGGTTTATTTGTTTTTTTCTTGTAAATTTGTTTGAGTTCTTTGTAGATTCTGGATATTAGCCCTTTGTCAGATGAGTACATTGCAAAAATTTTCTCCCATTCTGTAGGTTGCCTGTTCACTCTGATGGTAGTTTCTTTTGCTGTGCAGAAGCTCTTTAGTTTAATTAGATCCCATTTGTCAATTTTGTCTTTTGTTGCCACTGCTTCTGGTGTCTTAGACATGAAGTCCTTGCCCATGCCTATGTCCTGAATGGTATTGCCTAGGTTTTCTTCTAGGGCTTTTATGGTTTTAGGTCTAACATTTAAGTCTTTAATCCATCTTGAATTAATTTTAGTATAAGGTGTAATGAAGGGATCCAGTTTCAGCTTTCTACATATGGCGAGCCAGTTTTCCCAGTACCGTTTATTAAACAGGGAATCCTTTCCCCATTTCTTGTTTTTGTCAGGTTTGTCAAAGATCAGATAGTTGTAGATATGTGGCATTATTTCTGAGGGCTCTGTTCTGTTCCATTGGTCTATATCTCTGTTTTGGTACCAGTACCATGCTGTTTTGGTTACTGTAGCCTTGTAGTATAGTTTGAAGTCAGGTAGCGTGATGCCTCCAGCTTTCTTCTTTTAGCTTAGGATTTTCTTGGGCATTGCGGGCTCTTTTTTGGTGCCTTATGAACTTTAAAGTAGTTTTTTCCAATTCTGTGAAGAAAGCCATTGGGAGCTTGATGGGGATGGCATTGAATGTATAAATTACCTTGGGCAGTATGGCCATTTTCACAATATTGATTCTTCCTATCCATGAGCATGGAATGTTCTTCCCTTTGTTTGTGTCCTCTTTTATTGCTTTGAGCAGTGGTTTGCAGTTCTCCTTGAAGAGGTCCTTCACATCCCTTGTAAGTTGGATTCCTAGGTATTTTATTCTCTTTGAAGCAATTGTGAATGTTAGTTCACTCATTATTCGGCTTCCTGTTTCCCTGTTATTGGTGTACAAGAATGCTTGTGATTTTTGCACATTGATTTTGTATCCTGAGACTTTGCTGTTGCTTATCAGCTTAAGATTTTGGGCTGAGACAATGGGGTTTTCTAGATATACAATCATGTCATCTGCAAACAGGAACAATTGGACTTTCTCTTTTCCTAATTGAATACCCTTTATGTGTTTCTCCTGCCTGATTGCCCTGGCCAGAACTTCCAACACTATGTTGAATAGGAGTGGTGAGAGAGGGCATCCCTGTCTTGTGCCACTTTTCAACAGGAATGCTTCCAGTTTTTGCCCATTCAGTATGATATTGCCTGTGGGTTTGTCAGAAATAGCTCTTATTATTTTGAGATACGTCTCATCAATACCTAATTTATTGAGAGTTTTTAGCATGAAGGGTTGTTGAATTTTTGTCAAAGGCCTTTTCTGCATCTATTGAGATAATCATGTGGTTTTTGTATTTGGTTCTGTTTATATGCTTGATTATATTTATTGATTTCCGCCTATTGAACCTGCCTTGCATCCCAGGGATGAAGCCCACTTGATCATGGAGGATAAGCTTTTTGATGTGCTGCTGGATTCAGTTTGCCGGTATTTTATTGAGGATTTTTACATCGATGTTCATCAGGGATACTGGTATAAAATTCTCTTTTTTGGCTGCGTCCCTGCCAGGCTATGGTATCAGGATGATATTGGCCTCATAAAATGAGTTAGGGAGGATTCCCTCTTTTTCGTTGATTGGAATAGTTTCAGAAGGAATAGTACCAGCTCCTCCTTGTACCTCTGGTAGAATTTGGCTGTGAATCCGTCTGGTCCTGGACATTTTTTGGTTGGTAGGCTATTAATTATTGCCTCAATTTCAGAGCCTGTTATTGGTCTATTCAGGGATTCACCTTCTTCCTGGTTTAGTCCTGGGAGGGTGTATGTGTCCTGGAATTTATCCATTTCTTCTAGATTTTCTAGTTGATTTGCGTAGAGGTGTTTATAGTATTCTCTGATGGTAGTTTGTATTTCTGTGGGATCGGTGGTGATATCCCCTTTCTCATTTTTCATTGTGTCTATTTCTTTCTTCTCTCTTTTCTTCTTTATTAATCTTGCTGGCATTCTGTCAATTTTGTTGATCTTTTCAAAAAACCAGCCCTGGATTCATTGATTTTTTTGAAAGGTTTTTTGTGTCTGTATCTCCATCAGTTCTGCTCTGATCTTTGTTATTTCTTGCCTTCTGCTAGCTTTTGAAAGTGTTTACTCTTGCTTCTCTAGTTCTTTCAATTGTGACGTTAGGATGTCAATTTTAGATCTTTTCTGCTTTCTCTTGTGGGTGTTCAGTGCTGTAAATTTCCCTCTACACACTGCTTTAAATATGTGCCAGAGATTCAAGTAGGTTGTGTTTTTGTTCTCATTGGTTTCAAAGAACATCTTTATTTCTGCCATCATTTTGTTATGTACCCAGTAGTCACTCAGCAGCAGGTTGTTCAGTTTCCATGTAGTTGAGTGGTTTTGAGTGAGTTTCTTTATCCTGAGTTCTAGTTTGATTGCACTGTGGTCTGAGAGACAGTTTGTTATAATTTCTGTTCTTTTACATTTGCTGAGGAGTTCTTTACTTCCAACTATGTGGTCAATTTTGGAATAGGCGCAATGTGGTGCTGAGAAGAATGTATATTCTGTTGATTTGGGGTGGAGAGTTCTATAGATGTCTGTTAGGTCCACTTGGTGCAGAGCTAAATTCAATTCCTGGATATCCTTGTTAAATTTCTGTCTCGTTGGTCTGTCTTTTGTTTAAATTTGGGTGTTAAAGTCTTCCATTATTATTGTGTGGGAGTCTAAGTCTTTTTGTAAGTCTCTAAGGACTTGCTTTATGAATCTGGGTACTCCTGTATTGGGTGTATATATATTTAGGATAGTTAGCTCTTCTTGTTGAATTGATCCCTTTGCCATTATGTAATGGTCTTCTTTGTCTCTTTTGATCTTTGTTGGTTTAAAGTCTGTTTTATCAGAGACTAGGATTGCAACCCCTGCCTTTTTTTGTTTTCCATTTGCTTCATAGATCTTTCTCCATCCCTTTATTTTGAGCCTATGTGTGTCTCTGCACGTGAGATGGGTCTCCTGAGTACAGCACACTGATGGGTCTTGACTCTTTATCCAGTTTGCCAGTCTGTGTCTTTTAATTGGAGCATTTAGCCCACTTACATTTAAAGTTAATATTGTTATGTGTGAATTTGATCCTGTCATTATGATGTTAGCTGGTTATTTTGCTCGTTAGTTGATGCAGTTTCTTCCTAGCCTCGATAGTCTTTACAATTTGGCATGATTTTGCAGTGGCTGGTACTGGTTGTTCCTTTCCATGTTTTGTGCTTCCTTCAGGAGGTCTTTTAGGGCAGGCCTGGTGGTGACAAAATCTCTCAGCATTTGCTTGTCTGTAAAGGATTTTATTTCTCCTTCACTTATGAAGCTTAGTTTGGCTGGACATGAAATTCTGGGTTGAAAATTCTTTTCTGTAAGAATGTTGAATATTGTCCCCCACTCTCTTCTGGCTTGTAGAGTTTCTGCCAAGAGATCAGCTGTTAGTCTGATGGGCTTCCCTTTGTGGGTAACCTGACCTTTGTCTCTGGCTGCCCTTAACATTTGTTCCTTCATTTCGACTTTCGTGAATCTGACAAGTATGTTCTTGGAGTTGCTCTTCTCGAGGATTATCTTTGTGGCGTTCTCTGTATTTCCTGAATTTGAATGTTGACCTGCCTTGCTAGGTTGGGGAAGTTCTCCTGGATAATATCCTGCAGTGTTTTCCAACTTTTTTCCATTCTCCCTGTCACTTTCAGGTATACCAGTCAGACGTAGGTTTGGTCTTTTCACATAGTCCCATATTTTTTGGAGGCTTTGTTCGTTTCTTTTTACTCTTTTTTCTCTAAACTTCTCTTCTCGCTTAATTTCATTCATTTGATCTTCAATCACTGATACCCTTTCTTCCAGTTGATCGAATCGGCTACTGAAGCTTGTGCATTTGTCACATAGTTCTCGTGCCATGGTTTTCAGCTCCATCAGGTCATTTAAGGACTTTTCTACACTGGTTATTGTAGTTAGCCATTCGTTTAATCTTTTTTTCAAGGTTTTTAGCTTCTTTGTGATGGGTTTGAACTTCCTCCTTTAGCTCAGAGAAGTTTGATCTTCTGAAGCCTTCTTCTCTCCACTTGTCAAAGTCATTCTCCCTCCAGCTTTGTTCCGTTGCTGTCGAGGAGCTGCATTTCTTTGGAGGCGGAGAGGTACTCTGATTTTTAGAATTTTCAGCTTTTCTGCTCTGTTTTTTCCCCATCTTTGTGGTTTTATCTACCTTTGGTCTTTGATTATGGTAACGTACAGTTGGGGTTTTGGTGTGGATGTCCTTTCTGTTTTTCAGTTTTCCTTCTAACAGTCAGGACCCTCAGCTGCAGGTCTGTTGGAGTTTGCTAGAGGTCCACTCTAGACCCTGTTTTCCTGGTTATCAGCAGCAGAGGCTGCAGAACAGCGAATGTTGCAGAACAGTGAATGTTGCCGAACAGCAAATGTTGCTGCCTGATCGTTCCTCTGGAAGCTTCGTCTCAGAGGTGTACCCGGCCATGTGAGGTGTCAGTCTGCCCCTACTGGGTGGTGCCTCCCAGTTAAGCTACTCAGGGGTCAGGGACCCACTTGAGGAGGCAGTCTGTTTGCTCTCAGATCTCAAACTCCGGCTGGGAGAACCACTACTCTCTTCAAAGCTGTCAGGCAGGGACGTTTAAGTCTGCAGAAGTTTCTGCTGCCTTTCGAGCAGCTATTCCCTGCCCCATAGGTGGAGTCTACAGAGGCAGTTGGGCCTCCTTGAGCTACAGTGGGCTCCACCCAGTTTGAGCTTCCCGGCTGCTTTGTTTACCTACTCAAGCCTCGGCAATGGTGGGCGCCCCTCCCCCAGCCTCGCTGCCACCTTGCAGTTCGATCTCAGACTGCTGTGCTAGCAATGAGCGAGGCTCTGTGGGTGTGGGACCCTCCGAGCCAGCCGCGGGTTATAATCTCCTGGTGTGCTGTTTGCTAAGACCCTTGGGAAAGCGCAGTATTTGGGTGGGAGTGACCAGATTTTCCAGGTGCTGTCTGTCAAGGCTTCCCTTGGCTGGGAAAGGGAATTCCCTGACCCCTTGCACTTCCCAGGTGAGCTGATGCCTCACCCTGCTTCGGCTCTCGAAGTGGGCTGCACCCACTGCCCTGCACCCACTGTCCGACACGCCCCAGTCACACGAACCTGGTAACTCAGTTGGAAATGAAGAAACCACCCGTCCTTCTGCGTTGCTCACGCTGGGAGCTGTAGACTGGAGCTGTTCCTATTCGACCATCTTGGAACCGCCCCCTAATGTCTTTTTTTCATCACTGATTTTATTTATTTGGACCTTCTCTCTCTTTTTCTGGGTCTGGGTAAAGGTTTGTCAATTTTGTTTATCTTTTCTAGAATCCAATTTTCATTTCATTGATCTTTTATTCATTTCAATTATATTTCTGCTCTGGTCCTTATTATTTCTTTTTTTCTTCTATTAATTTTGAGTTTTCATTGTTCTTGCTTTCCTAGTTCTTTAAGACACCTCATTAGGTTATTTACAGTTTTTCTACTTTTTTGGTATAGGCACTTATAGCTATATATTTTCTTCTTTGTATTGTTTTCACTGTATCCCATACGTTTTGATATCTTGTGTTATCATTATCACTGGTTTTAAGAAATTGTTCATTTTTCTTCTTAATTTATTCATTGACCCACCAGTCACTCAGGAACATATTGTTTAATTTCCATGTGTTTTTATAGTTTCCAGAATTCCTCTTGGTATTGATTTCTGGTTTTATTTCATGTTGATCAGAGAAGATATTTCATATAATTTCAATTTTTTTAATTCTTTAAGAATTGTTTTGCAACCTATGTTCTAGCCATGAGAATGTTACATCTGCTGAGAAGAAGAATGTGTTTTCTGTGCCCACAAATCCAATGTTCTATAAATATCTATTATGTCCATTTAGTCTGTAGTGCAGATTAAGTCCAATGTTTCTTTGATTTTCTGTCTTTATGACAGAATGCTGAAAATAAGCTGTTGAAATCTCCAGCTATTGTATTGGAGTCTATCTCTCTTTAGGCGTAATAATATTTTCTTTATATAACCAGGTGCTCCTGTGTTGGGTGCATGTATATTTATAATTCTTATATTCTCTTACTGAGTTAATTGACCCTTTTCTCATTGTAGAGTGACCTTCTTTGTCTCTTATAGTTTTTTCTTCTTAAGTATGGCAATTTGTGCTCTTTTTTGGTTTCCATTTCCATGGAATATTTTTTCATCCCTTTATTTTCAGTCTCTGTGTGTTTTTTATATGTAAAGTGTGTTTCTTGTAGGCAAGGGATCATTGGGTCTTGTTTATTTATCCATTTAGCCACTCTATGTATTCTCATTGGAGAGGTGAGCACATTTACATTTAAGATTTTTGACAAGTAAGGACTTACTCTTACCATTTTGTTATTTGTTTCCTGGTTGTTTTGTGGTCTTCTTTACCTTCTTTCCTTCCTTCCTTCCTGTCTTTCTTTAGTGAAGGTGATTTTCTTTGGTGATTTATTTTAATTTCTTGCTCTATTTTTTAATATACCGTATGTTTTTTAATTTGAGGTTACCTCATGGTAATAGTGTCTTACAACCTGTTACTTAAAACTGATGACAACTCAACACTGATTGCCTCAACAAACAAGCAAACCAGAAAAAAGAAAATTAATAAAAACTCTACCCTTTAACTTTTTTCTTCCACTTGTTAACTTTGTGTTGTTTCCATTTATATTTTGTTGTACTATCTCTCTTGAAAAGTTTTTATTATTTTGATTTTTTAGTCTTTCTACTAAGATGTAAGTAGTTTACATGCCATAATTACAGTGTTATAATATTCTGTATTTTTCTGTGCACTTACTATTACCAGTAATTACTATTACCAGTAATTTTTACACTGTGAGATGATTTCTGATTGCGCATTAATTTTGTTCTCTTTCAGAATGAAAAACTCTTTAGCATTTCTTGTAGGACAAACTTGGTGTTAATGAAATCCTTCTACTTTCTATGGCTGGGACAGTATTTCTCCTTCATGTTTCATGGATATTCTCAGTGGATAAAATACTTTTGGATAAAAAGGTTTTTTGTTTTTTTGTTTTTCTTCAGCACATTACATATGGCATGCCACTCTCTCTTGGCCTATAAGGTTTCCACTGAAAAGTCTACTGCCAGACGTATTGGAGCTGCATTGTATATTACTTGTTTTTGTATATTACTTGTTTCTTTTATCTTGCTGCTTTTAATATCATTTTTTTTATCCTTGATTTTTGGGAGTTTGATTATTAAATGCCTTGATGTAGTCTTCTTTGCATTAAATCTGCTTGGTGTCCTATAACCTTTTTGCACTTGTATATTAATATCTTTCTCTAGTTTGGGGAAGTTATCTCTTATTATCTATTTGTGTAAACTTTCTACCCCTATCTCTTTCTCAATGACCTCTTTAAGGCCAATAACTCTTAGAAGTGCTTTTTTGAGGCTATTTTCTAGATCTCATAGGTGTGCTTCATTCTTTTTTTGTCTCCCCTGACTATATTTTCAAATAGCCTATCTTGAAGCTCACTAAATTCTTCTTTCTCCTTGGTCAGTTCTGCTGGTGAGAGACTCTGACATATTCTTCAGTATGTCAATTGCATTTTTTCATCTCAAAATTCTGCTTAATTCTTTTTAATTATTTTAATCTCTGTTAAACTTATCTATTAGGATTCTTAATTTCTTCTCTATTTTATCTTGGATTTAGTTGAGAATCTTCAAAACAGCTATTTTGAAATCTCAGTCTGAAAGGTAACCTATCTCTGTCTCTCCAGGATTAGTTTCTGGTCCTTTGTTTAGTTCATTTGGTGAGGTCATGTTTTCCTGGATGGTCTTATGGATGTTCATCAGTGTCTGGACATTAAAGAGTTAAGTATTTATTGTACTCTTTACAGTCTGGGCTTGTTTGTACCCATCCATCTTGGGAAGGCTTTTCAGGTATTCAAAGGGACTTGGGTGTTGTTATCTAAGCTTTTGTTTTCTGCAGCCATATCTACATTAGGAGGCCCCACAAGCCCAGTTAAGCTGTGGCTCTTACAGACTTGAAGAGGTATTGCCTCAGTAGTCTTAGATAAGATTCAGAAGAATTCTTTGGATTACCAGGCATGGACTCTTGTTCTCTTCCCTTACTTTCTCCCAAATAAATAGAGTCTCTCTCTCTCTCTCTCTCTCTCTCTCTGTCTCTCTGTCTCTCTCTCTCTCTCTCTCTTTCTCTCTTTCTCTCTTTCTTTCTCCCTCTGTGATTAGCCACCTGGAGCTGGATGAGGGGTGACACAAGCACTACTGTGGTCCGCACCACTGGGACTGTGATGGGTCACACCTGAAGCCAGCATGGTACTTGTGTGATGGGTCAGACCTGAAGCCAGCATGGTACTTGGTCTCGCTCAAGGCCTCGGGTAACCACTGCCTTGTTCACACAAGGTCCTAGGCCTCTGCAATCAGAAGTTGGCAGAGCCAGCCAGGTTTGTGTCTTTCCATTCAGTTTGGCAAGTTCCCCGCAGCCCCAGTCAGGTCCAGAGATGCCATCAGGGAGCCAGGTTCTACAGTCAGAAATCTTAGGAATCTAGCCAGTGCTCTTTCTACTGCAGCTGAGCTGGCACCAAAAAGGCCCAAAGGCTCTACCTTCAGCTTGTGATGAATGCTGCCAGGCCTGGAATTCTCCATTCAAGGCAGTGGACTCCCCTTTGGCCTGAGGCAGGTGCCTCAGGACTCTGCTTGCTGCCCTGTCCTACTGTGGCTGAACTGGTATCCAAGTTGCAAGACAAAGTCCTCTTTACTCTTCCCTCTCCCCTCAAGCAGAGGGAAGGAGTTTCTCCTGGAGCTGCTATTTGTGCTTCCTGGGATTAAGGAGGGGGTGGAACAAGCACTACCTTGGCAACCCAAGAGGTGTCCCACTAGGTCATATTCCCCTCAAGTCCACTGGCTCTGAGCCAAGCACAGAACCAGGACTTGCCCAAGAATTGCAATTATTATTTCCTAGACTGCCTTTCCAGTTTGTTTAGGGTTCCAGAGGATTTTATCCCATGGTGAGAGGCTTGCTGGAACTTAGGTTCCTACTGCTGGGATTGATGATTTCTAGAGCTGGTTTAATTGCTTTCTCTGTGGACACAATGTGAGTTCTGCCTGGTGTTGCTTTCTGTTGGGACAGGGCAGCACTGAGTTCCAATGGTAAGTTCCACAATCAGCGCGCTCTCCCTCCCCCAGATGCACAGATTCTAAGTGCCACGTAGCTGCTGTGATGACATCAAAACACCATATCAAATAACGTTTCAAATTAATATTCAATTTTCTGTGATGTTTCATAATCCTCTACGAATTTTATATCTTTGTCCTATTTATGTAACTTATTAACCTTATTCTGTCAGTGTCAACTGAAAATGAAATATCTCTAGTTTGGCCAAGTATAAAGGCAAAAAATGCAATGTTTTACATTACAGGTACAATTGTTAAATGTATTCTAATTATTGAATCTAGGGCAAACCGGAGGACAACATTTATTTTTACGCTGTTAGCTGAAGTTATGCCACTGTAACTAAATCATACATTATAAAGTAATAAACTATATATCTGATTTCATTTTTCTCCTCACCACTTTCATCATTTAGTGGACAGTCTGTCTGTCTGTCTTATAGCCACAAATAAGGTGCTTTCTGACTCCTCCTACAATTAAGATCCATTGCTAATTAACACAGTGCTCCTCTTGAGTGCAGTGCTCATCATAGAATTCAGAAAAGAATCTGAGTGACTGGGGAAGTTTGATAAGGATGATAAAGGGGTCTGGACCCATGGCTACTGCTTGCACCACAACCATATCTGTTTCCTCTGCAAGTTGTAGCATATATTGGAAATTCTTTTTCCAGCTTTCAAAATTTTATTCTCAAAAAAAAAAGCAATTCCGGACTGGGCACAGTGGCTCGCGCCTGTAATCCCAGCACTTTGGGAGGCCAAGGCAGGCTAATCACCTGAAGTAGGGAGTTTGAGACCAGCCTGACCAACATGGAGAAACCCCGTCTCTACTAAAAATACAAAAATTAGCTAGGCGTGGTGGCACATGCCTGTAATCCCAGCTACTCAGGAGGCTGAGGCAGGAAAATAACTTGAACCTTGTAGGCGGAGGTTACAGTGAGCCAAGATCGCACCATTGCACTCCAGCCTGAGCAACAAGAGTGAAAAAAAAAAAGCAAGTTTGTCAGTTTGATTTGAAATTTTTCTTATCCAAAAATATTATTATATCAGAACGTTAGCATACCTCAGAGAGATGGCACCTTGTTCAAACTGGCTACAAGGATCATTTGTTCAACTAGACAGCCATAGTGTGTTCACTCAGAATGAGGATATTTATCCGCATTTCTGCCAATCCCAATTTGTAAAGAGGGCATGATAAGATAGATTTGTGAGGTATTTGCAGTAAACAAGATGTGAACCATACAAGATAATAATTAACTGACTTCGGCCTGCAGATAAGATTCCGTGGAACAGTAAGAATGTCCAGTGTTCTCTATGTGAGTAAAGGGCAAATCATTGGAGACCCAAGACCTCATATATGTGACATAAAATTTCAAACTTGTACCGTAACTACTAATCTTATTCTCAGTTTGGTTTAAGTGTAATCACTTTATCTCTTTGATCAAGCCATGACAGAGGCAAGTCTTCCCTGGGACTTTGCAATTAGGGAGACAAAATTTGATCTTTTTGGCCAGGCAAGGGGGCTCACGCCTGCAATCCCAGCACTTTGGGAGGCTGAGACAGGTGAATCACTTGAGGTCAGGAGTTCAAGACCAGCCTGGCCAACATGGCGCAACCCCATCTCTACTAAAAATACAAAAATTAGCTGGACATGGTAGCATGTGCCTATAGTCCCAACTACTTGGGAGGCTGAGGCATGAGAATTGCTTGAACCTGGGAGACAGAGGTTGCAGTGAGCTAAGATCAGGCCACTGCACTCCAGCCTGCGCGACAGAGCAAGACTCTGTCTAAAAAAAAAAAAAAAAGTATTTTTACTTAGCTCACTTGTGATTGGGTTTCCTGTCATTTGAAATCAAAATAATCTTAATACAAAAAGGAGGATAATTATCATTTTTTTCAACTTTTATTTTAGAACCAGTGGGAACATGTGCAGGTTTATTACAAAGGTTTATTGTGTGATGCTGAGGTTTGGGATACGACTGAACCCGTCACCAAGGTAGAGAACATACTATCCAAAAGGTAGTTGTTCAGCCCTCCCCCTCCCCCTTCTCTCACACCCTAGTAGTTCTCAGTGTTTATTGTTCCCATCTTTATGTTCATGTGTACCCAGTGTTTAGCTCTCACTTATAAGTAATAACATGTGGTACTTAGTTTTCTGTTTCTGCATTAGTTTGCTTAGCATAATGGCCTCCAGTTGCATCCATGTTGCTGCAAAGGAAATGATTTCATTCTTTTTTATGACTGTGTAGTATTTCATGGTGTATATGGATTACGTTTTCCTTATACAATCCACCATTGATGAGCACCTGGGTTGATTCCATATTTCTGCTATTGTGGATAGAGCTGTGACGAACATACAGGTGCATGCATCCTTTGGGTAAAATGATTTATTTTCCTTTGGATATATACCCAGTAATGCAATTGCTGAGTGGAATGGTGGTTCAAATCTTGGTTGTTTGAGAAATCTCCAAAGTGCTCTACTCAATGGCTAAATTAATTTACATTCACACCAAAAAGGTATGTGTCCCCCTTTCTCCACAGCCTTGCCAACGTATTATGTTTTTATTTTTCCACAAAATAAATTCTGACTGGTTTGAGATGGCATATCATTATGGTTTGATTTGCAATTCTCTTATGATTAATGATGATATATTTTCATATGTTTGTTGGCCACTTGTATGTCTTTTTTTTCAGAAATGTCCGTTCATGTCCCTTGCCCAATTTTAAATGGAGTGGTTTTTTGCTTATTGATTTGTTTAAATTCCTTATAGATTCTGCATATTAGACCTTTGTTGGCTGCATAGTTTGTATTTTCTCCCCTTCTATAGGTTGTCTGTTTACTTCCTTGATAGTTTCTTTTGCTATGCAGAAGCTCTTTAGATTAATTAAGTCTTATTTAATCAATTTTTATTTTTGTTGCAATTTATTTTGAGGACTTAGCCATAAATATGTTGCCAAGGCCAATATCAAGAAGGGCATTTTCTAGGTTTTCTTCCAGGATTTTCATAGGTTGAGGTCTTACATTTAGGTCCTTAATCCTTCTCAAGCTAATTTTTGTATATGGTGGTAGGTAATGGTCCAGTTTCATTCTTCTGCATATGGATAGCCAGTTCTCACAGCACCATTTATTGAATAGGTAGTCTTTTTCCTATTGCTTGTTTTTCTTAAGTTTGTTGAAGATTAGGTGGTGGTAGGTGTGCACCTTTACATCTCAGTTCCGTTTTCTCTTCCCTTGGTGTATGTGTCTTTCTTTGTTTTTGTTTTTTGTACCAGTACAATGCTGTTTTGATTACTGTAGCCTTCTAGTATAGTTTGAAGTCAGAAAAAGTGCTGCTCCAGCTTTTTTTTTTTTTTTTTTTTTTTTGCTTTGAGTTGCTTTGGTTATCCAGATGCTTTTTTTGGTTCCATATGAATTTTAGAAGTCTTTTTTTCTAATTCTGTGAAAAAATGTTGTTGGTAGTTTAATAGGGATAGCATTGAATCTGTCAATTGCTTTAGGTGCTATGGCCATTTTAATAATATTAAGTCTTCTGAACATGAGCATGAAGTGTTTGTTTATTTATATCATCTCTAATTTCTTTCAGCAGTGTTTTGTAATTCTTTTTGTAGTAATCTTTCACCTCCTTGGTTAGCTGTATTCCTAGGTATTTCTTTTTTTGTTGTTTGTGTGGATTTTTAGAAATAAATATTTTTTGTTTTATTATGCTTTCAGTTCTAGGGTACATGTGCATAACGTGCAGGTTGTTCCATAGGTATACATGTGCCATGTTGCTTTGCTGCACCCATCAACTCATCATTTACATTTCTCCTAATGCTATCCCTCCTCCAGCCACACACCCCCTGACAGGCCCCAGTCTGTGATGTTCCCTGCCCTGTGTCCAAGTGATCTCATTGCTCAATTCCGACCTATGAGTGAGAACATGCGGTGTTTGGTTTTCTGTCCTTGTGATAGTTTGCTGAGAATGATGGTTTCCAGCTTCATCCATGTCCCTGCAAAGGACACGAACTCATCCTTTCTTATGGCTACATAGTTTTCCACGGTATATATGAGCCACATTTTCTTAATCCAGTCTATCATTGATGGACGTTTGGGTTGGTTCCAAGTCTTTGCTGTTGTGAGTAGTGCCGCAGTAAACATAGGTGTGCATGTGTCTTTATAGTAGCATGATTTATAATCCTTTGGGTATACACCCAGTAATAGGATTACTGGATCAAATGGTAATTCTAGTTCTAGATCCTTGAGGAATCACCACACTGTCTTCCAAAATGGTTGAACCAATTTACACTCCCACCAACAGTGTAAAAGCATTCCTATTTCTCCACATCCTCTCCAGCATCTGTGGTTTCCTGACTTTTTAATGATTGCCATTCTAACTGGTAAGAGATGGTATCTCATTGTGGTTTTGATTTGCATTTCTCTGATGACCAGTGATGATGAGCATTTTTTCATGTGTGTGTTGGCTGCATAAATTTCTTCTTTTGAAAAGTGTCTGTTCATATCCTTTGCCCACTTTTTGATGTGGTTGTTTGTTTTTTTCTTTTAAATTTGTTTGAGTTCATTGTAGATTCTGGATATTAGCCCTTTGTCAGATAGGTAGATTGCAACACTTTTCTCCCATTTTATAGGTTGCCTGTTCATTCTGATGGTAGTTTCTTTTCCTGTGCAGAAGCTCTTTAGTTTCATTAGATACCATTAGTCTATTTTGGCTTTTGTTGCCATTGCTTTTGGTGTTTTAGTCATGAAGTCCTTGCCCATGCCTGTGTCCTGAATGGTATTGCCTAAGTTTTCTTCTAGGGCTTTTATGGTTTTAGGTCTAACATTTAAGTCTTTAATCCATCTTGAATTAATTTTTGTATAAGGTGTAAGGAAGGGATCCAGTTTTAGCTTTCTACATATGGCTCGCCAGTTTTCCCAGCACAATTTATTAAATAGGTAATCCTCTCCCCATTTCTTATGTTTATCAGGTTTGTCAAAGATCAGATGGTTGTAGATGTGTGGCATTATTTCTGAGGGCTCTGTTCTGTTCCAGTGGTCTATATCTCTGTTTTGGTACCAGTACCATGCTGTTTTGGTTACTGTAGCCTTGTAGTATACTTTGAAGTCCAGTAGCGTGATGGCTCCAGCTTTGTTCTTTTTCCTTAGGATTGTCTTGGCAATGCAGGCTCTTTTTTGGATCCATATGAAATTTAAATTAGTTTTTTCCAATTCTGTAAAGAAAGTAATTGGTAGCTTGATGGGGATGACATTGAATCTACAAATTACTTTGGGCAGTATGGCCATTTTCACGATATTGATTCTTCCTATCCATGAGCATGGAATATTCTTCCATTTGTTTGTGTCCTCTTTTATTGCATTGAGCAGTGGTTTGTAGTTCTCCTTGAAGAGGTCCTTCACATCCCTTGTAAGTTGGATTCCTAGGTATTTTATTCTCTTTGAAGCAATTGTGAATGGGAGTTCACTCATGGTTTGGCTCTCTGTCTGTTAATGGTGTATGGGAATGCTTGTGATTTTTGTACATTAATTTTGTATCCTGAGACTTTGCTGAATTTGCTTATCAGCTTAAGGAGATTTGGGGCTGCGACGATAGGGTTTTCTAAATATACAGTCATGTCATCTGCAAACAGGGACAATTTGACTTCCTCATTTCCTAATTGAATACCCTTTATTTCTTCTCCTGCCTGATTGCCCTGGCCAGAGCTTCCAACACTCTGTTGAATAGAAGTGGTGAGAGAGGGTATTCTTGTCTTGTGCCAGTTTTGAAAGGCAATGCTTCTGGTTTTTTCCCATTCGGTATGATATTGGCTGTGGGTTTGTCATAAATAGATCTTATTATTTTGATATATGTCCCATCAATACCTAGTTTATTGAGAGTTTTTGGCATGAAGGGCTGTTGAATTTTGTCAAAGGCCTTTTCTGCATCTATTGAGATAATCATGTGCTTTTTGTCATTGGTTCTGTTTACGTGATGGATTACATTTATTGATTTGGGCATATTGAACCAGCCTTGCATCCCAGGGATGAAGCCGACTTGATCATGGTGGATAAGCTTTTTGATGTGCTGCTGGATTCAGTTTGCCAGTATTTTATTGAGGATTTTCGCATTGATGTTCATCTGGGATATTGGTCTAAAAATCTCTTTTCTGTTGTGTCTCTGCCAGGTTTTGTTATCAGGATGATGTTGGCCTCATAAAATGAGTTAGGGAGGATTCCCTCTTTTTCTATTGATTGGGATTTTTTAGAAGGAATGGTACCAACTCCTCTTTGTACATCTGGTAGAATTCTGCTATGAATCCATGTGGTCCTGGACTTTTTTGGTTGGTAGACTATTATTTATTGCCTTAATTTCAGAGGCTGTTTTTGGTCTATTCAGAGATTGAACTTCCTCCTGGTTTAGTCTTGGGAAAGTGTGTGTCCAGGAATTTATCCATTTCTTCTAGATTCTCTAGTTTATTTACATAGAGGTGTTTATAGTATTCTCTGATGGTAGTTCATATTTCTGTGGGATCAGTTGTAATATCCCCTTTATCATTTTTTATTACATCTATTTGATTCTTCTCTCTTTTCTTCTCTGTTAGTCTTGCTAGCAGTCTATCAATTTTGTTGATCTTTTCAGAAAACCAGCTCATGGATTCATTGATTTTTTTGAAGGGTTTTTTTGTGTCTCTATCTCCTTCAGTTCTGCTCTGATCTTAGTTATTTCTTGCCTTCTGCTAGCTTTTGAATGTATTTGCCCTTGCTTCTCTAGTTCTTTTAATTGTGATGTTAGGGTGTCGATTTTAGATCTTTCCTGCTTTCTCTTGTGGGCATTTAGTGCTATAAATTTCCCTCTACAGACTGCTTTAAATGTGTCCTAGAGATTCTGGTATGTTGTGTCTTTGTTCTCATTGGTTTCAAAGAACATCTTTATTTCTGCCTTCATTTCGTTATTTATCCAGTAGTCACACAGGAGCAAGTTGTTAGGTTTCCATGTAGTTGTGCAGTTTTAAGTGAGTTTCTTAATCCTGAGTTCTAATTTGATTGCACTGTGGTCTGAGAGACAGTTTGTTGTGATTTCTTTTCTTTTACATTTGCTGAGGAGTGTTTTACTTCCAATTATGTGGTCAATTTTAGAGTAAGTGCGATGTGGTGCTGAGAAGAATGTATATTCTGTTGATTTGGGGTGGCAAGTTCTGTAGATATCTATTAGGTCTGCTTGTTGCAGCACTGAGTACAGGCCCTGGATATCCTTATTAACCTTCTGTCTTCTTGATCTGTCTAATATTAACAGTGGGGTGTTAAAGTCTCCCATTATGATTGTGTGGGAGTCTAAGTCTCTTTGTAGGTCTCTAAGTACTTCCTTTATGAATCTGGGTGCTCCTGTATTGGGTGCATATATATTTAGGATAGTTAGCTCTTCTTGTTGAATTAATCCCTTTACCATTATGTAATGGCCTTCTTTGTCTCTTTTGATCTGTGTTGGTTTAGAGTCTGTTTTATCAGAGGCTAGGATTGCAACCCCTGTATTTTTTTGTTTTCCGTTTGCTTGGTGGATTTTCCTCCATCCCTTTATTTTGAGCCTATGTGTGTCTTTGCATGTGAGATGGGTCTCCTGAATACAGTACACTGATGGGTCTTGACTCTATCCAATTTGCCAGTCTGTGTGTTTTAATTGGGGCATTTAGCTTATTTATATTTAAGGTTAATACTGTTATGTGTGAATTTGATCCTGTCATTATGATGTTAGCTGTTTATTTTGCCCATTAATTGATGCAGATTCTTCATTGCATCAATGGTCTTTACAATTTGGCATGTTTTTGCAGTGGCTGGTACCGGTTGTTTCTTTCCATGTTTAGTGCTTCCTTGAAGAGCTCTTTTAAGGCAGGCCTGGTGGTGACAAAATCTCTCAGCATTTGCTCGTCTGTGAAGGATTTTATTTCTCCTTCGGTTATGAAGCTTAGTTTGACTGGACATGAAATTCTGCATTGAAAATTCTTTTCTTTAAGAATGTCAAATATTGGCCCCCACTCTCTTCTGGCTTGTAGGGTTTCTGCTGAGAGATCTGCTGTCAGTCTGATGGGCTTCCCTTTGTATGTAACTCTACCTTTCTCTCTGGCTGTCCTTAACACTTTTTCCTTCATTTCAACCTTAGTAAATCTGACAATTATGTGTCTTGGGGTTGCTCTTCTCTAGGAGTATCTTTGTGGTGTTCTCTGTATTTCCTGAATTTGAACTTGGGCCTGCCTTGCTAGGTTGGGGAAGTTTTCCTGGATAATATCCTGCAGAGTGTTTTCCAACTTGGTTCTATTCTCCACATCACTTTCAGGTACACCGATCAGACATAGATTTGTTCTTTTCACATAGTCCCATATTTCTTGGTGGCTTTCTTCATTTATTTTTACTTTTTTTTCTCTAACCTTGTCTTCTCACTTTATTTTATTAATTTGATCTTTAATCACTGATACCCTTTCTTACACTTGATAAAATCTTCTATTGAAGCTTGTGCATGCGTCACGAAGTTCTCATGCTATGGTTTTCAGCTCCATCATGTCATTTAAGGTCTTCTCTACCTTCTAGTTAGCCATTCGTCTAATCTTTTCTCTAGGTTTTTAGCTTCCTTGCAATGGCTTCAAACATCCTCCTTTAACGGCCGGGCATGGTGGCTCACGCCTGTAATCCCAGCACTTTGGGAGGCCAAGGTGGGTAGATCATGAGGTCAGGAGATCAAGACCATCCTGGCTAACACGGTGAAACCCCATCTCTACTAAAAATACAAAAAATTAGCTGGGTGTGGTGGCGGGCACCTGTAGTCCCAGCCACTTGGGAGGTTGAGGCAGGAGAATGGCATGATCCCGGGAGGCGGAGCTTGCAGTGAGCTGAGATCGCGCCACTGCACTCCAGCCTGGGCGACAGAGCAAGACTCCTTCTTAAAAAAAAAAAAAAAATCCTCCTTTAGCTTGGAGAAGTTTGTTATTACTGACCTTCTGAAGCCTCCTTCTGTCAACTTGTCAAAATCATTCTCCGTCCAGCTTTGTTCTGTTGCTGGTGAGGCGCTGCAATCCTTTGGGGGACAAGAGGCACTCTGATTTTTAGAATTTTCAGCTTTTCTCCTCTGGTGTCCCCCTATCTTTGTGATTTATCTACCTTTGGTCTTTGATGTTGGTGACCTACAGATGGGGTTTTGGTGTAGATGAACTTTTTGTTGATGTTGATGCTATACCTTTCTGTTTGTTAGTTTTCCTTCTAACAGTCGTGTCTCTCAGCTGCAGGTCTGTTGGAGTTTGCTGGAGTTCCACTCCAGACCCCATTTGCCTGGGTATCACCAGCGGAGGCTGTAGAACAGCAAATAATGCAGAACAGCAAGTATTGCTGCCTGATCCTTCCTCTGGAAGCTTCATCCCAGAGAGGCAGCCACCTATATGAGGTTTCTGTTGGCCCCTACTGGGAGGTGTCTCCCAGTTAGGCTACATGGGCTTCAGGGACCCACTTAAGGAGGCAGTCTGTCCATTCTCAGAGCTCAAACGCTGTGCTGGGAGAACCACTGCTCTCTTCAGAGCTGTTAGACAGGGACGTTTAAGTCTGCAGAAGTTGTCTGCTGCCTTTTGTTCAGCTATGCCCTGCCCACAGAGGTCGAGTCTAGAGGCAGTAGGTCTTGTTGAGCTGCGGTGGGCTCCACCCAGTTTGAGCTTCCCAGCTGCTTTGTTTACCTACTCAAGCCTCAGCAATGGCAGACGCCCCTCCGCCAGCCAGGCTGCCGCCTTGAAGATTGATCTCAGACTGCTGTGCTAGCAGTGAGCAAGGCTCCGTGGGTGTGTGACCTGCCAAGCGAGGCATGGGAGAGGATCACCGTGTCTGCTGGTTGCTGAGACCTTGGGAAAAGTGTAGTTTTTGGGTGGGGAATGTCCCGTTTTTCCAGGTAGTCTCCCATGGCTCCCCTTGGCTAGGAAAGGGAAATCCCCCGACCACTTGTGCTTCCTAGCTTAGGCAATGCCCCTCCCTGCTTCAGCTCACCCTCCGTGGGCTGCACCCACAGTCCAACCAGTCCCAATGAGATGAACCCGGTACCTCAATTGGAAATGCAGAAATCACCCATCTTCTGTGTCGATCACACTGGGAGCTGCAGACTGGAGCTGTTCCTCTTCGGCCATCTTGGAACACCCCCGCACCCCAGGTATTTCATTTTCTTTGCGGCTATTGTAAATGGTATTGAAGTGACATTCTTGAATTGGCTCTCAGCTAGAGTACTATTAGTGCATAGTAACGGTACTGATTTTTATGCTTTAATTTTGTATCCTGAAACTCTACTGAAGTCATTTTGTGGCTCTAGGAGCCTTTTGGCAGAGTCTTTAGGGTTTTCTAGGTATGTAATCATATTGTCAGCAAAGAGAGAGAGAGTTTAACTTCTTTTCCTATTTGGATGCCTTTTATTTCTTTCTCTTGTTCGATTGCTCTGTCAAGGACTTCCAGTACTATGTTGAATAGGAATGGTGGGAGTAAGCATCTTGTTCCAGTTTTGTCTTGTTCCAGTTTTCAAGGCGTATGATTTCAGCTTTTGCCCATTTAGTATAATATTGGCTGTGGGTTTGTCCTATATGGCTCTTATAATTTTCAGGTATGTTTCTTTATTTATTAAGGGATTTTATCATGAAGGGATGTTGGAGTTTATTGAATGCTTTTTCTACGTCTATTGAGATGATCATGTGGTTTTTGTTTTTAATTCAGTTTATGTGGTGAATCACATTTATTGATTTGCATATGTTGAACCAACATTGCATCCCAGGACTAAAGCCTACTTGATCATAGTGAATTAATTTTTGATGTGCTGAAAGATTTGGTTAACATTTTGTTAGCATTTTATTGAGGATTTTTGCATCTATGTTCATCGAGAATGTTGGCTTAAAGTTTTTATTTTTTGTTGTGTCTCTGTGAAATTTTGATATCAGGATGATGCTGGATTCATAGAAAGAGCTAAGGAGGAGTTCCTCCTCCTCCTCAATTTTTTGGAATAGTTTCAGTAAAACTGATAACAGTTCTTTGTATGTCTGCTAGAACTCTGCTGTGAATCCATCTGTTCCAGACCTTTTTTGGTTGGCACCTGTTTTTTTGTTGTTGTTCTCATTGTTTTGTTTGTTTGTTTGATTGTTTTTCTCATTCAATTTTGAAACCCATTATTGGTCTCTTCAGGTTTTCACTTTCTTCCTGGTTCATTCTTGGGAGGTTCTTTGTTTTGAGGAATTGTTATCCATTTCCTCAAGATATTTTAATTTGTGTGCATTTAAGTGTTCATAATAGTCTCTAAGGATCTTTTATATTTCTTTGGGATTAGAGTGTCATCTTTGTCATTCCTGATTGTGCTTATTCGGATCTTTTATTTATTTATTTTTTGTTAATCTAGCTATCAGTCTATCAATCTTACTTACTCTTTCAAAGAACCAAATATTGTTTTTATTGATTTTTTGTATAGCTTTTTACACCTTGATTTCATTCCGTTGTTGTCAGATTATAGTTATTTCTTCTTTCTGTTAGCTTTGGGGTAAATTTCTTTTTTTTTTCCTTTTAAGTTCCTCTAGGTGTGATCCTAGATTGTTCATTTGAGACCTTTCTAACTTCTTGATGTTTGTATTTAGCACTGTAAACTTTCCTCTTCACACTGCTTTAGCTACATTCCAACAATTTTGGTGTATTGTGTCTCCATTTTCATTCATTTCAAATAATTTTTAATTTTTACCTTAATTTAGAATTTTTTTAATTTCTATGTACTTTTGTAGTTTTGCGGGATCTTGATATTGATTTCTATTTTTTTTCACTGTAGTCTGAAAGCGTTTGGTATGAATTCATTTTTTTTTAATTTATTGAGATGTGCTCTGTGGCCAAGCATGTGGCTGATTATAGAATATGTTCTGTGTGCAGTTGAGAAAAATGTGTAATTTGCATTTAGTGGTTGGAGTATTTGTTAATGTCTCTTAGGTTCAATAGGTCACATATTGAGTACAATTCCAGTATTTCTTTGTAAGTTTTCTTCCTCAATGATCTATCTAACACTGCCAGTGGGCTATTTAAGTCTTCCACTCCTATAGTGTGGTTGCTTGAGCCTTTTCATATGTCGAGAAGAACATATGAACCCCTGACCTCAGGTGATCCACCTTCCTCGGCCTCCCAAACTGCTAGGATTACAGACATGAGCCACCACACCCGGCCCATTAAGGACATTCTTGATTCAAGGGAGGAGATCAAAATATCAACATTAAGAGGAGTTCGGAAGTTGCTGATTTCAACCCTCATAGATGATTTTGAGGAGTTCAAGACTTCAGTGGGAGAAGTAACTGAAGATGTAGTAGCAATAGCAGGATAACTATAATTAGAAGTGGAGCCTGAAGATGTGACTGAATTACTGCAATCTCATGATAAAACTTTGATGAATGAGAAATTGTTTCTTATGGATGAACACATAAAGTGGTTTCTTGATTTAGAATTTACTTCTGGTGAAGATTCTGCAGACATTGCTGAGATTACAACAAATGATTTAGAATATTACATAAACTTGTTTGATAAAGCAGGGGCAGATTTTGAGAGGATTGACTCTAATTTTGAAAGAAGTTCTGCTGTGGGTAAAATGCTATCAAACAACATCACTGTCTATGGAGATACATTTCATGAAAGGAAGAGTCAGTTTATGTGGCAAATTTTATTGGTGTCTTATTTTGAAAAATTGCCACAGATGTTGTGGGAATCAGGAGGACTAGAGAGACCTCGGGGTAAAGTGGGAGGATGTATTGAGTGCACTCAGATCTAGTGGTTTAACATCTTGGGACTGGGCCTTAGAACAAAGACAGCACTTAACCTTTATACACACTTCAAAAAGGGGGTGGGCTGGCCTGAAATAAGCTTACAGTGGCTCAAAGTGTACTGGCACAAAAGCAAGGATACAGAGGCAGAACAAAGGCAGTTAATTAAATTGTGACAGGTGCATAACTCAGGATTACACATGACTGTTGCTATACATCCTAGATGGCTGTTATCTATGAAGCCTAGACGGCTGTTATCTAGGCTTGCTCAAACAAGCCTTGCACTGGCTTATCTCATAACCTTCACTATGGCGCCCAGGTGGCTGTAGCTCAGGCCTGCTCGGACAGCTCATGACTTTCATTGTACTTCTTAGATAAAATGGAATACTTGAAGTTACTAGTTACAGATATCAGGAATCTTTATAAACTCATACTATAAAAGAAAGGAAATTTTTTTTTCTTCCTTATGTTGAGGGAGTGCTGGGAGTCTCTAGAACACATTCTTTTGTGTCTTAGCTTCTCAGATAGTGTTTATCTAGGCTCTTCTTGGGTCTGGGCTGTGCCTGTTGCTGCCTCTGGGATAAGTCAGCCTAATACAGGAAAGCTTATTTCTTTTTTCTTTTTAATTTTATTTTTCTTTCTTTAATTTCCTCGTCACAGACACTCTAATTTTCAATAGCCACCATGCTGATTAGTCAGCAGCCATCAACATCAGTATAAGACTCTCCACCAGCAAAAAGATTGGGACTCAACTAAAGGCTTAGATAATCATTAGCAACAAAGCATTTTTAAATTACAGTGTATACATTGTCTTTTAGACATAATTCTATTGCACTCTTAATATACTATGGTATAATGTAAACATAATGTTTATGTGCACTGGGAAACCTTGTGTAACTCACTTTATTTTGATATTCCCTTCATTGTAATGATCTGAAACTAATCCCATCATATCTGTAAGGCACTGAACAAAATGGTAGTTTTGCTAATTACCTCTACCTCTAATCTGATTTGTAAAAGCTCAGTATTGATGAAATGGCTCTCTGAAGGATAAAGAGGCCTATTTGTAAGACTTTCAATTTTAGAAGAGTATACTGATGATTTAAAAATTAACATCAAAGCATATTGCAGTGCTCAAGTTTGTCCATGTTAAGAATGTTTTCCTGGAAAATAAGTAAAAACGTGCCCAAAAATAAATTCAAAATTTATCAAAGTAACTCTACTTGGCTAGAGAGATAAGACAGAACCTTAGATGATATTTTCTATCTTCATTGTTGTGTTGAAATTTAGCATTTTTAAGATTATGCATGAGTTGTTGACTTATGTGCATCTGTAATCTCTATGTAACTATGTTAGTTTCATTGTGGAAAGAGATAATGGATGCATTCTGGTAAAACCAGAAGGAAGCTGTTTATTTCTTCCAAGAAAAGGGTAATGGGGAAAGCAACTGTTACATAGTAAACATTGACTATTTGTTCAAAATCCATGGCTATTCTGTAAGGGTTAAGTCATTGCTCTTTCAGGCTTTTAAAACAGTTTTCAGAGGTTGTAAACGTTTATGGAGTCAACATTCAAACCATTTGTATTGTTTTGGAACAAAATCTGAATAAAATTTAAAGGTAGAGAATCCAAGGATTTTGAAAGTATGGATAGCACTTTTATGCTTAGATTTTTTTCTTTTATACTTTTTCTTACTTAATGTTCATGTGGACTTACTCAGCTTGGAGACAGAAAACCTTTTTAAAATTAGTGTAGAGAAAACACTTTATTCAGATTTTCTACATTTTTACAGATTTACCATTTGGTAGTTCTGTCACTTTTTTGAATTATTTTGAAGATATTTTTTGCCTTTACTTTTTATGAGTTTAATTATGTTATGTTTTTGTGAGGATTTCCTTCAGCTTACTTTTGCTTCTGTAGGGTTCTCTCACTTTCTTGTATCTGTAAGTTTGTGTCTTCTCTAAGTTGTGGAGTTTTCAGCCATTATTTCTTTCAGTAATTTTTCAACCCCAATTTTTTTCCTCTCTTTTTGGGCCACTGATGGTTTAAATGTTGTGTCTTTGTTATTTTCCCAAAGGTCCTTGAGTTTCTCCTTTTATTATATTTGTTTCTGGTTGTGTGTGTCTGTGTGTGTGTGTGTGTGTGTGTGTGTGTCTTTTGTTTTGTTTTTGTGTTTTTGAGAGGGAGTTTCACTCTTGTCACCCAGCTGAAGTGCAATGGTGTGATTTTGGCTCACTGCAACCTCTGCCTCCCAGGTTCAAGCAATTCTCCTGCCTCAGCCAGCCAAGTAGTTGGGATTACAGATGCCCACCACCATGCCTGGCTAATTTTTGTATTTTTAGTAGAAATGGGTTTCACCATGTTGGCCAGGCTGGTCTCAAACTGCTGACCTCAAGTGATCCACCCACCTTGGCCTCTGTTTTTAAGATTTTATATATGTGGCCAGGTGTGATGGCTCATGCCTGTAACCCTAGTACTTTGGAAGTCTGAAGTGGGGGATCACTTAACCTCAGGAGTTTAAGACCAGCCTGGGCAACATTGTGAAATTCTGCCTCTACAAAAAATAGCCAGACACGGTGGCTCATGCTTGTAGTCCCAGCTTCTTGGGGGGCAAAGGTGGGAGGATCACTTCAACCTGAAAGGCAGAGGTTGCAGTGAGCTGAGATTGCACCATTACACTTCAGTCTGGGCAATAGAGTAATACCCTGTCTCAAAAAAAAAAAGATTTGATCTACTTTGTTGATCTTTCTTCAAGATCACTGTTTCTATCTTTTATCATTCTACCTCTTCTATTTTGTCTGTCCAATAAAGTTTATTTTTATTTCTCTTATTGTATTTTTCAGTTCCATAGTTTACATTTGGTTCTTTTTAACATCTATTTATTTTCTGAAGTATTTTAATTTTTTGTTCTCTCAAAATAGCTTGTAATTGCTTTTAAAAACATTTTTTAAAGGCTGATTTAAAGTCCTTGCCAATTAATTCTAGCATCCAATTTCTGTCAGTCTTGGAGTGTGTTGATTGTTTTTTGTCATACAAGTTGTTATTTTTCTGCTATTTGGTGTGATGGGTAATTTTCAATTTTATTATAGATATTTGGGATATTATGATAGGAAACACATGGTCATGTTTAGATCTTTAATTTTACCAATATATGATTCTGTTTAGGTGTATCATACAGATTCTGGCATACTTTTATAAACTGGTTTGCTACTACGTGTGGGGGTGGAAAGAGTTTCCACAGTTCAGGCTGTCAGGTATCTCTAGGTGAAGGAAAAGAGTCTCTGGTATGGGGGGATGAAGAGATTTCCTACACTAGGCCACTTATAGGGCCAGTATTCCCTTTTCCAAATCAGCCTTGTTGCCAATTTTCTCTTGATGTGAGAAGGGAATCTCTCGCCTGTGACAAGAGGCTTTTCAGCCCAGGTCACTTGTTGTGGCAAGGTCCTCTTTGCTGATACCACCTGTCTACCTGGTGCATATCAGTGAGGGAGGGAGTTTCAGTCCCAGTTGGAGAGAACACTTCCACTGACTACTTATTATCAGTGGTGGTTTTGATGAATTTCTTTTTTTTGCCAGTCCTATTGCTATTACTATTGTTGTCAGCTGGTAATTTGCTTTATTGGGTGGAGAGTTGAGCCTCCTCAGATTGCAACCTACTATTGCTTATTGAGATGTCAGAAAATGCTAGTCTTGAGTCATCTTCTTTTGGTTGGAGGTTATAAAACACCCAATTATGTTGCAATTTCAGTACATGGGTCCCTAACCAGTTGACCTTCCTCTTTACACTTCTCAGAGTTTTTTGTTTCTTGTTTTTGTTTTATTTTGTTTGTTGTTGTTGTTGTTGTTCCTCATGTTAATGCAAAAGTTTCTCAATATACATTTGGGAGAGAAGCAGCAAGAAAGGAGTCCATGCAATCTTGTCTGCAACAAAGACTCAAACAATTTTAAAGTATATTTAATTTCTTGAACCTGAAGATAAGAATCACTGAGGAAAACAATCTAAAAACTTATGAAATGCAAAGAATTTAAATTATAATATTTTTCTTATGTTAAAGTGAGACAGGCAAGTATAAAAGGGTCCCCAGAGAACCTCTGATCACCCTGTGCACTGGGAGGAATGCACACTGGGTTGGAGCCTCAGGAAGTTTGCACCATTTGCAGCAGGGAGGAACCTGGCCCCTCCTCTTCCTGGGGGGAACCGGATATTCAATCTGCAAAGTGGGAAGCATATACTAGCAGGACTCTCACTCTGCTGAAAGTTCCTGTTTCCATTTTTGCCCAATAAATTTCATTTTTCTCACTTTTCAAAGTGTCTTCCAGCCTAATCTCTCATGGTCATGTGACAAGAACCCAGCTTTTAGCTGAACTAAAGAGAAAGCTCTACAACAGCTTTGGTGCCCAATGTGGGGCTTGAGAAGGGGAGATGCAAACCAATAAATCTCTTTCCCTCTCATTTCTAAGCCTTTTCATCCTCAGACGTCTGAGGGTAAGGCAAACTGCCCCCACCCCGTTGCTCGCAGGAGTCAGGGGCCTTTCCATTGCTCTTTCCTTACTTTTTCAGGACAGACTGGGAAGCAGTGGCTCCTCACCACCCTCCCCTCCTTGCTGGGGCTGGAACACATGGCCCAAAGCACCCCAGGTGGCTTGCTGGCATTCCCTGCCACATGTCTATGAAGTCTCCCCATCTCCCAGCCAGGGAGTCTAACTCCATCCCACAACAGTTAAGCTTTTCTTCCGGGTGGAGGAACCAGTTGCATAAGAATAGGAGACTCTTCCCCCAGGCATCCTTTTTTCTTCTCCACATTGTCCAGCGGTTAACTTTTAAATAAGTTTTTTTTTTTTTCCTTTTGGAAGATGTTTTGCTAGGCTAGGAATGATAAAGATCACTTTTTATATTCTCTGTAAAGTTTTGGTTGTGTAAAAGGATCTTGTGGGGGGTTGGATTTTCTCCTGCCTGTCTGTGTAGTTATATATGTGTTGTGTGTGTAATTTATATAAAAAGAGCTCTAATTAGGCCTAAAGGAAGGCAAGCACTTGCATCAAATATTTCTTAAAGGGAAGGTAAAAGCTGTAGTACCTTTCAGTTCATGTGACTTTAATCTTTGAGAAATAAAAAGCAGACGCCATCCAAATATAAATAGATGGACTAAATTATGCAGGTTAGGTACTAAGCTTCCTAAATGTTTTAAGGTTATAAATTTCCCTTTGGGTTTTAAGAACTATTTAACTTGCCAGCTTCACAATTGTTAAGGCCTGGGGGCATATGGAACTAACTGTGCTCTTAATTATGCCGGAAGGAGTCAAACCTTGACTGCACCTAGCACACAATTAAAACAACTTACCAGGTTTTAGATTAAAGGTAAAAATTGCTAGGACTTGCCATTATGACATGTAATTAAGATTACTGGAAATAGATTTATATGCAAGGTTTGTAAGAACAGTAAAATGTGTTCTTTAGTTAAAGACTATAAGAAGGCATATCTTCTTATAATGTAAATTTCTGCCTAGGGTTGAAGAATTATTTTGAATTAGAAAGGATAAAGCTAAAAGTTCAAACAAGTGGTGGAAGGATTGTAAAAATTAATCTTGCAAAATTCTGTGTGAACATATTGCATAAATTCGAAATGGCATTATATGGTTTTTATGTAAATTGAGCATTAAAACAAAAGGTTATTTACTTATTTAAAATTTCTGAGTCATCATTTTGGCAAAATAAATAATTTATGGTAATCTGAAATTTTATTTTGTAAAATCGAGTGTTTTAATCCTCTAACTTATTTAACAGGCTTCCCAGAATCAAACTTCAGTTTCAAAACTATCTTTCCTGACACCTGGCTTTTTGGAGGCTCCAGAAGGGCCACTGGAGTGTTCAGAAAAGAGGGGTAAACAGGATTATTTAACATATTTAGGTATATGGGAATGCCAAAATGGTGTTCAATCTCCTTTCTGTTATATTTTGGTGAATAATACTAATATATATTCCAAAATTGTATGGGATTTCTAAAATTCTAATGTCTAAGTATCTGCCATCAACCGTAATTAAGGTTGTTAAGTTATTGTAAACCACTGAGATAACCAAACTACTTTGTCTATTGTGTTTCTAACTGTAATTACCCTGGACATTTTGTTATACATAGACAATTGTCTTGTTTTAATCCTTTTCAAAAGATGGTTTATAATAAGTGATAAGATTGACAGGTGCTCTCAAATACTAGTTTCTGATATCTTTGGACATTGTGACATTGGAATAAAGGAAAATGTAGAGCACTCATTAAGAGCTGAAATGTTGACAAATATCAAGCAAAATAAGAGTTAACTAAGTGGACTGAACTCAGGAAACTGAACCAAATATTTTTAACTTTTGCTTGGAATATTGCTGATCCTTGTTTTGTTTCTCAACATCAAGGAAACTATTTTGAATTATATATGACCTTTAATAATTGAATAAGGTATACTCCTGTGAACAAAATTTGTAGCATGTTTGTTTTTCTCTGATTCTTCTATAATTTGGAAACTATCTGTGAGTATTCTAAACTTATGGTAATAGAGTTGTTTGCATCAGTGCAATAAGAATCCATTTTTCTTTTGCAACAGGGCACAATTGAAGAAACTGGTTATTTTACCAAGGCTTTGACTGGAATCATATGCTTCCCTTTAAGGAGTCAATCTCAACTTGCAGAGTGGGTAAAAGCTCTGTGGGAGAAACTGGCCTCATGCCCTTACCTACACAGTCCCTGTACAGGCTTCCTGACCTGTGGTCAGTAACAAATGTCACTTTCTAACAGGCCTAGCAGCTCCAAGTTTATCTTGGGAACTTAAGAGGTGAGGATTACCCAACTCACAGGTATTTAAGGATACAAACACGTGGTTGGGCTTGGCTTTAAAAGGTCTTATCTGAGACTCCTTGTGGAACAGAGTTTCTTCAAAGCCAATCTAAAGGGCCTATGTAGAAATAGTTATTCTTGCTGCACTTTATGCAAATAATCAGGCCAAATATAAGACTAAAGTCTATTTTGCAAACCACTTAGCCCTATCATGATTTGAGTTTTTTAGCAAAATTTAGAACTAGATATAAAGAAATTATGTTTCAAAACTTACCATACATTTGTCATTAAATTCTAAACTCACTAGTTGTTTTTAAGTTTTGCCTACATTTTAAACTAACCCTACTTGTTCCTGTGAACCAATCAGCAATCTCTGGCTGCACCTCAGAAATAACAAGAGGGATGGGTAATGTAAAAATCTGGATCAGTACTGAAGTTCTGAGCAATTATCCTGCAAATCCTGCCAGGTAATGGGAATAAATAGGATGCCCACCACTTGGAGTTTTCCTTTTTGGGAAAACAAGACCAAGGGAGCTAACCAAATACAAGCACCCTGCACCCAAATTTACCAAGCATAACTATAGCCACCAGTTAATCTGGTCATGTCACAAGACATCTTTTTGTCTCCCTTGTTGAAGGAGGACTCAATTCTACAGCTTCACCTTAGCATTTGGCTTATTATAGGAGTCCACGCAAACCCCCGAGACAGATTTTTCTCCCAAACTCAATTCCAAGCTTCAGGTCAAAGCCTTAGGAAGAAAACTGGACCTAAGGGATCCAGAGACAGATGATAAGGGAGGTTAAAATGTGCAGCACAGGCGAGCATTGCTAATTCCTGCCAATCAAGCCAAGCCTCTTGTTTCATGGATAAAAGTAATGCTAGTATCCATGGCATAAATGAGGTCTAGGGAACGTCAAAGCTACTGACAGTAGTTGTCATAGAGATATAGATGAGAGCAGATAATTTCTATTCTCTAGGCCCTCCCTGCTTCATGGTTGCAAGCCATTTTGGCACCCATGGGTGGCACCTGCCAAGGTTCCCAGAACTTGGGGATGCAAGGACGGAAAAGGGAAAGAGGATGCTCTTCCTTCTCTCCCTAATGCATTCTGGGTATCTGCTAGAAAGAGAAGGGAACTGGGAATGCCTGCTCCCCTCTTTCTAGATGGGTAGCCATTCATCTTGAGTCTGTACCCATTTCAAATACATCCTGATCCCTGGGACTCCTTTGAAAAGCTCCTTCTTTTTTCTATTCTCCTCCTCTGTCCTCTCTTCACTGATAGGTAACTGTGTCTCCCTACTATAGGACACTACCCTCAGATGCATCCTCCAAACTGGAAAGAGTTAATTTCCCAAACCTTAAACTGGTTGGCTTAAGATTGGGCTCAAGGGAAGGGAACCCAGAAGCCCAACATGCCAGCAAAAGGGTAAAGGTGTTTGTTTGTTGGTTTGTTTGTTTGTTTTACCAATCAGGCTTTCAGGCTTCCTCTCCCTATGCCAACTGGTAAAAGGCCTCGGGATTTTTAAGCTGTCCTTACCCCTCCCCTTGTTTCATTTTAATACATGTTTTGTAATAACCCGGTTTGTCTCTTCTTGGCTTTAGGCCATCAACTACAAACGGTCATGCAACTGGAACCTGAGAGAATAGTCCCTTTTGCTGGGAACCCTTACATAGGCCTTTAAGGGAGCTCTGACTGCAGTTTTCCCCAAAACAGCGCCCCCTGTCAGCAGGAAGCAGTTAAGATTGGTCTTCATCCTTACCCTTATCTTTATTCTAATGGCAGTTAGATGTACTTCCTTAGAGGGGGAGTGAGACAGCCAAGTATAAAGGGGTCCCCAGAGAACCTCTGACTGGCCTGCACACTGGGAAGAAAGTGCACTGAGGTGCATCACTCTTTTCCATTTTATTTTTTTTGGTGCAAGGTAAAAAACAGTTACCACAAAAACATTTATGAAAAGTCAATAACACAGCAGAAGTGTAGTCATTTATGCAGCTAAAGATTTTTTTTTTTTTTTTGAGACAGAGTTTTGTCCTTACTGCCCAGTCTGGAGTGCAATGGCACAATCTTGGCTCACCACAACCTCCGCCTCCTGGGTTCAAGCGATTCTCCTGCCTCAGCATCCTGAGTCACTGGGATTACAGGCATGTGCCACCACACCTGGCTAATTTTGTATTTTTAGTAAAGACAGGGTTTTTCTATGTTGGTCAGGCTGGTCTCGAACTCACAACCTCAGGTTATCCGCCCACCTCGGCCTCCGAAAGTGCTGGGATTACAGGAATGAGCCACCGCACCCAGCCTGCAGCTAAAGATTTTTAAAAATTGAATACAATTTATGTCAGTAAAATGGTAGACTAAGAACTCTGAGGGAAAAAAGCAAGGGAAAAAAAACTCACAATCAACACTGTAGGAACTCTGTAAATTAATCAAATGTGTATAGAAACCTAGGGAATAAAATGGAGAAAAATGGCTGAATACCATTAAGAATAGGGAGCTTTATCCATTTTAACTTCTACTGATACTATTCCCTATATTCCAGCTTGTCTGAACCCGTGGAAAATATAACAGTTCACCTTATTGATACTAAAGAGAGCATGTCAGTGGTATACATCTTTCAAAGCCATATTCCCAAAGAATAGTCACTCTTTAACATGTTTAGTTGTCCCTGGAACACCCAACTTGAAAATGTAGTCATTATTTTGCCTGATTTAGGACTCAGTATTAAAAACCACTTTCTGTGGACATGACTCAAAAACATTTAAATACAATTGTTTTAGTTGCTCCAGCCTGAGATAATGGATATTAGGCAAACAATAGATTGTCCAACAAACTTAAGAGGAAAAGATGAGGAGTGAATAATGCATATGGGCTTGGAAATGTTTCAACCAATTTGGGGGATACTAAAAAGACAAATGCATGCATAGAAATGTGGGCATGCTAAACAGAGACCTGAACAGGCCCAAAGATATGACTTCTGGCTGACTTTGAGTATCTAGGTAAACAGAAAGTGAAGACTAAGAAACAGGTGCAGACCATCTGGCTGAGTGTTGAAGTCAATGCCCCAGCATGCACACTGAGACCCTTGGCAAAAGGGGATTTTACTATTAATGATAAAAGAATAAAATGTGTCATAAAAAATACTGTGAACAGTTGTATGACAAATTGAATAACATAGATGAAATAGACAAATTCCTAGAATGACAGAAACTGCTGTCATAAAGGCATAAAGACATTTAGTCGGTATCTTAAAAACTTCCAACAAAGAAAAGCCGAGATTAGATGTAACCACTCAAAAATATTACCAAATGCTTAAAGGATGAATGGCACTACTCCTCAAACTATTCTAAACCATAGAATTAGAGGGAATAATTCTTAGCATATACTGTGGGGCCAGTATAGTCACAATGCCAATGCCAGACAACAAAGTAACAAGAAAAGAAATCTTCAGAATGCACAAGCTTCAGTAGCTGATTCGATCAAATGGAAGACAGGGTATCAGTGACTGAAGATCAAATGAATGAAATGAAGTGAGAAGAGAAGTTTAGAGAAAAAAGAGTAAAAAGAAATGAACAAAGACTCCAAGAAATATGGGACTATGTGAAAAGACCAAATCTATGTCTGATTGATGTACCTGAAAGTGACGGGGAGAATGGAACCAAGTTGGAAAACACTCTTCAGGATATTATCCAGGAGAACTTGCCCAACCTAGCAAGGCAGGCCAACATTCAAATGCAGAAATTACAGAGAACTCCTCGAGATACAAGATACTCCTTGAGAAGAACAACTCCAAGACACATAATTGTCAGGTTCACCAAAGTTGAAATGAAGGAACAAATATTAAGGGCAGCCAGAGAGAAAGGTCGGGTTTCCCACAAAGGGAAGCCCATCAGACTAACAGTGGATCTCTTGGCAAAAACTCTACAAGCCAGTAGAGAGTGGGAGCCAATATTCAACATTCTTAAAGAAAAGAATTTTCAACCCAGAATTTCATATCCAGCCAAACTAAGCTTCATAAGTGAAGGAGAAGTAAAATCCTTTACAGATGATCAAATGCTGAGAGATTTTGTCACCACCAGGCCTGCCCTACAAGAGCTCCTGAAGGAAGCACTAAAAATAGAAAGGAACAACCAGTACCAGCCACTGCAAAAACATGCCAAATTGTAAAGATCATCGATGCTAGGAAGAAACTGCATCAACTAACGAGCAAAATAACCAGCTAACATCATAATGACAGGATCAAATTCACACATAAGGATATTAACCTTAAATGTAAATGAGCTAAATGCTCCAATTAAAAGACACAGACTGGCACATTGGATAGAGTCAAGACACATCAGTGTGCTGTATTCAGGAGACCCATCTCACGTGCAGAGAAACACATAGGCTCAAAATAAAGGGATGGATGAAGATCTACCAAGCAAAGAGAAAACAGAAAAATGCAGGGGTTGCAATCCTAGTCCCTGATAAAACAGACTTTAAACCAACAAAGATCAAAAGAGACAAAGAAGACCATTACATAATGGTAAAGGGATCAATTCAACAAGGAGAGCTAACCTGAATATATATGCACCCAATACAGGAGTACCCAGATTCATAAAGCAAGTCCTTAGAGACCTACAAAGAGACTTAGACTCCCACACAGTAATAATGGGAGACTTTAACACCCTACTGTCAACATTAGACAGATCAATAAGACAGATAGTTAACAAGGATATCCAGTAATTGAACTGAGCTCTGCACCAAGTGGACCTAATAGACATCTACAGAACTCTCCACCCCAAATCAACAGAATATATATTCCTTTCAGCACCACATCCCACTTATTCCAAAATTGACCACGTAGTTGGAAGTAAAGCACTCTTCAGCAAATGTAAAAGAACACAAATTATAACAAACTGTCTCTCAGACCACAGTGCAATCAAACTAGAACTCAGGAGTAAGAAACTCACTCAAAACCGCTCAACTACATGGAAACTGAACAACCTGCTCCTGAATGACTACTGGGTACATAGCAAAATGACGGCAGAAATAAAGATGTTCTTTGAAACCAATGAGAACAAAGACACAACCTACCGGAATCTCTGGGACACATTTAAAGCAGTGTGTAGAGGGAAATTTATAGCACTAAATGCCCGCAAGAGAAAGCAGGAAAGATCCAAAATTGACACCCTAACATCACAATTAAAAGAACTAGAGAAGCAAGAGCAAACACATTCAAAAGCTGGCAGAAGGCAAGAAATAACTAAGATCAGAGCAGAACTGAAGGAGATAGAGATACAAAAAACACTTCAAAAATCAATGAATCCAGGAGCTGGTTTTTTGAAAAGATGAACAAAATTGATAGACCGCTAGCAAGACTAATAAGAAAAGAGAGAAGAATCAAGTAGATGCAATCAAAAATGATAAAGGGGATATCACCACCGATCCCACAGAAATACAAACTACCATCAGAGAATACTATAAACACCTCTATGCAAATAAACTAGAAAATCTAGAAGAAATGGATAAATTCCTTGACACATACACCCTCCCAAGACGAAACCAGGAAGAAGGTGAATCTCTGAATAGACCAATAACAGGATCTGAAATTGAGGCAATAATTAATAGCTTACCAACCAAAAAAAAGTCCAGGACCAGATGGATTCACAGCCGAATTCTACCAGAGGTACAAGGAGGAGCTGGTACTATTCCTTCTGAAACTATTCCAATCAATAGAAAAAGAGGGAATCCTCCCTAACTCATTTTATGAAGCCAGCATCATCCTGATACCAAAGCCTGGCAGAGACACAACAAAAAAAGAGAATTTTAGACCAATATCCCTGATGAACATCGATGCAAAAGTCCTCAATAAGATACTGGCAAACCGAATCCAGCAGCACATCAAAAAACTTATCCACCATGATCAAGTGGGCTTCATCCCTGGGATGCAAGGCTGGTTCAACATATGCAAAGCAATAAACGTAATCCAGCATATAAACAGAACCAAAGACAAAAACCACATGATTATCTCAATAGATGCAGAAAAGGCCTTTGACAAAATGGTGACCCATTAACTCATCATTTACATTAGGTATATCTCCTACTGCTATCTCTCCCTACTCCCCCAACCCCAGGACATCCTCTTCACAGACCTGTCCTCTGTCCTGAGCTCTGTATTTGATATGTAAATTTAGAGCCAAGACAGGTCCTGCACTTCATCCCTTTTCTTGAGTGCCAGGTAGCTTCTTGGGAACCAGGAAAACTGGGGAAGATGTTAGGAAGGGTATGTGTGTCATCATTTCAAAATTCTTCTTAGTAATTTAAAATGTTAAACACATGTTAAATTAAATAATAGATAATCATAAACTGAGTCAATTGTGGGTTAGTGAAAATACTGAAATATTAATTATTAAACATATGTTTTCGTTGCAGTTCATATACTTTGGCATCTAATTTTTAGATGGTATAGAAAAGGTAAATATATTTAGACCTGTTAATTAAAAAATTGAAGAAACATCTTTCTAAAAACTTATGAAATTGTTTTCATCTATAAATACTTGTATAAAATAGTTCAAAATTAATTACTTCCTTGGTTTTTCACTGGAAATTGGGGATAGAGTCAAAATTTTGATTAATATATGTAATTAAAATTACTCAATATAAGAAACAATTCTATATGCAGAGAGTATTCGAAAAGTAAGATGTGTTTTTCATGAGGAAGTTTTCAAAAAAGGTTTGAGGATATGGCTTTTCCTAAAGAAAAAATAATTTTGTCTAGTTTAAAGGTTATTTAAATGTTTCAAAATGGAGAAAAATAATGTAGATAAAACTAAAGGAGTCTAAAAAGTTGAGGAATAAAAAAATTTAATTTGTAAGAGGTTATAAAAGTTTTATGGAAATCTGTTGTCAAAACCTGAGAATAGATGGATCTGTTTATGACAATTTGTCAAAACTATCTTTAGTATTGATAATAAACTAATATAAAAGTAAAATTTTGTTTTCTCATTTAAACAAGACATTCATGTAATATTTATCAGATAGAGTTTTTTTCACTTTTAAAGTAAACTACAGTAAAGAAAAAAGGAAAGGAGAGGCAGATTCTATTTCATACTTTTATAGATTTTTTGATTGGAAAACTGAGTGTGTTTTCTATCAAAGAATAAAGGATTTTGCTTCTTAAAAACCATTTTATTATTGCTTTCACTAAATGAATATTATTTTACAGTAATCTGTGATATCATTTTGATTAGTGTTTTAAACTTTTAATTTAATATTAGGAGTCCTAAATATCTGGTATTTGACAAACTTTCCAGAATAAAATACTAAATTCTAAAATTAAGTCTTTTTGATCTTTAACTTTGGGATATTACTAAAAGCCACTGCAGCTTCCAAAAGAGAAGTAACAAATAGCCTTTTTTGATATGTTAAAATATATGGGAAGCATTGCCAAAAAAAGACATAATGTTTAATCTCCAAGTTATAGCTTTATAGATATGCTATTATATGCATTACAAAATTGTATGATATTCCTAAAATTCTGATATGTCTCAGTATAGGTTATCAGTCATAATGATGGTTATTATGTTAAATTATTGTGGACCACAGAAATAACTCGATGTTCTTGTCAATTGTGCCTTTAACCATGACCATATTAACTATTGTTTACAGGTAATTGCTTAATTCTGACATGTTTTCTGAAAGCTCTTTACAAGCAAGTAAAATCCTTCTTCAACAAAGCTCATGGAAAGGATGGAAATGACCCTGACAGGCACTCTTGATTATGAGTTTCTAATAACTTTAGTATCGCTTGGGCTGGGTAATAATTACAAGAACTCTAATGAAGAGATTAACTGGTATATAAAACTGCTAACCACAAAAGACAAAAATTAATTGAATTCCAAGAAAATATTTTTCCAGATTTTAGTGCTAAATAAGACAGTACTGAGATTGTTGAGATCTGCAATTTGAATAAACTCAGTGGTCCAAGTCAAATTACCAATGATAACCTATTTAATATACAGTGCTATGACCTTGAACTGGTGAAACAAAACTGATATTTCAGAGGATATAAATCCAGTTTTAAGCATCTACTCATGCAGAGCCTAAACAGCTGCCTGGTCCTTTCTGAATCTTTAAAGCTTCCATTAAAAGCTCTGCAGTCCATGACTCAATCATAGAAGAAATGAAATGATCCAAATTATATCTTAAAGTTATTGGTATGGTGACTGTTCTAAATGGTTAATATGGTTTGTGACCAAAGTTTGGTTTGTTAAATCCATAACCCTGGGAAGATAATCAAAACCTTAGGCCATTTGAACATTTATTGAGAGATTTTAATTTCCATTTTCTTTTATTTTTTTTACTGCTAAAATGCTTTAATAGTAATAGCATTGATATAGATGTTCCACTACAATAATAGTCTCCTTTATATGTGACCATTCCATACAAGGATCAAAGGATTATCATACTCATGTGCCTACTTTTGTTCTTCACGAGGTAGGAAAGATGTAAAAATGTTTAGAAAATTTAGACAAGTTAAAAATATATTAAATAAAATTAAATGTTTTTAACATAATAGTTGACATAAATAGGAAATTGTGTGGCTGTCTTTATATGAAAAAGCTTAAACAGTTGTGTATTGTGAGAGGTGAGGCAGGTCAAGGTCAAATCTGTGAGCTGGGAGATACTTGCCTTTATTCAATAAGTTCCATAATAATGTATTTAACTGGAACCAGACTCTATACCCATATGAAAGCAACTCAAGTTGTTGGGATTTCTTTTCCTGCTTAGAAAAAGGGAAAAATTGCAATGGGATTGGCCTATGACTGCAGTAATTGACCATATAAGCAATGCAAATGGAATGGCAGGCTCTGCTGATTCTGGTTGTAGGCAGAATCAGTAACTTTTAAATGTAATACCAACTAAATAGCTTGAGGGATGATAAATCCTAAGTACCCAATTTTGACTACTGCTAACCTGTAAATTTATAAGAAAGTTTTTTTATAGCATTTCTCAAAGAGATTTACTCCGGAAGTCATTTACTTGATTTCAGAGCACTAGAGGCTGTAGATGAGATTGAAACTCCAAGACAGAAAAAGATTGAATAATGCATTTGATTATTATCTACCATGGAGTGTTGTTATAAAGGAAAAGAAGGCTCAGCTGTCTGTAGGCACGTAAATTGTCTTCTGGTAGCTGACTGGCATTTTTCTTTTCTCCAGAAGACAGAAATAGAGAAAATGGGTTTATAGTGTATAAATGTTTGTTAGATAGAATGGAGAACGTTGGGTCAGAAAGAATATTTAAATCCTGGAATAAGCTCCCCAGGAAATTTTTGAATCTCCATTCCAATAAGCTTTGACAATACTACAATTACTTAAGCTTGAAACATTTGCATTTTTCATTTGCTCTTTTTATTAGCTTAAGGAGTATTTTTAGAATGAGAGTGTTTTTTAGCTTCTTTCCATCCATTATCCTAAAAGATTAAGTCTCTTGGGTAATACCCATTCTGGATGGGCATTATTTGTTTTGTCCCTTTTTCCATGGCTTAATGTAAATATAAATGAGGTAATAGCCCTATTTGAAGGACCCCTTGAGGTCTCTTGCAACTCTAGAACTTTTTCACTATTGATCATTTCTGTTTATTTGGGAAAATCACTAGATTTAAACATTGTGTTCCCTTTTTATTCTTTATTTTATTTAACTTTTGTTTTTATTTTTCCTACTAATTGCCATTTTCGTGTATGTTTTCTGGTTGTATAGAAGCTTTCCTATGCAAGAAGGCTGATTCTACAACAATAGCTAAAAGGTTATTAGGAAATGTGTTTTCTTCTTGGGGTATGCATGGATAAATCTTTAGTGAGAGAGGTACTTATTTCACTGGATAATTTGGAAAACAGTTGAAATGAGGTATTACAAACACAATAGCATTAGGCAAAGCTAACCGAGTCTACTGAATTATCTTGGTTAAAGATGTTTCAGTCTGATGACAATCAGATCCACTTCCAGTGGAAAACATACACTGACCCTTTATGAAATAGTCACTGGAAGACCTCTCTTCACAGTAGTATAACCTCATGTAACTCCCACTCCTAAACTCTGATTTGAGCAGAATCATCAAGGTTTTAATACATTATGCCAAAATGTATTTTCAACAAGTAAAGGAAGCTTTCCATGATCCTCCAACTAAGGACAATCTTACTTTTCTAATATAGAGCTCAAACATTTTGTCTTCAGTAAATCCATCAGAGAGACTGCTTTTGCCACCCACGCGTTGCACCCCCCTTCACTCACCTGCAGCAAAACTTTAGGACCAGGAACCTTTAGTTCATCATCTCACAACTCATAAAGGCCCCTCCAGACTTTTATAAATGTTGTACGTTCATCAGAGAACTCAAGGTAAAGCTAACCAGGAGTGTTCTCCTCAGAAGCAGATGGTATTGTGGACATGGACAAATTTTCCAAGATCACAGATTAAGACTTCTTTGCCATCATCAGACTCTTACCTCTCAATTTTTTTCCTGCTTATGTCTCTATGAAAAAATAGAATGAGAAAAAGGGCCCATGTGCACCCATGGGATATACTTTTATTTGTGATGTATTTTGTAGCCAACTGTATATATGGACAACTTTGTGCCTTAATGGATGAAAAATGAAAGGCCAGTGTGGGCTAGGAATTTTAATGGCATATTTGTTGCTCCATAATCAGTCAGAAATAGAACACTGGTCCACTCTTGTTAATTGACATCATAAGTCAAAAAGAACATTAACAAGAGGCCTTCATCATTCTAGATGGACATTATTATGTCCCTTTTTCCAAGGCCAGGTGTAAATGTAAATGAGGAAATAATTAGAAATTCAATGCTAATAATACTCTCTTTATCAGATTTTACTATGACTGCCATGGTAGCAAACAGACTTCTGTAAATTATCTTGCTAAAGTTGTGGTCAATAATAGAGTTGCTCTAGATTACCTACTGGCTGAACAAGGAAGAATCTGTGCAGTTGCTGACACTTCTTGTGGCACACAGGTATTATAGAGATTCACTTGCAGGGGATTGACAAACAGGCTGCTTGGTTAAAATGAATAGACTATTTGTCTGGTTCATTTGTTGACATATTTGATTTTAATTAGGGTGGTTCATGGGGACCCTGGCTAGGGAACATACTTCAAACTTTTGTTGTTATTCTTGTGATAGTCATAATAGTAGTCTGGTGGTGCATGCATTCGCTCAAATTTTAAAATGCATGCATGCAGTCACCTATAGAATATCAAATATCTCTTTCACAGGATCAACAAAAACTCAAAATGCATAATCATATGGACACCATAAGCTACGAATGATGTACTAAGACCAGAAATTCAAAATGGTGATAATCGAGAGTAGTGCTAAAGCCCCAAGTTTTGGTCACACGCTCATCTAAGTGAGAACTTGACAAAAAGGGAGGAATTATTGACCACAATTATGGGAGGCCATTATTCTGAACTAAGCTCCTGCACTAAGCCCCAGGAGAACAAACCAAAGTGGGGTTACTTGTGCTAAATGCGATGTAAGAAAACTGAAACTTTAAGGAAGAAGATAGATCCCAAAAGACACTGGTGGATTTTTTTTTTTTTTTTTTTTTTTTTTTTTGCTGCTGTTGTTCTCCTGAAAACAGGAGATTCTGACATAAGTGAGCCCCCTCTGCTTTAACCCTTATGAAAAGGTAACCAGAGGTAATCAGTTTTTTCCTACTGTTTTGTTTTCTTGTTCTTACCTTACAATACCCCTTATTCAATTTATCATTAGGATTTGAGAACAAATAAGTCTACTTATGATGGTGACAATTATGTCAACACCTAAAGATGTAGTCAATTTCTCAAAATTGAGAAGTTGACCGAAAGGGGAGATTTGTTAAAACTGCCTTCTAGCCGAAAACTGCCTCCTTACATATTTTAAGTTTGTCCTGAAGGTTTCTCTGTACATGGTGAACTGTAACCTAACTGGAGGTATAAATAGACTGTAACCTACTATTGTACCAGTCATAGAGTTTCAACGAATCATAGGCAGGCAACTGTTCAAGCCATGCTCAAATAAGGCAAACACCAAGCTGTAAACAATCAAGCTGTTTTTGTACCTAACTTCCCTTTTCTATGTCACTTTCCTTTTAGTGTTTCTATTATTTTGTGTCTATTCAGGTGATCCTGTGGTTTTTGTTTTAGTTTATATGATAAATTACATTTATTGATTGCATGTATTGAACCAACCTTGTATCACAGAAATAAAGCCTACTTGTTCGTGCTGAATTAGCATTTTGATATGCTGCTGGATTTGGTTTGCTGGTATTTTGTTGAATATTTTTGTATTTGTGTTTGTCAGGATTATTAGCCTGAAGTTTTACCTTTCTTTTGTGGCTCTGCCTGGTTTTCATATTCAAATTATTCTAGTCTCATAGAATGAGTTAGGGAGAAGACACTCCTCAATTTTTGGAATAGTTTCAGTAGCATTGGTACAGATCTTGCTTATATATCTTACAACATTTGGTTGTGACTCTGTCTGGTCCAGGGCTTTTTGGTGTTGGTAGGCTTTTTATTATTGATGCAATTTCAGAACTTATTGGTCTGTTCAGGGTTTCAGTTTCTTCCTGGTTCAATCTTGGGAGGTAGTGTGTTTCCAGGAATGTATTCATTCCTTCTAGGTTTTCCAGTTTGTGCACATAGAGGTGTTTGTACTAGTCTCAGGTTTTTCTGTATTTATGTTGGGTTGGCAGTAGTGGCCCCTTTGTCATTTCTGACTGTGTTTATTTGTATCTCTTTTCTTTATTAGTCTAGTTAGTGATCTACCAATCTTCTTTATTCTGTCAAAGAACCAACTTGTTTCAGTTGGTCTATTATCTTTTTTGATCATTATTGGTTTTAAGTCTGTTTGTCTGCAATTAGAATAACAACTTCTGCTAGGTTTTGTTTTTCATTTGCTTGGTATATTTCTCTCTATCCATTTACTTTGAGCCTATGGATATCATTGTATGTGAGATGTGTCTCTTGAAGACAGCATATAGTTGAGTTTTGCTTCTTTGCCAGCTTGCCACTCTGTGTCTTTTATGTGGGATGTTTAACCTGTTTATATTAAAGATTAATATTGATATGTACAGATTTGATTTTGTCATCATGATTTTAGCTGGTTCTTATGCAGACTTGATTGTGTAGTTGCTTTATAGTGGTTGTGGACTATGTGCTTACATGTGTTTTTGTTTTAGCAGGTGTGATTCTTTTATGACCATGTTTACAACTCTCTTAAAGATTCCTTATCCAGCAGATCTGGTGATAGTGAATTTCCTTAGCACATGCTTGTCTCAATTTCCTTAGTACGTGCTTGTCTGAAAAGCATATTATTTCTCCTTAACTTATGAAGCATTGTTTGGCTGGATATGAAATTCTTGGTTAGAATTTCTTTTCTTTAAGAATTCTGAATATAGGGCCCCAGTATTTTGTAGCTTGTAGCATTTCTGTTGAAAAGTCTATTAGCTTGATGGGTGATATGGTTAGGCTTTTTGTCCCCACCCAGATATCATCTTGAATTGTAATCCCCATAATTCCCAACATCCCCAAGTGTTAAGGAATAGACCAGGTGGAGGTAATTGAATCATGGGGGCAGTTTCCCCCATGCTGTTCTCATGATAGTGAGTTCTCATGAGATCTGATGGTTTTACAACGGGCTCTTACCACTTTTCTCGGCACTTCTCCTTCCTGTCACCTTGTGAAGAAGGTACCTTGCTTCGCCTTCACCTCCTGCCATGATTTTAAGTTTCTTGAGGTTTCTCCAGCCATGCTGAACTGTGAACCAATTAAACTTCTTTTTTTTTTAATAAATTACCCGGTCTCAGGCAGTTTTTTATAACAGTGTGAAAATGGACTTATACAATGGGATTCCCTTTTTGGTGACCTGCCCATCTCTCTACCTGCCTTGAATACTTTTTTTACTTTGACTTTGGAGAATGTAATGACTGTATCTTAGGGATTGTCATCTTTCATAGTGTCTTGCAGGGTTCTCTTCATTTTCTGAATTGAATGTTGACCTCTCTAGTGAGGTTCAGGTATTTTTGTACACAATATCCTCTAATATGTTTTTGAAGTTGCTTGATCTCTTCCTCTCTCTCAGGGATGCCAATGAGTTGTCAGTTTGGTCTCTTTACATAATCCCATATTTCTTGTAGGTTTTGTTCATTCTGTATTATTCTTTCTTTTTTAGTTTTAACTCATTGAGTTGATTCAAAGCATGTCTTTGAGCTCTGATACTCTTTTTCTGATACTCTTTTCTCAGCTTGGTCTATTTTTTAACAATTCCAATTGTATTATAAAATTCCCACAGTGAGTTTTTCACCTCTATTAGATAGTTCGATTTTTTTAAAATGGCAATTTTATCTTTCTGCTCTTGTGTTGCTTTATTGGATTCACTAGATGTTTTGGATTGGGTTTCAACTCTTCCAGAATCTCATTAATCTTCATAGCTATTCAGACACTGAATTCTATGTCTTTCATTCCAGCAGTTTCAGCATTAAGAACAATTGCTGGGAAGCTAGTACAGTCATTTGGAGATGATAAGAAGACATGCTAGTTTTTGAGATACCTGAGTTATTGGGCTGTTTTTTGTTTTTTTTTTTTTTGTCATCTGGGTGGGCTAATCCTCTTTTAATCTTTGAAGTTTCTGTCCTTTGGATAGTCATTTTACTTTCTTTGATGCCCTTGTGGATTTGACTGTGTTGTAAGTTGAGTTCGATTGACTGGCTTTGTTTCTCTAGATGATTGTAGGGGTCAAGGATCAGCTCAGCATTCTTGGGCAATGTGCTGTAACTGGCGGCCTGGGTCTAGGCACATGACATTGTTCTTTGGCCCTTTGAAGGTAAGAACCAACTGCATCTAAGTTTTTCTCAATCTGCTGGCAACAACATTCTCATAGGCAGTGCCAGCAAAAACACTTCATTGTAGCAGTGGCATTGGTGTCTGCATTCACATGCACTTGCCAACGGTGGTGGGATGGTAGGGTTTGTGTGTGCATACTTGAGTGGGAGATAGCTATGCATTGGGATCCATGCACGTGCATTCACCAGCAGCAGTGCAGTAGAGTCAATGCATGCATGCTTGTCGTGGTGGTGATGTGGCAGACTCCTCACATGAGTTTGTATTTGTGGCAGCAGCAGTACAATGGGGTCCACGTTCATGCTCTGGTGGTGTCAGGATTGTGGCTGTGAAGTGCACATGTGCATGCACCAGTGGCAGAAGGGCTATAAGTTTCAGACTTGTGTGTGCACCAGCAATGCAAAGTAGGGGTTGGTGTCTGCAGGTGAGTGTACACCAACAAAGTAGTAGAGGGAAACTGCAGGTGAGTGTGCTTGCAAAGTGGTGGGGGGATGCTTTATGTGGGTATATGTTGGCAGGAACCCTTCTGCTGAAGCTCTCTGACAGGCAGAGTCTGCCAGTGAATAAGATATGGCAGCAGTGACTGGGATGCACCAAAGTCAGGTGTTCAAGACTGTTCTACCATCGAGGACAGCCAGGAAGGGATCTTGGAAGAGGCTGGCAGACAGGAGGGTTCTCAGATCAAATTTGCCCCATCCCACAGGGAAGACATTCTTGCTCTGTCCAGGTCCAACAGTCAACAAATTCCAAAGTCTCCTAGAGGAGCATGCCAAGCCTTGGGAGATGGGCATCACTGGCCATGCAGCCTTTCCTGTGTCAAATTCTCTGAGCTTCACACAGACTGGAGTCCTGTCCCTGCCACCTCTCCAAGCAGCTCTCCTTGCCAGCTCAAACGTCCATGGGAGTCATGAGGTCCCTGGCAGTTCGGATTCTGGATGTCTATGGTGAGATTGAGCCACTTCTTGGCTATTTAACATACCACCTCCCTAGGAGAGCCACTGGGATCATGAATGAGTCCGGTTGCTTGCCAGCCCTGTGCAGGGTTTCCAGCTTCCTTTCCCTTCAGCTCAAGATCTGCATCCTTCCTCTGTATATACTCAGTGCCTTCCTTCTGAAGATCTGTTCAGAGTGTGCCAGTCTTCTTAATGGTCTGGTCTCTTGGTGAGAAATGCTCTTTCTGGCTGCATTTTTTGGCTATCTTGTATTACAATTCTAAAGATGGCCAAATAGGAACAGCTCCAGTCTACAGCTCCCAGCATGAGCAACGCAGAAGATGGGGGATTTCTGCATTTCCAACTGAGGTACCAGGTTCATCTCAATGGGGCTTGTCGGACAGTGGGTGCAGCCCACCGAGTGTGAGCTGAAGCAGGGAAGAGCATGGCCTTACCCGGGAAGCACAAGCAGTTGGGGAATTCCCTTTCCTAGCCAAGGAAAACCATGACAGATGGTACCTGGACAATCGGGACACTCCTACCCTAATACTGTGCTTTTCCAACAGTCTTAGCAAATGGCAGACCAGGAGATTATTTCCCACACCTGGCTCGGAGGGTCCCATGCCCACAGAGCCTCACTCATTGCTAACATAGCAGTCTGAGATCGAACTGCAAGGCGGCAGCAAGACTGGGGGAGGGGCATCCACCGTTGCTGAGGCTTGAGTAGGTAAACACAGCAGCTGGGAAGCTCAAACTGGATGGAGCCCACTGCAGCTCAAGGAGGCCTGCCTGCCTCTGTAGACTCCACCTCTGGGGGCAGGGCATAGCTGAACAAAAGGCAGCAGAAACTTTTGCAGACTTAAACATCCCTGTCTAACAGCATTGAACAGAGTAGTGGTTCTCCCAGCACAGAGTTTGAGATCCGACAATGGACAGACTGCCTCCTCAAGTGGGTCCCTGACCCCCAAGTAGCCTAACTGGGAGACATCTCCCAGTAGGGGCCTACTGGCACCTCATACAGCCGGGTGCCCCTCTGAGATGAAGCTTTCAGAGGAAGGATCAGGCAGCAACATTTGCTGTTCTGCAATATTTGCTGTTCTGCAGCCTCTGCTGGTGATACCCAGGCAAACATGGTCTGGAGTAGACCTCCAGCAAACTCCAACAGACCTGCAGCTGAGGGTCCTGACTGTTAGAAGGACAGCTAACAAACAGGACATCAACACCAAAACCCCATCTGTGCGTCACTATCATCAAAGACCAAAGGTAGATTAAACCACAAAGATGGGGAGAAACCAGAGCAGAAAAGCTGAAAATTCTAAAAATCAGAGTGCCTCTTCTCCTCCAAAGGATCGCAGCTCCACGCCAGCAATGGAACAAAGCTCGACGGAGAATGACTTTGATGAGTTGAGAAAAGAAGGCTTCAGATGATCGGAAATAACAAACTTCTCCGAGCTAAAGGAGGATGTTTGAACCCATCGCAAGGAGCTAAAAACCTTAAAAAAAATTAGAAAAATGGCTAACTAGAATAAGCAGTGTAGAGGAGACCTTAAATGACCTGATGGAGCTGAAAACCATGGCACGAGAATTACATGACGCACTCACAAGCTTCAGTAGCCAATTCAATCAAATGTAAGAAATGGTATCAGTGATTGAAGATCAAATGAATGAAATGAACCGAGAAGAGAAGTTTAGAGAAAAAAGAGTAAAAAGAACTGAACAAAGCCTCCAAGAAATATGGGACTATGGGAAAAAACCAAATCTACATCTGATTGGTGTACCTGAAAGTGACGGGGAGAATGGAACCAAGTTGGAAAACACTCTCCAGGATATTATCCAGGAGAACTTCCCCAACCTAGCAAGGCAGGCCAACATTCAAATTCAAGAAATACAGAGAATGCCACAAAGATAGGCCTTGAGAAGAGCAAGTCCAAGACACATAATTTTCAGATTCACCAAAGTTGAAATGAAGGAAAAAATGTTAAGGGCAGCCAGAGAGAAAGGTTGGGTTACCCACAAAGGGAAGCCCATCAGACTAACAGTGGATCTCTCGGCAGAAACTCTACAAGCCAGAAGAGAGTTGGGGCCAATATTCAACATTATTAAGGAAAGAATTTTCAATCCAGAATTTCATATCCAGCCAAACTAACCTTCATGAGAGAAGGAGAAATAAAATTCTTTACAGACAAGCAAATGCTGCAAAATTTTGTCACCACCAGGCCTGCCTTACAAGAGCTCTTGAAGGAAGCATTAAACATGGAAACGAACAACCAGTACCAGCCACTGCAAAAACATGCCAAATTGTAAAGCCCATTGATACTAGGAAGAAACTGCATCAACTAACGAGCAAAATAACCAGCTAACATCATAATGACAGGATCAAATTCACACATAAGGATATTAACCTTAAATGTAAATGGGCTAAATGCTCCAATTAAAAGACACAGACTGGCACATTGGACAGAGTCAAGACCCATCAGTGTGCTGTATTCAGGAGACCCATCTCACATGCAGAGACACACATAGGCTCAACATAAAGGGATGGACGAAGATCTACCAAGCAAAAGGAAAACAAAAAAAAGCAGGGGTTGCAATCCTAGTCTCTCATAAAACGGACTTCAAACCAACAAAGATCAAAAGAGACAAAGAAGACCATTACATAATCGTAAAGGGATCAATTCAACAAGAAGAGCTAACTATCCGAAATATATATGCACCCAATACAGGAGTACCCAGATTCATAAAGCAAGTCCTTAGAAACCTACAAAGAGACTTAGACTCCCACACAGTAATAATGGGAGATTTTAACACCCCACCATCAACATTAGACACATCAACGAGACAGAAAGTTAACAAGGATATGCAGGAATTGAACTCAGCTCTGCACCAAGCGGACCTAATAGACATCTAGAGAACTCTCCACCCCAAATCAACAGAATATACATTCTTCTCAGTACCACATCCCACTTATTCCAAAATTGACCACATAGTTGGAAGTAAAGCACTCCTCAGCAAATGTAAAAAACAGAAATTGTAACAAACTGTCTCTCAGACCACAGTGCAATCAAACTAGAGCTCAGGATTAAGAAACTCACTCAAAACTGTTCAACTACATGGAAACTGAACAACCTGCTCCTGAATGACTACTGGGTACATAACAAAATGAAGGCAGAAATAAAGATGTTCTTTGAAACCAATGAGGACAAAGACACAACCTACTAGAATCTCTGGGACACATATAAAGCAATGTGTAGAGGGAAATTTATAGCATTAAATGCCCACAAGAGAAAGCAGGAAAGATCTAAAGTTGACACCCTAACATCACAATTAAAAGAACTAGAGAAGCAAGAGTAAACATATTCAAAAGCTAGCAGAAGGCAAGAAATAACTAAGATCAGAGCAGAACTGAAGGAGATAGAGACACAAAAAATCCCTTCAAAAAATCAATGAATCCAGGAGCTGGTGTTTTGAAAAGATCAACAAAATTGATAGACCGCTAGCAAGACTAATAAAGAAGAAAAGAGAGAAGAATCAAATAGGTGCAATAAAAAATGATAAAGGAGATATCACCACCGATCGCACAGAAATACAAACTACCATCAGAGAATACTATAAACACCTCTACGCAAATAAACTAGAAGATCTAGAAGAAATGGATAAGTTCCTGGAGACATAAACCCTCCCTAGCCTAAACCAGGAAGACGTTGAATCACTGAATAGACCAATAACAGGCTCTGAAATTGAGGGAATAATTAATAGCTTACCAGCCAAAAAAAGTCCTGGACCAGATGGATTCACAGCCAAAGACTACCAGAGGTACAAAGAGGAGTTGGTACCATTCCTTCTGAAAATATTCCAATCAATAGAAAGAGGGAATCCTCCCTAAGTCATTTTATGAGGCCAGCATCATCCTGATACCAAAGCCTGGCAGAGACACAACAAAAAAAGAGAATTTTAGACCAATATCCCTGATGAACATAGATGTAAAAATCCTCAATAAAATACTGCCAAACAGGATCCAGCAGCACATCAAAAAGCTTATCCACCACGATCAAGTTAGCTTCATCCCTTGGATGCAAAGCTGGTTCAACATATGCAAATCAATAAACGTAATCCATCACATAAAGAGAATCAAAGACAAAAACCACATGATTATCTCAATAGATGAAGAAAAGGCCTTTGACAATATTCAACAGCCCTTCATGTTAAAACTCTCAATAAACTAGGTATTGAAGGGACGTATCTCAAAATAATAAGAGCTATTTCTGACAGACCCACAGCCAATATCATACTGAAACAGCAAAAACTGGAAGCATTCCCTTTGAAAACTGGCACAAGACAGGGATGCCCTCTCTCACCACTCCTATTCAACATAGTGTTGGAAGTTCTGGCCAGGGCAGTTAGGCAGGAGAAAGAAATAAAGGGTATTCAGTTAGGAAAAGAGAAAGTCAAATTGTCCCTGTTTGCAGATGACATGATTGTATATCTAGAAAACCCCATAATCTCAGCTCAAAATCTCCTTAATCTGATAAGCAACTTCAGCAAAGTCTCAGGATACAAAATCAATGTGCAAAAATCATAAGCATTCCTATACACCAATAAGAGACAAACAGGGAGCCAAATCATGAGTGAACTCCCATTCACAATTGCTTCAAAGAGAATAAAATACCTAGGAATCCAACTTACAAGGGATGTGAAGGACCTCTTCAAGGAGAACTACAAACCACTGCTCAATGAAATAAAAGAGGACACAAACAAATGGAAGAACATTCCATGCTCATGGATAGGAAGAATCAATATGAAAATGGCCATACTGCCCAAGGTAATTTATAGATTCAATGCTATCCCCATCAAGCTACCAATGACTTTCTTCACACAACTGGAAAAATCTACTTTAAAGTTCATATGGAACCAAAAAAGAGCCCGCATTGCCAAGACAATCCTAAGCCAAAAGAACAAAGCTGGAGGCATCACGCTCCCTGACTTCAAAGTATACTACAAGGCTACAGTAACCAAAACAGCATGGTACTGGTACCAAAACAGAGAGATAGACCAATGGAACAGAACAGAGTCCTCAGAAATAATACCACACATCTACAACCATCTGATCTTTGACAAAGCTGACAAAAACAAGCAATGGGGAAAGGATTCCCTATTTAATAAATGGTGCTGGGAAAACTGGCGAGCCATATGTAGAAAGCTGAAACTGGATCCCTTCCTTACACCTTATACAAAAATTAATTCAAGATGGATTAAAGACTTAAATGTTAGACCTAAAACCATAAAAACCCTAGAAGAAAACCTAGGCAATACCATTCAGGACATAGGCATGGGCAAGGACTTCATGACTAAAACATCAAAAGCAATGGCAACAAAAGCCAAAGTAGACAAATGGTATCTAATCAAACTGAAGAGCTTCTGCATAGCAAAAGAAACTACCATCAGAGTGAACAGGCAACCTACAAAAACCTCAAAAAGTGAGCTAAGGATTTGAACAGACACTTCTCAAAAGAAGACATTTATGCAGGCAACAGACACATGAAAAAATGCTCATCATCACTGGCCATCAGAGAAATGCAAATCAAATCCACAATGTGATACCATCTCCTACTAGTTAGAATGGCGATCATTAAAAATTCAGGAAACAACGGGTGCTTGAGAGGATGTGGAGAAATAGGAACACTTTTACACTTTTAGTGGGACTGTAAACTAGTTCGTCCATTGTGGAAGACAGTGTGGCGATGCCTCAGGGATCTAGAACTGGAAATACCATTTGACCCAGCCATCCCATTACTGGGTATATACCCAAAGGATTATAAATCATGCTGCCATAAAGACACATGCACACGTATGTTTATTGTGGCACTATTCACAATAGCAAAGACTTGGAACCAACCCAAATATCCAACAATGATAGACTGGATTTAAAAAATGTGGCAAATATACACCATGGAATACTATGCAGCCATAAAAAAGGATGAGTTCGTGTCCTTTGCAGGGACATGGATGAAGCTGGAAGCCATCATTCTGAGCAAACTATCGCAAGGACAGAAAAGCAAACACCGCATGTTCTCACTCATAGGTGGGAATTTAACAATGAGAACACTTGGACACAGGGTGGGGAACATCACACACTGGGGCCTGTGGTGGGGTGGGGGAAGAAGGGAGGGATAGCATTAGGAGATATACCTAATGTAAATGACGAGTTAATGGGTGCAGCACACCAACACGGCACATGTATACATATGTAAGAAACCTGCACATTGTGGACATGTACCCTAGAACTTAAAGTATAATTTAAAAAATTCTAGAAAATAAAAATCCATTCCATTAAAAAAATACTAAATTAGTAAATGTACATGTTTCCTGAGTTCCACAAGCTGTCCTACCCAATTAAACCTAAGTTGGGAGCTATGGGAATTCTGATACATAGCTGGACACTCAGAAGTACAGGTGACAACCTGCTACTTCCAATTAGTGTTGAAGCGGGGACATTCCTGTGAGATAGAGGCCTCAACCTGTGAGGGCTCCATCTCACAAGATTTAGCACACTAGATCTTGTGAGATATGATCTTGTGATATCTCACAAGATCTGACACTATCCAACCCAACTAAATACTGTCGGAATTGAATAATGGAATACCCAGTTGGTGTCCATTGAAGAATTGCTTGGTGTGTGAGGGAATAATCCTCACATATTAATAATAGAAGTGCAGTGTTCTGTGCTGTGTTAGGTGGGCATAGAGGGAAATAAAGTTTGTCTTTTCCTCTATGTTTCTCTGAAATCCCTTTCAAAACCACAATAGTCTTTTCTTTGCAGAAACGTACAAGCTAATCATAAAATTGGAAAATTGGGGCTCAGTATTGCCAAAACAATCTTGATGGAGCAGAGGAAATTTGGAGAACCACACTTCCCGTTTTCACAAATTACTACAAAGCTATAGTAGTTAAGACAATGTGCTACTGTCATAAGGGTAGACCTATATAAGGTAATATAATAGAATTCAGAGTGCAGAAATTAACCCATGCATTAATATTCAATTGATCTTAAAAAGGATTGCCAGGACAATTTAATGGGGAAGGAATAGCCTTTTCAACAAATGGTCCTGGAACAAATGGATATGCACATACAAAATAATGGAGTTGCACTCATATGTATCAAAGACTTGAATGTGAGAGGTAAAAGTATAAAATGTTTAGATAAAAAATGAAAATTTTAATGACATTTGATTAGGCACCTTTTTAAAGTATGACACAAAGATCAAGCAAGAAATGACAATATAGATAAATTTGACTTCAAAATTTATTTTGTACATTGAAGGACACTACCATGAAAAGACAATCTACAGAATTAGAGAAAGCCTTTTCAAGCCATCAATATATCTGATTAGAGTCTAGTGTACATAACATATAATGAACACTTAAAACAACAATAAAAAGAGAAAAACAAAAATAATTTGGTCAGTTAAAACATAACCAAATTATGTGAATAGATACTTCTCCAAAGAAGACGTATATATGACAAATGAACACACAAAAATATGTTCAACATCATTAATCATATAGGGAAATGCAAACCAGTAAGGTATTCTTTATATCCACTGGGATGGCTATAAATATTTTAATAAGGAAATAAATGGTATTGGTGATTTGCAAAATTTGAATCCTCATATATTGAAGGAGGGAATGTAAAATAGTGCAGCTGCTATGGAAAATACTTTCACAGTTTATAAAATAATTCACTGTAGAATGCCAATGTGACCTATCAATTCTAATCCTAACTCTATAACCATAAGAATTGAAACCATATGTTCAAACAAAATCTTGTACACAAAAAAAAAGTCCATCAATGGTTAAACAAAATGTGGTCTAGCAAAACAATAATATATTGGGCCATAAAAATAAATTAATTACTGATATGTGCTCCAAAATGGATGAATGTTGAAAAGATGCTCCCTGGAAGAAAAAGGATGTCAAGTGTAGGCAATTTCATGGAGATATAAAGTAGATAAATGTTTGCCAATGACTTAGAGATGAAGATGATGGAGAGTATATGTTAATGAACATGGGAGTATGGAAATGTTCTCTAATTAGATAGTGGTAATAGTTGCACAGCATTGTGAAAATACTGAAAACTGCTGAAGTACACATTTTAAAATACTAAAATTTATGTTATATATCAATAATAAAAAATAGAAAAATAAAAATAATATAATGTTATTATATTTCACAGTGTACATGCATACCAGTAGGCTGTATGACTGTATTCATTTTATTTTATTTGTATAAATTTATGGGGTACAAGTGTAATAATGTTACATGGATATATTGTATAGTGGTGAAGTCAGGGCTTTTAGTATATCCATCACCAGAATAATGTACATTGTATCCATTAATTAATATTTCATCTGCCAAATCCCCATCCTTGAGTCTATATTGTGTATTATTCTACACTCTAAGTCCATGTTTACATGTCATTTATCTCCTACTTATAAGTGAGAACACGAGGTGTCTGTCTTCCTGTGTCTTACTTCCTGGGTCTCTTGAAGACAGCATAGTTTTAGGTCTTGTTTCTTTATTTACCTTGCCACTCTGTGACTTTTAATTGGGGCACTTAGCATATTTACATTCAAGGTTAGTATTGACGTGTGGATTTGATTCTGTCATAATATTAGCTGGTTATTTTGCACACTTATTTGTGTGGTTGCTTTATAGTGTCACTGGTGTGTTTTTACATCAGTGTGTTTTTTTAGTGACTGGTAACTGTTTTTCTTTTCCACATTTAGTGCTTCCTTCAGGAGCTCTTATAAGGCAAGTCTGCTGATAACAAACTTCCTCTGCATTTGCTTGTCTGAAAAGGATTTTATTTCTCCTTCACTTATGAAGCATAGTTTGGATGGATATGAAATTCTGGTTTTGGAATTTTTTTTTTTTAAGAATGTTGAATATTCGTCCTCAATCTGTTCTTGTTTGTAGGGTTTCTGCTGAGAGGTCTGCTGTTAGTCTAATGGACTTCTTTTTGTAGGTGACCTGACCTTTCTCTGTAGCTGCCATTAACATTTTTTTTTTTTTTTGACCTTGGAGAATTAGATGATTATGTGTCTTGGAGATGATCTTCTTGTAAAGTGTCTAACTGTGCTTCTCTGCATTTCCTGAATTTAAATGTTTGCCTTTCTATCTAGGTTGAGGAAGTTCTCATGGATGATATCCTGAAATGTTTTCCAAGTGATTCCATTCTCCCCATCTCTTTCAGGTACACCATTGAATCGTAGATTTGGTCTCTTTACATAATCCCATACCTCCCAAAGATTTTGTTCATTCCTTTGCATTCTTTTTATGTCTGTTCTTGTTTGCCTGTCTTATTCCAAAAAGATAGGCTTCAAGCTCTGAGATTCTTTCTTTCCACTTGGTCTATTCTGCCATTGATACTTATGATTGCATTGTGAAGTTCTCATAGTGTGTTTTTCAGCTCTATCAGGACAGTAATGTTATTTCCTATACTGGCTATTTTGTCTGTCAACTTCTGAATTGTTTTATCATGATTTTTAGCTTCCTTGGATTGGGTTTCAGTGTACTCCTGTAGCTCAATGATCTTCATTCCTATTCATATTCTGAATTATATTTTTGTCCTTTCAGCCATCTCAACCTGGTTCAGAACTCTTGCAGGAGAGGTGATGTGGTCATTTGGAGGAAAGAAGGTACCTGGGCTTTTTGAGTCTTCAGGATTCTTGGGTTGATTCTTTCTCTTCTTTCCGTGCTTATCTTCCTACAATCTTTGCTGTTGCTTACTTTATTTTATCCTATCTAATTATTTTGAGGGCTTGATTGTGGTATAAGTTGGATGCAGCCGTTGATGAAAAGAGTCAAACTCCGTAAAATATTTTAAGAGATTTGTCCTGAGCCCAATATGAGTGACCATGGCCTGTGATACAGCCCTCAGGAGGTCCTGAGAACATGTGTCCAAGATGGTTGGGGTGCAGCTTGGTGTTATACATTTTAGGGAGGCATGAAACATCAATTAAATACATTTGAGAAATACATTGGTTTGGTCGAGAAAGGCAGGAAAATTCGAAGAAGGGGCTTCCAGGCTTTGGGTGAATTTAAACATTTTCTTGTTTACTCTTGGTTGAGTTTGTCTAAAGACCTGGGATTAATAGAAAGGAAATGTTCAGGTTAAGATAAAAGATTATGGAGACCAAGGTTTCTGAAGTCTCATAGTGGCTGCCCTTACAGACAATAGATGACAAATATTTCCTATTCAGATCTTTAAAAGGTGCTAGAATCTCAGTTAATATCTTCAGGATTGGGAGGGCCTGGAAGAAAAAGATCTAGCTATATTATTAGAGAGTCTTTACATATGCAAATTTCCCCCACAAAGGATGGTTTTGAAGGGCCATTTCAAAATATGATGAAGCATTTTGGGGTAAAATATTTTTATTTTCTTCTTTGTCACATAAGGTTATGCCAGAGTCAGATTGGAAAGTAAGTCACGATATACAGGGTTAAATAAAACCCATCAGATGATAATTTATAGTTTGTAGGGCATGACTCCTCAGATCCCTTACATAAGAATTTGGACAAGATTAAAAAAAAATTCAGATCTTAGTCCTTACAGCCAACTGGCTTCATTTCTGAAAGATTTTAGGTGGCCAGCGCTTACCTCCCAACTTTTGGACTGCATTCTCTAACTGTGGGGAACTTGTATTGGGTCTCAACTTTGTTCTCTGCCTCCTTGAATTTAGGAATTTACTGCACTATGAGGGCCAAGGTGCTCCTGCACTGCTGTTCACTACACTCCAATGGGTAGTGTCAGCCAAAGCGTTTTATAGTATGTTTACAGCCAGATCCTTCCTCATTCACATATGCCAGCAACAGCAGTAGCAGCAGCTGCAGCAGTGTGGTAAGTTGGTGCCAGGGTGCCTGCCTCTCTGCAAATGTTCACCACAGTGGTGAAGGCAATGCAGGGTGGGAGGGAGGTACAGGCAGCCCCTGATGGTGTCTATAGACATGCTGGCAAAGTTTTTGACTCAGATGTTGGTTCATGGGGCATGTGGTCATGCTGGAGATGGTGCTGGCTCAAGGGTGGGCTTCTGGCAGGCACAAGTCTGGGCGCCGTCTCAGTGCTCCACAATCAGGAGTGGCTGCTCAGGGCTGGGAAGTATCCACTGTTTTCTGTTCAGTGTTAGTGCAAGAGCTCCAGCACCATTGATTGAAAAGAGTGTCATTCTTCAATGTATGTTCTTGTCAACTTTGTCAGAGATCAGTTGGCTGTAGACATGTGGCTTTATTTCTGGGTCCTCTATTCTGATCCATTAACATATGTATCTATTTTCATACCAGTTTCATGCTGTTTGGTTACTATAGCCTTGTAGTATAATTTGAAGTCAGGTAATGTGATGCCTCCACCTTTGTTCTTTTCACTTAGGATTGCTTTGGCCATCTACACACTTTTCTGGTTTTGTGTGAATTTCACTATTGTTTTACTAATTCTGTGAAAGAATAACATTTATATTTTGACATGATTGGATTTAATCTCTAGATTGTTTTGGTCAGTATGGTCATTTTAACTGTATTAATTTTTCCAATTCATGAGCATGAGATGTTTTTCCATTTGTATTATCTATAATTTATTTTGTCAGTGTTTTGCAGTTTTTCTTTCACCTTCTTGGTTAAATATATTCCTGAGCATTTATTGTAGATATTGTGAATGGAATTTCCTTCTTGAGTTTGTTCTCAGATAAGATTATTGTTGTATAAATAGGCTACTGATTTTTATACCTTTCTTTTGTATCCTAAATCTGTATTGAACTCATTTATCAAATCTAGGAAATTTTTGGTTGAATCTTTAGGATTTTATAGATACATAAGCATAACATCTGCAAATAGCAATAATATCACTTCCTCTTGTCCAACTTAGATGGCTTTTATTTCTTTCTCTTTCCTGAATGCTCTGGCTAGGACTTTTAGTTCTCTGTTTAATATGAGTGGTGAAAGTTGCATTCTTGTCTTATTTAAGTTCTTAGAGGAAAAGCTTTCGACTTTTCTCTATTGACTATGATGTTGGTTTTGCATTTCTTGTATATGGTCTTTGTCATTTTGAGTTATGTTCTTTTTATTCTTAGTTTATTGAGTATTTTATCATGAAGGGATGCTGAATTTTATGAAAAGTTTTCTCTGTGTATATTGAGATGATCATGTGATTTTTATTCTCAATTATTTTTATATAATGTATCACATGTACTGATGTGTGTATATTGAACCATCCTTTCATCTATGTTATAAAACCCACTTGATCACTGTGCAGTATCTTTGTGATGTGCTGTTGGATTTGGTTCACTAGTATTTTTTTGAGGATTTTTGCTTCAATGTTCATCAGTGTTATTGGTCTGTACTTTTTCTGGTTTCTATTTTCTGTGTCCTTGTTTGGTTTATATATCAGGATGATACTGGCTTCTTAGAATGAAGTAAGGGAAATTCTGTCCTCCTCACATTTTTGGAACAATTTCAGGAGTATTCATATTAATTCTTCTTTGTAGGTTTGGTAGAATTCAGCTGTGAATCTGTATGGGTATGGATTTTTTTGTTTTTGGGGTTTTCTTTTATTACTATTCCAATCTCCTTCTTCATTGTTGATCTGTTCTGGATTTCCATTTCTTTTTCTTTTTACAGTTTTTGGGAGGTTAGTTGTGTCCCAAAATGTATCTATTGTCTTTAGGTTGTTAAGTTTGTGAGCATTTAGTTGTTCAAAAGAGTATCCGATGATCATTTTTATGTGTATGTTATGAATTGCAGTGGTTAGTCTAGCTAGTGGTTTATCAGTTCTGTTTATCAATTCTTTTTGTTTTATTTTGTTTTGTTTTGTTTATCAGAACAAAAAAGAAACCTTTTTTGTTTTGAAGAGTGAGTTTTTTGTTTTATTGATTACTTTGTATTGGTTTGGTTTTTGATGTAGTTTATTTAGTTCTGCCCTGATTTATTTATTTATTTATTTATTTATTTATTTATTTATTTATTTTCTTTTGCTAATTTTGGGTTTGGTTTTTTCTTGGTTTGGTTGTTTCTTGAGGTGTAACATTAGGTTGTTATTTTTTGATTGCTCTACTTTGTTGATGTAGGCATTTACTGCTATAAACTTTCTTCGCTTTGTTATATCCCAGAAGTTCTGGTATATATTTCCATTTGTATTCATTTCAAAGATTTTCTTAAATTTCTGTCTTAACTTTATTGACCTAAATACTCAGGAGTGTGTTGTTTAATTCCCATGCTTTTGTATATTTTCAGTGTTTCCTCTTGGTATTTCTGTTTTTTCCATTGTGGTCTGAGAAGATACTTGATATGATTACAGTTTTTAAAAATGTGTTAAGACTTGTTTTGTGGCCTAACATATGGCCTGTCTTGGAAAATGTTCCATGTGCAATGAGAAGAATGAATGTATATTCTTCAGTTGTTGGGTAGAATGTTCTATAAATGCCTGTTAGGTCCATTTGGTCTAAAATTCAACATAAATCCAAAGTTTCCGTGTTGTATTTTTTGTCTCATTGATCTGTCTAGTGCTGTAAGTGGGGCATTGAGGTCCCCCATTATTAATGAATTGCTGTATATCTCTTCTTTAGGTCTACTAATATTTGTTTATGAATGGTGGGAGCTTTGGTTTTGGGTGCATATACATTTAGAATTGTTATATCCTCTTACTGAATTGATGACTTGGCCATATTTTTTATAATATGATTATCTTGCCTTTTTTTACTGTTTTTGATTTAAAGACTGTTTTATCTGATATAAATATAGTGACTCCTGCTTTCTGTTTCTATTTGTACATAATTTTTTTTCACACTTTACTTTCAGTTTAAATGTATCTTTACAGGTAAACTGAGTTTCTTGTAAGCTTCATATGGTTGGATCATAATTTTCTAAATCCATTTTGTCAATCTGTGTCTTTTAAGTGGAGCATTGAATTCATTTATATTCAGGGTTAATAATGATATGTTACATTTAGTTACTGTCATATTGTTAAAAATATAAAAATGTATAAAAGTATTCTCCAGGCCGGGCGCGGTGGCTCATACCTGTAATCCCAGCACTTTGGGAGGCTGAGGCGGGCGGATCACGAGGTCAGGAGATCGAGACCATCCTGGCTAACATGGTGAAACCCTGTCTCTACTAAAAATACAAAACATTAGCCGGGCGTGGTGGCAGGCGCCTGTAGTCCCAGCTACTCGGGAGGCTGAGGCAGGAGAATGGTGTGAACCCAGGAGGCGGAGCTTGCAGTGAGCCGAGATCGCGCCACTGCACTCCAGCCTGGGCAACAGAGTGAGACTCTGTCTCAAAATAAATAAATAAATAAAAGTATTATCCAGCTGTTTTATAAATTCTGTTAGTCTTTAGTGTTATTGTATTGAATCACCATTTGATTTATTTCTCTTCATCCTTTATGTGATGGTTTTATAATACCTGTGAGGTTACTTTTTCTGGGTGTTTCCATGATGGTGAATATTGACTTTTAATTTCCATGTTTAGGATTCCTTTGGGCATTTCTCATAAGTTAGTGCAGTGGTGATGAATTTCCTCAGCATTTGCTTCTCTGGAAATTATTTCTTCTTCTTTGAAGCTTAATCTAGCTGGATATAAAATTGTTGATTGCAGCTTTTTGTTAAGCGTTTGATAATACTATCCCATTCTGTTCTGACTGTTAAGTTTTCTGCTAGTATGTTTTCACTTAGTCTGATAGGGTTTCCTTGTGGGTCAGTAGATACTTTTCTCTTGATAATTTTACAATTCTTTTTTTCACATTTTTTAGACAGTCTGATGAGAGTATGCTATAGTGAATTCCTTTTTATAATGTATTTTCCAAGAGATTGTTGGTCCCCCCGTATGTGTATGTCTACATTTCTTTGCATAATCTGGAAGCTTTCATCAATTATTTCTTTAAATAGGTTTTATATCATTTTTAAAATTTTTATTCCTTTTTGGGAATACAAATAATTTGAAAGTTTGGTAGCTCTTAGTCCCATGAGTCTTGAAGGCCTTTCTCATTCTTTTTTATTCTTTTTAAAAGTTTTTGTCTTCATGGGCTATTTCAACACACCTGTCTTCAAGTTCTGAGATTCTTTATTTTGCTTGTTCTGGTATATTGTTGAAAATTTGACATGATTTTTTAAAGATATTTATATTCTTGATAAGTTGATTGTTTATATTCTGAATTGATTTTGTATTTCTTTGTATTGGTTTCAGATTTTTTCTTGCATTTCATTGAGCTTTTTAAAAATCAATATTCTGACTTATTTGGCATTTTGAGGATTTTTTGTTAGAATCTATTGCTAGAGAATTATTGCGATCCTTTGAAAGTGTCATAATACCTTGCTTTTTCATGATTCTTGTATCTTTACATTGATCACTGCATATCTGGAGTATTAGTCTTTTTTTATTTCTGAATGTACTTTCATGGGGGAGGCTATTCTTGATGTGACTCTGGTGTATGTTGTGTAAGGCTGTTTGGCTGTGTTCAGTGGCAAAGATTGTATGATTTCCTTGCTTCTAAATACCCTTAATATGATCTTTCTCAAAAGCCAGTAATCTTTCTCAAATGCCAAGTATACTAAATGGGTGAGTGCTCTCATGATTTCCTGAACTGAACAGCTGAGGTGGCATGCCTCATGCAGGTAGCAGTGGTCATAAAAACATTTTATCATTCCTGAGCGTTGTGCTCTTATGTCAGCTGTTATTGTAATGGGCTGTGCAGATTCACCTCCATGCCAGTAGTTGGTGCCTGCAGGTTACAGCCAGCTAAAGTGATAGCAGAAGTGTTTATGCCCAACCTCTTTATCTGAGAAAATTGCTCAAGTGGCCCAGGTGGTGCATGATACCATGGAATGTTCAGGGTCATGAGTTCATGTTCTGCCTTGGGTTGGAGTTGAAACTAACTGGAACCAGGCATGGGAAACCTACACTCAGGATCCTCAATGGTGGATTAAAGCACCAGCCCTGTTGGGGGTGGCATCATGGTACTCGGGCCTCTGGAAGAATGCATGGGTGAGGGACAACTGCTTCTTCATCAAGGTCTCAGCACAGAGAGGGAGGGGTGGTGCCAGTGCCACATTCTTAGCCAGTGGAAGTGAAATGTGCTTCCCCCTCACACTCCAGACTTGACATCATTCACTCTCCTGTACCAATTGTGGTAAGCAGTTTGAATATTTGGCTAGTCACTACAATTTGCTTCTAGTTTCCAACAAAGTCCCTAGTATTAGAAGTCACTGACTTGGTCAATACCATGCCTCCCAGGCAATTCTCCTCCTTCTCTGGTCCTAGAAGAGAAGCTCAGTTCTGGTACCAGTAGCTGGAGTCCACACTACACTCATATCTCTGTTCTGGCTGTGGGAGCTCCTCCCGTTTGAGCCCTAGTTGTCCGTGCCCCAGTGCAAGTCTCTCTAATGCCAAAGACTGCCACTGCCTCAAGCTCCCTTGACCCCACAGAGCTTGCTAAGAGCTAAAATCTAGAATGTCATTTTTCTTTAGGTACCCAAGTCTGAGGAAGTACATGGAACACTTCCCAGAGCAGTTCCTTCTTATAGGCTCCCGGCCATTACCCAAGTTAGATCTAGGGATTCAGAAAGTTAAGGTGCTCTCCTGTGGTCTGGATTTCACCATTCCCCAGTGGAAAAGTGAACTGCAGAGAAGCACTCACTCATGCTTTCCCATGTTGGGGATTCGTACCCAGTATTTAGCTGATCCCAGCCAAGAGAACTTCATGCCTTCCTTCTGTTTCCCAGATTCAGAATTTTTTTTCATTTTTCTGCTTAACTGCTGTGGTCCTTGTTATATAATTTTCAGAGAAGAACCACTATTTTTGCTCGTCTAAATGGATTAGGCACGTTGGAAAAACCTCTAGTCAGTAATCTTGAGGAAAATAAAGTATGTGTATATTTCTTAGATTCATCTTCTATATGGTATTTAAAATAGACTTTTTTAAATACTGCTTTTAGTGCTTGTCCAATTTTTAATTATTTTTCATTTTTATTTCTTTGTATTGGCAATATTGGGATAAATATTTTCTGTGTTTCTTTTTCATTTAAGTGAATTGCATGCTAGTATCAAAATTTTACCACACATATTTGTTGTTCCAATCCGAGAGGTTTTATTTCACCCTATCATTGATTTATAGATAACACAAACAACTGCTGGGTTGTTAGAAATAAATATTCACTTTGTTGTATCATTTGCTCATTTCATTTCAGAAATTGATCCATTATTATTTTACTCAAACATTTTATTATAAAATATTTAAATGTTCAGAAATATTGAAAGAATTAGGTTTTGAACATCCAAATATAACCTTCTAATATTAACATTTTACTATAATTGATTTATTATTTATCATATTTATGTATTTATATCGCTATAAATTTATTAATATACCTTTTTATCTTTCCAAAATAATATTTAACATTAATAATGAAATATTTCCAACAGGCACAATAGTAAAGGGATTAACATAAATTCCTAAATGCATACCATCCAACTATTAAATTATAACATTTTTATACTTGCTTTAGCTTCTCTTTAAACAAATAATTCATTACAAATGAAATTAAAATACTTTTTGTGCTATAATGTAATCCCATTTCCCTCTCCTTCTTGTGTTTATTTTTCCATGTATATTATTAAGATCCTAGTACATATTTTAGTATATAAAAATAACATTTATGTTGTTTTGCATGTTTTCAGTATTTACCAAAACAGTTTCATTTTGTGTATTATCCTGGGGTGTTCCGCCCAATATTTTGTCTGTGAAATTGATGCATGTTGATCGTGTTAGCCCAAGCCACGCCATTTTGCAGACTGCCACCATTTTACAAACTCTGGTCAGAATGGAAAATTCCACCAGCGCCTGAGCTGTGAGAAACATCCTGTTGGAAAGGTCCCAGGCCTAAACCCTGAGGGCAATAAATTCATCCTGTCAGACAGGTTCCAGGCCTAACCCCTGACTGCAGTAAATTCCTTCCTTTATCAGCAGCCAAACACACCACCCCCGCCCCATTTTCTCAACCATCCCCGACCTCTCCTGCCCAGGCCTAGAACTGCCCCAGCCTGTAAGAAGGACTGGGGCTCCGACGCTAGCTAGTACCCCCTATCTGCAGGCCTTTCTCCCAATAAACCTGTGTTGCCCTTGAGCTGCCTCTGCTCCATTCCTTTCTCCCTTTCGTTCTAACATTTGGTGCCAAAACCTGGGATGGGGTCTAGATCCCACAAGGGAGAGGTACTTCCTTGCAACCTGGGAAGGAAGAGGCAGCGGCAGCTCGCCCCGGGCTAATTCCCAAATCCTGATTGGCCCCTGGTTCCCAGCCCTGCCCACTTTCGTCTTTCTACGGAGGAATTCTTTCTCTCGGCCCCATCCTCCCACCGCTTTCTCCTTCCCCCTCTTTCCTCTCTGTGGCTCTGGCAAGGACCACTCCCATTGCATCCAACACCGGCCTCCAATTGTGGGTGAGTTTCCCTTTCCACCCTCTGGATTCCTCTCATATTTCTGCCTGTTAGCCAGAAAACCCCAGCGCCAGGTAAGAGGATTCCCCGGTCACCACTGGGTGACCCTGGCCTGCCTTCTCAGGGGATGCCCTCAGAATGCTCACGCTCTGACCACTCTGGTTTCTGGGGGACCACGAAGAGCTACGGGGGCACCCCGGCTCTTCTCCATCCCTTCTCATGGTTAGAATTGGGATACTCACTCCCCTACTCCACATTTTTCACCCTCCCAGCCACTCATATGGGGCAGGGCTCCTCGAAATCCCCTCCAGACACCCCTCTCAGATGTCTCATCTGGAACCTCCGAGCACTGGGCTTGGCCGACTCCATTAAAACTAAATGCCTTATTTTCCTTTGTAATGTGGCCTGGCCCCAGTATAAGCTGGACAATGATGGCTGCTGGCCCAGATGGGACTTTTGACTTCCAAATTCAACATGATTTAGAAAATGTCCTCCAGCACAATGGCAAGTGGTCCAAGATGCTCTATATCCAGGCTTTTGCCAATTCCCTCTATCAGTCCTGTTCACCTTACCAGCTGCTCCTCTTAAACAAGAAATCTGCCAAAATGCCTCCCCTTCCAGACAAGCCCTCCTCCTCCTCCTCCTCTGATTTTTATCCAGACGACGAATCCCCACCCGCCCCCCAGCCCCACTCCCACCACCGTCTCCTCCTCCTTCCCCTTCGGCTCCCCCACCCCCTTGTTCCTATCCCCCATCTCCTCTACCCTCTCCCCACCATAACTGATCTCATACTCAGCCCCCTTCTGCTGCTGAAAACCAGGCACAGGCCCAGAGGCCCTCTAAAGTCCCCCCATTGGGGGATGTTATGGAGACTGAAGGCATAGTCTGAGTTCATGTTCCTTTCTCTGTAGCTGATGGCTCTCAGATTGAAAAGAGACTTGACTCCTTTTCCACAGACCCCACATCCTTCCACAAGGAATTTCTGTATATCACTCAATCTTATGACCTTACCTGGCATGACATTTCTGTCATCCTCTCCTCCTCCCTCACCCTGGAGAACAGGGAACATATCTGGATCAGGCCCAAGCAGACACCCTCCACGGACAAGATGCTGCCCATAACCCAGTCACAACCCTCGCTATTCCCAGTACTGTCCCCAGTTGGGATTATCAGGTGGCTTCTGCAGACAGACAGAAACTAGGCCATATGATAACATGCCTCCTAACTGGCATGAATAAAACCGCCCTTACGACTGTCAAGTATGAAAAGATAAAGAAATCACTCAAGGCCCCTGACAAAAACCCTACTCTTTTTTTCTCCTGCCTTTCAGAGACCGTGATTAAATATACCAGCTTAAGCCCTGACACTGCCGAGGACAGAGTCTACCTCCATTTACACGTCATTTCCCAGTCAGCCCCCGACATCCAAAAGAAACTCCAAAGACTGGAGGATGGCCCTCAAACCTCCTAAAGAGACTTAATCAAAGCAGCCTTCAAGGTCTTTAACAATAGAGAGGAAGAAATAAAAACCCGAAAGCTTAAAAGAGACCAGGCTAAATACCAGATGCTGTCAGCTGCCATACAACAGGATTCCCCAATGCATACAAAAATCCTCAACCTCATGACAGTCCCCATCAGGAGTCTGTTTTAAGTGTAGCCAACAGGGTCCCTGGGCAAGAGTCTGCCCCAATCTTGTGCCGCCCTCAAAACCTTGCCTCATCTGTGGTATCAAGGGACACTGGAAGTCAGATTGCACTCAACAAGACTCTTCACCCCGCTTGACCACCTCTAACTCAAACAGGTCCTGCAACCCTGGTTCCAGTCTGGCAAGCATTGTAGACCTGGCTGCTGAAGACTGACGGGGCCCAGGGTCCGCTGCCCCCACCGCCATCACCACCTCGGAACCCAGGGTAACGCTGTCAGTCTTTGGTAAGCCCATGCTCTTCCTTTTAGATCTGGGGACTAGTTACTCAGTTTTATCAGAATATTCTTGACCCTCCTCAGTTCTTCTATCTCTATTGTGAGAGTCAATGGAATCCCCTCTAGGCACATACTGGTCCCCTATTATGCAACCTATTCAATACCCCCTTCATCCACTCCTTCTTAGTTATCCCTTAGTGTCCTACCCCTATCTTGGGGTGGAATATACTGAGTAAATTCCAGGCCCCCATATGACTAGCCTCCTGCAATTCTACCCCTTTTATTTTACTCTGCTGTCCAGATGCTTCCCTCTCCTCCCCCTCATCTTTGCTATCCACTCTGTTACCTTCTGTCAATCCAGAAGTGTGGAACGTTTCTAAACCCACAATAGCCACACATCACATCCCAGTCAAAATAACCTTCCAAGACTCCTCCATTTTCCTTCATCAGCCTCAATATTCCCTTAGCCCAGCCAGCCTCAGGGGCCTCAAACCTATTATCTGTGAGTTTTTACAAGCTCAGATTCTCAAACCTGTTAACTCTCCCCACAACACCCTTGTCCTGGCTGTCAAAAAAACAGACAGATTTTACCACTTGGTCCAGGATCTCCATGTCATTTACCAAGTGGAGGTACCAACCTATCCAGTGGCCCCCAACCCCTATACTCTACTCTCCCATATTCCCCCATCTAGCACACACTTCTCTGTATTGGATCTAAGGGACTTTTTTTTTTTTTTTTTTTTTTTTTTTTTTTTTTTTTACTATTCCCTTGGATCTGGCTTCCCAAAGTCTTTTTGCTTTCACCTGGTCAGACCCAGATACTCACACATCTACCTAACTAACAGACTGTACTCCCACAGGGGTTCCGGGATAGCCCCCTCCTATTTGGGCAGGCTCTCACCAAGGAACTAATCGAGCTTCCCCTTGCTCCTAGCAGCCTCCTTCAATACATCAATGACCTCCTTATGTGTAGTCCCTCCTTTGATCTATCCATCAACACATCACCCAACTTCTAAATTTCCTCTATGGCCAGGGATATCAGGTTTTACCTACAAAGGCTCAAGTAGCCCAAACCCAAGTCACTAACCTTGGACTCACCCTAACCCCTAATTCTTGAGCCATGCCAGCCCGATGGAAGGAGCTAATACAGGATGTGCCCCTTCCCCACACCAAGAAGGACCCTTCCTTTTTGGGCCTTGTTGGGTACTTCCAGCTGTGGATCATTAACTTTGGCCTGTTGACCAAACCACTCTGCACGGCATCACGTGGGTCCATCCTAGAACATTTGGACCCAGCTTGCCCATTAACTCCCACTTCTAAAAACTGAAAGATGCCCTTTTAATGTCCCAGCACTAGGACTACCCAATTCCATTAAACCCTTTACCCTGTATGTTCATTGTAATCAAGGCCTTGCCCTTGGATTTCTCTGCCAAACCCGTGGCAACACTCCAGAAGCCATTGCATACTTCTGAAAACTGGACTCTATCATCCAAGGCTGGCCTCCATGCTTGAAAGTTCTGGATGCAGCTACATTGCTGGCCTCAGAGGCACAAAAACTCACCCTCTACCAGCACATTACTATTGCATCTTCCCATAACTTATGGGACCCCATGAGCCATTGATCTCTTCTTTTCCTCCTGCCATCCAGCTTACAGCAACCCTCTAACACCTTCCAGAGATGTAAAATTCTAAATCCAACCACCCTCCTCCCTATAAGTACTTCCAATTCTGAATCCCCCACTCTTGCCTAGACCTCTTAGCCTCCCTCTCCTCCCCTTTCCAACACATTTCAGAAGCCCCTTTGCGGAAGGAACCCACATGGTTCATTGATGGAAGCTCTTTTAAGGAACCATATCTGGCAGCTGGCTATGCCATCATTGCCGAAAACAAACTCCTATAATCCAATGCTCTCTCATCACATATCACCTCACAACAAGCGGAACTATTTGCCCTAACCAAGACCCTCACTCTAGCAAAGGGAAAGAGGGTCAACATTTACACCAATTCCAAATATGCATACCATGTCCTACAGTCTCACACTGTAATCTGGCAGGAAAGGGGTTTTTCTAACTACAAAAAGAACCGCCATAATAAATGGCAAACTCATACACAAGCCGCTGGAGGCAGCTAAACTACCACTAGAGGCCGTCATTATCCATTGCAAGGGACACCAAAAGGCTACAGATGCCATAACCAAGGGAAACTTCTTAGCAGATTCGGCAGCCTGGCAGGCAGCCCTTAGAACACTATTGTTATTGCCCATTTTCCCTAGCATACACCCAAGAAGAAAAAGGTGCCTTGCTGGCTCCAGGGCTGTTCATAACGAAAGCTGAATTTACTTAGACTACAAACTCATCCTACCCAAGACCCAAAAACTTTCTGTTCTCACCCACATCCATAACCAATTCCATGCGGGTTATCTCCCGTTGCTCCAATTTCTAAAAACCTGTATACATTCCCTTACCATGGCCATCAGCTTGGACCGCCTCACTAAAGGTTGCTCTGCCTGCAGTCAGACTTCCCCTCAGGGGCCCTTAGACCACCTCCTTTTCCCTCCCTTCAGGCCCAAAGGCCAGTTGCCGGGACAGGATTGGCAAATTGACTTCACTCATACGTTCCCCCATAAAGAAAGTCTGATATCTCCTCACGATGGTAGATACCTTTTCAGGTGGATAGAAGCCTTTCTTACTACCACTGAAAAGGCACACACCATTGCCTCTACCTTCCTCACACACATCATCCTTTGATTCAGCCTCCCCTCATCTATACAACTGGACAATTGACCAGCATTTATCTCCCAAGTCACTCAACAGGTTTCTAAGTCTTTAAACATCATATGGGTTTTTCACATTCTCTATCACCCCCAATCCTCGGGTAAATTTGAACAGGCGAATGCCCTCTTAAAACAACAGTTAACCAAACTTTCCCTAGAGATCAAAATGAAAACTGAATATCACTTCTTCCCTTGGCCCTTATGTGCCTCAGGGCCCTCCCCCGAAAACCTCTAAATCTAAGTCCTTTTGAACTTTTGTATGGACGTTCTTTCGTCCTACAGAACTTTGCTCCATCCCCTCCCTTACAGGACACCTGGCCAGCACTGCACCTCACTCAACACTTAGTCCGACAGTACACTGACACTCACCTCCCCAAACCTGAGGATTCTTCCCAATTCACTTTCTTACCCTTACAGCCAGGAGACTGGGTCTGGGTAGCACACCCCTCCTCCCCTTTCCAACAAAATGGAAGGGTCCCTATCAGGTTATATTCACCATCCCCGCTGCTGCAAAGTTAACATCCTTTCCCTATTGTATACACCATTCCAAATTTAAAAAGGCACCCGGCCCACACCCCGAAGTCTCCTCACCCCGGAAATATTCTTCCTTTCCCACAGGACCAACCTCGCTGTGCCTAACAAGAATTCCAGAAGTCACCCATCCGAAAGGCACTGGCCCATGACACTCTCCACTTCCAATCTTAAATCTTTTACTTCATACCTTGTCTCAGATCTCTCCTGGTACCCCTTCCCCACGCCCTTAGATAATCCATCTCAATTCCTCATGCTAATTGAGGAGCTATGGCTGCAAGGCACCTTCCAGGATTTCACACCTACACAAATCTCCTTTTTCTCCTTTTGCCTTCTCTGCTTATGGGATATTCTGAGTCCCCACCCCCAATCACTGACAGCTGGGCCCCCTTCATCAGCCTCACACACCACGTATTAAGTCAGTCACAATCTCCCCTCTCCTCTAACTGCTGGATTTGTCTTTCTACACACACCCAATGATTCACGGCTCTTCCGGCTGACCTACTTACATGGACACAGTCCAACGTGAGCTTACACATTTCTTACTTGGCTATACCATTCTTGGCTGATTCATTCCTGAAACCGGTTCATAACCTGGAAACTCAGCTAAACACCTTTCCTTCAAACTCAGCTCTCTCAGCATGGTTTCAGGTAGGGCTGTTGCCCTCCTTCACCTAATAGCTTCTGGACTAACATCCATACAAACCAACACAGCATCATCTAAACCACCAATATGGGGGTACCATTTCTACTCAAACTTCCTTCATATCCCCACCCCCCTTATGTCTCAGCCGAACCTACCCTAATCCAGCCCACGCCACAATGGTGGGACAGGTTCCCCAGTCCCTATGTGGTCTTATTTTTACCCTTGCACTCCCTGTAGACCATCAATTCTACACCCTAATTACAAAATCATATCCACCTCTGCCTGGCAGAAGGTGTTATGCTTTTCTGGCTCGCCTACCATCCACACATCCCTACACCTCACCACCGGATCCTCTTTTCTTTCCTTCCATCCAATTCCTGGCTTCCCCGCTGCCAACTCTGCTCTCTATGTCTCCAGTTTAAAGGTGCCCCCTGGAAAAAATGTAACAATTCCCTCACCTGTGACTGGTACCTGACAGCCACCACACCGGGGCAGCAATGGCTAACGGTTGACAAAGACAATTTCTTTCTCTCTCCAAAACCAAACAGCCTTCATCAACTCCCTAGCCAAGACTCCCTATCAGGCCCTTACAGGTGCCGCTCTGGCTGGCAGTTACCCAATTTGGGAAAACGAAAATACCCTATCATGGCTACCTACCTTCACCTACAACTTCTGCCTGTCCACCCCCAGTCTCTTCTTTTTGTGTGATACAAACTGATATCTTTGCCTACCAGCCAACTGGTCAGGAACTTGCACCCTGGTCTTTCAGGCTCCAACCATCAACATCCTACCCCCTAACCAAACTATTCTAATTTCTGTAGAAGCCTCTATCTCCTCTTCACCCATAAGAAATAAATGGGCTCTACATCTCATCACCCTGCTAACAGGATTAGGCATCACTGCTGCACTTGGCACTGGAATAGCAGGCATAACCACCTCAATCACCTCATACCAAACACTATTCACAACCCTTTCTAACACCGTAGAAGATATGCACACTTCCATTACCAGTCTCCAACGACAATTAGACTTCCTCGTGGGAGTCATCCTTCAAAACTGGAGAGTCCTGGACCTCCTAACCACTGAGAAAGGGGGTACCTGCATATACCTCCAGGAAGAATGCTGTTTCTGTGTTAATGAATCTGGCATTGTTCATATCGCAGTTCGTAGGCTTCATGACAGGGCTGCAGAGCTTTGACATCAAGTCGCTGACTCCTGGTGGCAAGGATCATCCCTTCTAAGATGGATACCCTGGGTTGCCCCCTTCCTAGGACCCCTGATCTTCCTCTTCCTGTTACTAATGATTGGGCCATGCATATTTAACCTTGTATCCCGCTTCATTTCCCAAAGGCTGAATTGTTTTATCCAGGCAAGCATGCAAAAACACATTGATAATATATTTCACCTTTGCCACGTCTAATACCAGAGCCTACGAGGAAACCATTCGGAAGCTCCAGAACCCAGGCCCTAATCACAACGCCCCTATCCAGCAGGAAGCAGCCAGATGATCAACGACGCCCTTTTTCCTTTTTATACTAAAGTAAGAAATAAGAATGTTAGCCCAAACTGCACTATTTTGCAGACCCCTACCATTTTACAAACTGGTCAGAGTGGAAAATTCCACCAGGGCCTGAGCTGTGAGAAACATCCTGTCAGGCAGGTCCCAGGCCTAACCCCTGGCTGCACTAAATTCCTTCATTATCAGCAGCCAAACACACCGCCCCCACCCCATTTTCACAACAATCCCAGACCTCTCCTGCCCGGGACTGTAACTGGTCCAGCCTGTAAGCGGGAAGGGGGCTCTGGCACTAGCTGGTACCCCCTCTCCGCAGGTCTTTCTCCCAATAAATCTGTGTTGCCATTGAGCTGCTTCTGTTCCGTTCTTTTCTCCCTTTCATTCTAACAGATCAAACTACTTCATTCAATTCTGACTGAGGTATAAATATTCCATTTTATGAAAATAATATACTTATTTAATCCATTTTACTTTAGTTTTATGTCATTTTTTGCTACCACAAACAGTATTCAATAAACATTTTAGAATATATTTCTTTTTGCACCTGTGCAAAAGTTTTACTTCAATATAAATATCTTAAAGTAAAATTATTTTATTGAAGGACATACATTTGTGTTTTATCCCATGGAACTTGAACAGGAAAAAAGATCTTCAAAATATGGCCTCCCAGGAATGTGAGTTTAGTACACCATAGTATAGTAGATCATACTGATTGTTACCAATAAACATAAAGGCAATTGGAAAAATTTAAGATTTTCTACCTAGTACAAGGATGAAATACCAAGGTCTGCATAAAAAATACACATAGTAGTCATAAATGATGAGAGATTATTATGACTGTTTTTTCAAAACAGCCCCAAGGCCAAGCCCCTGGCTATATAAAAGAAGCCTTTGAGATTCCCACCTTGTGGTGAAGTATCTAATCATGAAAGACTCTGTGGATGACTGATTGTCAGACGGTAAGCCTAAAAATCTATGAAAATAATGTTTCCCAAAAAGTTCACTAGGCTAGAAACAAAAGACAGTTAGAAAATTTTGACTGATACTGGCCCCAGTGATGTCTTTTTTTAGCTTCTTTTGCACTTACTTACATTTTAGCACCTACTTGTTATTTTCCATGTCTCTTTTGTCTTTAACTTGATAATAGAGTTCCTTTGCATTCTCACGCAGCAATTATTATAATACTTATATATTGTATGCACTCAATAAATATTTGTGTCTAATTGTTTAAAACCTATCAATGAGCTCCCATAACTGTCAGAATAATTCCAAATTCTAAAATTCTAGCCAAGGCCTTTCACTATCTGATTAAGAGGTACTTATCTAGTCTTACTTCTCAAAACAATCCTTAACTACTTCAATTCCTGGAAATCCCCATGGTCTTACCACATTTGGTCTTAGGGATGTTGAAACATGGCACTCTTTCTGCCTAAACGATTTTCCTTCATTTCCCATTTACTCACAGATTAGATGTCACTTCTTAAGGTAAGCCTTTTCTTATCCATTGGAATATGATAAATGTCCCTTTCATGTGTTTGCGTAGCACTGTATACTCACATTTGTATTGTAATTGCCTATTGACTTATGTCAATCATTGAATACATGAAAGCCTCTTAAAGGCAAAGACTAAATATGATTTCCATTGCAGATGGCATACCAGAGTTTATGTTCAAAAAAATTCTTAAATCTTTTTTGTAATTAAAAATTTATGAAAATAATTACATCAGTATATGGTGGAGTCTGCAATCAAGCCTTCCTGTTCCCACAAAGAGCAACAATTTGTTGTGAATAAAACTAAATGGAAGAGCTTAGGGGTCCACTTAAGAGCCTCTGAAATACAGTGAAAAAAAAACTGAGAAGAACCACACAAAAAGTATTAAAAAAATCATTTCATTTCACCTGCATTAACCCATTCCTCAAGCTGGCACTTCTCAGCATGGAGTGGGAACTCTCTGGCATGCCTGCCCACCTTGCACAGAAAAGAAAAGGAGGATGTACAACCAGCTTCCTCGGGCTTTTGGAATGTTGCCCAAATGACAGCTTCAGTTTCACTCCACACAGATCAGTGGGAGAAATGCTATGGCTGAGACATCTGGATATGGCAGAGAAAAAGAAGGGGGACAGGCTCAATCAGTATCGGCCATGTGAATAGTCTCAGAGTGAACCCTAGTGGTCTGCTCAGCACAGGATTCTAGCAGACATCTCCACTGAGGACCTCAACAACCCTCCTGGTGGATGTGCAGCCCCTGCAGCAATCATTGCCCACAACTACTCCGTGTTCTTGATTACTAACATCATTGACTTGTTCTACAGAGGAGCTTAGCGGCTTTCACCACTGAGGAAAACTGCCAACAAAAGAGCAGAAAACCCTCTGTAGTTTTTGCCACCAAAGGCCCTGCAGTATTTTTTCTTCACCATCTCCATGTACTTTAGACACTCCCTTTTCCTGGAGTCACCCAGAGTCACAACTGCTGCTGCTGCAGTCACCAGGGCCCAGGGACTCATCAAGCAACATTGACAGTCACCAGATACCTGACCAGATGATGTTCTCTCTCTCTTTTTTTCTTTCTCTTTCCTCCTCTCCCCTCCCTAGAGCCACCTGAGCTACTCTCACCATAGTTAGCCCAACTAGGTGACTCACTACTGTATCCATTGGTATTTTCCAGGTGACTAAACCATGACTCTTCCTTTGTGGAGTCACCCCAGCTGCTGCCTCTGCAGGTGCTTTGTCCCAGAGACCCAGTGCAGCTACTGTGCTTGTGCCCACAGATAGTCCCAGGGCCCCTGCTGAAGGCTCTAGCCCCAACATCTTGCACACCCAAGGCTGGCCACTGAAGCTAGGCTGTTGCACACTGCCAGCCCAGCCCCACAGTTGAACTTGAACAAGCACCTTGCCATGCCTCTTGTCTCCTGCCTCCAAAATACTGCCTACACACACAGCTGGCTCCTGGAGCTGCACACGTGTGCACACTTCCAGCTTATTCCTGAAGCTGCCCATGCATGCACACATGACTTCATCTTACTGCTGAACCTCAGATGGCCTGTTCAGTCGTTCATGTGCAAGCTGACAGCAAGCACTGCCACATGTGCACTCATACTCAGCCTCAACTCATACCTCTGAACCCAGCCCTCTAGGTGGCCTGTGCTGGAACGCTCATGATTACAACTAGCTTCTGCAGTGAAACATGTACACATCACTGGCTGCAACCTTCATGATTGCCAGCCCTAGAGCCTAGTTACTGGGCAGAGAGACACAGATGAGTTTACTGACACCCCTCACAGATACTGAAGATCTCCCACAGGTCTTGCCAACAAGGATCATTCAGGTGACAATATTAAGGTCTGATATAAGTATAGCCAACCCTGTTATAAGATGTTTTACATTACCTTCATGGTAACTACAAAGCAAAAATGTATATTAGACATACAAAAGAAAAAGATGAATTAAAGCATAATATTACAGAAAACCATCAAATCACAAAGGAAGACATGAAGAGAGGAAATAGGAAACAAAGGATCTACAAAACAGCCAGAAAAGAATAGAATGGCAGCAGTAAGTTCTTACTATCAATAATTACCTTGAATATAAATAAATTTTCCCATGGCCTGAATGGATTAAACAATAAAACACCCAACTCTATGTTGCTTACAAGAGGTTTAACTTTAAGGACACACAGAGACTAAAAGTTAAGTGATGAAAAAATGTATTCCATGGACTTTGAAACCAAAGAGAGTAGTGATAGCTACTTATAACAGACAAAATATGCATTAAGTAAAAAAACTAAAAATTTAAAAAGGTCAATATAAATAAAAATCAAGGTGATGTAACAACTTTTAATATAGATGCAACCGATTTCACAGCACATAAATATGTAAAGCAAATATTAGATCTGAAGGGAGAGAGAGATTGCAATGCAATAATCGTAGGGTAGTTAAATATCACACTTTAACAACAGGTAGATTAGTGAAACACAAAATGAAAAAGGAGCCACTGTACTGAACTGTTTTAGACCAAATGGACTTAGCAGTAAATTTTGACAAAATTTTACATATTTTCATGATAAGACTTCTCAACAAATTAGGTACAGAATGAATGTAACTCAACACAATAAAGGCCATATATGACAACCCACAGCTAACCTCATACTCAATAATGAAAATTTGAGTTTTTCTTAAAATCAGGAACAGGACAAGGAAGTCTAATCAGCACTTCTACGCCACTTCTATTTACAATAGTACTTGAAGTACTAGCCAGAACAGTTAGGCAAAATAAATGAATAAAAGGCATCAAAATTGGTAAGGACAAAGTTAAATTTTCCTTGTTTGCTGATGACATGATTATATATAGAGAAAATCCTAAAGGCTCCATCAAAAACCTGTTAGAAATAATAAACAGATTGAGTAAATTTACAGGATACAAAATCAACATGCAAAATCTGTAGTTTTTTGTTTTGTTTTGTTTTTTTGTTTGTTTGTTTTTTGAGACGGTAGTCTCGCTCTGTCACCAGGCTGGAGTGCAGTGGCGCGATCTTGGCTCACTGCAACCTCCACCTCCCGGTTTCAAGGGATTCTTCTGCCTCAGCCTCCTGAGTAGCTGGAACTATAGGCACACACCACCACGCCCAGCTAATTTTTGTATGTTTAGTAGAGATGGGGTTTCACCATGTTGGCCAGGATGATCTCGATCTCTTGACCTCATGATCTGCCCACCTCTGCCTCCCAAAGTGCTGGGATTACAGGCATGAGCCACTGCACCTGGCCTGTAGCATTTTTATACAGTGATGATTAAGAATGTGAAAAGGAAATTAAGAATACAATTCCAGGCCAGGCACAGTGGCTCACACCTGTAATCCCAGCATTTTGAGAGGCCAAGGCGGGTGGGTCATCTGAGGTCGGGAGTTCAAGACCAGCCTAATGAACATGGAGAAACCCCGTCTCTACCAAAAATACAAAATTAGCTGGGCATGGTGGTGCCTGCCTCTAATCCCAGATACTTGGGAGTCTGAGGCAGGAGAATCACTTGAACCTGGGAGGCGGAGGTTGTGGTGAGCCAAGATCACGCCATTGAACTCCAGCCTGGGCAACAAGAGTAAAACTCAATCTCAATGGAAAAAAAAAAAAGAAAAGAAAGAATACAATACCATTTACATTAGCATAAAAATAAAATAGGAATAAATTTTACCAAAGCTGTGAAATATTTGTGTACTCAAAATTATAAAACACTGATGAATAAAATTGGAGAAAGAAATATAAAATGAGAAAGACATGAGACATTTTCAAACAAACAAAACCAAGAAAGCATATGACCACTAGAGGTGCCCTACAAGAAATGCTAAACAGAATTCTTCAGGTTCTAATTAAAAGATGCTAGACAGTAACTAAAAGATATATGAGGATATAGCTTTTGTAAAGGTAAATACATGGGCAAATGTGCATATATAAACATATATATAATATATATATAATATCCATAAAGTCTATTTTTATATATACATATAAATCGGATATATAACTAATATCCATCCATCAATGTAGTATTGTAATTTTGGGTTGGACCCCACTTTTTTGGTAGAGATTTAAAAGAAACATGCAAAAAATTATTAATGCATTGATAGGTACACTATACATAAGGATGTAATTTGTGACATCAAAAACATAAACCGCGAAGGATAAGGGGCTGTAAAAGAGAAGAGCTTTTGTATGTAATTAGTTTATATTAATTTAAGAGGATTCTTATAACATGAAGATATTATATGTAATCCCTATGGTAAACATAAATATATAGACAGAATATTTATTAAAAAATTAAAAAGGAATAAAGACATCACTACAAAATTGTATTAACACGAAAGGAGGCTGCAATAGAAAATTAAGCAAAAAGCATAAGACATACAAGAAGCAAATAGCAAATTAACACTTCTCTAAATGTCAAATGATTCAACTCTCTAATAAAAATTCAAACTCATGACACTTTCGAGAGAATTAAATAATTCTCAAATAACAAGCTTCAATAAAAAAAGAAATGTATGAAATGTCAAAATAATTCAAAATGATATTTAAAAGCTCAGTGAGATACAAGAGAAGACATATTAACAACACAAAAAATTGAAAATCAATTCAAGATATGAATGAGAAATTCAACAAAGGGATAAATATTATAAATTTAAAAATAAGCAAACAGAAACCCTGGAATTAAAGAATTCAATAAATGCAAAATATACATTTGATGGCTTCAAAATTAGACTAAATCAACTGGAAGAATGAATTATAGAACCTGAAGACAGATCTTTTGAAATTACACACCAAAAAAAACTGAATAAAAAATAAATAAAGCATATTTGACATATGGGGCACCATAAAGTAATCAAATATTCAAATTTTGAGTGTTCCACAGGTGAAGAGAAAGGCAAAGGCATAGAAAGTCTGTTTAACAAAATAATACCTAAAAACTTTTGAAGTCTAGAAATTTATACAGCCATATATAGGAAGCTCAGAGATCCCCAAATAGATACACCTCAAAAAGTTTTTTTCCAAGTCAAACTGTCAAAAGTCAAAGACAGAGATTTCTAAAAACAGCAAGATAAATGCATCTACTCACATATAAAGGAATCCTCGTCAGACACACTGTGAATTTTTCAGGAGAAACCCATGCAGGTCAAGAGCAAATGAGATGACATATTTAAACTGCTGAAAGAAAAAGAAAAAAAAAAACCCTGCTATTCAAGAATAGTATGCTCATCAAAGTAAGCCTTCATAAATTCAGAAGAAATAAATTACTTCCAAGACAAGCAAAAATTAAGGGAATTCATTACCACTACACTGGCCCTACATGAAATGCTTAATGAAATCCCACACCTGGCAGCAAAAGGATATCTATCATCCTGAAAACACACTGAAGTATACAACACACTGGTAGAGCACATGCAAATAAAGAGGAAGGACTCAAATGTTACCACTTACCAAAAACCACCAAACCAAAATCATAAACAACAGGAGAGGAATTAAGAGAAAAAGAATATTCAAAACAACCAGAAAACAATTAACAAAATGACAAGAATAAGTTCTGCTATATCAATAATAACCTTGAATTTACATTGATTTAATTTTAATTTAAAGATATATATTGGCTGAATATATATACATATACATATATATACATACATATATATACACATACATATATATACACACACACACACACACATATATATATATGTGTATATATATGTGTATATATATATATATGTATTACCCAACTTCTTTATGGTACCTATGGTACCCATAGGAAACTCACTTCACCTGTAAAAACACATATGGACTGAAAGTATAGGAATTGAAAAATAAATTCCACACAAATGGAAACCAAAAGGAAGCAGTAGTAGCTATCTTCATGTTAAATAAAGCAGACTTTAAGTCAAAATAGTAAAAAGAGACAAAGAAGGTTTTTATACAATTTTGCCAGAGTATATAACAATTATATATATATGCACCTAACACTAGAGCAGCAAGATACATAAAGCAAATATTACCATATCTAAGTGGAGATAGAGACTCAAATAGTAGTCAGAGACTTCACCACCCCACTCTCAGCATTAGACATATTAGATAGAAAATTAACAAAATGCTTTGCATTCAAAGTACACTTTAGGCCAAATAGACCTAACTGACATTTAGAGAATATTTTATTCAACAGCGGCACCTGCTGCTGTTTATTTTGACACGTGGAACATTCTCCAAGATAGAGCATACATTAGGCCAAAAAACACGTCTCAACAAATTTTTAAATTCAGTCATAAAAGGTATCTTTACAGATGACAATGAATTAAAACTAGAAATCAATTACAACAAGAACTTTGGAAATTAAACACTATACTCCTGAATGACTATTGGGTCAATGAACAAACTGACAGAAATCAAAAAGATGCTTGAAACAAATAACAATGCAAATACAACATTCCAAACCTAAGGGATACAGAAAAACCAGTGCTAAGAGGAAAGCTTATAGCAAGAAATGCCTACTTCATAAAAGTTGAATAATTTCAAATAAACAATTTAATCATGCAACTCGAGGAGCTAGAAAAGGAAGAACAAACCCAACATCAAATTAGTAGAAGGAAAGAAATAGAATCAGAGCAGACTAATTGAAGGTAGAGACTAAAAATACAATATAAAGATTCAATGAAATGAACAGCTGCTTTTTTGGAAAAAATAATAAAAAATCAAATTGGCAAATCACTACCTACACCAACCAAGAAAGAGAAAATACCCAAACAAAACCAGAAATCACAATTGATGTCACAACATACGAAATGTCATCCGTGTAAACCAAAAATAAATTTCTGAACTCCCCCTCCCAACCATCTAAATGGTCTTCTTCCTTGTCAAGGGCACTCTACCCTGAAACACTGGTTCAGGCCATGACAGGAAGTGGGGGTCAGACAAGCCTCATTATACCTCTCCAGCATTAACATCAACACAGATCTTAAGTCTGATAAGTAACATTTACAATCTATTCTCTCCGAAGCCTGCTAGCCAAAGGCTTTATCTGCACGCTAAACCTTTGGTCTCTACAATGTCTTATTGCAACCCAGACATTCCTTTCTATTGATAACTCCTTCAACAAATGGCTAATTAGAAAAAGTTTAAATCCACCTATAACATGGAAGTCCCCACTTTTAGTTGTCCTGCCTTTCTGGACCTAACCAATGTACTTCTTAAATGTATTTGATTGACGTTTCATGTCTTCCTAACGTGTAAAATCAAGCTGCACCCCAACGGCCTTAGGCACACGTTCTCAGGAGCTCCTAAAGGCTGTATCATGGTCCATTTAAAACAGAATAAATCTGTTTAAATATTTTACAGAGTTTGACTCTTTTCATCAGCATTGGAGACTATTATGAACAACTATATAATAACAAACTGAAAAACAGAAAATGTATAAATTCCTGGAGAGATACAATCCACAAGACTGAGTGAGGAAAAAATAAATAGAAAATGTGAACAGACAAATAGTGAGTCACAAGTTTGAATCAGTATTAGAAAGACTTTCAACAAAGAAAAGCCCTGGACTGTATGGCTTTGATGCCAAATTCTACCACACTCATAAAAAATAAATGGCCAGGCATGGTGGCTCACACCTGTAAAACCAACACTTTGAGAGGCCGAGGCGAGCAGATCACCTGAGGTCAGGAGTTCAAGATCATCCTGGCCAACGCGGCAAAACCTGATCTCTACTGAAAAAAAAAAAAAAAAGTACAAAAATTAGCCTGGTGTGGTGGCGGGCACCTGTATTCCCAGCTACTCAGGAGGCTCACTTGAACCCGGGAGGCGGAGGTTGCAGTGAGCCAAGATCATGCCACTGCACTCCAGCCTGGGCAACAAGAGCACAAGAGGGACATTCCATCAAAAAAAAAAAAAAAAAAAAAAAAAAAAAAAACACCAATTTTACCAATTTTCCTCAAATTATTAAAAAATGTTAAATATTGGCCAGGCTTGGTGGCTCATGCCTGAAATCCCAGCACTTTGGGAGGCCAAGGCAGGCAGATCACCAGGTCAGGAGATCAAGACCATCCTGGCTAATACGGTGAAACCCCATCTCTACTGAAAATACAAAAAATTAGCTAGGTGTGGTGGCGGACGCTTGTAGTCCCAGCTACTAGGGAGGCTGAGGCAGGAGAATGGCATGAACCTGGGAGGCAGAGCTTGCAGTGAGCAGAGATCACGCCACTGCACTCCAGCCTCGGGATAGAACAAGACTCTGTCTCAAAAAAAAAAAAAAAAGTTAAATATTAGCAATTTCTCCATAACTGATTATATGATGCCTGAATTACTTTTATACTAAAACTAGATATAAACAAAAAAAATTATAGACCAATAACTCTGATAAATATAGAAAAAAAATCCTCAACAAAATACAAGCAAAGGGAATTCAACAGCACATTAGAAAGATAACACGTCATGATCAAATAAAATTTATTCCAGGTGGGCAAGGATGGTTTATCATACAAATCAATAAATGTGGTAAATTACCTCAACAGAATGAATGACAAAAAACATAATCATCTCAATAGGTACAAAAAATATTTGAATGAATTAACCATCCCTTCATGATTAAAAACTCTGAACAAACTCGGTATAGAAGGAACATATTGTGACATAATAATGGCCATATATGGCAAATGTACAGCTAACATCACACTGAATGGGGAAAAGTGGTGTAGCAGGATGAGCCACAGACAAAATTCCTCAGACACTGAGTTAAAAAAGGAAGGGGTTTATTCGGCCGGGGGCATCGGCAAGACTCCTCTCTAAAGAGCCGAGCTTGAGTGAGCAATTCCTGTCCCTTTTAAGGGCTCACGACTCTAAGGGGGTGCGCATGAGAGTCATAATCGATTGAGCAAGCAGCGAGTATGTGACTGGGGGCTGCATGCACTGGTAATTAGATTGGAACAAAACAGGATAGGGATTTTCACAGTGCTTTTCTATACAGTGTCTGTAATCTATAGATAACATAACCGATTAGGTCAAGGGTCTATCTTTAACTACCGGGCCCAGGGTGTGGTGCCAGGCTTTCTGCTTGTGGATTTCATTTCTGCCTTTTAGTTCTTACTTTTTTCTTTCTTTGGAGGCAGAAATTGGGCATAAGACAATATGAGGGGTGGTCTCCTCTCTTATTCCCCCCCTTTGGGACTCTCACTTAATAATGGGAGTTCTCACTTTCATTTTTACTAACCATGTCTTCTTGCAAGACAGATTGATAGTGATTCATATAGTACACTTGTGCTGAAGCATTTTGGTGAACTAACGTAGCGATGAAGCTTTTTATCATTTAAAGAAGTACAGGTAGCAAACAAGGGAGCAGTAAGCAGGTTCCTGTTACTATTATAACTCTTATTATAAGAGTTTTAAATCCTCCTAGTGCTGGGAACCATGTGCACAGGCACATGTGCCAGTTTTGTCATATCTCTAACTATGTCTTCAACTACTTGCCCTTGATTATCTAAGTGTAGGCAGCAATTAGTAAGGTTAAATTTCCTACAGACTTCTTCAGCTGCTGGCAAGCAGTCGAGAGCTAATCTATTTTGATAGATACCATTTTTCATTTCAGCTTCTTGCCGGGCCAGAATAGTCAAGACTCTGCCGGTTTTATTAGTGATTATTTTTAAGACAGCTTGTAACCATATGATTCAGTTGATCATGTAAATGGGGGTCTGGTATCCCCACGAGCCATCTTGTGCCTAAGTAGCAGGCCGATAATATTGTGTGATTCTCTCAGAGGGCCATTTATCATTTTTTTCAATTTCCTATAGCTATGCTTCTATTTTTGCAGGAAGCATAGACAGGGAAGCCCAGGAGTTTGCCTGTTTCTATAGGCAGTAGGAAGAACGATGGTTTAATAATGCCAATAACACAACTACCTGCCTACTTGTCAGGAAATTTGGCATAAGCTCTATGCCTACATATCCAGTATAATCCAGTGGGGGCTGTCCAGTCCTGGTGGGACTCTGGGTGGGTCCACACGGTTTGCAACTTTGGGAATTCACTAAATTGATTTCTCTCTGTGTGATTTGAACCCCACCAAGTGACTGATTTTGTGGTACCATTATACAGTTTCTGTCTCAGACAATTAAGTCATCCTATGGGGTGAGTGAATTCTTTTGCTTCTCTAGCTATGCAATATTGTCCAATAATTGAGGCTTTTGGGACCCAGAAGTTATCAGGGTGATTCTTTTGATCCGGGAATTCATCAGGAACTGGGTCTGTAGGTACTAATTCTCGGGCTTCCCATGGCCATTGATCTCCTATTACAGTTTCTCCACATACATAACATGAAGTGACATTGAGAGACTGGGCTACATGCTCGGCTAATTGCAAAAACAAATTTCTTGTTTTTCCTGGAATTTCTGGTACTGGCACATTTAGTTCATCATAGAAAGTTTGAAACACTGGCTCAGGAAAGCATTTGTAAACTTCTCCTTGAACCAAGATAGTTACTCGAGGATCCACTCTGGCCCCATCGATTCCTAAGGTCACACACTCATCTTTTTTCCAGTGAGGATCAAGGGGATTGGTTATTACTAGCTCTAAGGGGTTACATTGTCCTTTAGTACAGGAAGGGCCATTTTTTCCTTTCTAAAGGTGGACTGGATCCTTTTCTTTTTTTTTTTTTTTAATTCAAGTGGCCTAAATGACACAAGGCCAGTATTTATATTTATTTCCACAAAGTCCTGATTTATGACAGATGTACTTATTTTCTGCTATATAGCCTCTTTTCTAATTCAGAGAAGCATACCTTATTCCTAACTTATTACTGCTAATGACAGCACAGGCATCAAATTTTAAGGTGACTTGTTTGGGCACCCCTTTTTCTTCTGTTTTGGCTAGCGCTTTACTCATATCCTTTATGAGCCCCCAGCAGTCCTCAGTCCTTAATCTTATTTTAAAAACTGTGGTCATAGGAGGCTCAGATGGGTCATAACACACATCAGGTTGGTCATTTCCTGGGCTACATACCTTGTATAGAATAACATTATACAAAGAAGTTCTTTTTAGAGTTCCAGTACACTTATAATAACCATAAAATAGTAGGACCATAGCAACCTTTTGTCCTACCTCAGTGACTTGATGTATACAGTGGGAACAGTCCTCAGTCTGAGAAAGGTCAGTTGAAGTCCTTACTGTAAAAGTCCAAATTTTAAGGAAAATGAGTCCTGCAATGAGTTTTCTCATTCTTCAGCCATGCGTGGACCAGTTAGCTTCTGAGTGTGACTGGAGCAGGGCTTGTCGTCTTCTTCAGAGTCACTTTGCAGGGGTTGACGAAGCTGCTCCTGTCCACATACCGCTGACAGTCTACTGATGTTTAAGGATGGTATCGGAGGTTGGGCCTACTAGAATAAACCAAGTCCAACACCTCTACACAGTTATGTTCAACTGGGCTCTCTGGTACCGGGAGCAAGGTGGTGGGGTTTAAGGTGTTGCAAACTTCAACGGTTATGCTGGGATTTTCACATAGCAAGCTTTGGTACTTGGTTAATCTAGCATTTGTTAACTAATGATGTCTTTTGGTAGTCATTAAAGTTACCACAGCATGGGGGGCCTTTATATTCAGGTTTTGCCTAAGGGTTAGTTTATCTGCTTCTTGTGCTAACAGGGCCATTGCTGCTAGGGCACTTAGACCTGAGGGCCAGCCTTTGGAAACCCTGTATAGTTTTTTGAGAGATAGGCCACTGGCCTTGGCCAGGGCCCCACAGTCTGGGTTAAAACTCCAACTGCCATTTTTCTCTTTCTGACACATAGAGTGTAAAGAGTTTTTTCAGGTCAGGTAGTCTCAGGGCTGGGGCCGACATGAGTTTTTCCTTTAACTCATGAAAAGCTCATTGTTGTTGGTTGTAATAGATGCAGTTTATCTAATCTACATTTTTATTAACTGTCACCTACCAAAATATTGACTCAAATCCTGCAGCTATTTGATTTCAAGCTTTAAATTGATCTGGTCTTCCTCATGGGACTCCAATTGCGTCTAAATAGACATGAGAGTCGAAAGACCCATAAGGAGCTTCTCTGGCTTTATGATGTCTTATTTCTTTTCCTTCTGGTTGATGAAATTCCAAGGTGAAAGGGATAGCCAATTGGACTAAAGTATAAGTGCCACTCCAGTTATTTGGCAGAGTGCCCAGTAAAGGTCCACCACAATACCACCACACATCTGCTTGGGGATGAACAAGGGCTGACTGATTGATAAGCTCTTGAAAATTCTTAAGCTCACTGCATCTTTTCAGATATCCAAGGAACACTAAGTTTCCTCCCTGTCATGAGAGACACAAAGTGAACTTAGTGTTGGGAGACGGAAGCTGGATGGCCCTCGGGGGCTGACCTGCAGGGTGCCGGACTTTGGGATATAGCAGAGAGATCTTGGCATGACTTATTATTCCAGGCTGTAGAATCCTGGAAAAGAGCTGCCATACAGCCCACACCTGGTCAACTGGAGGACCACCTTAGTGGAAAGGGGACAATCTAGGCCTCTGGCCTGCCATGTGCACAAGCATAGCAATTGCTTTTATTTAGCATGCAGATGGAATATTTGATCCATTTTAACCAGGCATTTGCATCTTGGTATCCTGTCTTAATTGCTAAAGTTTAAGTCTTTAACTTCTATGATCCTCTAGTAAAATGAATATATGGTTTTAGGAAATTACAAAAACCAGTTGGGCAGTCCATCCTTGCTCTTTAGTGGTCCACAGAACATTGGACCAACTACGGCATGAAAGCTCTACATCGGGGAGTAAGACTCCTGGTTGGCACTGGGGTCTTTATTAAAATCTCCCTGGATTAAATGGTCCTAGTTTACTAATGCCCAGTCTGAGGAGAGTCAGGAGGGACGGAAGTACTTTTCTGAAGCAGAGAGCTGTCTTTGACTTGGCAAGTCCCCACAAGGTATAACAAGGCAAGCATTAAATGCAACAGTTTCAGATGAAATTGACTTGGTTATGTTAATAACTAGATGGTCAGCAATAGAACGAGGAAAGAAAAAAGAGTAATAGAATAGAAGAAAAGAGTTAAATTTTTCTTAGCTTTAGTTTGGTAGGGTTTTCCCCTGGGACTATGGCCCACAACTCTGGAGGGGGTGGCGCTTTCTTGACTCAGGTGTGATGAGTCCATCCACTTTTTTTTTTTCTTTCCTTTTTTTTTTTTTTTTTGCTGTATGAACAGCAGTCTTGGTGGTTAGCAGCACAAGGTAGGGTCCTTCCCAGGCTGGCTCGAGTTTTTCTTCTTTCCACCCTTTGTTGAGAACGTGATCTTCAGGCTGGTGCTGGTTTACTGGAAATTCTAGGAGTGGTACATGTGCTAAAAGACTTTTAGTTTTTGAGATAAAGGAAAGTGGAAGATAAACCAAGTGTACAATTTTTAAGAAATTGACCTTTTGTTTTAATTGTGGGGACCTTGGCAGTGGACTTTATAGTGCCTTTTTACTGAGAAATATCCTTTAGCACCTATTTTTATTAGTTTTTAAACCAAAGAAAGCCAAATACCATTTTACATTTAACGATGCTTCTTGTACGATTTTAATACAAGATAAGCTAAATTTTATGTTTATATTAGTGTGTTATTAATGTTAAACCTAATTTTAATAAAACCTTGTAGACATATTTATCTAATTTTTAATGTTTGACCAAAAGGTAAGATTTCATAGACTCTTTTTAACATTTTATAATTTTTGTGAAAGAGCAGGTTGGTGCTTTAAGAAAAACTTGTTATGCTTTTACTTTAATGTCCAGTTCACAGAAAAACTGGATGATACTTCTTTAACTTTAGCTAATCTGTTTACACACAGAATTTTCTTTACAATTAACATTTTAAAACTTGCTTAAACCTTCAAAACAATATTTTTTAACTTTTTAATGTAGGTAAAAATGTACATGCTTATGCTTCCTTATAACCCTTTTACCAAAGATACATTTTACTTTTCTTAACACCTTGCACATAAACTGTTTTTTTTTTCAATAGTTTTACATTCAGGAGGCCTAGTTACTTTTAAATTATACAACATTTCTTGCATAAATTCTTTTTTTATAACATTTTTCTGTTTCATGGCTTTCGCAGACAATTCTTCAACATGCCTCAACTTTCTGACTTATTACAAATATTTCTGTCTTTAAACAACCAGTTATTTCAGGACAAGAATTTACCATATAATACTCTTTTTATATAAATTCTGTCTCCCCTTTTTTTTTCTTTTTTTTTTTATTTCTTAGGATACTTCTGAACTGGTGAGGTGTGCTCACAATGAGGTTTCCTCTAAAAGTTATTTTTTTACTTTTTTGTTAGCAAAGCAATTGCCGCTACAGATTAAGTGTGTTTGGGCCATCCGCAGGTTACTGGGGTAAGGATTTTCGATAGGAAGGACTCAGTGCTTTTGAAATACGCGCTTGTTTACACTGACGACAAAGTGGTATTGGAGTGTTATAGGGTTATGGAGAATACCTTCAATTACCAATTATAGGTTTTAAATTTACCTTGGCTTTTAAAGGAATAGGGTACACTTTTTTTTCTTAAGTACTTGTATATCTCTCTCTTTCTCTCTTTGACTTTGTCTCTCTCTTTGACTTTGTCTCTCTCTTTGACTTTCCTTTTGCCTCTGTCTCTTCCTCTCTCTCTCTGCCCATCTCTTTCTTTCTCTCTCTCTCTCTCCTTGACTCCCTCTTTGTCGTCTCTTCCTCTCCGACTCTTCCTCTCTCTCTTTGCCTCTTTTCCTCTCTGTCTCTTTCCTTTCTCTCTCTCTGCTGGTCTTTCCTTTCCTCTGCCAGCTGCTTATGCTGCTCTTCTCTCAACCACTGTGTGTTGGGGGAAGGGGGTCTAAAACCAGCTGTAACCAAGTGTCTATGTACAGGAACTGGTCTGGGTTCCTTGGCTTATAGGTTACCTGGTGCCATACCTTTGAAACAAGGGACCTGTCCAGGCTTCCTTCTAATGGCCAACCTACTTCTAATGCTGGCCAGTCTATCTTACACAAAGTTTTAAGTTTTCCTGGTGTCATAGTACTCCATAGTCTGCCTTAAATTCTTTTTTTAAATTTTTTAACATAGTTCCGAGTAGAGTGGGCTTATTTGTGCCTGACCTATGCTTCTTCGAGACAAAACACCATGCTCACACCACACGCACACCACAAAACAAAGAACGGGTAAAAAGAGCACACACACACTTTTGCAGTTTGAACCAAACCAAAATCAAAACCAAAATCAGAGTATCCATAAATCCAAGCCAGGTCAAAACCAAAACCAAAGTATCAAGCAATCCAAGTCAAGTCAAAAACAAAAACCAAAGTGCTGGTACAGGCACACTGTGGATGATCAGGCCACGCTTTCACTCAAATGGAGTAGGCAAGTTCCCAAGACAATCCTGTCAAGCAATTCAAACCAAGTCAAAACCAAAACCAAAGTGCCAATAAAGGCACACCGTGGGTGATCAGGCCACGCTTCCACTCAAATGGAGTGGGCAAGTTCCCAAGACTGGTCCTGTCAATCAATTCAAACCAAGTCAAAACCAAAACCAAAACCAAAGTGCTGATAAAGGCACACCATGGGTGATCAGGCCACACTTCCACTCAAACGGAGAGGGCAAGTTTCAGAGACTAGTCTTACCAAGTTTTAGATGTCCGGACTCTAAGTGCTCATTCTTTCCCGGTGTTCAGCCACCGCATTTATCCTCCATGGGAGCCTGCCACACACTGCTCTGGTGAGGCCTCCCACCAGGGCAAATGCCTACCCGGGAGTGCTCTCAAGATCCGTGTCACTCGGGCTGGTCAGAGTCCCCCGCAGGGATGTTCCACAGGGCAGGCTTAAGCTGCCTAAGGAACTGCCTCAACCATCCGCCATTCACCTCACTTCCCAGTCAGAGAAAAGAAATGTAGCAGGATGAGCATAGACAAAACTCCTCAGACACTGAGTTAAAGAAAGAAGGGGTTTATTCGGCCGGTGGCATCGGCAAGACTCCTGTCTCAAGAGCCAAGCTCCCCGAGAGAGCAATTCCTGTCCCTTTTAAGGGCTCACAACTCATGCACAACACCCTTGGGTGTGCATGAGAGGGTTGTGATCAATTGAGCAAGCAGGGGGTACGTGAGTGGGGGCTGCAGCCACTGGTAATTAGATCGGAACAAAACAGGATAGGGATTTTCACAGTGCTTTTCTATACAACATCTGTAATCTATAGATAACATAACTGATTAGGTTAGGGGCTGATCTTTAACCACCAGGCCCAGGGTGTGGCGCCGGGCTTTCTGCTTGTGGATTTCATTTATGCCTTTCAGTTCTTACTTTTTTCTTCCTTTGGAGGCAGAAATTGGGCATAAGACAATATGAGGGGTGGTCTCCTCCCTTAGTGGAAATATTTTTTTCTTTCTAAGAACTTGAAAATAACAAGGAGGCCCACTTTACCAGGTCTATTCAACATAGTACTACAATTATACCCAAGCAGTCAGGCAAGAGAAATAAAAGCCTTCCCAATTGTAAAAGATGAGGTTAAACTGTCCCTCTCTGTAGATGACAAAATGTTATATTTAGAAAAACCTAAAGATTTCATAAAAAACACTTTGATCTGATTAATAAATTTAGTAAAGTTTCAGAATAAAAATCACCATATAAAAAAACAGTAGTGTTTTTATACACCAATAATGAACTAGCTATAAAAAGGAAATCAAGAAGATACCATTTTCAATAGCTACAAAATACATACTGTAAAATAAAAAGTATCCAAGAATCAATTTAGACATTTATTTTGCTAAGGTTAAGGACATGCTTATGACACAGTCTCAGGACAATATGTGCCCAAGGTGGTCAAGCTACGGCTAGGTTTTATACATTTTATGGAGACATAAGATATCAATCAATACATAAAGATATACTTTGGTTTGGTCCCCAAATGTGGGACTACTCAAAGTTGGGTTTTCCAAGTAACAGGGGTATTCAAATATTTTCTGATTGGCAATTGGTTGAAAGAGTTTATCTAAAGACATAGAATCCGTAGAAGGTAATGTCTTGGTTAAGAAGTGGTGGAGTCCAAATAGCTTATTATGCAAATGAAGCCTCCAGGTAGCAGGCTTCAGAGACAATAGATTGTAAATGTTTCCTTTCAGACTTAAAGAGTCTGTTATGGCAGTCTTAAGATCTCTGTTTTAATGTTAATGCTGGTCAGGTGTGCCTAAATTCAAAAAGAGAGGAAAGTATAAGGCATGTCTGACCACCCATTCATATTATGGCTAGTGTTTCAGGTTTACCTGAGAAAGACTCTGGCTGAGAGGAGGGGTCCATTCAGTTGGATGGGGAGCTTTGAATACTTTTTTGTTTGTTTATAGTGCACAGGAATAATTGTATTCAAGGAGGTAAAATGCCTCTACAGCAAAAACTATGGAACAGTGATTTAAAAAATGAAAGAGAACACAAAAGATTAGAACGCCATCACATCCTCATGGATCAGAATAAGTAATATTGTTAAATAGCCATATTTCTTAAAGCAGTCTTCAGATTCAATGCAATTCTTATCAAAATACCGATGACGTTTGTCACAGAAAAAGAAAGAAAAATTTTTAAATGTATATGTAATAAAAAAGAGCTAGAATAGCCAAAGCAATCTTGAGCAAAAGGAAAAAAGCTGAAGACGTCACACTTCCTGACTTCAAATACATGACAAGGCTATTTCTATGGTTTGGATATTTGATCCATCCATATATCAGGTTGAAAATTAATCCCAAACGTTGGAGATGAAGCCTAATTGAAGGTGTTTGGATAATGGGGGTATATGCCTCATGAAGGATTTGGTTTTATACTCACAGTAATGAGAATGTTCTTGCTTTATTAAGAGTTCTCCCAAGAACTGTTTGTTAAAAAGAGCATGGCAACTCCCCCCACTCTGTCTTTCCTTCTTTCTCATCATTGGATCTCCACACACTGGCTCTTTTTTGCTTTCTGCCTTGAGTGGAAGCAGCCTGAGGCCCTTAACAGAAACAAATACTGGCTCCATGTTTAGTGTGTAACCCACAGAACTCTGTGCTAAATAAACCTATTTGCTTTAAAAACTATCCAGCCTCAGATACTCCTTTATAGCAGCACAACCTAAAACAGCTATAATACTCAAACAAACATCATGGTATTGGTATAAAAACAGACACATTGACCAGTGGACCAGAATAGATGACACAGAAATACATCTATGTATATATAGCTAACTAACTTTTGAAGAAGGTGCCAAGAACCAAAACTAAGGAAAGAACACCCTTTTCAATAAACTGTGCTGAAGAAACTGGATGTCCATATGCAGAAGAATGAAACTAGACCCCATCTGTCATTATATTAAAAAAAAGCTATTCAAAATGGATTAAAGACTTCAACATAAAGCTTATAATTGTAAAACTACTAAAAAGAACATAGAGAAAACACACTAGAACATGAATCCACACAAAGATTTTATAGCTTAGACTGCAAAAGCACCAGCAACAAAAAAAATACAAATAGAAAATTGAACTAAACTGAAAAGCTTTTGTACAACTAATAAAACAATCAAGAGAGTGAACAGACAACCCGATAAGTGGAAGAAAATATTTGCAATCTATTTATCTGACAAGGGACTAATATCCAGAATACACAAGGAACTTAAACAACTCAACAGCAAGAAATCAAATAAACGCATTAGAAAGTGGCCAAAAAAATAAATAGACAATTCTCAAAAGAAGATATGCAAATATCTGTCAGATATTGGAAAAATGCTCAACATCACTAATCAACAGAAAAATGCATAGCAAAACCACAACGAGATATCATCTTATCCCAATTATAACGGCTACTATAAAAATAAAAATAACAGATGCTGCTGTAGATGCAGACAAAGAGGAATTCTTTTTTTTTTTCTTTCTTTCTTTTTGAGACAGAGTCTCACTCTGTCACCCATGCTGGAATGCAGTGCTCAATCTCGGCTCACTGCAACCTCCGCCTCCCGGGTTCAAGCGATTCTGCTGCCTCAGGCTCCTGAGTAGCTGGGACCACAGGTGCACACCACAAAGCCTGGTTAATTTTTGGTATTTTTAGTAGAGATGGGGTTTCACCGTGTTAGCCAGGATGGTCTCGCTCTCCTGACCTCGTGATCCACCCACCTCGGCCTCCCAAAGTGCTGGGATTACAGGCGTGAGCCACTGCACCCAGCCCAAGAAAAGGGAATTCTTATACACTGTTGGTAGGAATGTAAATTAGTACAGCCAATATGGTAAAGAGTATGGATATTTCTCAAACAAGTAAAAATAGAGCTACCATATGATCTAGCAATCCTACTAGGTAGTTTTCCAAAGGAAAATAAACCAGTATATCAAAGAGATATTATCACTTCTATGATTATTGTAGCACTACGTACAACAACAAAGATAAGAAATCAATCTGTGTCCATTCACAGATAAATGGATACAGAAAATATACTATGTATACACTATGGAATACTATTTGTACATAACAAAGAATAAAATTCTGTCATTCGCAGCAACATGGATTGAATTGGAAGTCATTATGTGAAGTGAAATAAGCCAGGCAGAGAAAAAAAAAAAATCACATGTACTCACTCGTATGTGGGAACCACAAAAGTTGACCTCATGGAGTTAGAGGAAATGATTATTACCAGAGGCTGGGATTGCTGTGTTTGAGGGGGATATGTAGAGAGTTTGGTTAATGGGTAAATACAGTTGGATAGGTGGAATAAATCTTAATGTTTGATAGCAGATTAGCACAACTATAATTAACAGCAATGTATTGTATATCTTAAAATAGCTGTAAGAAAAAAACTTGAAATGCTTCCAAAACATAGAAATGACAGTTGAGGTGAAGTAATATTCTAAGTACCATGACTTGATCATTGCTCACTTTATCTGTGTACCAAAATATTACATGTGCCCCATAAATATGTACAAATATGTAACAATTAAATATTTAAAAGTTTCAGAGATTATAAATGGACTTTTAAAAACACTCAATCTAGCTATCTGTTGTCTACATGAGACTCACTTTAGTACTAAGGACATACATAGGTTAAAAGTGAAAGAATGAACAACAATATTCCATGCAAATAGTTACCTAAGGAGAGCAGGGTTGATTATACTAATGTCAGACAAAATAGAATCTTAGTCAGCATATGTTATAGGACACAAATAAGGGCATTATATATTGATACATGGGCAAATTCACCAAGAAAGTAAAATAATAGAAATATACATGCACAAAACATCAAAGCTCCAAAAATACATGAAGCAAAAAGTGACAGAATCAAAGGACAAAGTAGAGAGCTCTGAAATAGTAGTAAGACTCTCCAACATCTCACTTGCAATAATGGATGGAAAAACCTGAAAGAAGAACCACGAGAAAATGCAGGACTTAAATAACATTATGAACCAATTAAACTTAAAGGACATACAGAAAATGTTCCTCTTTACTACAGAAAACATATTTTTCTCAAGTGCACATAAAACATTCTTTGGGATAAATTATGTTAGGCCATATGAAAAGTCTTAATATATTTATTTTAAAATATTGAAAAAATGAAAATTATCTTTCCTGATGACAATGTAATGAAACTAGAAATCAATAGCAGAAGAAAAACTGGAAAAGTCACAAATATGAGGGTAATAAACAATACACTTTTAAACTAGCAATGTGCCAAAGAAGAAATTTCAAGGGAAATTTTAAAATACCTTGAAATGAATAAAACTAAAAAAACACCACAAATATAAGGTAAAGAGGCAAAAGTGTTAATGAGAGAGGAGAGAGGAAGAAACCTGTTTGGAAGGCAGTTAGGGTGGGTCTTTGGTTGAATTCTTTCAAACAAAAGAACAGCCTGCAGGCACAGATGAGAGAACTTGCACAGGGAGGCTTGTCTAAGACATGTTCACAGCTGCACAGATAAGAAAGGCTACACAGGTGACTTGGTCAGACATGCCCACAGTGGAAAATTTTGTCCCCTAACACATGCTCAGGAAAGGGTAAAAAAGCAGCATGGAGTAACTCAAGCGAAGGGCCTGCATATGCACTGGGAGGATGGGCTGGAGCTACCAGAAATTTGCACCTTATGCAAATGAGATGCCCAGCCCTCACTGATTTCTTATAAAAGCCTTTGCATTCAACTGTAAAAATGGCAACCCTCTTCTGGGTCCTCTCTGCAGCAGAGAGCTTTTTTCTTTAGCTTATTAAACTTTTGCTCCAACCTCACACTTTGTGTCCACAATCCTTAACTCTCTCGGTCCTGAAACAAAAAACTTCAGGTGATATCTCAGAACAAGAGACTACTACATTATGGTGCATTGGCAAAACTGTATCAGAAGAAAATTTTTAGCTGTAAACATATTTAAAAAGAAAAAAGGTCTCAAATATATAATCCAAATGTACATGTTAAGAAAATAAGAAATAAAACAAACTAAATTGAAAGCTAGTAAGATGGAAATAATAAATACTAAAGCAGAGGAAATTAAAATTAAGAATGAAAAAGCAATAGAGAAAAATCAGTGAAACCAAAAGTTCATTCTTCCAAAAGATAACAAAATTGACAGATCTTTAGAGAGACTAAGAAAATGTAGAGAGGAATAAAACTGCTAGAATCATAAATGAAGGGGGAGACTTTACAACCAATTTTACAGGAATAAAAAGGATTATAAGGTATCACTATGAAGAATTATGCACCAATAAACTGGATAATCTAAATGAAATGGACAAATTCCTAGAAGCACACAAATTACATTAGCTAACTTAGAAAAAATAGGAAATCTTAATAGACCTATAACCAACAGAGATTGAATTATTTATTTAAAACTCCACCAAGGGACCAGGTGCAGTGGCTCACACCTGTAATCCCAGCACTTTGGGAGGCTGAGACAGGTGGATCACGAGGTCATGAGATCGAGACCATCCTGGCTAACATAGTGAAACCCTGTCTCTATTATAAATACAAAAAAATTAGCCAGGTGTGGTGGCAGGCGCCTGTAGTCCCAGCTATTTGGGAGGCTGAGACAGGAGAATGGCATGAACCCGGGAGGTGGAGCTTGCACTGAGCCGAGATGGTGCCACTGCACTCCAGGATGGGCCACAGAGCAAGACTCTGCCTCAAAAAAAAAAAAAAAAAATTCCACCAAGGAAAATTCTTGAACCAGATGTCTTTACTGGTCAATTCTATTTGATGTTTAAAGAAATAACATCAATCTTTCTCAAACTCTTTCAACAATGTGAAGAGGAGGGAACATTTTCTAACTCATTCTAGGAAGCCAGGATTGCTCTCAAAACAAAGTAAGATAAAAATACTACAAGAGAAAAAAACTCAAGAAAAAAAATCATTAAACAAATGTCAGTGGCATTTCTTTACATTAACAATAAAGAATCCAAAAAAGGCTACCAGAGCAATTCCATTCTCAATTGGAAAAGAAAAAAAAAACTTACTTAGGAATTGATATGGTTTAGATATGGTTTCCCCTCACCAAAAATTATTCTGGATTTCGAACACCAGTATGGCAGTGTTGGGAAGTGAGACCTAGTGAGAGGAGTTTGGGTCATGGAGGCAGATTCCTCATGAATAGATCCATATCCTTCTGTGGGGTTAAGTTCTCCCTCTCTCAGAAATGGTTTAATTCCCAAAAGAATGGGTTGTTTAAAAGAATACGGCTCCCTAATTCTATTCTTTGCTCTTTCACCATGTGATCCCTTTGCATACATCTCCTGTTCCGTTTTCTGTCATGAGGGAAAGCAGTCTGAGGCCCTGACGAAGATGCACAGCTGCACAATCTTGGACTTTTCAGCTACCAGAATTGTGAGCCAAATAAACCTTTTTTTCTTATAAAATATGCCACCCTAACTACTCTGTGACAGCAACACAAAGTGGACTACGAAAGTTAGTACTGAGGAGTGGAGTATACCTACGCAGACATCTGGAAATGTGGAAGTGGCTTTGGACTGAGTGACATGTAGTGGCTGAATGAATTTGGAAGAACAGGGTGGAAAAAGCCTATATTGCAGTGAATAGAGCACTAATGGAGATTCTGAAAGGGGCCTAGAAGATGAGCTGGGACTTCTTAGATAATTATTAAGTGATTGTGACCAAAATGCTGTTAGGAGTATAGACAGTGAAAGCCATTTTGACAAGGACTCAAATGGAAATAAGGAGAAAATTATTGGAAACCGAAGCAAAAGTCACACTTATTATACCTTACCAAAGAACTTGGCTGCATTATCCATGGCCTAGGACTTGGTGGAAGGCCAATTTAAGAGTGATGAATATTTGGCAGAACAAATTTCTAAGCAGAAAAGCATTCAGACAGCTGCTTTTTTACTTTTAACTTCAAATAGTTAAGATTTGGGAGCAAAGGCATGACCTAAAGTTATAATTTATAAGGATTTGGAGTATTCCAAGCCTGGACATGTGGTAGAAAATGAAAAAGAATTTTCAGGAGAGCAATCCAAGGTTGTGACAGTGCAACTACGTGCTAAAGAGATTAACAAAGATAAAAGGAACCTAAGTGTTAATGCTCAAAACAATGAAGGAAAGGCCCTGGAGTCATTTCAGAAATCTTTGAGGTTGCATCTGCCATCGAAGGCCCAGAGGCCTAGTAGGACAAAACTGTTTCAAGAACAAATTGAGATGCTAGTGCCCTGTGCTGCCTTGAAACTCTGCTCCCCACATTTTGGCCACACTAACTGGAACAACTGTGGTTTATGTTGACAAAAGAGTCAAACTGTAAAATATTTGAAGAAATTTATTATGAGCCAAATATGAGTGACCATGGCCCATGACACAGCCCTCAGGAGGCCCTGAGAACATATGTCCATGGTGGTTGGGTTACAGCTTGGTTTTATATATTGTAGGGAGGCATGAGACATCAATCAAATACATTTAAGTAGTACATCATTGGTTTGGTTCAGAAAGGTGGGACAACTCAAAGCGGGGGCTTCCAGGGTACAGGTAAATTAAAACATTTTCTGGTTGACAATTGGTTGAGTTTTTCTGAAGACCTGGGATGAAAGGAAATGTTCAGGTTAGGATAAAGAATTGTGGAGACCAAGTTTTATTGTGCAGAGGAAGCTGTCAGATAGCAGACTTCAGAGAGAGCAGGTTGTAAAATGTTTCTTTTCGGACTTGAAGGGGTGCCTGGCTCTTAGTTGATTATCTCCTGGATCTGGAAAGGAAGGAAGGAAAATAAAGGGGAAGGGGATTCTCTATAGAATGTAAATTTTTCCCACAAGAGACTTTGCAGGGAAATTCCAAGGTATGGCAAGAAAATATATTTGGGGATAAAACATATTGATTTTTTTCTCTTGTATGCCAGAGATAGATTGGAAAGCAAATCATGATATACAGGGTTAAATAAAACCCATCTGATGAGAATTTATGGTTTGTAGGGCATGACTCCCCAGACCCCTTAGAAAGGAGTTTGGGCAAGATTAAAAAAAAAAAATCAGAGCTTAGTCCTCACTTACATGACTCCAGGAACAACTTGGGTCATTTCGCCAAAGGATGCAAGGTCTAATTCTTGGCAGCATTCATGTATATGTGGTGTTAATTCTGCTGGATAGAAGAATACAAGAGCTATGAAGGTGTGGAGGTGATGTAGAACTTTGCTCTTTAGTTCAGCTAAAACTGGGTTCTTGACACATCACCAGGAAGAATTAGGAATGCAGACACATTGAAGGGTGAGGGTGACAGAATTTATTGGGCAAAAAAGGAAAAGAAGGAAAAAAAAAACTCCCAGTAAAGCAAGAGGGACTCCTGCTAACAGGCCCTCTACCTTGCAGATTAATTCTAGGCAACACACAGGAACTGAAGAGGCCAGGATCCTCCCCACACTGCACACAGCACAAAATTCCCATAGCTCCACCCCATTCTCCCAGTGTGCAGGGAGGTCAGAGATTCTCTGGGTACACTTCCCCTTATATGCCTCCTGCATCTATCAGAGGCTTGGTGTTCTCCCCTGAGATTAAAAAGAATGTATAAAAAAGCATGTGGGCCCAGGGACACTTTTCACAGTGTGAAGCCCCAACAGAGAGCTTCTACTAGGACAATACCAAGCAAAAATGTGAGGCCTGTTAGATTATGTTTTGCCTAAAGCTGCCTCCTTACATATTTTAAGTTTGGGCTAAATGTTTCTCTGTATATCATGAACTATAGCCTACATGTAAGTGTAAGCAAACTGTAGCCTACTCTTGTGTCAATCATCAAGTTTTGGTCAGTCAAACGTGGCCAGAAGTTTGAAATTTGTTCAAATAAGGCAAAAGCCTAGCTATAACCAATCCAGCTGTTTCTGTACCTCACTTCCATTTTCTATACATCATGATTCTTTATCTCTCCATAAATCTTCTTTTACCATGGAGCTGTGCTGCAGTCTCTTAACCTACTCTGGCTCAGGAGGCTGCCTGATTCACAAATCATTCATTGCTCAATTAAACTCTTTTACATTTAATTCAGCTGAAGTTTTTGTTTGTTTGTTTGTTTCTGTTTTAACAGATGATGTCAGAAGTGGGATCCAAAGTAGAGCTTATAATGACACCTAGGAGTGCTGAGTGACCAAGCAAGGTACCCACCAGGCCGATTATGTCCATTGTTCTCTTGGAGCAGCTGGTCATCATGGTAAGTTCTCTCTCAGATTCAGAAGCTCCGCATATTTGTGTTTTGAGCTCTCCAAGTTTCTATGAGCCCATTTCTAATCCAAACTGCGTTTGGAAGTCATGCCAAAAACTGAACTGGGTCCAGAATCAAATTAGATCTGGTAATTAAGTGGCTTGGATCCAGTTAGAGGCCTCTTACATCTGACTGGGTCAGAAGAAAACCAGTAGTAAATGGCAATAATGCAAGGATAAAATTTGGCTTTCACTCTTGAACAAGATTTTCATGTAATATTAAAGAATAATGAATGTTTTTTTTCAACTTTGAATAAACTACAGGAAAAAAAAAGAAAGATACAACAAAAGATTGTTTGGAAAGCTAAGTCTTCCCTCTATTAATGAATAAAGGTTTTTGCCTTTTCAAAATTTTCAAATTATCATTCTGGCTAGATAAATAACTTATGGTGACCTGGAATCCTATTCTACAATATTAAGTGTTTTAAATCTTTAACATAGTTGACAGGCTTCCCAAAATCAAATTTCACCTTCAAAATTAAGTATTTTTTAACCTCTAACTGTGGGATGCTGCAGAGGGCCCATGAAGCATCAAAAAGAGAGGTAAACAGAATTATTTGACATGCTAACTTACAAGAGAAGCATTGTCAAAATAAGAAATAATGTTTAACGTTTTGAAGGTTATATTTCAGTAAATGTTATTAATATATGTTGTAAAATTATATTACATTCATCAAATTATAATATGTTTGAGTATATGCTATCAATCATGATTATGGTTATTATGTTGTTATTGTAGGCCACAGAAATAACCAAATTTCCTTGTCATTTGTGTCTTTAACTATAATTATTTAAAGTCATTTTCACAGTTCATTGCTTAATGCTGATGCAGTTTCTGAAAACTTCACAAGCATACAGAACCCTAGAATATGGTGTGTTTTAGGAGGTTTATGAAAGGATGGAAGGGACCCTGAAAAGCACTCTTGAATACATGTTTCTGATAACTTTAGAATCATATCATTTGGACTGGGTAAGAATTCCTGGAACTTGGATAAAAAGACTGGTTTATAAAACTGCCAACCCAAGTAGTACAAAAATTAATTGAATACCATGAAAATACCTTGCCAGATTTTCATGCTAAATCAGCCAATACTGAAATTGAACACCATGGTGTAAGTCAAATTACCTGTGATAACCTATCAGTTTTCAGTGCTATGCACCTAAATTGAAGAAACAACTGGTATTCAAGAGAACATAAGTCCAATGTTAAGCACGGACTCTTGGAGATCCAGGACAGCCACCTTGTACTTCCTGAGTTCTTAAACCTTTTGTTATTAAAAGTTATGCATTCCACGACACATCGTGGAAAAAATAAAATGATCCAAATTAAATATATATTGGTATAGTGACTTCTCAATTGCTAAAATAGTTTCTGACCAATGTTTGGTTTGTCAAACCCATATTGCTGGGAAGACAATGCTTCAGGTACATTCTGTTACCTGATGGCCCACTGAAACATTTACAGAGGGATTTCATTCAATTATTATTTCCAATGCATGTTTTCTGGTTTTATAAAAGCTTTCCCATGCAAGATAGCTAATTTTACAATAGGATCATGTTGTGCCACAGTGTATTTTCACCAAGTAAAGAAAGCTTTGCATGGTTCACTGACTGAGAACAATAAACCTCTTCTTAATCGAGAACCTGAAGATCAGATCTTCTGAGAACATCAGAAAAAGACTTCCCTTGCCATCCACACTGCAGCAAAACTTCAGGACCTTAAATGCTGGGTTCATAATTTCACAACTGAGAAGGGACCCTCCACACTCTTGGAACTGTACACCTAGACCAAACTAAAATACAGTCACTCTTGCTAAATGTAACATAATCAAACTAAGACTTTAAGGAAACAAGCAAATCCTAGAAAAGACCAGGTTTTTGTATTTTTTTTCCTCCTGTAAACAGTACCTTCCAACATAAGGAGGTACCCTCTACTCTAACACTTACAAAAATAATAAGAATAATAACCTGGAGTCCTTGTAAGGTGAAACCTTACAAAACCCACTGCTCTGCTGTTTCCTAGTGGGTTTCAAGAGGAAATAAGTACTTTTACAGTGGTGATGGTGAAATCAATGACTAACATTTTGGTCAATCTCCCACAATTTAGAGAATGACCAAAACGGGGGAATTGTTAAATCAAGTTTATCCTAAATTGATGGGATCAATCATACTCCAAACCTTGACACTGCACAATATACCCATGTAACAAACCTACACATGTACCTCCTGAATCTAAAATAAAAGTTGAAATTCTAAAAAATGAAATTATTCTGGAGCTTTAAGATTCAATGCCTCTCTGCTGGGTTTTATACTTGCTTAGAACCTCTTACTTCTTTCTTTCTTTGATTCATTTCTCCCTTTTGGAATGGAAATGTCTAAACTATGTGCATTCCACCATTTTATCTCAGAACTAAATAACTTTTTTTATAGGCTCATAACTGGACTTTGGTCTTTTAAGTTGGTGCTGAAACAAGTTAAGACTTTAGAGACTGATGGAATTATTGTATTTTGTATTCGAGAAGAACATGACTTTTAGGGGGCCAGGAACAGAATGCTATGGTTTGGGTATAGTTTGTTCTGTTGAAACTCGTGTTGGAATTTGATTTCCAATGTTGCACTGTTGGGAGGAGGATTCCAGTGGGAGGCATTTGAGCTATGGGGGTGAATCCCTCATTAATACACTAATACCTTTTCATGGGGATGAATGAGTTCTCCCTCTCATGGGAATGGACTAGTTTCTAAGATATTGTGATGGCAAAATATTCTGGCTCCTTTAGTTTCTATATCTTGCTTCCTCTGTTGCCATGTGCTCCTTTGCACACACACTCTCCTGTTCCTCTTTCCACCATGAGTGCTAGCCATACCTTTCCTATTCCTTTCCTCCTATAACCTGTCTTGCCATGCTTCAAGTCTGAAACCCTCATCAGATGCAGCTGTCCAATCTTGAACTTTTCACCCACTAGAATTGTGAAGCAAATAAACTTATTTTCTTCATAAATTGCTCAGCCTCAAGTGTTCTGTTATTGCAACATAAAATGAACTAAGACTATAAACTTAATCAAGGTGGTAAAAATCTTATACACTAAAAACCATATATAATTGCTTTTTTAAAAAAATCAAAAAACAGGAAATAAATGAAATGTCATCCAGAGTTCATGGATTGGAGGACTGAATATTGTTAAGAAGCCAATACTACCTAAAGTGATCTACAGATCCAATGCAATTTCTATCAAAATGCCTGCTTTTTTTTGAAAAATACAAAAATACATTCAATAATTCATATGGAATCATCAGGGATTCCAATTGCCAAACTGTCTTGAAAAACAAAAACAAAATTTGCTGGGCACAGTGGCTCTCACATGTAATCCCAGCATTTTGGGAGGCTGAGGCAGGATGATCTCTTGAGCCTAGGAGTTCAAGATGCAGAGATGGCAAGATTCCATTTCTACAAAAAAATAAAGAAATTAAGCTATCATGGTAGCATGTGCCTGTGGTCCCAGCTACTCAGAAGGCTGAGGCTGTAGGATTGCATGAGCCCACTAGGTTAAGGCTGCAGTATGTCACGTACATGCCACTGCACTCCAGGCTAGGTAATAGAATGAGACACCATCTCCAAAAATAACATAAAATAAATATAAAATTTTAGGTCTCACACTTCCTAATTTCAAAAATTACTACAAAGCTACAATAATCAAAACAATGTGGTACTGGCACAAATACAAAAAATACAGACAAATGGAACAGAATAGAGAGCCCAGAAATAAATCCTTTTATATGTTCTGAAAAGATTTTCAACATGGATGCCAAGATTATTCAATTGGAAAATGACCATCTTTTTTAAAAATGGTGCTGGGAATACTAGATATATACATACAAAAGAATAATGGTGGATCCTCATTTTATACAGTATATTACAGTTCACTCAATTTTGATCAAAAGCCTAAGCAGCAGAGATAAAAGTATACATATCTTATAAAAAAAAAAAAACCGGGAAAAGCTTCATGCCATTGGAATCGGCAGTGCTTTCCTGGATTTAACACCAAAAAACACAGGCAACAAAAAAAATAATCAATATATTAGATTTCATCAAAATTCAAAACTTTTGTGCACCAATGACCATATTAATAAAGTGAAAAAGCCAACCACATAATGGGAGAAAATGTTTGGAAATCATATAAGAGATTATATGCAAAATATTTAAAGAACACTTAAAACTCAACAGCAGCAACAAAGAAATAATTCAGTTTAGAAATAGGTGAGCGACTTAAATAGACATTTCTCCAGATAATATATACAGATGGCTAATAAATACATAAAAATATATCATTAAACGTTATGTAAATGCAAGTCAAAACCACAGCAGAATAACGTTTTACACAAATTAGTCATTTGGATGGCTGTAAACCAAAAATATTTTATTTTAATCCAAAATATAGGTTTTTGACATGTTTTGAGGTAGCTATTTAGAGAGCCTTCAGATAGAAATAGCCTGAAAAGCTGCCTTTTGTGGGGGATATTTGCATCTGTAGATAAAATCTACATTGGTAAAATAAACAGCTAGGCTTTCTGTGAGGACTCCCTCCCTCGTCTGGATCTAAGAAAGACGAACTTCACTGTGGGCTACTATCTATTCTTTCAGAGAGAGAGTTCTTACCTGTGAAGTTTCATCTGCATGACAATACCACCTTTGCTAGCCATACTTTTCCTATTCCCTTCCTCCTATAAGCTGTCTTGCCATCCTTCAAGCCTGTCTTCTTTCTGTAAACCAGAAGTGGGTATAAAAACATCAACAATCTGGCCCTTATTCTGGGTGGTTCATATTTTGTATGACTCCCATGGACATGTGTGCACATTAATAAATTTTGTACACCTTTTATTCCATTAACCTTCCTTTTGTTAGTTGACTTTTCGTGAACCCTTGGAGGACAAAGTGGAAGTTTTCCCTTGGCCTCTACAGCTATAATACAAAAGCAGAAAATAATTGTTGGTGATGATGTGTAGAAATTGGAACCCTTGTACTTTGCCGATGCAAATGTAAAATGGTGCATCCACTATGGAAAACCATATGGTGGTTCTTTTTTTTTGGGGGGGGCGTTTAGGAGGGAAGCTTTAATAGAAAAAAAAAAAAAAGAGAGAGAGAGAAAGGAGAACAGCTCTCTCCCTTGCCAGAGAAAGGGGTTTCCAAAAGGAAAACCATGCCCTCCAGGGACTACACTAGATTTTTTTTTTTTTGTAAGATACATCTTGTTTTAAAAGTTGTTGACATGTGGGGAAAGTACCTCTTAGAACTGATGAAATACTATGTATCAATTCTCAGGAAACTTTGAAGTTACACAGAAGTATCAAAGACACACCCTCACCCTGCCCCCCCCAAAACAAAACAAAACCAACAGCTCAAAATTATCTCGCTACCCACATTATGGTACATTTTCCTAGCACATAAATAATTTGTTTAAACACAGTCATGTTATATATGTGCCCTGAATATTTCCCAGTTGGTTTTTGGAAAACATTTTTTTTTTTTTCTATCTAGATTCAGCAACTGTTTTTTTTGTTTTTTTTTTTTTTTTTTTATTTTTTAATTGATCATTCTTGGGTGTTTCTCGCAGAGGGGGATTTGGCAGGGTCATAGGACAATAGTGGAGGGAAGGTCAGCAGATAAACAAGTGAACAAAGGTCTCTGGTTTTTCTAGGCAGAGGACCCTGCGGCCTTCCGCAGTGTTTGTGTCCCTGGGTACTTGAGATTAGGGAGTGGTGATGACTCTTAACGAGCATGCTGCCTTCAAGCATCTGTTTAACAAAGCACATCTTGCACCGCCCTTAATCCATTTAACCCTGAGTGGACACAGCACATGTTTCAGAGAGCACAGGGTTGGGGGTAAGGTCACAGATCAACAGGATCCCAAGGCAGAAGAATTTTTCTTAGTACAGAACAAAATGAAAAGTCTCCCATGTCTACTTCTTTCTACACAGACACGGCAACCATCCGATTTCTCAATCTTTTCCCCACCTTTCCCCGCTTTCTATTCCACAAAACCGCCATTGTCATCATGGCCCCTTCTCAATGAGCTGTTGAGTACACCTCCCAGACGGGGTGGTGGCCGGGCAGAGGGGCTCCTCACTTCCCAGTAGGGGTGGCCAGGCAGAGGCGCCCCTCACCTCCCGGACGGGGCGGCTGGCCGGGCGGGGGGCTGACCCCCCCACCTCCCTCCCGGACGGGGCGGCTGGCCGGGCAGAGGGGCTCTTCACTTCCCAGTAGGGGCGGCCGGGCAGAGGCGCCCCTCACCTCCCGGACAAGGCGGCTGGCCGGGCCGGGGGCTGACCCCCCAACCTCCCTCCTGGAGGGGGCGGCTGGCCAGGCGGGGGGCTGACCCCCTCACCTCCCTCCCGGACGGGGTGGCTGGCCTGGTGGGGGCTGACCCCCACCTCCCTCCCGGACGGGGTGGCTGCCGGGCGGAGATGCTCCTCACTTCCCAGACAGGGCAGCTGCCGGGCGGAGGGGCTCCTCACTTCTCAGATGGGGCAGTTGCCAGGCAGAGGGTCTCCTCACTTCCCAGACGGGGCGGCTGGGCAGAGACGCTCCTCACCTCCCAGATGCGGTCGCGGCTGGGCAGAGGTGCTCCTCACATCCCAGACGGGGTGGCGGGGCAGAGGCACTCCCCACATCTCAGACGATGGGCGGCTGGGCAGAGACCCCGCTCCTCACTTCCTAGATGGGATGGCGGCCGGGAAGAGGCGCTCCTCACTTCCTAGATGGGATGGCGGCCGGGTAGAGACGCTCCTCACTTTCCAGACTGGGCAGCCAGGCAGAGGGGCTCCTCATGTCCCAGACGATGGGCGGCCAGGCAGAGACGCTCCTCACTTCCCAGACGGGGTGGCGGCCGGGCAGAGGCTGCACTCTTGGCACTTTGGGAGGCCAAGGCAGGCGGCTGGGAGGTGGAGGTTGTAGGGAGCTGAGATCACGCCGCTGCACTCCAGGCTGGGCACCATTGAACACTGAGTGAACCAGACTCCGTCTGCAATCCCGGCACCTCGGGAGGCCGAGGCTGGCGGATCACTCGCGGTTAGGAGCTGGAGACCAGCCCAGCCAACACAGCGAAACCCCATCTCCACCAAAAAATTACGAAAACCAGTCAGGCGTGGCGGCGCGCACAAGCAATCGCAGGCACTCGGCAGGCTGAGGCAGGAGAATCAGGCAGGGAGGTTGCAGTGAGCAGAGATGGCAGCAGTACAGTCCAGCTTCGGCTCGGCATCAGAGGGAGACCGTGGAAAGAGAGGGAGAGGGAGACCGTGGGGAGAGGGAGAGGGAGACTGTGGGGAGAGGGAGAGGGAGAGGTAGAGGGAGAGTCATATGGTGGTTCTTAAAAAAAAATAAACATAGAGTTACCATATGGCCCAGAAATTCCACTTCTGGGTGTATACATATCTCAAAGAATTAAAAACAGAGACTCAAACAGATATTTGCACAGCACTGTTCATAGCAGCATTACTCATAAAAGCCCAAAAGTGGAAACAATCCAAATACCCAAGGACAGGTGAATGGATAAACAAAATGTGCTATATACATACAATGAATATTATTCAGGCTTCAAAAGAAAAGGGAGTTTTGATACATGTTACAACATGGATTAAACTTGAAAACATTATGCCAAGTGAAAAAAGCCAGACACAAAAGAATAATTTGTGTTTTATTTTACACATATATGGTTTCTAGTGTAGCCAAATTCACAGAATAAAAATGTGTAAAGGTGGTTTCCAAGGTCTAAAAGGAGGGATACATGGGAAGTTTTTGATTAATGGTTCAGGGTTGCAGTTTGGGAATATAAAACTCTTCTTGAGATGAATGGTTGTGATGGTTGCACAATGACGTGCAAGTACTTAATGCCACTATACTGTTCATTTAGAAACAGTTAAAATAGTACAAGTTATGTATACTCTATGGTATCTTTTTAAGGATATTAAGGGAATACTATAAACAACCTTATGCCAACTAATTTGACAACTTAGATGAAATGGATAAATTACTTGAAATACAGAAACTGGTAAACTCACTAAAAAAAATACATAATATGAATAAACTTATAGCTATTTAATAAATTAAAATTCTAGTGAGAAATCTTACCAAGAAAACACTGAGTCAAATTGCTCACTGATGGATTTTACCAAATATTTAATACCAATTCTACTTTAACTTGTCCAAATAATGAATCAGAAGAAGTACTTCTCCAACCATTTTATGAGAAAAGCACCACCCTGTCAACCTAAAGGGAAGAAGCTGAAGCAAAATTAATATAAGGAGAGAGTATATTTGGGCCAAACTTGAGCATTGCAACCCAGGCACATATATTAAAGTTGCCGAATGTGCACTCTGATTAACAGCAGTTAGACTTGTCTGTTTAAAGACAAAAAATGGGTGACAGGGAATGGGCTAATACAGTATTGTTTTTCAGGAATTCTCAGTGGTTTACAAAAATAACATTGATTAATGATTAGTTATGTATTACTAAACTATAGGGTGTGGGTTACAATGTCCTGCATGAATTAGGTGAATTTTATAGCTACTTGTAACAATAGCATGCACTTTCAAGAAATAAATACGTAGCTTCAAGGGGAAAGTGAAACATGATTTCTGTTTCATATTAATGTCTCTCTGGACCTGTTAACTAAAAGAATTTGTATTCCTCAGATGGAAGTTATTTTCTTTCCTCAACCCTGATACCAAAATCAGCCAAAGGCATTATAAGAAAGGAAAATAAAAAGAAAAAAATACAGATAAATATCCCATTTTACTGACATAAAATTATAAAAAATTAGCAAATTGAATGCAATAATATTTTAAAAGTATAAAGAAAATCAGTTGGTATTTATCTTAGTAATCTGTGTTTATATCCACATTTAAAATCGATCAGAGTAATTCTCCATATTAATAACACAAAGACAAACATATAACCATCTGAATAGTTACTGAATAAATTGTGGCAAAATTCATCATCCATTCTTCATGAAAATTCTCTCAGCAAACTAGGAACAGAAGGAAACTTCTTGAACTAATGTTCAAGGAAACTTGAACTAATGTTCAAGAAAGGAAACTTCCTTAACCTAATGATGGGCATCTAAGAAAAACATGCAACTAATATCATATTTGACCATGAAAGACTCAATGGTTCTCCTTAAGATTAGAAAAAAATACAGAAAGATTTGCTCTTTGCACTTCAATTCAGCATTAAATTAGAGATTTGGCCAGTGGCATATAACAAGACACGGAAATAAAAGACACCTATATTTGGAAGGAAGAAGTAAAACTCTTTTTTTCTCAGACAACATGATCATATATTTTACAAATCTAAAGGAATATACTAATTTGTGTGTTTAGCAAGGTTGCAGGGTGCAAATTTGGTATACATTAAATTGTATTTGAGTATACTAACAATGAAAATGGGATATTGAAATTTTAAAAATTACTATTCATAATGGAATCAAAAATAAAAATACTTAAAAGTAAATCTGATGAAATATGTGAGAGACATATACTTTTAAAACTACCAAACTATGGGCCGGGCGTGGTGGCTCACGCCTGTAATCCCAGCACTTTGGGAGGCTAAGGTGGGTGGATCATGAGATCAGGAGATCCAGACCATCCTGGCTAACATGGTGAAACCCCATCTCTACTAAAAATTCAAAAAAAATTAGCCAGGCATGGTGGTGGGCACCTGTAGTCCCAGCTACTTGGGAGGCTGAGGCAGGAGAATGGCGTGAACCCGGGAGGCGGAGCTTGCAGTGAGCTGAGATCAAGCCACTGCACTCCGCCTGGGGCAACAGAGCAAGACTCCGTCTCAAAACAAAACAAAACAAAAAAAACTACCAAACCATGATAAAGAAATGAAATAAGACCTAAATAATTTGAGAAATATACTTTGTTAACTAATCAGATGTTTTAATACTGTTAAGGTGTCATTTCTTTTTAAATTTATGTATAACTTCAATGCAATCCAAGTTAAATTTCTGAAGTGTTTTTATAGAAATCAACAAACTGATTATACAATTTACATGGAAATGTAAAGCCCCTACAATAATTAAATAAATTTTGAAAAAGAACAAAGTTGGAGAGCTAAATCTACTTAATTTCAATAATTATTATAAAGCTACAGTTAGCAAAAGTGTATGGGATTAACCTAATGACAGAGAAATAGATCCATGGAATAAAAAAAAGTCTAGAAATGAACCCACACCTACAGAGACAACTGATTTTTACAAAGATTTAATGGCAATTAACCATTAAATGGAGGAAACAGTTTTGTAAACAAATAAGGATGGAGTAATTGGATATATCTATGTAAATATTATAAACTTTTTAAAAAAATTTAGTTTTTGTGGGTACATAGTAGGTATATATATTTATGGTGTACATGAGGTATTTTGATACATGCAAGCAATGTATGGTATTCACATCATGGAAAATGAGGTATCAATCCCCTCAAGCATTCATTCTTTGTGTTACAAACAATCCAATTATATTATTTTAGTTGTTTAAAAATGTACAATTAAATTTTCATTGACTATAGTCACCCTGTTGTGCTATCATATAGTAGGTCTTATAGATATTAGGTCTTATAAAGTACTATTCAGCCATAAAAAAGAATGAGATCCTGTCATTGGCAAATATTATAAACTTTGATCCACCCTCATACCATATACAAAAATTCTTCTAAAACAGATTACAGACCTAAATGTAAATCCTAAAACTAGAAAACTTTTTTTTTTTTTTTTTTGAGACGGAGTCTTGGTCTGTCGCCCAGGCTGGAGTGCAGTGGCGCGATCTCGGCTCGCTACAAGCTCTGCCTCCCGTGTTCACGCCATTCTCCCGCCTCAGCCTCCTGAGTAGCTGGGACTACAGGAGCCTGCCACTAAGCCCGGCTAATTTTTTTGTATTTTTTTTTATTAGAGACGGGGTTTCACCGTGTTAGCCAGGATGGTCTCGATCTCCTGACCTCGTGATCCGCTAGTCTCAGCCTCCCAAAGTGCTGGGATTACAGGCGTGAGCCACTGCACCTGGCCAAAACTAGAAAACTTTAGAAGAAAAAAAAATCTTTGTAACATTGTGTTAGAAAAATATTTTTGATTCAACAGAAAAAATACAATATATAAAACAAAAATTAATATGCTTGACTTTATCAGAATTTAAAATTGTTGCTTTTTGAAAGACACAAGAAAATTAAAGCAAAAGCCACAGACTAAGAAAAGATCTTTGAAAATTATATAATTGATGAAGGACTTGTATCCAGATTATACAGAGAAAAGTAAAAAACTTATCAATAAGAAAACAAACAACCTAGTAAAAGTCAGAAAATATTTGAAACAAGAAAAATACATAAATGGCAAACAAGCACCTAAAAAGGTATTCAACATCATTAGGCATAGTGAAAATACAAATTCAACTGCAATGACAACACTGCAAACTTACTAGAATAGCTAACATTGAAAAAGACTGACCATACCAAGTATTGTTAAAGATGTGTGCAGAAACTGGAACTCTAAAATACTGCTAGTCAGAATGTAAAATGGGACAACCTTTTTGGAAAATAGTTTTGTTACCAGAAACAGGTCCTGATCCTGATCCAAAAGAAGCCTCTTGGACCTTGCTCAAGAAAGAATTTGGGGTGAGTCTATAGAGTAAATAAAAAAAAAGTTTATTAAGGAAGCAAAGGAATGAACGAATGGTTACTGCATAGGCTGAGCAGCAGCATGGGCTGCTCAACTGAGTATACTTATAGTTATTTCTTGATTATATACTAAATAAAGGATGGATTATTCATGAGTTATCCAAGAAAGGTGTGAACAATTCCCAGAACTGAGGGTTCCTCCCCCTTTTAGACCATATAGGATAACTTCCTGGTGTTCCCATGACTTCTGTGAACTGTCGTGGTGCTAGTGGAAGTCTTTTGGCATGCTAATGCATTATAATTAGCATATAATGAGCAGTGAGGATGACCAGACTTTCGTACCTTTCTTGATATTCATGGGTTTTGGCCAGCTTCTTCATGGCAACCTGTTTTATCAACAGGGACTTCGTGACCTGTATCTTGTGCTGACCTCCTGTGTCATCCTGTGATTAGAATGCCTAACCTCTTGAGAATGCAGCCCAGTAGGTCTCAGCCTTATTTCACCCAGCGCCTATTCAAGATGGAGTCATTCTGGTTCAAACACCTCTGACAGTTTCACAATTTCTTATAAATTTAAACACATAGCTAACATCTGATCCAGCTATTCTACTCCTAGATATTTATCTAAGGAAAAATGAAATATTGTCCATACAAATACATGTACATGAATATTCATAGCACTTTTGTATGTAAAAGCCAAAAACTAGAAATAATTTAATTGTCTCTCAAGGGATGAATAGATAAACAAATTGTGGTCAATTTGTTTATTCATAGGTTGGAATAATACTCAGCCATAAAGAGAAATAAATTGCCAATAATGTGGATGAATATAAAAATAACTATCCTGAATGAATGAAGCCTGAAAATAAGGAGTACATATTATTTAATTCCATTAACATAAACATCTAGAAAACTCAAACTAATCTAAAATAACATAAAGTACATTCATTGTTGCTTGGGGAGTGTATGTGTGCAAGGCTGGAGAGGGATTACAAAGGGCTATGAGGAAACTTTTGGAGGTGGTGTATATGTTCACTCTTCTGATAGTAGTGATGATTTCTCAAATTGTAAAAATCTTTGAAACTGTACATATGAAATATTTTAAATATATATCAAATAACTCTACACACAATAATTTTTGAAAAGATCTTTAGAAAAATAATCTCTTGTGAAAAACAAAAATTCCACAGTATAGATAAGATAGAAAAGCCAGTCATGAGATATCTAGGTGGCTCTCAACTTTTCACTTTAGTAGAAGAGGATTCACATTAAACAAAAGTAAAGGAGCGAATAATTGAAAAGTAAAATCTATTTGGAGTTTGAATAATTTTTTTAAATTATATTTTAATTTTAATATATGTGAAATACTAAAATTTGTCAACATTTCAAATACCATCATATATCTTCCATGAAGTTTAGAGTTAGGACTCAATGAAAGTTCATCTCTAAAATTTCTGCCTGGCTAATTTATGTTTCCTCAGAGAAACAAACTATTTGTTTAAAAGGGCTTTCTTGGCAATCTAATTGAGTTGTTACGGGTGCAAATTGGTAACTGTTGTTAGAACAACCGAAGTTTTAGCTGATAGCTAATAAATCAGTTAAGCCTTGCATTCAAATTTTTCTAAATAGCATATATTTTGAGGATACTGGCAAAGATCAACTAAAAAGTGAATTATTTCTGAATAGGAATGAAGGGTGAGGGGAGAGGTGATATTTGATAAATGTCAGGGTAAAGCTTTGAGGTCTTTTTCTTCTCTTCCTTGTTCTAGTGTCTTCTCTGTAGAAACAATAGAAACTCTCCTTTGAAGTAATTAATGCAAAATTCCTCAGCAACTGCAGACTGTTAAGTAGAGCAGCCACTGTGATGTTTCCTGAGATGAAACAGCCTGGATCAGCCACCATGATAAATAGGAAGACCTTTTATACTAGTATCCCAAAGGGTGAGAGTAAACTGGCAGAAAGTAATCTTGGCCCCAGACAAATGTCAGCTATTTTAGTTACTAGAGAACATTTTTAAAAAGTCTATGTGTAAGACTAAATTTTTATATTTGTTATACTAGGTTGGCAAAAAATGTAGAGGAAGTATATTTATTCAAAAGTTGTTGTAATGTATCATTTTCAAATATAATTTTTGTTATTAAGTTCAGAAGTTATTAGGGTCTTTTCTTTGGAGGCTTTTTCAAGGGGAATATAAATGTTCTTAATATTATCAGATATACTTCCAGAATTAATACATAGAGCGGACCTTGTAGCCAAAGAAGCACAACTAGTGGAAAAGTGAAAAAAAGTGTTGTTGACACGGGAATGTTTGTTATTGGAGTTATCGCCTCACTTGCTTTTTTTTTTTTTTTTCTCTTCTCCCTCTGGGTATAGGAAAGTACAGATAGGAGTTAATATCAATAGCTCCTTCCTGACAAAAAATAAGAAATTGGAATATGAAAGGGATTGATTTGAGTTAAGAGAAGGAGTTGTGAGAATGAAAATTCCCAAGTTAGTAGGGTCTGATTTTGGACACGTTTTTGGTTTCAATGCACCAAATATTTATAGAACTTACAGCATCACTTAAGAGAAAGAGCAGAGTCTGAAAGATTAGGTGGCTGACATCATACAGTGCAAAGATTCAGAGTGGGATTTGAAGTTTTGAATAGAACTGCATATATATCTAAAGAGATAAGGCCAAAAGAAAATAACTGTTTTAACCTGGTAGACAATCAGAGAACTTGATATACCCAATTTAAAATTTCTTCTATTCTCCATTATAAAATGGAGATTTTATGATGCGAAAAATAGTAGAACATAGTGATGAGAAAAATAGTAGAACATAGTGAATGCTACATTGTTTTGAAAATTAGGTAGTATTATCATGGGTTTGCTTTGGAGTTTTACTCCCTTACCCCTCTCCTTTCTTTTTTTCACTAGTATTTATCTGACCCCCACAATCTTCTATTTTATAAGGTTTGGGTAAATTTTATTTCTCTGTTATCTTTTCCTTCCACATCACAGTTGCTGGCCTTGAGACCAGGTTTGTTGTTCCCCTTCTCTTTCTCAGAGAAGTGTTTTTTTTTTTCTTTTAAATTGGGAAATTTAATATTTTTGCAAGGGCAAGATAGAAGAGTCAAAAAACAAATAATAAAGTGGAAAAATATCTAAGACACATATGACAGGCAAAGGCTAGGCCAGCAATCGTGTTTAATGACTTGTTTAATATATAGAGGGAATTGTATTGATATAGGTACATATTCTCAAAAACCATTCTTGTTAATGAATATTCACACATAATATTATGTTAGAGGTATTTGAACCAGAGTAACTCCATCTTGAATAGGAGCTGGGTATAATAAGGCTGAGACCTACTGGGCTGCATTCCCAGGGGTTAGGCATTCTAAGTCACAGGATGGGATAGGAGGTGGGCACAAGGTACAGGTCACAAAGACCTTGCTGATAAAACAGGTTGTGGTAAAGAAGCAAGCCCAAACCCACCAAAAACAAGATGACAATAAAAGTGACCTCTGGTCATCCTCACTGTTCATTATATGCTAATTATAATGCATTAGCATGCTAAAAGGCACTCCCATCAGTGCTCCCACAACAGTTTACAGATGCCATGGCAATCCATGAGGGCAGCCACTGCACCTGCCCTGCTGACTGCCTGGTACAGAGCTGGCACAGAGCAGATGCTCCATAACAGCTCTCTGAGTGACAGGCTGCAAGGTCCCCTGGTCCCAAGGCTGGAGCAACTGGGACTTTCATGACTGCTGTGTGTTCCCCAGTTGTAGGGGGCAATGCCAGGAAGTTACCCTATATGGTATAAAAGGAGGAGGAACCCTCAGTTCTGAGAATTGCCCACCCCTGGCATTTAAAGAGAAAATTTTATATGAAAATAAAATAAAATAACAATGATTAATAGTTGGAGCAGACTATTAACCCAGTTTCTGAGTCCAGAGAGCAGCCAGTTGAGAAGATTTCTTGATGTTGGTTAAACATTTCTAGATATTGGGATTAAAGCATCTTTAGACCTTTAGATGATAAAGTGAGGACAGCAGGAACCATCTGATGGATTTCCTGGTCTGCAGTTTGGATGTCTCTGGTGATGGTATAAACATCAGTGTCACAGTCATGGTTATTTCCCAAGAGCAGAGTATAGAAACATCCAGCTTTTTCTAACAGGGCTTTTTCAGATAGTCTCAATCTGAGCAGTAAGATTTCGGTTCTTAGTGACTCCAAGTCAGGAAAGTGGAAGAAAAATTGAAAACATTAGTTTTGGAGGTTGTAGCCAGATATTAGAGAAAATTAGAAGAATTGACAAGTTGATAAGGACTGATTAAATATGGAAGGTTGAAAGATCCAGTACAGTTATACGTTAAGTAAAAAAACCTCAAAGACAATTAATAAGACTCAAATCTAATAACCTACAAGGGTGTGTTACAGTTTTCCATTGAATCATAAAGTTTCCCTCTTTATGTTTCCCCCAGTCTTTTTTATTCTTCTTTAGTTAATAAGTCTCAAATTATTAGATTTGGCTTGATTATTTACATAATGGTGGCAAGAATGATAATTGACCACGTAAGTCTTTTTGAGTCTGCTTTGCTGGAACTTCTCACGTGAAATCTCAGATTAGACTTTGAAAATCCTCTCCAGGCTAGAAAGACAAGCCGAGAACACACCACCAGATTTTACCTGCCAAATTTAACCCTTAGATCTAGGTGGAGTCCTCTCTTTTTGAGATCCCTCAAAGATTTCAAGGTTCAAAGGCCTGCCAAGAAGACCTTTCTCACTCATTGTAAGGCTGGAAACTCTGTAAGCCGGATACCAGGCTGGTTTCCCCAAGAAAGCTTTGTAAGAACTGGCTCCACTCAATCAACCTTAGTTTATTAAAACTGTCTGGTCATATCTGACACTATGCACATCTTTATCAAATACGACATTCCAGTCAAAGTCTTGGTTATGCAATGAATGATTCCAATTATGTCTCTTCAAAAGTGGAACATATTCTTATTTACTTTATGCAAATAATTATATTACAATAAAAATGAGATCACTCAGTAAGAATTTCCAGATTCTGGAGAGAACAGACAGGGAGAAAATTAAATGTTGCATTTCTGTTTACAAATATATAATTTACTAATTGTTAATTATTAGAAATAATTTAAGAGAAAAGGGAAACAGTTTCCTTACATCCAGAACATTGATATTAAAGAACTAGCCAGTTTCCACTCAAAAAGTCATAATAAATTATAAGCATTCTTTATAAATTTATCCAATCCTGTGTAATTACTTCCTATTCTTCTAAATCTTGGGTTCACAGTTTGATGAACCCATCATCTTCTCTACTAAAATTCTGGAAATCCTCATGCAGTCAAGTGATATGATTTCCAAGTTATTTAAGCAATGCCTTCAGAAGCCTGTACCCTGTAATACTAGTCATAGTCCTTTCTATGAGTCTCTTAGATACTCCCTCTTTGTCGAAGTCCTTTCTGTCCTTTTTTTTTTTCTTTAGATGGGGTCTCACTCTGTCACCAGGCTGGAGTGCAGTGGTGTGATCTCGGCTCACTGCAACCTCTGTCTCCCTGATTCAAGCAATTCCCCTGCCTCAGCCTCCCGAGTAGTTGGGACTACAGGCGCGCACCACCATGCCCAGCTAATTTTTTTTCCCTTGTATTTTAGTAGAGACAAGGTTTCACCATGTTGGCCAGGATGGTCTCAAACTAACTCCTGACATTGTGATCTGCCCGCCTTGGCCTCCCAAAGTGCTGGGATTACAGGCGTGAGCCACTGCGCCTGGCCAACAATAAGAACATTTTAATAGCAGACTTGAATATATTTAATTTTTTTGTATTATATAAAAATAAGAGGCCAAGAGTATACAAACTTAAACTTATAAATACATTTGTATTTTATGTTACTTAGAATTGATCTAAATATTTAATTAATGTTACTTAACTTAGCATAACATTAAATTTGCAAGTTACCAAAAAGATTTTGAAAAGTATTTTTAAGCAAATGTATTATTACATTAAACTAGCTAGTCATCATCTCAAATTATTTTCCTGTTAATTATTTTTACAGCACATGCATGTTAGAAATGTATCAAAAAGTTAAAACCAAAAAAACTTATTATTTTTTTCTTTTTTTTTTTGAGATGTAGTCTTGGCTCACCGCAACCTTCTCCTCCCAAGTTCAAGTGATTCTCCTGCCTCAGCCTCCCGAGTAGCTGGCATTACAGGCATGTGCCACCACGCCCAGCTAATTTTGTATTTTTAGTAGAGATGGGGTTTCTCCATGTTGGTCAGGCAGGTCTCGAACTCTTGACCTCAGGTGATCTTCCTGCCTTGGCCTCCCAAAGTGCTGGAATTACAGGCATGAGCCACATGCCCAGCTATTTTTTTGTTTTATTTTTACTGCTGTTTACTTGGACTTCTGTTCTTAGGTTGAATCTATAATTTTTATAATCTTGAACATCTAGTAACCAAGTCCAGTGCTTGTAGCACTCACTGCATGACAGCCAATAAGTTGGTAGAAGGTATTTGGACAAGGAAAACAACTTTATTCAGAGCCAGCAAACAGAAAAGATAGCAGAATTAGTATCCTAAAGAACTATCTTAAGGTAATATAAATTTTAGGCTCCTCCTCTGAGGAGGGAGGAAAAAGTGGGGGGTGAGGTCAAGAGGTGACCAATGACCACAGACATCTGGGCAGCAGCAAGGGTCTAAGAGGACTGTGAAACTTCTTTATTCTTTTTCCGTTGACTTTGAATGGTGTAATATTCAGGTCACAAATGTTCCTGTCAATCTTTAGCATAACATCATTAGTATGTACATACTTTCTTATTTCCTCGGGGGGTTAGCATTGGAAAAGATATCATTATTGTCCTTGATTTAAAGTAGAACTATAAATTAAATTCCTTCCATAGTTAGTTTGCCCTGCATGCAGAGATAAGCAAAAGTAATTTAAAAGATATCACCATGCAGAGGCTAGGAGCGAAATGCGGTTAGTTGTGCTAAACTTCCTTTTCACTGTTACAATATTACCTTATTTCACTAGTAAAACCAAGTAGAGTAAAAACGTATGTTCATATTATACTCGATAGGTTTAGAAGACACTATCACAAAATATGGCACCTTGGCATGTTAACTATTTTAAGCTAAAAGAACTTGAGAAATGTCAGGAAGGACTCTGACATTCCTCTGTCCTTCTCCACTAATGTAGATAATAACAGATTTATATAACAGGTTCCCTCCCAATACCCAGAGGAAAGGAGCATCCTTATCTCTGAAGATGGAGGGACAGTGAGAGGAATTTGAATGAACGAGCTATGTTAAGATCCTTTCAGTTTACTACACTTAGCTCATACCCTTTGTCTTATGACATTCTTCCAAAACTTTCCACTCTTCATCAAACCTATCATAAAAAAACTCAGGTTTAATTATTTCTTCAGGTCTTCATTTCATCATGAAGGCTTTCATGTCACAAAAAACTAATAATAAATGCATTTGTATGCTTTTATCTGTCAATATTTCTCTTGTTAGAGCCCTATCTGAGAACTTGAAAGGGTGGAAAGTATTTTTCTTCCCCTATGTACTTAATGCTGATAACTCAGAAGGCATACCCATATTTGTTAAACCAATAATATCAAACTAGTCTTATTTACCAAATTTATGTAATTACATATACTTGAAAAACATTTTGATTAGTTTCTATATTTCTGGAAGTTTAAGGAATGTTTTATTTACATATGTGATTATCCCTAAGCCTATCAGAAAAGACTATATGATTTTAGGAATTAATTTGGTAATGTTATTTGGAAATAAAAAATATTGCATATACATAACATACATACATACCCAAACATACACAGACAGATGCAAATAGACACTATAGCTTTTATTCTGAAATTTGTCATGAGTCTGATAAATACAGTAATATAAAACTCAACAGTTTATTTAAAATAGCTGGTTCTCATCTTCTCTCTGCTTCATATTTTTATCTGAATTGTATTGCTGGTGATAAAAAAATGTTACCTTCTCAATATTTCTTTTTAACAATATTCATGGAGGAGACTTTTAAGATTTTCTTTTGTTCCAATATGTACTTGGTTTTAAGTTCCCCAAATACCTTGAGAGCCCTAATGGGGGAGGAGGGGCCTAAAGTTCAAGTGACTGTAGGGAATTTAGGAGCTGGAATGGGAAGGGAAAAGTCTGGCAGGGATGGATGGATGTGTGGAGGAGGTAGACTGTTGTGAAGGAAGACATTTCAAAGAATCCAAGGAAACTGAAGGGAAGATGGAAGGTGGTAAAAGAAGGAGGGAGGAGCAGAAGTTATCGGAAGGGAGAGGTCATAGATGAGCAAGTTTGGATAGATTTAAGTTTTCTGAAGAAGCCAATGGAGTTCCAATTTTCTCAGTAAAATCATGCCAACAAGGTAGAAAGTGGGCAGTTAGCACCATAGTGGTAGAACATATAGTTACCAAGGGTTCAACAAAGGGAGGTTCAGTTGACAGAAAATTTCCTATGGGAAAAGCAGGATCAAATAGAACAAAGAGGCCTCACAAGCAGCCAAGAAAAAAAAAAATTCCGAGCCACGGGTAAGTGAATATCCACTCAAAAGTTCCAGGAGGAACTTCCAGCTTAGGAAGTACCTTTCAAGATATCTAATTGAGCTTCGGAGAATGTACTCAGAATCCTAGGAATTAAAATCTGTCCTTAACATGCTTCAGTGGACTGTCATCCAGAGCACTGGCTCAAGAGTTGGACTCACCAATGGATCTCTGATCAATAACTAAGGAGTGAAGACAAAGGCTTCAATGGCGTACACTTAGGGTCTTGGGTGAGAAGTCTGGGGGTCCAATGACACATTTGATGCTAAGTTGTAGCCCCATAACTGTGGAAAATTATTCTGACACTTGTTAAAATGTAAGGAAAACTTGATTCAGGATTATTAAAGTAGGTATCAGGACTGTCACAATAGAGGTGAGAGATTGGGTTCAACTCTGAATACAGCAAAGAACCCAGGGAATATATAGTCAATGAGCAGAATGGCAGGTTCACTAGATGGAATTACTAAGAGGAGACTTCACATTGGAGGCAATTCTTGCTAAACCAATGTAACAGGATTCTTGCTGATGGCCAAGGTGATCAGATATCAAGGCGAGGAATGAGGAATTTGATCAGAAATGAGGATGATCAAATATCAAGGGTGGGGAACTCTCTGTAAACAAAATTAATAGAATTATTGTTAAACTGGACAAATAGGCTGAAGACAAGGACCAAGGATGACGCCTAGTAAAAAATATGACTAAGAGGAACCTGTCTAAAGTTTAGTCTTTGCCTCAATTCTGCCAATACTTTAAGGAGACAAAAGGTCATCCTAATTTTTGAAGCTAAAAGGGGAGAAAATTCACTACATGTTAAATATGCCTTACTATAATTTTGTTTCTTATATTTTCTTGCTTTCTGAGTTCAAATATACATGCATGAGCATAAACAGAGACCTAGAGAAATGAAGCAATGAAGCACTTTAGTTATGGAAGGCAAGTACCTCCTCTCTCTCTCTCTCTGTCACACACACACACACACACACACACACACGCACGCACACCTGTATCTCGAGATCTGAACTAGTCTAATGATTGGCAGCATGACAAGAGCTGATTGTTAAATATTCCGAAATTTGGATGTTAAACTGTCTGTATCTTGAAATTGGCTAAGGTGGAAGTATTTACACAATGGAAACTGGCAAACACTGCAAATTAAGTTTTTTTCCCCCCTAAAGAGCAGGTTTACCAGCACACCACTGGATGTAAGCAACAATGTATTTAAGAGGTCTCTCTGGTTGTATAAAAATAACTTTCTAGGGCTGGTCTTTCATTTTTCTTTATTTTCTTTCTTTAATTTTTGGGCTTCTTTGCCACTTTTTAAAGAGGACCAGAAGGTAAGTATAGCTTAAAGATGTGTTGTCCTCCCAGCGATCCTGCTCTTGGTCTTCCTCTCTCCTCTTTTAAAGTATTCAATCAGCATTAGTAGTTCTTGAGAACTTTTCAAGCTTTCTATTGTTTTCTATAATTAGCATGATCTTAAACAGGGATCTGCTTAACACATTTTTGAGTTTCAAAAAACTCACTAGCAAGAGCTATCAGCCACACAAAACCATTCATAAGTTTCAGGAACCTATTTTCTCAATTCAGAAAGACATTAAAGCAAACTATAAAGATAAGGATACATTTTTATAAAATAGTATGCTATCACTAGTAAGTTTTCATTTCCCGTTGATTTTCTAGATTACAAATCATGCCTACATTTCCTTAGTTTTATTCCATGCCCCTTAATTCATTTCTTCCTTATTTTACAATAAAACAATGTTTTCATTTACTAGCTTTGCTCTTTCTAGGCAAATGCAGAGCTCTGCCTCTAGCTCTGCATTTTCTAGCTAGGCCCTAGTCACATGTGGCTATTTAAATTTAAGTTAATTAAACCTAAATAAAAATAAGAATTCAATTTCCCTATCAAACTGGCAACATTTCAAGTGCTCAATATTCACTTATGACTTTTGCCTACTATATTGCTGACCAATTTGCTGAAAGGATTGGTGAACTTCTGCAAAAGTAAAGTTGATCCCTTTATTATCATGTAATCCCCTTCTTTGTCTTTTTTGATCTTTGTTGGTTTAAAGTCTGTTTTGTCAGAGACTAGGATTGCAACCCCTGCTTTTTTCTGCTTTCCATTTGCTTGGGAAATATTCCTTCATCCCTTTATTTGAGCCCATATGTGTCTTTGTACATGAGATGGGTCTCCTGAATACAGGACACCGATGGGTCTTGACTCTTTATCCAATTTGCCACTCTGTGTCTTTTAACAGGGGCATTTAGCCAGTTTACATTTACGGTTAATATTGTTATGTGTGAATGTGAACCTGTCATTATGATGCTAGCTGGTTATTTTGCCCATTAGTTGATGCAGTTTCTGCATAGTGTCAATGGTCTTCACAATTTGATATGTGTTTGCAGTGGCTGGTCAGGTTTTTCCTTTCCACGTTTAGTACTTCCTTCTGGAGCTCCTGTAAGGCAGGCCTGGTGGTGACAAAATTGCTCAGCATTTGCTTGTCTGTAAAGGATTTTATTTCTCCTTCGCTTATGAAGCTTAGTTAGGCTGGATATATAATTATGGGTTGAAAATTCTTTCCTTTAAGAATGTTAAATATTGGCCCCCACTCTCTTCTGGCTTGTAGAGTTTTGAATGTCTTCTTTTGAGAAGTCTTTCTTCATGTCCTTTGCCCACTTTTTTTTTTTTTTTTTTTTTTTTTTTGAGGCAGAGTCTCGCTCTGTCGCCCAGGCTGGAGTGCAGTGGTGCAATCTTGGCTCACTGCAAGCTCTGCCTCCCGAGTTCATGCAATTCTCCTGCCTCAGCCTCCCGAGTAGCTGGGACTACAGGCGCACACCACCAGGCCCAGCTAATTTTTTGTATTTTTAGTAGAGACGTGGTTTCACCGCGTTAGCCAGGATGGTCTCGATCTCCTGACCTCATGATCCATCCGCCTCAGCCTCCCAAAGTGCTGGGATTACAGGCGTGAGACACTGCACCTGGCTGTCCTTTGCCCACTTTTTAATGTTATTGTTTTCTTCTTGTAAATTTTTAAGTTCCTCGTGGCACATGCCTGTATTCCCAGCTACTTGGGAGGCTGAGGCAGAATAATTGCTTGAACCCAGAAGGCAGAGGTTGTGGTGAGACAAGATTGCACCACTGCACTCCAGTCTGAGCAACAAGAGTGAAACTCCGTCTGGAAAAAAAAAAAAAAAAAAAATATATATATATATATATATATATATATACACTTATATATATGTGTGTGTATATATATACATATAACATATATACATATATACATATATGTATACACATATATACATGTGTATATATGTATATGCATCTATACATGTGTATATGTATATACACATATATACTTATATACATATATACATACATATATATAAATATATATACACATTTTAGCCAGTTTTCCATTTTGAGTTAATATTTATATGAGGTTTACGTCTAATAGTTTTAATGTTTTATTTTCAAATTGAAGCATAATAATTGTACATATTTATGGGGTACACTGTGATAGTTTGTGGGACTTCCATTTTTTTCTACGTATGTTCAATTCCTCCATTTGTTGAGATTTGTTGAATAAAAGACAGTTTATTACTGTCTTTTCTCCACTGAATTGCTTTTGCACCTCTGTCAAAATCAGATGGACATATTTCTGTGAGTGTATTTCTGGGTTATCTCTTTCGTTCTCCAAACAATGTACTTTCTTGATTACAGTAGCTATGCAGTAAGCCTTAACATTGAGTAGAATACTTTTTTCAGCCATATACTTCCCTTTTAAAATTATTCTAGCTATTCTAGATATTGTGCATTTGCATGTAATCTAAGATGCAGCACTTTGGGAGGCGTAGGTGGGTGGATCATGAGGTCAGGCGTTCGAGACCAGCCTGGCCAACATAGTGAAACCCCGTCTCTACTAAAAATACAAAAAATTAGCCAGGCGTGGTGGTGGGCGCCTGTAATCCCAGCTACTCAGGAGGCTGAGGCAGGAGAATAGCTTGAATCTGGGAGGTGGAGGTTGCAGTGAGTCGAGATCATGCCACCGCACGCCAGCCTGGGCAACAGTGCAAGACTCCATCTCAAAAAAAAAAAAAAAAAAAAAGAAAACTAAAATGAACATTGTGTATGTCTATAAAGCTTAGCTCAAACTTTCATAAATGTTACATTAAACCTATAGATCAAATAGGAGAGTTGACATCTTTACTATGTTAGGTCTTCCAATCTATGCATACGGTATGTATTTACTTTTATTTAACTCTTCTTTAATTTCTGCCATTAATATTTGAAATCTTTAGGACACAGTTCCTTTACATGTTTTGACAGATTTTACTTAAGATTTTTACTTTATTTGAAGCAATTATAAATGTTAACTCTTTTATTATTGTTTCACAAGTTTCTGAGACTTTCATTATTTTTCAGTCTATTTTCTCTGTTGTTCATACGATGTAAATTCTATTTTTCTGTCCTCAAGTTTGCTGATTCTATCTTCTGTCATGTCTATTCTTACATTGACCATTTCCACAGGTGATTTTTATTTTTATTTGATTTTTCAGTTCTAAGACTTTCCATATGGTTCTTTTCTTTATGCGTTCTATTTCTTTACAAGTATTTTCTATTTTTTCCATTTGATGCAAAATAATTAACTATGTATTGAAGCTTTTTTCCTTTCTGTGAAGTAATTTTAAAATGTATAATTGGAACAAAATAATTGTATATATTTATGGGATACAGTGTGGTTTTCCAATGTAGGTATGCATTGTATAATGATCAAATGTTGATAACTACCATATCCATCACTTTAACTATTATTCATTTCTAGTTATCCTGAAATATACATTACATTCTTATTTGCTATACTCACCCTACCATGTAATAGATATTCCTCTTGTCTCACACCTAGTGACACTGCCTGCTCTCCACATCCCAGTTTCTAGTAACCATTATTCTATTCTCTACTTCTATGAAATCAACGTTTTTAGATTCCTAATTGACATACTAATTTTACTTTTTGTAGATATATATCCAATAGTGGAATTGCTGGAGAATATAGTAACTCTATTTTTAATTATTTGAGGAAACTCCATGCTGTTTTCCATAATGGCTGTAATAATTCACATTCCTGCCAACAGTGCATAAGAATTCCCCTTTCTCCACATCCTCACCAGCATTTATTATATCTTTTTGTCTTTTTGATAATAGCTGTTCTAATTAGGGTGTGAAGATATATCATTTGGTTTTGATTTGCATTTCCCTGATGATTAGTGGTGTTGAGGCTTTTTCCATATATCTGTTGGCCATTTGTGTGTCTTCTTTTTTTTTTTTTCTTTTTTTTTTGAGATAGTCTCGCTCTGTCCCCCAGGCTGAAGTGCAGTGATGTGATCTCAGCTCACTGCAACCTCCACCTCCCAGGTTCAAGTGATTCTTCTGCCTCAGCCTCCTGAATAGCTGGGACTACAGGTGCATGTCACCATGCCCAGCTAATTTTTTTTTTTTTTTGTATTTTTAGAAGAGACAGGGTTTCACCATGTTGGCCAGGATGGTCTCGATCTCCTGACCTTGTGAACCACCCACCTTGGTCTCCCAAAGTGCTGGGATTACAGGTCTGAGCCACTGTGCCCAGCCGTGTGTCTTCTTTTGAGAAATATCTATTCAGGTCTTTTGCACATTTATTTATTTATTTATTTCAGTTTTATATGTAGATTGTATTTTATTTTGAAATGTGATACGGTGCTATTCTCTTGCATTTTCTTAGACGTGACTCACCACTAACCCTATATTCCCCCATTTCAGGCCAGTTGGTCATAAGCATCCACTTGCCCCAGAGAATATTGGGTTGTTATGACAAGACTACAAAGTTGGAAAGAAATAGAATATTTGAGTCTACCCTGTAAGAATAAAAAGAATAAAAGGGTTTTAAATTTATTTAGACCCTATTGTTTAATCAAGAATTCTGGCCAGGAGCAGTGGCTCACGCCTATAATCCCAATGCTTTAGGAGGCCAAGGCAGGAGGATCGTTTGAGGCCAAGAGATTGAGACCAGCCTGGGCAAATTATTGCTCAGGAAAAAAAGGTCTTATTTAATATTTTAGTCTTTACAAAGTTTTTTGCTATTATGGAGTATTCTCTCAAATACCTTATGTACATCCACGTTGTCTAAGACATGCCACTTTAACATTCTAGATACACTGTAGCTGTCATTTTACCCTAAGCCATTAGGAGCACTGATCCACATAAAATTGGGCTGTTTTATTTATTTATTTATTTATTTATTTATTTATTTATTATACTTTAAGTTTTAGGGTACATGAGCACAACGTGCAGCTTAGTTACATATGTATACATGTGCCATGTTGGTGTTCTGCACCCATTAACTCTTCATTTAACATTAGGTATATCTCCTAATGCTATCCTTCCCCCCTCCCCCCACCCCACAACAGGCCCCGATGTGTGATGTTCCTCTTCCTGTGTCCATGTGTTCTCATTGTTCAATTCCCACCTATGAGTGAGTACATGCGGTGTTTGGTTTTTGGTCCTTGCGATAGTATGCTGAGAGTGATGGTTTCCGGTTTCATCCATGTCCCTACAAAGGACATGAACTCATCATTTTTTTATGGCTGCATAGTATTCCATGGTGTATATATGCCACATTTTTTTAATCCAGTCTATCATTGTTGGATATTTGGGTTGGTTCCAAGTCTTTGCTATTGTGAATAGTGCTGCAATAAACATAAGTGTGCATGTGTCTTTATAGCAGCATGTTTTATAATCCTTTGGGTATATACCCAGTAATGGGATGGCTGGGACAAATGGTATTTCTAGTTCTAGATCCCTGAGGAATCGCCACACTGACTTCCACAATGGTTGAACTAGTTTACAGTCCCACCAACAGTATAAAAGTGTTGCTGTTTCTCCACATCCTCTCCAGCACCTGTTGTTTCCTGACTTTTTAATGATCGCCATTCTAACTGGTGTGAGATGGTATCTCATTGTGGTTTTGATTTGCATTTCTCTGATGGCCGGTGATGATGAGCATATTTTCATGTGTCTTTTGGCTGCATAAATGTCTTCTTTTGAGAAGTGTCTGTTCATATACTTCGCCCAATTTTTGATGGGGTTGTTTGTTTTTTTCTTGTCAATTTGTTTGAGTTCATTGTAGATTCTGGATATTAGCCCTTTGTGAGATGAGTAGATTGCAAAAATTTTCTCCCATTCTGTAGGTTTCCTGTTCGTTCTGATAGTAGTTTCTTTTGCTGTGCAGATGCTCTATAGTTTAATCAGATCCCATTTGTCAATTTTGGCTTTTGTTGCCATTGCTTTCGGTGTTTTAGACATGAAGTCCATCTCCATGCCTATGTCCTGAATGGTGTTGCCTAGGTTTTCTTCTAGGGTTTTTATGGTTTTAGGTCTAACATTTAAGTCTTTAATCCATCTTGAATTAATTTTTGTACAAGGTGTAAGGAAGGGATCCACTTTCAGCTTTCTACATAGGCCTAGCTAGTTTTCCCAGCACCATTTATTAAATAGGGAATCCTTCCCTCATTTCTTTTTTTGGTCAGGTTAGTCAAAGATCAGATACTTGTAGATATGCAGCATTATTTCTGAGGGCTCTGTTCTGTTCAATTGGTCTATATCACTGTTTTGGTACCAGTACCATGCTGTTTTGGTTACTGTAGCCTCGTAGTATAGTTTGAAGTCAGGTAGTGTGATGCCTCCAGCTTTGTTCTTTTGGCTTAGGATTGACTTGACAATGCGGGCTCCTTTTCAGCTCCATATGAACTTTAAAATAGTTTTTTCCAATTCCGTGAAGAAAGTCATTGGTAGTTTGACGGGGATGGCATTGAATCTATAAATTATCTTGGGCAGTATGGCCATTTTCAGGATATTGATTCTTCCTCCCCATGAGCATGGAATGTTCTTCCATTTGTTTGTATCCTCTTTTATTTCATTGAGCAGTGGTTTGTAGTTCTCCTTGAAGAGGTCCTTCAAATCCCTTGTAAGTTGGATTCCTAGGTATTTTATTCTCTTTAAAGCAATTGTGAATGGGAGTTCACTCATGATTTGGCTCTCTGTTTGTCTGTTATTGGTGTATAAGAATGCTTGTGATTTTTGCACACTGATTTTGTATCCTGAGATTTGCTGAAGTTGCCTATCAGCTTAAGGAGATTTTCGGCTGAGATGATGGGGTTTTCTAGACATGTCATCTGCAAACAGGGACAATTTGATTTCCTATTTTCCTAATTGAATACACTTTATTTCCTTCTCCTGCCTGATTGCCCTGGCCAGAACTTCCAACACTATGTTGAATAAGAGTGGTGAGAGAGGGCATTCCTGTCTTGTGCCAGTTTTCAAAGGGAATGCTTCCAGTTTTTGCCCATTGAGTATGATATTGGCTGTGGGTTTGTCATAGATAGCTCTTATTATTTTGAGATACGTCCCATCAATACCTAATTTATTGAGAGTTTTTAGCATGAAGGGCTGTTGAATTTTGTACCTCTAGTGGAATTCGGCTGTGAATCCGTCTAGTCCTGGACTTTTTTTGGTTGGTAAGCTATTAATTATTGCCTCAATTTCAGAGCCTGTTATTGGTCTATTCCGAGATTCACCTTCTTCCTTGTTTAGTCTTGGGAGAGTGTATGTGTCAAGGAATTTATCCATTTCTTCTAGATTTTCTAGTTTATGTGCATAGGGGTGCTTATAGTATTCTCTGATGGTAGTTTGTATTTCTGTGGGATCACTGGTGATATCCCCTTTATCATTTTTTATTGCATCTATTTGATTCTTCTCTCTTTTCTTCTTTATTAGTCTTGCTAGGAGTCTATCAATTTTGTTGATCTTTTCAAAAAACCAGCTCCTGGATTCATTGATATTTTGAAGGGTTTTTTGTGCTTCTGTCTCCTTCAGTTATGCTCTGATCTTAGTTATTTCTTGCCTTCTGCTAGCTTTTGAATGTGTTTGCTCTTGCTTCTCTAGTTCTTTTAATTGTGATGTTAGGGTGTCAATTTAAGATCTTTCCTGCTTTCTCTTGTGGGCATTTAGTGCTCTAAATTTCCCTCTACACACTGCTTTGAATGTGTCCCAGAGATTCTGGTATGTTGTGTCTTTGTTCTCATTGGTTTCAAAGAACATCTTTATTTCTGCCTTCATTTTGTTGTGTACCCAGTAGTCATTCAGGAGCAGGTTGTTCAGTTTCCATGTAGTTGAGTGGTTTTGAGTGAGTTTCTTAATCCTGAGTTCTAGTTTGATTGCACTGTGGTCTGAGAGACAGTTTGTTATAATTTCTGTTCTTTTACATTTGCTGAGGAGTGCTTTACTTCCAACTATGTGGTCAATTTTGGAATAGATGTGGTGTGGTGCTGAGAAGAATGTATATTCTGTTGATTTGGGGTGGAGAGTTCTGTAGATGTCTATTCGGTCTGCTTGGTGCAGAGCTGAGTGCAATTCCTGGATATCCTTGTTTACTTTCTGTCTCGTTGATCTGTCCAGTGTTGATAGTGGGGTGTAAAAATCTCCCATTATTATTGTGTGGGAGTCTAAGCCTCTTTGTAGGTCTCTAAGGACTTGCTTTACGAATCTGGGTGCTCCTGTATTGGGTGCGTATATATTTAGGATGGTTAGCTCTTCTTGCTGAATTGATCCTTTTACCATTGTGTAATGGCCTTTATTGTCTCTTTTGATCTTTGTTGATTTAAAGTCTGTTTTATCAGAGACTAGGATTGCAATCCCTGCCATTTTTTGTTTTCCATTTGCTTGGTAGATCTTCCTCCGTCCCTTTATTTTGAGACTATGTGTGTCTCTGCACATGAGATGGGTTTCCTGAATACAGCACACTGATGGGTCTTGACTCTTTATCCAATTTTCCAGTCTGTGTCCTTTAATTGGAGTTTTTAGCCCATTTACTTTTAAGGTTAGTATTGTTATGTGTGAATTTGATCCTGTCATTATGATGTTAGCTGGTTATTTTGCTCGTTAGTTGATGCAGTTTCTTTCTAGCCTTGATGGTCTTTACAATTTGGCATGATTTTGCAGTGGCTGGTACTGGTTGTTCCTTTCCATGTTTCGTGCTTCCTTCAGGAGGTCTTTTAGGGCAGGCCTGGTGGTGACAAAATCTCTCAGCATTTGCTTATCTGTGAAGCATTTTATTTCTCCTTCACTTATGAAGCTTAGTTTGGCTGGATATGAAATTCTGGGTTGAAAATTCTTTTCTTTAAGAATGTTAAGTATTGGTCCCCACTCTCTTCTTGCTTATAGAATTTCTGCTGAGAGATCAGCCACTAGTCTGATGCGCTTCCCTTTGTGGGTAACCCTACCTTTGTCTCTGGCTGCCCTTAACATTTTTTCCTCATTTCAACTTTGGTGAATCTGACAATTATGTGTCTTGGAGTTGCTCTTCTCGAGGAGTATCTTTGTGGTGTTCTCTGTGTTTCCTGAATTTGAATGTTGGCCTGCCTTGCTAGATTGGGGAATTTCTCCTGGATTATATCCTGCAGAGTGTTTTCCAACTTTGTTCCATTCTCCCCGTCATTTTCAGGTACACCAAGCAGACATAGATTTGGTCTTTTCACATAGTCCTAGATTTCTTGGAGGCTTTGTTCATTTCTTTTCATTCTTTTTTCTGTAAACTTCTCTTCTTGCTTCATTTCCTTTATTTGATCTTCCATCACTGATACCCTTTCTTCCAGTTGATTGAATCAGCTTCTGAGGCTTGTGCATTTGTCACGTAGTTCTCGTGCCATGTTTTTCAGCTCTGTCATATCCTTTAAGGACTTCTCTGCATTGGTTACTCTGATTAGCCATTCGCCTAACTTTTTTTCAAGTTTTTTAACTTCTTTGCCATGGTTTTGAACTTTCTCCTTTAGCTTGGAGTAGTTTGATCATCTGAAGCCTTCTCCACCTCTTCAAAGTCATTCTCCATCCAGCTTTATTCCATTGCTGGTGAGGAGTTGTGTTCCTTTGGAGGAGGAGAGGTGCTCTGATTTTTAGTTTCCAGTTTTTCTGCTCTGTTTTTTCCCCATCTTTGTGGTTTTATCTACCTTTGGTCTTTGATGATGGTGACAAACATGGGGTTTTGGTGTGGATGTCCTTTCTGTTTGTTAGTTTTCCTTCTAAGAGTCAGTACCCTCAGCTGCAGGTCTGTTGGAGTTTGCTGGAGTTCCACTCCAGAACCTGTTTGCCTGGTTATCAGCAGCGGAGGCTGCAGAACAGCAGATTTTGTTGAACAGCAAATGTTGCTTCCTGATCGTTCTTCTGGAAGTTTTGTCTCAGAGGAGTACCCGGCTCTGTGAGGTGTCAGTCTGCCCCTACTGGGGGGTGCCTCCCAGTTAGGCTACTCAGGGGTCAGAAACCCACTTGAGGAGGCAATCTGTCTGTTCTCAGATCTCCAGCTGCATTCTGGGAGAACCACTACTCTCTTCAAAACTGTCAGACAGGGGCATTTAAGTCTGCAGAGGTTTCTGCTGCCTTTTGTTTGGCAATGCCCTGCCCCCAGAGGTGGAGTCTACAGATGCAGGCAGGCCTCCTTGAGCTGTGGTGGGCTCCACCCAGTTTGAGCTTCCTGGACGCTTTGTTTACCTACTGAAGCCTTGGTTATGGCGGGTGCCCCTCCCCCAGCCTCGCTGCTGCCTTGCAGTTTGATCTCAGACTGCTGTGCTAGCAATGAGAGAGGCTCTGTGGACATAGGACCCTCTGAGCCAGGCACGGGATGTAATCTCCTGGTGTGCCATTTGCTAAGACCATTGGAAAAGCACAGTATTAGGGTGGGAGTGACCCGATTTTCCAGGTGCCATCTGTCACCCCTTTCTTTGACTAGGAAAGGGAATTCCCTGACTCCTTGTGCTTCCTCGGTGAGATGATGCCTCGCCCTGCTTCGGCTCATGCACGGTGCACTGTTCCCACTGTCCTGCACCCACTTTCCGACACTCCCCAGTGAGATGAACCCTGTACCTCAGTTGCAAATGCAGAAATCACCCGTCTTCTGTGTGGCTCATGCTGGGAGCTGTAGACTGGAGCTGTTCCTATTCGGCCATCTTGGCTCCAACCTGCACATTTATTAATTGGATTGTTTTGTTGTGTCTCTGTGTGTGTGCATGTGTGTGTGTGTGTGTGTGTATGTGTTTGTGTTTTCTTTTTTAAACTGCTATTGAGTTGTTTTAGTTTCTTATATATTCTGGATATTAACCCCTTGTCAGATGCATAGTTTGCAAATACCTGCTACCATTATGTAGGTTGTCTCTTTACCCCATTTCCTTTGCAGTTCAGATGCTTTCTGGTTTACTGAAATACCATTTCCCTATTTTTGTTTTTCTTACCCACACTTTTTAGGTCTTATTCAAAAACTCTTTGCCCAGTGCAATTTCATGAAGCACTTCCCCTATGCTTTCTTCCAGTAGTTTCATAGCTGAAGGACTTATATTTAAGTCTTTAATTTATTTAGAGTTGATAATTTGATGTTGTGAGAAACAGTGTATAGTCTCGTCCTTTTGCATGTGGATGTATAATTGTTACAGCATGACTTATTAAAAAGTTTATTTTCCTCAATGTGCTTTCTTGGTGGCTTGGTTATAAATTGTTTGTAAATGCATCAATTTATTTCTGGGTTCTACATTCTGTTCAATTTGTCTATGTGTTTTTATGCCAGTTACATATTGTTATAGTTACTATAGCTTTGTGGTATATTTTATTTTATTTTGTTTAATTTAATTTAATTTATGTATTTATTTATTTTGAGACAGAATCTCACTCTGTTGCCCAGGCTGGAGTGCAGTGGCATGATCTCGGCTCACTGCAACCTCCACCCCTCAGGTTCAAGCAATTCTCCTGCCTCAGCCTCCTGAGTAGCTGGGATTACAGGCACCTGTGACTGCACTCAGCTAATTTTTGTATTTTTAGTAGAGACGGGGTTTTGCCATCTTGCCGGGCTGGTCTTGAACTCCTGACCTCGTGATCCACCTGCCTCAGCCTTCCAAAGTGCTGGGATTACAGGTGTGAGCCACCGTGCCTGGCACTTTGTGGTATATTTTAAAGTCTAATAGTGTGTTGCCTCTAGGTTAGTTATTTTTTTATCAAGATAGCTTCAGCTATCTAGGGTTTTTTTTTTTTTTTTTTTTTTTTTGCATTTCCAAGAGACCCTCGATAGCCAAAGTATCTGAAGTATCTATTTTTATTTTATCTATATCTATTTTGAAGTATCTGTGTCTGTTTTGTCTATTTCTATAAAAAATGCCATTGGTATTTTGATCGGGATTCCATCAAATCTGTAGATTCTTATGGGTAACACAAAGACTTTAACATGAATTTTTCCAATTCATAAATAGGAAATATCTTTCCATTTATTTACATTCTCTTCAAAATTTTCCATCAATATTTTATATTTTTCATTGTAGATAACTTTTATCTCCTTGGTTAAATTTATTCCTAGGTATATTTTTTGTAACTTTTGTCAAGAGAATTGCTTTTTTGATTCCTTTTTCAGACAGTTTGCTATAGACATATAGAGACACTACTGATTTTTAAATGTTGACCTTGTATCCTGCAAGTTTACTAAATCATTTATTCTAACAATTTTTGATGGCATATACAAGGTATTCTCTCTCTCTCTCTCTCTCTCTGTATATATAATATATATATATATATATATATATATATACATATACACACACATATGAACATGTCTTCTGGAAGCTGAAAAAAAACACATCCTTTTCCCAAATTTCAGTGCCCTTAATTTATTTCACTTGTCTAATTGCTTTAGCTAGAACTTCTAGTACTATGTTGAATAAAATTAGTGAAAGTAGACATCCTTGTTCCAGTTCTTAGAGAGACTTGTTCCCATTCAACTTGTTCTCATTCAGTGTAATGTTACCTGTAGGTTTTTCATATATGTTCTTTATTTTGTTGAAGTGCCTTCCTTCTATACACAATTTCTTGAGTTTTTATCATAAATGGAAGTAGATAAAATGCTTTTTTACCAAATGCTTTTTCAGCATTTCCTGAAAGAGCATATGGTTTTGTCCTCTATTCTGTTAATATATATTATGTTTATTGATTTGCATATGTTGAACCATCCTTGCATGCCTTAGATGAAATTCTATTTGATTATGTTGAATATTTTTTTAATGTGTAGTTGTGTTTGGTTTGCTAGTGTTTTCTTGAAGATTTTTGCATCTGTCTTCATCAGGAATACTGGCCTAAAGTTTCCTTTCTTTATTGTACTTGTATGGTTTAGGAATCAGGGTAATGCTGGCCTCATAGAATTAATTTAGAAGTATTCCCTTCTCTTCATTAAAAGAAAATTCTTTGAGTAGGATTGCTGGTAGTTCTTCTTTAAATGTTTGGTAGAATTCAGCAATGAAGCCATCATGTCCTGGGCTTTTCCTTGATGGGAAACTTTTTATTGCTGCTGCTATTGTCTTATTCATTATTGTTCCTCTCAGAACTTTTATTTCTTCAAGATTCAATCTTGGTAAGGTGCCTGTGTCCTGGAATGTATCTATTTCTTCTATGTTTTTCAATTTTTTGTCATAGTTCATAGTTGTGACTTATCCTATTTCTGTGCTATCAGTTATAATGTCTTCCTTTACATTTCTGACTGGGATTTCTTTCTTTTTTTCTTAGTCTATTGAAAGGTTTGTTGATTCTGTTTGTCTTAAAAAGTCAGCTCTTTGTTTTGTTCATCTTTTGTATATTTTTGTCTCTATTTTATTTATTTCTGTGGTGATATTTGTTGTTTATTTTGTTCTACTTGTTTTTGGTTTAGATTTTTCTTGTTTTTCTATTTCCTTGAGGTATAACATTGGATTGTTTGACATCTTTTTGCTCATTTTCTGTAGGCATTTGTTTGAATATTGTAGGAGTTCAGTCAGAGTGGTGGGAAAAATTGTAAGAGAAAATTATAGAAAAGAGAAGCAAACCTTCCTGGAAGGCTGGGAGGTTGCATAGCTTCAGTAAAATATTTGGCTGAAAGCAGCCTAATCGTCTTTACCTTGAGTTAATAGCAAAAGATCAAATAATAAGGGAATGTGGGGGAGTTTTTATCTTAAATAGCTTGTTTACTCTTGCGGTCCTAAGACCAACCTTTGATTATCCACAGGTGCATGATTGCTGTCTACTTGGGGGGTCTGCAATGTTAATTAACTTCTAGTGGTGTTTCCTAGAGACCTTTGTCATTTAATCTGTACTAAATAAGTGCAAACTTTGCTGGGTTATCTGGCTGATGCTGCAGATTCAGGAACAGAAGCCCCTTAGCTGCATTGACAGGGAAAATATCTGTATCACTGTATGTCTCTCATCCATCCGCTGGGTCAGGGTCTGCAGGCCGGCCCCCACAGGTGGTACCCTGCATGAGGAATGCTGTGAAGGATTGTGACAGACCCCTCGAAAATGAAGGTGAAAAGGACTGAGTAGTTAGTGAGTCAGTAAGTCATTGGTGCACACTTGGGATTTCCAAGTTCCGGGGGGAATTGTTCAGGCTAAGGTTTCATCATGAGTCAACAGTTATCAGCTCAATAGAAACAGTATATAAAAGTATTGACACAGCTGCTTAAAGCTAGTGGAGCCTTGGTTTCACAGGCTCAATTAAGGGACCCATGCAAACTGTGGTATCCCATAACCCATGATTCCCAGAAGAAGGTCCACTAGATGTAGAGCTTTGAGAAAAAGTGGGGAGAAATCTTAAACAACATCATGTGCAAGGGCAATGGATCCCAGTATCATCTCTAACATTGTGAGCTCCAGTAAGGGTGACTTTGGTCCCATTATGCACAGAAGAGCCAAAAAAGGGGAAGGAGGAAGAACCATCACCTACCTTACCACCTACCTCCCTGTCCCTCAGCCCCGCTATCACTGGGGTAAAAACAACAAAGAGAAAACGGAGGTTTTTCCTGAGCCCCCTCCTCCAATGAATAGGAAAAAAACAAGGGATACATTACAGCTGTGGGAACCTGTCTTAAGCAAGCTGTATTAGAAGGGGAGCTCTTAGCCTGCCTGGTAATGCAAGATCAACAAGGCAATCAGGTATATAAACACATTTCTTTTAATGCTTATAAAAAGATAAGAAAAGGCATTAGAGGCTGGAGCTGTATGGCCAAGCAGGCGGTAGATAGAAAGGCTCGGCAGCAGGGAAGCTCGCAGACCTGGAGCTGGCAAGAGCTCCTGAGAACTTGGCCTGCAGTGTACTGGGGAGCCAGGCCCAGCTAGCCTGCTAAGGGAGGAGAGGAGGCGCACGCTAGAGAGAGGGAGCTAGCCTGCTAAGGACAGGCAGGAGGAGTGTGAGGGACAGACTACCTGGCCGTTAGCAGCCACAGGGGACGGGGGAAGGGAGTGGCACAAACAAAAAGTGGTGCAGACCAAAAGTGGTGCCTAGGTGAGTGCAATGTGGTGCCACCCCGGGATCGTTGCCCTCTGGCTCCAGTCGCAGCCCATGGCAAAATTTCATGTGTTCCTTGTATACAAGCGACATCCCAGATTATAATTCTCTGCTAAGATTAAAGTAAAAATTAAGAATTTGAAAGACCTTTTTCTGATAATGACCACTGTTGTTACTCCAAACTTACCCCTAACGTGACTCTTTCCAAATCCAATTTAAGTAAAACAGTAACCTCTGAAGGGAGAGAAATTACAGAGAGCCCATGAATTAGTTGAGGAGCAATTGAAAGCTGGCCATATAGAACCATCAAACAGCCTTTGGAATTCGCCCATTTTCGTCATTCCCAAAAAGTCTGGTAAATGGAGACTTTTGCACTACTTAACTGCTATTAATGCTAATTTGCAACCTATGGGGTCTCTTCAACAGGTCCTCCCCTCCCCTGTGGCAATTCCTGAAGATTGGCCTATAATCGTTGTTGACTTAAAGATTGTTTTTATACCATTCATCTAGCAGAGAAGGACAGAGAAAAATTTGTGTTTACAATAGCAACTATCAATAATAAAAGGCCAGCTTTTGAAATTGCTGATTTCATTGGAAAGTGCTTCCTCAAGGAATGCTAAACACACCTACCATGTGTCAGTATCATGTAAATCAAGCTTTGCTCCCTAGTAGGACAAAGTTTCCTGACTGCAAGGTTATTCCTTTTATGGATAATATTTTACTAGCAGCCCCAATGGAGCCAATGCTTTTAAATGTATATATCTCTGTCATAAAGAATACACAGTTAAGAGGTTTAATCATAGCATCTAAAAAAGTACAAATGTCCTCTCCTTGGAAATATCTTGGGTACATGCTGACTTCTCAGTCAGTAAAACCTCAAAAGGTTAAATTAAATACTAGCAACTTACATAGCTTAAATGATTATCAGAAATTACTAGGCAATATTAACTGGCTTTGCTGTGCCTTGCGCATTACTACGGATAAATTGCAAAATCTGTTTTCCATCTTAAAGGGCAATTCAGCCCTGGATTCTCCCAGGTGTTTAACTCCTATAGCCAAAAGAGAGATTGAAGAAATAGAACAAGCCATCTCTCAGAGGCAGCTACATCACATAAACCCAGGCTATTCGATCCAGTTGTTTATCTTTCCCACTAAACACTCCCCTACAGGATTAATAGGACAGATGACCCCAGGGCTACACTTTCTAGAATGGGTTTATTGCTCACATACTGGGACTAAAACACAATCTCCCTATATCCAGCTACTTAGTAAAGTCATATATTCAGGCCACAAACAATGGAATCAGTTGCAAGATTGTGACCCTGATATCATCAGGATTCCTTTGAGTAAAAAGCAATTTGAAGCAGTATTGCCCCTCTCTTTAGATCTTCAGATAGCACTCTCTGATTACACAGGCCATTTAGAGCATACCCTCCCTGCTGACAAACTGCTTCAGTTCTTATCTCGTACTTCAATGGTGTTGCCTACAAAAATAGTTCATTCCCCCATACCTAATGCTTAAACACTGTTTACTGATGGTTTGGGTAAACATGGAAAAGCAGCCGTTTGGTGGAGACCATGTAATTCCCTCACTTGATCTGGGTTTACTAGCACTCAGAGAGCTGAGGTTGGGGCCTTAATATTGGCTTTGGAAACTTTTTTCGCTCAGCCCTTCAATATTGTTAGTGACTCGGCTTACCCTGTTTATTTACTGCAGAACCTTGAAGCAGCCCTAATTAAGTCCACACTGGATCCCACCCTGTGTGCTCTTTTTCTCCAACTTCAGCAATTGCTAGATCAATGTACACATCCTATTTTTATTACACACATTCGAGCCCACAGCTCACTGCCTGGCCCATTGGCTTACAGCAATGATCAAGCAGAACTTCAGGTTATGACATCATTGCTTGACCAAGCCACTCAAATGCATCAACTTTTCCACCAAAATTGGAGAAACTTATCTAAACAATTTCAACTTACCCAGAGTCTAGCTAAACAAATTATTCTACAATGCAAATTATTCTACAATCTGAGATTGCTAGCTCACAGGCATGTCCCCTCCTTCAACAGGTGTTAATGCTAGAGGACTGGAACCTAATCAGTTATGGCAAACAGATGTTACACACATCCCTGATTTGGAAAACTAAGATATGTACATGTATCTGTTGATAGTGCACATGCTGTTCCTAGAGAGTCCACTCGATATGTCATTAAACATCTTCTTTTAACTTTTGCATTTATGGGGTGGCCCACAAAAATTAAAACTGATAATGGTCCAGCTTATGCCAGCTCACAGTTTCAACAATTTTGTCACACATGGAACATCCAACACTCCACAGGCAACCCATATAACCCCAAGGACAGGCCATAGTAAAATGTGCCCATTCCACTCTTAAAAATATGCTCAAAAAACAAAAAAGGGGGAGTATGAGTAAGGACCCTGCAACACTAATACCACAAGCCTTATTACCCTTAATTTTTAAAGTTTAGATGACAAATTTCAACCAGCTGTAGACAAGCACTTTGCTAAAACCTCTCAAGACATAAAACCTGCACTTTTATGGAAATATGTAAACAGTAATGTATGGTGTGTTCCGAATGAATTGTTAACATGGGGAAGAGGATATGCTCATGTTCACACCCCCTCAGGTCCTCTTTGGATTCCAGCATGACACATCAAGCCATATCATTGCTTGGCTAGGACCCAACCTGATACCAGAAATGAAGGATTTAACCCTACAGGACCCACAGCCCTGGATGATGTGGCTTCCTCGGACCACACAAGCCCCGGATGTTACCTGGGGGATGCTGAAGAAGACAACTCAGGAGGCTTAATGAATCCTGCTCTGGATGAAGACAACATTTACTGCAGATAATTTGTTCCTTGCTATGCTCTCTGTTGTACATTGCAACTCGCATAGGGCATTGATCCTTTTTATGCTCTTTGTCTGCAACCTGTACCTGCTACACACTATTGGGATGATATCTTAGATCCGCCTTTCTTTCACCTTGTCACCTGGGCAGACACCCCTTCCCAGCCTTTAATAATGTAACTGCTTGGCCAGGAAGGATAGATTTGCCCCCAGTGGGGTTCCTCATTAATGACACACATTGGACTAAGGTGCCAGGTAACACTACATATCACTCTGCTATCCTCCCACTGTGTGTAAGTTATAAAAGTTCTAACTCTTAACTGTGTACCTGCCCAAACACAATTATGGCTACATCGTGGCAAAAGAAATGCATTAACAGCCTTAGCTGCAGGTAGCCTCAAACCGGGCAATGCAATCAATGCCACTTTCCCAAACATTCCTTCCTGTGCTCAAGAACAAAGCTGGGAAAGTAATGGATTCCACTTTAGCTGGGAGGTCTGTCATGGGGAAGAGGCCCGTAGCCTCAAGTTAGGCAATTATAACATCTTAGACTGGAACCCCTACGGCCATTTGCAGGGCAGCCTTACTGATATCCTCATCCATCATGGCATCAATAAGAGTATCATAGCCTTGTCCCATTCCCCTATGATTTGGGCTGATCAGGGCATGGTATATCCTAGACCTCAAGTAAAGTCCATGCCACCCCAAGACACTTTATGGCACTTGGGACATCTTAGCACCTCCCTTGACACCTGGCATGGAATATATCATAATTCCAGTAACAACTATACTATAGCCTTTATTCATAATAACACTGATCTGTGCCTGATTTGCACTACCCATCCATATGATTTCCTTATGGGAACCAATATTTCTATTACACCTCCAAGTTCCATGTTTGTGACCCGGGTGCAGAGACAGGCTTGGTTTGCCTCATGTATCACTAATTACAATATATCTAATTGAAATATTACCAGTGTCATGATATTGAGGAGACAATCTGAGGCATTCCTACCAGTCAATTTGACACGCGATTGGCAAGGTTCCTCTGCCCTTGCCACCTTAGAACAAGCCCTGTCCCAGGTCAGACCCAAAAGATTCATAGGCATACTTATAGCCTTTATAGTCTCAGCCATAGCCATCCTAGCAACTGCTAGTGTGGCTGTAGCACTTATTACTGAATCAGTACAACCAGCTGCTTTTGTAGATAATTTGGCCAAAAATGTGTCGAATGAACTTCTCTTGCAGCATGTCTGTAAGCCCTCAAGGCTGCCTTGGAATATGTCAGGGAGCGAAAAGATGCGCTAGCATTCCTACAGCAATTAAACTGCAACTAGAGGCATAAACATATCTGTGTCACTTCTCTTCCATGGAATCAATCAACAAATAGTTGAGATGAGGTGAAACAACACCTCTGGGGAAACTTTCATGACAATTTAACAGCAGATGTAAAGCAACTTAAAACTAAAATTTTAGAATCCCTTCACACCATAGATCTACACATCCAACAAACAGCCATATGGAAGGGTGTGCAAGATAAGCTCTCCTGGATAGACCCCTGTCCTGGGGGTCACTCCTTGATTGGAAAAGAATGTTGCTGATTATACTCATGTTTGTCTTATGTTATTTGCTAATTCTAGGATGCAAAGCCAGAATAAGAGCAGTAACCACCATGCCTGACACACCTGTTGCTGCACACATCTGCACTCTTCAATTAATAAAGCCTAATGCAAAAAACAGAAAAGGGGGAGATGTAGGAGTTCAGTCAGGGTGGTGGGAAAAATTGTAAGAGGAAATTATAGAAAAGAGAAGCAAACTTTCTTGGAAGGCTGGAGATTTGCGTAGCTTCAGTAAAATATGTGGCTGAAAGCAGCCTAATCCTCTTTACCTTGAGTTGATAGCAAAAGAGCAAATAACAAGGGAATGTGGGGGAGTTTATCTAAATAGCATGTTTACTCATGTGGTCCTAAGACCAACCTTCGATTACCCACGGGTGCATGATTGCTCTCTACTCAGGGGGTTGGCAATGTTAATTACCCTCTAGTGGTGTTTACTTGAGACCTTTGTCATTTAACCTGTATTAAAGAAATGCGAACTTTGAGGCTTATTGGGCTGATGCTGCAGCTTTAGGAGCAGAAGCCCCTTAGCCACACTGACAGGCAAAATATCTGTGTCAGTGTACATCTCTCATCTGTTGCTGAGTCAGGGTCTGCAGGTTGGACCCCACAGTATATACTTCCATTTTAGAGCCACTTTTGTTGTATCCCATATGATTCACTGTGTTGTGCTTCTATTTTCATTTGCAATGAATTTTCAAATTTCCGTTTACATTTCTTCATTGACTCATTGGTTGTTTATAAACATTTTGTTTAATTCTATATATTTATAAGGTTTTCAGTGTTTCTCCTGTTATTTATTTATAGTTTTATTCTATTATGGTCAGAAAAAAATACTTGAAATGATTTCAATAAAAAAATTACACTTGTTTTTTGGCCTAACATATAGTTTCTCACGGAGAATGTTCTATTGTGCTGTTGAGAAGAATGTGTATTCTGCAGCTGTTGGGTGAAATTTAAAAAAAAAATCTGTTAGGACCATTTGGTCTAGAGTGCACTTTGACTTCAATATCTCTTTGTTGATTCTCTATCTGGATAATCTGTTGATTGCTGAAAGTGTATATTGAGGCACCCTAATATTATCACATCACATTCTATCTCTCCTAGGACCATTAATGCTTGCTTTATGTATCCAGGAGTTCCATTGTTGGGCCATGTATGTTTACAGTTTTCATATCCTCCTGCTCTATTGACCCCTTTATCATTATATAATGGCCTTCTCTATCTTTTCTTACTGTTTTGATTTAACATCTATCATTTTTGGTTTCCATCTGCATGAAATATCTTTTTCCGTACCTTCCCTTTCAGTCTATGTGTGTCATTATAGGTGAAGGGAGTTTCTTGTAGGCAGCATATAGTTAAGTTTTTAAATATTTATTCAACCACTCTGTGTCTTTTAATTAGATAATTTAGTCCATTTATATTCCATGCTACTAGTGGACTCACTACTTCCATTTTGTTACTTGTTTTCTGGTTGTTTTGTAATTCCTCGCTTCCTTTCTTGTTGTCCTCCTTTGTGGTTGACTTGCTTTGGTAGCACGTTTTAATTCCTGGCTTTCTATTTTTTGTGTATCTACTACAGGTTTTTGCTTTGTGGTTACCATTAGGCTTACAAAAAATCTTATCACAAATTATTTTAAACTGATGACAACTTAATTTTGATCACAAAGAAAATAAGGAAAAATAAACTAAAAAACTCTAAACTTTAAATCCATCCACCCCTCATTTTTACTTTTTGTCATCTCACCTTACATCTTCTAATTTTGCCTATTTTTTAACCAAATTGTTGTAGTTGTTATTATTTTTAATAGATTTGTCTTTTTTCTTCATTCTACAGGTATGAGTGGTTTATACACTACAATTACAGCATTAGAGTATGCTGAATTTGTCTGTGTACTTACATTTACAAATGATTTTTTTTAACCTTCAAATGTTTTTTATTGTTGTTGTTGTGTATCAATGTCCTTTTTAAAGATTAAAGAACTACAGCACATCTTGTAGGACAGGTCAGGTGGCGATGAATTTCTTCAGCTTTTGTTAGTGTGAGAAAGTCTTTATCTCTCCGTCCTTTTTAAGGGATTCTTTGCTAAGTACAGTATTCTTAGCTGGCAGGTTTTTTTCCTTTAGCACTTTGGATGTCATCCCACTCCCTCCTGGCCTGAAAGGTTTCTGTTGAGAAACCTGCAGCTAGATGTATCAGAGGTCCTTTATAGGTTATTTGCTTTTTTTCCCCATTTCTATAATCTTATCTTTGTCCTGTCTTTTAAGTATCTGATTATAATATGCCTTACAGTAGCAGTAGTAGGTTGAATCTGCTTGGTGACCTTTGATCTTCCTATACCTGGATATTTGTGTCTTTTCCTACATTTGGAATGTTTATTATTATTATTTTCTTGAATAGTCTTTCTACCCCTTTCTCTTTTTCTATGCCCTCTTTAAAGCCAATGGCTCTTACATTTGGTCTTATGAGGCTATCCCATAGGTTTAATAAGTATTTTTCATTGCTTTTAATTCTTCTTTTCTTTTGTCACTTCTGATTGTATATATAAATAAATATATATATATATATATATATATATTTTTTTTTTTTTTTTTTTTTTTTTTTTTTTGAGACAGAGTCTCGGTCTGTCACCCAGACTGGAGTGCAGTGGTGTGATCTCAGCTCACTGCAAGCTCTGCCTCCCAGGTTCATGCCATTCTCCTGCCTCAGCCTCCCAAGTAGCTGGGACTACAGGTACCCGCCACCACGCCCGGCTAATTTTTTGTATTTTTAGTAGAGATGGGGTTTCACTGTGTTAGCCAGGATGGTCTCAATCTCCTGACCTCACGATCCACCTGCCTCGGCCTCCCAAAGTGCTGGGATTACAGGTGTGAGCCACCGCACCCGGCCTGATTGTATATTTTTAAATAGTTTGTATTTGAGCTCACTGATTATTTCTTCTGCTTGATCAAATCTACTGTTGTAATACCATAATGCATTTGTAATTCCATCCATTATATTTTTCACCTCTATGATTTGTTTGATTTTTTATTATTTCAATCTCTTTGTTATATTTCTCTTATAAATTTCTTAATTGCTTCTCAGTGAAGTTCACTGAGCTTCTTTGAAACAGCTATTTTGAATTCTCTGAGAGGTCACACAAATCCATCTTTCTAGGGTTGGTTACTGGCACCTTCTTTAGTTAGTTCAGTGAGGTCATATTTCCCTGAATGCTCTTGATACTTAAAGACATTCATCAATGCCTGGGCTTATTGAATCACTTTTTTTAATGATGGCTGCTTTAAAATCTATTTCAAATATTTCCAACATCGATTTTTTATCTGTTTTGGGCACCTGTTAATTGTCTTGTCTCTTTTAAGTTGTGATTTCCCTTGTTCCTTGTATGATTTTTTTTTAATTGCATCTTAGTCACTTTTTAATTTTATATCATGAGACTCTGTGTTCTCTGTAAACTTTTTATTGGAGAGCCCCCCTATTGTTTTGTGGCTGAAGGGCTGCTTTTGTATATATGTTCAGCTTCTTCTGTTAGGTTCCCCTGACACAACCTTTGAAAAAATGCAGCACTAACTCACACTGCCTCATTGAACATGGGCAGTACAGAAGTTCAGCTCCCATCCCAAATTTGCTGACACCTTCGTGGTGATAATGGGTTACAGGTTCATACCATCTTATGACCTCAAAGTGGGAGTGGGGGCTTATCTGAACTCTGGGACCCATTGACACAAAAGGTTTAGGGAAAGTTGAGTACCATCTAGTCCCATCATGTTTCCCTTTGTTCTGTCTCACTGACTGTGGATGAGGATGGAAGGTCAGCTACTCACTGGTTTTCACTGACATTAGGGGTATAGGGAACCAGAGTGCTGACTAGCCCTGACTTGCTCTACTGTATTCAATCTCATTGCTGTCAGGTTTATATGGGGTGTGAGTGTATCATAACAATTACTAGCACTACCTCACACTACCAGATGAATGTGGTGGAGCAACTTACCATTTGACCTTGCTGACACTATCCTGGCAGGGGAATCAGAGTACCATTTGCTTCTGCCAGAGAGGTAGTAGATCAGCTCTTTGTTCAGCATCACCAGTATTTGTCTTCCAGGGGAATAAAAACACTGCCTGTTTTCTGTCAGATGAAGCATGGAAGATCAGCTCTCTGCTTGGTAACACCAACACTACATTGTTAGGGGAACTGGAATGTCAGCTACTTCCACCAACAGTGGATGAAATATCAGTTCTCAACTTTGAGGTTTTTGACTAACTTTGTTCCACACCACAAACTATACCCCCTTTTCCTTATCACAACGAACTCTGTGCTCTTGTCACAAACTCCTGACTAGTTTGTCACATATCCTGTAACCATTCACCCTCTATGTCGTTCCTTGAGCTCTTTGAAAATACCTCACTACACTGCCACCCTCTGAATATCTTCTTTTGTTGTTATTTTAGACATTCAAGTAGTCTTTGCTGATCTCCCCAGCCATAAAAAATCACTACCTCCTTTGGGTCCCCTAGTGCTTCAGTTGTACCTCTTTTATAGCATGCATTATAATCTTTTGTGCACACTGGAATTAACAATAGTTATACCTCCCTCCACCACCCCTCCAATTATAAATTAACACTGAGTATTCCAAATTAATTTTCACTAATGTTTATTTATTAAGAAGTCAATCTTCCAGAAGCTTCCAGTATTTGAAATATTGCTCTGAAATTGGATATAAGGAACAAATCATGCCATAGCCCTCCTTGATTCACAAGCCCTGGCCAAGAGGTCTTGAGTGTAAAACAGAGGAAAGGTTTAGAGGTGGGGTATGAGCTGGGTGGTTTGTAAAAAGATGTAATAAGACAAAATAACTTCTTTCAGGAGATGACTAGTTAGGAGACAACTGAGTACTTACTATGTACCAGTTCATGTGCTGAGAGATTTGTGTGTATTTATCTAATTTAATCCTCACACTTACACTTTGAGGTAAGTTTTATTGTTATCCACACATGTAGGTTGATGAAAGCTTGCCCCCGCCCCACTTGCTTTAATGTTTTCTCCTAAGCATTTTCAGACTTATGGGCACATGTATTCACAGGGTCAGTGATTTAGGTGTTTTAAAAGGATAAAATTGCTGAGGGAGAGCCTGAGTTGCCAGAACTGTAGTCGTCAAAAGCTTGTGTAAGGCTACTTGTTTCACTGTGGAAGATGTCTTTGCATTGGGGCAGGGCAGCTGAAAGCAATTATTTATTCATTTAACAAATGTTTATTGAGTCTCTATTCTGTGTAGGGTATTTGGGATGCAAGATAAAAATCCCTTCTTGAATAAGTTTATTGTCCAGTGGGAGTCATACAAAGTGAACATTATATCAGCATGATAAGGCCTTTTAAATCTATATGTTAGTGAATGGTCTGAATATTAGAATCATAATTTTGGAGAAGAAAGGGTATTCGAATTTTTTTTTGTCTCTTCAGGCCACTTTGTGGGGTTGTAAGCAAGAATTCCCTTGAAGGATGTAACCAAAGGCCTGAGGAAACTGTTTTCCCTGCATTTGTGTGCCCTGTGGGTCATCTTCTTCTTTCATGTGTCAACTGCTCTTCTGAGCAAAAAGTGCTTGGTGTATCTTGGTCTGGGGAATTATTTGGAAGACATTATTTGTGGAACATAATGGCATAACATTTACATACGTTCACCTTCTGACTTTGAGTATGAATGTGTAGGTTGTGTATATGTGTGAATATATATACACCACGATGTCATTCTAAGTGTTTGGAAATAACTGTTCATACATGTAGTTTACCTTCTTCCTTGGAATTACTATCTTGTAATATGGCATTAAAGAATTATCCCATCTCTGAAGTCCTTTGCCTGGGAAACATGGTGAACTGGAGGATCCTTACACATTCTGTGTGACCAGCTATTAAACAGAATGAGGACTAGGTCTCTCTGTCACTGACTTGGAAGGTAATGAAATGTTCAGGCAACCAGTATTGACACCTTGCAGCTTTTGCCCCGGTTTTGTTTCCAGGTGAATTAATTGCCTTTTTTACTCATGATTATATGACGCTTTCTCTTTTCACCAGTGAAGAGTAGAGGAATGAAAATGAGAACCCTAGACTCTTCTGGATTTTAATGTCATCTTGTAAGTGGGATATAGTGTTAAAAGCTTTACAGACATTCTCATTTAATCCTCATAGCAGCTCTGTGACTTAAGGTAAGTGAAATTATGGACACTTTCTTTTCTTGCAGGTTTTCGATATAAGCATGCAGCACTTTTATAATCAGAAAAACAGCAAATATATACACAAAAAATCCCTTCTTTCTCTCTCTACAAAATTAAGACCACAATATTGTTTCAATATTTTGCTTTTTCATTGTACTCATCTCATGTGCAGCTCTCCATGTCATTAAATCTTCTTTTAAAAAATGGTTTAGACAATAAATCCATTTATGAAGGTAAAATGTTTTTATTTATACTTATGTTATAGATCATGTAGGATAAATAGTGGACTATCAAAAGGAATATTACAAATATTTAATATTACTATTAAAAATCATGTTTTCAGAGTATTTAACAATCTTGGAAAATGTTCATGATATACATGAAAAACACAAGTTATAAAAGTATGAAATATGCTCCCAATTTTATAAAATATAAGTACAGGTTTATTAATAGGAGAGAAAACAGTATTGTTAACATTTTGGTGCAGTCTGGATGGTAAAATTAATGGTAGTTTCGTCTTTTATTTCACTGAATTTTAGAAGATCTCCACAATGTCAGTACATGACCTTTACATTCTGACAAAAAAAAAAAAAATAAAAATAATTACTAGAAATGATCAGGTAGAAAATATAAAACAGATTTTGGATTAAGATGGTGGTCTGTAAATTGTACACAGGGTTTTTATTCTCATCTTAAATATCTTAAACTGAAAGAAAATAATTTGTATGCACAAACTCTTTCTGGGTGTGCGTGTGTTTTACATTTTTTTTTTTTTTAAGTGAGGAATTCCTGGAAGACAGAAAGCAGATGGAGCCACTGTGTAGGAGGCTGGCGGGCAGCAGACCGCCAGAAAGGAGGAGGAGGGGAGTCGGCCTGTCTGGCTGGCGTTTGAGGGAAACGGTCGAGGGGCGGAGGAGGAAATGAAAGAGAGGGCGCGTGTGTCAATACAAACTGAACACGGGCACGCGCGCTGACCAGCCCGGCTGCCGCCCGCAGAGCGGAAGGCGGGATGGCTGGGGGCGGGGCCAAGGCTCAGGCGGGCTCAGAGGGGGCGGGTTCCCTGCGCCGCAAAGACCCGGTCGCCAGAGTGAAGCCAAGCCAGCTAGCGCTGCGAAGCCCAGGCCGCGCGGACTCCCCAGAGACTTGCCGCCGCCTGCGCCTTTGCCGCTGCAGCCATCCCTCTTACTCCTTGCCTTTCGTCCCCGTCGTCTCCTCTGCCGCCGTGCCGCAGCCGCACCAGCATCGACAACAGCTAAGTGGCCGATTCGGGGACTTGGGGTCGGGGTTGGGGCGGACGCAAGGCACGAACAGCACTCGCGAGCCCGCCATCTCTACGTCAGCCGCCACTGCTGCAGTAACCCTTCTAGGGCGAGAGAGGAAAGCACTGTGGAGAGGCACACGCTGTCCCAGTGCTCACGGTTAGAGTTCGAGCGTTTCTGCCAAAACCTTGGTGAGAGCCTTGCACTTGGAGAAGGGAGCACAGACCAGGTCTTTGAGATCGCAAAAAATATATATATCATATTGCATAGTGTTGACTTTTTGTCAGTTTAATCGACCAGGGCAGCAGCTTTCCCCAAGCCCTCTTAATCCCTGAGCTATGTCTCCTCCAACCGTGCCTCCGATGGGGGTAGATGGCGTGTCCGCATACCTGATGAAGAAAAGGCACACCCACAGGAAGCAACGGCGCAAGCCCACTTTCCTCACTCGTAGGAACATCGTGGGCTGCCGCATTCAACACGGCTGGAAGGAAGGCAACGAGCCAGTGGAGCAGTGGAAGGGTACTGTGCTCGAGCAGGTTTCCGTGAAGCCCACTCTTTACATCATTAAATATGATGGCAAAGATAGTGTGTATGGACTAGAACTGCACCGCGATAAGAGAGTTTTAGCGCTAGAGATCCTTCCTGAGAGAGTGCCAACTCCTCGTATCGATTCACGACTGGCAGATTCCCTGATTGGCAAGGCAGTGGAGCATGTGTTTGAAGGTGAACATGGTACCAAGGATGAATGGAAGGGTATGGTCCTGGCGCGAGCTCCTGTGATGGATACTTGGTTTTACATCACCTACGAGAAAGATCCTGTTCTCTATATGTACACGCTGCTTGATGACTACAAAGATGGTGACTTACGCATTATTCCAGATTCCAACTACTATTTCCCTACAGCAGAACAGGAGCCTGGAGAGGTGGTCGACAGTCTCGTGGGCAAGCAGGTGGAGCATGCCAAAGATGACGGGTCCAAGAGAACTGGCATTTTTATACATCAAGTGGTGGCGAAGCCATCTGTTTACTTCATTAAGTTTGATGATGATATTCACATTTATGTCTATGGTTTGGTGAAAACTCCTTAAATTCTTTGTGCTCTTTAGAGAAGTTGTGGATCTGTTAGATGTGAATTATTTTGTGTTCTCGTAGTTGTGAACGCAGAGAAGAGTTTAGGTGTCAGAAATTCAGGAAAGTGGATAAATTTTATTGTGCCAACAAATCTTACCTTGACTAGTTTCACAATTTTGCCTCAAGTGTACTTTGCTACTTTTGATATTGCCTTGTTCTGTAACTTAACAGTTAAATTGGGTGCTAATAGAAAATTAAAAAGTGTTTGCAACCATTGGAACAATGCAAAAATAGATTAAGAAAAATTAATGGTGTAAACCCACACCCCGTCCTTACCCCTTCCTTTCCTTACCTTGTTTCTTCCCAGAAAACAAGTGTTGAGGATGCGAAGTACATCCTTCCACCTATTTTCCCCATCTTCATGCAGAAAGTATGTTCTAGTAGTTTCTGTAAAAATGGCAAGCCACATGCTTTTCTCACTTGACATGTAGATGATATCTCTTCTTATCAGTAGCTTCAGTCTTTCTTGCTCTCTCTGGCTCTCTCTGGCCCTCACTCTTACTCTCTTGCACTCTTGCTCTCCCCCTCCCTCCCTTACTCTAACAGCTGAATACACAGTACTTGTTGATGTACCAAAAAGGCATTCAACCATTTCGTTATTGATCGTCTTTTATTTCCTTTTTTTATTTTTTTTCAAAATAACACTGCTGTAATACATACTGGTGCTTTTATTTATATAGGTTGGATTCCCAGAAATACTATGTAGGCATATGTTTCAGAAATATTACAAGATTACTATCCAAAATGAAAGCGCCCGTTCCAGCGTCCTCTCCAGCACTCTTTAATGCTTGAAAATATGAAAGGCTAAAAATTGCATTGTATTGCTTGTTAGTTTAATTGCCTTTTGTCTGAGTTCAAAGAGGTTTGTTGTTGTTGCTGTCCTTGTTTCTGTTTGGATTTTTCTCTGATTTGCCTGTTCTTACCCTTTGCTCATGTATCTATTGATGTTTTTCATTATAAATTTGTAGAAATTCTTACTACATAGTGCATATTAATCATTTGTAGCTCTAATGTGTTATGACGTTTTCATCTTGACTTTATTGATGATATATTTTCCTTTAAAATTTTTAAACTTTTTAGGTAGACCCTTATCTCTTTTATAGATTTTGGTTTCCTTTTTTTATCACATGGATGCCCCCACCCAAAGTCATACAAATATTCACCTACATTTTCTTCTAATAACTTTATTATTTTTAATGTTTAAATGTTTGATCCATCTGAAATTTATTTTTGTATATGGTGTAAGATGGGGATCCAGCTATAACATTTTGTTCACATTGGATACCTGATTGTGACATTTATTTAAAATGTTACCCATTTTCAAATTTCTGAGCCAATATCATGATTTAATTATAGTGGCTTCATCGTAAGTTTTAGAATCCGATAAAGCAAGTCCCACTTCATTAGTTTTTTTTTTCTTTATATAATATGTCCTAGACATTCATTTTTTCATGTGAAAAAATGAAATGCAGAATTTTAATAAAATTCTAATTATGATGGCTGACATCACAATTAAAATCCTGCATTTTTGTTTAGAGGGCTCTTTAATAATATTAAATCTTAGCACTCAAGAGTCTTCGTACATCATTGAAATCTTTTGGTCTTGTTATTGGAATATTCTTCACGTAAGTATATCATAGCTAACTGAATTTATTTCTAAGTATTTTTACAGTTTTATTTCATATTTTGACATTGTGAATTGGTTTTTTTCTTCTCATTTGTAATTAGCTATTTTTGACAATATAGACAACCTATAGATTTTTGTATTTTTATCTTCTGTCTAATGAGCTTATTTAATCATTGAAATTACAGTAGATTTTTAAGAATATAATATTTTGGGTTTTCTAGATATGAAATTATTTCACCTGAACATATAGATCATTTTATTTCCTCTTAATGTTTATACTGATTACTGTTACATTAGCTGGATTTTTCAAAACAATGTTGAAGAGTGATGACAGACGTGACTGTCTTGTTCTTAATTTTCATGGAAGTAAGAATGCAAAATATTAATAGGGAATAGTATTCCCTATTAGTATGACATTTACTTTTGGTTATTAGTAGGTAGTCATTAACATGTTTAAGAGTTTCCGCTATTCCTGTTTTATAGTGTTATTGCTAGAAGTGGTTCCTGAATTTTATAAAATGCCTTTTCAGCATCTATTGATAAAATTGTATGATTTTTTTTCTCTTTAATTTGTTGATGTAATGAATTAGAATGGTAGGCATTTGATGTGGAACCAAACTTGTATTTCTGGAACAAATACTACTTGGTCATTGTGAAATAATGATTTGCTACATGAGTGGATTTTATTTACCAGTATTTAATTTAGAATTATTGCATTTTCATTCCAAAGTAAAATTGTATTTTGTCCTTCTGATGCTATCTTTATCAAGTTTTGTTATTGAAGTTGTGCTAGCTTTAAAAAAATATGAATATGTGAGTTTTCAATTTTTTTCCTGTGGTCTGGAATAATTTAAATAGCATTAGAATTATTTGTTTGTTAAAAGTTAGCTAGGACAAAGTGTAAAACAATCTAATCCTGATGACACTTTTAATAGTAGATTTTTAATCAGCTTTGTGATTTCTTTAATAGTTATTGGTTTATTCAGGCTTTTTATTAAAAAGGTATATACATTCTCTGTGACATACAAAGTTAAAAGTTCTCTATTATTGCTGATTGTACTGGTTGTTGCTTGTTGACTGTACTATTCAGATGGCTTTATGCTTTTGTGTATTTTATGTCACCTAGATCTAATTCTGAAAACATTGTAATAAAATAATTAGCTATAATGGTATTTTCAATTATCTTTGTATTTTATTTATCAAAATTAAATCAAAATATAGGAAAGTATGAAAGATATGACAAACATTTTCTCACCTCCACCCAAAATTAATAAGTGTCAACATTTTGGCCTATTTGATATAGATAGAGATATATATTATTAAACAGTCAGAAAATTACAGATAATAAATATCTTTCCCAGTACCATCCCACTTCCATTCTTTGAATAGGCAGACACTGTAATTAATTTGGTATGATTCTTGCCCATGTTTTATGTTTTTACTACATATTATCACCATAACTGATAATAGTATTGATTTTTATGTTTTTTTTTTTTTTAAATTTCCCCATGAATGATGAACTTTAAACCATGTGGAGTTTATTTTATGTTTTGTTGTAAGGATCTGTGTTTCTCCAGTGGAAAAACAGATTGCAACAACACAACCAATAGGACTGACCTTAGAATGCTAGTTACTGTTTCAGGCACTTTTACCACTCCTGATACGCAGAGAGGCGTGGCCCTAACTGAGGCCCTGAGGTTTCAATTAAAATGACAAAAATCTCAGTTCTCACAGAGCTTGCTTTCTTGTTAATGGGAGGCATATACCCGCCACCCACCCCTGATGTTTAGGCCAGACATAGGCCCTATGTTGTCTTACGATGATTTTGGTGTTATTCCACATTCTGACACTCAGAGGGAGGCTAGCTCTAATCCTGCCATTGTTTCAAGTGTTTGGGACATAGCAGATCAAACAAAAATCTTCCTTTCTTAGACAATGATAACAACAACATACATAAATATTATTGCTTCCTAGTTCCTGTTCTCCCACTAGGCCCTAAGTCCTGAACCATGCATTATATTGTTCCCATTGATGATGGTTGGGGCTGGGAGATAGAACAGTGAACTATCTAGACAAAATCACTACTGCTTTAGAGCATACATCCTAAAGGAGTAAGGAAGACAGCCATCACCATTCTTACATCCCTGGCCCTTAGGCTTTATATTGTCTCATAGGAATTTGGGGATATCCCACAATGTGCCACTCAGAGCAAGATTTGACCCTAGTTCTGACTCCTATAGATTGAGGATATGAAAGTGAGATAGATGAAGTCAAAATGAACATTCAAGCCTACATAGCTTCAGAATTCCACTGTATATTCTGAAATGATATGGCAAAAATGTCAGAGACTAGAGCAAAGAATGCTGGCTAGAAGATTACAGGAGTAAGTCAGACAGAAATTTTTAGTTAATAATTTTAGAAATGCATATTAAGGTGCATTGTGAGGGAGAGTTAACATTGTAGCTGATTAATTTTGTAAGGAAACTGACTATGTAGTAATCAAAGGCCTCCAGGATTATGAGTTATCTGCAAAAATCAGAGAGTTAATGTACGGGAACGGACAAGATTTTAAGAGTCAGTTTAAAACAAAACACAAGAATAAGGGCTAGATAAGTAAGTATAGGTGTACAGTGATCATACTTTTTCTCCATTTTAGTCTGTATCTAAATAGGCTCAAAAAAGTGAATGAAGTGTGAAATGTCTACATTGTCTATTGTTTGGACAAAATATTTTCTTTAAAGATAGAAAAAAGTTTGCTATCTGTAAATTGGCTATTTCACTGAACTAATTAATTCTAAGTATGGATTTCTTTTTTTTTTTTTAAACAGTGTCCTGCTCTGTCATCCAGGTTGAAGTGCAGTGGGCGATCATGGCTCACGGCAGCCTCGACCTCCCAAGATCAAGCAATCCTCCCACCTCAGCCTCTTGAGTAGCTGGGAGTACAGGCACAAGCTACCATGCCCAGCTAATTTTTGATATTTTATAAAGATGAGGTTTCGCCATGTTGCCCTGGCTGGTCTCGAACTCGAGCTCAAGGCAATCCACCTGCCTCAGCCTCCCAAAGTGTTGGTATTACAGGTGTGAGCAACTATGCTTAGCCCTGGTTTTACTTTTAACTGTATGACCTATATTCAGGACTTTTGAAAATGTAAAGAATCCATGTTTTCTCTCCTTCACAAATTTTCCACATGCATCCTTCATTCTCTTGTTGACTGTTCATACCATAAAAGATTTAGGTTCATTTTTAAAGACATCTAGATAACTGCAAAAGGAAGTGACATTAGCGCTTCTCATAAATCAGGGTTTCTGGTATGATTACTTTGATTAGTACTTGTTTATTTAATCATTCATTTATTTATGAAATAATAACCCAGGATCCTCTGACAAAATGTGCAAGATGTTTTTCTGGGTGCCATGCTGGGAAACCAAGATGAATAACACATGGTCTTTTATATGTTCTTTTATGGCCTTCAAATCAATAGCAGAGACAAAAAGTTGCCTTTAAAGCAATAGCAGAGGCAAAAGATGGGTATAAAACCCTGTATAACAACGTAAAAAGAATGTGATAAATGTTATTTAAAGGGTCACAGGGGTACATATATACTGTTAATTCAGGTGACAGAGAGAGAGCTCATTTCATAGAAGTTGATATTAATCTTCATTATGTTACACAAGCAAGAGGGTTTCTAAGTTGATGATTTCATAGTACCAACATAGCAAATTATATATATATATATATAATTTTATTGAGATATAATTACATAGAGCAAAAGACACAGTATCTTGAATATATAACACACTGACTTTTCAGTTTTTCTTCTGTCATTTATTTACGGCATCATTCCATTGTAATTAGAAAAAACACTTTGTATTATTTTAATCTTTCAAAATTTGTTGAGAATTGTTTAGTAGCCTAACGTGTACTATCCTAGAGAATGTTCTATGTGCACTTGAAAAGATTATGTATTCTCCTGTTGTTGGGTGAGGTGTTATAAGTCTGTCAAGTCTAGTTTGTTTGTAGTGTTGTTCAAATCCTCTATTTTCTATTGACCTTATTCCTACATGCTCTATCCATTTTTGAATGTTTTCAATTGAAATCTCCAACTGTTATTGTGTGACTGTCTATTGCTCACTTCAATTCTGTGAAACCGTGCTTCATATATCTTGGGTATCTGTTGTTAGTATATTTATTTTTATAATTTTGATATCTCCTTGATGAATTATCCATTTACTAATAAGTATTGACATTTCTTGTCTTTTTTTTTGCTTTTTTTGATTTAATGCCTACTTTGTCTGATATTGTTACAGTGGCTGTAGATTTGCAAGGAAAATCTTTTTCCTTTTTTTTTGCTTCAACCTATTTGTGTCTTTTATATCTAAAGTGAATCCCTTGTAGACAGCACATAGTTGGATCACATTTTAATGCATTCTGCCAAGCAATGTCTTTTGATTGAAGAGTTAATTCCATTTATATTTAAAGTAATGACTGATAAGGAAAGATTTACCTTTGCCATTTTGCTGTTTAAGTATATCTTAGAAATTTTTTGTCCCTCTTTTCCTCCCTTAATGCTTTCTTTAATGTTGATAGTTGCTTTTTTGTTATGAACTGATTTTCTTCTTATATTTTTGTATATAGATTTTTAGACATTTTGTTTAATATGGGGACTATATGTGACATCCTAAATTTATAATAATTTAGTTGATTTGATGCCCACATAACTTCAATAACATACAAAATCTCTGCTCCTATACAGCTCCATTTTCCACCCTTTATGTTGTCACAAATTATAACTTATACAATGTGCATCCAATAATAGAGAATCATAATTATTCTTCATAAATTTGTCAGCTTAATACTGTAGGAAGTAAAAAAGCTCTTCCCAGATTTTTGCCTTAGCAATCTACTGTTTGTTTCTATTACAGTCATTTGCTTCAGACATGTGAGGATTGTATGACTTTCAGTGTTTTTAAGCAATGCTTGTTCTTTTTCTGGCCTGAGTTTGACTTAGGTAAAACAAAGATGAAAGCCTTGTGTCAGTCATCCACGTAGTGCCCAGACAAGTTAGAAAAACCATATGAAATAATTCTACTCTTCTTACTTTGGAACCAGGGAAAGGGTGCCACACTGGGAATGCAAGCTGTCCTTGCTTCTGAACCAAGACTACTATTGTGCCAGGAAGAGGGTGGGAAAAGAGTAAGTAAAATCATCACATTACTTCCTACTGTTTTGAAGAGGTTTTTTTTCTTTCTTCAGAGTTCATTTGGTTATTGTAAATTTTGACAGATTTTCAGAATTCTGAAAAAACTGGTTCCAAAAGTATCCACTTATTCTATGTTTCTATGAGGGATGAGAGCCTAGAGCTGCCTACTCTTTCATTTTGTTGACATCACATTCTTTGTCAGATATATGTATATGTATATGTACATACATACATAAAGATTATATATATAGAGAGAAAGAGACAGTAAATGTTTTCTCCTTGTCTGTGTGTTGCCTATTTATTTTTGTAATCATGTAATTCAATGAGCAAATGTTTTAAATGTGATCAAGTCCAGTGTGGTTTTTTTTGGCATTTTAAGATTTGTTTCATAATCCAAAGGTGCAAAGATAATCTTCTATTTGTGTTATAGGAACATTATGGCTTTAACTTTCACGTTTATGTTTTGATCCACTTTCAGTTAATTTTTGTTTATGGTGTCAGGTATGTGTCCAGATAAATAGGTAGATCAGTCAATAGATACATGGATAACAACATAGTTTGTTTTTCAATAGAGATATTTAGTTATTCCAGGACCATTTGAAAAATCTTTCATTTAATCACTGAATTATATTAGTGCTTTTTACAAAAATCAATGAACCATATATGTGTTTTTATTTCTGTACTCTTTTCTGTTTTAATGCTCTATCTTTCTATGCTTATGATAATGGCATTCTGTCTTGACTAATGTAGCTTCATACTATATTTTAGAATCTGATAATGTAAGTACTTCAACATTGTTCTTATTCACCTTTTCCCAGTTTTTGCACTAATGTCCTTTTATGTTTTGGATTCAAGACTTGAGTCAGTACTACATTTCATTTATTCTTCATGTTGCCTTAGTCTCCTCCAATCAGTGACAGCTTTTTAAGCTTGAAAGTCTTTTATGACCTTGGCACTATTAAGGAGTATTCATTAGTTGTTTTTTATAATGTCTCTTGATTTCAAGTCGTTTGGTGGTTTTCTCATGACTAGAGGGGAGTTACAGATTTTTTATAAGAGTATCACAGAAGTGATGTGTCTTTCTCATTGCATAATATCCGGTATTGTACGATGTCAGCATAACTTATTGGTGATATTAATGTTGATCACTTTTGTTGAGGTGGTTTCTCCACTTTAAAGTTTGGTAGGTTTTTTTTTCTCCCTTTTCATAGTCTGTTATTTGAAATTCAGTGACTAACTTTGGCTGACACTCAATGAGACTAGAATTAAGCTCCACTTCTTGTGAGGAGTATTAAATAATTTTTAAAACTTCTAGCAATTAGTAAATAATTTGGAGGCAATATTTTGAGGCTCTGCAAATTTCTTAAGTTAACCAGTGACTAAATTTAAATTTCCAACTATTATTGTGGACTTGTCTGTTTCTCCCTTCAATTTAATCATTTTTTGTTTTACGTATTATATTTGGGGGCTTTAAAGTTAACTGTGATATATTTTCATAATTGCTACATTTTCCTGATTGACCGTTTTATCATTATACAATGCCCTTCATTATCTGTACTAACAATTTTTGTCTTAAGTCTATTTTGTCTGTTATAAATATCAGACAAAATAAAACAGCTCTCTTTTGAGTACTGTATGCCTAGTATCATTTCCCATCCTATTACTTCCAACCTATTTATATCTTTTAATCTAAATTGTGTCTTCTGTAGATCACATATAGTTGTATCTTTTTAAAAATTCCATTCCACCAATATTGCCTTCTAATTAGGGTGTTTAATCCAGGTACAATTAATTTGGTAATTTACAAGTGGGTATTTACTGCTATTTTTCTTTGGATTTCTATATGTCTTATTTTTCATTTTATCTATTCTTCCAACACTGCTTTTTTTGTGTTAAATAGATGTTTTCTAGTATACTTCGCCCAGGCTGGAGTACAGTGGCACAATCTTGGCTCACTGCTACCTCTGCCTCCTTGGTTCAAGCAATTCTCCTGCCTCAGCCTTCTGAGTAGCTGGGATTGCAGGCATGCCACCATGCCCGGCTAATTTTTGTATTTTTTAGTAGAGATGCGGTTTTGCCATGTTGGCCAGGCTGTTCTCTAACTCCTGACCTCAAGTGATCTGTCCACCTCAGCCTCCCAAAGTGTTGGGATTACAAGCATTAGCCACCACGCCTGGCCCCTAGTATAACTTTTTAATGCCTTTGTCATTTTATTTATTATTTATTCTGAGTTATTTTCTTCTGGGTCACTCTGGTGTTTACAATTAAATTATTATAGTCTAGTTCAGTTTCATTTCTATTTAATTTCAATAGTATACAAAATTGTTGATTCTATATATTTCCATTCTCTTCCCCATCTTCTATGATTTTATCATACCAATATTTTATTTATGCATTATTTTCTCATCAATGCAGATTTATAATTATTTTATGCATTTGTCTTTTAAATCAGGTAGGATGAAACACAGAGCTACAAACAAAAATTATACTTCTTTCATCTTTTATATTTCCTCATGCAGTTACCTTTACCAGTGTTCTTTATTTTATCATGGTCTTCAAATTACAGTTAGTATTGTTTCATTTCAGCCTAAAAGTCTCTTTTTAGTATTTCTTGTCAGGCAGATATAGTAAAAAATTTTTATCAGTTCTTGTTTATCTGGACATGTTTTTATTTCTCTTTCATTTGTAAGTTTTGCTGGATATAAAATGTTTGGTTCACATGTTTTTTCTTTCAGTATTTTGAATATGGTAGGTATCCCATTGTCATCCACAGTATTGGGTGAGAAATCGGTTGTTAATCTTACTGAGAATCTTTCATATACAATCAGTCATTTTTCTTTTTCTGCATTCAAGATTCTCTCTTTATGTTTGTCTTTTGACAGTTTAATTATGATGTCTTGGTGTGCTTTTCTTTGAGTTTATCTTACTTGGAATTCATTGAGATTCTTGGATGTATATATTAATGTTGATCGATTTTTGGAAGTTTTCAGCCATGATTTTTTCAAATATTCTTTATGCTTCTTTCACTCTCTACTTTTTCTCAGACTTCCATTATGTATATTTTGGTATGCTTGATGGTGTTCAGAGGTCTCTGGAGTTTTGTACATTTTTCTTCACTCTGTTATCTTTCTGTTCCTTAGACTGGGTAATCACAATTGTCCTACCTTCCAGTTCACGAATTCTTTCTTCTGCCTGCTTATATCTGCTGTTGAACTTCTTCAGTTTATTTTTAATTTCAGTTCTTATATTTTTCAACTTTAGAATTTCTATTTGGTTTCTTTTTATATCTGTTTACTGATATACTACTTGATGAGACGTTATTCTCATACATTTCTTTAATTCTTTAGATGGGATTTTCTCTAGTTCTTTGGACAGATTTATAATAGCTGATTTAAAGTCACTTGCTAAATTTAGTATTCATCTAAAGATCTTGCCTACAACAATCACTACTTTGGTGTTGTAATGATTAATTTTCTATAAAAGAATTTCCTGGCAGCTGGATGCGGTGGCTCAGGCCTGTAATCCCAGCACTCTGGGAGGCCAAGGTGGGTGGATCACGAGGTCAGGAGATCACGACCATCCTGGCTAACGCGGTGAAACCCTGTCTCTACTAAAAGTAAAAAAAAAATTAGCGGGGTGTGGTGGCGGGTGCCTATAGTCCCAGCTACTCGGGAGGTTGAGGCAGGAGAATGGCGTGAACCCGGAGGCGGAGCTTGCAGTGAGCCGAGATTGCGCCACTGCACCCAGCCTGGGTGACAGAGTGAGACTGTGTCTCAAAAAAAAAAAAAAAATTTTCCTATTTCTTTATTAACTGAAGCTCTTCTGTAAGGAATAGCTAATCTCTTCTCTCATTCATTCGTTTATTCATTCAATTATGTGTTTATATCAGTATAGACTTATGGATACTTATTATTTAAGAAGTAATCCATTAGTAGCAGTATTTTACATATTTTAAGTTTTATTTTAGATTCAGGAGTACATGTGCAGGTTTTTTATATAGGGAAACTCATAATTTGGAGGTTTGATGTACACATTATTTTGTCACTCAGGTACTAAGCATAGCCTCAACATTTTTTTCTTCTGAACCTCTTCCTCATCTCAGCCTCCTCCCTCAAGTAGGCTCCAGTGTCTGTTGTTCCTCTCTTTCTGTCCATGTGTTCTCATTATTTAGCTTCCACTTATAAGTGAGAACATGGAGTATTTTGTTTCTTTTCCTGCGTTGGTTTGCTAAAGATAATGGCCTCCAGTTCCATCCACTAGAGAAATGTAAATTAAAACCACAATATTATTTGTATTTATTTTATTCCTAGATTATTTTAGGTTTGACCATTGGTAGTTTTTGATTCCTAGATGATTTTAGGTTTGACCATTGGTAGTTTTTGATTCCTAGATTATTTTAGGTTTGACCATTGGTAGTTTCTTGGCTTCTGTAACTTTTTTTTTTTTTTTTTTTTTTGAGACGGAGTCTCGGTCTGTCGCCCAGGCTGGAGTGCAGTGGCCTGATCTCGGCTCACTGCAAGCTCTGCCTCCTGGGTTCACGCCACTCTCCTGCCTCAGCCTCCCGAGTAGTTGGGACTACAGGCGCCTGCCACCACGCCTGGCTAATTTTTTGTATTTTGTTTAGTAGAGACGGGGTTTCATCGTGTTAGGATTGTCTCGATTTCCTGACCTCGTGATCCACCTGCCTTGGCCTCCCAAAGTGCTGGGACTACAGGCACCCGCCACCACGCCCGGCTAATTTTTTGTATTTTGTTTAGTAGAGATGGGGTTTCATTGTGTTAGGATGGTCTCGATCTCCTGACCTCGTGATCCACCTGCCTTGGCCTCCCAAAGTGCTGGGATTACAGGCATGAGCCACCGTGCCCGACCGGCTTCTATAACATTTTTAAGTCTTTTTTTTTTTTTTATTATGCAGCCTTTATTGGACATTTATCTTTCAGCAAAGTGCAGTTACATTTTCCATTAATTTACAGTAACACAGTTTAACTCTGATACCCTTGACTGTTGACCCAGGTGAGATGTAATGCTAAGTACTTGTTTAGATTAAGATGCCCCCAAATGTCATTATTGTCTGAATAGTAAGTGCTGAATAACAGTAGAAATTTAATCCACTAGCTTTAGGATAGGGTTTCTGTTATCTGCATTAGCTTTTCAGTGAAGTGAAAACAAGATCTTTGCCTTTTACGTCATCCCACTTACTCAAACATCATTCTTTAACAGAGTTAAAAGATATTTCATGAAGAACTGTAGATGTTCTGTGCTTACAGTTTGGGGTGAATATAAATACAAATGACATGAAGTAAAATGTACTTTAAAAAATACATATGGTTTTTAATAATTAAAAATGTTTTAGCTGGGCGTGGTGGCTCATCCCATGTCTGTAATCCCAGAACTTTGGGAGGCTGAGGTGGGTGGATCACCTGAGGACAGGAGTTCGAGACCAGCCAGACCAACATGGTGAGACCCCATCTGTACTAATAATACAAAATTAACTGGGCATGGTGGTGTATGCCTGTAATCCCAGCTACTCAGGAAGCTGAGACAGGAAATTCGCTTGAACCCAGGAGGCAGAGATTGCAGTGAGCTGAGATCGCATCATTGCATTCCAGTCTGGGCAACAAGAGTGCAACTCCTCAAAAAAAAAACAGTTTCAATTTTTATGGAAGTCAATGTTAGAAAAATATTAATGTGCAAATATGTGTGGTGAAGTAAACTATAACTGTTTGTACAATTTGGCATTTTCGGACATTAGCACTAAGAAAATAGAGATTTTCATATTAGCAGCCTCTCTCATGCTCCTAAATAGGTTATTGCATCTTTTTTTTTTTTTTCGTACTTTACGTTCTGGGATACATGTGCAGAAAGTGCAGGTCTGTTACACAGGTATATACGTGCCATGGTGGTTTGCTGCACCCATCAACCCATCATCTACATTAGGTATTTCTCCTAATGCTATCCATGCCCTAGCCCCACACCCCCCAACAGGCCCTGGTGTGTGATCATCTCCTCCCTGTGTCCATGTATTCTCATTGTTCAGCTGCCACTTATGAGTGAGAACATGCGGTGTTTGGTTTTCTGTTCCTGTGTTAGTTTGCTGAGTACGATGGTTTCCAGCTTCATCCATGTCCCTGCAAAGGACGTGAACTCATCATTTTTGTATGGCTGCATAGTATTCCATGGTGTATATTTGCCACATTTCCTTTATCCAGGCTATCATTGATGGGCATTTGGGTTGGTTCCAAGCCTTTGCTGTTGTGAATCGTGCTGCAATAAACATAACGTGTGCATGTGTCTTTATAATAGAATGATTTATAATCCTTTGGGTATATAAACAGTAATGGCATTACTGGGTCAAGTGGTATTGCTGGTTCTGGATCCTTGAGGAATCGCCACACTGTCTTCCGCAATGTTTGAACTAGTTTACACTCCCACCTACCGTGTAAAAGCGTACCTATTTCTCCACATCCTCTCCAGCATCTGTTGTTTCCTGACTTTTTAATGATCGCCATTCTAACTGGCATGAGATGGTCTCTCATTGTGGTTTTGATTTGCATTTCTCTAATGACCAGTGATGATGAACTTTTCTTCATACATTTGTTGGCTGCATAAATGTCTTCTTTTGAGAAGTGACTGTTCATATCCTTTGCCCACTTTTTGATGGGGTTATTTGTTTTTTTCTTGTAAATTTGTTTAAGTTCCTTGTAGATTCTGGATATAAGCCATTTGTCAGATGGATAGATTTCAAAACTTTTCTCCCATTCTGTAGGTTGCTGGTTCACTCTTGATGATAGTTTCTTTTGCTGTGCAGAAGCTCATTAGTTCAGTCAGATCCCATTTGTCAATTTTGGCTTTTGTTGCCATTGCTTTTGGTGTTTTAGTAATGAAGCCTTTGACCATGCCTATGTCCTGAATGGTATTGCCTAGGTTTTCTTCTAGGGTTTTTATGGTTTAAGGTTTTACGTTTAGCCTTTAATCCATCTTTTGTTAATTTTTGTATAAGGTATAAGGAAGGGGCCCAGCTTCAGTTTTCTGCATATGGCTAGCCAGTTTTCCAAACACCATTTATTGAATAGGGAATCCTTTCCCCACTGCTTGTTTTTGTCAGGTTTGTCAAAGATCAGATTGTTGTAGATGTGTGGTGTTATTTCTGAGACCTCTGTTCTGTTCTGTTCTGTTCTATTGGTCTATATATCTGTTTCGGTACCAGTACCATGCTGTTTTGGTTACTGTAGTCTTGTAGTATAGTTTGAAGTCAGGTAACATGATGCCTCCAGCTTTGTTCTTTTTGCTTAGTATTGTCTTGGCTGTATGGGCTCCTTTTTGATTCCATATGAAATTTAAAGTAGTTTTTTTTCTAATTTTGTGAAGAAAGTCAATGGTAGCTTGATGGGAATAGCATTGAATGTATAAATTACTTTGGGTAGTATGGCCATTTTCATGATATTAATTCTTCGTATCCATGATCATGGAAAGTTTTTCCATTTGTTTGTGTTCTCTTTTATTTTCTTGAGCAGTGGTTTGTAGTTCTCCTTGAAAAGGTCCTTCAAATCCCTTGAAAGTTGTAATCCTAGGTATTTTATTCTCTTTGTAGCAATTGTGAATGGGAGTTCACTCATGATTTGGGTCTCTGTTTGTCTATTTTTGGTGTATAGGAATGCACATTTATTGTGTATCCTGAGACTTTGCTGAAGTTGTGTATTTGGTGTTCTCTGAATATACAGTCCTGTCATCTGCAAACAGGGACAATTTGACTTCCTCTTTTCCTAATTGAATGACCTTTATTTCTTTCTCTTGCCTGATTGCTCTGACCAGAACTTCCAATACTATGTTGAATAGGAGTGGTGAGAGAGGGCATCCTTGTCTTGTGCCAGTTTTCAAAGGGAATGCTTCTAGCTTTTGCTCATTCAGTATGATATTGGCTATGGGTTTGTCATAAATAGCTCTTATTATTTTGAGATACGTTCCATCAATACCTAGTTTATTGAGAGTTTTTAGCATGAAGGAGTGTTGAATTTTATCGAAGGTTTTTTCTGCATCTATTGAGATAATTGTGTGTTTTTTTGTCATTGGTTCTGTTTATGTGATGGATTACGTTTATTGATTTGCATATGTTGAACCAGCCTTGCATCCCAGGGATGAAGCCGACTTGATCATGGTGGATAAGTTTTTTGATGTGCTGCTGGATTCGGTTTGCCAGTATTTCATTGAGGATTTTCGCGTTGATGTTCATCAGAGATATTGGCCTGAAATTGTCTTTTTTTGCTGTGTCTCTTCCAGGTTTCGGTATCAGGATGATGCTAGCCTCATAAAATGAGTTAAGGAGGAGTCCCTCTTTCTCTATTGTTTGGAATAGTTTCAGAAGTAAAGGTACCAGCTCCTCTTTGGTAGAATTTGGCTGTGAATCCATCTGGTCCTGGGTTTTTTTTTTTTTTTTTTTTTGTAGGCTATTGATTACTGCCTCAGTTTCAGAAATTGTTACTCTTCTGTTCAGGGATTCGACTTCTTCCTGGTTTGTTCTTGGCAGGGTGTATATGTACAGGTATTTATCCATTTATTCTAGATTTTCTAGTTTATTTGCATAGAGGTGTTTATAGTATTCTCTGATGGTAGCTTGTATTTCTGTGGGATCAGTGATGATATCCCCTTTATTATTTTTTATGGTGTCTATTTGATTCTTCTCTCTTTTCTTCTTTATTAGTCTGGCTAGCAGTCTATCTTTTTTGATAATCTTTTCAAAACACCAGCTCTTGGATTCATTGATTTTTTGAAGGGGTTTTCGTATCTCTATCTCTTTCAGTTCCGGTCTGATATTAGTTATTTCTTGTTTTCTGCTAGCTTTTGAATTTGTTTGCTCTTACTTCTCTAGCCTTTTTAATTGTGATGTTATAGTGTCGATTTTCAATCTTTCCGACTTTCACCTGTGGGCATTTAGTGCTGTAAATTTCCCTGTAAACACTGCTTTAGCTGTGTCCCAGAGATTCTGGTATGTTGTGTCTTGTTCTCATTGGTTTCAAAGAAATTATTTATTTGTGCTTTAATTTTGTATTTTACCCAGTAATCATTCAGGAGCAGATTGTTCAGTTTCCATGTAGTTGTGTGGTTTTGTGTGAGTTTCTTAATCCTGAGTTCTAATTTGATTGTACTGTGGTCTGAGAGACTGTTATGATTTCTGTTCTTTTGTGTGTGGTGAGGAATGTTTTAGTTCCAATGGTGTGGTCAATTTTAGAATAAGTGTGATACGTTTCTGAGAAGAATGTGTATTCTCTTGATTTGGGGCATAGAGTTCTGTAGATGTCTATTAGGTCCACCTGGTCCAGAGCTGAGTTCAAGTCCTGAATATCCTTATTAACCTTTTGTCTCTTTGATCTAATGTTGACAGTGGGGTGTTAAAGCCTCCCACTATTACTGTGTGGGAGTCTCAGTCTCTAAGTTTATAGTATTCTCTGATGGTAGTTTGTATTTCTGTGGGATCAGTGATGATATCCCCTTTATTATTTTTTTATTGTGTCTATTTGATTCTTCTCTCTTTTCTTCTTTATTATTCTGGCTATTGATATTTGTGTATGAACGAAGTTCTCGTGCTGTGTTTTTCAGCTCCATCAGGTCATTTATGTTCTTCTTTAAACTGGTTATTCTAGTTAGCAATTCCTCTAACCTTTTTCAAGGTTGCTTTATGAATCTGGGTGCTCCCGTATTGGGTGCATATATATTTAGGATAGTTTGCTCTTCTTGTTGCATTGATCCCTTTACCATTATGTGTTGCCATTCTTTGTCTTTTTGAATTTTATTGGTTTAAAGTCTGTTTTATCAGAGACTATCATTGCAACCCCTGCTTTTTTTTGCTTTCCATTTTCTTGGGAAATATTCCTCCATTCCTTTATGTTGAGCCTATGTGCGTCTTTGCATGTGAGATGGGTCTACTGAATACAGCACACCAATGGGTCTTGACCCTTTATCCAATTTGCCAGCCTGTGTCTTTTAATTGGCCAGTTTACATTTAAGTTAATATTGTTATGTGTGAATTTGATCCTGTCATTATGATGCTAGCTGGTAATTTTGCCCGTTAGTTGTTGCAGTTTCTTCATAGTGTAGATGGTCTTTACAATTTGGTGTGTTTTTGCAGTGGCTGGTACTGGTTTATCCTTTCATATCTAGTGCTTCCTTCAGGAGCTCTTGTAAGGCAGGCCTGGTGATGACAAAATCTCTCAGCATTTGCTTGTCTGGAAAGGATTTTATTTCTTTTTCGCTTATGAAGCTTAGTTAGGCTGGATATGAAATTCTGGGTTGAACATTATTTTCTTTAAGAATGTTGAATATTGGCCCCCACTCTCTTCTGACTTGTAGGATTTCTGCAGAGATATCCGCTGTTAGTCTGATGGGCTTCTCTTTGTGGGTAATCTGACTTTTCTCTTTGGCTGCCCTTAACATTTTTTCCTTCACTTCAACCTTGGTGAATCTGACAATTATGTGGCTTGGGGTTACTCTTCTCATGGTATATCTTTGTGGTGGTCTCTGTATTTTCTGAATTTGAATGTTGGCCTGTCTTGCTAGTTTGGGGAAGTTCTCCTGGATAATATTCTGAAGAGTGTTTTCCAATTTGGTTCCAATCTCCCTATCACTTTCATGTACACCTATCGAATGTAGGTTTGGTCTGTTCATATAGTCCCATATTTCTTGGAGGCTCTGTTCGTTCCTTTTCATTCGTTTTTCTCTAATCTTGTCTTCATGCTTTATTGTATTAAGCTGATCTTCAATCTCTGATGTCCTTTCTTCCACTTGATTGATTTGGCTATTGATACTTGTGTATGAAAGAAGTTATTGTGCTGTGTTTTTCAGCTCCATCAGGTCATTTATGTTCTTCTTTAAACTGGTTATTCTAGTTAGCAACTCCTCTAACCTTTTTTCAAGGTTCTTAGCTTCCTTGCATTGGGTTAAAACATGCTTCTTTAGCTTGGAGGAGTTTGTTATTACCCACCTTCTGAAGCCTAAATTCTGTCAATTTGTCAAACTCATTCCCTGTTCAGTTTTGTTGTCTTGCTAGCAAGGAGTTGTGATCCTTTGGAGGAGAAGAGGCATTCTGGTGTTTGGTAGTTTCAGCCTTTTTTTCGCTGGTTTTCCTCATCTTTGTGAATTTATCTACCTGTGGTCTTTGATTTTGGTGACCTTCAGTTGTTTTTTTTTTTTTTTTTTTGTATGTGGACGTTCTTTTTCTTGATGTTATTGCTATTCCTTTCTGTTTGTTAGTTTTTCTTCTAACAGTCAGACCCCTCTTCTGCAGGTCTGATGGAGTATTCTCCGGGTCCGCTGCAGATCCTGTGTGCCTGGGTATCACCAGTGGAGGCTGCATAACAGCAAAGATTGCTGCCTGTTCCTTCCTCTGGAAGCTTCCTTCCAGTGGGGCACCCGCCAGATGCCAGTTGGAGCTCTCTTGTTTGAGGTGTCTGTCGACCCCTGCTGCAAGGTGTCTCCCAGTCTGGAGGCACAGGGGTCAGGGACCCACTTGCAGAGGCAGTGTGTCCCTTAGCAGAGCTCGAGCGCTGTGGTGGGAGATCTGCTCTCTTCAGAGCCAGCAGGCAGGAATGTTTATTTCTGCTGAAGCTGCACACACAGCCGCCCCTTCCCCCAGGTGCTCTGTCCCAGGGAGATGGGAGTTTTGTCTAGAAGCCCCTGACTGTGGCTCCTGCCTTTTTTTCAGAGATGCCCTGCCCAGAGAGGAGGAATCTAGAGAGGCAGTCTGGCCGCAGTGGCTTTGCTGAGCTATGGTGGGCTCTGCCCAGTTCAAACTTCCTGGAGGCTTTGTTTACAGTGAGAGGGAAAAACTGCCTACGCAAGCCTCAGTAATGGTGGACGCCCCTCCCCCCACCAAGTTCTAGAGTCCCAGGTTGACTTCAGACTGCTGTGCTGGCAGCGAGAATTTCAAACCAGTGCGTCCTAGCTTGCTGGGCTTCGTGGAGGTTTGGATCCACTGAGCTAGACCACTTGGTTCCCTGTCTTCAGTCCCCTTTCCAGGAGAGTGAACGGTTCTGTCTCACTGGCGTTCCAGGCACCACTGGGGTATGAAAAATAACTCCTGCAGCTAGCTTGGTATCTGCCCAAACAGCTGCCCAGTTTTGTGCTTGAAACCCAGGGCCCTGGTGGTGTAGGCATCCGAGGGAATCTCCTGGTCTTCAGGTTGCGAAGGCCGTGGGAAAAGTGTAGTATCTGGACCAGAATGCACCACTCCTCATGGCACGGTGCCTCATGATTTCCTTTGGCCAGGGGAGGGAGTTCCCTGACCCCTTGCACTTCCTGGGTGAGGCATTGCACCACCCTGCCTCGGCTCGCCCTCCGTGGGCTGCACCCACTGTCTAACCAGTCCCAATGAGATGAGTCATGTACTCAGTTGGAAATGCAGAAATCACCTGCCTTCTGCACTGATCTGGCTGAGACCTGCAGACTGGAGATGTTCTTATTCGGCCATCTTGCCAGCTGCCTTGGTAACTGCATCTTTATAGTCTTTAATTCTTTTCTTTACTCTTTCTGTAATCTTTCTTTTCTAGTACTTCCTTATTATGTGGCATGACAGAGGCTTCAGGACCATCTTGTAATTTCCTTGCCCTATCCCTAGAATCAACAATTTTGTCAAGTCATCCTGGGTCATTTTATTATAAAGTGGTATCTAGAAGCCTGATCTGGTTGTTAGATGTGCCTGTTTCTACTGGATGTGATTACTTTTTGCTCTCCAACAGGAAAGAGCTATGGAATACATGCATGCATTCTTTTTTTTTTTTTTTTTTTTGAGACAGAGTCTTGCTCTGTTGCCCAGGCTGGAGTGCAGTGGCATGATATCGGCTCACTGCAACCTCTGCCTCCTGTGTTCAAGCAGTTCTCCTGCCTCAGCCCCCCAAGTAGCTGGAACTGCAGGCGCACACCACCATTCCTGGCTAATTTTTTGTATTTTAGTAGAGATGGGTTTCACTGTGTTGCCCAGGCTGTTCTTGAACTCCTGAGCTCAGGCAATCCACCTGCCTCGGCCTCCCAAAGTGCTGGGATTACAGGCATGAGCCACCATGCCCAGCCATACATGCATGCATTCTAATCCATGTATACATCTATATTAGTTTCCTATTGTTGCTGTATCAGCACAAACTTTGTGCCTTAAATCAATGAAAATTTGTTATCTTACATGTTTGGAGGTCAGAAATGCAAAATAGTGTGAGTTCCTTTTGGAGACGCTATGAAAGCATCCTTTTCCTTGCCTTTTCCAGCAGCTAGAGTCTGCACACATTTCTGAGCTCATAGTATGCCCTGCATCTCTCTGATCTTTGCTTCTCTCTTCACATCGCCTCCTGGAATTATGACCCACATGCCTCCCTCTTATAAGGGCCCTTGAGATTACGTTGGACTCAAGTGGTTAATCCAGGATGATTTCTCCATCTCAACATCCTTAATCACATTCTTTTAGCCATCTAAGATAACCTTTTCACAAGGTCCTTGGATTAGGACATGGACATCTTTTTGAGGAGGGAGCTGGATTAGGACATGGACATCTTTTTGAGGAGGGAGCTGGATTAGGACATGGACATCTTTTTGAGGAGGGAGCTTTATTGAGCCTTCAATAACGCCCATCTTTATATTTAGTTTTGTGTTTATTTTGGTATACTAAAATAGTCATGAGTTCAAACTAATGTTTCCAACTCTAATTCAACACTACCTGTTGTATTCTAACATTTCTCTCTTGCCTATGTGTGTATTAGTCAGTTCTCACACTGCTATAAAGACAAATTCGATACTGGTAATTTATAAAGGAAAGAGGTTTAATTGACTCAAGTTCCACAGGGCTGAGGCAGGGTCAGGAAACTTACAGTCATGATGGAAGGGGAAGCAAAGATGTCCTTCTTCACATGGCGGCAAGAAGGAGAAGAATGACTGCCTAGTGAAAGGGAATGCCCATTATAAAACCATCAGATCTCATGAGAACTAACTCATTTTCATGAGAACAGGATTGGGGAAACTGCATCCATGATTCAATTATCTCCACCTGGTGCCTCCCATGACATGAGGGGATTGTGGCAACTACAATTCAAAATGAGATTTGGGTGGGGACACAGCCAAATCGCATCAATGTGTAACTTCTTTTTCTGACATTAAGAAATCTGGTTATCATTAACTATAACATATTTACTTGCATATTTGTATGTATGTTAACTTTTTCAAAATTGGTAAAACTTACCCTTCTGAAAAATAAATTTAACCAGTGAGAGAGTACAGCATTTGTGTATAATTCTTTTATCTTCAGCTTTACAGTATCGGTAAAACAAGTCTTTAAAAAGTATTTAGGCCAGCTTCCTTATTCTCCCTTAAATGTGGTAAAGTTATACATTTGTAGTACATTTAGATTCACTTATTACAGTCTGTGTGTCATTCTAAGATCCTTCAAAATCCTGATTGCTTTTGTTTATTTGTTTTTAACCTACAATTTTTGCTTTCTGCTGTGTTCAGTTCTAGGGGTTTTGATGAATAGATTTATATATCTTCTACCACAATATGATATAGTAGAGTTCCATCATCCTAATAATTCTCCTTGACATTTGTCTCCTCGACATTCAGACACCCCTGCCCAATCCTTGTCTACCAATGGTCTGTTTCCTTTTTCACTATAGGTTTGTCTTTTTCAGAATGTCATTTGAATGAAATCATACAGTGTTTAGCCTTTTTATTTAGCTTTATAGCAAAAGCATTTAAGATTTATCACGTTGTATGAGTCAATCTAAATATTAGCCCATCATACATATATACTAAATTTTGCTTATCTATTCATCTCTTGAAAAACATCTGGAATTTGTCGAGTTTTTGGCAATTATAAATAAAACTACTATAATCATTCATGTACAGGTTTTTATGTGAATGTATGCTTTCAATTCACTTGGGTAATGACCTAAAATGAGACTGCTGGCTTATATGGTAAATGTATTTTAAAATTTATTAGTTACTGCCAAACTGTATGGTATTGTCTTTTATCATTTCTTTCTCCAATTTGTTTTTTAGTTTATAGAAACATAAATGATTTTTTGTATGTTAACTGTATTCTGGGACCTTGCTAAATTTGCCTGTTAGATCTAGTAGTTTTTATAGATCTCTTTGAATTTTCTCTGTACACAATCATGTCCTCTGTGAATAACCAGTCATTACTAAGAGAATGCCAGCAGCCCTTACTCATCTCTAGAAGAAAAATATTCTTATATTATTCAAGGTTCTCCAGAGACACAGAACTAATCGAATATTCATTCTGTCTCTTGTATTATTCCTTCCTGAAGAGTCTGGACCATTCATAGTCTTGTCTTTATTGGGTTGTTGTAATTTTCCATTGACCTTATTTATGGGCCATGTCATCCATGATACGTGTATGTGTGTATGTGTACATATATATGTATACACACACAAATATATATATATATATAAAAATTGAGAGATAATTTATTAGGAAAATTGGCTCACATGGTTATGGATACTAAGTTTCATGAAAGGCCATTTGCAAGCTGGAGACCCTGGGGTGCTGGTAGTGTAACTCAGTCCAAGTCTGAAGATCTCAGAACCAGGAAAACTGACGGTGCAATTCTCAGTCCAAGGCCGAAAGCCTGAGATCACAGAGGGGCACTGGAATAAGTCCTGGAGTCCAAAGGCCTGGGAGCCTGGAAAGGAACAGTATCCCAGCTTCAGCAAATAGATTGACATATTCACCTTTTCTCTGTTGTAGTTATCTCTGGCCCACCAACACATTGGATGATGCCTTCCCACATTGATGGTGGATCTTCCCCACCTAGTCCTCTCAGACTCACAGGCTTATCTCTGGAAACACCCTCAAAGACACGCCTAAATATAATGTTTTATCAGGTTATTAGGTATTCCTCAGTCCAGTCAAGTTGACATCTAAAATTAACTATCACAAGCCCACTCACCGTCAACTTGGCACCCATATACATCTCCTTAAACCATACTTAATCTCCAAGTAACACAATAACAAGGTAATAATTCCACTTAACATGATACACCTATTCTACATGCAAGTAAAATGCATTAGTCCTTTTCCCAGAAGAAAAGGTAAAGTTTTTTTGGTGATGTTTATTCTTCTCCTTATACACTATGACTTGAATACTATTATGTACAATTAACAATACTTATATACTGATATAAATTCAGTCAATCTTATATTACATGATAGATAAGAGTGAAAACAAAGATAATACATAATATGTGTATATATATATACACAGACATATTCTTAACACATTAGGAAATAAATTCTTATAACAATTAGTCTTCATTTCTGTAACTGGTTACATGGCCCTAGCTGGTGTTTGTAACTACTTTCTTCTACTATATATTTAGTACCCGCTTTGCCTTCAGGAAGTACCTTAGCTGGTGGTGGTCCTTTATCTAGTGAAGTGACCCAAATCTTTATTCCTGAAGTCTGGCCATTAGTAATCTTGCCTAAATTGGGTTGTTGTGATTTTCTATTGACCTTTATTACAGGCCATAGTAGTACTAAGAGATGCCCTAAGGGATCTTCCATATTCCAGACATCTCCTTAACTCCATTGTGAAGTAGTAGTTCAATTTGCCCTTGGTAGTCTGGATCAATCACCCCAGCAAACTGTGTAACTCCCTTCTTATCCTATTATCTCAGAAGCATGAGAAGCCCAAAGAGGCTGAGCAGCAGCTTTAACGAGCAGTTCAATTGAATTACTGTTGTGTCTCATAGAGGAAGCATTCTTCCCTTTGGAATTAAGATGTCTAGAGCCAGAAGAGTATAAAGTCACAGGAACAGGAAGCAAAAGTTTTGCTAGCAGGTCACTAGGGATAATAAATAGTGAGTGATGCCACTCCCATTTTCACCTCTTAATTTCTGGATCCATGAATCCTGGCCATGGGAGGAATAGTAGCATATATTGGGCACTGATTTAGAGCATATACAGCCTTCTGGAGAACCTTTCCCCAGCTCTGCAAGGTATTGTCACTTAGCTGGTGCTGTAATTTTGAATTCAAAGGACTCTTCCACCATTCAATTAAACCAGCTTTTTCAGGATGATGAGGAGTATGGAAATACCAGTGAATTCCATGAGCATGACTCCACTGCCATACTCCTTTGGCTATGGAGTGAGTTCCTTTGTCAGAAGCAATGCTGTGTGGAACACCATGATGGTAAATAAGACATCCTATGAGTCCACATATGGTAGTTTTGGCAGAAGCATTGTGTGCAGGGAAAGCAAATCCATATCTAGTGTCTATTCCTTTAAAGACCAAACACAGTTCCTTATATTATTGAAGTGGTCCAATATAATCAGCCTGCCACCAGGTAGCTTGCTGATTATCCCAGGAAATGATCATCTAAGATGTTGATCTCTGCTGCCGTCAGATTGGGCACCCAGCAGTGGCCATAGCCAGGCTGGCTTTTGTGAGTGGAAGTCCATGTTGCTGAGTCCCTGCATAATCTCTACCATCACACCATTGCCACTTTGTTCATGAACCCACTGAGCAATGATGGGGTGGCTGAGGAAAGGGGTTGACTAGTATCTACAGAGTAGGTCATTCTATCCACCTGATTATCAAAGTCCTCCTCTGCTGAGGTCATTCTTTGGTGTGCATTCACATGGGACAAAAATATCTTCATATACTTTGCCTGCTCAGAGTTTTATTCACATATCTCTTTTCCAAATTCTTTGTCACCAGTTTTTCAATCATGTTCTTTCCAAGTCTTTGACCATTTGGCCAAATCATTGGCTACAGCCCGTGAATTAGTATATAACCACACATTTGGCATTTCTACTTTCAAGCAAAGTGCACATTCAGGTGCATTACCTAAATTACTGCCCACTGAGAAGATTTCCCTTTACCATTGCCATTCCAGGTTGTCGCAGAAAGTGACTATGCTGCTACAGCTCTCCACTTTTGGGTGGTGCCTACATATCATGTAGAACCATCTCTAACCAGGCCCTAGTCCTTTCTTCCTGTGTCAGTTGATTATAGGGTACTTCCCATGAGGCCATCGGTGCAGGCTGAGAGAGAGAAGGTGGTATAGCAGGAGAAGGAACCATGGGTTTTTGGGGCCAATTCTTCATATACCTTAATTGTGTCTTCATGATCTGCTGGGGCCTGATCACGTATATACGACTTCCATTTGATGATGGAATACTGCTGTGCCCAACCAACTCTATGATTTGGTGGGTAAAGTAACACACAGTTCAGGATGGGAAACTCAGGTCTCATGGTAACTTGGTGGTCCATAGCCAAACATTCAGTGTCTACTAAGGCCAAGTAACAGGCCAAAAGCTGTCTCTCAAAATGATAGTATTTATCTTCAGATAATGACAGGGTCTTGCTCAAAAATCTCAGGGGCCTTTACTGTGATTCACCTGTAAAGGCTTGCCAAAGACTCCAAACAGCATTTATATCTGCCATAGACACCTCAAGTACCATTGGATCTGTTGAATCCTAAGGCCCGAGTGGCAGCACAGCTTGCACAGCAGCCTGGACCTGTTGCAGAGCACTATGTTCTAAGTCCCACTCAAAACTAGCAGCTTTTCAGGTGTCTCAGTAGATGGCACAGAGTAATATACTCACATGAGGAATATGATTTGTCCAAAATCTAGATAGGCCCACTAGATGTTGTGCCTCTTTCTTGGTTGTAGGAGGGGCCAGATGTAACAACTTATCCTTCTCTTTAGAAAGGATATTACCACACCATTGGACCCTTAGAAGTTTCACTAAGGTAGAAGCCCCCTGAATTTTAGTTAGATTTATTTTCCATTCACATGCAAATGTTTTAGCAATAAATTCAGAGTGGCTTCTACTTCATGTTCACTAGGTCCAGTCAGCAAAATGTCATCAATATAACACACCAGTGTGATATATTGTCAGGGGAAAAAGGCAATCAAGATATCTACAAACTAAACTGTGACACAGGGCTGGAGATAAGGTAGGACAATTAAGGCATATTGCTGGCCTTGACAGCTGAAAGCAAACTACTTCTGGTGGATCTTATGGGCAGGGATCAATAAAAAGGTTTTTGCCAGATCACTAGCTACATACCAAGTACCAGAAGATGTGTTAATTTGCTCAAGAAATGAAACCACATCTGGTACAGCAGCTGCAATTGGAGTCACCCCACTTGGTTAAGCTTACAGTAACACACTGTCCTTCTCCAGGATTCATCTTTCTTCTACACAGGCCAAAAAGGAGAGTTGAATGGAGATGTGGTGGGAATCACCACCCCTGCATCATTGAAGTCCTTGATGGTGGCATCAATCTCTGCATTACCTCCAGGACTGCAGTATTGTTTTTGCTGTGCTATTTTCCTAGATAGAACCAGTTCTAGTGGTTTACATTTGGCCATTTCCACTTAATAGTCCTCACTACACAGGTTAAAAAATCAGCGTGGAGATTCTGCCAGCTGCTAAATATGTATATTCCAGTTATGCATTCTGGAACTGAGGAAATGATCACAGAATGAATTCAGAAACCCACCGGACCCACTGTGAGTGGAATCTGAGCTAAAACTGCATTAATCACCTAACCTCCGTGAAGCCCTACTCTAACTGGAGGGTCACAGTGATGTTTGGATCTCATGTAATCAGTGTCACTTCAGAGCCAGTGTTCACTAGTCCCTGAAAAGTATTATTATTTCTCTTTCTCCACTGCAGTTACCCAGGTAAAACACCATAGGTCCCTTTGAAGAAAAAATGGGATAAAAATAAGTGGTACAGATTTTTAGTAGTGTACTGGTGTTCCTCCTGGAGGAGATCTGGTCTCCCTTTCATTCAAGGTTTTCTAGGTCTGTAAACTGGCTCAAGTCTGGGAATTGATTTAGGACCCATTGTTCTCTGTTTCTATTACTTGGGTTAAACTTTTATTTACTTGACTTGAAAGTTTTCTACTTATATAAAGTAAAAATTCAGCAGTTTTCTATCTGTCCACTTCTAGGAACACCATGTTTAACTAGCCGATGCCATAGATCCATGAAAATCAGACGATTCTGTTTGTTGCTTTGCCTTTGCTGTCTATTATGGTAACTATGCACACCTTACCTTTGAGAGCTGAGTACCACAACATGGCCTCTACCACCCCAAGATCTAATTATTCCTATTACATTTAAGTTTTTTAAATAATTGACTGAGGATCCCATGGTAAGGTCCAGTTTACAAGGAAGTGCAACCATGGAGCACTTCAGGGGTACTGGAGATCCCCTCACAAATCTATTTCACAAGGTATTGGTGAAAGGTATATCTTCTGAACTTTCCTGGCATAGGTGAGTAGATTTTACATGACAAATTTACTCTAGTATTCCAATATCCCTACGGCTTTGAATTCCTTCCTCTATGGTAAGTCAAGGGAGATGGGGCATCTCCAACATGCTTACCATGGGCCATATTTTGATACCTGTTTCAGCCAATGAACTAGAGAAACTTTTAGTGCTTTTTCTAACTCCCTGAGCTGTAACATTAAATGGAGAATATCTGCTTAGTGAATCCATATAAGCCTGATCTAACTTTATGTTTCTTCCACAATAATTCCACACTCCTAATATGCATTCCCCCACGTTATCTGGATTTCTGCTTGTATAAAATTAAAAAAATCAAGTAGTTCTTTGGGATGTAGTATACCCCCTCATGCGTTACACTTTTTTATCATCTTTAGGAGCCAGTTATGACTTGAGACTAGTTTATAGGTCTAAAAGCAAAGCGGGGTGGTGGGAATTGGTCCCAAGAAGAATCATCATCTTGCTTGGCAAATGCCCCGGAGGTCATTACCATTTTCTTAGGCAATGCAGAATTAATCCCCTGAGACAAAAGTAGAGAGGCATACACAACTGTGGGTGGGAATGCTCAAGCGGGTGGGAATGAGGAGGTTACTTCTGGCAAACAAGACTCATCACAATATACATGGTCAATGTCCCTAGCTTTATCAAGTGTTTCCACACATTCCTATCTTAACTTTCAGGAATTTTTTTTCCCCAATTCATATCCTCACTTTAACAGTAGATATTCTACAAGGGTGAGGGTTCAACTTTTCTTGTAATTCACCCAATGGGATAATGAGGGCTGGTGTTCAGTTTTCAGCAATTTTAGCCTGTGGCTATAGGAGAGAAGATTCTTACCAGAGCACACTTAGAGACTCTTAGATCATTTACATAGATTTTTTGAGCTTATTCTTTTCTTTTTTACTTTTAAGTTCAGGGTACATGTGAAGGATGTGCAGGTTTGTTACATAGATAAATGTATATCATGGGGATTTGCCGTACCAATTTTTTTATCACACAGGTATTAAGCCTAGTATCCATTAGTTATTTTTTCTGATCCTCTCCCTCCTCCCGCCGTCCACCCTCTAATAGGCCCCAGTTTGTGTTTTTCCCCTCTATGCATCCATGTATTCTCATCATTTAGCTCCCACTTATAAGTGAGAACATGCGGTATCTAGTTTTCTGTTCCAGTGTTAGTTTGCTAAGGATAATGACCTCTAGCTCCATCCATGCAAAGGACATGATTTTGTTCCTTTATGGCTGCATATTATTCCATGGTTTATATGTATCATGTTTTCTTTATCCAGTCTGTCATTGTTGGGCATTTGGATTGATTTCATGTCTTTGCTTTTGTGAATAGTGCTGCAATGAACAAACGCATGCAAGTGTCTTTATAATAGAACGATTTATATACTCCTTTGGGTATATATCCAGTAATGGGACTGCCGGGTCTATTGGTATTTCTGATTTTAGGTCCCTGAGGAATCACCACATTGTCTTCCACAATGGTGTATAAGCATTCCTTTTTCTCCATAACTTTGACAACATCTGTTATTTTTGACTTTTAGTAATAGCCATTCTGATGGTATCTCATTGCGGTTCTGATTTGCATTTCTCTAATCATCAGTGATGTTGAGCTTTTTTTCATATGCTTATTGGCCACATATATGTCTTCTTTTGAAAACTGTCTTTTCATATTATTGCCCACCTTTTAATGGGGTTGTTTGTTTTTAGCTTGTACATTTGTTTAAGTTCCTTATTAGACCTTAGTCAGATGCATAGTGTGCAAAATTTTTTCCCATTCTGTAGGTTGTCTGTTTACTCTGATGGTAGTTTCTTTTGCTGTGCAGAAGCTCTTTAGTTTCACTAGATCCAATTTGTCAATTTTTGCTTCTGTTGCAATTGCTTTTGGCATCTTTAATCATGAAATTTTTGCCCATGCCTGTGTCCTAAATGATATTGCCTAGGTTGTCTTCCAGGGTTTTTATAGTTCTGAGTTTTACATTTAAGTCTTTAATCCTTCTTGAGTTAATTATTGTACATGGTGTAAAGAAGGGGTCCAGTTTCAATTTTCTTTATATGGCTAGCCAGTTATTCCAGCACCATTTATTAAATAGAAAAAAAATTCCCCATTGCTTGTTTTTGTTGGGTTTGTGAAAGATCAGATAGTTGTAGGTCTGCAGTCTTATTTCTGGGTCCTCTGTTCTGTTCCATTGGTCTATGTGTCTGTTCTTGTTCAAGTACTATGCTGTTTTGTTCATTGTAGCCCTGTAGCATAGTTTGAAGTTGGGTAGTGTGACACCTTCAGCTTTGTTCTTTTTGCAGAAAACAAAGGCATACTACGATGTTGGTTGGTGGCTCCTAGGATTGCCTTGGCTATTTGGGCTTTTTTTTTTTTTTTTTTTGGTTCCATATGAATTTTAAAATAGTTTTCTCTAGTTCTGTGAAGAATGTCAGTGGTAATTTAATGGGAATAACATTGAATTCCATGTAGTTGAGTGGTTTTGAGTGAGATTCTTAATCCTGACTTCTAGTTTGATTGCACTGTGGTCTGAGAGATAGTTTGTTATAATTTCTGTTCTTTTACATTTGCTGAGGAGAGCTTTACTTCCAAGTATGTGGTCAATTTTGGAATAGGTGTGGTATGGTGCTGAAAAAATGTATATTCTGTTGATTTGGGGTGGAGAGTTCTGTAGATGTCTATTAGGTCTGCTTGGTGCAGAGCTGAGTTCAATTCCTGGGTATCCTTGTTGACTTTCTGTCTCGTTGATCTGTCTAATGTTGACAGTGGGGTGTTAAAGTCTCCCATTATTAATGTGTGGGAGTCTAAGTCTCTTTATAGGTCACTCAGGACTTGCTTTATGAATCTGGGTGCTCCTGTATTGGGTGTATATATTTAGGATAGTTAGCTCTTCTTGTTGAATTGATCCCTTTACCATTATGTAATGGCCTTCTTTGTCTCTTTTGATCTTTGTTGGATTAAAGTCTGTTTTATCAGAGACTAGGATTGCAACCCTTGCCTTTTTTTGTTTTCCATTTGCTTGGTAGATCTTCCTCCATCCTTTTATTTTGAGCCTATGTGTGTCTCTGCACATGAGATGGGTTTCCTGAATACAGCACACTGATGGGTCTTGACTCTTTATCCAATTTGCCAGTCTGTGTCTTTTAATTGGAGCATTTAGTCCATTTACATTTAAAGTTAATATTGTTATGTGTGAATTTGATCCTGTCATTATGATGTTAGCTGGTTATTTTGCTCGTTAGTTGATGCAGTTTCTTCCTAGTCTCGATGGTCTTTACATTTTGGCATGATTTTGCAGCGGCTGGTACCGGTTGTTCCTTTCCATATTTAGTGCTTCCTTCAGGAGCTCTTTTAGGGCAGGCCTGGTGGTGACAAAATCTCTCAGCATTTGCTTGTCTGTAAAGGATTTTATTTCTCTTTCGCTTATGAAGCTTAGTTTGGCTGGATATGAAATTCTCGGTTGAAAATTTTTTTCTTTAAGAATGTTGAATATTGGCCCCCACTCTCTTCTGGCTTGTAGGGTTTCTGCCAAGAGATCCTCTGTTAGTCTGATGGGCTTCCCTTTGAGGGTAACCCGACCTTTCTCTCTGGCTGCCCTTAACATTTTTTCCTTCATTTCAACTTTGGTGAATCTGACAATTATGTGTCTTGGAGTTGCTCTTCTCGAGGAGTATCTTTGTGGCGTTCTCTGTATTTCCTGAATCTGAACGTTGGCCTGCCTTGCTAGATTGGGGAAGTTCTCCTGGATACTATCCTGCAGAGTGTTTTCCAACTTGGTTCCATTCTCCCCATCACTTTCAGGTACACCAATCAGATGTAGATTTGGTCTTTTCACATAGTCCCATATTTCTTGGAGGCTTTGCTCATTTCTTTTTATTCTTTTTTCTCTAAACTTCCCTTCTCACTTCATTTCATTCATTTCATCTTCCATCACTGATACCCTTTCTTCCAGTTGATCGCATTGGCTCCTGAGGCTTCTGCATTCTTCACGTAGTTCTCGAGCCTTGGTTTTCAGCTCCATCAGCTCCTTTAAGCACTTCTGTGTATTGGTTATTCTAGTTATACAGTCTTCTAAATTTTTTTCAAAGTTTTCAACTTCTTTGCCTTTGGTTTGAATGTCCTCCCATAGCTCAGAGTAATTTGATCGTCTGAAGCCTTCTTCTCTCAGCTCGTCAGAGTCATTCTCCATCCAGCTTTGTTCCGTTGCTGGTGAGGAACTGCGTTCCTTTGGAGGAGGAGAGGTGCTCTGCTTTTTAGAGTTTCGGGACATGGATGAAATTGGAAATCATCATTCTCAGTAAACTATCGCAAGAACAAAAAACCAAACACCGCATATTCTCACTCATAGGTGGGAATTGAACAATGAGATCACATGGACACAGGAAGGGGACTATCACAGTCTGGGGACTGTTGTGGGGTGGGGGCAGGGGGGAGGGATAGCATTGGGAGATATACCTAATGCTAGATGACGAGTTAGTGGGTGCAGCGCACCAGCATGGCACATGTATACATATGTAACTAACCTGCACAATGTGCACATGTACCCTAAAACTTAAAGTATAATAAAAAAAAATTGAATTTATGAATTGCTTTGGGCAATACGGCCATTTTAACAATATTGATTCTTCCTAACCATGAGCATGGCATGTTTTTCCATTTGTTCGTGTCATCTCTGATTTTTTTAAGAAGTGGTTTGTAGTTCTTTTTGTAGGAGCTCATGATTTTCTTTATCACTTTGTCCAGTGATACTAGGAGCAACCAACTATCATTATATTTCTTTCTTTTCTGCAAATGTTAAAAAGTATCATGTATAGAGTCACTAATTTTGTGCCTCTTATAAATGGTGAATTAGTAGTACGAAATGGATTTATTTTGTGTATCTCTATAAACAGTTTATACCATGGGCTATCATTGCATTCTGTACTATTATAAATGAGGCCTTAGTATTTTTAAATTTAATCAGATTAGAGCCAGTTCCAGATACCCAAAACCAATTAAAGAAAATGAATCTTTAAAATTCTGTTTCTCTAGAGTCACTTCTAGTACCTAAATCTGTGTTAGGGCTTTCCAGAAAGGCAGAGCCAATGGGATATAGACAGATAGATATAAATAAATAGATATATTAGATAGACAGATACATGCGAGGTTTTATTAGGGAAATTAGCTCATATGATTATGGAGCCAGAGAAATTCCATGACAGGCCATCTGCAAGTTGGAGTTCCTGAAATGCTGTAGTGTGGCTTAGTTCAAGTCTGAAGGCCTCAGAACCATGAAAGCTGGTGGTGTCACTCTCAATCTGATGCTAATAGCCTGGGAACCCATGAGGCCACTGGTGTGAATCCTGGAGTCCTAAGGCCAGAAAGCATGTAGTTGTCCCAAGGATAGAAGATGAAGATGGATAGACATATTTACCACTTCTCAGCTTGTGTTATTTCAGGATCCCCAGCAGATTGGATGGTGCCCTCTCACATTGAGTGTGGACGTTCCTTACCTAGTCTACTCAACTCATAGGTTAATCTCCTCTGAAAACACCCTCACAGACATACCGTGAAATAATGCTTTACCAGGTTTCTAAGTATTTATCAATGCAGCCAAGTCAACACTTAAAATTAATTATCATAGATATGAATGATGAAAACTGTTAAAACTTGCAATGTTGTTTTGCAATTTTTATCCAATTTAAAATGCATGTTTAATATAATTCCACAGAGGATATTAATTTTTAAATGCTTTCTCTACATTAGAAACACTTTCAGCCCTTACCTTAGCTTGATAATGTTAATATAAAGGGATCTAGATTACCAGTCACTACAGGGATTGATACTTTCTAGGAAATATCTTGAGATGCTAATGAGCTGTGATGGTTAATACTGAGCGTCAACTTGATTGGATTGAAGGATGCAAAGTATTGATCCTGTGTGTGTCTGTGAGGGTGTTGCCAAAGGAGATTAACATTTGAGTCAGTGGGCTTGGAAAAACAGATGCACCCTTAATCTCAGTGGGAACCATCTAATCAGCTGCCAGCACAGCTAGAAGATAGAGCAGGCAGGAACATGTGAAAAGACTAGACTGGCTTAGCCTCACAGCCTACACTTTTCTTCCATGCTGGATGCTTCCTGGCCTCAAACATTGGACTCCAAATTCTTTAGTTTTGGGGCTCAGACTGGCTCTCCTTGCTCCTCAGCTTGCAGATAGCCTATTGTGGGACCTTGTGATCATGTGACTTAACACCTAAGAAACTCCCATATATATTCTATTATATAGATATATTCTATTATATACCCATAACTAATAGGAGATATATATATATATATATATATCAGGATCCAGTTTATATATATATATATATATATCCTATTAGTTCTGTCCCTCTAGAGAACCCTGACTAATACAAATTTTGGTACCAGGAGTGGTTCTACAGGAACAGAATATTAAGGGTGGAGTTCTTTCATTGGTTTTGGGGTTTCTGGATTTGGCTGCTTAATATTGTTAGACCCAAAAATGCTAAGGACTGTGCTTCTAATAGTATGGAAAACACTGATAGTCCTTGGCATACTTTTTAGAGATTTATGCAAAATAAATGCATTTAACATTCTTGATTTACTGCTTGTGAGAGGCAAGGAGTTCAGTGATTCTGTACATAATAACTTTGACCATATGTGAAGAACCAAGGAATATAATGAAGCTGGTTCATTGCTCCTAAGTTCAGTGGACAAAGGGATGAAAGAAAATGATAAACTCAGGGATTCTAACTCCCAGCTTCAGAAGCAAATATTGAGCCTCAAATCTGCTAAGATTGCCAAGTGAGAGTCTTATCTCCTGTAGAGAATGAGCTGAAATTGTAGAAAATAGACACAAACTCTTATCATGCAAATGGCTAACCTGCAATGAAAAATGCATGCACAGCCTTGCCAGGTGTCTACTGTTAAAGTGAGGGCATTGATCAGAAAAGAACGAGACTCTGCAACTTGGAATGGGAACATGTGGGAGAACCCTGATGAAGCTGTGGACACTAAATTTGTAAACTCTGATGAACCTTTTTTGCCAGAAGGAACAGCTTTCCCATCCCCAGTAGTGGGAACATCCCCTCCTTGACCCAAATGCTGCCATCAGCCTTTCCACTGTTGTCTGCGAAGATGAAACCTGTGCTGCCTGAGGCAACAGTGATGGCCTCCCTAAGGCAGTTGCCAGGCAAGATAATGCTGATTCTCCTCAGGAGCCACCTCCAACACCACTGTTTGATTCTAGACCTATAACTAGACTAAAGTTCCAGCAGGCCTGTAGAGGTGAGTTTGAGAGTGTGACCCATGAGGTAGTGCAATACACTAGAAAAGAACTGCTTTATTTTTCTGTTTAAATAAGACAGAAATCTGGATAACAGTCATGGGGTTGGATATTAAGGGTGAGGGATAATGGTGGAAGAAACATAGAGTTGGATCAGGCTGAATTTATTGATGGGCCCACTAAGTAGGGACTCTGCATTTAATGTTGCAGCTCGAGGAGTTAGAAAAGGTTCTAACAGTTTATTTGCTTGGTTGGTTGAAATATGTATTAAAATATGGCCCACTGTGAGTGAGCTGGAAATGCCTGATCTCCCTTGGTTAAATGTAGAGGAAGGGATCAAAAGGCTTAGGGAGATTGGAATGCTAGGGTGGATTAGTTACTTTTGACCTACTCATCCCAGTTGGGAGGGTCCGGAGAATATACCCTCAACCAATGCCTTGCAAAATAGATTTGTGAGGACAGCACCTGTATCTTTGAAGAGACCTGTAATTGCTCCTCTCTATATTTCAGATCTAACAGAGGGAACTACAGTCACTCAACTACAAAATTTAAATACAATGGGAATAATTGGATCCTGAGGTGGCAGGGGAAAAGTGGCAGCACTCAACCATCAAAGGCAAGGTAAGCATAGCTATCATAATGGACACTAGAGAAAAAACAGTAATCAGAATAGTCTGACTCATGTAGAGCTCTGGGATTGGCTAATTAATCATGGTGTTCCTAGAAGTGAAACTGATAGGAAGCCTACTGCATTCCTACTTAATTTATGTAAGCAGAAAACTTCTAGGTAGAATGGACAAAAGACTAATTTGAATTGTAAAAACAGAATCACGGCCCCTCAATCAATTTCCCAACTTGAACCAGTTTACACGCCCAGAACCCCTTGAATGAAGGGAAGGCCAGGACCCCTTGAGGAAAGGCTCCACTACACTACCGATTTACCAGAGTAACTGTGCATTGGGGAAAGGGATCAGACATTTCAGGGACTACTGGACACTGGCTCTGAGCTGATGTTGATTCCAGGGGACCCATAATGTCATTGTGGTCCTCCAGTTAAAGTAGGGGCTTATGGAGGTCAGTCAATTAATGGGGTTTTAGCTCAGGTCCGACTTACAGTGGGTCCAGTGAGTCCCCAGGCTCATCTGTGGTCATTTCCCCAGTGCCAGAATGCATAATTGGCATAGACATACTTAGCAGCTGATAGAACCCCCACATTAGCTCCATGACTGGTAAGATGAGGGTTGTTATGGTGGGAAAGGCCAAATGGAAGCCATTAGAGCTGCCTCTATCTAGCAAAATGGTAAATCAAAAACTATATTTCATCCCTGGAGGGATTGTGGAAATTAGTGCCACCATCAAGGACTTGAAAGATGCAGGGGATGTGATTCCCACCACATCCCCGTTCAGCTCTCCGATTTGGCCTATTGTGGAAGAAAAGTTAAATATTAAATTTGAACTCAATTGAACATGGACACAAACAATGGTCACCAACTTCCGGAACAGGTGGTGTGAGCCCCTTGAGGTGTTCATTCGGCACTGTTTCAAAGAAACCTATATTAGTTATTGCAAAACAGTAGACAATAATAAAAAAAAAAGTTGACCTTTTTGTGTTCCTTGAGCCCAGTCATCAAGGGCCCTTGTGACTGGGCCTCATACCAAACAACTTGTCACAAAAAGAGCTAGGGTCCTAGACTATGCTGAAGCTTCATGAGACCTCGTCTGTGCATATGGGAGTGTCCAACTCTGGAGCCCAGGCTGTTGCTTCTCAGTCTGGTGGTGAATCCTCCATAGTCTGGTGAGTGCGGTGTCTGACCCTGGAGCCCAGGCTGTTGCTTCCCAATCTGGTGGTGAATCCTCCATAGTTTGGTGAGTGTAAATGTATATATATATGTATCTTTTCCCTTCTCCCCGACCATTGCAATTTGCTTATCATATCAATTTGCCTATATTAATTTGCTTATTATATCATTTGCTTATTATATTATTTGCGTATTATATCTGCATTGCCATTTACGTGAGATACAGCTTGTTTACTCTTAAAGGTACTGTGTGTGTGATTTTCTCCCCTTGTGCGTTTCCTGCACAGAACACCTGTGCAGAAGACAGATGAATCTTGGAGAATGACAGTGGATTATCGTAAGCTTAACCAAGTAGTGACTCCAATTGCAGCTGCTGTACCAGATGCAGCAGGTGGTTTCATTTCTTGAGCATATTAACACATCTCCTGGTACCTGGTATGCAGCCATTGACTTGGCAAATGCCTTTTTCTCCATTCCTGTTCACAAAGCCCACTAGAAGCAATTTACCTTCAACTGGCAAGGCCAGCAGTATACCTTTACTGTCTTACCTCAGGGGTATATCAACTATCTGGCTTTGTGTCATAATCTTATTTGGAGACAACTTGATTGCTTTTTGCTTCCACAAGATATCACACTGGTTCATTACATTATGACATTATGCTGATTGGATCCAGTGAGCAAGAAGTAGCAAACACACTGGACTTATTGGTGAGATATTTGCGTGCCAGAGGATGGGAAATAAATCCGACTAAAATTAAGGGACATTGTACCTCAGTGAAATTTCTAGGGGTCCAGTGGTGTGGGGCCTGTCAAGATATTCCTTCTAAGGTGAAGAATAAATTACTGCATTTTGTCCCTCCTACAACCAAGAAAAAGTCATAGTGCCTAGTGGATCTATTTGGATTTTGAAGGCAACATATTCCTCATTTGGGTGTGTTACTCTGGCCCATTTACTGAGTGACCCAACAGGCTGCAGTTTTGAGTGGGGTCCAGAACAGGAGAAGGCTCTGCAACAGGTCCAGGCTGCTGTGCAAGCTGGTCTGCCACTTGGGCCATATGACCCAGCAGATCAAATGGTGCTTGAGGTGTCAGTGGCGGACAGGGATGCTATTTGGATCCTTTGGCAGGCTCCAATAAGTGAATCACAGCGGAGGCCTCTGGGATTTTAAAGCAAGGCCCTGTCAACTTCTTCAGATAACTACTCTCCTTTTGAGAGACAGCTCTTGGCCTGTTACTGGGCTTTGGTGGAAACTGAATGTTTGACTATGGGTCGTCAAGTCACCATGGGACCTGAACTGTCTGTCATGAACTGGGTGCTTTCTGGCCCATCTACATATAAAGTGCGCCATGCACAGCAGCATTCCATCATCAAATGAAAGTGGTATACACGTGATCGGGTTCGAGCAGGTCCTGAAGGCACAAGTAAGTTACATGAGGAAGTGGCTCAAATACCCATGGTCTGCACTCCTGTAACCCTGCCTTCTCTCCCCCAGCCTGCACCGATGGCCTCATGGGGAGATCCCTATGATCAGTTGACAGAGGAAGACAAAAGACTAGGGCCTGTTTCACACATTGTTCTGCATGATATGCAGGCACTACCCTAAAGTGGACAACTGCAGCACTACAGCCCCTTTCTAGGACATCCCTGAAGGACAGTGGTGAAGGGAAATCTTCCCAGTGGGCAGAACTTCGAGTAGTGCACCTGGTTGTGCACTTTGCATGGAAGGAGCGATGGCCAGATGTGCGATTATAGACTGATTCATGGGCCGTAGCCAGTGGTTTGGCTGGATGGTCAGGGACTTGGAAGGAGAATGATTGGAAAATGGGTGACAAAGAAATTTGAGGAAGAGGCATGTAAATGGACCACTCTGAATGGTCAAAAACGTTGAAGATATTTGTATCCCATGTGGCTACTCACTAACGGGTGACCTCAGCAGCGGAGGATTTTAGTAATAAAGTGGATAGGATGACCCGTTCTGTGGACACGACTCAGTCTCTTTCCCCAGCCACCCCTGCCATAGCCCAATGGGCCCATGGAAAAAGTGGCCATGGTGGCAGGGATGGAGGTTACACATGGGCTCAGCAACATGCACTTCCACTCACCAAGGCTGACCTGGCTACAGCCACCACTGAGTACCCAATTTGCCAGCAGCAGAGACCAACACTGAAACTTCTATATGGCAGCACCTCTCAGAGTGATTAGCCAGCTACCTGGTGGCAGGTTGATTATATTGGACTCTTCCATTGTGGAAAGGGCAGAGGTTTGTCCTCACTGGAATAGACACTTACTCCAGTTATGGGTTTGCCTATCCTGCATGAAATGCTTCTGCCAAGACTACCATCTGTGGACTCACGGAATGCCTTATCCATCGTCCTGGTACTCCACACAGCATTGCCTCTGACCAAGACACTCACTTTATGGCTAAAGAAGTGCAGCAGTGGGCTCCTCCTCATGAAATTCACTGGCCTTACCATGTTCCCCATCATGAGAATGGATTGGTGGAATGGTGGAATGGCCTTTTGAAGTCACAATTACAATGCCAACTAGATGACAATACTTTCCAGGGCTGGGGCAAAGTTCTCCAGAAGGCTATGTATGCTCTGAATAAGCGTCCAATATATGGTACTGTTTCTCCCATAGCCAGGATTCACGGGTCCAAGAATCAAGGGATGGAAGTGGAAGTGGCACCACTCACCATCATTCCTAGTGATCTACTAGCAAAATTTTTGCTTCCTATTCCTGTGACATTACTTTCTGCTGGCCTAGAGGTCTTAGTTCCAGAGGGAGGAAGGCTGCCACCAGGAGACACAATGATTCCATTAAACTGGAAGCCAAGATTGCCACATGGACACTTTGGGCTCCTCCTGCCTTTAAGTCAACAGGCCAAGAAGGGAGTTAAAGTGTTGACTGGGGTGATTGACCGAGATTATCAAGATGAAACCAGTCTACTATTCCACAACAGAGGTAAAAAAGAGTACGCATGGAATGCAGGAGATTCATTAGGGTGTCTTTTAGTGTTACCATTCCGTGTGACTAAGGTCAATGGGAAACTACAACAAGCCCAATCCAACAGAACTACAAATGGCCCATATCCTTCAGGAATAAAGGCTTGGGTCACTCCACCAGGGGAAAAAAACATGACCTGCTGAGATGCTTGCTGAAGGAAAAGGGAATACAGAATGGGTAGTAGAAGAAGGTAGTCATCAATACCAGCTACGACAACGTAACCCAGCTGCAGAAACGAGACTGTAATTGTCATGAGTATTTTCTCCTTCTTTTGTTAAAAACATGTTTGTGCATGTATACACTTGTACTAAAAAAATCATTTTACTTCCTTTTTCTTTATCATGTGACATAAGATTTATTGACTTCATATAAGCATTTAAGTTTTATTAACTTTATGTGATAGTAGTTGTGTTGGGGATTGGTGAGTTTCCAGTTGTACAAAGGATAGTTGTATTATGTTAGGCATAATTATGACATTATTGTCTTTATTTGAGGGTCTCAGGAGATGTGTATGGGTTCAAGTTGACAAGGGGTGGATTTGTGATGATTATACTGAGTTTCAACTTTATTTGATTGAAGGATACAAAATATTGACCCTGGGTGTATCTGTGAGGGTATTGCCAAAGGAGATTAAAATTTGAATCAGTGGGCTGGGAAAGGCAGACCCACCCATAATCTTCGTGGGTACCATCTAATCAGCTGCCAGTGTGGCTAGAAGTTAAAACAGGCAGAAACATGTGAAAAGACTAGACTAGCCTAACCTCACAGCCTACATTTTTTTCCCATGCTGGATGCTTCCTGCCCTCAAACATCGGACTCCAAGTTCTTCAGTTTTGGGACTCCGACTGGCTCTCCTTGCTTCTTAGCTTCCAGATGGCCTATTGTGGGACCTTGTGATCATGTGAGTTAAGGCTTAATAAACTATATATATATATATATGTGTATATATATATATATAAAACTATATATATATAAAACTGTGTGTGTGTGTACATATATATATATATATATAATTAGTTCTGTCCCTCTAGAGAACCCTGAGTAATACATGTGTTTCCAGCCTTTTAAAGAAATAAGGCAAATCATATTTATCACTTTTTTCTGTCGTTACAACAAACTCAAACTGGCTTAACTCATGTGTCATGATAATGTAAATTAAAATTTGTAAAACCAAAGAGAATTTTTAGTAACATTGGTAATATTACTTAGTGTACTTACTTTTATTTTACAAATTTACAGATAATGTTGTATGCTTTTACCGTGTACAACATAGTTTTTAAGTAAATGTAAATTGTAGAATGACAAAATATATTCGATTAATGAATGATTTTATATTTTGACTATTGTGATAGTGCTGGGATAAACATGAGATGGCAGCTATTTACTTGACCCACTGATTTTAATTCCTTTCAATATATACCTAGTAGTGGGATTGCTGGACAATATGGTAGTTTTATTTTTAATTATTTGAGAGATGTTCATACTGTATGAGTCCTCTTTGCTCCACATTCTCATTAGTAGGTTTATATTGTCTATTTGATAATGATCACTATAACTGGGATGAGGTGATATTTAACTGAGGTTTTTATTTGAATTTCTCAGATGATCAGTGATGTTGAACATTTTTTTGACATACCTGTTCTTCATTTGTATGTCTTTTATTGAGAAATTTTTATTCAGATTTTTTTTTCATTTTTACATCAGGTTATTTACTTGTTTGTTTTTTCCTATTGAGTTATTTGAGTTCCTTGTATATTCTGGATATTAGTATATTGCTGGATAAATTGTTTGCAAACATTTTTTCTTATTTGGTAGGTTGTCTCTTCACTCTCCTGATTGGTTCTTTTGTTACAGTGAAGATTTTATTTTGATATGGTTCCATTTGTCTATTTTTGCATTTGTTACCAGTGCTTTTGAGGTTTTATCAAAAAAAATTTGCCCATACAAAAGTCATAAAACATTTCCCCTATGTTTTCTTCTGGAAGTTTCATAGTTTTAGATCTTACATTTAAGTCTTTAATACATTCTGAGTTAATTTTTGTAGATTCTGAAATATAATGGTTTAATTTTATTCTTCTCTATGTAGATATCTAGTTTTCTCAACACCATTTGTTGAAGAGACTGTCCTTTCCCCATAACATGTTCTTGGCACCTTTGTCAAACATCAGTTGGTGTAAACTGTGTGAATTTATTTCTGGTCTTTCTATTCTTTTCCACTTGTCCATATGCCTTATTTTATGTCAATGCAATGCTCTTTGCTTTGCTGTATTTTTGCAGTATACTATGAAGTCAGGCTGTAGTATAAGGCCATTAACTTTTTTGGTTGTTATTAAAATTGATTTGGCTATTTAAGGACTTTTGTGGTTTCATATTAATTTCAGAAGATTGTTTTCTATTTCTATGAAGAATGGCATTGGTGTTTAGATAGGGATTCATTAAATCTGTAAATCTTTTTAGGTAGTGTGAACATTTTAACAATATTAGTTCTTCCAATGCATGAACATAAGGTAGACATTTATTTGTACATTTTTCAATTTTTTCATTAGTGTTGTAGAGTTTTAACTGCATCAATATTTAACCTACTTGGTTAAATTTATTCCTAGGCATTTTGCTTTATTGTATTTGTAAATTGGAAGAATTTATTGATTTCTTTTCAGATAATTTGCTATCAGCATATAGAAATTCTACTAATTTTTGTATGTTGATTTTATAATCTGCAAATTTACTGAATTTATTTGTTGGTCTAACAGCTTTTCAGTGAAGTGTTTAGGATTTTGTATGCGTAAGGGCATATCATAAGCAAACAATGATAATTTAATTCTTCTTTGCAATTTGAATGCCTTTTTATGCTTGCCTAATTACTCTGCTTAGGACTTCTATTATTATATTAAATAGAAGTATTGAAAGTGGAAATCCTTGCCTTGTTCCAGTTCTTAGAGGAAAGGATTTCAACTTTTCCCCATTCAATATGAAATTAACTGTCAATTTGTAGTATATGGCCTTCACATTATGTTCATGTACATTTCTTCTACACATAATATGTTGAGTAATTTTTTATCATGAAGAAGGATGAATGTTGTCAAATGCTTTTTCTGCATCTATTGACATGATCATATAATTTTTGTCCTTTATTATTTTAATATGATGTATCATTTATTGATTCACACATGTTGGACATACTTGCATTCCTGGAATAAATCTTACTTGATTATAGTGATGATCTTTTTATGTGTTGTGGAGTTTACTTTCTTATTTTTTAATTTTTAATTTTAGGTTTAGAAGTACATGAACTGGTTTCCTATATAGGTAAGTTCATGTCATGGGTGTTTCTTATAAGGATTATCACCCAAGTACCAAGTCTAGTACTCAATGTTTATTTTTCCTAATTCTCTCCCTCCTCCTTCAAGGAGACCCTAGTATCTGTTGCTCCCCTCTTTGGGTTATTGCATTCTCATTATTTGCCTCCCACTTATAATTGGGATCACATGGTATTTGCTTTTCTGTTTCTGGATTACTTTGCTAAAAATCATGGCCTCCAGTTCCATTCCTCTTCCTGCAAAGGAAATTATTTCATTCTTTTTATGGCTGCATAGTATTTCATGGTGTATATGTAACGCGTTTTCTTTATCTGGTCTACAATAGATGGGCATTTAAGTTGATTCCATGTCTTTACTATTGTGAATAGTGCTGCAATGACAAATAATAGTTCTGGTTTTAGCTCTTTGAGAAATTGCCATGCTACTTTCTTTTTATTTTATTTTATTTCTTTTTCAATTTTTTTATCTTATGCATTTTTAAATTATACTTTAAGTTCTAGGGTACATGTGCACAACGTGCAGGTTTGTTACATATGTATACATGTGCCATGTTGGTGTACTGCACCCATTAACTCGTCATTTACATTAGGTATATCTCCTAATGCTATCCCTCCCCCCTCCCACCACCCCATGACAGGCCCAAGTGTGTGATGTTCCCCTTCCTGTGTCCAAGTGTTCTCATTGTTCAATTCCCACCTATGAGTGAGAGCATGCAGTGTTTGGTTTTCTGTCCCTGTGATAGTTTGCTGAGAATGATGGTTTCCAGCTTCATCCATGTCCCTACAAAGGACATGAACTCATCCTTTTTTATGGCTGCATAGTATTCCATGGTGTATACGTGCCATGCTGCTTCTACAATGGCTGAACTAATTTACACTCCCACTAAGAGTGTATACACATTTCTGTTTCTCTGCAAACTCACTAGAATCTGTTTTTTTTTTTTTTGACTTTTTATTAATAGCCATTCTGATGAGATCGAGTGTGTTCAGGGTGGTATGGCCACTGACAGCACTAGATAGCTCATCAAGACAGAAAATCAACAAAGAAACAATGGATTTAAACTATACCCTAGAACAAATAGACTTAACAGATATTTACAGAACATTACACTCAACAACTGTAGAATATACATTCTATTCAGCAGCACATGGAACATTCTCTAAGATAGACCATATTGTGGGCCACAAAATAAGTCTCAATACATTTAAGAAAATTAAAATTAAAACTATACCAAGTACTCTTTCAGACATCAGTGGAATAAAACTGGAAATCAACTCCAAAGGAACACTCAAAACCATGCAAAAACATGAAAATTAAATAACCTGCTCCTGAATGATCATTGGGTTAATAATGAAATCAAGATGGAAATTTAAAAAATTCTTAGAACTGAATGATAATAGTGACACAACCAATCAAAAGCTCTGGGATACAGCAAAGGTTATGCAAAGAGGAAAGTTCATAGCCTTAAATGCCTACATTAAAAATTATGAAAGAGCACACATAGGCAATCTAAGATACCACTCAAGGAACTAGATAAACAGGAACAAATCAAACCCAAACCCAGCAGAAGGAAAGAAATAACAAAGATCAGAGCAGAACTAAATGAAACTGGAATTTAAAAAATACAAAAAATAAATTTAAAAAAGCTGGTTCCTTGGAAAGATAAATGAAATTGATAGATCATTAGTGAGATTAACCAAGAAAAGAAGAGAAAAGACCCAAATAAGCTCAATTAGAAGTGAAAATGGAAATATTACAACTGATACCACATGAACACCTTTATGCATACAAACTAGAAAATATAGAAGATATGGATAAATCCTGGTAATACACAACCCTCCTAGATTAAACCAGGAAGAAATAGAATCTCTGAACAGACCAACAACAAGCAGTGGGATTGAAATGGTAATAAAAAAAAATGCCAACAAAAAAGTCCAGGACCAGACAGATTCACAGCTGAATTCTATCAGACATTCAAAGAAGAATTGGTACCAATTCTATTGACACTATTCCAAAAGATAAAGAGGAATTTCTTCCTAAATCATTCTATGAAGCCAGTGTCACCCTAATACCAAAACCAGGAAAAGACATAACAGAAAAAGAAAACTACAGATCAATATCCATGATGAACATAGATGCAAACATTCTCAACAAAATATAGCTAACCAAATCCAACAGCATATCAAAAAGATAATCCACCATGATCAAGTTGGTTTCATAACAGGGATGCAGGGATGGTTTAACATACACAAGTCAATAAATGTGATAAACCATATAAACAGAATTACAAACAAAAATCACATGATCATCTCAATAGATTAAAAAAAATTTGACAAAATTCAGCATCTGTTTATAATTAAAACGCTCGGCAAAATCAGCATAGAAGGGACATACTTAAAGGTAATATAACCCATCTATGACAAACCCACAGCCAACATTATACTGAACAAGGAAAAGTTGAAAGCATTCCCCCTGAGAATTGGATCAAGACAAGGATACCCACTTTCACCACTTCTATTCAACAGAGTACTGGAAATCCTAGCCAGAGCAGTCAGACAAGAGAAAGAAATAAAGGGCATCCAAATCAGTAAAGAGGAAGTCAACCTGTCACTGTTTGCTGATGATATGATCATATACCTAGAAAACCCGAAGACTCATCCAAAAAACTCCAAGAACTGATAAATGAATTTAGCAAAATTTCTGGATGCAAAATTAATGTACACAAATCAGTAGTACTGCTATACAGCAACAGCTACCAAGCTGAGAATAAAATCAAGAACTCAATCCATTTTACAATAGCTGCAAAAAAAAAAAGAAAAGAAAAGAAAAGAAAATACTTAGAAATATACCTAACCCAGGAAGTGAAAGATCTCTACAAGGAAAACTCTAAAACCCTGCTGAAAGAAATCATAGAGAATGCAAACAAATGAAAACACATCCCATGCTCATGGATGGGAGGAATCAATATTGTGAAAATAACCATACTTCCAAAAGCAGTCTACAATTTCAATTCAACTCCCATCAAAATACGACCATCATTCTTCACAGAACTAGAAAACTCAGTCCTAAAATTCATATGGAACCAAAACTAGCCAAAGCAAGACAAAGAAAAAAAAATCTGGAGGCATCACATTATGATTCAAATTATAGTACAAGTCTGTAGTCACCAAAACAGCATGGTACTGCTAGAAAAATAGGCAGATGCGGCCGGGCGTGGTGGCTCGTGCCTGTAATCCCAGCACTTTGGGAGGCTGAGGCGGGAGGATCACAAGGTCAGGAGATCAAGACCATCCTGGCTAACACGGTGAAATCCCGTCTCTACTGAAAAATACAAAAAATTAGCGGGGCGTCGTGGCAGGCGCCTGTAGTCCCAAGCTACCCCGGAGGCTGAGGCAGGAGAATGGCGTGAACCCGGGAGGCGGAGCTTGCAGTGAGCTGAGATCACGCCACTGCACTCCAACCTGGGCGACAGAGCAAGACTCCGTCTCAAAAAAAAAAAAAAAAAAAAGGCAGATGCACCAATGGACTAAAATAGAAAACCCAGAAATATAGCCAAATATATACAAATATATACAGCCAACAGATCTTTGACAAAGCAAACAAAAACAAAAACATAAAGTGAGAAAGGACACCCTATTCGACAAATGGTGCGGTATAATTGGCAACCCTCATGTAGAAAAATAAAACTGGATCCTCCTCTGTCACCTTATAAAAAAAATCAACTCAAGATGGATCAAAGACTTAAATGTAAGACCTAAAACCATAAAAATTCTAGAAGATAACATTGAAAAAACTCTTCTAGACATTGGGTTAGGCAAAGACTTCATGACCAAGTACACCAAAGCAATTGCAACGCAAACATAAATATATGGGACTTAATTAAACTAAAAATCTTCTGCACAGCTAAAGAAATAATCAGTAAAGTACACAGACAACCCCCAGAGTGGAGAAAATCTTTGCAAACTATGCATCTGACAAAGGATGAACATCCAGAATCTATAAGGAATTCAAACAAATCAGCAAGAAAAAAAATTATTTCATCAAAAAGTGTGCTAAGGACATAAATAGACAATTCTCAAAAGAGGATATACAAATGGCCAACAAACATATTCAAAAAATGCTCAACATCACTGATTATCAGGGAAATGCAAATCAAAACCATAATGCCATACCACCTAATTCCTACAAGAATGGGCATATTAAAAAAAAATTAGATGTTGACATGGATGTCATGTAAAGGGAACACTTTTACACTGCTGGTGGGAATGTAAACTAGTAAAACCGCTGTGGAAAACAGTGTGAAGTTTCCTTAAAGAATTAAAAGTAGATGTACCATTTGATCCAGCAATCCCACTCCTGGGTATCTATCCAGAGGAAAAGAAGTCACTTTTCAAAAAAGATATTTTCACATGCATGTTTATTGCAGCACATTTCTAAATTGTAAAAATATGGAACCAATCCAAATGCCCATCAATCAATGAGTAAATAAAGAAAATGTGGTATATATATGTATATATGTGTGTGTATATATATGTATATATGTGTGTGTGTGTGCATATATATATATGCCGTGGAATACTACTCAGCCATAAAAAGAATGAAATAATGGCATTAGCAGCAATTTGGAGACCATTATTCTCAGTGAAGTAGCTCAGGAATGGAGAACCAAACATTGTTCTCATTCATAAGTGGGAGTTAAGCTATGAGGACACAAAGCCATAAGAATGATACAATGGTCTTTGGGGACTCAGGGAAAAGGGTGGGAGGGGGTGAAGGATAAAAGACTACACATTGGGTACAATGTTCACTACTCGGGTGATGGGTGCACCAAAATCTCAGAAATCGCCAGTAAATAAGTTATTCTTGTATCCAAACACCACCTGTTTCCCCAAAACTATTGAGATTAAAAATAAATAAGTAAAATTACATTAACTGGCCTTCCAGTGGTACACACAAAAAATAGCCATTCTGACTAGTGTGAGATGGCATCTCATTGTGGTTTTGATATTTGTTTCTTTAATGATTAGTGATATTGAACTTTTTTTTCACATGCTTGTTGGTCACATGTATGTCCTTTTTGAAAACTGTTCATGGCTTTTGACCATTTTTTAATGGGGTTCTGTGTTTTTTTTCTTGTAAACATATTTGTTTCTTATGGATGCTGAATATTAGAACTTTGTCAGATGCATAGTTTGCAAATGTTTTATCTGATTCTGTATGTTGTCTCTTTACTCTACTGATACTCTTCTCTGAAGAAGCCCTTTACTTAAAATAGATCCCATTTTTCTGCTTTTGGTGCAATTGGTGTCTTAGTCATGAAATATTTGCTAGCGCCTATGTCCAGAATAGTATTGCCTAGGTTGCATCCCAAAGTTTTTATCCTTTTGGATTTTACATGTAAGTCTTTTATCCATCTTGAGTTTAATTTTGTATATGGTGTAAGGAAGGGGCCAAGTTTCAATTTTCTGCATATGGCTAACCAGTCATCCCAGCACCATTTATTGAATAGAGAGTCATTTCCCCATTGCTTCTTTTTGTCACCTTTGTCAAAGATCAGGTGGTTGCAGGTGTGGTCTTATTTTTTGGCTCTCTGTTCTGTTTCATTGGTCTATGTGTCTGTTTCTGTTCCAGTACCATGCTGTTTTGGCTAGTGTAGCCCCCTAGTATAGTTTGAAGTTAGGTAATGTGATACTTCCAGCTTTGTTCTATTTGCTTAAGATTGCCTTGGCTACTTGAGCATTTTGGGTTCCATATGAATTTTAAAATAGTTTTTTTCTAGTTCTGTGAAGAATGTCACTTATAGTTTGTTAGGGATAGCATTGAATCTGTAAATAGCATTGGGCAGTTTGGCCATTTTAATATTGATTCTTCCTATCCATGAGCATGAAATTTTTCCATTTGCTTGTGTCATCTCTGATTTCTTTATAGAAGGCAGAAAAAAGAGTGAAGCTAGCATATCTGGTGAAAGAAATATCTAAGTAGCAAAGCATTCAGTCTGCTGTATGGCTACTTTTAACTGCTTATATAAAATAAGAGAGGAAAAAGATAATATAAAAACAGAATTTATAATTTTAAAAGAAAGCATAGTAGAAAGAATTAGAAAATTTGCAGCCTAGTCATATGGTGGAGAATGAAAGAGCATTTTTAGTAGAGGAAACCAAGAGTGTGACCAAGTGAACTATTGATAAGATTAGTATGGATAGAAAAAAGCCAGGGGCTATTCATCAGAATAGTGGGAGAAAACCCTAAGATATTTCAGAGATATTTGATGTGGCCCCTCCCATCACAGGCCCAGAGCTCTAGGAGGGCAGAATTTATTTAGGGGATGGGTCCCTGCTTTAATTGTCTCAGGTGTCTGCTCCCAGCATTTCAGAAATGCAGCAGTGTTCAGCCACCCCAGCTATGGCTCAAATGGCCTCAGGTGGTTTGGCCTGCTACTCTGAAAGGTGCAAGTCATAAACTTTGGCAGCATCTATGTGGTGCTAATACTGAAGATATGCAGAATGCAAAAACTGTCGGAGGATGGATTTCTTCATTTTGATTTCAAAGGATGTCACAGACAGCCTGAGGAGCAAGGAAGAGATGTCACAAAAGAAAAGACACCAAAGAGAGCCTTCACCAAGGCAATGCCTAGGGGATCCATGGGAGCAAGGCCATTGCAGGGAGTCCCCACTAGCATAATGCCTAATGGAGTCTTGGGAGCAGCACCACCACAAAGATCCCAGAATTACGGAGCTATTAATGTGCAAAGCCAACTCAGGAAGGCTTAATTGTGGGGTGAGTCCAGCAATGTGGTGTGTGTGGGGCTTCCTTAAGGCCTTGAGGTCACAACACCCACACCAGTGTGCACAGGATGTATGTGTGCAGTCAAAGGAGATTATTCTTTGGCTTTAAGACTGAATGTGTTTTTTCCTGTTGGGGTTTGGACTTACTTGAGACTCGTAATTATTTTCACTTTGCCCATTTTCCTTTTTGGAATAGGAATATCTGTCATATGTCTGTCCAACCATTTTATTTTTGAAATAGATAACTTGTTTAATTTCACAGGCTAACAGCTGGAAGAAATTTGCCTCAAGATGAATTGTGAATTGAGTCTCATTCATATCTGATTCAGATGAGACTCTGAGCTTAGGACTTTTGAGTTGGTGCTAGAAAGAGTTAAGACTTTGGGGCTATTGATGTAGAATGAGTGTATTTTGCATGTGAGAAGGACATAAATATTGAGGGGTGGGTTAGAACGCAATGGCTGAAATATGTCACAAATATCCTGTGATGGAAACTTAACCCTCAAATTCATATATTGATTGGAGGTAGATCCTTTGGGAAGTAATTAGTATTAAATACAGTTGTCAGGGTGAGGCCTTCATGATGGAACTGGTGCCTTTGTGAGAACAGAAAGAGAAACTGAACTGACATGGACATTCTTGCTCTCTTTCCATGTGGTGCCTTTCACCATATCACAACACAGCTGGAAGGCCCTCACCAGATATCAACACCATGGCTCTTGGAGTTCCCAGCCTCCAGAACCATAAGCTAAATGAACTTATTTTCTTTATAAATTACCAAGTCATAGGTATTCAGTTATAGCATAGAAAATGGACTAAGACAGGTTCGGCTGAGGGGAGGGCCATTGGCTGGGGCCTGCGGTATGCCGCTTCAGTGAGGGACTCCACTGTGGCCACCCGGCTTGCTGCCTTCCGGGGCGCCACTCCCCCAGGTGACTCGACGTGACACGCCAGTAGCACAGCACTGATTCCTCTCGGGCTCTTGGGCGCTGCTCTGAGCAGCGTCACCCTTTACACCAGAAACCTGGCGGGCACTATGGGGAAAAAAACTAAACAAGAAGAAAGTGGAGGAAGTGCTAGAAGAGGAGGAAAAGGAATATGTGGTGGAAAAATTTCTCGACCGTGGAGTGGTAAAGGACAAAGTGGAGTACCTCCTAAAGTGGAAGGGATTCTCAGATGAGGATAACACATGGGAGCCAGAAGAGAACCTGGATTGCCTCGACCTCATTGCTGAGTTTCTGCAGTCACAGAAAACAGCACATGAGACAGATAAATCAGAGGGAGGCAAGCACAAAGCTGATTCTGATTCTGAAGATAAGGGAGAGGAGAGCAAACCAAAGGGGAAGAAAGAAGAGTCAGAAAAGCCACGAGGCTTTGCTCGAGGTTTGGAGCCAGAGCGGATTATTGGAGCTACAGACTCCAGTGGAGAGGTCATGTTCCTGATGAAATGGAAAAACTCATGAGGCTGACCTGGTCCCTGCCAAGGAAGCCAGTGTCAAGTGCCCACAGGTTGTCATATCCTTCTATGAGGAAAGGCTGACATGGCATTCCTAACCCTCGGAGGATGATGACAAAAAAAATGACAAGAATTAACGCTCTTGAGTACCAGCCCCTGTCACATCTGACTGTGGGTTTCAAGTGGGAAGGGAAGGAGTTCGACTTGTCTTGACACCATAGAGGTGGCTTGAGAAGATGTCCTTTGAAGAGCCAGTATAGTTTCTGTGCCCTGGAGCAGCCCAAGTGCTTTAAAGCCGTTTCAAGCTGTATAGTTTGCACACCCATCCCAGTGGAGGGGAAAGGGGATGTTTCAAGGCAACCTTTCCTGCACTTTGCTGTAAAAAGCAAAGGGCCTTCTATGAAGGACAAAACTTGCAGAATTGGGTGTGTGGGAGAGCAAAAAAATACTGTAGATCTTCAAAGAGCATCTCCACAACACACAGCCTTCTTCCCAATAGCGTTAACTCTGCATTTTTACAGTGTAGCATGTGTGTAGTTTTTGGCTATTACTGGTGTATTATTTGGGGGAGGGAGGGATGGGGAGGGGAGAAAGGGAGATGGGTAGTATCATTTAGATTAACATTTGGGGCCTGATAGGGGAAATGGTGAAGCAATGGAAAAGAACAGACAACTAATGATTTGCTTCTATGTCCAGAATATTTTACCTTTAAAAAAAATGTCATTGGCACCATAAATAAGGACTGTGAGAGACTGTTTAAAAGCTGTGAATGTCTGAAACCTATAAGCCAAGGTGTTCCCTGCCTAAACTTATTGCTGTTCCCACAAAGGACTAAGCCTGTTCATAAGTTACCAAAGTTGCCATTTTGGAGATGGAAATTGACAAGGAGGGAAGGTCTTTTATTGGAGAGTATACAGTACAAGCAGATCATTCTGTCTTAGAGGTGCTAATTCCTGAAATTAGAAGACCCTTTCTTTTCCAGTAACGAAGTTATAAATATCAGCTTGTTCATCCAAGACACTGGCTGAGGTGTTAGGGAAGAGGAAGAGGGTGGTAGAGGAGATAAGACAGTAGGGAAAGACAAGGGCCCATGCTTTTAGTGGGGAAAACTCTTGGAGCCATTTTTAGTGGGGAGAACTCTTGGAGCCATTCTCTTTTTTGAGCTTTGAACACTGAAACCATTGTTGGCAGGGTTCAGTCACTGACAGCACAAGTTTCACCGAATTGATCCAAGAGTTTAGTGATTTCAAAAGCCTTGGTCTCAGAAGATTAAACTTTCATATTGGGCAGTGGTTCCCTTTAAAACACACACACACACACACACACACACACACACACAGACACACACAAAACAATTTTTTAAGAAATCCTAAGAAGTAACATACCCAAAATGCTCTGTCTTGAGTCGTGAGATCCATCAGTTCTTGATATTGTCTAGACTTGCATCTAGAGCTACATTGTAAAATTCTTTTAGGCATGTGTTAGATTTCTGTGTAAACTTTGTTTAAATGTAAACTTCATACTACACTGTCAGTTTTTGTCTTAATAAAACTATAGATTTATAATCCCTGAAAAAAAAAGAAAATGGACTAAGACAACCATTTAATATAATACTTCATGTGTTGTTTACTAATGTCTTTTATCAAGTAGAGAGTCTTTCCTGATATTCCAAGCTTGCTAAGAGATTTTATAATGAATGGGTACTGTATTTTGTCTTATGTCTTCTCTGCATCTATTAAGATGCTCATTTAATATTTTTGCTGTGTAGTATTAAGGTGTCATGTTTTATTAATTAAATTTGAGGCAATTAATGCAACCATGCATTACTATAATTAATATAACTTGACAATGATGTATTATTTTCTGTATATACTATTTAAATCCCTTTATATACTGATGTGTTATTTTCTTTACACACTGTTGTATTTTGTTAAAGATTGTCATCTCTATTAATGAAGGATATTGAAGTGTAGTTCTCCTTTGACATGCCTTAGTCTGGCTTTGGTGTCAGGATGATATTGGCCTCATAAAAAGAGTTGAGAAATATTCTGTACTCATGTATTTTTGAAAAAAGTTTGTTGAGTAATGGAATTGTTTCTTTACATATTTCATAAAAGTCACCAGTGAAAACATATAGTCTTTGACTTTTCTTTGGGCTGAGATTTTTAATATCTAGGAAAATGTCTTTTTTATCTCTGTTATTTATAATAATAATAATATTATTATTATTTATAATATTATTTTATATTAATTCCTGAGTCATTTGGGGTACAGTAGTAATTTTGTAGAAGTTAGCCTATTTTCAAAGTTGTTTAGTTTATTGGCATAAAGTTGCCCATAGTATTTATTCCCTCACACTTTTAATTTCCAAAGGGCCCATGGTAATATCTCCTTTGATTTCTAACTTTTATAATTTCTTTATTTTTCTTCTTAGTCTAGCTAAAGTATTGTCAATTTTGTAGATATTTTCAAAGAGCCTACTTTAAGTTCAATCAATTTCAATGTTTCTATGATCTCTATTTAATATTTTTTTGGAGTAATTTATGTAATTTTCTTTTTTTTTGCTTGTTTTTTGTTGGTTTCCTCTTTTTTCCATAATTTTTATGTTAATGCTTAGATTTTTTTATTTCATTTTAAAAAATAATTTTAACTTTTATGTAGGATACAGGGGCTACACATAAAGGTTTGTGACATAGGGTATATTGTACTCAGGTAGTGAGCATAGTACACAATAGGTAGTTTTTCAACCCACATCCCCTTTCCTCTATCCCACTTCTAGTAGAATACAATGTCTATTTTTCCCATGTTTATGTACATGTGTGCTTTATCTGTAACTTTCACTTATAAATGAGAACATGTAGTGTTTAGTTTCCTGCACCTGTGTTAGTTTGCTTATGCCTTCCACCTCCATCCATGTTGCTGCTAATGACATGATTTCATTTGTTGTTACTGATGCATAATATTCCATGGTGCATATGTACCACATTTGCTTTATTCAATTGACCACTGATGGACACCTAGGTTCATCCCATGTCTCTGCTATTGTGAATAGTGTAGCAATGAAGGTACAAGTACACGTGTCCTTTTGGTATAATGATCTATTTTTCTTTGGGTATGTACTTAGTAATGGAATTTCTGGATCAAATGGTAATTCTGTTTTAATTTTCTTGAGGAATCTCCAAACTGCTATCCAAAGTGGCTGAACTAATTTACATTATCACAAACAGTGTATAAGCATTTCATTTCATATCCAGCTTCATGAACATCTTGTTGCTTTTTAACTTTTTCTAATGGCCATTTTGACTGGTGTGAGACGGTGTCTCATTTTGGTTTTCATTTGCATTTCTCTGATGATTAGTGATATTGAGAATTTTTTGATAAGTTTTTGGCTGCTTGTATGTCTTCTTTTGAGAAGTGTCTGTTCATGTCAATTTCAATTTTTAATGGGGTTGTTTGTTTTTTCTTGTTGATTTGTCATCTATAGATTCTGGACAATAGGACTTTGTAGGAATGCATAGTTTGTGAATATTTTCTTTCATTCTCTATGTTGTCTATTTACTCTGTGGATAGTTTCCTTTGCTGTGTAGCTCTTTATTTTAATTAGTTCTCACTTGTCTATTTTCTGTTTCTGATGCAATTGCTTTTGGGGGCTTGGGCAAAAATTTTTTGTCAAAGCCAATTTTATTTTTTAATTTTAACTTTTATTTTAAATATAGGGAGTACAGGTGCAGGTTGTTACATGGGTATATTGTGTAATAGCATCTATTTTTTAGTCAGTTTTATAGAATCTGCAAATTTTTCTAGTTTTTTTCATCAACTTTTATTTTAAGTTCCAGGATACATGACCATGGTGGTCTGCTGCACAGATCAACTCATCACCTAGGTATTAAGCCCAGCACCCACTAGCTATTCTTCATGATGCAATTCATCTCCCCAACACCCAACAGGCCCCAGTGTGTGTTGTTCCCCCCATATGTTCATGTGTTCTCATCATTCAGCTCCCACTTAAAAGTGAGAACATGTGGTGTGTGGTTTTCTGTTCCTGGATTAGTTTGCTGAGGATAACAACTTCCAGCTCCATCCATGTCCCTGCAAAGGACATGATTTCATTACTTTTTATGGCTACATAGTATTCCATGGTGTATATGTACCACATGTTCTTTATCCAGTCTATCATTGATGGACATTTGGGTTGAGTCCATGTCTTTGCTATTGGGAATAGTGCTGCAATGAACATACACGTGCATGTATCTTTATAATAGAATGATTTATATTCCTTTAGGTATATACTCAGTAATGGATTGCTGGGTCAAATGGTATTTCTGCTTCCTTATCTGTCTTCAATAATGGTTGAAATAATTCATACTGTCACCAGCAGTGTAAAAGCATTACTTTTTCCCTGCAGCCTCACCAGCATCTGTGGTTTCTTGACTTTTTAATAACTACCATTCTGACTGGCAGGAGGTAGTATCTCATTGTGGTTTTGAATGGCATTTCTCTAATGATCTGTGATGTTGAACTTTTTTTTCATGTTTGTTGGCCACATGAACATCTTCCTTTGAGAAGCGTCTGCTCATATCCTTAGCCCACTATTTAACGGGGTTGTTTTTTTCTTGTAAATTTGTTTATGTTCCTCTTAGACTCTGGATATTAGACCTTTGTCAGATGCATAGATTGCAAAAATTCTCTCCATTTTGTAGGTTGTCTGTTCATGCTGATGATAGTTTCTTTTGCTGTGCAGAAGCTCTTTCATTTATTTAGATCCCATTTGTCAAATTTTTCTTTTGTTGCAATTGCTTTTGGTGTTTTTTTCATGAAAACTTGAATGGTATTACCTAGATTTTATTCTGGAATTTTTATTGTTTTTGGTTTTACAATTAAGGCTTTAATCTATCTTGAGTTAATTTTTGTATATGGTGTAAAAAAGGGGTCCAGTTTCAATTTTCTGCCAATGACTAGTTCTTCAAGCACAATTTATTAAATAGAGAATGGTTTCCTCATTGGTTGTTTTTGTCAGGTTTGTACAAGATCAGATGGTTGTAGGTGTGCAGTCTTATTTCTGAGTTCTCTGTTTCGTTCCATTGGTCTATGTGTCTGTTCTAGTACCAGTACCATGCTGTTTTGGTTACTGTAGCCTTGTAGTATAGTTTGAAGTCAGGTAGTGTGATACCCTCAGCTTTGTGCTTTTTTAAAGCCAGTGTTAAGAAGGGTATTTCCTAGGTTGTTTTCTAGCAATTTTGTAGTTTGAGGTCTTACATTTAGATTTTTGAACCATTTTGAATTAATTTTTTGTATATGATAAAAAGTAGGGCCCAATTTCTATCTCCCACCTGTGGCTAACCAGTTATCCCAGAACTATTTACTGACAATTTTTTTTCCTCACTGCTAGTTGTTATGAGGTTGTCAATGAACAGATGGTTGCTAGTGTGTGGTTTTATTTCTGAGGTTTCTATTGCCTTCCATTGGTCTATGTGTCTGATTTTGTACTAATACCATGCTGTTTGGGTTATAATAGCTTTGCAGTGTAGTTTGAAGTTGGGTAGTTTGGTTCCTCCAACTTTGTTCTTTTTACTTGGGATGGCTTTGGCTGTTCAAGCCCTTTTTTGTCCCTTGTAACTTTTAGAATCTTTTTTTTCCTACTTCTATAAAGAATGATGTTGATAGTTTGATAAGAATAGCACAGAATCTGTAAATTGCTTTGGTCAGTATTGCCATTTTATTAATATTTATTCTTCCAATCCATTGACATGGAATTTTTTTCAATGTATTTGTGTCATCTCTGATTTGTTTCAGCAGTGTTTTGTAGTTCTCTTCGTAGAGAACTTTCACCTTCTTGGTTAGCTATATACGTAAGTATTTAATTATTCTTTGTAGCTATTGTAAATAAAATGGTGTTTTTTATTTAGCTCTCAGCCTAGACATTATTGGTGTATAGAAGTGCTACTGATTTTTCTACACTGATTTTTTAAATCCCAAAACCTCACTAAAATCACTTATCAGTTCTACTAGCCTTTTGACAGAGCCTTGGGGCTTTTTCAGATACAGAATTATATTGTCAAGCAAGAGAGATACTTTGACTTCTTCTTTTACTACTTGGATGTCTTTTCTCTCCTCTTGCCTGATTGCTTTGGCTAGGATTTCAGTACTGTGTTGAATAGAAATCATGAGTGGGGCCATCCGTGTCTTGTTCCAGTTTTCAAGGGAAATGAATGGTTCCAGCTTTTGACCATTAAGTATGATTTTCGCTGTGGGTTTTTCATAGGTGAATCTTATTATTTTGAGGTATCTTCTTTCAATGCCTAGTCTACTGAGGCTTTTTATTATTGGGTGAAGTTAGACTTTATCAAAAGCTTCTCCTCCATCTTCTGAGACAATCATTTGGTTTTTGTTTTAATTCCATTTATGTAGTGAACTGAATTTATTGGTTTGCATGTGTTGAACCAGCCTTCCATCCCAAAATAAGGCCTACTTGATTATGGTGAATTAACTTTAATGTGCTCCTAAATTCAGTTTGTCACTCTTTTTTTTTTTTTTTTTAGAAATTTCATGTCTATATTTATCAATGATGTTAACCTGAAGATTTCTTTTTCCACTGTGTTTTCCCCTGATCTTGATATTAAGTTGATGCTGGCTTCATAGAATGAGTTAAGGAGGAGTCCCTCCTCCTCAAGATTTTGGAATAGTTTCAGTACAATTAGCATCATTTGTTTGTACTTCTCTTAGAATTCAGCTGTGAATCCATCTGGTCCAGGGTTTTATTTGATTGGTAGGTTTTTTTGGTCCTGATTCTATTTCAGAGCTCTATATTGGTCTATTAAGACTCTCTACAACTTCCTGATTCAATATTGGAAGATTGTGTGCTGTCAGAAATTTGTGCATTTCCTCCACATTGCTTAATTTGTGTGCACAGAGTTCTTCATAATATTCTCTGAAAATCTTTTGTACTTCTCTGTGACAGGTTGTAATGTCATCTTTGTCATTTCTGATTGTACTTATGTGAATCTTCTTTTTCTCTGTTGCTCTAGGCAGTGGTATATGATCTTTTTTTTCTTTTTATAAGAACCAACTCTTGATTTCTTTGATTTTTGTATTTGTTTTTGCATCTCAGTTGCATTCAGTTCTCTAATTTTGGTTATTTTTTACTTTTAGCTTTTGGTTTTTAAAAATTCCTATAGGTGCTGGAGCCAAGATGGCCAAATAGGAACAACTCCAGTCTACAGCTCCCAACATGAGTGACACAGAAGACGAGTAGTTTCTGCATTTCCAACTGAAGTGCCAGGTTCATCTCACTGGGGAGTGTCAGACAGTGGGTGCAGGACAGTGCGTGCAGCGCACGAAGCATTACTGAAGCAGGAAGAGGCATTGCCTCAACCAGGAAGCCCAAGAGGTCAGGGAATTCCCTTTCCTAGTCAAAGAAAGGGGTGACAGATGGCATCTGGAAAATTGGGTCACTCCCACCCTAATACTGCACTTTTCAAATGTTCGTACCAAATGGCACACCAGGAGATTATATCCCGTGCATGGCTCAGAGGGCCCTATGCCCATGGAGCCTCACTCATTGCTAGCACAGCAGTCTGAGATCAAACTGCAAGGCAGCAGCAAAGCAGGGTGAGGGGTGCCCACCATTGCTGAGGCTTGAGTAGGTAAACAAAGCAGCCAGGAAGCTCAAACTGGGTGGAGGTCACCGCAGCTCAAGGAGGCCTGACTGCCTCCGTAGATTCCACCTCTGGGGACAGGGCATAGCCAAACAAAAGGCAGCAGAAACCTCTGCAGACTTAAATGTCCCTGTCTGACAGCATTGAAGAGAGTAGTGGTTCTCCCAGCATGCAGCTTGAGATCTGAGAACAGACAGACTGCCTCCTCAAGTGGGTCCCTGACCCCTGAGTAGCCTAACTGGGAGGCACCTCCCAGTAAGGGGCAGACTGACAACTCACATGGCTGGGTATTCCTCTGAGACAAAACTTCCAGAGGAACGATCAAGCAGCAACATTTGCTGTTCACCAATATCTGCTGTTCTGCAGCCTCCGCTGCTGATATCCAGGCAAACAGGGTCTGGAGTGGACCTCCAGCAAACTCCAACAGACCTGCAGCTGAGGGTCCTGACTGTTAGAAGGAAAACTAACAAACAGAAAGGAAATCCACACCAAAACCCCATCTGTATGTCACCATCATCAAAGACCAAAGGTAGATAAAACCACAAAGATGGGGAAAAAACAGAGCAGAAAAACTGGAAATTCTAAAAATCAGAGCCCCTCTCCTACTCCAAAGGAATGCAGCTCCTCACCAGCAACGGAACAAAGCTAGATGGAGAATGACTTTGGCAAGTGGAGAGAAGAATGCTTCAGATGATCAAACTACTCCAAGCTAAAGGAGGAAGTTCAAACCCATGGCAAAGAAGTTAAAAAACTTGAAAAAAGATTAGACGAACAGCTAATTAGAATAACCAATGCAGAGAAGTCGTTAAAGGACCTGATGGAGCTGAAAACCACAGCATGAGAACTACATGATGAATGCACAAGCCTGAGTGTTGATTCAATCAACTGGAAGAAAGGGTATCAGTGATGGAAGATGGAATGAATGAAATGAAGTGAGAAGTTTAGAGAAAAAAGAAAAAAAGAAATGAAGAAAGCCTCCATGAAATCTGGGATTACGTGAAAAGACCAAATCTATGTCTGATTGGTGTACCTGAAAGTGACAGGGAGAATGGAACCAAGTTGGAAAACACTCTGCAGGATATTATCCAGGATAACTTCCCCAATCTAGCAAGGCAGGCCAACATTCAAATTCAGGAAATACAGACAATGCTACAAAGATACTCCTTGAGAAGAGCAATTCCAAGACAAAAAATTGTCAGATTCACCAAAGTTGAAATGAAGGAAAAAATGTTAAGGGCAGCCAGAGAGAAAGGTAAGGTTACCCACAAAGGGAAGCCCATCAGACTAACAGATGATCTCTTGGCAGAAACTCTACAAGCCAGAAGAGAGTTGGGGCCAATATTCAACATTTTTAAAGAAAAGAATTTTCAACCCAGAATTTCATATCCAGCCAAACTAAGCTTCATAAGTGAAGGAGAAATAAAATCCTTTACAGACAAGCAAATGCTGAGAGATTTTGTCACCACCAGGCCTGCCCTAAAAGAGCTCCTGAAGGAAGCACTAAACATGGAAAGGAACAACTGGTACCAGCCCCTACAAAAACATCCCAAATTGTAAAGATCATCAAGACTAGGAAGAAACTGCATCAACTATTGAGCAAAATAACCAGCTAACATCATAATGACAGGATCAGATTCACACATAGCAATATTAACCTTAAATGTAAATGGGCTAAATGCTCCAATTAAAAGACACAGACTGGCAAATTGGATAAAGAGTCAAGACCCATCAGTGTGCTGTATTCAGGAAACCCATCTCACGTGCAGAGACACACATAGGCTCAAAATAAAAGGATGGAGGAAGATCTACCAAGAAATGGAAAACAAAAAAAGGCAGGGGTTGCAATCCTAGTCTCAGATAAAACAGACTTTAAACCAACAAAGATCAAAAGAGACAAAGAAGGCCATTACATAATGGTAAAGGGATCAATTCAACAAGAAGGGCTGACTCTCCTAAATATATATGCACCCAATACAGGAGCACCCAGATTCATAAAGCAAGTCCTCAGGGACCTACAAAGAGACAGACTCCCACAAAATAATAATGGGAGACTTTAACACCCCACTGTCAACATTAGACAGGTCAACGAGACAGAAAGTTAACAAGGATATCCAGGAATTGAACTCAGCTCTGCACCAAGCAGACCTAGTAGACATCTACAGAACTCTCCACCCCAAATCAACAGAATATGCATTCTTTTCAGCACCACACCACACTTATTCCAAAATTGACCACATAGTTGGGAGTAAAGCACTCCTCAGCAAATGTAAAAGAACAGAAATTATAACAAACTATCTCTCAGACCACAGTGCAATCAAACTAGAACTCAGGATAAAGAAACTCACTCAAAACCGCTCAACTACATGGAAACTGAACAACCTGCTCCTGAATGACTACTGGGTACATAACGAAATGAAGGCAGAAATAAAGATGTTCTTTGAAACCAAGGAGAACAAAGACACAACATACCAGAATCTCTGGGACACATTCAAAGCAGTGTGTAGAGGGAAATTTATAGCACTAAATGCCCACAAGAGAAAGCAGGAAAGATCTAAAATTGACACCCTAACATCACAATTAAAAGAACTAGAGAAGCAAGAGCAAACACATTCAAAAGCCAGCAGAAGGAAAGAAATAACTAAGATCAGAGCATAACTGAAGGAAATAAAGACACAAAAAACCCTTCTAGAAATCAATGAATCCAGGAGCTGGGTTTTTGAAAAGATCAACAAAATTGATAGACCGCTAGCAAGACTAATAAAGAAGAAAAGAGAGAAGAATCAGAATCATCAGAGAATACTATAAACACCTCTACGCAAATAAACTAGAAAATCTAGAAGAAATGGATAAATTCCTCGACACATACACCCTCCCAAGACTAAACCAGGAATTAGTTGAATCCCTGAATAGGCCAATAACAGGCTCTGAAATTAAGGCAATAATTAATAGCTTACCAACCAAAAAAAGTCCAGGACCAGATGGATTCACAGCCAAATTCTACCAGAGGTACAAGGAGGAACTGGTACCATTCCTTCTGAAACTATTCCAATCAATAGAAAAAGAGGGAATCCTCCCTAACTCGTTTTATGAGGCCAGCATCATCCTGATACAAAAGCCTGGCAGAGACACAACAAAAAAAGAGAATTTTAGATCAATGTCCCTGATGAACATTGATACAAAAGTCCTCAATAAAATACTAGCAAACTGAATCCAGCAGCACATCAAAAAGCTTATCCACCATGATCAAGTGGGCTTCATCCCTGGGATGCAAGGCTGGTTCAACATACACAAATCAATAAACGTAATCCAGCATATAAACAGAACCAATGACAAAAACCACATGATTATCTCAGTAGATGCAGAAAAGGCCTTTGACAAAATTCAACAACGCTTCATGCTAAAAACTCTCGATAAATTAGGTATTGATGGGACATATCTGAAAATAATAAGAGCTATCTATGCCAAACGCACAGCCAATATCATACTGAATGGGCAAAAACTGGAAGCATTCCCTTTGAATACTGGCACAAGACAGGGATGCCCTCTCTCACCACTCCTATTCAGCGTAGTGTTGGAAGTTCTGGCCAGGGCAATCAGGCAGGAGAAGGAAATAAAGCGTATTCAGTTAGGAAAAGAAGAAGTCAAATTGTCCGTTTGCAGACGACATGATTGTGTATCTAGAAAACCCCATCATCTCAGCCCAAAATCTCCTTAAGCTGATAGGCAACTTCAGCAAAGTCTCAGGATATAAAATCAATGTGCAAAAATCACAAGCATTCTTATACACCAATAACAGACAGAGAGCCAAATCATGAGTGAACTCCCATTCACAATTGCTTCAAAGAGAATAAAATACCTAGGAATCCAACTTACAAGGGACGTGAAGCACTTCTTCAAGGACAACTACAAACCACTGCTCAATGAAATAAAAGAGGCTACAAACAAATGGAAGAACATTCCATGCTCATGGGTAGGAAGAATCAATATCATGAAAATGGCCATACTGCCCAAGATAATTTATATATTCAATGCCATCCCCATCAAGCTACCAATGACTTTCTTCACAGAATTGGAAAAAACTACTTTAAAGTTCATATGGAATCAAACAAGAGCCTGCATTGCCATGTCAATCTTAAGCCAAAAGAACAAAGCTGGAGGCATCACGCTACCTGACTTCAAACTATACTACAAGGGTACAGTAACCAAAATAGCACAGTACTGGTACCAAAACAGAGTGATAGACCAATGGAACAGAACAGAGCCCTCAGAAATAATTCCACATATCTACAACTATCTAATCTTTGACAAATCTGAAAAAAACAAGAAATGGGGAAAGGATTCCCTATTTCATAAGTGGTGCTGGGAAAACTGGCTAGCCATATGTAGAAAGCTGAAACTGGATCCCTTCCTTACACCTTATACAAAAATTAATTCAAGATGGATTAAAGACTTAAGTGTTAGACCTAAAACCATAAAAACCCTGGAAGAAAACCTAGGCAATACCATTCAGGACATAGGCATGGGGAAGGACTTCAAGTCTAAAACACCAAAAGCAATGGCGACAAAAGCCAAAATTGACAAATGGGATCTAATTAAACTCAAGAGCTTCTGCACAGCAAAAGAAACTACCATCAGAGTGAACAGGCAACCTACGGAATGGGAGAAAATTTTTGCAATGTACTCATCTGACAAAGGGCTAATATCCAGAATCTACAATGAACTCAAACAAATTTACAAGAAAACGTCAAACAACCCCATCAATAAGTGGGCAAAGGATATGAACAGACACTTCTCAAAAGAAGATATTTATTTAGCCAAAAGACACATGAAAAAATGCTCATCATCACTGGCCATCAGAGAAACGCAAATCAAAACCACCATGGGATACCATCTCACTCCAGTTAGAATGGCGATCATTGAAAAGTCAGGAAACAACAGGTGCTGGAGAGGAGGTGGAGAAATAGGAACACTTTTACACTGTTGGTGGGACTGTAAACTCGTTCAACCATTGTGGAAGTCAGTGTGGCGATTCCTCAGGGATCTAGAACTAGAAATATCCTTTGACCCAGCCATCCCATTACTGGGTGTATTCCAAAAGGATTATAAATCATGCTGGTATAAAGACACACGCACACGTATGTTTATTGCGGCACTATTCACAATAGCAAAGACTTGGAACAAACCCAAATATCCATCAATGATAGGGTGGATTAAGAAAATGTGGCACATATACACCATGGAATACTATGCAGCCATAAAAAATGATGTGTTCATGTCCTTTGTAGGGACATGGATGAAGCTGGAAACCATCATTCTCAGCAAACTATCGCAAGGACAAAAAAACAAACACCGCATGTTCTCACTCATAGGTGGGAATTGAACAATGAGAACACATGGACACAGGAAGGGGAACATCACACACCGGGGACTGTTGTGGGGTGGGGGGAGGGGGGAGGGATAGCATTAGGGGATATACCTAATGTTAAATGATGAGTGAATGGGTGCAGCACACCAACATGGCGCATGTATACATGTGTAACAAACCTGCATGTTGTGCACGTGTGCCCTAAAACTTAAAGTATAATAAAAAAAAATTCCTATAGGTGCAAAGTTAGACTGTTAATTTGCATATTTCTAACTTCTTGATGAATGTGCTTAGCACTATAAACATTCCTCTTAATGCTGCTTTAGCTGTGTCTCAGAGATTTTTGTAAATTGTTTCCATATTTTCATTAGTTTCAAAGAATTTTTTAATTTCTGCCTTAATTTTGATATTTACCCAGGAGCTATGTAGAAGTTGCTTAATTTCTATGTGTTTGTGTAGTTTTGAGAGACCTTCTTGATACTGATTTCTATTTTTATTGCACCTTGTTTGAGATTGTGCTTGGTATGATTTCAGCTTTTTTGAATTCATTGAGACTTGCTTTATGACCAAGCATGTGATTGATCTTAGAATATGTACTGTGTGCAGATGAAAAGGATGTATATTCTGTGGTTGTTGGGTGGAGTGTTCTGCAGATGTCTGTTAGGTCCAATGAGTCATGTGTCAAGATTAAATCTAGAGTTCTTTGTTAGTTTTATACCTTGATGACCTCTGTCTTATGCTGTCAGTGGGGTGTTGATTTCTTCCACTGTTGCTATATGGTTGTCTAAGTCTTTCTGTAGACCAAAAAGAACTTGCTTTTTAAATCTCGGTTCTCAAATGTTGGGTGAATATACATTTAAGACAGGTAAGTTTTCTTGTTGGATTGTACCCCTTAATGTTATGCATTTCCTTCTTTGTCTTTGTTTTTTATTGGTTTAAAATATGTTTTATCTGATACAATAATAGTAACTCTTTTTTTTTTCACAGTCCATCTTTCTTCACCCTTTTTCTCTGAGTCTGGTTGTGTCATTATATGTGAGATTGGGCTCTTGAAACTAAGAAATGGTTGCATCCTGTCTTTTATCCAGCTCGCCACTCTACATCTTTTAAGAGGGGTGTTTAGCCCATTTATTATTCTGGGTTAGTACTGATATGTGAGATTTTGATCCTATCATTGTGTTAGCTGGTTGTTATGTAGACTTGATTGTGTGGTTGCTTTATAGTGCTTGCTTTATGTGCTTAAGTGTGTTTTTGTGGTAGCAGATGTCATTCCTTTGATTCCATGTTTAACACTCCTTCAGCGACTCTGATCATCCTCACTGCTCATTATATGCTGATTATAATGCAGTAGCATCCTAAAAGACACTCCCACCAGTGCCGTGACAATTTACAAATGCCATGACAATGTTAGGGAGTTACCCTATATTCTCTAAAAAGAGGAGAAACACTCAGTTCCAGGAATTGTCCACCTCTTTCCCAGAAAACTCATGAGTAATCCACCCCCTGTTTAGCATATAATCAAGAAATAACTTTAAGTATACTTAGTTGATCAGCCCATGCTGCTGCTCTGCCTATGGAATAGCCATTCTTTATTCCTTCACTTTCTTAATAAATTTGCTTTCACTTTATCTATTCACCTTGAATTCTTTCTTGCCTGAGATCCAAGATCCCTCTCTTGGGGTCTGGATTGAGATCCCTTTTTGGTAACAGATAGGCTCTTAGTGCATGGCTCCTTTGTAGTTCATAGTGTTTTCAGCTCTGGTATTTGGTGCAGTGGTGAGAGAGGTAACCTCCTCTCTGGGTACACTACTGGGCTTTGAGGGTGCACCCTCCAATCACTGGCACTGAGACCATATTTATTTTGTTAGGTATTCCAGGATGTGGGGTTCCCTCAAGCAGAGTCCACAGCATGGTTATAGGCCCCACCTCTTCTGGGCTGCCCTTGTGGAAGAAGGCAGGCCCCACTCCTATGGCAGCCCATGAGTCCATGAAACTCACTCCTATCCATGATCTGACATTGTAGGCTCCTCTTTTCACTTGAGTACCAACGACATATTTCAGCTCCACACTCCCAAGCTGGGAACCACAGCCCTGGGGTGAGCTCAGGTGTTTTTGTTCCCTCCCCAGCTTGGGGCAACTCTGGTGGGGTCTATGGTGGTGGCAGTGGCAGAGGGCCTGTCAGGTTGACTTGAGTGGGTGTGGCTCCATCCCAGAGAAATCCAGAGCCACAGCTGATTGGAGTAATTACCCAGGGAGGGGAAAGCTGTGTTCTGGTCCCAAACTGGGGGGCCCTGCCTGTCAAAGAGCAGAGGGGGAAAGGGGCTCCTGGGAAAGACAGTCTCACCTCCTCTCCTTAGAGCCGTGTACTGATGGTGCAACCAAAACAATCAGACTCTTCGTTATGTCCCCAGCCCAAGGGCAGCAAGGGCAAGGTGTCATGGCAGAGGAGCTGTCAGTTGACTCTGGGAACTCCACCTCAGAGAACTACAGAACCTGCTGCTGGATCTGGGATGATCAGCTGAAGGTGGGGTGGCTGTGCTGCAAACGCAAGCCAGAGATCCCTGCCGGGAGAAGAGCAGGAGAGTCAGGAGTTTCCACAGAAGATAGTCTGGCCTCCTCTGCATAGGGTAACTGTAGCATGCAGTAAGCACATGAAAGCAATTAAGATGTTTGTTCCTTCTGTAGCCTGGGGGAAGCAAGGGTGGTTACCGCAGCAACTGCAATGGCCGAGGGCTTGTCTGTTACCTCTTGGAGTTCCCTCTCAGAGAAATGCAGAACTACAACTGGCTAAAGTAGTGAAGTGGGGATGGGATGGCTTCACTGGTACCACAGGCCACTGGGCTTTGCCTCCTGGTGCAGCAGAGGTAGGGCCCTAAGCCTGTCTGCTCCTCAGCACTATGGTTGCAGCCCTTATTCTGGGGCGTGTGAGAGACTCTGGCCTCCCTTTTTGGCTGGCTATGACAGCTGGTACCAGGCTTCTCAGGGATCCAAAGACTGTGAAGCTCAATGTGTTCTTGAGTGGTGGCTCTGCCCAGACTTCAGACAGTTGACTGTGCCATTCTGGAGGTGGGCATGAGGGCATGGGGTGTAGGGGGATGGGCAAGGTTTGAGAGTTCTCCTGTGCCCAGGATTGCAAAGGTCCATGGCAGAAGTGTGGGTCTTCAGGGGCTCTTAGTCACTCACCCTTTCCCCATGGTAAGTAGCCTCCCCTGGCTCTGTGCCAAACTTGGGTGGGCAGCTGTCTTGCCTTGCTCTTCTCTGCTCTCTGAGGGCAACCAGTGCTTCTATCATGAATCCCACCTTGGCCTTCTGGACAATCTACTTGAACAGCTAGTGTTTACTTGCAACTTTGTCTCATCTCCCTGAGAGCAGTGCACATTAGCTGCTTCTAATCAGTCACCTTGGTGCTTCTGTTTTTTCTCTTCTAATATAGGCATTTAAATTGCTTTAGTTGTATTCCATTAATTTTTATATGTGCGCGATGACTATCTAGGCCAGTGGCATGAGGGAAACAGAATTTACCAAGACAGTTGTAGGCAGTGAAAGGCAGATTTATTAGAGAAAGTATGAAAATATGTTGCAAGAAGGCAATGGGCCGTATCAGTAGGAGGGAGCTGACTGCCAGGAGACAGAGGCTTGCTGAGGATTTTGTAGAATGGAACTTGGAAACTTGCATTCTTCTGTCAGCTGGGATGTTTAATAAATTGAGTTATTTGATGGTAATCAGGAAGTTTGTGAGTTATGTATGTTATTTGCTCAGGGGGGCTATATGTCCTGGGTCATAAAGAAAAACAGACCTACAATTCATCTGCTTCCTCTTTTTGTTTATATATCTGGAAGCAGGAAGAAAGGCATAGTTATAGCTTATTTGCTTTATCTCTTTGCTTTCACCTGCTCCTGCCAGCCTGACTCGTTTTTCCTAATTAGGACGCCACATTTCCTTCCTCACAGAGTAACAATGACAAACCTTTGGCATGTGGATATAGGTCTTATCTTCCAACTGCTTCCTGCTGACCAGGGGTGTAGAGTTGTCTCTATCAAGTATTGTAACTCAGTTAGGACATTACATGGGCCTAAATCCTTGGGTTGGGAGTTAAATTTGGCAGAGTTGTTGTGAGACCAATGGGGAACAGCATTTGCAGCCTAAAATTTTAACCTGCTGCATCCAAAGGAGAGTTATGGAGTTCTTTTAGTGGCCAATATCCTCACTACAGTAATATGTTGGTTTGAATTTGTTGTATTCTATAAGACACAAATTTGAGTAGTAAATTTAGGATGCAAGGGATGAAAAGAAGGAATAATAAAATGCCTGTTTTTGGCCCCAGGAATAAGAGCAACCAGGACAACGATCTCCAAGTAGATGCCCATTAATACCATCCTTGTGACACTTTTTTCTCAATTTCAGCCTCTAGCTCCCTGAGGTGTTTGACATGAGCCCACAGTATTTCTGACTGATTAACATAAATGCAACATTCTTTTTCAAACGCTAAACATATGTCCTCTTGGGCTGCCATAAGCGGATTTAGGCCACAGCAGTTTTGGAGAACAATTGTTGCTAAGGAGTCGACCTGATTTTGGAGGACTTCCAAGGTCTCAGAGACGCATTTGAGCTCAGTGGCAAGTTCGATTGAGAGGATATGATAAGTATGCACTGCGAGGCTCATACCTTTTATTCTCATACCCAATCCAGTGACAATGCCTGTGCCAGGCAGTAAGGGAATTAGATAGATTGGCCATTTTGCCCTGCTAGGACTGTAAAGCATGATTGGGAAGGACTAATTGGAAGGAGCAATTTGGGTGTCTGGGGCCAAGTAAACTAGCGTATGTGTTCCAGCCCAGTTGGCTGGAAGACAAACATAGGCATTGGTTCGGCAAAGGAAGAATGCTCTCTCAGATATAAGGCAAGAGAATAGAGTTACAGTGAAGAAATGGAGTGTGTTTCGGCCTTCTGACCTGAAGAAGTATTGAGTAGCTAGCATAGTAATTGTAAGAGGTTGTGAGGTGTAGATGTTACAATTTGCATTTGGGTGGGTTTTGTTTTCCCTAAACAAATGGATGTGTTGTATGCCTGGAGACATCTGAGATTTGGGGTTGCTAAGTGTGAGAATTTGTAGGTAATTATTAGGGGAATTTTCAACCTTTAAATTTTGCCACGGAGTTAGGTGAGAACAAGTGTCTGGAGAGGAGTGATCTGTACAGAAGTGAGAGTTTATATTTTGGAGATTTGGGACATTGGGATCGGCTGGGCCTGATATTCTAACTGGTACCATATTATGTTTTTCCCTTGGTATGTATTTTCTGTTGGTGTGATTTATACATATGGTGTAGTTGCAAAGGGGCTTAGAAACATCACCCATGGGGTTGGAGTAATGTTTGTTGTCTGTTGCTTTAAGGCAAATAGCTTGATGTTTAAGTTGTACTTATTTAAAAAGGGGGGCTACAACAGGGTGTTTGAGTCTACGGTTGTCTCTTGGGTTAGAGGACCAGTCCTTTGAGGGGGTTGTTATTTTTAGCTTGGTCGTGTATTGGCTTAAATAGGCAGAGAATGCAGCTACCATTCCACATGTGTTTTTGGGGTTCCATGGAAGTTGGGGGAACAGGAATTTGGAGAGCAGGATGGTATTAAAATGGATCTAATACTGAGTATAAAAAAGTGAAGAAGCATACCATTTGAGGGCTAAGGGTAAGCAAAGCCAACAATCTTTTGTACACAGAGAATGTTGTTTCTTTAATAGCTTATGGGCCCCTGTAAGTAGGGTGTAATCCAGGAAGATTGGCAAAGTAAAGTTCATTGTAAGTGTTAACACTAAGTGTAGAGATATCCAAGTAATGAGGATGAAGCCTGACAAGTTAAAAGCGACAAAATATAGTGAAGTCAGGGACACAGGAAAGGAGAAGGGCTATAAATTGTATAAGAAAAATAGTTAGAAAACCACTTTAGTACCACAGCACATCATCATTGTGGTGTGGTGTATATCAGATTACTAGAACAAATATAAAGAAATTTCATCTGGGTGGTAATCTAGAAGTCCTCCTGCAAATAGCAATCATATACTACCTCCCTTGTGAAAGCATTAATATTAAGAGGGTAAAGCTGCCTAAGTTAGGCAGTTGAATAATTGCTTAGAGCCTGTAGTAGAATTGAATAAAAAGAGTAATCTCTAACAATAAGATTTAAAAGAGACATTGGGCTAATTTCCATCAACCTTAAGGGAAGGTCAAAAACTCGAGGTTGCTGCAGTGGCCAGGCAAGGGTATGATGGTGGGGTTATTAGAATACTTATTCTTAAAAATGAAGTTTAATGGCAAAGGAGAATGCTATTCCATCCAGACGGAAGAAGACAGATAACGCGCAGAACAATGAAAACGATGACCATGATGCAGCCCACAGATTCAATTAAGAAGCCAGGAAAAATTAGGTTCATTGATTTTAAGGAAAATAAAGGGAGTAAGGAAAAGAAACTCCTGGTCTTCCACGGTGGTTCATGCCTGTAATCCTAGCACTTTGGGAGGCTGAGGCGGGCGGGTCATCTGAGGTCAGGAGTTCAAGACCAGCCTGGCCAACATGGTGAAACCTCGTCTCTACTAAAAATACAAACATTAGCTGGGCATGGTGGCGTGCACCTGTAATCCCAGCTACTCAGGAGGCTGAGGCAGGAGAATCACTTGAACCAGGGAGGCAGAGGTTGCAGTGAACTGAGATCGTGCCATTGCACTCCAGCCTGGGCGACAAGAGCAAGACTCTCCGTCTCAAGTAAAAAAGAGAAAGAAAGAAACTCCTTTAAGGTGGAGTTGAGAATTAGGGTTAATATAACCTGAGTCCAACTTAGCCTCTGAGTTTTGTCTAAACAGATGGAGGGCTCTGATTGGCTCACAGCTGTGTGTAGTGGAGGGCTCTTCATTTGGTGCCTGAGCAGCTTTGACCCCTGGAGTGGTGGATCCATGGGGACCTTGGAGCTTTACAGATGTTGGGATAGTAAGAATAACTTGATATCACCCAGTTCAGACAGGTTCTAACAGCCTTTTGACCTGCAGGAGAGTTTAAAGACATACCCAGTCTCCAGGTGTGAATTTAGAGTGTATCTTTCCTGAAAAGGAGGGATCGGGTTTGGGGCTGTGGAGATTTTGGTAATGGCCAATGGCTTTAATGGTCTGTCCAAGAATTATAACATATTGTGTGGGATAATGATTTTCTGGCTCTAACAAGAGGTCTGTTTGTAAGAAGGGTCTTCCATAAAGAACTTCAAATGGGCTGAGATGGGTTTCTGATTTTGGGGGTATAAGGGACCTTAAGAGGGCAATAGGGAGCAGAGCTGGCCATGACTGTTGGGTTTATCAGTTTTGTAAGATGCCTTTTTATGCTTTGATTGGCTCTTTTACCTTTCCAGAGGATTGTGGATGTCAGGCTGCTTGAAACTAGTATTTGATTTGAAGGGTCTTAGCAACTTCTTGGGTTATTTGAGAAATGAAAGCAGCGCTATTGTCTGACTGCAGTGAGTGAGGGAGCCAACAATGGGGAAGAATGTGGTTCAAAAGGGCCGTGGTGACTTCTGATGCCATGCCTGTTCAGTTTTGATGCGAAAGGCTTCTATCCACCTGGCGAAGGTATCTACAAAGATTATCAAATATTTAAGTCCCTTGCATGGAGGCATGTGTGTAAAATCTAGCTGCCAGACTTCTCCTGGTAGGATCCCTAATCTTTGAATGAGTTGGAGGAGAGGGGGAAGTTTGTGGGCCCCTTCAGGACTGGTTTGGCAGCAGGTGGGGCAAGGCTGTGAGATGGATCTTAAAGTTTATGCTATTCCTTTACCGATAAACAGTGACCATATTAAGTCTTGGAGGGCTTTAGCCCCTAAATGAGTTGATTGGTGTAAACTGTTTAAAAATTTTCATTGTGAGGCTCCTTGGAGCAAAAGTTTGCCATTAGGGCTTTTTAGCCAGCCCTCCGAAGTATGGGAGAAGCCTTTCTCTAGAGCCCTTTGGGTTTATTCCTGCATATACAGTGGAGACAGTTGAGTTAGGTTAGCAACTAAAACTGCCTAAAGAGGTAGCTTAGTAGTCACTCTTGCTTGTTTATCAGCCTGATTGTTCACAATAGAGATTTTATCATTGCTTCTCTGATGGGCTTTGCAGTGAATGATAGCTACCTGTGCAGGAAGCAAAATTACCTCTAACGGGGCCATGATTTCAGGAGCATGTCTAACTGGAATATTTTGGGCTGTTAAGAGTCCCTTTTCTTGCCAAATGGCTGCATGGGTATGTACTACATGAAAGACGTAGGTCAGTCTGTGTAAGTATTAAGTTTCATGCATGCTCCTAATTGCAAGGCTCAGGTAAGGGCAATAAGTTCTGCCTTCTGGGCTGAGGTGGTGTCACAGGGTAGGGGCCCAAATTCTGTAACTTCAGTAAGGCTAACAATAGCATACCGTGGTAACTGGGTACCTTCTAACATGAAACTATTGCTGTCTATGAACCAAGTGGCCTCCCAATTGGTAAGGGGAATATCTTGGAGGTCAAATCAGGAGCTACAAATTAATTCAATATTTTCTTTCTTTCTTTCTTTTTTTTTTTTTTTTTTCTGAGACAGGGTCTTGCTCTGTCGCCCAAGCTGGAGTGCAGTGGTGCAATTTCAGCTCACCGCAACCTCTGCTTCCTGGATTCAAGCTATTCTAATGCCTCAGCCTCCCAAGTAGCTGGGACTACAGATGTGTCACCATGCCAAGCTAATTTTTATATTTTTAGTAGAGATGGGGTTTCACCATGTTGGCCACGCTGGCCTCCAACTCTTGACCTCAGGTAATCCACCTGCCTAGGCCTTCCTAAGTGCTGGGATTACAGGTGTGAGCCACTGCGACCAGCCTTAAATCAAGAGTTTCTAAGCAAGAGTGTTTAAGTGATCCTTCCACATTTGGATCTGGTAACAGGATGGCATGATTAAGAACTTCACACTGCTTAATGTTTAATTGTGGTGTTTGTAGAAAGAGGGTTTGATATCTTCTTATTTGATTTGAGACTCAGTGAGAGCCCTTTGAGTTTAAAGTATCCACCATTTGGTGTGGGGTATACACTGTTATTCCTTGGCCTCAGCTTGGAGGCCTCCTCAATCAATCGGGCCACAGAGGCTAGTGCCGGGGGAATGGAGGCCAGCCCTGTGTCACCAAATTGAGGTTCTTTGATAAGTAAGCTACTGGTCATTTGGAGGGCCCCAATGGCTGGATTAAGTCTCCAAGGGCGATACCCCTTCTTTCAGGTACAAATAAATAGAAAGTTTTTCTAAGGTATGGTAAGGTCAAAGGTGGGGCAGTTGTAAAACTTGTTTAATGGGTTTTAGGGTTTTGTTCATTTCAGAGTTCCAGTAAAGGGGTCTTCCTCTGGTCCCCATAGTGTCTCATAAAGAGGGTTTTGCTATGAGTCCAAATTGGGGAGTCCAAATATGACAGAAACTTGGCATTCCCAAGAAGGAGTGCAACTGTTGTTTAGTTGCTAGTGTGCCCATGTTTAAGATGAGGCTTTCACAGTGATCAGAGAGACTTTTAAACCCTGGGGTTAGTGTGAGTCTCAGAAATTGCACTTCCAGAGAGGAAATTTGAGTTTTAGAAGGAGAAACCTCATAACCACAGGAAGATAACCTCTAAAGAGTTTTAATAGCATTTAGATATTCTAAGATTAATAGTATTTAATACCTTCAGTTGGACTGCAGATAAGCAGGTGGTCAACATATTGGAGCAGGGTGCTATTAAGGGATAGCTGAATGGTGAACAGATCTTTGGCAAGAGCCTGTCCAAATGGTTGTGAGCTATCTCTAAATCCTCAGGGGAGGCCTGTCCAGGTTAATTGTTGGGAGGTATGAGTGGAAGGATCTCGCCATTCAAAGGCAAATAAAAATTGTGAATCTGAATGTACTGGAATGCAAAAGAAAGCATCCTTTAAGTCTAATACTGTGAACCAAAACTGCCAGAAGGAATTTGTCCTAACAGGATGTAAGGGTTCGAAACAATGGGGTGTGTAGGAACTACTGGATCATTGATGGCTCTTGGGTCTTGTATCATTCTATAGGTGCCTTCTGGCTTTTGACAGCTAAGGTGGGTGTGTTACATGGTGAATTACAAGAGTGAAATTAAGGGCTGTAAGCCTAATTGGGTTTCAAGATTTAGAGGCTATGGAGATTTCCTAGGGAAAGAGGTGAAGACCTTAAGGATGACCTTTTTGGGGTCTGCACGCAAAGAACATCCTGGAGTGGATGAGTTTCATACTTCAGGGGGAACTTGTTGTACAATGAAAGGCTGTATGTATTGGAGTCAGTATTAAAAGGTAATAATGCCAGTATTGAACAGGCCTGGTTGGAAAACTGAAAGCTAGTTTGAAGTTTTGCCATTATATGCCTCCCAAGCAAAGGGATGGAACAAGTGGGCAAGACCAGAAATAAGTGAGTGAAAATATTTTTTTCCCTAGTTGCATACCAATGCATACCAAAGATGGGGTAAAATAGCTCTGTTTCAGTTGGCCCTCCTTGCTTGTGAGGATTGAGGACCAAAAGTTAGGTCCAGAGAATTTAATTAGGGCAGTGTAACTAGATCCTGTGTCAATAAAAAAACTCAATTTTATATTCTGCTACACACAAGATTACCTGAGATTCAGCAGTAGTGATGGAAAATACAGGAGCCTGGATGGCCTCTGGGACAGTGAGGAAATGGCCCCTCTTGGGGCTTTTTCTTCTCTTTTAAGGTCTCCTCAGCTTTTTCATAATTGAGGAACAAAGTTAAGGGCATTTGCCTTTGCTTTCCTCCCAAGTTGGCCCATAATTGGGACTTGTTTGAGGATGACTACCTATCATGAGGGAGCGAGGAGCATTCCAGTTTCCAGTGTCCCAGTTGCTTGCAGTATTGGCAAAGGCCAGGTGGTGGCAGTAGAAAATCAGGTGACACTCGTGGAGGGTTTTGGCAGTTTCTGTTAATATGCCAAGGCTGGTTATAGCTATAACAGAGAATGGGCCTTTTATTGGTCAGTGGGTGACATCCTGATGCTTGGTCTGTGGTCCCTGGTTTGGGCAGGCAGGTAGCAAAGGCAGCAGCCATATAATGAGCTTGCTGCCTGTCTCTTTCTCTTTCCTTCCTATCCTGTCAGTTCTTGAGGCTTCCTCCCAGTTATTAAAGAATGTAAAGGCCATTTATAGCAAAGTAAGGAAAGGGGTCTGTGGCCTTTGAACTAGTTTTTCAAGCTTATGCCTAACGTCTGGAGAGGCCTAATAAAATACACAGCCACAATAGTGAGGCCCTCTTGGCTCTAGAGATCCATATTAGTGCATTTTCTCATAGCTTCAGCTACCCTAGAGTGGAATAGGGCTGGGTTTTCATTTGGCCCCTGTGTAACTTCTCTTAATGTAGCATAATTTGCAGGTTTAATGACAGCCTTTTTCATCCCCTCAATCAGGCAAGTGATCATATAATTGTGGTGGACTCTATCAGGGTCTCCTTCTTGACAGCCCCATCTAGGATCACTATCATAAACAACTGTTCTTCCTGGTTCAGGGTTCCAAATGTTCCAGGCATGGAATTCTTCTGCCCATCAGTGGGCTAGAGACCAAATGTGGGTCTTTTCCTTATGAGTGCAACAGGTGGTAAAAATAACCTAAATGTTTTGCCAATTGAGATCAAAGGAAACTGCAAGCCCCTTGAATTTCTTCATAAAATGGGAGGGGTACTAACTAAAAGAGCCAAGATTTGCCTCTATTTCAGACAAATCAGACATAGGGAATGAGACATGGGCCCTGATGATTCCTACACCCCCATTTGGCCACTTCTCAGAGCTGCAAACCTTTATCTGATGATGGGAGAGAATCAGAGGTGACTCCTGATCTGGTATGTGGAGGAGAAGTGGTTCTGGGTATGGAGGAGGTAAAGAGGGAGAGACAGAAGGTGTAGCTGAGGAAGGAGGTATTGAAGGGAAAGATGTGTAGTCAGGGAAAATGAATGGAGAGACCAAAGTGGGAGAGGTCTGGAACATGAGAGTGTAAAAGAAGGGTCATCCAAAATGTCTGAGGAATCTAAGGGACTTAAGAATTTTGCCAGTCTCATTCTACAATTGTCTCTAAAGTCTAGGTTTTTTTTTTTTATAGAAACATAAACTTGAACATAGGGCACCTCAGACCATTTGGAAGAGTTATGGCAAAAGAGATCAAGATTTAAAAGAATACTGGAGTCTAGGCTCCCATTCTGGGTCCACTTCAATTTCTGTGGGAGGTGGTAAGGAGGCCATGCTATGTTGCAAAGAAAGATTAGGTGTTTCTTTTTGAGGGGTTGAGGGTCAAATTTGTCCCGATTCTTCAAAATACAGTCTAGAGGTGAGTCTACAGGAATAGATGGGGTTTGTGGAATGAAAAAACATGCCACTTTGGGGCAGTTCCACTTGGGGCATGAACGACACTTTCTGTCAAGACATCTCGCCGAAATGAAAAGAAGGTTCCATTTATGTCCACTGAGGGACTCTGGGTGCACTTTCTAAAGGAGTGTCTCAGTCATTAGAAAAGTCCTCTTGGCTGATCGGAGGCCTCATGCTGGATGGCCAGTTGAGGTACTCATTTATGCTGGGTGATCAGCTCAGGTTTGAAGAAAAAGGGTAAAGGAAGATCTCTGTCTGGTGTTGACCCAGGAGAGTGGGTAGTTAAGGGAAGACTCACTGTTCTGAGGCTGTCTGAGATCACCTGATTTAGCACATCCAGAAAAGGATGATTGGCTGTCTCCACAGGAGAATTTAGAGTGACAGAGGGTCTGAGTCACCTAAAACATGTGCGAATTCACCCTGAACAAGCTTCTGCTGTCAATTGCTTCACATTTTGGCATCAGGGGCTTTTGATCAGAAAAAATAAGAAAGAGCCTTTCTTTTTTCTGGGCAGGGCAGCCAGTCCTGTTCACTCTTTGGCCTTCAGGCGGCACCATAGACTGGCCCTGCCTGTTACTTTTAATTGCCAGAGAGCTAATAGAAGCTGGCAGACAAAAGACTGAAAAGAATAAGTAGACTCAGGTCCCTCACCCTAACGGGCGATGGTGGTCAGACGCTTTCGCAAAGACACCTTCCAGTCCTACTAGAGAGTAGCTCCAGCTACAGTGCAATTGCCTCTGTGCTTAGACACTGTCCAAAGTTCGAAAAAAGAGAGGGGAGAGAGTTCCCCATGAAGAGAGAGTCCCCTTATGGGCCACCAGAATGTTGCCGGTGAGCAATGACTATCTGGGCTGGTGGTGCAGGACTGAAAGAATTTACCAAGACAGTTGTAGGTAGAAAAAAGGCAGATTTATTAGAGAAAGTATGAAAATACATTGTGAAAAGGCAACAGACAGTATCAGTAGAAGAGAAGCTGACAGCCAGGAGCAAAAAGGCTTGCTCAGGATTCTATAGAATGGAACTTGGGAACTTGCATTCTTCTGTCAGCTGGGATATTTGATAAATTGAGGAATTTGATGGTAAGCAGGAAGTTTGTGAGTTATGTATCTTATTGGTTCAGGAGGGCTATATGTCCTGGGCCATAAAACTATAATTTATCAGCTTCCTCTTTTTGTTTATATGTCCTGAACCATGAAGAAAGGCAAAAGGCATAGTTTATTTGCCTCATATCTTTGCTTTCCGCTGGTCCTGCCAGCCTGACTCCTTTTTCCAAATTAGGACTCCACAATATATTGTGTATTTATATTTGTTCAGATAAAAATACTTTTATAATATTGTGCATATTTTTTCTTTCACCAATAATTTATAAATGTATTTTTTAATTTTTAATTATTTTATGATTAAAGATATATTTTTGTTTTCTAACTTTACTGTGGTGGAAGAACATATCTTTTATGATTTCAAACCTTTAAAATTTATAATACTTGTTCCATGGACTAGAATATGGTTTGTCTTGCAGAATATTCCCTGTTGCAAAGAAACAAATGTATATTTTGCTGTTGTTGTGTGGAATGTTTTATAGATGTCTGTTAGGTAAAGTTAGTTAGAAATGTTGTTTAAAGTTTCTCTGTCTTGGCTGAATTTCTGTATCGTTCAATTACTAGATTGCTTTAGTCCCTATTATTGTTGAATTCTCTACTTCTTCCTTCAATTCCTTCAATTATAGTTTTATGTATTGGGTACTCTGCTTTCGGGACATGTGTGAGTTGTCCCGCCTTTCTGAACAAAACCAATGTATTTCTTAAATGTATTTGATTGATGTCTCAGGCCTCCCTAAAATATATAAAACCAAACTGTACCCCTCCCACCTAGGGCTCCTGTTCTTAGGACCTCCTGAGGGCTGTGTCACAGGCCAGGGTCACTCATATTTGGCTTAGAATAAATCTCTTCAAATATTTATTTGAAAATATTTCAGAACACCTGATGTTTTGAGCCCTCTCAGAGGTCATAGACCTCTGGAGAGAGAAACTGAGACACATAAGAGGGTGGAAAGTCAGTGGTAACACACTGTGGAGTCCTGCCCACAGGCAGCACGCATTGAACCATCACAAAAACACCCTAGGCTACAGCTCAGTTCCTCCTTTTCAGAAAAAAAAAAAGGGTGGGGGGTTAAATGAGGAGAAAACAAGGAGAATGACCCCTCTTTTTGGCAATCCATAGGTTTTATGGCACCTCTGCTTGCCAGAGTTTACATAAAATGGAAGTAATATGGTCTTTGTGCACATTGACATTGAGGAAAAATAGGCCTGAGGTCGACCTGCATGCTATAGAGTTCCTAGGTTCTATTTTCTTTTCTGCCTGAAGTCTATTGTTACTTTTCTGCAGAGATAAAAACCACTGTTTGGATCTAACAGTGACTTTCTTTTTCTTTTTCTTTTTTTTTTTTTGAGATGGAGTTTCGCTCTTGTTGCCCAGGCTGGAGTGCAATGACGTGATCTCGGCTCACCGCAACCCCCGCCTCCCGGGTTCAAGAGATTCTCCAGTCTCCGTCCCCTGAGTAGCTGGGATTACAGGCATGTGCCACCACACCCAGCTAAGTTTTGTATTTTTAGTAGAGACGGAGTTTCTCCGTGTTGGTCAGGATAGTCTCGAACTCCAAACCTCAGATGATCCGCCCGCCTTGGCCTCCCAATGTGTTGGGATTACAGGCGTGAGCCACCGTGCCCGACCTAATAGTGTTTTTTGTTTGTTTGTTTGTTTTGCTTTTTTTCTTTTTTTTGCAAGCTGGCAAAATTATATTTATTTCATAACTAAAGTACTGAAGCAATAGCAATGGGAACTTTGTGTGTGTGAATGTGTGTATGTATATGTGTGTGTATATATTTGAAGGCCTTTATAATAGGCTTATTTACTTTTATGTTCAATTGGCAACTGAATCCATTTAAAATTTCTCTCTAGCACACCAGACTTTTTCTTCTTACCTTACAATGTAAATTTTGCTATCATCTGATTTTCACCTGAGTTGCCTGTAATATGCAAATCTGAGGCTATTTAAATGACAACTGACTAAGTTAAGATAGAAACATGGAAAAAAAGGTCTTTATGAATCTATAAGATGTATTTCTATCAGCATGCCTAACACGTCTATATATGTATATGTTGTGTATACAGTATTTTCACTACTAAAAAAATAAAGAGCTCTGATTAATGGGCTTAAAATATATAAAAGCGCTTAAATCAAATACTTAAATGACTAGTCAAATGCTTTTTCAAGTTCACGTGACTTAAGTAAAATCTTTAAATAAGCCAGCTTTAAAATTATTGGTAAAATAATATCATCAATGTTAGCATTTTTTGTTTGCTTTATTGTAGTTTTATGTTTATTCCCACAGAGTACTATAAGATTTGCCATAAAGGTTATAAACTATAAAACTCAGCCCAAGACAGAATGATCATTGCTTGTATATGCTTATGAAATATTGTTGGCTTAAATGAAAACAGCTAAACCCTGAGTTATTGGTATAAATATCCTTAAATTTAACCATAAGTTTTATTACATAAGTAAATACCTGAAATTCAGAGCTATAAAAATGGTAAACAGGAAAATAACTTTAAATATTGTTTATCACAGTTTTTTAAAATAATCTAGGTAAACTATTAAATTAATCAGGTAAATGTAATTGAATAAATGCTTGTAAACAAACTTGACATAATTTAGGATCTAAGGTTATTATTTGGTATTAAATATCTGGATAAATTCCAATTGAAAAATTATAGGAAAACTTTTTTTTTATTACACTTTAAGTTCTAGGGCACAACGTGGAGGTTTGTTACATATGTATACATGTGCCATGTTGGTGTTCTGCACCCATTAACTCAACATTTACATTAGGTATTTCTCCTAATGCTATCTCCTCTCCTCCCCCCACCTCACAACAGGCCCTGGTGTGTGATGTTCCCCACCCTGTATCCATGTGTTCTCATTGTTCAATACCCACCTATGAGTGAGAACACGTGGTGTTTGGTTTTCTGTCCTTGTGATAGTTTGCTGAGAATGATGGTTTCCAGCTTCATCCATGTCCCTACAAAGGACATGAACTCATCCTTTTTTTGGCTGCATAGTATTCCACAGTGTATATGTGCCACATTTTCTTAATCCAGTCTATCACTGATGGACATTTGGGTTGGTTCCAAGTCTTTGCTATTGTGAATAGTGCCGCAATAAACATACATGTGCATGTGTTTTTATAGTAGCATGATTTATAATCCTTTGGGTATATACCCAGTAACGGGATGACTGGGTCAAATGGGATTTCTAGTTCTAGATCCCTGAGGAATCACCACACTGACTTGCACAATGGTTGAACTAGTTTACAGTCCCACCAACAGTGTAAAAGTGTTCCTATTTCTCCATATCCTCTCCAGCACCTGTTGTTTCCTGACTTTTTAATGATCGTCATTCTAACTGGTGTGAGATGGTATCTCATTGTGGTTTTGATTTGCAATTCTCTGATGGCCAGTGATGATGAGCATTTTTTCATGTGTCTTTTGGCTGCATAAATGTCTTCTTTCGAGAAGTGTCTGTTCATATCCTTTGCCCGCTTTTCGTTGGGGTTGTTTGACTTTTTCTTGTAAATTTGTTTAAGTTCTTTGTAGATTCTGGATATTAGCCCTTTGTCAGATGAGTAGATTGCAAAAATTTTCTCCTATTCTGTAGGTTGCCTGTTCACTCTGATGGTAGTTTCTTTTGCTGTGCAGAAGCTCTTTAGTTTAATTAGATCCCATTTGTCAATTTTGGCTTCTGTTGCCGTTGGTTTTGGTGTTTTAAACATGAAGTCCTTGCCCATGCCTATGTCCTGAGTGGCATTGACTAGGTTTTCTTCTAGGTTTTTTATGGTTTTAGGTCTAACATTTAAGTCTTTAATCCATCTTGAATTCCAGTTTCAGCTTTCTACATATGGCTAGCCATTTTTCCCAGCACCATTTATTAAATAGGGAATCCTTTCCCCATTGCTTGTTTTTGCCAGGTTTGTCAAAGATCAGATGGTTGTAGATGTGTGGTATTATTTCTGAGGGCTCTGTTCTGTTCCATTGTTGTATATCTCTGTTTTGGTAGCAGTGTTTTGGTTACTGTAGCCCTGTAGTATAGTTTGAAATCAGGTATCGTGATGCCTCCAGCTTCGTTCTTTTGGCTTAGGATTGTCTTGGCAATGCGGGCTCCTTTTTGGTTCCATATGAACTTTAAAGTAGTCTTTTCCAATTCTGTGAAGAAAGTCATTGGTAGTTTGATGGGGATGGCATTGAAAGGAAAACATTTTTTAAATGTTCTTATTTAAAGGTAAAATATCTTTGTCTAATTCAAAGCTTATTTAAGGGTTATGTATGAAACAAGGTAAAGGAATCAGGAAATAAGAGATGTAAAAAGAGTTAAGGATATAAAGAGGTATTTTTGTTAAAAAAAAAAAAGGTTAAAAAAGTAATGTTATATAAGAAAGAATCTTGTGTAGTAAATATTTATCCTAAAATAAAATGATGGGGTTGCTCAAGAAAGAGGGACATTTAAGACAAAAGAGTCTAAACAAATTGTGAATGAATTATGTAAGTAATAATAAGGTTAGTAAGAAGGAATTTTTAAAGGGGTTTGTATAATTCAATTGGCTGTGATTAAGAAGAAATTATAATAGTTTTTCTGGAGATGGGTTTTGATATTAAAAATACACTAATACAAAACTGAAAAATTAGTTAAAAAACAAGATTATTATAAATATTTAACTTACTTTTAATGCAAAATTTTTAAATTTTAAGATTCTATGATCAGTCTCTGTAACATTCTTCAGACTGATATCTCAGAAGTTCAATTCTTTCTCCTTTGGAAAGGCCTTAATAGCTCTCTCCTTCACCTTTTGTTGACTACTGTAACTTTTATTAATTATCTAAAGTAAGTGAGGAAGTTTTTTGAAAATAGGCAAATACAATATCTTTTGGGCCTGCCTTTTTATTGTGCATGCCTGTTATATCTCTATCTTTATGTGTCATGTAGAAGTGATATTTCACTATCAAACTACATGAAAAAGCTCTAATCAAGTAACTTAAAAAATGTGAATGCTTACCAAATTTGTACAACCTAGCTGAGATGTCTTTTAGTTCACATGACCTTGGTAATCTTTGGTAAAATAAATTTTGAAAATTAAATCTCAAAACTCTCTGTAGTAATTTAATATCTTAAAATTATGTTAAAACTTCAGTTTTTTTTCTCCACTGGAAATTTGGGGTACTAAAAGTTAAAATAGTAGGAGCATAAAATATGCTATTAAAAATTTTATTAAACACAAGGATGTCAATTTTCAAAAAAGCAAGGTTTTTTTGGTTAAGAACTATTTAAGAGTTGCTTTATAATGAAGGAAATTATACAGATAAAATGAAATGGATAGAAAAATAAGCTAGGGCAACAAAAACTAACTCTAAGTCCTGTGGTTATCAAGAAAAATAGTTGATATAGGGGAAGGGTACAACCAAGTAACCACTAAAAACCAGATGGTGTAATGCAAAGGAACTGTTCAATTTTGTAGACTGGTATCATTCAGTTACTTTAAAAGTAGTAGATTGTAAAAATAACCACTTTAAGGCCAAATTATTAATTTTAAATGCTACAGAATTTAAGGGCTTATTTGGATTAATGCAGGGCCCACAGCTCATTACTGAACAATCACTGAGTATCTGCAATCCACATGCATAGAGGGTTATTCCTGAGAAAGCAATCAGCCTAGTGGGCCAGATAATGCCATTATAAGGTCTGTTTGCTCCGCGAAGGGGACTGTCCAACTCTCTCTATAAAATAGCAAGTGGGAGAGAGCCAAGATGGCTGAATAGGAACAGCTCCAGTCTACAGCTCCCAGCGTGAGCGACACAGAAGATGGGAGATTTCTGCCTTTCTAACTGAGGCTTAACAAATGGCCCACCAGGAGATTATATCCTGCGCATGGTTCAGAGGGTCCTACACCCATGGAGCCTCACTCATTGCTAGCACAGCAGTCTGAGATCAAACTGCAAGGGGGCAGTTAGGTGGGGGGAGGGGCACCCACCATTGCCAAGGATTGAGTAGGTAAACAAAGCAGCTGGGAAGCTTGAACTGGGTGGAGACCACCACAGTTCAAGGAGGCCAGCCTGCCTCTGTAGGCTCCACCTCTGGGGGCAGGGCACAGACAAACAAAAGGCAGCAGTAACCTCTGCAGACTTAAATGTCCCTGTCTGACAGATTTGAAGAGAGTAGTGGTTCTCCCAGCACCCAGCTTGAGATCTGAGAATGGGCAGACTGCCTCCTCAAGTGGGTCCCTGACCCCCGAGTAGCCTAACTGGGAGGCACATCCCAGTAGGGGCGGACTGACACCTCACAGGGCCGGGTACTCCTCTGAGACAAAACTTCCAGAGGAACGATCAGGCAGCAGCATTTGCAGTTCACCATATCCGCTGTTCTGCAGCCTCCACTGCTGATACCCAGGCAAACAGGGTCTGGAGTGGACCTCTGGCAAACTCCAACACACTTGCAGCTGAGGGTGCTGACTGTTAGAAGGAAAATTAACAAACAGAAAGGACATCCACACCAAAACCCCACCTGTTTGTCACCATCATCAAAGACCAAAGGTAGATAAAACCACAAAGATGGGGAAAAAACAGAGCAGAAAAACTGGAAGCTCTAAAAATCAGAGCACCTCTCCTCCTCCAAAGGAGCGCAGCTCCTCACCAGCAATGGAACAAAGCTGGACAGAGAATGACTTTGACGTGTTGTGAGAAGAAGGCTTCAGAAGATCAAACTTCTCCGAGCTAAAGGAGGAAGTTCGAACCCAAGGCAAAGAAGTTAAAAACCTTGAAAAAAAATAGACGAATGGCTAACTAGAATAACCAATGCAGAGAAGTCCTTAAAGGACCTGATGGAGCTGAAAACCATGGCACGAGAACTAAATGACGAATGCACAAGACTCAGTAGCCGATGCGATCACCTGGAAGAAAGTGTATTAGTGATGGAAGATGAAATGAATGAAATGAAGTGAGAAGAGAAGTTTAGAGAAAAAAGAATAAAGAGAAATGAACAAAGCCTCCAAGAAATCTGGGACTATGTGAAAAGACCAAATCTACATCTGATTGGTGTACCTGAAAGTGATGGGGAGAATGGAACCAAGTTGGAAAACACTCTGCAGGATATTATCCAGGATAACTTCCCCAATCTAGCAAGGCAGGGCAACATTCAAATTCAGGAAATACAGAGAATGCCACAAAGATACTCCTCGAGAAGAGCAACTCCAAGAAACATAATTGTCAGATTCACCAAAGTTGAAATGAAGGAAAAAATGCTAAAGGCAGCCAGAGAGAAAGGTCAGGTTACCCACAAAGGGAAGCCCATCAGACTAACAGCTGACGTCTTGGCAGAAACTCTACAAGCCAGAAGAGAGATGGGGCTAATATTCAACATTCTTAAAGAAAAGAATTTTCAACCCAGAATTTCATATCCAGCCAAACTAAGCTCCATAAGTGAAGGAGAAATAAAATACTTAACAGACAAGCAAATGCTGAGAGATTTTGTCACCACCAGGCCTGCCCTAAAAGACCTCCTGAAGGAAGCACTAAACATGGAAAGGAACAACCGGTACCAGCCACTGCAAAAACATGCCAAATTGTAAAGTCCACCAAGGCTAGGAAGAAACTGCATCAACTAACGAGCAAAATAACCAGCTAAGATGATAATGACAGGATCAAATTCACACATAACAATACTAACCTTAAAAGTAAATGGGCTAAATGCTCCAACTAAAAGACACAGACTGGCACATTGGATAAAGAGTCAAGACCCATCAGTGTGCTGTATTCAGGAAACCCATCTCACATGCAGAGACACACATAGGCTCAAAATAAAGGGATGGAGGAAGATCTACCAAGCAAATGGAAAACAAAAAAAGGCAGGGGTTGCAATCCTAGTCTTGGATAAAACAGACTTTAATCCAACAAAGATCAAAAGAGACAAAGAAGGCCATTACATAATGATAAAGGGATCAATTCAACAAGAAGAGGTAACTCTCCAAAATATATGTGCATCCAATACAGGAGCACCCAGATTCATAAAGCAAGTCCTTAGTGACATACAAAGAAACTTAGACTCCCACACAATAATAATGGGAGATTTTAACACCTCACTGTCAACATTAGACAGATCAATGAGACAGAAAGTTAACAAGGATATCCAGGAATTGAACTCAGCTCTGCACCAAGCAGACCTAATAGACATCTAAAGAACTCTCCACCCCAAATCAACAGAATATACATTCTTTTCAGCACCACACCACACCTATTCCAAAATTGACCACACAGATGGAAGTAAAGCACTCCACAGCAAATGTACAAGAACAGAAATTATAACAAACTGTCTCTCAGACCACAGTGCAATCAAACTAGAACTCCGGATAAAGAAACTCACTCAAAACCGCTCAACTACATGGAAACTGAACAACCTGCTCCTGAACGACAACTGGGTACATAACGAAATGAAGGCAGAAATAAAGATGTTCCTTGAAACCAACAAGAAAAAAGACACAACATACCAGAATCTCTGGGACACATTCAAAGCAGTGTGTAGAGGGAAATTTATAGCACTAAATGTCCACAAGAGAAAGCAGGAAAGATCTAAAATTGACACTCTAACATCACAATTAGAAGAACTAGAGAAGCAAGAGCAAACACATTCAAAAGCTAGCAGAAGGCAAGAAATAACTAAGATCAGAGCATAACTGAAGGAAATAGAGACACAAAAAACCTTTCAAGAAATCAGTGAATCCAGGAGCTGATTTTTTGAAAAGATCAACAAAATTGATAGACTGTTAGCAAGGTTAACAAAGAAGAAAAGAGAGAAGAATCAAATAGACACTATAATAAATGATAAAGGGTATATCACCACTGATTCCACAGAAATACAAACTACCATCAGAGAATACTATAAACACCTCTACAGAAATAAACTAGAAAATCTAGAAGAAATGGATAAATTCCTCAACACATACACTCTCCCAAGACTAAAGTATAAAGAAGTCGAATCTCTGAATTAGACCAATAAGAGGCTCTGAATTTGAGGCAATAATGAGTAGCTTACGAGCCAAAAAAAGTCCAGGACCAGATGGATTCACAGCCAAATTCTACCAGAGGTACAAGGAGGAGCTGGTACCATTCTTTCTGAAACTATTCCAATCAATAGAAAAAGAGGGAATCCTCCCTAACTCATTTTATGAGGCCAGCATCATCCTGATACCAAAGCTTGGCAGAGACACAACAAAAAAAGAGAATTTTAGGCCAGTATCCCTGATGAACACTGATGCAAAAATCCTCAATAAAATACTGGCAAACTGAATCCAGCAGCACATCAAAAAGCTTATCCACCATGATCAAGTGGGCTTCATCCCTGGGATGCAAGGCTGGTTCAACATACGAAAATCTATAAATGTAATGCAGCATATAAACAGAAACAAAGACAAAAACCACATGATTATCTATATAGATGCATAAAAGCCTCTGACGAAATTCAACAACCCTTCATTCTAAAAATTCTCAATATTAGGTATTGGTGGGACTTATCTGAAAATAGTAATAGCTATCTATGAAAACCCAAAGCCAATATCATACTGAATGGACAAAAACTGGAAGGATTCCCTTTGAAAACTGGCACAAGACAGGGATGCCCTCTCTCACCACTCCTATTCAACATAGTGTTGGAAATTCTGGCCAGGGCAATCAGGCAGGAGAAGGAAATAAAGGGCATTCAATTAGGAAAAGAGGAAGTCAAATTGTCCCTGTTTGCAGATGACATGATGGTATATATATAAAACCCCACCGTCTCAGCCCAAAATCTCCTTAAGCTGATAAGCAAAGTAAGCAAAGTCTCAGGATACAAAATCAATGTGCAAAAATCACAAGCATTCTTATAAGCCAATAGCAGAAAAACAGAGAGCCAAATCATGAGTGAACTCCCATTCACAATTGCTTCAAAGAGAATAAAATACCTAGGAATCCAGCTTACAAAGGATGTGAAGGACCTCTTCAAGGAGAACTACAAACCACTGCTCAATGAAATAAAAGAGGATACAAACAAATGGAAGAACATTCCATGCTCATGGGCAGGAAGAATCAATATCGTGAAAATGGCCATGTGTCCCAAGGTAATTTATAGATTCAATGCCATCCCCATCAAGCTACCAATGACTTTCTTCACAAAAGTGGAAAAAGCTACTTTAAAGTTCATATGGAACCAAAAAAGAGTTCGCATTGCCAAGTCAATCCTAAGCCAAAAGAACAAAGCTGGAGGCATCACGCTACCTGACTTCAAACTATACTACAAGGCTACAGTAACCAAAACAGCATGGTACTGGTACCGAAACAGAGATATAGAACAACGGAACAGAAGAGAGCCCTCAGAAATAATGCCACATATCTACAACCATCTGATCTTTGACAAACCTGACAAAAACAAGCAATATGGAAAGGATTCCCTATTTAATAAATGGTGCTGGGAAAACTGGCTAGCCATATGTAGAAAGCTGAAACTGGATCCCTTCCTTACACCCTATACAAAAATTAATTCAAGATGGATTAAAGACTTACATGTTAGACCTAAAACCATAAAAACCCTAGAAGAAAACCTAGGCAATACCATTCAGGACATAGGCATGGGCAAGGACTTCATGACTAAAACACCAAAAGCAATCCAACAAAAGCCAAAATTGACAAATGGGATCTAATGAAACTAAAGAGCTTCTGCACAGCAAAAGAAACCACCATCAGAGTGAACAGGCAACCTACAGAATGGGAGAAAATTTTTGCAACCTACTCATCTGACAAAGGGCTAATATCCAGAATCTACAATGAACTCAAACAAATTTACAAGAGAAAAACAAACAACCCCATCAAAAAGTGGGCAAAGGATATGAACAGACACTTCTCAAAAGAAGACATTTATGCAGCCAAAAAACACAAGAAAAAATGCTCATCATCACTGACCATCAGAGAAATGCAAATCAAAACCACAATGAGATACCATCTCACACCAGTTAGAATGGTGATCATTAAAAAATCAGGAAACAACAGGTGGTGGAGAGGATGTGGAGAAATAGGAACATTTTACACTGTTTGTGGGGCTGTAAACTAGTTCAACCATTGTGGAAGTCAGTGTGGCGATTCCTCAGCGATCTAGAACTAGAAATCCCATTTGACCCAGCCATCCCATTACTGGGTATATACCCAAAGGATTATAAATCATGCTGCTACAAAGACACATGCACAAATATGTTTATTGTGGCACTATTCACAATAGCAAAGACTTGGAACCAACCCAAATGTCCAACAATGCTAGATTGGATTAAGAATATGTGGCACATATACACCATGGAATACTATGCAGCCATAAAAAATGAAGAGTTCATGTCCTTTGTAGGGACATGGATGAAACTGGAAACCATCATTCTCAGCAAACTATCGCAAGGACAAAAAACCAAACGCCACATGTTCTCACTCATAGGTGGGAATTGAACAATGAGAATACATGGACACAGGAAGGGGAACATCACACACCGGGGACTGTTGTGGGGTGGGGGGAGGGTGGAGGTATAGCATTAGGAGATATACCTAATGCTAAATGTTGAGTTAATGGGTACAGCACACCAACATGGCACCTGTATACATATGTAAGAAACCTGCTCATTGTGCACATGTACCCTAAATCTTAAAATGTAATAATAATAAAAAAAAATAGCAAGTGAAGTACCCCAGATGAAGCCGTTAATATATTTCATATGCAAGCTGTGAGAGACTAGCTTTATAATAACTGTGATATCCTCCCACCAAATTTGTCTATCGTCTGGGTCATGGTATATTTGATGGTTAAGGGGGGCCCTTTTATATGGGTGCCCCTCTCACAGAATTATGGGTCTTTTTAAGAAGGCTTATCAAATCTGTCCCTCATATGCCTTAAAGATGCAACTCCCTGCTGGGAACCCAAGTCTTTTTCACCAGAAAAATTAAAGTGGTCTGGGGTTAAAAAAGACTTCTGGGGACCAGAACATAAAACATACAGATTAATAGAATTATAAAATGTAAGATGTTTAAACAAGCTCTCTGTGAGGTAGTTGTAACCCCTTTTACCTAAATGTCTTATGAAAATGGATAGTATATCTAACTGTGGAATGTTTTCCTCTTTCTAGTACTGTAAAGCTGAAGACATGTAAATCTGCTCATGTAAATCCTCCACTGCATAGTCTTTTGTTTGGAGCATTTATGGGGCTTATGGTAAAAACCGTGTGTACTTTTCAGTAACAACGACTGAGCTAGAGAATTTCTACTTCGTGGGGCATTTACTGCCTTGCTGTGGAATATTAACTGGAGCTACCCCTATACTAATGGGAATAATGTTTTCCAAAAAGTTCCATGGTAAAATAAAAATGGTTTACATAAAATCTTGCTATATAATAAGCAGAGAGCCTTTTTCTAGGACTAATTGTAAGAAGCTGCTAAATTCTATAGTGCCAAATAGCTCTCATGAGCTGTTTGGTTTGTAAATGACATTTCCAAGGTAAACAAACATCTTGTCTTAAAAGCTGCTGCTCTGGTTAAAAGAGGGTCAAGACATTTTTTTTTAAGTTATTTGGAAAAAGTATGTTTTTGTAAGCAAATTTACCTTTCTGAGTTCTCCAAAATTCAGATTGTGATTTTATAACATTATAATTGTCTGCATTAGTTTAATGATAATTAAAAAATAATTGTTTTAAGGGAAAAGTGTGACACTTAATACTAGATTTCAGTCCTAACTTTTTAAGTGCAGATTAAATTATTGTTCTTGGCTACAATAATCCTCTAGAAAGTACCAGATTGTAATTTTTCTTCATATTTTTAGTTGGTGCCCTAATAGAATAGGGCACCTTTCTATTTCCTTTTTCTGTTCTAACATACAAATTATTCTATAATTGTCAAACTATAAATGTTATTTATCTCTCCTTGTTTTACTTCCAAGGAAACCAAAATCATGGTATTCTGAAGACCAGAGATATGAATCTCCTTCATTTGGCATCCCACCGGCCCCGATCTGTTTCACTGCTAATGTTCTGCTGCCAAAACTATACAAGCTGCCTCACCCCTAGGCCCAGGGACTATCACAGAAGAGGTGGGTGCATAAGATTGTAAGGGCCGGTTTTCAGTAATAAATTAGGTCAAGATCAAACCCTCCAAATCAAGAAGGGGGTACAAAAAAATGCCTAAACAATTAGTAAAACAACTTTAGTTGCCTTCTAAATTATAATATGTCACTTTTGCATCCACACCAACCATAAAAATTTTCTGCTTACGATAAAATTAAAGAAAAATATTTACTAACAGGATAAAATAACTTGAAACAAAGCCTCCTGAGTATCATACTCCAAGTATAAGTTGTAAAGATAAAAATATATTTATACATATTTTTTATTATATTTTAAAATAATGCTTATGTTTTGTATAGCTAATTGCTGTAAGTCTGTAACAGAAACCAAGCTTACTGTAGCTCAACACATAAAAGTTAAAAATAAGTCAGTCTTGTAACTTTGCCTTTTGGTTTTATTGTCAGCTTTTTAAACTTAAAATAATAATTTTAAGAAGTAATGAATGCCTTTCCACATCCATTCCTATATGGCCTAAAATAATTGGGTATAAGTCTTTTGACTCTGAAGGTCCTCGGCCATAGGGAGTCCTGCTGAGGAAAAAATGACACTGTAGAATTACATGACTTCTCCTGTGACAGAACCTTTTCTCTCCCGAATACCAGTATATGGTGCAATACAAAAGTATTGGGAAAAATAGATTTGTCTACTGTTAACAAGTCTATAACAATTTACACAATGAGGATGAGGTGTTTCTTGCATGTAATATATACCCTTCTCAGGATGCTATATCTATGGAGATAAATTGGCTGGAAGAGAAATTAAATTTATTAAATTCAAACTTAATGTTGGTCCTACAATTCTCAAATAAGATTTACCATAAAGGTCAAGTAACCCTTGATAAGGAGGGTAAACACATTGTGAGTCTGATCAAATAATATAATGATGCATGCAGAGTTTTTTTTTCTGTTTGGTTGGGTTGTTTACTGCCCTCTGATTCTACCTATAACCTTGGACACCCAAATATTCACTATCTTTATGATGTTTGTTACTATATTAACATTAGACATTTCTTGTAAATGTTATGCCAGATACAGCAGAAGGAAAAGGCACAGTTAAAGACCTGGATCATGATAGCTCAGAAAATAGATCTGATCTGGAATTTTTTTAGACTAAACCCTTGGCCTGACTCCATCTCACCCCTTAAACAATTGGCTATTACATCAGGTCAGACCATGTCCTCCCCACATTGTCCAAATCGTTAATATTTAAAATTATTACCATCAAGTCAGAGAACTCTAGGAACAAGTCTTCCTAGCACCATGGGACCCTGCCAAATGGCCAAATCAGACAACTTTAGGAATGAGCCTCCCTAGTGCTGTGGGAGTTTTTTGGCCTGCATATGCATTCCATGGAATGCTTTTTGGCCAAGAGGTGGCACTGAAGAATAAGCTCTGATTTTTTTACCTTGCCCAAATTCCTATCTAAGGAGTCTGGGGAGTCATGCCCTACAAACCATAAATTCTCATCAGATGGGTTTTATTTAACCCTATATATCATGACTTACTTTCCAATCTGACTCTGGCATAACATTCTGAGACAAGGAAGAAAATAAAAGTATTTTACCCCAAAACATGTTTCTCTAATGGCCCTGAAAATCTCCATCTGTGAAGAATCTCTATTAACATAGTTAGATCTTTTTCTTCCAGGCCCTTCCAATCCTGAATAGATTAACTGAAAGTAGCACCTTTTAAAGATCTGAATAGGGAATATTTTTCACCTATTGTCTCTAAGGACAGCCACTATAAGACTTCAAAAGAACTTTGGTCTCCACAATCTTTTTTTAATTTTTTTTTAAATTATACTTAATGTTCTGGGATACATGGGCAGAACGTGCAGGTTTGTTACATAGGTACATATGTGACATTGTGGTTTGCTGCACCCATCAAGCCATCATCTACATTAAGCATTTCTCCTAAGGCTATCCCTCCCTTACCCCTCAACCCCCTGACAGGCCCTGGTGTGTGATGTTCCCCTCTCTGCATCCATGTGTTCTCATTGTTCAGCTCCCACTTATGAGTGAGAACACATGGTGTTTGGTTTTCTGCTCTTGTGTTAGTTTGCTGAGAATAATGGTTTCCAGCTTCATCCATGTCCCTGCAAAGGACATGAACTCATCATTTTCTATGGCTGCATAGTATGGTGTATATGTGCCACGTTTTCTTCATCCAGTCTATCATTGATGGACATTTGGGTTTGTTTCAAGTCTTTGCTATTGTGAACAGTGCCGCAATAAATGTGTGCATGTGTCTTTATAGTAGAATGATTTATAATCCTTTGGGTATATACCCAGTAATGGGATGGCTGGGTCAAATGGTATTTCTGGTTCTAGATCATTGAGGAATCTCCACACTGTCTTCCACAGTGGTTGAACTAATTTACACTCCCACCAACAGAGTAAAAGCATTCCTATTTCTCCACATCCTCTCCAGCATCTGTTGTTTCCTGACTTTTTAATTATCACCATTCTAACTGGTGTGAGATGGTATCTCATTGTTGTTATGATTTGCATTTCTCTAATGACCAGTGATGATGAGCTTTTTTTCTTGTTTGTTGGCTGCATAAATGTCTTCTTCTGAGAAGTGTCTGTTCATATCCTTTGCCCACTTTTTGATGGGTTGTTTGTTTTTTTCTTGTAAATTTGTTTAAGTTCTTTGTAGATTCTGGATATTAGCCCTTTGTGAGATGGATAGATAGCAAAAATTTTCTCCCATTCTGTAGGTTGCCTGCTCACTCTGATGATAGTTTCTTCTGTTGTGCAGAAGCTCTTTAGTTTAATTAAATCCCATTTGTCAATTTTGGCTTCTGTTGCCATTGCTTTTGGTGTTTTAGTCAGGAAGTCTTTGCCCATGCCTATGTCCTGAGTGGTATTGCCTAGGTTTTCTTCTAGCATTTTTATGGTTTTAGGCCTTACATTTAAGTCTTTAATCCATCTTGAGTTAATTTTTGTATAAGGTGTAAGGAAAGGGTCCAGTTTCAGTTTTCTGCATATGGCTAGCCAGTTTTCCCAACACCATTTACTAAATAGGGAATCCTTTCCATATTGCTTGTTTTTGTCAGGTTTGTCAAAGATCAGATGGTTGTAGATGTGTGGCATTATTTCTGAGGTGTCTGTTCTGTTCCATTGGTCTATATCTCTGTTTTGGTACCAGTATCTTGCTGTTTTGGTTACTGTAGCCTTGTAGTATAGTTTGAAGTCAGGTAGTGTGATGCCTCCAGCTTTGTTCTTTTTGCTTAGGATTGTCTTGGGTATGCAGGCTCTTCTTTGGTTCCATATTAAATTTAAAGTAGTTTTTCCTAATTCTGTGAAGAAAGTCAATGATAGCTTGATGGGGATGGCATTGAATCTATAAATTACTTTGGGCCATATGGCCATTTTCACGATATTGATTCTTCCTATACATGAGTATGGACTGTTTTTCCATTTGTTTGTGTCCTCTTTTATTTCCTTGAGCAGTGGTTTGTAGTTCTCCTTGAAGAGGTCCTTCAGATCCCTTGTAAGTTGGATTCCTAGGTATTTTACTCTCTTTGAAGTGATTGTGAATGGGAGTTCACTCATGATTTGGCTCTATGTTTGTCTATTATTGGTGCATAGGAGTGCTTGTGATTTTTGTACGTTGATTTTGTATCCTGAGAATTTGCTGAAGTTGCTTATTAGCTTAAGGAGTTTTGTGGCTGAGACAATGGGGTTTTCTAAATGTACAATCATTTCATCTGCAAACAGAGACAATTTTACTTCCTCTCTTCCTATTTGACTATGCTTTATTTCTTTCTCTTGCCTGATTGCCCTGGCCAGGACTTCCAATACTATGTTGAATAGGAGTGGTGAGAGAGGGAATCCTTGCCTTGTGCCAGTTTTCCAAGGGAATGCTTCCAGTTTTTGTCCATTCAGTATGATATTGGCTGTGGGTTTGTCATAAATAGCTCTTATTATTTTGAGATACGTTCCATCATACCTAGTTTATTGAGAGTTTTTAGCATGAAGGGGTGTTGAACTTTGTCAAACGCCTTTTCCACATTTATTGTCTTATCTGAACATTTTCCTTCTTCAATTCCAGGTCTTTAGACAAACTCAACCAATTGTCAGTCAGAAGTTGTTTAAATTTACCTATATCCTGGAAACCCCCCCAGCTTTGAGTTGTCCTGCCTTTCTGAACAAAACCAATGTATTTCTTAGATTTATTTGATTGATGTCTCATGCCTATCTAAAATATATGAAACCCAGCTGTACCCAAACCACCTTGGGCACATGTTCTCAGGACCTCCTGAGGGCTGTATCATGGACCATGTTCACCCATACTTGGCTCAGAATAAATCTCTTAAAATATTTTACAGAATTTGACTCTTTTTGTTGACACTCTTAGAATATTAGGTCTTAAATTTTATAACAGTGTGTTTAAGTCTACATAACAGACATCAATTGGGTGTCTGTAGGCTTCTAATGCACAGAGAGCTCACTCAAATTTTTTGTGTTATTTTAAAGAGGCAAGAAATCATGACTGGTCAGGTACGCCAAGAATCTTCAGGGAATACCATATGAGTCTGAAGTGTAGTTACATGGGAGGAATTTCCCACTGTGAATTTACCCTTCTTTAATGGAAAGTTGAGTTTATAATAATAGTGGTATGTGCATAATGGCAGATGATGTTTTAGTGAATTAGTTGTTACTGTAAAATTTTACAAAACCTTGCCATTTCATTATTAAAATATAGTGTAAATAAAATTTATGGAAAATATAATATGGTAAACCATATTAGACATTTTGTGGAAAAAAATTGCTTATTTTTAGGCAGGAAGGTACTGCTAAAGACTGGGTTCCCATTTATTAATTTTGTGTTTTCATAAAACATTAGTGTATTTTTCACAATGCTTAAGTCCCAGCTACACAGAGTAAACTTAAAAGGAAACTAGGTCATTAATTAATAAGATACATTTACTTGTGAGTAATTTCTTGTAACAGCTTTATTGAGGTATAACTTACAAACCATGAAATCCACCCATTTAAAGTATACAGTTAATGGTTTTGAATATATTTACAAATATGTACAGCAATCATTACTATTTAGTTCCATAATTTTTATCACCTGCTTGGAGTAATTTAAATAAAAACTTGAAAATGCCCTTTGAAATGAATAATTTTTTATTGAATTTTTAATGTAACTGATGTATTCTTAAAGCATCAAGATCAAATCATAGGTAAGATAAATATGCAAGATAGAATAGCCCCCATAATTGTTGTGGAGGTATCTGTGAATCATAGGAATCACATTTTATAGAGCAGCTAAGACTTGAATATATAAAGGATCTCCAAGGTTGCCTATATCCACATTCATAGAAGTGCTATTTTCTTTTAGATTTACCAATCAACTTTATAGGATTTTCATGTGAAAAGAGTAATGAACCTTTTTGTGGGGCTTGTATGTTTGGAGTGAACAGAAACACTGCAGAAGGGCCTCTGCGCCTAGAAATTGCATAGTAGAATCTAGAAAGAGGAGTGATTTGTACAAGAATACTCCTGTGAATTGTGTATTTATTAGTTTTTATGTTTGTGTGCTAGAAAAGGTCCACTCAAGAGTCTACTGTTTTTGAAGTGTAATAAAATTCTAAAGAGTTAAGAATATTCAAAATTCCAGTGGAAAAGGCAAAATGGGCCTAAAATAAGTCAAAACTAAATGAAGTATACTTTTGTAATTTGCTGGATGCCTCCATTAAATGAGTATGTGTTCATATTTAGAAAATCTTATCAAGAATTTGTTGTATCTATAAAATGTAAGGGTCTCTTTAAAGTAATATATGGATGTAAAAAATTGTGGTTCCCTAGAAGAAAGCAGGTCTATTAGGGAGGATTTTTTCTTAGTTCATTTAGAGAAGCTTCTTTATGGAATTTGAGTACATCATCAAATTCCTGGACCTGTGATTCATGCAATATTTAAAACAACAGGAAATCTTTTAAGACAAAGTTAGTTTTCTACATCTGCAGAGATAAATTTGAGGGCATGATGTATACTTTATAATCAGAAAAGATCTTCATGGAAATAATTTGTCCACATCAATGAGAGATACCCTTTGAATAATACTTTTATTATCTTTCTTGAAGGGGTAATTTAATAAGACATGTAATTTTAAGGCTCAGAGACCACATCATTGAACATCTATGTGCGCATCCTGGAGAAGTCCCACTTACTGAAGTACGTTTTTCAGGTCTTTTCATGTTAAGTATATTTACAGTGTTGTGCAACAGAGATTTTGGGTTTTTTATGTTTCAAAACTGAAACTATACGCTAAGCATGAAGTCCCTGACTCCTTCCCCCAGCTCTTGATAACCACCTTCCTATTCTCTGTTTTTATAATTTTGACCACATTAGATACTTCATATGGGTGGAATTACAGAATATTTGTCCTTTTGTTACTGGTTTATTTTGCTTAACATAATGTCCTCAAGGCTCACCCATGTTGTAGCACATAACGGTATTTTCCCTTTTTTTTTTGAAGGCTTTAATATCAGACTGTTGTTTATATACTTTCTCATTATCATTTTATCTGTTGATGGACATTTAGGTTATTTATACCTCTTGGCTACTGAGAACAGTGCTGCAGTGAACATGGGCATGCAACTATCTCTTTGAGGTCCCACTTTGGGTTCTTTTGGATATATACCCAGGAGTGGAATTGCCAGATCACTTGGAAATTAAATTTTTTAATTTTTTAGGAACCTCCATAATGTTTTACATAATGGCTGCATGATTTTATATACCCGCCAACAGTGCAAAAAGATTCCAGTTTCTCCACATCCATTCCAACATTTGTTATTGTATGTAATTTTAATAGTGGCCATCTTAAGGGGTATGGAGGTGATATATCAATGTGGTTTTGATTTGCATTCAACTTATGATAGTGATGTTGGGCATCATTTCATATGTTTGTTGACTATTTGTATACCTATTTGTCTATTCGTGTTATTTTACCTATATCTTAATTGGGTAATTTATTTTGGTCGTTGGTGGTGAATTGAAGTTTTTTATATATTCTTTTTAACTCCTTATCAGATATATAATATGCAAATATTTTCTTCCATGTTGTCTTTTTCACTATGTTGTTTTTTCTTTGACGTGTGCAAGTTTTTAAGTTCGATATAGTTTGATTTGTCTATTTTAACTTCTGTTACCTACGCTTCTCATGTCATCTTTATTAAATAATTGCCAAATCTAATGCCTTGAGAGTTATCCCTATGTTTTCTTCTATGACTTTATATTATCAGGCCTTGCATTTAGATCTTTAATTCTTTTACAGTTAACTTTTCTGTATGGTGTAATTTAAGGGTCCACATTTATTCTTTTGTGTGTAGATATCCAGTTTTCTCAACACCATTTATTGAAGAGTCTGTTCCTTTCTCATTGTGTAGTTTGGTACCCTTCTCAAGAATAATTTGGTTATATATGCAAGGTTCATTTCTTGGCTCTCTGTTTTGTATTACTGATTAATTCTCTAACTTTGTAAAAATTATTTACTATCTTGATTACTTTTTTGAAATCAGGAAGTGTGAGTTCTCTCATTTTATTATTTTTTTTACAAGACTGTTCCGGCTATTTGGATTTCCTGACATTCCTTATAAATTTTAGGATTTTTTTCTTGTATTTCTGTAAAATAATAAAAAATTGAGATTTTGGTAGCGATTCAATTGAATCTGTAGATTGCTTTACATATTCTGGACATTTTCACAATATTAAGTGGTCCAATACATAAGCACAGATTGTTTTTAATATTTTTGTTTCTTATTTGAGTCTTTTAGTAATGTTTTGTTTTTTTCGCCGTACATCATTTACCTCTTTGTTTATTGCCAAGTATTTTATCCTTTTGATGTTATAGTAAGTGGAATTGTTTTCTTTATTTCCTTTTCCCATTGGTAATTTATAGTGCATAGAAACAACTGATTTTTGTATGCTTGTGTTGGTTACTGAAATTTTTTTGAAAGCATGTATCAGTTTCAACAGTTTTTTTTTGTGCATGTAATCTTTAGTGTTTTCTGCCAAACGATTCTGTCAATTTGGATGTCTTTCATTACTTTTTATTATCCGATATTTCTGTCTAAGACTACCAGTGCTATGTTGAACAGTAGTGGAAATAATGGCCTCCTTGCCTTCTTCTGGATATTAGAGAGAGCTATTTCAATCTTTCACCATGAAGTATAATGTTATCTGATGGTTTTTTATATATGGCTTTTATTACGATAAGGTATTTTTCTTTTATTTCCAGTTGTTGAGTGCTTTATATTATAAAAAAAGGTATGTTGAATTTTCATTAAATGAGGCCAGGACACAATTTTTGCTCTTTATTTTGTTAATATAGTGTATTATATTGATTGATTTTTTGTTTTGAACCATTTCTGCATTCCAGGTATAAATCCCACTTTATCAGCATGTATAATACTTTTAAGGTGCTACTGCATTTGATTTGCTATTTTCCTGAGTATTTTTTGCATCAATAATCATCACGGATAATGTTCTGTGGTTTTATTTTCTTCTTGTCTCTGGTTCTGGTATTAGAATAATACTGGCCTCATAAAATGAGTTTGAAAGTGTTCCCTCTTCTTCAATTTTTTGGAAGAGTTTGAAAATTGGTGCTAATTTTTGAACATTTGGTAGAATTCATCAGTGAAGACAGCTGATTGTGGGCTTGTTTTGGTATGGGAAGTTTTTGATTATTGCTTGTATCTCCTTACTAGTTATAGTCCTTTCAGAATTTTTTTCATTTCTTTATGATTCATATACAGTAGGTTGTATGTCTGTTAAGTTTATCGTTTTTTTCTATATTCAATTTGTTGTTATAATTTTTGCTATATAATTTTTATACTCCTTTTTGTCTGTCACATCAGTTGTTATATCCCCTCTTTCATTTCTAAATTCAGTTATTTCAGTCTTCTACTTTTTGTAATATTCTAACTAAAGATTTGTCAATTTTATTGATCTTGTCAAAAAACTATCTTTTGGTTTTATTTTTTCTGTTGTTTTTCTGTTCACTAATTTATCTCTTCTTTATCTTTATTAATTATTCCTCATCTGCTAATATTGGGTTCAGTTTTTTTTCCTCTTCTGGTTCTTTGAGTGTGCATGTTTCTTAATTGAAACAACATGCATGTTTCTGCTTAGGAAATCCCTCTAGTGTCTCTCTGCGATATTGCAGCCTCTAAGTGGGGCAGTAAGCTATAGAACTGAAGCCCTACCTAGTGTCTCTCTGTGGTACTGCTGACTCTAGTTGTAGAATTAGTCATGTTCTCGTTTTCAGTGGTCTGCAATTTGGCCACTTACTCCTGTCATCACTTAGATGCAGGCAAGTTAGAAAATAGTTGCTTGGACAGCACCATGAGAAGTCAGAATGTTAGCTGTGGATTCCACTCCTTTCCATTTCAAAGGAGAAGTTAGAAATTAGGGATTTCCTCCCAATCACATTGTACTGTGCTGGGGAAGGGGGTGCTCTGTTGAGTAAATGCCACACATATATATATATATATACACATTATATTATATATATATATATATTATATATTATATATATATTATATATATATAATATATATTATATTATATATATTATATATATAATATATATTTTATATATAATATACATAAAAATATATATAATATATATATAATATATATACACACACACACACATATATATATATAGATATTTTTTTTTTTCCTGGCTTCAGCTCACCTTGGTGCAGGAACCTTTTAACTGGTTTTTGGATTTGTCACAAAGGCTACTGACTCATATGTTTTAGTTCAATTCTTGTTTCCTTGGGTGAAGAAGCATATGGGGCTTTAATATTCTGCCACCCTGCTGAAGTTACTGCTTACATCATGCAGTGTTTCAGAATGGTCAATCTGACTGAAAGTTGTAATAGAGATCTTAAAAAATATTATTTATTTTTGAATAAACAAAAATTTTTCATGAGGCCACTACATCTAAATTTCCATGTAAAGCATCCAATGGCCATGAAGTGTTGATAATCTGGATAGATTCCTTATGGTTTCTATGGGTCTGCTAACCAGAGAAGGCCAATTCCAGATACCTGATAAATAATTAAAGATATGCTTCAAAACCATATAAATAAAACATGTCCAGGGAAAAGTCATGAAATCTCAAGCACTTTTAAATTGAATTACTTCCCCTTTGTGATTTTATTATCTTGCTTTATCCTGAAGATTCCATTAAGTGGCTGCTGGGTATATACAGCAAAGTAATATTTTCAGGATTTCACTGTTTCTATTTGATGGTAAGGTGAATTAAATCCACTTATTTAAATTTTAAGGCATTAGTAGAAGGCAAGCTCATTAGGAATGGATGTGCATATGTTCTGAAAAATGCAGATGAGCCTTTATGAATCTTCATTTGCAGAAATGTGACAATCATTTATCAGAAATTCCCAATTTTTCCAGTTGGCACTGATAACTTTAAGGCTCAGATGAAGAACTCATGGAAATGAGTCATCAAAATCATGAAATATTTTTGGTTTGTTTGTTGAAAGGTTCATGTCAATGAGAGTGAGGTATATTTGATGTATACATTTCTTATCAAAGGTCACATAAGTGGGACAGGAAGAATGACCCCAGCATTGACATGAGAGATCTAGAAGTAATATTAGCCACATTGAGAAGGTAGCTGCTTGTAAAGGGAGGAACAAATCATTGGGCAGGATGCTCTAAGGTAGCAAAGGACTCCACATAGTGTTACAGAATATCCTATAACATTACAAGGGTAAATGAAAAGGGCTATTAGGACTAAAATTAAAATCAATTCCAGTGCTTACTAGTAAATATTAGCCTATTGTGGTCCTCCAGAATTCTGGTTTAGAATAATATTCGCACACTTAAATTGTCAAATTAGCAATATCAGTGATATACACCTCAAAGAGTTATTTTGAGAATGAAATAAGATAATATGTAGGAAATATGCAGCAGAGTCACTACCTAAAGGTGGGGTGTATGGCAGCATGGGGAATTGCTAATACACATATACACATTCCAATATAAAATACCTTTTTGAATCATGGCAATGATAACAGTGTAGTATAATGAGCCAAAGATGACCTATGTGTATTGAACCCTAGGTTGTTTAATTCTTTTCTCCTGTGTGTGTGTTTTTTTTTTAATTTTCATTTTTCTTTATTTCTTCTAAAAAAAAAAAAACAGGATACATGTGCAGAATGTGCAGGTTTGTTACATAGGTATACATGTGCCATGGTGGTTTGCTGTACCCAGTGACCCATCCTCTAAGTTTTCTCCCCTCGTCCCCCAATCCTGCATAGAATTCCATGGTGTATATGTACCACATTCTCTTTATCCAGTCTCTCATTGATGGGCCTTTGGGCTGGTTTTATGTCTTTGCTATTGTAAATAGTGCTGCAATAAACACATGTGTGCATGTGTCTTTATAGTAGAATGATTCATATTCCTTTGGGTATATACCCAGTAATGCGATTGCTGGGTCAAATGGTATTTCTGGTTCTAGATCCTTGATGAGTCACCATACTGTTTTCCACAATAGTTGAATTAATTTACATTTCCACCAACAGTGTAAAAGCGTTCCTATTTCTCCACAGCCTCGCCAGCATCTAATGTTTCTTGACTTTTTAATAATCGCCATTCTGACTGGCGTGACATGGTATCTCATTGTGGCTTTGATTTGCAATTCTCTGATGATCAGTGATGTTGAACTTTTTAAAATATATTTGTTGGCCACGTTAATGTCTACTCTTGAGAAGTGTCTGTTCATATCCTCTGCCCACTTTTTGATGGGGCTGTTTTTTTCTCGTAAATTTGTTTAAGTTGCTGTTTACTTCTTCACTGCAATATGATAACTGTTAGCTCAAAAACCTGCTGGTGCCAAATGAATTTTTGCACATCAAAATTGCTTTTTTCCTTTTGAACATCTGATCCAGAGACTTCTTTCTATAATACTGAGTGACATCGCCTAGACATATAGGCCCCTCTCTGATACATCTGTGCTCTCTTCAGAGAGTTCCCTTGTCTTTTCCCCTTCTGTGTCATGGACCCCTGGCCATATGCTTCGGGACAGTTTCAGGCTGTGAAAGTTTTATCCTGTCATGTGAAAGCACTGCCTAATAAAGCTTCTTGAGTGTTACTGCCTCTCATCATCATAGCTTCTTCCTTGATTAGCCCCAAATCCCTGGACTCAAACAGGTGATGACAAAGATGGGATTTTGGCGATTAGAGTATGGGCATGAAGACTGCCTAGCCAGTGAGACCATCCATTGACATAATGATCCTGGATAGCTTTAAGTGGTTGGGGCTTAAAATGTAAAACACCTCTGCTTTAGTTTGACATGGCATTGCTTCATGCTGTATTATACTCTATAGTTTTCATGGTTTTCTCCTGTGTCTCATTAGTCTGACCGAGGAAGCACCAAAATGTCTTTGAACCTACATCATGAAAACTGAATTTCTGTGTTACAGGTGTTGAGATACTCAGGGAAGGAGGCTAAACCATTTACTGGGACCCCTCACTAGGCAGGCTCTGAATATTGTAATACCTGTGGGCCTTAATAAGAAAGAGAAGAAATGCAGGCCTCTAGAGAAAAAAAATGGATTTTCTTTGATCCCATAATGGAGATTCCTGCAGTGGGACTGGTGGTTTGGGGAATTCTTTAATGAGAAGGCATCTTCATCCTTAGGGACTACTATGGCAGGTTAAGGAGCCAGTGAAGCTGAGATGCAGGACTAGGCCAGTCAGCTAAGTGAAGTTAGGGGCAGCAGCTTTGTAAATATCATGCCTCTGCTGTTGTCCCATCTGATCTGCTGCTAAAAGTGATGTAAATTCTAGTCTCTCCCCAGCGGGATATGGCCACACCAAACCTTTGGACTGAGCCAGCTAAATCATTACTTAAAACGAGTAAATACATGGAAATCTATATTCCTGATTCTCTAAAGACTCCAAAGGAGGTGGCTACTCATGAAAAAATGTTGCATGGCCGGGCGCGGTGGCTCACGCCTGTAATCCCAGCACTTTGGGAGGCCGAGGCGGGTGGATCACGAGGTCAGGAGATCGAGACCATCCTGGCTAACACGGTGAAACCCTGTCTCTACTAAAAATACAAAAAATTAGCCGGGCGTGGTAGCGGGCGCCTGTAGTCCCAGCTACTCGGGAGGCTGAGGCAGGAGAATGGCGTGAACCCGGGAGGCGGAGCTTGCAGTGAGCCGAGATCGCGCCACTGCACTCCAGCCTGGGCGACAGAGCGAGACTCCGTCTCAAAAAAAAAAAAAAAAAAAAAAAAAAAAAAAAAAAAAAAAGAAAAAATGTTGCAAACCGTGAGACATATGTTGGGCCCTGTCTTTGACAATTTCTCACCAGGGTGCCACTCAGAAGGGATTTAAAAGCTCAAACTCCCCAGGGGAAATAAGTTAAGCTGAGCTGGCAAGGAAAATCATGGGAAAACAACCAGCACCCTTTTTTAAGAAGTAGAACTGTGTCACCATAATAGGAACTGGGATAACTGGGATAATGTACCCACTACATTGCCAGTAACTACATGCAAAATAATAAAATAGAAAAGCCAAAAGGAAAAGACCAACAAGGAGGAACTAGTTATCAGCTGGAGGAAGAGACTTGTTCCATCTATTGTCCTAAGGCCCAGTAACTTCTTAAGGATTTAACCCATAAACCACTCGCGGTTTAAAGTGTGAACCCAAAATACCTGAGACAGGTCTCAACCAATTTAGAGAGTTTACTTTGCCAAGGTTAAGGACATGCCCATGAAACAGCCTCAAGAGGTCCTAATGACTTGTGCCCAAGGTTGTCTGGGCACAGCTTGGTTTCACACATTTTAGGGAGACAGGAGACATCAATCTGTATTTGTAAGATGTACACTGGTTCTGTCCAGAAAGGCAGGAAAACTGGAGGAGGGGGAGGTGACTTCCAGGTCATAGATAAATAAGAAACAAAAGGTTGCATTCCTTTGAGTCTCTGATTAGCCTTTTACCAAATACGCAATTTACATGTGAGAGGAGGTATAGTAATAGTCACTTATCCCTTAGTCTGACCTTAGTAAAACAATAGGGTAGAGGAAGAAATCAGACATGCCCTTGGCCTAAGAGGGATGACTTTGAGGTCTGTCTGTCCTTTGTCCACAAATAATTTCTTTGTGGGCAAATAATGAGGGAGATATGTAGCTTTTTTTTTTTGTTTTTAATCTTTGTAGCTATCTTGTTTAGGAATAAAATGGGAGACAGATTTGCCTGACATAGTCCCCAGCTTGATGTTTTTATTGGCTTAGTGATTTGCCGGGGGTGGGGGGGGTCCCAAGATTTATTTTCCTTTGACATTTAACCCCTTTTTAAAATCTTTTGGAGAAAGCATTTTAGAAGAAAAAGAGGTTTTTTTTGTTCCAGATTTGCCTCATGGCTAGGATGGTTTTTTCCTAGACAGGTAGGTCTCACGTTATCAGGAAAGGTCATTTTTAGTAGGTTGTGAATTCTTACGTTCTACAAAGAAAAAACAGGAGGAAGAAGGGAGAAAAACAACAGCAAAAAAAATATGAAGAGCAATCCTGAAAAATCAATATAGGCCATCTTACTCTGAAGTTCATACATCAGTAGGCAGGTATGCAAGTGGTTTATATATGTAAGTAGGTTGCTGCCATTTCATTTTCTTCTGAAGTTTACCTTTTCTCGCTTCAGTTTGCAGGGCTTAAAGAAAGCACAGGTTAATTTTTGGTGATTTCAAATCAGGAAAAGTTGGGAGGGGGAAGGAAAGAAAATAAAATTGTAAGTATTATTTTGAAGACTTGTAGCCAGGAAAAATTTTAGAATTCAGTCCATGCTGTAGAAAATAATAAAAATTCAAAAACATGAGGCAAGACTAGAATCTAACAACAGGTGTACTGTAGTGCAAAAGAAAAATAAATCGTGGGACCCCCAAATCACTGAGCTAAAGGGAAAGTCAAGCTAGAAACTGCTTAGGGCAAACCTGCCTCCCATTCTATTCAGTCATCCTTCTGCTCACTGAGGTAAATGCATATCTGATTGCCTCTGTTGGAAAAGCTTATGAGAAACTCAAAAGAATTCAACCTTTGTCTCTTATCTACCTATGACCTGGAAGCCCACTCCTCAATTCTAGTCATCCCACCTTTTTTGGACCTAACCAATGTTCATCTTTCATATATTGATTTAATTCTCATGTCTCCCTAAAATGTATAAAACCAAACCGTTCCCTGACTACCTGGGCACATGTCTTCAGGACCTCCTGAGGCTGTGTTACGGCACATGTTCTCACTTGGCAAAATAAACTTTCTAAATTTGCTGAGATCAGTCTCAGATATTTGGGGTTCACAGTTTGGTAACCATTAAGGGATTCTTAGTGGAGGTGCCCTGACATTGACAAAACTCCTATTGGTGTCCGGTACCAGCTTGAGCTATCCTTAAGGCTCAAACTAATAGAACATTTTGCTGAGGTCTGGAAGCCACCTTCCCCCTCCCCGCCAACTTCCCCCGTGCTTCCAGAGAATCCCTGATCTTCAATAATTTGGTTAAAGTCTAAAGTGTATTTTGCTGTACAGCTCCTTTTTTTTGGAGTTTTACTTGCTTCCAATAAGGAAGGCAAGTTTTCCTGTTTCCATGATGATGAAAGGCAGGTAACTCCTTTCTGGAGTTTGAGCTTGTTTCCAACGGGAGAAAAGTTTAAGTTTTTTCCTGCTTCTAGGATGGTAGAGAACAGTCTTCAGCCTGAGATCCATCCCTAGGTATGTAGCTGAATTGGGGTATTTTTCTTGGCTAAAGTTAAGACTAACAACAAGCTGGTCTTAATTTCTCCTTAACATTAGAGCACTCAGTAATCAGATAAATTGGGAGATCATTTGTTTTGCTTAATGGTTTCTTGTTGTTCTTTGTTTGTTTCTGTATTTGTTGTTGATTTGGTCTTTTTCCCATTGGGTTTGACCAACTCTATCCGACTTGATCAAATCCAAAGGAAAGTTCCAAATTATGGAGAACAAGGCCTCTGAAGTGGCTAAATTTCCACACACAAAAAATAAAAATAAAAAAGATGGGGAATGGGTTGGGAGAAAAACAGCAAACAACAAAAACGATTTTTTATTTTGACTACTTAACTGGCTTTATTTACATAATAAGCCCATCTTTTTGCTAGACAAACCAAACTGAAAGAGCAAGGGCTGTCACCCCATGCTGCAGTTTCATAGCTGAGGTTCTCCTTTCTTTCTTATTTTCCCTATGACAGCCTGAGTTTGCTTCCTAAATCAAGACCTTTGTGTTTTGATACTTGTTACCTCTGAAATATCAACAATCTGTCCTAGCTAAAATGTGGTAATGATGTCAGAGGTGTTTAAACCAGAGCAACTCCATCTAAAATGGGGGATGGGTAAAATACGACTGAGACCTACTGGGCTGAATTCCCAGGAGGTTAGGCATTCTAAGTCACAGGATGATCTAGTAGGTCAGCACAAGATACAGGTTATAAAGTCTTCCTTTGCTGATAAAACAGGTTGCAGCAAAAAAAGCCGGCCAAAACCCACCAAAGCCAATTTGGGGATGAAAGTGACCTCTGGTTGTCCTCACTGCTCATTATATGCTAATTATAATACATTAGCATGCTAAAAGCCACGCCCAACAGCACCATGACAGTTTACCAATGTCATGACAATGTCAGGAAGTCACTCTATATGGTCTAAAAAGGGGAGGAACCCTCAGTTCCTAGAAGCACACATCCCTTTCCCAGAAAGCTCATGAATAATCCAGCCCACGTTTAACATATAATTGAGAAATAACTAGAAGTATCCTTAATGGAGCAGTGCAAGCCACTGCTCTGCCTATGGAGTAGCCATTCTTTTATTCCCTCACTTTCTTAATACATTTGTGTTTACTTTATGGACTTGCCTTGATTTCTTTCTTGTGTGAGATCCAAGAACCCTCCCTTGGGGTCTGGATTCAGACTCCTTTCTGGTAACATCTTTCTGGCAAACCACTAAGGGATTATACTGAAATGACCCCCGACCCAAAGGAAAATCTTCTGTGTGCAGCACCACTTGGCCAACTTTGGGTAAGTGAGGCGCATTTAACTCGGTAAAGAATGGAATTGGGTTAGAGACCCAACTTAGAAAAGTTAGAGTCTGCCCTAAGATAGAGAGGGTTAAAGACCCCCTCTTAATAAAAGGCAAGGGTGCTTGACTGAACCTGTTTGGGGCCCAACTTAGGAAGGTTAGAGCCCTTCCTAAGATTTATGGGGTTGGAGGCCCCTCTCAGTAAAGTTCCTCTCGGCTAAAAGTGGGTTTGGCACTACTGGATGTTAACTGCTATTTTCTTTGGACTTATCTGCCTTGCACTCTTTGCTGATGGCTACGGGAGACAGAATTAAACATATTCAGGATCAAAGGACATGGCGAGCTATTTTTCCCCAAAAGGGAGACACTCGAGAGCTGATGGGACTTCTGGGTAAGATCCGTTTGTGACTGAAAAGCAGCTGCTTGAACTTTTGATTAAGTCTAACTGCAGTGGGTGGGTCTTTCTCTGGCCTCCCTGAGTTCCTCACCTTCCCCACTCTGCTTCAGGCAATGCTTTTCTCTCTTTCTCTTCTTTCCCTGTCCTATCTTTTCTGTCATTCAGGGGAACCTTCTTGCCCAGAGATCGCATGTTGAAAAATGTCCTTGGGAGCTTTGTCTTGGTCTCTGCCATATCTTGTATACATGTGGTGGTACTTTCTCTTGGTCTCTGCCATCCAGGGAAGAGGAATTTGGGGGTACATGTCATAGTTATCTCTGAAAATTAAATTGAGCAGTTAAAAGCCAATGCAATCTCAAAATTGACTGCTCTAGTCTCCTGGGAAGAGCAATAAAATATTTCCAATTCTGCAGCTTAGCAGCTAAGGCTTTGTGTTTTTCCAGTGGTGGCACAGGTTCAGGGTTCAATTCCTGGCTTAGGGAATAAGCCCTTTCTGGTTTGATATCTGCATGACATTTACCATTTGTTGATTATCTTCCCCTCCACAAACCATGTTGAATTTTTCTTTCTTTGAGGACAGAAATATTGGCCATTTGGCCTGGCTAAATTTGGGTAATAAGAAATTTAAAAGGATCTTTTTAAAAAGAGTATTACATTTAAAAGTCAGCCTAATTAAAAGAGGATATTCAAGCTCTAAAAGCCTGGGACTCCTTGTGAACAACAAGTAGTGCCACAGACCTTGTTTTGGGAAAAAACTCTTTTTTTTTTTTTTTCTCATGAAACCCCAGGAACCAGAAGTGGAGAGATCCCTTCACAATCTAAGGCTCTTTTCTCTTTTGCATTGCATTATCAGGTGTTTTTAACCCTTGGGGGGATCAGAAATTGCTCCACATTATAATAGAACTTTGGTGTGTAATAACTGGGTAGGAAATATGCTTTGGGGAATAGCTAATGACAGTTAAAGGTGAATACTTGGCTTTTCACATGTTTGGATCAGAGGAGCATGCTCTTGGCCACCTAGAAGGTATGGCAATGTGCTCATCCCTGCCCCACACTGAGACCTAAGACTCCCATGGAAGATGGGGTAATCACAGAGTAGGTTGAGTGGCTTTGAATTGCTTTGCAGTGAAATGCACAGTAAAATCATTGCACTGTCTTGTTCTGTAGCATTTGTCTTTTTTGGGATTTAAGATATGATATAAAATGGGACCCTTAAATTTTGGGGGATCTTTTTTGCTTTCCAGCTCTGCCTATTTATTAAGCCATAGAAACTGCATGTTTTCCTGGCCCTGTTCCTCCAAGGGCTCCACCCTGAAGCAGTAATCTGATTAAGAACCTGGCAAATAAAAAATCTTAAAACTACTGGAACATTTCTGTCTATGTATTTATATGTGTTGTGTGTGTGTGATATGAAAGAGCTTTGATTGTTTTCAAAAATCATAAGAGCTTAAATCTAACATTCTATCAGAAAATAAAAACGAATGAATGCCTTTTAGTCCATGTGACTTTAGTAAAGTTTCAGAAATAAAAACAGTTTTGAAGATCATTGGTAAAATTCAAATGTCTTCAAAATTCAGACATTTGGTCTGAAGTAGGTTAAATATTAAGTTTGCTAGATGTGTTAGGGTCATAAACGGCTTCTTTGATTTTTGAAAATTGTTCAACCTACTTACTTTGAAGCAGATTCTAGGTAAAGCCTGGGGATATGTGGTGTTAGCCATGCCTCCTAGTTATGCTGGATAGTCAAACCTTATCTGCACTTCTTTCTGTGTCCTAGGCTCCAAAGGTAGTACATAGTTAAAATCACCTACAATCCAGGTTTTTCCACCAATGGTTCCTAAGAGTTCTTTCTTTAGGCTGTATTTGTGAATATATGTTTTTGGTAGGTGTTCCAAAATTATTAGAAACTTCTGTAACTCTGATATAACTTAGTGTATGCTATTAATAGTTATAATAATTGTTATGTAAAATTGTTGTATGCCACAGAAGTCACCAAAATTCTTAGTCAATTGTGGCTTTAATAGAGACTGCCCTAAAGTGTTTTGTCATCCAGGGACAATTGTTGCCTTGTTTTTTTTTTTTTTTTTTTTTTTTTTCTTTAGAGGTGGTTTCATAATCAGCTACAGAACTCTAATAGGTGTTCTTAAATGCAGGTTTCTGATAAATTTGGAGATTTTGATGTTAGAATAGAAGAAAAAACTTTCAGGATCTCCTGGAGTGCTGAAATGTTCACGAATATCAGGCAGAACAGGAGTTAACAACATGGACTGGACTAATAGAAGACTAAAGTAATCTTTTTGACTTTTTGCTTAAAAGGATCCTCTGTTTTGTTTTTCAGAGCCAATAAAACTTTTCTTTTGAGTGATTTGCAGCTTTTAACAAGTAAGTAAAATATACTCCTGTGAACAAAATTTGGAGCATATTTGTTTCTCTCTACCTGATTTCTCCAGAATTTGGAAACTATTTGTGAGTATTCTTAACTTATGACAATATAGTTATTTGCATAAGTGCAATAAGAATGTTTTCTTTTGTAACAGGACAAAATAAAAGAAACCAGTTATTTTACCAAGGCTTTGACTGGAATGGCATGCTTTCCTTTAAGGAATCGAATTTGGCTTACAGGGCCAATAAAAGCCCCTTGGGAAAACTGGCCTCATACCCTGTCTACACTGTCCCGTACAGGGTTCCTGACCTGTAGTAAATAAAGAATGTCACTTTCTAACAGGCCCAGGAGCCCTAGGTTATCTTGGGACCTCGAAAAAAGAGGAATTTACCTAACTGATAAATATTTGATAGTACAAACCTATGGCTAGGCTTGGCTTTGGAAAAAAACCTTATCTGAGATTCCTTTTGTGGAACAAAGTCCAATCAAAGCCAATTTAAAAAGCCTATGTGAAAAATGATTATTTTTGCTGTACTTTACACAAATAATCAGGCTAAGTGTAAGACTATGGCGTATTTTTGCAAACAAATCAGCCCTGTTAGGATTTGTCTTTAGTAAAAATGGGAGAATGGAGAGATAGAAAAAACATATTTTAAAAACAATGGTACACTTGTTATAAAATTGTGATCTCATCAGTTATTTTTGAGTTTTCTTTCTACGATTTAGACTGAACCTGCTTATTTCTGTGAACCAACCAGTGATCTCTTATGGCTGTTCAAAAGTAACAAGAGAGGTGGGTAATGTAAAAAATCTGGATCAATATTCTAATTCTGAGCACATATTGGAATGTATAGCATGTATAGCAACTCCATATCACTTTGGTTCCAAAGTCTCCCAGTTCATGAAAAGCCTTCTTATTTAGTTTACTTGGGATAATTTTACTTATTTTGTTTTACTGTTGTGAAATATAGTGCTGTCGTACTCTTTGCGTAGGAATGCAGGATAAGCTTACTGAATGTATTCTTAAATTGAACACTTATTAATCTTCCAGATATCACCTTTTGTCATAACTCAAGTCTTATGAATGGCCCTCACCATAATGATGCTTTTTGACTGAGCTCTTCTCTAACCTGAATGCAAGAGGTTAGGCATGAATATCATCCCCCCTGTTCAGCCTGAAGAAGTTACAGAAGATGAATCTTCCACTCTCTACAGCCCTTAGGATTAAGGGTTCTCTTACTGAATGTATTCTTAAACTGAACACTTATTAATCTTCCAGATATCACCTTTTGTCATAACTCAAGACTTATGAATGGCCCTCACCATAATGATGCTTTTTGACTGAGCTCTTCTCTAACCTGAATGCAAGAGGTTAGGCATGAATATCATCCCCCCTGTTCAGCCTGAAGAAGTTACAGAAGATGAATCTTCCTCTCTCTACAGCCCTTAGGATTAAGGGTTCTCTTACTGAATGTATTCTTAAACTGAACACTTATTAATCTTCCAGATATCACCTTTTGTCATAACTCAAGACTTATGAATGGCCCTCACCATAATGATGCTTTTTGACTGAGCTCTTCTCTAACCTGAATGCAAGAGGTTAGGCATGAATATCATCCCCCCTGTTCAGCCTGAAGAAGTTACAGAAGATGAATCTTCCTCTCTCTACAGCCCTTAGGATTAAGGGTTCTCTTATAAAAGGGAGGGGGTAAATATGTCAGAGGCATTTGAACCAGAGAAACTCCATCTTGAATAGTCCCTGTGTAAAATAAGACTGAGACCTACTGGGATGCATTCCCAGGAGGTTAGGCATTCTAATTCACAGGATGAGATAAGAAGTCTCCACAAGATACAGATTATAAAGATTTGGCTGATAAAACTGTTTGTGATAAAGAAGCTGGCCAAAACACACCAAAACCAAGATGCCAACAAAAGTGTCCTCTGGTTGTCCTCACTGCTCATTATATGCTAATTATAATGCATTAGCATGTTAAAAGACACTCCCACCAGTGCAATGACAATGTACAAATGCCTTGGCAACATCAAGAAGTTACCCTATATGGTTTAAAAATGGTAGGAACCCTCAGTTCTGGGAATTGCCCACCCCTTTTCTGGAAAACTCATGAATAATCCACCCCTTATTTAGCATATAATCAAGAAATAACTGGAAGTATCCTTAGTGAAGCAGGCCAAGCCACTACTCTTCCTATGGAGTAGACATTCTTTCATTAGTTAACTTTATTAATAAACTTGCTTTCACTTTATGGATTCACCTCAAATTATTTCTTGCATGAGATCCAAGAACCCTTTCTTGGGGTCTGGATCTGGACTCCTTTACAGTAACAATGAGATTTAAAAATATTATTTTAAGGAGCTCAATGGTTAAAAGTCAGCTTAATTAAAAGCTAACATCCAAGATGTGTGCATGTGTGTGTGTGTGTGTACATGTGCACGTGTGTGTATGTTTGCATTAAAAGACTTTATGGTTTTTTTTCTCTCCTAAGACCTTGTCTCCTCTGAGCAGAAGTTTATTATTTTTTTCTCAGTTTATTGAATTTCATTGTCTTCATTTAGTTCTGCTGTCTCTGCTTTCTCTTGCCTCCGTCTGCTGCATGAGGGGCCTAAAACAGCTTATAATAGCCCAGGATTCACTGAAGAAAACAGACAAAGCACCAGACTCTTTTCTGGGGAGAAACTTGTTTTTCTTTATGGAACCCCGAGAGTGGGTAAAGAGAAAAGTTTGTCTCAGATCATAAAGTACTTGCTTTTGCATTGTGTTACCAGATTTTTTGACTAAAATAGTTATTGTAACGGAGGCTATTCTTGGGTACTTAAGAAAGAGGATAGTTTAGACATTTAGAACGGTCTTTGTTAATGTTTTTAAAAGTGCACTGTAAAAGCATCATGTGGTCTAGCCTCATAATAATTCTCCCTGTCTGGAGACCCAGGATTCAGTATGGGCCCTATCCAGAGCTCAGAGATACAGTTAAAAGATAGGTAGTCTCTATCTAAATACAACCGGTCTCCCCTTACAGTCCTATGACGGATTTCTATAATTTTTATTTGGCATCCATTTTTAATCTCCCTCTAGCACCAGACTACTTCTCTCTGTACTATGAGATGTAAATGTCATTACCATATTTTTTTTAACGTAAGATTTCCTTTAATATGCAAGCTTAGGACTATCTAGCAGACAATTGCCTAGGGTAATAAAATAGTTTATTAAGACTGTGTAACAGCTCCCCAGTTCCAGGCAGTGCAGCTCAGGGATAAAATTTTTCCACTTTAGAAAATGAGAGGGAAGAGTACAGAGAAATTCATCTTGCAACTCGGGTACCAGTTTAGTCACACTGAAATAAAGCACCAAGCAGATTACTGAAGCTCTAGATTCCAGGCCTTAGCTACTGGACAGCATTTCTAGACCCACTCTGGACCAAAAGAAAATCCACCGTTCTGAAAGAAATTAAAAAAAAAATAAAACTTAGTTCTGACAGAGTTCACCACATTCAGACATAAGAGCTTCTGGGCCTTGAATAACCATAAGCAGTAGCCAGGCAGTCATTGCCATGAGCCTTGGGTGCAATCCAACAGTGTACTGGCTTCAAGTGTCATCCAGTGCAGTGCTACCTGCGGTGGCCATGGGATGGCTTGTGGCACTCCTCCAAAAACTTCAGGCAGCCCAGCATGTAGAGAGAGAGAGAGAGAGAGAGAGAGAGAGGGAGAGGGAGAGAGAGAGAGAGAGAGAGAGAGAGAGGGAGAGAGAGAGAGAGAGAGAGAGAGAGAGAGACTCCTTTTGATTAGGACAAAGAGAGGGAAGAGAGTGAGATAATTTTTCTGGTAACCCGGGAAATTTTCCCTTAACTTAACCAACACCACCAACATGGTGCTTCAAGGAGTCAGCAAGAGCTGCGCTGTTACTGAATTTAGAACTTAGTGTGCCTTACAATCCTGATATGGCTGCAGTGACCACAAAGTTAAATTACCACTCTAAATACCCTTTGAATATGTAAACAGCCTTCTCGAGAAGTATGGGTAAAAATAAGTGCAGAATACTAAGATTAGAGTACATACCTAACTCTTCAATGAGCAGACACTGAAAAATATCCACAAGCATCAAGAACATACAGAAAAACATGACCTCACCAAATGAACTAAGTAAGGCACCAGTGACCAACTATGAAGTGTCAGATATATGTGACCATTCAGACAGAGAGTTCAAAATACCTGCCTTGATGAAGCTCAACAAACTTTAAGATAATACAGACAATAGAGTCACAATTTTATTAGATGAATTGTAAAAAGAGACTGAGAAACTATGAAAAATCTAGCAGAAATGCTGGAGCTGAAAAGTACAATTAACATACTGAAAAAAATGCATTAGACCCTAGCAACAGCAGAATTGATAAAGCAGAAAAAAAATAGTAAGCTTAGAGACAGGCTATATGAAAATACACAGAAGAGAAAAAATAATTTAAAAATTAAAGCATGACTATGAGATATAGAAAATACCTGCAAAGGGGCAAATCTAAGAGTTCTTAGCCTTGAACAAGACGTAGGGAGAAAGGGGATAAAGTTTATTCAAAGATATAGTAACAGACAATTATCCAAACCTAAAGAATCATAGGAATACCGAGGTACGAGAAGGTCCTAGAACACCAAGTGGATTAAAGCCAAATGAAACATCTCCAGGCATTTAATAAATTCTCAAAAGTCAAAGATAAAGAGAGGATACTAGAAGCACCAAGAGAAAAATAAACAAATAGCACATAAAGGAGCTCCAATATGTATGGCAGCAGACTTCTCAGCAGAATTCTTATAGACCAGGGGAGAGTGAGATAGCATATCCAAAATGCTGAAGAAAAACAAATCCCAACATGGAATATCGTATTCAGCAAAATTATCCTTCAACTATGAAGAAGAAATAAACACTTTCCCAGACAAACAAAAGCTGAGAGATCATGTCTACATCAGACCTGTCCTACAAGAAATGGTAAAGAGAGTGCTTCAATCAGAAAGAAAAGGCAGTTACAAAATGACAAAGAAATTATCTGAAGATATAAAACCTGTCAGTAATAGCAAGTACACAGAAAAGTACACAATACTATAACACTGCAATTGCAGTGTCTTAGCCACTCATATCTTTAGCAGGAAGACAAATAAACTGCCAAAACTGATAGTGACAAACATCTTTCAATAGATAGACAATATAAAAAGATACAGAGACAGACAAAGTCATAAATCAGAGGAAATGAAGTTAAAGTGTAGAATGTTTTCATAGTTTTCTCTTTGCTTATTTGTTTTGCTCTTTTTGGCAATCAGAGTTGTCATCAGTTTAAAAATGGGTTATAAGATGTTATTCATCAGCTTCATGGCAACCACAAACAAACCCCTATAACATAGATTTAAATATTGAAAATCAAGAAATCAAAACAAGCTACTAGATAAAATCCTTTTTTACACAAAGGAAGACAAGAAAAAAGAGAGCACCACCGACAACGGAAAAAAAAAAAAAAAGTAAAAAAGTGGCAGTACTACTCTTTACCAATGAATAATCAGGTTAAATTTACACTAAATTATTCAGTAAAAGTTAAGAACAGCTGAATGGATAAAAAACAAGATTCAGCTATATGCGGCCCACAAGAAAGTGGCTATACCTGTGAAGATATGCATAGATTAAAAATAAAGGAATAGAAATGGTTATTCCATGGAAATCAGAATCAAATAACACTAGGAGTAGTGCACTTATATCAGGTAAAATAGATTTCAAGACAAAAACTACACAAAGAGACAAAGAAGATCATTACATGATGATAAAGTGGTCAAATCAGGAAGAGAATATAACCGTTGTATGGAACCCCGATATATAAAGAAAATACTATTAAAAAAGAGAGAGACAATGGTAGCAGGTGACCTAAACACCTCATTTTAATCATTGCACAGATCAACCAGACAGAAACTCAACAAAGAAAGGTTCAACTTAATCGTCACTCTAGATCAGGTGAACCTAATATACATTTATAGAACATTTCATGCAACAGCTGCAGAATACACATACTTCTCATCAGCACATGGAATATTCTCCAGGATAGACCAAATATTACTCCACAAAGCAAGTCTCAAAAAATCCAAAAAAATTCTGAGCAAGCAGCCTGACTAGATGCAGCTGAGAAGTCCTGCTCCCACGGAAAGAAAATATGATTTCAACTACACCAACATAAATTGAACAGATCTTTGGACAGAAAATGCCAAATGTGGACGGAGAAGAGAAGCAGATGCTGAGGCTGTAAAGGGAGGAAACTGGGAACACGGCACGGAGTACCTGAACACCAAGTCTGGTTCCCAGCCCCGGACAGTGCCTGGGAAAGGGGACTTCCCCTTAAAGGAGCCCCCCCCCCATGGCCCAAAAGACCCGACAACAACATCAATAACAACAAAATTGTGGGCACAGTGCCAGTGATTGTAGGTGGCTCCTGAAAGGCCCAGGAGCAGGTCTGGCGAGAGGGTTAACTATCTTCCCCTCGCACCTCACAACAGAACTGCAAGCACAAGGATGCACAAAGAAACCACGCAACTAACAGCCTACCTACCGCCCATTGCTCTCAAGCGCCATCTACTGGAACACAGACAAAACTACAAGAGCAAAAAACTACTCGCTGTGAAACCGAAGGGGCAAGAATTCAACAACGAACACCCCGTGCAGAGACTTGGTCCTCTGAAAACTTCCAGAAACAAAGCCAACTAGCCATACTCAATTTACATCACAGTTAAAAATATGAGCCTCCCAAGATGAGGAAGAATAAATGCAAGAACTCTGAGAATGCAAAAAGCCAGAGTGTCGAGCATTCTTATACACGAATAACAGACAAACAGAGAGCCAAATCATGAGTGAACTCCCATTCACAATTGCTACAAAGAGAATAAAATACCTAGGAATCCAACTTACAAGGGATGTGAAGGACCTCTTCAAGGAGAACTACAAACCACTGCTCAATGAAATAAAAGAGGATAGAAACAAATGGAAGAACATTCCATGCTCATGGGTAGGAAGAATCAATATCGTGAAAATGGCCATACTGCCCAAGGTAATTTAATAGATTCAATACCGTCCCCATCAAGCTACCAATGACTTTCTTCACAAAATTGGAAAAAACTACTTTAAAGCTCATGTGGAACCAAACAAGAGCCCGCGTCGCCAAGTCAATCCTAAGCCAAAAGAACAAAGCTGGAGGCATCACGCTACCTGACTTCAAACTATACTACAAGGCTGCAGTAACCAAAACAGCATGGTACTGGTACCAAAACAGAGATACAGAACATATGGAACAGAACAGAGCCCTCAGAAATAAAGCCGCATATCTACAACCATCTGACCTTTGACAAACCTGACAAAAACAAGCAATGGGGAAAGGAGTCCCTATTTAGTAAATGGTGCTAGGAAAACTGGCTAGCCATATGTAGGAAGCTGAAACTGGATCCCTTCCTTACACGTTACACAAAAATTAATTCAAGATGAATTAAAGACATAAATGTTAGACCTGAAACCATAAAAACCCTAGAAGTAAACCTAGGCAACACCATTCAGGACATAGGCATGGGCAAGGACTTCATGTCTAAAACAGCAAAAGCAAAGGCAACGAAAGCCAAAATTGACAAATGGGATCTAATTAAACTAAAGAGCTTCTGCACAGCAAAAGAAACTACCATCAGAGTGAACAGGCAACCTACAGAACGGGAGAAAATGTTCGCAACCCACTCATCTGACAAAGGTCTAATATCCAGAATCTACAATGAACTCAAACAAATTTACAAGAAAAAAACAAACAACCCCATCAAAAAGTGGGCAAAGGATATGAACAGACACTTCTCCGAAGAAGACATTTATGCAGCCAAAAAACACATGAAAAAATGCTCATCATCACTGGCCATCAGAGAAATGCAAATCAAAACCACAATGAGATACCATCTCACACCAGTTAGAATGGCGATCATTAAAAAGTCAGGAAACAACAGGTGGTGGAGAGGATGTGGAGAAATAGGAACACTTTTACACTGTTGGTGGGACTGTAAACTAGTTCAACCATTGTGGAAGTCAGTGTGGCGATTCCTCAGGGATCTAGAACTAGAAATACCATTTGACCCAGCAATGCCATTACTGGGTATATAACCAAAGGATTATAAATCATGCTGCCATAAAGACACATGCACATGTATGTTTATTGCGGCACTATTCACAATAGCAAAGACTTGGAACCAACCCAAATGTCCAACAATGATAGACTGGATTAAGAATATGTGGCACATATACACCATGGAATACTATGCAGCCATAAAAAATGAAGAGTTCATGTCCTTTGTAGGGACATGGATGAAACTGGAAACCATCATTCTCAGCAAACTATCGCAAGGACAAAAAACCAAACACTGCATGTTCTCACTCATAGGAGGGAATTGAACAATGAGAACACATGGACACAGGAAGGGGAACATCACACTCCGGGGACTGTTGTGGGGTGGGGGCAGGGTGGAGGGATAGCATTAGGAGATATACCTAATGCTAAATGACGAGTTGATGGGTGCAGCACACCAACATGGCACATGTATACATATGTAACAAACCTGCACATTGTGCACATGTACCCTAAAACTTAAAGTATAATAATAATAAAATTAAAATGAGACCAGTAATGGCTCTTAACCAGTCTGAAATAAATGAAATGACAGACATGGAATTATCTGGATGGCAAGGCCGCTCTTCAAGATTCAGTATAAAGCTGAAACCCAATCTAAGAAAACCAAGTAATCCAGTGAAATGATTCAAGAGCTGAAAGACAAAATAGCCATTTTAAGCCAATCCCAGGCTAGACTTCTTGAGTTGAAAGGATTCACTGCAAGAATTTTATAACACAATCAGAAGTATTAATACCAGAATAAACCAAGCTGAGAAAGAAATCTCAGAGCTTGAAAACCAGTTCTTCAAATCAACTTAGTCAAAAACAAATAAATAATTAAAGAGAAAAAAACTAACAAAAATGAACAAAACCTCTGAGAAATATGGAATTATGTGAAGAGACTCAATCGATGATTAATCAGCATCCCTGAGATAGGAGAGAGAATAAACATCTTGGAAAATATATTTGAAGTTATAGTCTATGAAAATTATCTTCCTCTCACTAGAGAGGTTTACATGCAAATCCAAGAAATACAGAGAACTCCAGGCAGATACTATACAAGACAACCATCCCCAAGGCACATGGTAATCAGGTTCACCAAGGTCAATGCCAAAGAAAAAAATTAAAGGCAGCTAGAGAGAAGGGGCTGGTCACCTACAGAGGGAACCCCATCAGGCTAGCAGTAGACCTCTCAGTAGAAACCTTGCAATACAGAAGAGATTGGGCGCATATTTTGAACATCTCCAAGGAAAAAAAAAATCAACCAATGATTTTATATTTTGTCAAACTACACTTCCTAAGTGAAGGAGAAATAAAATCCTTTTCATTCAAGCAAATGTTGGGGGAATACATTTCAACCAGATCAGCATTACAAGAGGCCCTTAAGGGAGTGCAAAACGTGGATTCGAAAGAACAATACCTGTTACCACAAAAGCACACTTCAGCACATAGCACACAGACACTGTAAAGCAACTACGTCATCAAGTCTACATAACGGCCAGCTAAGAAAATGACGAGATGATCAAAATCACATATATCAACAGTAACCTTGAATGTAAAAGGGCCAGATATCCCACTTAAAAGACACAGCATGGAAGGCTGGATTAAAAAAAAAAAACAAAACTCAATCATTTGTTGTCCTCGTGAGACCTATCTCACATGTAGAAACACGTAAAGGCTCAATGTAAAAAGGGAGAGTAATATCTGCCATGCAAATGCAAAATTAAAAGAGCAGGAGTCGCTGTTCTTATATCAGATAAAACAGACTTTAAACCAATAAAAGATAAGAAGAGTAAAGAAGGACATTACATAATGATAAAGACTACAATCCAACAAGAAGCTTCAACTATCATCCTAAATATATACATACCCAACATTAGAGCACGCAGTTTCATATAACAAGTTCTTCTTGGCCTACAAAAAGACTTATACAACCACACAATAGTAGTGAAGGACTTCAACATCCCACTGACAGCAGTAGGCATATCATCAAGGTAGGAAATGGTAAACTCTGGACTTGAACCAGTCACCTGACTAATTGACCTAATAGACATCTGCAGAACATTCATCCAACAATAAAAAAAAAAATACATTCTTCCCATCTGCACATAAAATACTTTCTAAGATTGACCACATGTTCAGTCATAAAGAAAGCCTCAATAAATTCAAAAATTTTGAAATCATACCAAGCATACTTTCAGACCACAGTGCAATAAAAATAGAAATCAAAGTCAAGAAGACCTCTCAAAACTACATGCACACCTGAAAATAAAACAACTTACTCTTGAACAGCATCAAAATTATGGCAGAAATTTAACAAAAATTAAATTAATAAAAACAGGAACACAACTTATTGAAATCTCTGGGATGCAGCCAAATCAGTGTTTGTTAAGAGCAAAATGTATAGATCTAAACGTCTTCATCAAAATGTTAGAAATGTTTCAAGTTATCAATCTAACTTTTCACATAAAGGAACTAGAAAGGAAAGAACAAACCAACCCAAAATCCAGCAGAAAATTAAAAGAAAAAACTAAAATTAGAGAATAACAGAGCCAACGACAAAAACCACATGATTATCTCAATAGATGCAGAAAAGGCCTTTGACAAAATTCAACAACCTTCATGCTAAAAACTCTCAATAAATTAGGTATTGATGGGACTTATCTCAAAATAATAAGAGCTATCTATGACAAACGCACAGCCAATATCATACTGAATGGTCAAAAACTGGAAGCATTCCCTTTGAAAACTGGAACAAGACCGGGATGCCCTCTCTCACCACTCCTATTCAACACTGTGTTGGAATTTCTGGCCAGGGCAATCAGGCAGGAGAAGGAAATAAAGGGTATTCAATTAGGAAAAGAAGAAGTCAAATTGTCCCTGTTTGCAGATGACATGATTGTATATCTAGAAAACCCCATCATCTCAGCCCAAAATCTCCTTAAGCTGATAGGCAACTTCAGCAAACTCTCAGGATACAAAATCAATGTGCAAAAATCACAAGCATTCTTATACACAAATAACAGACAAACAGAGAGCCAAAACATGAGTGAACTCCCATTCACAATCGCTTCAAAGAGAATAAAATACCTAGGAATCCAACTTACAAGGGATGTGAAGGACCCCTTCAAGGAGAACTACAAACCACTGCTCAGTGAAATAAAAGAGGATACAAACAAATGGAAGAACATTCCATGCTCACGGGTAGGAAAAATCAATATCGTGAAAATGGCCATACTGCCCAAGGTAATTTATAGATTCAATGCCTTCCCCATCAAGCTACCAATGACTTTCTTCACAGAATTGGAAAAAAAAAAACTACTTTAAAGTTCATATGGAACCAAAAAAGAGCCCGCATCGCCAAGTCAATCCTAAGCCAAAAGAACAAAGCTGGAGGCATCACGCTACCTGACTTCAAACTCTACTGCAAGGCTACAGTAACCAAAACAGCATGGTACTGGTACCAAAACAGAGATATAGACGAATGGAACAGAACAGAGCCCTCATAAATAATGCCACATATCTGCAACCATCTGATCTTTGACAAACCTGACAAAAACAAGCAATGGGGAAAGGAGTCCCTATTTAATAAATGGTGCTGGGAAAACTGGCTAGCCATATGTAGAAAGCTGAAACTGGATCCCTTCCTTACACATTATGCAAAAATTAATTCAAGATGGATTAAAGACATAAATGTTAGACCTGAAACCATAAAAACCCTAGAAGTAAACCTAGGCAACACCATTCAGGACATAGGCATGGGCAAGGACTTCATGTCTAAAACAGCAAAAGCAATGGCAACGAAAGCCAAAATTGACAAATGGGATCTAATGAAACTAAAGAGCTTCTGCACAGCAAAAGAAACCACCATCAGAGTGAACAGGCAACCCACAGAATGGGAGAAAAGTTTTGCAATCTACTCATCTGACAAAGGGCTGATATCCAGAATCTACAATGAACTCAAACAAATTTACAAGAAAAAAACAAACAACCCCATCAAAAAGTGGGCGAAGGATATGAACAGACACTTCTCAAAAGAAGACATTTATGCAGCCAAAAGACACATGAAAAAATGCTCATCATCACTGGCCATCAGAGAAATGCAAATCAAAACCACAATGAGATACCATCTCACACCAGTTAGAATGGCGATCATTAAAAAGTCAGGAAACAACAGGTGCTGGAGAGGATGTGGAGAAATAGGAACACTTTTACACTGTTGGTGGGACTGTAAACTAGTTCAACCATGGTGGAAGACAGTGTGGCGATTCCTCAGGGATCTAGAACTAGAAATACCATTTGACCCAGCAATGCCATTACTGGGTATATACCCAAAGGATTATAAATCATGCTGCCATAAAGACACATGCACACGTATGTTTATTGCGGCCCTATTCACAACAGCAAAGACTTGGAACCAACCCAAATGTCCAACAATGATAGACTGGATTAAGAAAATGTGGCACATATACACCACACCGTGGAACACTATGCAGCCATAAAAAATGATGAGTTCCTTTCCTTTGTAGGGACATGGATGAAGCTGGAAACCATCATTCTCAGCAAACTATTGCAAGGACAAACTGCCACATGTTCTCACTCATAGGTGGGAATTGAACAGTGAGAACACATGGACACCCGAAGGGGAACATCACACACCAGAGCCTGTTGTGGGGAGGGGGGAGGGTGGAGGGACAGCATTAGGAGATATGCCTAATGTTAAATGACGAGTTAATGGGTGCAGCACACCAACATGGCACATGTATACGTATGTAACTAACCTGCACGTTGTGCACATGTACCCTAAAACTTAAAGTATAATAAAAAAAATAAAAAAGAATAACTTAATAAATTTGAATTGCAAAAATCTATACAAACTATCAGTGAAACCAAGAATTGGATCTTCAGAAAAATAGATACGATTGATAGACCCTTTCTTAGGTTAACAAAGAAAAAGAGGGATACCAGACATGCGAAGAAGAACTGGTACTAACCCTGCTGAAACTATCTCAAAAATTTGAGAAAGAAGGGCTCCTTTTTAACTTATTCTATGAAATGAGCATCAGACCTGTATCATAATCTGACAGAGACACGCACACACACAAAAGAAATCTCAGACCAATATTCATTGTGAACATAGATGTAAAAATGCTCAACAAAATAATACCAAACCAAATCCAGCAGCAGAGCAACACCTCAAAAAGTTAGTACACCATAATCAAGTAAGCATTATTCCTGGGATGAAAGGATGATTCAACTTATGCAAATTATAAATGTGCTTTAGCACATAAACAGAATTTAAAGCAAAGACAATGTGATCATTGAAATAGATGCAGTAAAAGCTTTCAATAAAATTCAATATCTGTTCATGATAAAAAAAAAAAAACCTCAACAGACTAGGCATCAAGGGAATATACCTCAAAATAATAAAAGCTGTCTCTGACAAACCCATAGCCAACATTATATGAGTGAGAAAAGGCTGGAACAATTCTCCTTGAGAAGTGGAACAAGACAAAGATATCTACTCACACTACTCCTATTCAGTACTGGAAGCCCTAGCCAGAGCAATCAGAAAAGAGAAAGAAATAAAAGGCATCCAAATAGGAAAAGAAAAAGTCCAACCATCTCTCTTCCCTGACAATATGATTCCATACGTAGAAAATCCTAAAGGCTATGCCAAAAGGTTCCTAGAACTGATCAGCTACTTCTGTAAAGATTCAGGATACAAAACCAATGTACAAAAATATCAGTAGCATTTTTACCAACAACACGTAGGCTGAGAGTGAAATCAAAAACGGAAGTTCCCTTATAGTAGGCTCAGAGAAAACAGAGTACCTAGGAATACAGTTAACCAAGAAGGTGAAAGATTACCATAAGAATAACTACAAAACACTATTTTAAAAAATCAGAGATGACAGAAACAAAACAAAACAAAAATATATGCTCATGGACTGGAAGAATCAATATCATTAAAATGTCAACATGACACAGAGTAATTTACAAATTCAATGCTATTTCTATCAAATGACCAATGTCATTCTCCACAGAATTAGAAAAACTTTTTCTAACATTCAGACAGAACCAAAAAAGACCTTAAATAGCCAAAGACATCTTAAGCAAAAGAACAAAGCCGGATGCATCACACTACCTGACCTCAAATGATACTACAAAGTTACAGTAATGTAAACAGCATGGTTCTGGTACAAAATCAGACACATAGACTAATGGAAAGAAAAGAACAGAAAATTTAGAAATAAAATGAAACACCTACTGCCGTGTGATCTTCAAGAAGGATGATAAAAACAAGCAATGGGAAAACGACTCTTTATTCAGGAAATGGTGCTGAGATAACTGACTAGCCACAGGCAGGTAAAGCTGGACCCTTGCTTTTCACCATATACAAAAGTTAACTCAAGATGAGTTAAAGATTTAAATGTAGGACCTCAAACTACAGAAGTCCTAGGAGACAACCCAGGCAATACTCTTCTTGACATTGGCTTTGGCAAAGAATTTTTGGCCAAGTCCCCAAAAGCAGTTGCAACAATAACAGAAACAGATATATGAGACCTAATTAAAATAAAGAGCTTATACACAGCAAAAGAAACTATCAACACAGTAAACAGACAACATACAGAATGGGAGAAAACATCCACAAACTATGCATTCTACGATGGCCTAATATCTAGAATCTATAGAGAACTTTAAAAAAATCATTAAGAAGAAACAAATAACTCCATTAAAAATTGGCAATGACAGCGACACTATTCACAATAGCAAAGACTTGGAACCAACCCAAATGTCCATCAATGATAGACTGGATTAAGAAAATGTGGCACATATACACCATGGAATTCTATGCAGCCATAAAAAAGGATGAGTTCATGTCCTTTGTAGGGACATGGATGAAGCTGGAAACCATCATTCTCAGCAAACTATCACAAGGACAGAAAACTAAACACCACATGTTCTCACTCATAGGTGGGAATTGAACAATGAGAACACTTGGACACAGGAAGGGGAACATCACACACCGGGGCCTGTTGTGGGGTGGGGGGAGGGGAGAGGGATAGCATTAGGAGATATACCTAATGTAAATAACGAGTTAATGGGTGCAGCACACCAACATGGCATATGTATACATATGTAACAAACCTCCACGTTGTGCACGTGTACCCTAGAACTTAAAGTATAATAAAAAAAAATTGGCAATGACATTGAACAGACACTTCTCAGAAGAAGACATATAAGCAACAAAAACTCATGGAAAATGCTCAGCATCACTAATCATCAGAGAAATGCAAATGAAAACCAAATTGAGACAACATCTCACACGAGTCTGAATGGGTATTAAAAAGTCAAAAAACAATAGATGCTGGTGAGGCTGCAGAGAAAAGGGAACACTTATGCATTCCTGGTGGAAATGTAAGTTAGTAGAGCCACTGTGGAAAACACTCTGGAGATTTCTCAAACATCTCAATACGGAGTTACCCTTTGATGCAGCAGTTCAATTACTGGCTATGTACCCAAAGGAAAATAAATCATTCTACCAGAAAGGCATATGCACTCTTATGTTCATTGCTGTGCTATTCACAGTAGCAAAGACATGGAATCAACCCAGATGACAATCAACGGTAGATTGGATAAGGAAAATGTGGTACATATATATACCATGGAATACTATGCAGCCATAAAAATGTAATAAAATCTTTTTTCTTTTTCTTTTTAGCAGCAACATGGATGCAGGGGGAGGCCATAATCATAAGGGAGTTAACACAAGAAGAAACAACAAAATTCCACATGTTTTCATGGATAAGTGGGAGCTTAACACTGAGCATGGGAACATGAACATGAACACGAGAAATATAGACACTGTGGACTCCTAGAGGTAGGTGGTAGGGAATGGAATGTTGGTTGAAAAACTACTTATTGAACGTTAGGCTCACTACCTGGGTCCAAAATTGCCATGTAACAATCCTACACATGTAACCCCTGTATCTCCCTGTATCTTAAACAAAAGTTGAAATTCGGAAAAGAAACTGCCTTCACGGTATCCCTTATGTGTTGCTATATCGTGTTTTCAGTTTCATTTGTCTCAAGATATTTCATGATTTCCCTTTTTTGATCCATTGCTTATTCATGTGTGTGTTGTTTTGTTTCCACATATTTGTGTATTTTCCAATTGTCCTGTTGTTATTAATTTCTAGATCCATCTTATTCTGATTGAAAAAGAGGTTTGCTATTATTTCAATCTTCTTAAATTTGTTAAGACTTGGTTTGTGGTGTAACATGTAACTTGTCCTGGAGAATGTTCCAGGTGTGCTTGAAAAGGATGTCTATTCTGCAAAATGGATATGCAAAAATGGCTAGCATTCCTATACACCAACAATAGGCAAGCAGGGAGCCAAATCATGATTGAACTCCCATTCACAATTTCTACACAAAGACGGAAATACCTAGAAACACAGCTAACAAGGGAAATGAAGGACCTCTTTAAGGAGAACCACAAACCACTTCTCAAAGGAATCAGAGAGAACACAAAAAAAATAGAAAAGCATTCCATGCTCATGGCCAGGAAGAATCAATATCATAAAAACGGCCATACTGCCCAAAGTAATTTCTAGATTCAATGCTATTTCCATTAAACTACCATTGACAGACTTCACAGAAATAGAGAAAAAAAAAAAAAAACGACTTTAAAATTCATAGGGAACCAAAAAAGAGCCCGAATAGCCAAGACAATCCTAAGCAAAAAGACCAAAGCTGCTACCTGACTTTAAACTATACTACAAGACTGCAGTAAACAAAACCACATGGTACTGGTACAAGGACAGACACACAGACCAATGGAACAGAATAGAGAATGCAGAAATAAGACCACACACCTACAACCAACTGATCTTCGACAAACCTGACAAAAATTAGCAATGGGGAAAGAATTCCTTATTTAATAAATGATGCTGAAAGAACTGGCTAGCCATAGGCAGAAAACTGAAACTGGACCCCTTCCCCACACCATATGCAAAAATTAACTCAAGACGGATTAAAGACTTAAACGTAAAACCCAGAACTATAAAAACCCTAGAAGAAAATCTAGATAATACCATCCAGGACATAGGCATGGGCAAAGATTTAATGATGAAAACACCCAAAGCAATTGCAACAAAAGCAAAAACTGACAAATGGGATCTAAATAAACTAAAGAGCTTCTGCACAGCAAAAGAAACTATCATCAGAGTGAACAGACAACCTACAGGATGGGAGAAATGCTTTTTCAATCTATCCATCTAGCAACGGTCTAACATCCAGAGTCTGCAAGGAACGTAAGCAAATTTACAAGAAAAGATATAACCATTAAAACGTGGGCAAAGGACATGAACAGACACTTCTCAAAAGAAGACATACATGCAGCCAACAAACATATGAAAAAATGCTGAACATCACTGATCATCAGAGAAATGCAAATAAAAACCACAATGAGATAGCACGTCACACCAGTCAGAATGGCTATTATTAAAAAGTCAAGAAACAACAGATGCTGTCAAGGTTGCAGAGAAAAAGGAACGCTTTTACACTGTTGGTAGGAGCGTAAAGTAGTTCAACCATCGTGGAAGACAGCATGGCGATTCCTCAAAAGACCTCCAGGGAGAAATACCATTTGACCCAGCAATCCCATTACTGAGTATATACCCAAAGGAATATAAATAATTTTATTATAAAGATACATGCAATGTGTGAGTTCATTACAGCTCTATTCAAAATAGCAAAGATATGGAATCTACCTAAATGCCCATCCGTGGTAGACTGGAGAAAGAAAATGTGGTACATATACACCATGGGATACTATGCAGCCATAAAAAGGAACAAGATCATGTCCTTTGCAAGGACATGGGTGGAGCTGGAAGCAATTAGGCTCAGCAAACTAATGCAGAAACAGAAAACCAAACAACGCATGTTCTCACTTACAAGGGGGAGCTGAATGATGAGAACACATTTACACATGGAGGGAACAACACACACTGTGGCCTGTCAGGACGGTGGGGTCAGGGAGAGCATCAGGAAGAATAGCTAATGGACACTGGGCTTAATACCTAGGTTATGAGGTGATCGGTGCAGCAAACCACCACGGCACACGTTTACCTACGTAACAAACCTGCACATCCTGCACACGTGAACTTAAAATAAAAGTTGAAGACAAAAACAAAAAAAAAGAAGAAGAAGAAGAAAAGAGTGTGTATTCTGGGACTGTTGGTTGCAGTGTTCTGCGTATATCTAAGTTCATCTGTTTATAATGTTGTTCAAGTTTGTTATTTCCTCATCAATTTTCTGTATGCATGTCCTATGCATTGTTAAAAGTGCAGTATTAAAATCTCCTATGATTATTAAATTGCTGTATATTTTTACCTCTCAGTTATTCACTGTATGCTTTATATATTTATGTTCTCTGATGTTTGGTATGTATGTGTTTATAATTATTATATCTCGTTGGTGAGTAGGTTCTTTAATTTTATACCATATACATAAATCAACTTAAAATAGATTAAAGATTTAAGTATAAGACCTGAAACTGTTCAACTCTTAAACAAGAGTATAGATAAAAACTCGCTGACATTAACCTGGGCAATGATTTTTTTGATATGTCACTAAAATCAAAGGCAACAAAAGCAAAAAGATACAAGTGGTATTACATCAAACTGGAGAGCCTCTACACAGCAGAGAAAACAATCAACAAAATAAAATACAGCCTATTGAAAGGGAGAAATGTTTATAAATGCTATATCTGTTACTGCGTTAGTATAAAAATATATAACAAATTCCTGCAACTCAATAGCACAAATCAAACAACACAATTTAAAAAATCATCAAAGGACTTGAATAGACACTTCTCCAATGAATACATACAAGCAGCCAACAAGTATATGAAAAGGTGTTCCACATCACTAACCTGAGAAATGCAAATCAAACCATGGTGAGATGTCACTTCACACTAGTTAGGATGGCTACTATGAAAAAGACGGGAGATAACAAGTTACGAAGAAAATGTTAAATAATGGGACCCCTTGTACTCTGTTGGTGGGAATGTAAAATGGTGCAGCTGCTATGGAAAATAGTATGGAGGTTCTGCAAAAGATTAAAAATAGGACTACTATATGACCCAGCAATTCCACTGCTGTGCATATACCCCGCAAAATAGAAATCAAAATCCTGAAGAGAAATTTGTACTCCCATGTTCATTACAACATCATTCACGGTAGCCAACATATAGAAACAATCCAAGTAGCCATTGACTGATGAATAGTGAAACAAATGTGGTATATACAAAATAGAATGTTATTCAGACTTCACAAAGGAGAGTATCATGCCGTAAACAACAACATAGATAATCATAAAGGATATTATGCTAAGGGAAATAAGCCAGTTAGAGAAAGATAAACACTGCATGACTGTCCTTGTATATCTGAAATATTAAAAATTAAAGAAGCAGAGAATAGAATGGTGATTTCAAGGGGCTAGTGGCATTAAAAATGGGAGGTTGTTGTTTACCAGGTTTAAAATTTTTGTTATGCAGGATAAATAACTCCTAGAGATTTGCTGTACAACCCAGTAACAGTAGTTACCAGTATTGTATTGTACAATTAAAAATTTGTTAAATGGAACTTCTTATGTTAAGTGGACTTACCACAATAAGAATATATGGTACAAATATTGAGCTCCGTGTAATAGATTTGTTCTGTATAGATTTATGGGTTAGAAATTTCAAAATTATTTAATGTGTATTGAAATTGTATTTTGTTGATAATTGAAACCAAATTTTCTATTCTTAGAGAAGTGAATTACAAATGTGGTAAAGGAAATGCGAAAATGAGCCCGGTGGTGTTGGACTAGAATTATAGATGTTAGTATGAACAAACAAACATGTAGCTTATGTTCTATCTCTATCTCTATCTATCATCTATCTATCTATATCTATCTATCTATCTATCTATCTATCTATCTATCTATCTATCTATCTATCAATCTATCATCTATAGATATTATGCACACGCTTCTATGTGTTTTTGTGTGTATGTGTGTAAAAATTATCTAATTTTTATTTCTGTATCTATATTTCTCTATCTATACATTATTATATATAATCTTCTATGTTTGCATTCTTGCCCCCTGAGAGGAGTAAGTAGAAGCATGGACACCTCAACAGCAATAAGCACATCTAGCACAAAGATCTTGGCTTCCATTTACTGTTATCTACTCAATGGAACCAGAGCTCCTTGGAGAAATGGCTAACTCTATGTTTAGTACAGAGAAAATACAAGATGAACCAGACATATATTTTTGTGCCATTAATTAAGGAAGTTTCAAAGACTGATAAGTACACACAAAGAACACGGAAGACAGTTTGAACAGGATTTCCCTTACCAAATCAGGGACATATCCGTGTATTCATACTTAGATAGATAAATGAATAAATAAGTACTGGAAACATCAAAGGTCATTTTTACAATATAATTGCAAGTAAATGTAGAAGAAAATGTTGATATGAAAAAAAATCACAAGTTGGCCACCACCATAAAGCTATTTATTTCTGATGAAAATCATCAATAAATACTAGAATTATTGGGTGAAAGTATGGTGAGACTAGAGATATTTACATATTCTCACATTATATCTCCCTAAAAGTATTTATTAATTACAAAGGAAAACACAGTAACTTGGCAGTGGACAAATCTAGCAGATATCACCTTAGCCAAGCGATCAAATTTAATATCAAGATTTAATGGTGCAAATAGTTATTCTTTGCTTCCTGTTATGACGTACTGAGAATAACATAGTAACAATGGTGTGCTAATCCTTCCTAAACTGTACAATATCGAGTGAATTAATAGGAAAAAAACCAGCAAAAAGCACAAATTGAAGGACAGTCTACAAAATACTGGCCTTTATATTTTAAGTATTAAAGTAATAAAAAACAAATGTTAAACAACCAATCCACATCAAGAGAGACTAAAGAGACATTACAACTAAATGTGGTACCTGATAATGTATCAGATCCTGGACCAGAAAAAGGAATATATTTATTTGGCTTTAAATGACATTAGTGGGATAGATGGTGAAATTCAAATGAGGATTTTAGATTATCAGGGTAGGAGTACTTCTTCTTAAATTGCCAGAGAGTAAATATTTTAGACTTTCTGGGTCATGGGATCACTGTTGAAACCACTGAACTCTGTCCTTGTAAAACAAAAACAGCTGTAGACAAGAGGTAAGCCAGTAGGCTTGGCATTGCTCCAACACAATTTTATTTACAAAAACAGGCAGTTGTCCCACGGGTTTTAGTTTACTAACACCTAAATTAGATAACAGGACTACATTAATGTTAGCATACTCATTTTCAAAATTCTTATCCTGAGAGTGTGCATATCTTGCTTTTAAGATTATATATTAATGGTAAGAATATATGCACATATATATGTGTGAGTGTATTTCTGAAATATACATATATACATAACAAAACAGATGTACTATGTTATGTTTTAAAATGTAATGTATTAATAGAAAATTTCAGGTATAGTGAGTAAGTCGAACATACAAGGAGATGATTGCCATTAATAAGATAGTTTACTAGCTACAGTTCCCACAAGGAAGGGGCACACCGTGCCACGGGAGGCCAAATAAAAAAGCACTAGGGTCTGCCAGAAGGTAGAGGAAGAGGAGAGAATTGTGGTCAAGAACCTCTGTTGTTGTTCTTATGGGAAGAAATTGGTGAGCCTATTTAAGCTGGTTTACAAGTGTCTGGTTTTAATAATTTCAAGAATACCTTGCATTGGCAGTGATTAAGGCAGAGGGATAGTGGCCCAGAGATAAAAGACCAAAAAAGGAAGTGGTTAACCGTGTATCCTCTGTATTGATTGACTTGTATTTGAAAAGCACACTGTCAGATTAGTTATTTTCTTGCTCTAGGAAATGGCTAACCCTGGGATGAGCAGTCCCTCCAGGGTCAGCAGGGCCCCAGATCTCAATACATCAGAAAAGAGAAAATTAAAAAATATATATATTTTATATATATATGTATATATATATGTATATGTGTATATATATACATATATATACATATATATACATATATATGTATATACATATATATATACATATATATACATATATATGTATATACATATATATACATATATATACATATATATGTATATACATATATATACATATATATGTATATACATATATATACATATATATGCATATATATACACACATATATATGCATATATATATATACACACACACACACACATATATATATATATATATATATATATGCTTAATACAAGTAGCCCTATGTTGCTTTGACATAATATTATGGAACATTTGAAATGACAACAGGGGAGAAATTTAGTGAATAGTGCATACGTTTCTCTAAACAACGCAGAAAACATTTTATTATGAGAGTAAAAATGAGAAACTCAAGACAAAGTATAAAGAGTCTTAGGCTAGCTCATAGATAAGATTATTGTTTATATGGCATTAGCCAAGAAAATTGATCTAAATTTTTTGAAACAAAAGGGGGTTTCAAGATGACTGACTAGAAATATTTTATGCCTACCTCTTTCACTTGGATGAACCAGAGTAGTGCATAGACAGTAACACTTCCTAGAGAAAATGCTGGAATTCAACATAGAAGTGACAGGGGGCACTAAAAACAGGAAAGGAGAAGGAGGAGAGGCAGCCTCCCTGGCCAGGATTGGCCAAGAGCCAGTACTGACTCCCCAGTGCAGGGGAGGGATGAGTAAGAGACTGCCAGTGTCCCATGACCCCACCATAGAAGTGTGCAATCCTGGCCACTTGAAAAATGCTTAACCTTCTCGAACCTGGAAACTAACAGAGAAAGTTGCCAGGAGACTGTGGGGACAGAACTGCTCCAGGGAGGGAGTTCATGCTGACACCCTTTCTGAGATCTAAGTTGATAGAAAGGTGCCATTTTCAAAACTAGCCTCCAGCAAACTGCATGCTTTTCTGAGACCCAGAGGCACCAGGACTAGACGTTCCGGAAACTCAGGCTGCCACAGCTGGGACTGGGCAGGGAGCTAGCACTACCCCTTTAGCTGGGGCTAAGAAGTGCATGAGGCCTGGATGGTAGCAGCCAGTGCCATAAAATGAGTATTGCACTGCCAGGACCTAAAATGAAGTCATGAAGAGGGCATGAGTTGCCACTGGGACTTGATCATGAGCTGAGTGTGGGCTCCTGCAGTCTGGGCAAGAAGTTGAGTCTCACTGGGACTGAGCTGTGAAGGGGAGAACATGCATTCTCCACACCATGGCCCAGGCTGTGACTACCGAGGGTAGCCCATCATCTCTGGGCATTATCCCCAACACAGAGGCCACCACCCTCACCCAATGACTCTCCCTGGGGCATGAGAAATACCCTTACCCCCTGCCCACCGTGGCTGGTGAGTACTCTCAAAATAGGGGGCCTGAGCACAAGACTGTCCAGCCGAGTTTGCTCCCCATTCCAAGACAGATCACATAATCTAGAGACCTGAGTATTGCACAAGCCAAACCACCACCTTGGGCACGTGAGCATTCCTCCAAGGGTCCTGAGATTGGGCGTAAACTTCACGCTGCTACCACCTCACCTGGAAACTATCTGTAAGAACCACCCGCGGGCCTGGAGACTTGCCCACCCAGAACATTGCAGCCAGTGCCAACATCAATGCACACCACGTGAGACCCAGAGAATCTTCCTGCCATTGCTACTCCCATTCCCCATGCAACACCAGTTGCCCATAGGACGGAGAACTCACCCAACAATCTCGTCCACCACTGCCACGACAGGAATCCTAGCAAGCCATCTGGAGCTCCAAAAATCAACCCATTAGTAACTGCCAGCACAGGTGCCAGTGTGCACCACCCTGGGGCACAAGATAGGCATGCTAAGCCCACCACTGTCTACACTGGGGCCGGAAGACTGGCCCAACTGGCATTCAAGTCCCCAGCACAATACCATCACAGCCTCCATAAACAAACGTGCCCTAACCCACTGAGGAAATCACAGATACCACTAATGCTGTTTACGGCCAAATTGATCATAAAGAGACTACACTACTGTATGCCCCCAGGAGCAAAGCCAAAGTAGCCAATCCAGCCAAAAACCATAGATGCATCTTCAAAAATTCCTCCTCATCAAAAGTAAATTAAAAAAATAGAAAGGAGTGACTGTTACACCAGATGTACAGATGTCAATGGAAGGCCACAGAAAACATGAAAAAGCAAGAAAACATGGCATATTTAATAAACACAATAATGCTCCAGGGAAGGATTTTGATTAAAAAAGAATTTTTTGAACCCCAAAGTCAAGAAGTCAAAATATTAATTTTGAAGAAGTTCGGTGAGAGTCAAGAGAATTCTGAAAATAATATGAAGAAATCAAAAAAACCAATTTAGTATATGAATGAGAAACTTATAAAGAGAAAGGTATTTTTTAAGACCCTAATAAAAATTCTGAAACTGAATAACTCATTGAAGAAAAGACAAAATACATTTAAAAGCTTCAAGAGGCCGGGCGCGGTGGCTCACGCCTGTAATCCCAGCACTTTGGGAGGCCGAGGCTGGCAGATCACCTGAGGTCGGGAGTTCGAGACCAGCCTGAACAACATGGAGAAACCCCATCCCTACTAAAAATACAAAATTAGCCAGGCGTGGTGGCACATGCCTCTAATCCCAGCTACTCGGGAGGCTGAGGCAGGAGAATCGCTTGAACCCGGGAGGCGGAGGTTGCAGTGAGCCGGGATCGCACCATTGCACTCCAGCCTGGGCAACAGGAGCGAAACTCTGTCTCGAAAAATGAATGAATGAATGAATGAATGAATAAATAAATAAATAAAAAAGCTTCAAGAATAGACTAGATCAAGTAGAAAGAAGAATCACACAACTTGAAGACAGGTATTATAAAATATTCCAGTCAGGCAAACATTTTAAAAAGAATTAAAATGAATGGTCAAACCCTTGGTGACATTTAGGAAAACATACAGTGACCGAGTTTATAAAGTATTGGTATCCCTGAAGGTAAAAATCAAAGAAAGGATTAGAAAATCTACTAACAAAACAATAGATGAAAACTTTTCAAGTCTAGCAAGAGATTAGAGATTCAGATACAGGAGTCTTAATGATCCTTAGGTGGATACAATGCAAAACTATACACAGCCCATTATAATCAGACTGTCTCAAGTCATAGTTAAAGAGGAAATTCTAGTCTCCTATAAAGCAAGAGAATGACTCATTGAAGAAAATATAGAGATGTACAGACATCAATGGAAGGACACAGGAAACATGAAAAAGCAAGGGAAAAGCATCTAGTCCTCTATAAAGAAAATTTCAAAAAAATAAAGAGAAGAAAAATAAGCAGAAAATTTCTAAGCAGAAACCTCATAGACCAAGACAGAATAGGATAATATATCCAAAGTGCTGAAATAAAAAATAATCTCCCACTAAAGAATATGACACCCAAGAAAATTATCCTTCACAGATGAAGGATAAAGTCACTCCCACACAAAGAAATGCTGAGGGAATTAAGTACCATTAGACCAGCCCTAGAAAAAAGTGCTCAAGGGAGTCCTAAGCCTGGAGGTGAAAGCACAACATTTACCATTATAAAAACACAGGAAAGTACAAAACTCATTGGTAAAACTATCACACAAAAGAGAAAAGGCCCAAATCATACCACTGCCAAACTTCACCAATTCACAATGACAAACTATAAGAGAAAAAAGAAACAAATAATAGATAAGACAACCAGAAAGCAATGAATAATATAACAGAAATAAAGACTAACATATCAATAATAACCTTGAACGCAAATGGCTTAAATTATTTTCTTAAAAGATATAGCTTGGATAAATGGATAAAAACAAACATAATCTAACTACATGTTGGTTACGAGAAACTTACCTTACCAGTAAAGACACATCTAGGATGAAAGTAAAGAAATGGAAAAAAGATTCCACATAAAAGAAAACCAAAAGTAAGCAGTAGTGGCTATACTCATATCAGATAAAACACACTTTAAGTCAAGAACAATAAGAAACAGATGGTCATTATATAATAATAAAGAAATCAATCCAGCAAGAGTATACAAAAATTCTAAATATACATGTACCCAACACTGTAGCACCCAGATTTATAAAGCAATTATTACTAGACCCAAGGAGAGAGATGACTAAATTATAATAACAGCAGGGGACTTTGACACCCCATTCTCGGCATTAGACGGATCATCTAGACAGAAAATCAAAAAAGAAACATTAGATTTAAAGGGAATGTTAGACCAAGTAGACCTGAAAGACATTTACACAACATTCTATCCAACAACTGCAGAGCATACATTCTGTTTTTTTTTTTTTTCCTTTTTCTTTTTTCTTTTTTTTTTTTTCTTTTTTTTACCAAGTTTTCGCTCTTGTCCCCCAGGCTGGAGTACAATGGCGTGATCTTGGCTCACTGCAATCTCTGCCTTCAGGTCCAAGCGATTCTCTTGCCTCAGCCTCCCACGTAGCTGAGATTACAAGCACCCACCACCACGCCCGGCTAATTCTTGTATTTTTAGTAGAGACGGAGTTTCACCATGTTGGCGAGGCTGGTCTCAGACTCCTGACCTCGGGTGATCCACCTGGCTCGGCCTCCCAAAGCGCTGGGATTACAGGCATGAGCGACCGTGCCCGGCCCATACATTCTTTTTATCAGCACACAGAACATTCTTTATGATAGACCACATGTGAGGCCACCAAAAGAGTATGAACAATGTTTTAAATCATAGCAAGTGTATTTTAAGGTAACCATGAAACAAAACTAGAAATCAATACCCAGAGAAACCCTGGAGACTATACAAATACGTGAAAATTAAACAAGATGCTCCTAAATGACTGTTGGGTAGATAAAAACATTAAGATGGAAACAAGGAAGTTTAAGATGGCTGACTAGAGATGACAGATGCAAGTTCTCCCTAGAAAGAAGAACCTAAATTATGAATAGATAATCATACCTCTAATAGAATATCAAAGAGAGAATACTAGAATTCAAAATATAATTTATGAAAAACAAAACCCTAAGCCACAGAAGAAAAAAAAAAAGAAAGAAAAGGAAAGAAAAGAAAAGAAAAGAAAGCTAGAGGCCAATGCAGCTGACATTGGTTAGGAGTCCAGAGGAACTCAGTGTTCAGGGAAAGGGTAAGTTGAAGTATTTTGATAGTCCTCATTCTTGCTGTGAACTGCCAAGATCCTTACAGTGGGAAAGCTCCTCTGTCCTCCCAAATCCTGAAAATAGCATGGACCGCAATTTGGAGACCCCTGAGGGCAGTGCACTGGACTGTGGATTCACACTGGGTTATTATTTACCATTTCCCCAGACCCAAGCAGGTGCTATGCTGTGCTACTGTTGAAGGTGCATCCGTAAGGGAACTGTATCCTCTTCTGGGAACCACAGTCCTTGTGTATCCAAAACCCAGGAGCTCCTGCTCACATTCTCCAGTCCTGCTCAAAGGGCTGCAGTGGCAGAGTGCTGGCTGGACCCAAAGGAGCTGCAGGGTCCCCAGTAACCTAACCTTCAGGGAATGCTACTCCTAGGAGAAATAAGAGTGCAGTACACCAAAAAGGCAACCCCTGAGAGAAAGGAAACCAAAGTGCATGCTTTCCAGGGCCCAAAAGCTTCCTGACTGGGGCTGTGAAAAGTGACTTCATTTTTAGCAGTGGCACAAAATTTGTGCTTGGCTCTCCAAGCAAACAGTGAAATCCCCTTTCATCAGATGAGCAGCCTTAGTGTCATAACCAGGCCTAGAGGAGACCCTTCTTCCCCATGCACACTGTTGAAACCACAAGCACTGCTGCTGTCCCAGGAGGCTGGGGCAGATGTACTGTATGGCATTCCATCTGGGGCTGTGAGGGGCAACTGTGACCCCAATGGCCAGGCTTGTGTAAACAGTGGGTTCCCGCCCTCTCTCTGTGCAGAGATGCAGTACTGCTGCTACAGAGAGCAGGAGAGCCCAAGAGCTGTGTTTGGAGCCATGGAGGGAGACTTCACACTACATCCACTTCCAGCCACCACAGGGGTTTAGTGTGGAGCGGCTGGGCTGATTTCTCCTGTGTTCGCGGGCTACATTGGTGCTTAAAAGCAAACTGTAGTTCCTAACCTATATGAGTACCCCAAATTCTAAGACGGGCGTGAGGGGAAGGCTGATCCCTTTCCTTCCTGCCATGACTATGGCACTGGCACCTCTCCTACCTCCCCATACAGACACCTCAGTGATTGCTCATTGCTCAAGCATTTTACCAGGAGGCCGAAGACTCCCTTGCCACCCCTGTCAAAGCTGTTGCTTGTGCCTGTCATTGGAAAGACTTAGTGCAGGCTTTCTCATTCTGGCATCACTCAGCTTTGCCAATCCCCTCCATGACAGCGGGTGAAACCCAGGCTCTTGTTTGCTCCAGGGCCCAACTGACCAACTGGGACATGGGTGCACTTCTCAGGGCTTACAAAGGTCAAGCATAAAGCATACCACCTCCACTGAAGTTGGCTTTTACCTGCAAGTGACACCTGCTGGTCTGAAGGTCAACTTGCACATCCCATCACCACATCAGCTGACACCTGCGCACAGCACTTAGGAACAAGACGAGCTTCTCGCAACCTCTGCTACCATGATTGCTCATGCAATCCAAGCTACCCAAGAGGGCATGAGCCTGCTCACCATCCTGGTACACCACTATTACAACTGGCATTTGAGAAAACTCCACACTAAAACTATTTATAACCATGGAAAACATAGTGTCTTTGCCACTGAATGCACACAGAAACAAAGCCAAACAGACTTGTTCAGCATACATCATAGTCGCATCCTCAAAAGAAAACAACAACAACAACCACAACAACAACAAAAAACAGGTCCTACCACAACAAAAGTAAATTAAAAAATAAGATGTAACTGTTTATTCAGATGTGAATAAATCAGTGTAATAACAGGGGAGGGTGGATTTTCAAGATGGCTGACTGGGAACATTGAATGCCAGTTTTCCCCAGTAAGAAGACTACAGGTGCTGGAAAATGGACATGATCTGTATGAAAAACTGATGGAAGAGAGCCAGGACCTGTTGGAGCGCACATGGGCAGAAGCTGGAATACAGAAAAATAGAGCAGCAAGAGTTTGGCAGGGAATGACCCTTGAGGAACTTGGAGCCCCACGGAAAGAACGGGTGGGAGTGCTTGTCTAATCTCATCACCCCTTCAGCAACCTGCTGAATGCCAAACTGTTGGGAAGCCCCTCTGCCCTTGTGACCAAGGACAATTCTGTTTTGGGTGACTTGAGAACTTCCCAGGGACAGAAAACTGGATGGCCAGCTGGCACAGGTGTGCTTGCTCTTCCTTCAGGCCTTAAACGAGATGAAGGGCACCATATTGGTTGTGCACCCATGGTAGGCCACTTCCCTTCCTGGGAAATCTCTGCTCTTGATTCACCACACCACCAGATTTCCCACAAACACACCCCACAACCTTCTCTGGCTGGCCAGTCCCCAGGAAGCTGTGTGACCCCTGACAATCTATCCTGTGGAGTGAGCAGCCCCTGAGAGAAGGGGGACAGGGTCCATCATAGCCCACCTTGGGACAAAGGAAGTATGGGCATGGTGTCAATTACTGAAGGGGCATCACCAGCTGCCAGGAACCGTCATAGAGAGAAGGTCATCTTCCAATTCCCTGTCTACTGTTGTGGGTGCAGCACAGGTTCTCCCCACTAGGGGCCAGCATGTATGCACCAGGAGAAAGCACTTCTCATACTTTTAATAGCAGCTTCATTCTTGTTGGAAGGGAGCCTCTGCTGCTTGCACTTGCAAGAAGGTGGGGCCCAACTGCCCCTCACTACACAGAACTACAGCTTCCCAGCAACAGAGGCCAGACAAGCTGCAGAGCTGCCTGCTCAGGACTGGTGAGAGAGGCTCTGCCCTGAGCCCATTTTGGTGGCAGCTGCCACAGAAGCATGTCCTTCAGTCCACAGCCACACTGAGGCCAAGAATCAAAGGACAAAGTTTATACAAGTTGAAGGTCATGAGCCCTGTGACCGGGGTGTGATAGGAAAGCAGATAGCATTCCTTCCTTCTATTGATGAGAAGCTGGTGCACATCCCTTCCCCTAAGACTTCTGTACACCCCCACATGATCTCCCCCCACCACCACACTATCAGGACAGAAGCTTCCAGTCATCATCAGCCTACCTGAGGGTGAGTTAGCTTTTACTTTTAAGTGCCACCTAGCGGACTAGAGCCTAAACTGCACCACCAAATTAAAAGCTTGCTGTCAGAAGGGCTTAGTGCTAGTGCACGAGGCTTCCTGGGACCTCTGCACTCTCAGCCCTGCAAGAGATAATGTGTTGGCCCATATGTCTGATCTATCACGATAAGAAGTGACATCTAAGAAAACCATCCTGCAGAAGCTATACATAACCAAGAAACACACACAGACCGTTGGCCCCCTGAAAGCGCTCAGAATAAAGCCAAACTATTATACACAACATACACCAGTCATACACTCGAGGGAAAAAAGAATTAAGAAAAAAAAACAAAATTACCATCTAAATAATAGCAAATTCAAAAACAAGAAGTGGCAGTTCCCTCAGAAGAGAAGAAATTGGAACAAGAATGCTGGCAGTACCAAAAGACCGTGTCTTGACAAGTTCCAAAGGTCACGCTAGTTGTCTAATAATGAATCCTAACCAAAATGAAAAGTCTGAAATGACAGATAAAGTATTTAAAATATAGACTGCAAGAAAACTCAACAAGATCCAATAGAAAATTTAAATCCAACACAAAGAAATCAGAAAAACAACACAAGGTAAGAAAGACAAAATAGTTATATTTTTAAAAATAAAATGGAAATCCTAGAATTAAACATCTCACTATAGAAATTTCAAAATATATTCAGAATACATTTGGAAGCTTTAATAATAGACTACACACAGCAGAAAAAAATTATTTGACTTTGAAAAACGCCCTTTTGAATTAACTCAGTCAGATAAAAAAATAAAGAAAACATGTTTAAAACAATGAACAAAGTCTTCAAGTTTCAAATATGAAACTATGTAAAACGACCAAACCTATGACTTATTGGCATTACTGAGAGCAAAGGAGAAAAAGTAAGTAACTTGGAAAACACAGCTGAGGGAATAATTTAGGAAATTTTCTCTAATCTTGTTAAACAGGTTGACATCCAGATAGAAGGAACTGAAAGAACACCTGCAAGATACAATGCCAAGATGACTATCACCAAGGCATATAGTCATCAGACTTTACAAGGTCAATGTGGAAGAAAAAATCTTAAAGCAGCTAGAGAAAAAGGGTCAAATTACCTGTAAAGGGAATTCCATCGGATAAATAGTAGACTTCTCAGAGAAACCTTACAAGTAAGAAGAGATAGGGAGCCCAATTCTAGCCTTCTTAAAGGAAAAAAAAAAAGCCAGCCAATAATTTTATAACTTGACAAACTAAGCTTCATAAATGAAGGAGAAATAAAGTCTATCCTAGACAGGCAAATGCTAAGAACATTATTCAGCACCAGACTGGGATTACAAAAATGCTCCGAGGAGTTCTAAACATGGAAAGGACATTACTTGCTACCAGACAACAACACATAAGTACAAATTCACAGATCTCATAAAGCAATTACACAATTGAGAATACAAAGTGAATACTACTATGACAGGAACAGAACCTCGAATGTCAATATTAACCTTAAATGTAAATGAACTTAATGCTCTACATAAAATACATAGATTGACAAATATAATTTAAAAAAGAACACCCAACCATCTGCTTCCTTCAAGGGACCCATCTCTCATGTAACGACACCTACAGGCTCAAAGGAAAGAGATGGAGTAAGATTTACCTGCAAATGAAAAACAAGAAAGAGCAGGGGTCACTATTCTTGTGTCAGATAGAACAGAATTTAGGCCAGCAACATTAAAAAGGACAAAGAAAATCATTACTTAATAATAACGGGTTTGTTTAATACTACAAGAATAAATAACTAACTTAAATATATACGTATTCAATATTGGAGTACACAGATTTATAGAACAATTACGAATAGACCTATGAAATGATGTAGACAACCAAACAATGATAACCCCACTGACAGCAATAGATACGTCAGGGCAGAAAAGAAGCCAACAGTATTTCTAAACTTAAATTTGACATTTGACCAACTAGACCTAAAACATCTATAGAATACTCCACTCTACAATAATAGAATACACGTTTTTCTCATCTGCACAAGAAGGGTACTCATGCCTTCACCACATGCTTGGCCATAAGGCAAGTCTCAGTGAATCAAGAAAAATTGAAATCATACCAAGCATCTTATTAACCACAGTGAAATAAAAATAGAAATCAATTCCAAGAGGAACTCAAAACCATGCAAATACTTGGAAACTAAACAACTTGCTTCTGAAAGACTTTGGGGTAAATAAGGAAAGTAAACAAAAATCTAAAAATTATTTGAAATAAATGAAAATGGAGACACAACATACCATTTGCATTAGTCAGAAAAAAATAAAATACCTAGGAATACACCTAACCAAGGAGGTGAAAAATCTCTGCAAGGAGAACTAAAAAAACACTGTTGAAAGAAACCAGAGACAGCAAAAACAAATGGAAAAACCTTAAATGCACATGGATCGGAAGAATCAATATTGCTAAAATGTCCATTTTGCCCAATGCAACCTACAGAGTCGATGCTATTATTATCAAAGTTACCAAGGTCATTTTTTACAGAATTAGACAAGAACTATTCTAAAATTTATATGGAACAAAAAATGAGCATGATTACATAAGGTGAGGCTAAGCAACAAAACAAAACAAAACAAAGCCAGAGGCATCACACTGCCCAACTTTACACTGTACTACAAGGCTACACTAATCAAAGTAGCATGACACCGGTACAAAAACAGACACGTACACAAATGGAACAGAATAGAGAACCCAAAAATGAAGCTGCAAATGTACAACCAACTGATCTTTGAAAAAGTCAACAAAAATTAACAACGGAGAAAAGACACACTATTCCATGAATGATGCTGGAAAAACTGGCTAACCATATGCAGAAGAAAGAAACTGGATGCCTACCTCTCACTATATATAGAAATTAACTCAAGATGGATTAAAGACCTAAATGTAAGATATCAAATTATATATGAAAAAAAAAAAAAACCTAGGAAACACTGCTCTGGGCAGTGGTTTAGGCCAAGAATTTATAATTATGTTCTAAAAAGCCAAGGTAACAAAAGCAAAAAATGACAATTTGGACCTAATTAAACTAAAGAGCATATTCAGAGCAAAACAAACTATGACTAGATTTTTAAAATAACCTGCAGAATACAAGAAAATATTAAAAGACTATGGATCCCACAAAGGACTAATATCTAGAATCTATAAGGAAATTAATCAAACCAGTAAGAAAATAACACATGATCTCATAAAATGTGGGCAGCAGACATGAGCAGACACTTCTCAAAAAAGACATAAAAGCAGTCAACAGACATGAAAAAATGCTCAGCATCACTAATCATCAGAGAAATGAAAATCAAAACCATACTGAGACATCCTTTCAAACCAGTGAAAATGGCTATTACTGAAAAGTGAAAAAATAGCAGATGTTGGTGAGCCTATGAAGAAAAGGGAATGCTCATACACTGTTGGTGGGAATGTGAATTAGTTCAGTCACTGTGGAAAGCAGTTTTCATATTTCTCCAAGGGCTAAAAGTGGAACAACCCTTCAACCCAGCAATCCCACTACAGCATACATACTCAAAGGAAAATAAATCGTTCTACCAAACAGACACATGCACTCATATGTTTATTGCCAGACTACTCATATAGTGTTGACATAGCGAAGACATGAAATCAACTTATGTGTTCATCAGTGGTAGATTGGATAAAGAAAATGTGGTGTATATACACTGTGGAATACTACACAGCCATTGAAAAAATAAAATCATGTCCTTTGCTGCAACATGCCTGCAGCTGGAGGCCACTATCCTAAGTGAACTAATGCAGAAACAAAAAACCAAATACCACATATTCCCACTTATAAGGAGCATGTAAACACTGGGTACACATGGGCATAAAGATGGGAACAACAGACACTGGGGACTCCAAATGGGGGAAAGGAGAGAAGCGAGCAAGGGTTTAAAAACTACCTAGTGGGTATTATGGTCACTACTTGGGTGACGGGAGCAATAAAAACCCAAATCTCAGTATCATACAATATACCCATGTAGCAAACCTGCACATGACCCCCTGAACTTATTTTAAAAAATAAAAAGGTAGAAAGATCACAAGTAAACATAGCATTATAAATCAAGTGACTAAAACAAAACAAGGACAAACCCAAATCATAGTTAACAGAGGAAAAGAAATAACAAAGATCAAAGCACAACTGAATGAAATAGAGATCAGAAAACAATACAAAAGATTAATAAAACGAAAAGTCAAATCTTCAAAAAGATGAACCAAATGTGCCAACCACTAGCTAGACAAACCAAAATAGAAGATCCACATAAACCAAATCAGAAATAAAAAAGGAGACATTACAACTGATACCACAGAAATACAAAAGATCCTCAAAGACTACTGTGAACAACTATGTACTCATAAACTGGTGTTGTAGTCTCGCCAGTTCACCAAGATGTAACAGTCTCTCATTGTCTGAGATAATACCTGGAGTTCTTTGTCTCATGTCCAAGGTGACTAAGAAGCGGGGACACAAGGGTGAGGTTGGAATGAAAGTTTAATAAGTGAAAGAAGAAAGCTCTCTGCAGCAGAGAGGGGAGCCCGAATGGGTTGCCCACTATGAGGCTGGGGTCTGGGGATTTTATGGACTGGAAAGGGGAAAGAAATGTGCTTAGTCTGTGGGCTGTCTTGGAGAAAGCATGATTCAGCTTGGCCCAGGACCTTGGCCCGGGACCAATCAGGAGTTGATGATTCATAGAGGCTAGTCAGCTTGGCCTGGGACCTATCAGGAGCTGAAGTGAAAGTTTGGCCCGGGACCAATCAGGGGCTGAAGTGATGATTCATAGAGGCTGGGATCACAGTCCAAAAATGAAAGGAAAGTGCCCACTTGAACCCAACGAAGCACACCATGTTCATGCCCACAAAAGGAGAGGAAACTTTTTCCTTGGAGCCTGTTGATTATACATAGGACAAAGGCATTTCTATGTTGGGCCTTGTTCCCTTATCTGAGTGAGCCAGGGGTTTGTGCAAGTTTTTGTCTGAATGGGCTGGAGGTTCTCCTATCCATGCAGCCACGGGCATGTCTCCAGGCACAACCCCCTGTGCTAGTTCCCTTATCAGTGCCAGCAGCTTATTTTTTTTTCCCCCAGGCAGCTTTTTGTGTTATATGGGGATGAGGCACTGACCCGTGGGTCAGGGGCTCTCCAGGGACCCTTCCCTTGCTGTCTACCTAAGGCAAGCTAGTTAACTCCTCTCACTAGAAAACAGAGAAGAAATGTATAAATTCCTGGGGGAAAAAAATTGAACCTCTCAAGATTGAACCAAGGAGAACAAGAAATCCTGAACAGCCCAATATTGCGTAGTGAGACTGAACCAGTAATAATAATCTCCCAACAATAGCAACAAAAATGCCCAGAATCAGAATGATTCACAGCTCAATTCTAGCAAATGCACAAAGAACAGATACCAATCATTCTGTAACATGTCAAAAATAGAGAAGCATGGAATTCTTCCTAACTCATTCTGTGAAGCCGGTACTACCCTGATACTAAAGCCAGATAAGAACACTACCAAAATAAATGAGAAGTGCATACCATAATTCCTGATGAGCACTGATGCAAAAATCACCAGCAAAATACTAGCAAATAAAATGTAACAGCACATCAAAAAGATAAGACACCATGACCAAGTGAATTTTATTACTGGGATACAAGGATGTTTCAACATATGCAAGTCAATAAATGTGATACAGTACATAAATATATATCAAGGGCACAAACCATGTGATTATCTCAATAGATGGAGAAAAATTATTTGACAAATTTCAACATTTCTTCATGATAAAAACTCTCAGCAATCTAGGCATTGAAGAAACATACCTCAAAATAATAACGGACGTATATGACAAATCAACAGTTGACATCACCTTGAATAGGAAAATGTTGAAGGCATTTTCATTAGAAACTGGAACAATATAAGGATGTCCACTTTCACTACTCCTATTCAACATACTGGTGGAAGTCTTAGCCAGATCGGTCAGGCAAAATGAGGAAATAAAGGAGTTCCAAGTTGGAAAAGTGGAAGTCAAATTCTTTCTGTTTACTGATGATATGATTTTATACCAAAACACCCTAAAGATTCCCCAAAAAGACTCTAGATTTGTTAAATGAATTCTTCAGGGTCTCAGGACACAAATCAAAATACAAAAATCAGTAGCATTTCTAAGCACCAATAACAAGGAAGCTGAGGACGAAATCAATAAGGCAATCCCATTTACATCGATTACAAAATAAGTAAAGTAGCTAGAAATACATTTAACAAGGGAGGTGAAAGATCTCTACATAAAGAATCACAAGACACCCATGGAAAAACATCTCATGGTCATGGATTGGAAGAATCGATATAATTAAAAAGACCATACTTTTTTTTTTTTTTAACATGGTGGATTAGAGGCATTGCTAGCATATCTCTCCCTCTTGGAAGGACAAAATAGTGTGCAGAGGTTCACACTGTGAACTATTTTTCATGAAGCAATGCAGGAACTGAACAGGAAAATGGAAGGAATCCACAGACCCTTTGAAGGAAGTGGCAGGTTGCAGCCTACACCACGAGTCAAGTGTGGGTCCTCAGTGTGTGAGAGGGGAAGAAACTGCCTCTGGGATACACACCCCTCCCAGGGAGCCTGAAAATCCAGGCCGCAGTGGGAAGCCTTAACCCTACTCAGTGCAGGAACCAAATTGGAGAAGGTCATGGAATATAAAAGTAGGAGCAGCAGCAGGAAGACCCTGGCGTGCACTCCCAATCTCCAGAGCAGACTGAAAGAAGCCAGTCTTTATTGTTTCTCACAGGGGACCCTGCAAAGGTCAGCCAAATAGTTCAGGCAGTGGTTGTAGGCTGAAAGAAGCCCCTGACCGTGTTTCATGGTATATCCTTGGATGGAGACAAACTCCTTTGGCCAGCGCCAGGATGGGGGTAAGTGAAAAGTGAGCTGCAGCCAGAAGTGCAGGAATGAGGTGCCTGGCTTTGTGAGCAGACAGGGAGGGGCATGGCCTAAAAGCCATGGTTGTTATCCCCATGGGGAAAGCTTACAACCTGGGGCAGTTGTTAGTTCTGAGTGCAGGCTTCCTGGAACTTAGCTCACTGCTACCAGTGGAACACTGCAGGGGTGGATCTGCCTCACCAAGTGCGTGGGATCTGTGTGGGGCTTACTGCCACCTGCTACTCCCCACTTCCTGCATGAGCCCTTCTATGCGGCAGAGGCAACAACAATCCCCTCTGTAAAAACCAGGGGCTTGAGAATCACCCCCATTCCCTGACACCGACAGAGGTGCCTCCTTGCCCTGAACACGGTGAGTCAGAGAAAAGATCTGACTGACCAAGCTCCCACCTGCCCTTGCCCCACCACCTGCCCTGGTGGCTTAACACAAAGGACAGAAACATAGTCCAATAAGTGCTATATGAAAATTAATAAATACTATATGGTCCCGCCCATTGCCTGAGAAACCAGAGCACACCCTTTGGGCAACATAAGGCAAGCAGAAACCCCCACGGTTACTACCAGAGCTGATACTCCTTTGAAAGTGCCACTTTCTTGCTGGAGGCCAAGAAACACAGTCCATTAAGCATCTCCTGGTAGAATAACACTGCACCTAAGAAGAAGAAAATGGCTGCACAACCTCAACTATCACCACTGCCTGCACCACTATGCCTAAGCAGAAGGTCCTGAGTTTGTCCACATGACCAGTTCATTACTACTGTAAATGGCATTTGAGAAAGCCAACACACTAAGGGTATCGTTAACTAAAAAATCTCACATAGTCTACATCAGTCACCTGCCACTCCCATTAGAGCTGGTGCTGCTACCCACCGCTGGGAAACTTGAGGACAGATCACATCACCGAACCCCTCGCACACATGGCCCAGTAGCAGGCTGAAGTGTGGCAACTTCACTGGGTGGCTAGACCCAGAAGAGCAACAACACTCACAATAGTCTGGCTTTCAGTGACTCCCACTCCTACGGGAAGGGAAGGGAGAGTGCACCACATCAAGGGAACACCCCATGAGACAAAAGAATCTGGAGAGCAGGCCTTGAGTGGCAGGTCCTTCCACTGGTGGGAAGTTTCTTTCAGCAGAGGCGCAGTTTTAGTGCTGGGCTCAGAGAGGAAAGTCTGCAGCTACAACCCAACAGTCAAACAGCCCTGGTGCATATGAAGGTCTTGAAGAAGAGGACATGACATTCAGGGTGACTCCATTCCTGAAGAAGGAACACTTTACAGGTTCAGGCTTGCATGACAGACAGAGCCACAATTCCTCTCTACTTGAAATATCAACATTCCTGCATATGAAAAAAAATGGTGCCTCTCTAATTTGAATAACTTGAGCACTGGGACAGGAGAGTGACTGAGAGGTGGATAGCTTTTCTGCTGTCCTGGCAGGAGACTCAGGTGGCTCCAACTCCTCCCCATGTTAAGACCTCAGTGGAACTCTCTGAGAGCTTCTCTAGCCACTTCTGTCAAGGCTGAGACAACTGCCCAACATTGGGTGTTGCAAAATTACCCAACTGCTTTAGCCACAACCGGTTTCTACACAGGGACACTTTCCCTACTGTCCTGAAGCCTGAAACATCACACAATTCGCAAGTGCAAAAATATTGAACCAGCCCAAATGCCCATCAATAAATGAGTGGATAAAGAAAATATTACATATCTATATATGCGTATGCCATGGAATACTACTCAGCCATAAAAAGGAATGAAATAATTTCATTCACAGCAACCTGGATGGATTTGGAGATCATTATTCTAAGTGAAGTAACTCTGTGATGAAAAACTAAACATCTTATGTTCTCACTCATAAGTTGGAGCTAAGCTATGAGGACTCAAAGGCATAAACGTAATACTGTGAACTTTTGGGACTTGGGGAAAAGGGTGGGAGGGGGTGAATGATAAAAGACTACCCACTGGATACAGTGTACTCTGCTTAGGTGATGGTTGCACCAAAATCTCAGAAATCATCACTAAAGAGCTTATAGATGTACCCAAACACCACCTATTCCCCCAAAACCTATTGAAATAAAGAAAAAGATTCTTTCTCGTATAAAATTATTTTCTTTTAACCTTTCTTTTCAAAAATACCTTTTTGTATTTATTAATATACATATATAAATATATATATTCTTTACATTGCTCTTATTTACTGATTACCTTTACCTTGTTTTATAAATACCTTTTAAAATGACCTTTAGACAACATTTATTTTCTTTTAAATAAGAACACATTTATTTTTTTAATGTTTTTCTATAATATAACTTGTAAAATGGAAAGTAACCCAGACATTTAATAAACATGTATTATTTAAGTTAATATAACTTTAGATTTTAAATCATATGGCAAGATTATTTACAAGCATTTATTCCATTAAATTTACCCAGTTGATTAATTTTTTAATAGTTTACCTAGATTACTTATGAAAACTCTGATAGTTATTATTTTAAGTTATTTTTTTGTTTACACATTTTATAACTTGTGAATTTCAGGTTTTTCCAAGTATAAACCTTGAGGTTACATTAATAGGGTTGTTTTTTTGCCAATCACTCAGGATTTAGCTGTTTTCATTAAACAAAAAATATTAAATGCCTTATTTATCAAATTCTATATAAGCAACGATAATTCTTTTTTGAACTGCATTTACAGCTGTATAACCCTCATGACATATTTTGACATCAAGCAGAGATAAACATAAAACCACTTGAAAAGTAAATTTAAACGATTATGTATGTTGGCAATTCTAAAGCCATTTCTAATTCTATTTCACCAACATTGTACAAACCAGCTTATTTGTTAGAGATTTACTTAACTCACATGAACTTGAAAAAACATTTGTCTTAAAGTCTCTGTTTATCTGATAAAGCATTTGATTTTAGTGCTTTTTAAAGCCAATCAATCAGAGTTCTTTTAGTATTCTTAGTAGTGAAACATCATATACATGACACATAAATACACAGAAGTATTAGACACATTGATAGAAGTAGATCTTATAAATTCATAAGACCTCTTTTTTTTTCTCTTCCTTTAGACTTCCAATTTCTTGATAACCGATTTCATTACCCTAGGCAATTGTCAGCTAGATAGTCCTAAATTTGCGTATTAGAGGAACAACTCTTAGGAGAAAAACCAGATAGCAAAATGACGTACAACTCAAAGTACAGAGAGAAAGAGTTTGGTGGTACTAGAGAGAGATTAAAAATGAATGGCAAATCAAACACAAATTCATAGAAATCTATGATAAAATTGTATGAGAAGATCAATTTTATTCAGATACATCGTGTAAATTTGTTCTGTACCTTTTAACTGGATCTCTGATCATGAATCCTGGGTCTTCAAAAAGAGAAAATTATTATGAGGTTATACCACGTGACACTTTCACAGTGCACCTTTTCTTAAACAAAGACATTTCTGTAAGTGTCTAAACTGCATGCTTCCGTAATTTAAACCTCAAAATAGCCTCTGTTGTAGTAACTATTTTAGTCAAAGGTTAAAAAAAGTCAGGTAACAAAATACAAAATACAAAAGCAAGCAGTTTAAGATCTGACACAAACTTGTGTGTTTGCACTCTTGGAGTTTCATAAGGAAAAATAGAATTTTTTTTTTTTTTTTTTTTTTTTTTCCAAAAGGGAGTCTGGCACCTCCTCTGTTTTACTTAAGGATTCCCAGGGTGTTAGAAACTGTCAGAGGCTTTTGAACCAAAGGGACTCCAACTTGAGTAGGGGCTGAGTAAAATAAGTCTGAGACCTACTGGGCTGCATTGTCAGGAGATTAAGGCATTCTTAGTCACAGAATGAAATAGGAGGTCAGTACAAGATACGGGTCATAAAGACCCTGCTGATAAAACAGCATGCAATAAAGAAGCTGGCCAAAACCCGCCCAAACCAAGATGGTGATAAAAGTGACCTCTGGTCATCCTCACTGTTCATTATATGCAAATTATAATGCATTAGCATGCTAAAAGACACTCCCACCAGCACCATGGCAGTTTACAAATGCCATGGCAACATCAGGAAATTACCCTATATAGTCTAATAAGGGAAGGAACCCTCAGTTCCAGGAATTGCCCACCCCTTTCCTGGAAAACTCATGAATAATCCACCCCTTGTTTAGCATATAATCAAGAAATAACTAGAAGTATCCTTAGTGAAGCAGCCCAAGCCACTGCTCTGCCTTGGAGTAGTCACTCATTTACTCCTTTACTTTCTTAATAAACTTGGTTTCACTTTACTCTATGGATTCACCTCAAATTCTTTCTTGGGTGAGACCCAAGAACTGTCTCTTGGAGTCTGGATCAAGGCACCTTTTCAGTAACATCTTCCTGGCTACCATGAAGGGGTGATACTGAGGAGACCCCCCCGCCGACCCAAAAGAAATACACTGCAGTGCTGATTGGATGACGTTGAGTAAGTGGTGGGGTACCCAGGTAGAGGATGGAACTGGGTTAGAGGCCCAACTTAGGGGAGTTAGAGTCTCTTCTATGACTGAAGGGGTTAAAGGCTCCTCTCAATTACAGGCAAGGATGCTTGACCAAACTTGGGTTTGAGGCCCAATTTAAGAAAGTTAGAGTCCTTCCTAAGATTTAGGGCATTAGAGGCCCCCTCTTGGTAAAGTCCTTCTCGGCTAAGAATGGGTTTGGCACCATGGGCTGTTAACTGCCATTCTCTTTGGATTAATCTGCCTTACACTCTTTGCTGACAGCTATAGATGACAGGATTAGGCATGCACAGGATTATAAGTCATGGGTAGCTTTTTCTTCCCCAAAGGGGTAAAACTGAGAGCTGCTGGGACTGCTGGAAAAGATACCTTTGAGATTGACAAGCGGCTGCCTGAACTTTTGATTCAGTGTTACAGGGATGGATGGGTCTTTCTCTGGCCTCCTTGAGCACCTCACCTTCCCCACCCTACTGAAGACAACGATTTTCTCCCTTGTCTTTCCCCTCTCTGTGCAAACCAGTTGAAGGAATGGTAAAAATCACTGCTTATCGCCTCTGTAAAGTTGTTATTAGTTGGAAAAAGAATTAGTGAGGCTAGTCTTAAGCCGTAGCAAATCGGTTGTACTTTGTGCTATGAATTTCTCTTTCTGCATCTTTCTGTTAGAAAAAGGGGTATCTTAGGATAGAACACAGGCTTAAGATGGCTTGTGCCTTGAGCAAGATGGCCCAGCAAACTCGTCAGTTAGGCCCTTGGGAGCTTGACCTTGTAACCAAGTGCCAGTACTTTCTCTTGGTCTCTGCCATCCAAAAAACAGGAAATTGGGGGTTCATGTCATAGCCCTAAAAATTATCTCAAGCAGCTAAAAGCCATTACAAGCTCAAAATTGACTGCTCTAGGCTCCTTCAGGGAAGGGCAATGGAAACTGCCCAATGCTGTGGCTGAGCAATTTTACAATGACAGTCCGGGTTTAATCCTGGCTTAGGGTATGAGTCCTTTCTGGTTTGATATCTGTGTGACCTTTACCATTTGTTGACTCTCTTCCGCTCCATGTACGTCTTCTGGCTCACCTTCTTGAACCTTCCTTTCTCTGAGCCACCACTGGAAATTCTAGATCTTGTAAAAACTGCTTACCACCCCTTTGAAAATACCTTGTACACTCGTGGTTACATCATAACCTTTATTTAAGGCTTATTGGTTTCACCTGGGAAGTTACCTTTGGTGAAGTGCAAAAGCCAGAAATATTGGGGGTTTGGCATGGCTAAAGTTGGGTAATAAGAGATTTAAAGGTACTTTTAGAGAACTATGGTTAAAAGTCAGCTTAACTAAAAGCAGATATTCAAGTTCTAACAGCTTGGGACTCCTTGGGAAAAACAGGAGGTGCCATAGACCCCCGTTTTGGGAAAAACCTCTGTTTTCCTCATGAAACCTCAGGAATTGAAAGTGGATAGATTCATCTCAAAATCTAAGGCTCTGTTCTGTTTCACATTGCATTATCTGATGTTTTTAACTTTTGGGAGTATCAGAAATTGCTTGGCTTTATGAGAGAACTTTGGTGTGTGCTAACTATGTAGGAAATATACTTTTGGGGACAGACAACCAATGGCAGTTATGGGGGGCGGTATATTCGGTTCTTTGCGCACTTGGAGTTTGGATCAGAGAAGCATGCTGTTGGTCACCTGGAAGGTATGGCGATGTTCCCACTCTCCACCTCCACCGTGAGCTGACACCCCCATGGGGGATGGGCTAATCACAGAATGGGCTGATTGGCTTTGGGTTGCTTTGCAATTAAATGCACAGTAAATTTATTGCACTGTCTTGTTCCATAGCATTTCTTTTTTTGGGAATCCAAGACCTGGTATAGGATAGGATTCCTAATATGGGGGATCTGTCTTAGCCTTCCAGCTATGCCTGCTTATTAAGTCATAGAAACTGCATACTTTCCTGGCCCTGCTCCTCCAAGGGCTTCACCCTGAAACCAGTAATCCAATTTAAAAACTGGCAAATGGAAAACTTTACAACTACAGGATCTTGTGTCTGTGTATTTACATGTGTTGTGAGTGTGATGTCTATATATGCAAAAGTTTTATTAATTTGTTTAAAATAATAAGCACTTAAATATTTTGTCAGAAAAGTAAAAAGTGCAATGCCTTTTAGTTCACATGACTTAAGCAATCTTTGGGAAATAAAAACAGTTTTACATGCAAGGTTTATAAGGAAAGTAAAATGTGCTTCATGGGAATGTGAATTTTTGTTTGCCTAGTGTGGAGGGTTAAAGGATTATTTTAAGTTATATAGGAAAAAACTGGAGGTTTCTGCAAGTTGTGGAAAGTTTGTGAAAAATTAATCTGGTAAAAGAAATTGTGTGTGTGAACATTAACAAAATTAAAAGGGTATTATCTCATTGAAATTGAACATTAAAATAAAAGCACAACAAGTTTCTCAAAGAGCACTGACATGCTCTTTAACAAAAATTTGTAAAGGGTTACCAAATGTTAATGAAAATCTTACCTTATAGTCAGGCATTAAAACTGAATAAGGTTATATTAAGAATTGGAGTTGACATTAATAGTACACTAATGTAAAGAGTAAAAAAGCATATAGATGGGATGCATCTCAAAATAATGAGAGCTACTTATGACAAACCCACAGCCAATATCATACTGAATGGGCAAAAACTGGAAGCATTCCGTTTGAAAACTGGCACAAGACAGGGATGCCCTCTCTCACCACTCCTATTCAACATAGTGTTGGAAGTTCTGGCCAGGGCAATCACTCAGGAGAAAGAAATAAAGGGTATTCAATTAGGAAAAGAGAAAGTCAAATTGTCACTGTTTGCAGATGAGAAGGAGAACTACAAACCACTGCTCAACAAAATAAAAGAGGACAAAAACAGATGGAAGAACATTCCATGCTCATGGATAGGAAGAATCAATATCGTGAAAATGGCCATACTGCCCAAGGTAATTTATAGATTCAATGCCATCCCCATCAAGCTACCAATGACTTTCTTCACAGAACTGGAAAAAAACTACTTTAAACTTCATATGGAACCAAAAAAGAGCCCACATTGCCAAGACAATCCTAAGCCAAAAGAACAAAGCTGGAGGCATCACACTACCTGACTTCAAACTATACTACAAGGCTACAGTAACCAAAACAGCATGGTACTGGTACCAAAACAGAGATATAGACCAATGGAACAGAACAGAGCCCTCAGAAATAGTACCACACATCTACAACCATCTGATCTTTGACAAACCTGACAAAAACAAGCAATGGGGAAAGGAGTCCCTATTTAATAAATGGTGCTGGGAAAACTGGCTAGCCATATGTAGAAAGCAGAAACTGGATCCCTTCCTTACACCTTATACAAAAATTAATTCAAGATGGATTAAAGACTTAAATGTTAGACCTGAAACCATAAAAACCCTAGAAGAAAACCTAGGCAATACCATTCAGGACATAGGCATGGGCAAGGACTTCATGACTAAAACACCAAAGGCAATGGCAACAAAAGCCAAAATTGACAAATGGGATCTAATTAAACTAAAGAGCTTCTGCACGGCAAAAGAAGCCACCATCAGAGTGAGCAGGCAACCTACAGAATGGGAGAAAATTTTTGCAATCTACTCATCTGACAAAGGGCTAATATCCAGAATCTACAATGAACTCAAACAAATTTACAAGAAAAAAACAAACAACCCCATCAAAAAGTGGGCGAAGGATATGAACAGACACTTCTCAAAAGAAGACATTTATGCAGCCAAAAGACACATGAAAAAATGCTCATCATCACTGGCCATCAGAGAAATGCAAACCAAAACCACAATGAGATACCATCTCACACCAGTTAGAATGGCGATCATTGAAAAGTCAGGAAACAACAGGTGCTGGAGAGGATGTGGAGAAATAGGAACACTTTTACACTGTTGGTGGGACTGTAAACTAATTCAACCATTGTGAAAGACAGTGTTTTGATTCCTCAGCGATATAGAACTAGAAATACCATTTGACCCAGCCATCCCATTACTGGATATATACCCAAAGGATTATAAATCATGCTGCCATAAAGACACATGCACACGTATGTTTATTGAGGCACTATTCACAATAGCAAAGACTTGGAACCAACCCAAATGTCCATCAATAGTAGACTGGATTAAGAAATTGTGGCACATGTGCACCATGGAATACTATGCAGACATAAAAAAGGATGAGTTCATGTCCTTTGTAGGGACATGGATGAAGCTGGAAACCATCATTCTCAGCAAACTATCACAAGAACAAAAAACCAAACACCACATGTTCTCACTCACAGGTGGGAATTGAACAATGAGAACACTTGGACACAGGAAGGGGAGCATCACACACTGGGGCCTGTTGTGGGGTGGGGGGAGGGGGGAGGGAAAGCATTAGGAGATATACCCAATGTAAATGATGAGTTAATGGGTGCAGCACACCAACATGGCACATGTAGACACATGTAACTAACCTGCACGTTGTGCTCATGTACCCCTAGAACTTAACGTATAAAAAAAAAGAAAAATTAGTACAAAAGAGAGTCTAAAATATCTCCTTAATGCTTTTTATACTAATTATGTTTCAAGATAATATTTTGGATGTACTGGGTTAAGTAAAATACGTTATTTTTTTAAAAGTTGAACTCTGTGGCAGCAGGAGGGTATTTAATCATCTCCTGAGCACTGCCTAAATGGAGTATTCATTCTGAGGGTGATTAGTTCTGAGAGGTGACAGCATGCTGGCAGTCCTCACAGCCCTCGCTCGCTCTTGGCACCTCCTCTGCCTGGGCTCCCACTTTGGCAGCACTTGAGGAGCCCTTCAGCCCACCGCTGTACTGTGGGAGCCCCTTTCTGGGCTGGCCACGGCCGGAGCCGGCTCCCTCAGCTTGCAGGGAGGTGTGGAGTGAGAGGCAGGAGCGGGAACCTGGGCTGTGCGCACCGCTTGTGGGCCACCTGGAGTTCCGGATGGGCGTGGGCTTGGAGCCCCACACTCGGAGCAGCCGGCCGGCCCTGCTGTCCCCGGCCAATGAGGGGCTTAGTACCTGGGCCAGCGGCTGCGGAGGGTGTACTGGGTCCCCCAGCAGTGCCGGCCCACGGGCGCTGTGCTTGATTTCTCGCCAGGCCTTAGCTGCCTTCCTGCAGGGCAGGGTTCGGGACCTGCAGCCCGCCATGTCTGAGCCTCCCACCCTCTCCGTGGGCTGCTGTGCAGCCCGAGCCTCCCCAATGAGCACAACCTCCTGCTCCATGGCACCCAGTCCCATCACCACCCAAGGGCTGAGGAGTGTGGGCGCACAGCACGGGACTGGCAGGCAGCTCCACTTGCAGCCCCGATGCGGGATCCACTGGGTGAAGCCAGGTAGGCTCCTGAGTCTGGTGGGGACGTGGAGAACTTTTATGTCTAGCTAAGGGATTGTAAATACACCAATCGGCACTCTGTGTCTAGCTCAAGGTTTGTAAACACACCAATCAGCACCCTGTGTCTAGCTCACAGTTTGTGAATGCACCAGTCCACACTCTGTATCTAGCTACTCTGGTGGGGACTTGGAGAACCTTTATGTCTAGCTCAGGGATTGTAAATACACCAATCGGCACTCTGTATCTAGCTCGAGGTTTGTAAACACACCAATCAGCACCCCGTGTTTAGCTCAGGGTTTGTGAATGCACCAATGGACACTCTGTATCTAGCTACTCTGGTGGGGCCTTGGAGAACCTTTGTGTCAACACTCTGTATCTAGCTAATCTGGTGGGGACTTGGAGAACCTTTATGTCTAGCTCAGGGATTGTAAATGCACCAATCAGTGCCCTGTCAAAACAGACCACTGGGCTCTACCAGTCAGCAGGATGTGGGTGGGGCCAGATAAAAGAATAAAAGCAGGCTGCCCGAGCCAGCAGTGGCAACCCGCTTAGGTCCCCTTCCACACTGTGGAAGCTTTGTTCTTTCGCTCTTTGCAATAAATCTTGCTACTGCTCACTCTTTGGGTCCACACTGCCTTTATGAGCTGTAACACTCACTGGGAAGGTCTGCAGCTTCACTCCTGAAGCCAGCAAGACCACGAGCCCACCGGGAGGAACGAACAACTCCAGATGTGCCGCCTTAAGTGTTGTAACACTCACCGTGAAGGTGTGCAGCTTCACTCCTGTGCCAGCGAGACCACGAACCCACCAGAAGGAAGAAACTCTGAACACATCTGAACATCAGAAGGAAAAAACTCCAGACATGCCACCTTTAAGAACTGTAACACTCACTGCGAGGGTCCGCGGCTTCATTCTTGAAGTCAGTGAGACCAAGAACCTACCAATTCCGGACACTGTTCCACCTCGGCATTGGAAGTATGTCTCAGTTTGTTGTCCAGTGCTTTAGTTGAGCAAAGTATGTGAGCAGCAGATAGGATGCCTCTCACTCCTGTGAAACTTTTACAAAAGAACATTGTTCTGTGTTAGCCAAACCTATAACTTTAAATAACTAATTCATGTTATTGTTAATATCAACCATTAAGGTGATGATATTTGGCAGAGGGGTTCTAATAAAGGAAGTAGTCTTTTTTAACACTCTGTAAACTATAGTTAGCCTCCAGTTATTAAAAGTGGCTTTAAGCATATGTCATACTGGGAAATTGAAATTTGAGATGGTAGAATATCTCTTTTTCAACTGCATGTTGTGACAGGTCATAATCCTTCAGTGTCTTGCATTAGTTAGTATGTGGCATATTTACCACACATACTGTTAGAGAAAGGTTAACTAGTTACCACTGGGAAGCACCAACCAATAGCATAAAAGCCTAAGGCTTGTTCCATAAGTTACTTGTTGGCTGAAGAGGTCCACTTTAATAATGGGAAAATAAGGTAGTCCCTAGGGGCACTACCAGGAAAGAGGCACTTTTTAGCAAAATTAGGCCAATTTTAATGATCAAGTGGGTAATTACCCATGCATTAATTAACCCCTCTCCCAAAGTTGTAAACTCCTGGATGGGGGTTCCTTTTGTGAAAGAAAAATAAACTTCAGGACCCCCAAATCACTAAGCCAATAAAAATATCAAGCTGGTAACTATGTCAGGCAAACCTGCCTCCCATTTTATTCCTAAATAAGATAGCTACAGAGATTTTAAAAAGCTAGATTTGTCATCTGTAAACCTCCATTGATGAGGTGTGTGTTAAGGTCTTCGGCCTATTTTTAAATGAGGTGTTTGTTTTCTTCTTATTGAGTTTTAACAGATCTTTTTATGTTTTAGATAACAGTCTTTGCCAGATACATCTTTTGCAAATATTTTCTCCTAGTGTGTGGCTTGTCTTTTCCTTCTCTTGAATTTGATTTCTTTTTAAGAGTCAGGATTCTTCTGTCCCCTGTATAGAAAGATAATGGTAGATCTGGAGGCTTGATTAGATTCAATTTCAAATTTTGGCGGCAGCCGCCGCCGCCCGACCGCCGGGAGGATGGAGTTCAGCGGGCAGCGGAGCTGTCTCAGTCTTTGCCGCCGCGCCGGCGAGCGCCGCCCGGGAGGCAGCGGCTGGAGGAGCGGACGGGCCCCGCGGGGCCCGAGGGCAAGGAGCAGCCGCCTGCCTTGGCCTCCCAAAGTGCCGAGATTGCAGCCTCTGCCCGGCCGCCACCCCGTCTGGGAAGTGAGGAGTGTCTCTGCCTGGCCGCCCATCGTCTGGAATGTGAGGAGCCCCTCTGCCTGGCTGCCCAGTCTGGAAAGTGAGGAGCGTCTCCGCCCGGCCGCCATCCCATCTAGGAAGTGAGGAGCGCCTCTTCCCAGCCGCCATCACATCTAGGAAGTGAGGAGCGTCTCTGCCCGGCCGCCCATCGTCTGAGATGTGGGGAGCGCCTCTGCCCCGCCGCCCCATCTGGGATGTGAGGAGCGTCTCTGCCCGGCCGAGACCCCGTCTGGGAGGTGAGGAGCGTCTCTGCCCGGCCGCCCCGTCTGAGAAGTGAGGAGACCCTCTGCCTGGCAACCACCCCGTCTGAGAAGTGAGGAGCCCCTCTGCCCGGCAGCCACCCCATCTGGGAAGTGAGGAGCGTCTCCGCCCGGCAGCCACCCCGTCCGGGAGGGAGGTGGGGGTGGTCAGCCCCCGCCCGGCCAGCCGCCCCATCCGGGAGGGAGGTGGGGGGGTCAGCCCCCCGCCTGGCCAGCCGTGCCGTCCGGGAGGGAGGTGGGGGGGTCAGCCCCCCGCCTGGCCAGCCGTGCCGTCCGGGAGGGAGGTGGGGGGGACAGCCCCCCGCCCGGCCAGCCGCCCCGTCCGGGAGGTGAGGGGCGCCTCTGCCCGGCCGCCCCTACTGGGAAGTGAGGAGCCCCTCTGCCCGGCCAGCCGCCCCGTCCGGGAGGGAGGTGGGGGTGTCAGCCCCCCGCCCGGCCAGCCCCCCCGTCCGGGAGGGAGGTGGGGGGGTCAGCCCCCCTGCCCGGCCAGCCGCCCCGTCCGGGAGGGAGGTGGGGGGGGTCAGCCCCCCCGCCCGGCCAGCCGCCCCGTCCGGGAGGTGAGGGGCGCCTCTGCCCGGCCGCCCCTACTGGGAAGTGAGGAGCCCCTCTGCCCGGCCAGCCGCCCCATCCGGGAGGGAGGTGGGGGTGTCAGTCCCCCGCCCGGCCAGCCGCCCCGTCCGGGAGGGAGGTGGGGGGGGTCAGCCCCCCTGCCCGGCCAGCCGCCCCGTCCGGGAGGTGAGGGGCACCTCTGCCCGGCCGCCCCTACTGGGAAGTGAGGAGCCCCTCTGCCCGGCCACCACCCCGTCTGGGAGGTGAGCCCAACAGCTCATTGAGAACGGGCCAGGATGACAATGGCGGCTTTGTGGAATAGAAAGGCGGGAAAGGTGGGGAAAAGATTGAGAAATCGGATGGTTGCCGTGTCTGTGTAGAAAGAAGTAGACATGGGAGACTTTTCATTTTGTTCTGCACTAAGAAAAATTCCTCTGCCTTGGGATCCTGTTGATCTGTGACCTTACCCCCAACCCTGTGCTCTCTGAAACATGTGCTGTGTCCACTCAGGGTTAAATGGATTAAGGGCGGTGCAAGATGTGCTTTGTTAAACAGATGCTTGAAGGCAGCATGCTCGTTAAGAGTCATCACCAATCCCTAATCTCAAGTAATCAGGGACACAAACACTGCGGAAGGCCGCAGGGTCCTCTGCCTAGGAAAACCAGAGACCTTTGTTCACTTGTTTATCTGCTGACCTTCCCTCCACTATTGTCCCATGACCCTGCCAAATCCCCCTCTGTGAGAAACACCCAAGAATTATCAATAAAAAAATAAATTGAAAAAATAAATAAAAAAAATAAAAAATAAAAAGCTATATACCTCCGTCACAATTTGTCCTTTGTCCACAAGAAATTTTCTTGTGGAGAAAGGACAGGCAGAACTCAAAGTCATCCCTCTGAGGCTCACGTGACATAAATGCATGCCTGATTGCTTCCTCTCCCCTATTGTTTTACTAAGCCAGGCTATAGCATAAGTGACCATTCCTCTACCCTTCTCTCACATATAAATTGTGTATTCAATAAAAGGCTAATCAGAGACTCAAAGAAATGCAACCATTTGTTTCTTATCTATGACCTGGAAGTCCCCTCCCCCACCTCGAGCTATCCCTCCTTTTTGGACTGAACCAAAATACATATTACACATATTGATTGATGTCTTGCATCTCTCTAAAATGTATGAAACCAAGCTGTGTGCTGACCACCTTGAGCACATGTCACCAGACCATCCTGAGGCTGTGTCATGGTGCATCCTTAATCTTGGCAAAATAAACTTTCTAAATTCGTTGGTTGAGATCTTTCCCAGATATTTTGGATTCACAATTTAGCAAACACAAAGGTATTCTGAGTGGAGGTGTGCCCAATCTTTGAAACATCTTCTGTCAGTGCTTGGTAAGAGCCTGAGCTATCTTTATGGCTCAAACCAACAGAACAATTTGCTATGACCTGGGAGCTCCCCCTTCCAGAGAATCCCTGATCTCACAAAATTTGGTTGAGGTCTAAAGTTTATTTTGCTGTACCACTCCTTTTTTGGAGTTTTACCTTTTTCCAAAAAGAAAGGCAAGTTTTCCTGCTTCCATGACAATTGAAAGCACATAACTTCTTTATGGAGTTTCAGCTAGCTTCCAACAGGGAAAGTGAGTTTGAGTTTTTCCTGCTTTTAGGATGGCAGAGAGCAATCTTCAGCCTGAGACTCATGCCTACGTAAATAGCAGAATTGAGGTTTTGGCTTGGCTAAAGTTGAGATTGACAACGAGCTGGTCTTAATTTCTATCATTCAGTAACCATATAAATTGTGTGATTGTTTGTTTTGCTTAATTTGTTTGTTTGGTTCTGCTTTTATTATTGTTTTGGTTTATTCCCCACTGAGTTTGACCAACTCTATATGACTTGATCAAATCCGAAGGAAATTTCCAAATTATGGGGAACAAGGACTATAAATTTTCTAAATTCCCACAGCAGAAAAACAAAAATAATGGCCAGCCAATAAATGTATATATATATTTTTATTTTGACTACCTGAGGGACCTTATTACATGATAACGCCACTTTTTCTTCTAGCGAAGTCAAACTGAAAGAGCAGTGGCCATCACCCCATGCTGCCATTTAGTAACTAAAGTTCTGCCATTTTTTTTTTCACCCCGACAGACTGGGTTTGATTACTAAATCAAGCCCCTTTCTGGTTAGATAATTGTGTTACTTTTAAAACGTTGGCAATTTTTTCTAACAAAAATATGGTAATGTTATTTAAATTGATTTTTTAAAGGAGCTTAATGATTAAAAGTCAGCTTAATTAAAAGCTGATATCCAAGATATGTGATATGTGTGTGTGTGTGTGTGTGTGTGTGCGTATTTAAAAGGCTTTTACATTTTTTCCTTCATCTCCTAGGTTCTTGTTTTCTTTTTTTTTTTTTTTTGAGAAATATATTTTTTTCTTCTCAATTGACAAAATTCTGTTTTCTTCTTTTACTTCTGCTGTCTCTCTTTTCTTTTGTCAACCTCTGCTGCATGAGAGACCTAAAATAGTTTTGTTACCTGAAAGCGGTCCTGATTCAGACCTCAAGAGAGCATTCTTGGATCTCACCCAAGAAAGAATTTGAGACAAGTCCAGAGTAAAGTGAAAGAAAATTTATTAAGAAAGTAAAGAAATTAAAAATTGTTGACTCCATAGACAGAGCAGCAGCTTAGATTGTTTCACTAAGGATACTTCTAGTTATTACTTGATTATATGCTAAACAAGGACTGGGTTATTGATGAGTTCTTCAGGAAAGGGTCGGGATGAGTTTTCAGGAAAGAGCAATTCCCGGAACTGAGGGTTCCTCCCATTTTTAAACCATCGAGGTTAAGTTCTTAACATTGTCATGGCATTTGTAAACTGTCCTGGTGCTGGCAGGAGTGTGTTTTCTTATGCTAGTGCATTATAATTAGCGTGTAATGAGCAATGAAGACAACCAGAGGTCACTTTTATTGCCATAATGGTTTTGGTGTGTTTTGGCTGGTTTCTTTACCACAAATATGTTTTACTGCAACCTGTTGGCCAGCTCCTTTACTGCAACCTTTATCAGCAAGGTCTTTATGACCTGTATCTTGTGCCAACTTCCTATCTCATCCTGTGACTGAGAATGACTTAACCTCCTGGGAATGCAGCCCCATAGGTCTAAGCCTTATTTTACCCAGCCCCTAATCAAGATGGAGTCACTCTGTTTCAAACACCTCTGAAATATTTCTCCCTTTCTATTTAAAAGAGAATCAATAATCTTAAGCTTTGTTGAGGAACAAAGATCCATCTTCTGTAACTTATTCAGGCTGAATAGGGGTGATAATATTTTTGCCTAACTATTGGATCTTTTGCATTAAGGGTAGAAAGGAGCTCACTCAAAAAGGATCAGTATGCTGAGAGTCATTCATAACTCTGAGTTCTGACAAAAGGTGATATGTGGAAGATCAATAAGTGTTCAATTTAAGAGAACATTCAGTAAGTTTATCTGATATTTTTACACAAAGAGTAAAATAGTAAAGTCTTCTACAACAGCAAAGCAAAATAAGTAAAATTATCACAAGCAAACTAAATTAGAAAGCTTTCTGTGAACTGGAAAATTGCTGGAACCAAGCTGATGTGGGATTACTAGCAGATTCCAATAGGTGCCAAAAATTAGAATATTGATTCAGATTTTTAAAATAACAATTCTTCTTGATTCTTATTCTTTTTTTTTTTGTTCAAGTGGTTTATTGTACAACATACTGACTATGGTTAATAAATATATTTTTGGAAATTGCTAAGAGAATAGATTTTCATTATTACACGTTACGTTCAAAGGTACATGCGCACAACGTGCAGGTTAGTTACATGTGTCTACATGTGCCATGTTGGTGTGCTGCACCCATTAACTCATCATTTACATTGGGTATATCTCCTAATGCTTTCCCTCCCCCCTCCCCCCACCCCACAACAGGCCCCAGTGTGTGATGCTCCCCTTCCTGTGTCCAAGTGTTCTCATTGTTCAATTCCCACCTGTGAGTGAGAACATGTGGTGTTTGGTTTTTTGTTCTTGTGATAGTTTGCTGAGAATGATGGTTTCCAGCTTCATCCATGTCCCTACAAAGGACATGAACTCATCCTTTTTTATGTCTGCATAGTATTCCATGGTGCACATGTGCCACAATTTCTTAATCCAGTCTACTATTGATGGACATTTGGGTTGGTTCCAAGTCTTTGCTATTGTGAATAGTGCCTCAATAAACATACGTGTGCATGTGTCTTTATGGCAGCATGATTTATAATCCTTTGGGTATATATCCAGTAATGGGATGGCTGGGTCAAATGGTATTTCTAGTTCTATATCGCTGAGGAATCAAAACACTGTCTTTCACAATGGTTGAATTAGTTTACAGTCCCACCAACAGTGTAAAAGTGTTCCTATTTCTCCACATCCTCTCCAGCACCTGTTGTTTCCTGACTTTTCAATGATCGCCATTCTAACTGGTGTGAGATGGTATCTCATTGTGGTTTTGGTTTGCATTTCTCTGATGGCCAGTGATGATGAGCATTTTTTCATGTGTCTTTTGGCTGCATAAATGTCTTCTTTTGAGAAGTGTCTGTTCATATCCTTCGCCCACTTTTTGATGGGGTTGTTTGTTTTTTTCTTGTAAATTTGTTTGAGTTCATTGTAGATTCTGGATATTAGCCCTTTGTCAGATGAGTAGATTGCAAAAATTTTCTCCCATTCTGTAGGTTGCCTGCTCACTCTGATGGTGGCTTCTTTTGCCGTGCAGAAGCTCTTTAGTTTAATTAGATCCCATTTGTCAATTTTGGCTTTTGTTGCCATTGCCTTTGGTGTTTTAGTCATGAAGTCCTTGCCCATGCCTATGTCCTGAATGGTATTGCCTAGGTTTTCTTCTAGGGTTTTTATGGTTTCAGGTCTAACATTTAAGTCTTTAATCCATCTTGAATTAATTTTTGTATAAGGTGTAAGGAAGGGATCCAGTTTCTGCTTTCTACATATGGCTAGCCAGTTTTCCCAGCACCATTTATTAAATAGGGACTCCTTTCCCCATTGCTTGTTTTTGTCAGGTTTGTCAAAGATCAGATGGTTGTAGATGTGTGGTACTATTTCTGAGGGCTCTGTTCTGTTCCATTGGTCTATATCTCTGTTTTGGTACCAGTACCATGCTGTTTTGGTTACTGTAGCCTTGTAGTATAGTTTGAAGTCAGGTAGTGTGATGCCTCCAGCTTTGTTCTTTTGGCTTAGGATTGTCTTGGCAATGTGGGCTCTTTTTTGGTTCCATATGAAGTTTAAAGTAGTTTTTTTCCAGTTCTGTGAAGAAAGTCATTGGTAGCTTGATGGGGATGGCATTGAATCTATAAATTACCTTGGGCAGTATGGCCATTTTCACGATATTGATTCTTCCTATCCATGAGCATGGAATGTTCTTCCATCTGTTTTTGTCCTCTTTTATTTTGTTGAGCAGTGGTTTGTAGTTCTCCTTCTCATCTGCAAACAGTGACAATTTGACTTTCTCTTTTCCTAATTGAATACCCTTTATTTCTTTCTCCTGAGTGATTGCCCTGGCCAGAACTTCCAACACTATGTTGAATAGGAGTGGTGAGAGAGGGCATCCCTGTCTTGTGCCAGTTTTCAAACGGAATGCTTCCAGTTTTTGCCCATTCAGTATGATATTGGCTGTGGGTTTGTCATAAGTAGCTCTCATTATTTTGAGATGCATCCCATCTATATGCTTTTTTACTCTTTACATTAGTGTACTATTAATGTCAACTCCAATTCTTAATATAACCTTATTCAGTTTTAATGCCTGACTATAAGGTAAGATTTTCATTAACATTTGGTAACCCTTTACAAATTTTTGTTAAAGAGCATGTCAGTGCTCTTTGAGAAACTTGTTGTGCTTTTATTTTAATGTTCAATTTCAATGAGATAATACCCTTTTAATTTTGTTAATGTTCACACACACAATTTCTTTTACCAGATTAATTTTTCACAAACTTTCCACAACTTGCAGAAACCTCCAGTTTTTTCCTATATAACTTAAAATAATCCTTTAACCCTCCACACTAGGCAAACAAAAATTCACATTCCCATGAAGCACATTTTACTTTCCTTATAAACCTTGCATGTAAAACTGTTTTTATTTCCCAAAGATTGCTTAAGTCATGTGAACTAAAAGGCATTGCACTTTTTACTTTTCTGACAAAATATTTAAGTGCTTATTATTTTAAACAAATTAATAAAACTTTTGCATATATAGACATCACACTCACAACACATGTAAATACACAGACACAAGATCCTGTAGTTGTAAAGTTTTCCATTTGCCAGTTTTTAAATTGGATTACTGGTTTCAGGGTGAAGCCCTTGGAGGAGCAGGGCCAGGAAAGTATGCAGTTTCTATGACTTAATAAGCAGGCATAGCTGGAAGGCTAAGACAGATCCCCCATATTAGGAATCCTATCCTATACCAGGTCTTGGATTCCCAAAAAAAGAAATGCTATGGAACAAGACAGTGCAATAAATTTACTGTGCATTTAATTGCAAAGCAACCCAAAGCCAATCAGCCCATTCTGTGATTAGCCCATCCCCCATGGGGGTGTCAGCTCACGGTGGAGGTGGAGAGTGGGAACATCGCCATACCTTCCAGGTGACCAACAGCATGCTTCTCTGATCCAAACTCCAAGTGCGCAAAGAACCGAATATACCGCCCCCCATAACTGCCATTGGTTGTCTGTCCCCAAAAGTATATTTCCTACATAGTTAGCACACACCAAAGTTCTCTCATAAAGCCAAGCAATTTCTGATACTCCCAAAAGTTAAAAACATCAGATAATGCAATGTGAAACAGAACAGAGCCTTAGATTTTGAGATGAATCTATCCACTTTCAATTCCTGAGGTTTCATGAGGAAAACAGAGGTTTTTCCCAAAACGGGGGTCTATGGCACCTCCTGTTTTTCCCAAGGAGTCCCAAGCTGTTAGAACTTGAATATCTGCTTTTAGTTAAGCTGACTTTTAACCATAGTTCTCTAAAAGTACCTTTAAATCTCTTATTACCCAACTTTAGCCATGCCAAACCCCCAATATTTCTGGCTTTTGCACTTCACCAAAGGTAACTTCCCAGGTGAAACCAATAAGCCTTAAATAAAGGTTATGATGTAACCACGAGTGTACAAGGTATTTTCAAAGGGGTGGTAAGCAGTTTTTACAAGATCTAGAATTTCCAGTGGTGGCTCAGAGAAAGGAAGGTTCAAGAAGGTGAGCCAGAAGACGTACATGGAGCGGAAGAGAGTCAACAAATGGTAAAGGTCACACAGATATCAAACCAGAAAGGACTCATACCCTAAGCCAGGATTAAACCCGGACTGTCATTGTAAAATTGCTCAGCCACAGCATTGGGCAGTTTCCATTGCCCTTCCCTGAAGGAGCCTAGAGCAGTCAATTTTGAGCTTGTAATGGCTTTTAGCTGCTTGAGATAATTTTTAGGGCTATGACATGAACCCCCAATTTCCTGTTTTTTGGATGGCAGAGACCAAGAGAAAGTACTGGCACTTGGTTACAAGGTCAAGCTCCCAAGGGCCTAACTGACGAGTTTGCTGGGCCATCTTGCTCAAGGCACAAGCCATCTTAAGCCTGTGTTCTATCCTAAGATACCCCTTTTTCTAACAGAAAGATGCAGAAAGAGAAATTCATAGCACAAAGTACAACCGATTTGCTACGGCTTAAGACTAGCCTCACTAATTCTTTTTCCAACTAATAACAACTTTACAGAGGCGATAAGCAGTGATTTTTACCATTCCTTCAACTGGTTTGCACAGAGAGGGGAAAGACAAGGGAGAAAATCGTTGTCTTCAGTAGGGTGGGGAAGGTGAGGTGCTCAAGGAGGCCAGAGAAAGACCCATCCATCCCTGTAACACTGAATCAAAAGTTCAGGCAGCCGCTTGTCAATCTCAAAGGTATCTTTTCCAGCAGTCCCAGCAGCTCTCAGTTTTACCCCTTTGGGGAGGAAAAAGCTACCCATGACTTATAATCCTGTGCATGCCTAATCCTGTCATCTATAGCTGTCAGCAAAGAGTGTAAGGCAGATTAATCCAAAGAGAATGGCAGTTAACAGCCCATGGTGCCAAACCCATTCTTAGCCGAGAAGGACTTTACCAAGAGGGGGCCTCTAATGCCCTAAATCTTAGGAAGGACTCTAACTTTCTTAAATTGGGCCTCAAACCCAAGTTTGGTCAAGCATCCTTGCCTGTAATTGAGAGGAGCCTTTAACCCCTTCAGTCATAGAAGAGACTCTAACTCCCCTAAGTTGGGCCTCTAACCCAGTTCCATCCTCTACCTGGGTACCCCACCACTTACTCAACGTCATCCAATCAGCACTGCAGTGTATTTCTTTTGGGTCGGCGGGGGGGTCTCCTCAGTATCACCCCTTCATGGTAGCCAGGAAGATGTTACTGAAAAGGTGCCTTGATCCAGACTCCAAGAGACAGTTCTTGGGTCTCACCCAAGAAAGAATTTGAGGTGAATCCATAGAGTAAAGTGAAACCAAGTTTATTAAGAAAGTAAAGGAGTAAATGAGTGACTACTCCAAGGCAGAGCAGTGGCTTGGGCTGCTTCACTAAGGATACTTCTAGTTATTTCTTGATTATATGCTAAACAAGGGGTGGATTATTCATGAGTTTTCCAGGAAAGGGGTGGGCAATTCCTGGAACTGAGGGTTCCTTCCCTTATTAGACTATATAGGGTAATTTCCTGATGTTGCCATGGCATTTGTAAACTGCCATGGTGCTGGTGGGAGTGTCTTTTAGCATGCTAATGCATTATAATTTGCATATAATGAACAGTGAGGATGACCAGAGGTCACTTTTATCACCATCTTGGTTTGGGCGGGTTTTGGCCAGCTTCTTTATTGCATGCTGTTTTATCAGCAGGGTCTTTATGACCCGTATCTTGTACTGACCTCCTATTTCATTCTGTGACTAAGAATGCCTTAATCTCCTGACAATGCAGCCCAGTAGGTCTCAGACTTATTTTACTCAGCCCCTACTCAAGTTGGAGTCCCTTTGGTTCAAAAGCCTCTGACAGTTTCTAACACCCTGGGAATCCTTAAGTAAAACAGAGGAGGTGCCAGACTCCCTTTTGGAAAAAAAAAAAAAAAAAAAAAAAAAATTCTATTTTTCCTTATGAAACTCCAAGAGTGCAAACACACAAGTTTGTGTCAGATCTTAAACTGCTTGCTTTTGTATTTTGTATTTTGTTACCTGACTTTTTTTAACCTTTGACTAAAATAGTTACTACAACAGAGGCTATTTTGAGGTTTAAATTACGGAAGCATGCAGTTTAGACACTTACAGAAATGTCTTTGTTTAAGAAAAGGTGCACTGTGAAAGTGTCACGTGGTATAACCTCATAATAATTTTCTCTTTTTGAAGACCCAGGATTCATGATCAGAGATCCAGTTAAAAGGTACAGAACAAATTTACACGATGTATCTGAATAAAATTGATCTTCTCATACAATTTTATCATAGATTTCTATGAATTTGTGTTTGATTTGCCATTCATTTTTAATCTCTCTCTAGTACCACCAAACTCTTTCTCTCTGTACTTTGAGTTGTACGTCATTTTGCTATCTGGTTTTTCTCCTAAGAGTTGTTCCTCTAATACGCAAATTTAGGACTATCTAGCTGACAATTGCCTAGGGTAATGAAATCGGTTATCAAGAAATTGGAAGTCTAAAGGAAGAGAAAAAAAAAGAGGTCTTATGAATTTATAAGATCTACTTCTATCAATGTGTCTAATACTTCTGTGTATTTATGTGTCATGTATATGATGTTTCACTACTAAGAATACTAAAAGAACTCTGATTGATTGGCTTTAAAAAGCACTAAAATCAAATGCTTTATCAGATAAACAGAGACTTTAAGACAAATGTTTTTTCAAGTTCATGTGAGTTAAGTAAATCTCTAACAAATAAGCTGGTTTGTACAATGTTGGTGAAATAGAATTAGAAATGGCTTTAGAATTGCCAACATACATAATCGTTTAAATTTACTTTTCAAGTGGTTTTATGTTTATCTCTGCTTGATGTCAAAATATGTCATGAGGGTTATACAGCTGTAAATGCAGTTCAAAAAAGAATTATCGTTGCTTATATAGAATTTGATAAATAAGGCATTTAATATTTTTTGTTTAATGAAAACAGCTAAATCCTGAGTGATTGGCAAAAAAACAACCCTATTAATGTAACCTCAAGGTTTATACTTGGAAAAACCTGAAATTCACAAGTTATAAAATGTGTAAACAAAAAAATAACTTAAAATAATAACTATCAGAGTTTTCATAAGTAATCTAGGTAAACTATTAAAAAATTAATCAACTGGGTAAATTTAATGGAATAAATGCTTGTAAATAATCTTGCCATATGATTTAAAATCTAAAGTTATATTAACTTAAATAATACATGTTTATTAAATGTCTGGGTTACTTTCCATTTTACAAGTTATATTATAGAAAAACATTAAAAAAATAAATGTGTTCTTATTTAAAAGAAAATAAATGTTGTCTAAAGGTCATTTTAAAAGGTATTTATAAAACAAGGTAAAGGTAATCAGTAAATAAGAGCAATGTAAAGAATATATATATTTATATATGTATATTAATAAATACAAAAAGGTATTTTTGAAAAGAAAGGTTAAAAGAAAATAATTTTATACGAGAAAGAATCTTTTTCTTTATTTCAATAGGTTTTGGGGGAATAGGTGGTGTTTGGGTACATCTATAAGCTCTTTAGTGATGATTTCTGAGATTTTGGTGCAACCATCACCTAAGCAGAGTACACTGTATCCAGTGGGTAGTCTTTTATCATTCACCCCCTCCCACCCTTTTCCCCAAGTCCCAAAAGTTCACAGTATTACGTTTATGCCTTTGAGTCCTCATAGCTTAGCTCCAACTTATGAGTGAGAACATAAGATGTTTAGTTTTTCATCACAGAGTTACTTCACTTAGAATAATGATCTCCAAATCCATCCAGGTTGCTGTGAATGAAATTATTTCATTCCTTTTTATGGCTGAGTAGTATTCCATGGCATACGCATATATAGATATGTAATATTTTCTTTATCCACTCATTTATTGATGGGCATTTGGGCTGGTTCAATATTTTTGCACTTGCGAATTGTGTGATGTTTCAGGCTTCAGGACAGTAGGGAAAGTGTCCCTGTGTAGAAACCGGTTGTGGCTAAAGCAGTTGGGTAATTTTGCAACACCCAATGTTGGGCAGTTGTCTCAGCCTTGACAGAAGTGGCTAGAGAAGCTCTCAGAGAGTTCCACTGAGGTCTTAACATGGGGAGGAGTTGGAGCCACCTGAGTCTCCTGCCAGGACAGCAGAAAAGCTATCCACCTCTCAGTCACTCTCCTGTCCCAGTGCTCAAGTTATTCAAATTAGAGAGGCACCATTTTTTTTCATATGCAGGAATGTTGATATTTCAAGTAGAGAGGAATTGTGGCTCTGTCTGTCATGCAAGCCTGAACCTGTAAAGTGTTCCTTCTTCAGGAATGGAGTCACCCTGAATGTCATGTCCTCTTCTTCAAGACCTTCATATGCACCAGGGCTGTTTGACTGTTGGGTTGTAGCTGCAGACTTTCCTCTCTGAGCCCAGCACTAAAACTGCGCCTCTGCTGAAAGAAACTTCCCACCAGTGGAAGGACCTGCCACTCAAGGCCTGCTCTCCAGATTCTTTTGTCTCATGGGGTGTTCCCTTGATGTGGTGCACTCTCCCTTCCCTTCCCGTAGGAGTGGGAGTCACTGAAAGCCAGACTATTGTGAGTGTTGTTGCTCTTCTGGGTCTAGCCACCCAGTGAAGTTGCCACACTTCAGCCTGCTACTGGGCCATGTGTGCGAGGGGTTCGGTGATGTGATCTGTCCTCAAGTTTCCCAGCGGTGGGTAGCAGCACCAGCTCTAATGGGAGTGGCAGGTGACTGATGTAGACTATGTGAGATTTTTTAGTTAACGATACCCTTAGTGTGTTGGCTTTCTCAAATGCCATTTACAGTAGTAATGAACTGGTCATGTGGACAAACTCAGGACCTTCTGCTTAGGCATAGTGGTGCAGGCAGTGGTGATAGTTGAGGTTGTGCAGCCATTTTCTTCTTCTTAGGTGCAGTGTTATTCTACCAGGAGATGCTTAATGGACTGTGTTTCTTGGCCTCCAGCAAGAAAGTGGCACTTTCAAAGGAGTATCAGCTCTGGTAGTAACCGTGGGGGTTTCTGCTTGCCTTATGTTGCCCAAAGGGTGTGCTCTGGTTTCTCAGGCAATGGGCGGGACCATATAGTATTTATTAATTTTCATATAGCACTTATTGGACTATGTTTCTGTCCTTTGTGTTAAGCCACCAGGGCAGGTGGTGGGGCAAGGGCAGGTGGGAGCTTGGTCAGTCAGATCTTTTCTCTGACTCACCGTGTTCAGGGCAAGGAGGCACCTCTGTCGGTGTCAGGGAATGGGGGTGATTCTCAAGCCCCTGGTTTTTACAGAGGGGATTGTTGTTGCCTCTGCCGCATAGAAGGGCTCATGCAGGAAGTGGGGAGTAGCAGGTGGCAGTAAGCCCCACACAGATCCCACGCACTTGGTGAGGCAGATCCACCCCTGCAGTGTTCCACTGGTAGCAGTGAGCTAAGTTCCAGGAAGCCTGCACTCAGAACTAACAACTGCCCCAGGTTGTAAGCTTTCCCCATGGGGATAACAACCATGGCTTTTAGGCCATGCCCCTCCCTGTCTGCTCACAAAGCCAGGCACCTCATTCCTGCACTTCTGGCTGCAGCTCACTTTTCACTTACCCCCATCCTGGCGCTGGCCAAAGGAGTTTGTCTCCATCCAAGGATATACCATGAAACACGGTCAGGGGCTTCTTTCAGCCTACAACCACTGCCTGAACTATTTGGCTGACCTTTGCAGGGTCCCCTGTGAGAAACAATAAAGACTGGCTTCTTTCAGTCTGCTCTGGAGATTGGGAGTGCACGCCAGGGTCTTCCTGCTGCTGCTCCTACTTTTATATTCCATGACCTTCTCCAATTTGGTTCCTGCACTGAGTAGGGTTAAGGCTTCCCACTGCGGCCTGGATTTTCAGGCTCCCTGGGAGGGGTGTGTATCCCAGAGGCAGTTTCTTCCCCTCTCACACACTGAGGACCCACACTTGACTCGTGGTGTAGGCTGCAACCTGCCACTTCCTTCAAAGGGTCTGTGGATTCCTTCCATTTTCCTGTTCAGTTCCTGCATTGCTTCATGAAAAATAGTTCACAGTGTGAACCTCTGCACACTATTTTGTCCTTCCAAGAGGGAGAGATATGCTAGCAATGCCTCTAATCCACCATGTTAAAAAAAAAAAAAAGTATGGTCTTTTTAATTATATCGATTCTTCCAATCCATGACCATGAGATGTTTTTCCATGGGTGTCTTGTGATTCTTTATGTAGAGATCTTTCACCTCCCTTGTTAAATGTATTTCTAGCTACTTTACTTATTTTGTAATCGATGTAAATGGGATTGCCTTATTGATTTCGTCCTCAGCTTCCTTGTTATTGGTGCTTAGAAATGCTACTGATTTTTGTATTTTGATTTGTGTCCTGAGACCCTGAAGAATTCATTTAACAAATCTAGAGTCTTTTTGGGGAATCTTTAGGGTGTTTTGGTATAAAATCATATCATCAGTAAACAGAAAGAATTTGACTTCCACTTTTCCAACTTGGAACTCCTTTATTTCCTCATTTTGCCTGACCGATCTGGCTAAGACTTCCACCAGTATGTTGAATAGGAGTAGTGAAAGTGGACATCCTTATATTGTTCCAGTTTCTAATGAAAATGCCTTCAACATTTTCCTATTCAAGGTGATGTCAACTGTTGATTTGTCATATACGTCCGTTATTATTTTGAGGTATGTTTCTTCAATGCCTAGATTGCTGAGAGTTTTTATCATGAAGAAATGTTGAAATTTGTCAAATAATTTTTCTCCATCTATTGAGATAATCACATGGTTTGTGCCCTTGATATATATTTATGTACTGTATCACATTTATTGACTTGCATATGTTGAAACATCCTTGTATCCCAGTAATAAAATTCACTTGGTCATGGTGTCTTATCTTTTTGATGTGCTGTTACATTTTATTTGCTAGTATTTTGCTGGTGATTTTTGCATCAGTGCTCATCAGGAATTATGGTATGCACTTCTCATTTATTTTGGTAGTGTTCTTATCTGGCTTTAGTATCAGGGTAGTACCGGCTTCACAGAATGAGTTAGGAAGAATTCCATGCTTCTCTATTTTTGACATGTTACAGAATGATTGGTATCTGTTCTTTGTGCATTTGCTAGAATTGAGCTGTGAATCATTCTGATTCTGGGCATTTTTGTTGCTATTGTTGGGAGATTATTATTACTGGTTCAGTCTCACTACGCAATATTGGGCTGTTCAGGATTTCTTGTTCTCCTTGGTTCAATCTTGAGAGGTTCAATTTTTTTCCCCCAGGAATTTATACATTTCTTCTCTGTTTTCTAGTGAGAGGAGTTAACTAGCTTGCCTTAGGTAGACAGCAAGGGAAGGGTCCCTGGAGAGCCCCTGACCCACGGGTCAGTGCCTCATCCCCATATAACACAAAAAGCTGCCTGGGGGAAAAAAAAATAAGCTGCTGGCACTGATAAGGGAACTAGCACAGGGGGTTGTGCCTGGAGACATGCCCGTGGCTGCATGGATAGGAGAACCTCCAGCCCATTCAGACAAAAACTTGCACAAACCCCTGGCTCACTCAGATAAGGGAACAAGGCCCAACATAGAAATGCCTTTGTCCTATGTATAATCAACAGGCTCCAAGGAAAAAGTTTCCTCTCCTTTTGTGGGCATGAACATGGTGTGCTTCGTTGGGTTCAAGTGGGCACTTTCCTTTCATTTTTGGACTGTGATCCCAGCCTCTATGAATCATCACTTCAGCCCCTGATTGGTCCCGGGCCAAACTTTCACTTCAGCTCCTGATAGGTCCCAGGCCAAGCTGACTAGCCTCTATGAATCATCAACTCCTGATTGGTCCCGGGCCAAGGTCCTGGGCCAAGCTGAATCATGCTTTCTCCAAGACAGCCCACAGACTAAGCACATTTCTTTCCCCTTTCCAGTCCATAAAATCCCCAGACCCCAGCCTCATAGTGGGCAACCCATTCGGGCTCCCCTCTCTGCTGCAGAGAGCTTTCTTCTTTCACTTATTAAACTTTCATTCCAACCTCACCCTTGTGTCCCCGCTTCTTAGTCACCTTGGACATGAGACAAAGAACTCCAGGTATTATCTCAGACAATGAGAGACTGTTACATCTTGGTGAACTGGCGAGACTACAACACCAGTTTATGAGTACATAGTTGTTCACAGTAGTCTTTGAGGATCTTTTGTATTTCTGTGGTATCAGTTGTAATGTCTCCTTTTTTATTTCTGATTTGGTTTATGTGGATCTTCTATTTTGGTTTGTCTAGCTAGTGGTTGGCACATTTGGTTCATCTTTTTGAAGATTTGACTTTTCGTTTTATTAATCTTTTGTATTGTTTTCTGATCTCTATTTCATTCAGTTGTGCTTTGATCTTTGTTATTTCTTTTCCTCTGTTAACTATGATTTGGGTTTGTCCTTGTTTTGTTTTAGTCACTTGATTTATAATGCTATGTTTACTTGTGATCTTTCTACCTTTTTATTTTTTAAAATAAGTTCAGGGGGTCATGTGCAGGTTTGCTACATGGGTATATTGTATGATACTGAGATTTGGGTTTTTATTGCTCCCGTCACCCAAGTAGTGACCATAATACCCACTAGGTAGTTTTTAAACCCTTGCTCGCTTCTCTCCTTTCCCCCATTTGGAGTCCCCAGTGTCTGTTGTTCCCATCTTTATGCCCATGTGTACCCAGTGTTTACATGCTCCTTATAAGTGGGAATATGTGGTATTTGGTTTTTTGTTTCTGCATTAGTTCACTTAGGATAGTGGCCTCCAGCTGCAGGCATGTTGCAGCAAAGGACATGATTTTATTTTTTCAATGGCTGTGTAGTATTCCACAGTGTATATACACCACATTTTCTTTATCCAATCTACCACTGATGAACACATAAGTTGATTTCATGTCTTCGCTATGTCAACACTATATGAGTAGTCTGGCAATAAACATATGAGTGCATGTGTCTGTTTGGTAGAACGATTTATTTTCCTTTGAGTATGTATGCTGTAGTGGGATTGCTGGGTTGAAGGGTTGTTCCACTTTTAGCCCTTGGAGAAATATGAAAACTGCTTTCCACAGTGACTGAACTAATTCACATTCCCACCAACAGTGTATGAGCATTCCCTTTTCTTCATAGGCTCACCAACATCTGCTATTTTTTCACTTTTCAGTAATAGCCATTTTCACTGGTTTGAAAGGATGTCTCAGTATGGTTTTGATTTTCATTTCTCTGATGATTAGTGATGCTGAGCATTTTTTCATGTCTGTTGACTGCTTTTATGTCTTTTTTGAGAAGTGTCTGCTCATGTCTGCTGCCCACATTTTATGAGATCATGTGTTATTTTCTTACTGGTTTGATTAATTTCCTTATAGATTCTAGATATTAGTCCTTTGTGGGATCCATAGTCTTTTAATATTTTCTTGTATTCTGCAGGTTATTTTAAAAATCTAGTCATAGTTTGTTTTGCTCTGAATATGCTCTTTAGTTTAATTAGGTCCAAATTGTCATTTTTTGCTTTTGTTACCTTGGCTTTTTAGAACATAATTATAAATTCTTGGCCTAAACCACTGCCCAGAGCAGTGTTTCCTAGGTTTTTTTTTTTTTTCATATATAATTTGATATCTTACATTTAGGTCTTTAATCCATCTTGAGTTAATTTCTATATATAGTGAGAGGTAGGCATCCAGTTTCTTTCTTCTGCATATGGTTAGCCAGTTTTTCCAGCATCATTCATGGAATAGTGTGTCTTTTCTCCGTTGTTAATTTTTGTTGACTTTTTCAAAGATCAGTTGGTTGTACATTTGCAGCTTCATTTTTGGGTTCTCTATTCTGTTCCATTTGTGTACGTGTCTGTTTTTGTACCGGTGTCATGCTACTTTGATTAGTGTAGCCTTGTAGTACAGTGTAAAGTTGGGCAGTGTGATGCCTCTGGCTTTGTTTTGTTTTGTTTTGTTGCTTAGCCTCACCTTATGTAATCATGCTCATTTTTTGTTCCATATAAATTTTAGAATAGTTCTTGTCTAATTCTGTAAAAAATGACCTTGGTAACTTTGATAATAATAGCATCGACTCTGTAGGTTGCATTGGGCAAAATGGACATTTTAGCAATATTGATTCTTCCGATCCATGTGCATTTAAGGTTTTTCCATTTGTTTTTGCTGTCTCTGGTTTCTTTCAACAGTGTTTTTTTAGTTCTCCTTGCAGAGATTTTTCACCTCCTTGGTTAGGTGTATTCCTAGGTATTTTATTTTTTTCTGACTAATGCAAATGGTATGTTGTGTCTCCATTTTCATTTATTTCAAATAATTTTTAGATTTTTGTTTACTTTCCTTATTTACCCCAAAGTCTTTCAGAAGCAAGTTGTTTAGTTTCCAAGTATTTGCATGGTTTTGAGTTCCTCTTGGAATTGATTTCTATTTTTATTTCACTGTGGTTAATAAGATGCTTGGTATGATTTCAATTTTTCTTGATTCACTGAGACTTGCCTTATGGCCAAGCATGTGGTGAAGGCATGAGTACCCTTCTTGTGCAGATGAGAAAAACGTGTATTCTATTATTGTAGAGTGGAGTATTCTATAGATGTTTTAGGTCTAGTTGGTCAAATGTCAAATTTAAGTTTAGAAATACTGTTGGCTTCTTTTCTGCCCTGACGTATCTATTGCTGTCAGTGGGGTTATCATTGTTTGGTTGTCTACATCATTTCATAGGTCTATTCGTAATTGTTCTATAAATCTGTGTACTCCAATATTGAATACGTATATATTTAAGTTAGTTATTTATTCTTGTAGTATTAAACAAACCCGTTATTATTAAGTAATGATTTTCTTTGTCCTTTTTAATGTTGCTGGCCTAAATTCTGTTCTATCTGACACAAGAATAGTGACCCCTGCTCTTTCTTGTTTTTCATTTGCAGGTAAATCTTACTCCATCTCTTTCCTTTGAGCCTGTAGGTGTCGTTACATGAGAGATGGGTCCCTTGAAGGAAGCAGATGGTTGGGTGTTCTTTTTTAAATTATATTTGTCAATCTATGTATTTTATGTAGAGCATTAAGTTCATTTACATTTAAGGTTAATATTGACATTCGAGGTTCTGTTCCTGTCATAGTAGTATTCACTTTGTATTCTCAATTGTGTAATTGCTTTATGAGATCTGTGAATTTGTACTTATGTGTTGTTGTCTGGTAGCAAGTAATGTCCTTTCCATGTTTAGAACTCCTCGGAGCATTTTTGTAATCCCAGTCTGGTGCTGAATAATGTTCTTAGCATTTGCCTGTCTAGGATAGACTTTATTTCTCCTTCATTTATGAAGCTTAGTTTGTCAAGTTATAAAATTATTGGCTGGCTTTTTTTTTTTCCTTTAAGAAGGCTAGAATTGGGCTCCCTATCTCTTCTTACTTGTAAGGTTTCTCTGAGAAGTCTACTATTTATCCGATGGAATTCCCTTTACAGGTAATTTGACCCTTTTTCTCTAGCTGCTTTAAGATTTTTTCTTCCACATTGACCTTGTAAAGTCTGATGACTATATGCCTTGGTGATAGTCATCTTGGCATTGTATCTTGCAGGTGTTCTTTCAGTTCCTTCTATCTGGATGTCAACCTGTTTAACAAGATTAGAGAAAATTTCCTAAATTATTCCCTCAGCTGTGTTTTCCAAGTTACTTACTTTTTCTCCTTTGCTCTCAGTAATGCCAATAAGTCATAGGTTTGGTCGTTTTACATAGTTTCATATTTGAAACTTGAAGACTTTGTTCATTGTTTTAAACATGTTTTCTTTATTTTTTTATCTGACTGAGTTAATTCAAAAGGGCGTTTTTCAAAGTCAAATAATTTTTTTCTGCTGTGTGTAGTCTATTATTAAAGCTTCCAAATGTATTCTGAATATATTTTGAAATTTCTATAGTGAGATGTTTAATTCTAGGATTTCCATTTTATTTTTAAAAATATAACTATTTTGTCTTTCTTACTTTGTGTTGTTTTTCTGATTTCTTTGTGTTGGATTTAAATTTTCTATTGGATCTTGTTGAGTTTTCTTGCAGTCTATATTTTAAATACTTTATCTGTCATTTCAGACTTTTCATTTTGGTTAGGATTCATTATTAGACAACTAGCGTGACCTTTGGAACTTGTCAAGACACGGTCTTTTGGTACTGCCAGCATTCTTGTTCCAATTTCTTCTCTTCTGAGGGAACTGCCACTTCTTGTTTTTGAATTTGCTATTATTTAGATGGTAATTTTGTTTTTTTTTCTTAATTCTTTTTTCCCTCGAGTGTATGACTGGTGTATGTTGTGTATAATAGTTTGGCTTTATTCTGAGCGCTTTCAGGGGGCCAACGGTCTGTGTGTGTTTCTTGGTTATGTATAGCTTCTGCAGGATGGTTTTCTTAGATGTCACTTCTTATCGTGATAGATCAGACATATGGGCCAACACATTATCTCTTGCAGGGCTGAGAGTGCAGAGGTCCCAGGAAGCCTCGTGCACTAGCACTAAGCCCTTCTGACAGCAAGCTTTTAATTTGGTGGTGCAGTTTAGGCTCTAGTCCGCTAGGTGGCACTTAAAAGTAAAAGCTAACTCACCCTCAGGTAGGCTGATGATGACTGGAAGCTTCTGTCCTGATAGTGTGGTGGTGGGGGGAGATCATGTGGGGGTGTACAGAAGTCTTAGGGGAAGGGATGTGCACCAGCTTCTCATCAATAGAAGGAAGGAATGCTATCTGCTTTCCTATCACACCCCGGTCACAGGGCTCATGACCTTCAACTTGTATAAACTTTGTCCTTTGATTCTTGGCCTCAGTGTGGCTGTGGACTGAAGGACATGCTTCTGTGGCAGCTGCCACCAAAATGGGCTCAGGGCAGAGCCTCTCTCACCAGTCCTGAGCAGGCAGCTCTGCAGCTTGTCTGGCCTCTGTTGCTGGGAAGCTGTAGTTCTGTGTAGTGAGGGGCAGTTGGGCCCCACCTTCTTGCAAGTGCAAGCAGCAGAGGCTCCCTTCCAACAAGAATGAAGCTGCTATTAAAAGTATGAGAAGTGCTTTCTCCTGGTGCATACATGCTGGCCCCTAGTGGGGAGAACCTGTGCTGCACCCACAACAGTAGACAGGGAATTGGAAGATGACCTTCTCTCTATGACGGTTCCTGGCAGCTGGTGATGCCCCTTCAGTAATTGACACCATGCCCATACTTCCTTTGTCCCAAGGTGGGCTATGATGGACCCTGTCCCCCTTCTCTCAGGGGCTGCTCACTCCACAGGATAGATTGTCAGGGGTCACACAGCTTCCTGGGGACTGGCCAGCCAGAGAAGGTTGTGGGGTGTGTTTGTGGGAAATCTGGTGGTGTGGTGAATCAAGAGCAGAGATTTCCCAGGAAGGGAAGTGGCCTACCATGGGTGCACAACCAATATGGTGCCCTTCATCTCGTTTAAGGCCTGAAGGAAGAGCAAGCACACCTGTGCCAGCTGGCCATCCAGTTTTCTGTCCCTGGGAAGTTCTCAAGTCACCCAAAACAGAATTGTCCTTGGTCACAAGGGCAGAGGGGCTTCCCAACAGTTTGGCATTCAGCAGGTTGCTGAAGGGGTGATGAGATTAGACAAGCACTCCCACCCGTTCTTTCCGTGGGGCTCCAAGTTCCTCAAGGGTCATTCCCTGCCAAACTCTTGCTGCTCTATTTTTCTGTATTCCAGCTTCTGCCCATGTGCGCTCCAACAGGTCCTGGCTCTCTTCCATCAGTTTTTCATACAGATCATGTCCATTTTCCAGCACCTGTAGTCTTCTTACTGGGGAAAACTGGCATTCAATGTTCCCAGTCAGCCATCTTGAAAATCCACCCTCCCCTGTTATTACACTGATTTATTCACATCTGAATAAACAGTTACATCTTATTTTTTAATTTACTTTTGTTGTGGTAGGACCTGTTTTTTGTTGTTGTTGTGGTTGTTGTTGTTGTTTTCTTTTGAGGATGCGACTATGATGTATGCTGAACAAGTCTGTTTGGCTTTGTTTCTGTGTGCATTCAGTGGCAAAGACACTATGTTTTCCATGGTTATAAATAGTTTTAGTGTGGAGTTTTCTCAAATGCCAGTTGTAATAGTGGTGTACCAGGATGGTGAGCAGGCTCATGCCCTCTTGGGTAGCTTGGATTGCATGAGCAATCATGGTAGCAGAGGTTGCGAGAAGCTCGTCTTGTTCCTAAGTGCTGTGCGCAGGTGTCAGCTGATGTGGTGATGGGATGTGCAAGTTGACCTTCAGACCAGCAGGTGTCACTTGCAGGTAAAAGCCAACTTCAGTGGAGGTGGTATGCTTTATGCTTGACCTTTGTAAGCCCTGAGAAGTGCACCCATGTCCCAGTTGGTCAGTTGGGCCCTGGAGCAAACAAGAGCCTGGGTTTCACCCGCTGTCATGGAGGGGATTGGCAAAGCTGAGTGATGCCAGAATGAGAAAGCCTGCACTAAGTCTTTCCAATGACAGGCACAAGCAACAGCTTTGACAGGGGTGGCAAGGGAGTCTTCGGCCTCCTGGTAAAATGCTTGAGCAATGAGCAATCACTGAGGTGTCTGTATGGGGAGGTAGGAGAGGTGCCAGTGCCATAGTCATGGCAGGAAGGAAAGGGATCAGCCTTCCCCTCACGCCCGTCTTAGAATTTGGGGTACTCATATAGGTTAGGAACTACAGTTTGCTTTTAAGCACCAATGTAGCCCGCGAACACAGGAGAAATCAGCCCAGCCGCTCCACACTAAACCCCTGTGGTGGCTGGAAGTGGATGTAGTGTGAAGTCTCCCTCCATGGCTCCAAACACAGCTCTTGGGCTCTCCTGCTCTCTGTAGCAGCAGTACTGCATCTCTGCACAGAGAGAGGGCGGGAACCCACTGTTTACACAAGCCTGGCCATTGGGGTCACAGTTGCCCCTCACAGCCCCAGATGGAATGCCATACAGTACATCTGCCCCAGCCTCCTGGGACAGCAGCAGTGCTTGTGGTTTCAACAGTGTGCATGGGGAAGAAGGGTCTCCTCTAGGCCTGGTTATGACACTAAGGCTGCTCATCTGATGAAAGGGGATTTCACTGTTTGCTTGGAGAGCCAAGCACAAATTTTGTGCCACTGCTAAAAATGAAGTCACTTTTCACAGCCCCAGTCAGGAAGCTTTTGGGCCCTGGAAAGCATGCACTTTGGTTTCCTTTCTCTCAGGGGTTGCCTTTTTGGTGTACTGCACTCTTATTTCTCCTAGGAGTAGCATTCCCTGAAGGTTAGGTTACTGGGGACCCTGCAGCTCCTTTGGGTCCAGCCAGCACTCTGCCACTGCAGCCCTTTGAGCAGGACTGGAGAATGTGAGCAGGAGCTCCTGGGTTTTGGATACACAAGGACTGTGGTTCCCAGAAGAGGATACAGTTCCCTTACGGATGCACCTTCAACAGTAGCACAGCATAGCACCTGCTTGGGTCTGGGGAAATGGTAAATAATAACCCAGTGTGAATCCACAGTCCAGTGCACTGCCCTCAGGGGTCTCCAAATTGCGGTCCATGCTATTTTCAGGATTTGGGAGGACAGAGGAGCTTTCCCACTGTAAGGATCTTGGCAGTTCACAGCAAGAATGAGGACTATCAAAATACTTCAACTTACCCTTTCCCTGAACACTGAGTTCCTCTGGACTCCTAACCAATGTCAGCTGCATTGGCCTCTAGCTTTCTTTTCTTTTCTTTTCTTTCCTTTTCTTTCTTTTTTTTTTTCTTCTGTGGCTTAGGGTTTTGTTTTTCATAAATTATATTTTGAATTCTAGTATTCTCTCTTTGATATTCTATTAGAGGTATGATTATCTATTCATAATTTAGGTTCTTCTTTCTAGGGAGAACTTGCATCTGTCATCTCTAGTCAGCCATCTTAAACTTCCTTGTTTCCATCTTAATGTTTTTATCTACCCAACAGTCATTTAGGAGCATCTTGTTTAATTTTCACGTATTTGTATAGTCTCCAGGGTTTCTCTGGGTATTGATTTCTAGTTTTGTTTCATGGTTACCTTAAAATACACTTGCTATGATTTAAAACATTGTTCATACTCTTTTGGTGGCCTCACATGTGGTCTATCATAAAGAATGTTCTGTGTGCTGATAAAAAGAATGTATGGGCCGGGCACGGTCGCTCATGCCTGTAATCCCAGCGCTTTGGGAGGCCGAGCCAGGTGGATCACCCGAGGTCAGGAGTCTGAGACCAGCCTCGCCAACATGGTGAAACTCCGTCTCTACTAAAAATACAAGAATTAGCCGGGCGTGGTGGTGGGTGCTTGTAATCTCAGCTACGTGGGAGGCTGAGGCAAGAGAATCGCTTGGACCTGAAGGCAGAGATTGCAGTGAGCCAAGATCACGCCATTGTACTCCAGCCTGGGGGACAAGAGCGAAAACTTGGTAAAAAAAAGAAAAAAAAAAAAAGAAAAAAGAAAAAGGAAAAAAAAAAAAAACAGAATGTATGCTCTGCAGTTGTTGGATAGAATGTTGTGTAAATGTCTTTCAGGTCTACTTGGTCTAACATTCCCTTTAAATCTAATGTTTCTTTTTTGATTTTCTGTCTAGATGATCCGTCTAATGCCGAGAATGGGGTGTCAAAGTCCCCTGCTGTTATTATAATTTAGTCATCTCTCTCCTTGGGTCTAGTAATAATTGCTTTATAAATCTGGGTGCTACAGTGTTGGGTACATGTATATTTAGAATTTTTGTATACTCTTGCTGGATTGATTTCTTTATTATTATATAATGACCATCTGTTTCTTATTGTTCTTGACTTAAAGTGTGTTTTATCTGATATGAGTATAGCCACTACTGCTTACTTTTGGTTTTCTTTTATGTGGAATCTTTTTTCCATTTCTTTACTTTCATCCTAGATGTGTCTTTACTGGTAAGGTAAGTTTCTCGTAACCAACATGTAGTTAGATTATGTTTGTTTTTATCCATTTATCCAAGCTATATCTTTTAAGAAAATAATTTAAGCCATTTGCGTTCAAGGTTATTATTGATATGTTAGTCTTTATTTCTGTTATATTATTCATTGCTTTCTGGTTGTCTTATCTATTATTTGTTTCTTTTTTCTCTTATAGTTTGTCATTGTGAATTGGTGAAGTTTGGCAGTGGTATGATTTGGGCCTTTTCTCTTTTGTGTGATAGTTTTACCAATGAGTTTTGTACTTTCCTGTGTTTTTATAATGGTAAATGTTGTGCTTTCACCTCCAGGCTTAGGACTCCCTTGAGCACTTTTTTCTAGGGCTGGTCTAATGGTACTTAATTCCCTCAGCATTTCTTTGTGTGGGAGTGACTTTATCCTTCATCTGTGAAGGATAATTTTCTTGGGTGTCATATTCTTTAGTGGGAGATTATTTTTTATTTCAGCACTTTGGATATATTATCCTATTCTGTCTTGGTCTATGAGGTTTCTGCTTAGAAATTTTCTGCTTATTTTTCTTCTCTTTATTTTTTTGAAATTTTCTTTATAGAGGACTAGATGCTTTTCCCTTGCTTTTTCATGTTTCCTGTGTCCTTCCATTGATGTCTGTACATCTCTATATTTTCTTCAATGAGTCATTCTCTTGCTTTATAGGAGACTAGAATTTCCTCTTTAACTATGACTTGAGACAGTCTGATTATAATGGGCTGTGTATAGTTTTGCATTGTATCCACCTAAGGATCATTAAGACTCCTGTATCTGAATCTCTAATCTCTTGCTAGACTTGAAAAGTTTTCATCTATTGTTTTGTTAGTAGATTTTCTAATCCTTTCTTTGATTTTTACCTTCAGGGATACCAATACTTTATAAACTCGGTCACTGTATGTTTTCCTAAATGTCACCAAGGGTTTGACCATTCATTTTAATTCTTTTTAAAATGTTTGCCTGACTGGAATATTTTATAATACCTGTCTTCAAGTTGTGTGATTCTTCTTTCTACTTGATCTAGTCTATTCTTGAAGCTTTTTTATTTATTTATTTATTCATTCATTCATTCATTCATTCATTTTTCGAGACAGAGTTTCGCTCCTGTTGCCCAGGCTGGAGTGCAATGGTGCGATCCCGGCTCACTGCAACCTCCGCCTCCCGGGTTCAAGCGATTCTCCTGCCTCAGCCTCCCGAGTAGCTGGGATTAGAGGCATGTGCCACCACGCCTGGCTAATTTTGTATTTTTAGTAGGGATGGGGTTTCTCCATGTTGTTCAGGCTGGTCTCGAACTCCCGACCTCAGGTGATCTGCCAGCCTCGGCCTCCCAAAGTGCTGGGATTACAGGCGTGAGCCACCGCGCCCGGCCTCTTGAAGCTTTTAAATGTATTTTGTCTTTTCTTCAATGAGTTATTCAGTTTCAGAATTTTTATTAGGGTCTTAAAAAATACCTTTCTCTTTATAAGTTTCTCATTCATATACTAAATTGGTTTTTTTGATTTCTTCATATTATTTTCAGAATTCTCTTGACTCTCACCGAACTTCTTCAAAATTAATATTTTGACTTCTTGACTTTGGGGTTCAAAAAATTCTTTTTTAATCAAAATCCTTCCCTGGAGCATTATTGTGTTTATTAAATATGCCATGTTTTCTTGCTTTTTCATGTTTTCTGTGGCCTTCCATTGACATCTGTACATCTGGTGTAACAGTCACTCCTTTCTATTTTTTTAATTTACTTTTGATGAGGAGGAATTTTTGAAGATGCATCTATGGTTTTTGGCTGGATTGGCTACTTTGGCTTTGCTCCTGGGGGCATACAGTAGTGTAGTCTCTTTATGATCAATTTGGCCGTAAACAGCATTAGTGGTATCTGTGATTTCCTCAGTGGGTTAGGGCACGTTTGTTTATGGAGGCTGTGATGGTATTGTGCTGGGGACTTGAATGCCAGTTGGGCCAGTCTTCCGGCCCCAGTGTAGACAGTGGTGGGCTTAGCATGCCTATCTTGTGCCCCAGGGTGGTGCACACTGGCACCTGTGCTGGCAGTTACTAATGGGTTGATTTTTGGAGCTCCAGATGGCTTGCTAGGATTCCTGTCGTGGCAGTGGTGGACGAGATTGTTGGGTGAGTTCTCCGTCCTATGGGCAACTGGTGTTGCATGGGGAATGGGAGTAGCAATGGCAGGAAGATTCTCTGGGTCTCACGTGGTGTGCATTGATGTTGGCACTGGCTGCAATGTTCTGGGTGGGCAAGTCTCCAGGCCCGCGGGTGGTTCTTACAGATAGTTTCCAGGTGAGGTGGTAGCAGCGTGAAGTTTACGCCCAATCTCAGGACCCTTGGAGGAATGCTCACGTGCCCAAGGTGGTGGTTTGGCTTGTGCAATACTCAGGTCTCTAGATTATGTGATCTGTCTTGGAATGGGGAGCAAACTCGGCTGGACAGTCTTGTGCTCAGGCCCCCTATTTTGAGAGTACTCACCAGCCACGGTGGGCAGGGGGTAAGGGTATTTCTCATGCCCCAGGGAGAGTCATTGGGTGAGGGTGGTGGCCTCTGTGTTGGGGATAATGCCCAGAGATGATGGGCTACCCTCGGTAGTCACAGCCTGGGCCATGGTGTGGAGAATGCATGTTCTCCCCTTCACAGCTCAGTCCCAGTGAGACTCAACTTCTTGCCCAGACTGCAGGAGCCCACACTCAGCTCATGATCAAGTCCCAGTGGCAACTCATGCCCTCTTCATGACTTCATTTTAGGTCCTGGCAGTGCAATACTCATTTTATGGCACTGGCTGCTACCATCCAGGCCTCATGCACTTCTTAGCCCCAGCTAAAGGGGTAGTGCTAGCTCCCTGCCCAGTCCCAGCTGTGGCAGCCTGAGTTTCCGGAACGTCTAGTCCTGGTGCCTCTGGGTCTCAGAAAAGCATGCAGTTTGCTGGAGGCTAGTTTTGAAAATGGCACCTTTCTATCAACTTAGATCTCAGAAAGGGTGTCAGCATGAACTCCCTCCCTGGAGCAGTTCTGTCCCCACAGTCTCCTGGCAACTTTCTCTGTTAGTTTCCAGGTTCGAGAAGGTTAAGCATTTTTCAAGTGGCCAGGATTGCACACTTCTATGGTGGGGTCATGGGACACTGGCAGTCTCTTACTCATCCCTCCCCTGCACTGGGGAGTCAGTACTGGCTCTTGGCCAATCCTGGCCAGGGAGGCTGCCTCTCCTCCTTCTCCTTTCCTGTTTTTAGTGCCCCCTGTCACTTCTATGTTGAATTCCAGCATTTTCTCTAGGAAGTGTTACTGTCTATGCACTACTCTGGTTCATCCAAGTGAAAGAGGTAGGCATAAAATATTTCTAGTCAGTCATCTTGAAACCCCCTTTTGTTTCAAAAAATTTAGATCAATTTTCTTGGCTAATGCCATATAAACAATAATCTTATCTATGAGCTAGCCTAAGACTCTTTATACTTTGTCTTGAGTTTCTCATTTTTACTCTCATAATAAAATGTTTTCTGCGTTGTTTAGAGAAACGTATGCACTATTCACTAAATTTCTCCCCTGTTGTCATTTCAAATGTTCCATAATATTATGTCAAAGCAACATAGGGCTACTTGTATTAAGCATATATATATATATATATATATATATGTGTGTGTGTGTGTGTATATATATATATGCATATATATGTGGGTATATATATGCATATCTATGTATATATATGTATATACATATATATGTATATATATGTATATACATATATATGTATATATATGTATATATATGTATATACATATATATGTATATATATGTATATATATATGTATATACATATATATGTATATATATGTATATATATGTATATATATACACATATACATATATATATACATATATATATAAAATATATATATTTTTTAATTTTCTCTTTTCTGATGTATTGAGATCTGGGGCCCTGCTGACCCTGGAGGGACTGCTCATCCCAGGGTTAGCCATTTCCTAGAGCAAGAAAATAACTAATCTGACAGTGTGCTTTTCAAATACAAGTCAATCAATACAGAGGATACACGGTTAACCACTTCCTTTTTTGGTCTTTTATCTCTGGGCCACTATCCCTCTGCCTTAATCACTGCCAATGCAAGGTATTCTTGAAATTATTAAAACCAGACACTTGTAAACCAGCTTAAATAGGCTCACCAATTTCTTCCCATAAGAACAACAACAGAGGTTCTTGACCACAATTCTCTCCTCTTCCTCTACCTTCTGGCAGACCCTAGTGCTTTTTTATTTGGCCTCCCGTGGCACGGTGTGCCCCTTCCTTGTGGGAACTGTAGCTAGTAAACTATCTTATTAATGGCAATCATCTCCTTGTATGTTCGACTTACTCACTATACCTGAAATTTTCTATTAATACATTACATTTTAAAACATAACATAGTACATCTGTTTTGTTATGTATATATGTATATTTCAGAAATACACTCACACATATATATGTGCATATATTCTTACCATTAATATATAATCTTAAAAGCAAGATATGCACACTCTCAGGATAAGAATTTTGAAAATGAGTATGCTAACATTAATGTAGTCCTGTTATCTAATTTAGGTGTTAGTAAACTAAAACCCGTGGGACAACTGCCTGTTTTTGTAAATAAAATTGTGTTGGAGCAATGCCAAGCCTACTGGCTTACCTCTTGTCTACAGCTGTTTTTGTTTTACAAGGACAGAGTTCAGTGGTTTCAACAGTGATCCCATGACCCAGAAAGTCTAAAATATTTACTCTCTGGCAATTTAAGAAGAAGTACTCCTACCCTGATAATCTAAAATCCTCATTTGAATTTCACCATCTATCCCACTAATGTCATTTAAAGCCAAATAAATATATTCCTTTTTCTGGTCCAGGATCTGATACATTATCAGGTACCACATTTAGTTGTAATGTCTCTTTAGTCTCTCTTGATGTGGATTGGTTGTTTAACATTTGTTTTTTATTACTTTAATACTTAAAATATAAAGGCCAGTATTTTGTAGACTGTCCTTCAATTTGTGCTTTTTGCTGGTTTTTTTCCTATTAATTCACTCGATATTGTACAGTTTAGGAAGGATTAGCACACCATTGTTACTATGTTATTCTCAGTACGTCATAACAGGAAGCAAAGAATAACTATTTGCACCATTAAATCTTGATATTAAATTTGATCGCTTGGCTAAGGTGATATCTGCTAGATTTGTCCACTGCCAAGTTACTGTGTTTTCCTTTGTAATTAATAAATACTTTTAGGGAGATATAATGTGAGAATATGTAAATATCTCTAGTCTCACCATACTTTCACCCAATAATTCTAGTATTTATTGATGATTTTCATCAGAAATAAATAGCTTTATGGTGGTGGCCAACTTGTGATTTTTTTTCATATCAACATTTTCTTCTACATTTACTTGCAATTATATTGTAAAAATGACCTTTGATGTTTCCAGTACTTATTTATTCATTTATCTATCTAAGTATGAATACACGGATATGTCCCTGATTTGGTAAGGGAAATCCTGTTCAAACTGTCTTCCGTGTTCTTTGTGTGTACTTATCAGTCTTTGAAACTTCCTTAATTAATGGCACAAAAATATATGTCTGGTTCATCTTGTATTTTCTCTGTACTAAACATAGAGTTAGCCATTTCTCCAAGGAGCTCTGGTTCCATTGAGTAGATAACAGTAAATGGAAGCCAAGATCTTTGTGCTAGATGTGCTTATTGCTGTTGAGGTGTCCATGCTTCTACTTACTCCTCTCAGGGGGCAAGAATGCAAACATAGAAGATTATATATAATAATGTATAGATAGAGAAATATAGATACAGAAATAAAAATTAGATAATTTTTACACACATACACACAAAAACACATAGAAGCGTGTGCATAATATCTATAGATGATAGATTGATAGATAGATAGATAGATAGATAGATAGATAGATAGATAGATAGATATAGATAGATAGATGATAGATAGAGATAGAGATAGAACATAAGCTACATGTTTGTTTGTTCATACTAACATCTATAATTCTAGTCCAACACCACCGGGCTCATTTTCGCATTTCCTTTACCACATTTGTAATTCACTTCTCTAAGAATAGAAAATTTGGTTTCAATTATCAACAAAATACAATTTCAATACACATTAAATAATTTTGAAATTTCTAACCCATAAATCTATACAGAACAAATCTATTACACGGAGCTCAATATTTGTACCATATATTCTTATTGTGGTAAGTCCACTTAACATAAGAAGTTCCATTTAACAAATTTTTAATTGTACAATACAATACTGGTAACTACTGTTACTGGGTTGTACAGCAAATCTCTAGGAGTTATTTATCCTGCATAACAAAAATTTTAAACCTGGTAAACAACAACCTCCCATTTTTAATGCCACTAGCCCCTTGAAATCACCATTCTATTCTCTGCTTCTTTAATTTTTAATATTTCAGATATACAAGGACAGTCATGCAGTGTTTATCTTTCTCTAACTGGCTTATTTCCCTTAGCATAATATCCTTTATGATTATCTATGTTGTTGTTTACGGCATGATACTCTCCTTTGTGAAGTCTGAATAACATTCTATTTTGTATATACCACATTTGTTTCACTATTCATCAGTCAATGGCTACTTGGATTGTTTCTATATGTTGGCTACCGTGAATGATGTTGTAATGAACATGGGAGTACAAATTTCTCTTCAGGATTTTGATTTCTATTTTGCGGGGTATATGCACAGCAGTGGAATTGCTGGGTCATATAGTAGTCCTATTTTTAATCTTTTGCAGAACCTCCATACTATTTTCCATAGCAGCTGCACCATTTTACATTCCCACCAACAGAGTACAAGGGGTCCCATTATTTAACATTTTCTTCGTAACTTGTTATCTCCCGTCTTTTTCATAGTAGCCATCCTAACTAGTGTGAAGTGACATCTCACCATGGTTTGATTTGCATTTCTCAGGTTAGTGATGTGGAACACCTTTTCATATACTTGTTGGCTGCTTGTATGTATTCATTGGAGAAGTGTCTATTCAAGTCCTTTGATGATTTTTTAAATTGTGTTGTTTGATTTGTGCTATTGAGTTGCAGGAATTTGTTATATATTTTTATACTAACGCAGTAACAGATATAGCATTTATAAACATTTCTCCCTTTCAATAGGCTGTATTTTATTTTGTTGATTGTTTTCTCTGCTGTGTAGAGGCTCTCCAGTTTGATGTAATACCACTTGTATCTTTTTGCTTTTGTTGCCTTTGATTTTAGTGACATATCAAAAAAATCATTGCCCAGGTTAATGTCAGCGAGTTTTTATCTATACTCTTGTTTAAGAGTTGAACAGTTTCAGGTCTTATACTTAAATCTTTAATCTATTTTAAGTTGATTTATGTATATGGTATAAAATTAAAGAACCTACTCACCAACGAGATATAATAATTATAAACACATACATACCAAACATCAGAGAACATAAATATATAAAGCATACAGTGAATAACTGAGAGGTAAAAATATACAGCAATTTAATAATCATAGGAGATTTTAATACTGCACTTTTAACAATGCATAGGACATGCATACAGAAAATTGATGAGGAAATAACAAACTTGAACAACATTATAAACAGATGAACTTAGATATACGCAGAACACTGCAACCAACAGTCCCAGAATACACACTCTTTTCTTCTTCTTCTTCTTTTTTTTTGTTTTTGTCTTCAACTTTTATTTTAAGTTCACGTGTGCAGGATGTGCAGGTTTGTTACGTAGGTAAACGTGTGCCGTGGTGGTTTGCTGCACCGATCACCTCATAACCTAGGTATTAAGCCCAGTGTCCATTAGCTATTCTTCCTGATGCTCTCCCTGACCCCACCGTCCTGACAGGCCACAGTGTGTGTTGTTCCCTCCATGTGTAAATGTGTTCTCATCATTCAGCTCCCCCTTGTAAGTGAGAACATGCGTTGTTTGGTTTTCTGTTTCTGCATTAGTTTGCTGAGCCTAATTGCTTCCAGCTCCACCCATGTCCTTGCAAAGGACATGATCTTGTTCCTTTTTATGGCTGCATAGTATCCCATGGTGTATATGTACCACATTTTCTTTCTCCAGTCTACCACGGATGGGCATTTAGGTAGATTCCATATCTTTGCTATTTTGAATAGAGCTGTAATGAACTCACACATTGCATGTATCTTTATAATAAAATTATTTATATTCCTTTGGGTATATACTCAGTAATGGGATTGCTGGGTCAAATGGTATTTCTCCCTGGAGGTCTTTTGAGGAATCGCCATGCTGTCTTCCACGATGGTTGAACTACTTTACGCTCCTACCAACAGTGTAAAAGCGTTCCTTTTTCTCTGCAACCTTGACAGCATCTGTTGTTTCTTGACTTTTTAATAATAGCCATTCTGACTGGTGTGACGTGCTATCTCATTGTGGTTTTTATTTGCATTTCTCTGATGATCAGTGATGTTCAGCATTTTTTCATATGTTTGTTGGCTGCATGTATGTCTTCTTTTGAGAAGTGTCTGTTCATGTCCTTTGCCCACGTTTTAATGGTTATATCTTTTCTTGTAAATTTGCTTACGTTCCTTGCAGACTCTGGATGTTAGACCGTTGCTAGATGGATAGATTGAAAAAGCATTTCTCCCATCCTGTAGGTTGTCTGTTCACTCTGATGATAGTTTCTTTTGCTGTGCAGAAGCTCTTTAGTTTATTTAGATCCCATTTGTCAGTTTTTGCTTTTGTTGCAATTGCTTTGGGTGTTTTCATCATTAAATCTTTGCCCATGCCTATGTCCTGGATGGTATTATCTAGATTTTCTTCTAGGGTTTTTATAGTTCTGGGTTTTACGTTTAAGTCTTTAATCCGTCTTGAGTTAATTTTTGCATATGGTGTGGGGAAGGGGTCCAGTTTCAGTTTTCTGCCTATGGCTAGCCAGTTCTTTCAGCATCATTTATTAAATAAGGAATTCTTTCCCCATTGCTAATTTTTGTCAGGTTTGTCGAAGATCAGTTGGTTGTAGGTGTGTGGTCTTATTTCTGCATTCTCTATTCTGTTCCATTGGTCTGTGTGTCTGTCCTTGTACCAGTACCATGTGGTTTTGTTTACTGCAGTCTTGTAGTATAGTTTAAAGTCAGGTAGCAGCTTTGGTCTTTTTGCTTAGGATTGTCTTGGCTATTCGGGCTCTTTTTTGGTTCCCTATGAATTTTAAAGTCGTTTTTTTTTTTTTTTTCTCTATTTCTGTGAAGTCTGTCAATGGTAGTTTAATGGAAATAGCATTGAATCTAGAAATTACTTTGGGCAGTATGGCCGTTTTTATGATATTGATTCTTCCTGGCCATGAGCATGGAATGCTTTTCTATTTTTTTTGTGTTCTCTCTGATTCCTTTGAGAAGTGGTTTGTGGTTCTCCTTAAAGAGGTCCTTCATTTCCCTTGTTAGCTGTGTTTCTAGGTATTTCCGTCTTTGTGTAGAAATTGTGAATGGGAGTTCAATCATGATTTGGCTCCCTGCTTGCCTATTGTTGGTGTATAGGAATGCTAGCCATTTTTGCATATCCATTTTGCAGAATAGACATCCTTTTCAAGCACACCTGGAACATTCTCCAGGACAAGTTACATGTTACACCACAAACCAAGTCTTAACAAATTTAAGAAGATTGAAATAATAGCAAACCTCTTTTTCAATCAGAATAAGATGGATCTAGAAATTAATAACAACAGGACAATTGGAAAATACACAAATATGTGGAAACAAAACAACACACACATGAATAAGCAATGGATCAAAAAAGGGAAATCATGAAATATCTTGAGACAAATGAAACTGAAAACACGATATAGCAACACATAAGGGATACCGTGAAGGCAGTTTCTTTTCCGAATTTCAACTTTTGTTTAAGATACAGGGAGATACAGGGGTTACATGTGTAGGATTGTTACATGGCAATTTTGGACCCAGGTAGTGAGCCTAACGTTCAATAAGTAGTTTTTCAACCAACATTCCATTCCCTACCACCTACCTCTAGGAGTCCACAGTGTCTATATTTCTCGTGTTCATGTTCATGTTCCCATGCTCAGTGTTAAGCTCCCACTTATCCATGAAAACATGTGGAATTTTGTTGTTTCTTCTTGTGTTAACTCCCTTATGATTATGGCCTCCCCCTGCATCCATGTTGCTGCTAAAAAGAAAAAGAAAAAAGATTTTATTACATTTTTATGGCTGCATAGTATTCCATGGTATATATATGTACCACATTTTCCTTATCCAATCTACCGTTGATTGTCATCTGGGTTGATTCCATGTCTTTGCTACTGTGAATAGCACAGCAATGAACATAAGAGTGCATATGCCTTTCTGGTAGAATGATTTATTTTCCTTTGGGTACATAGCCAGTAATTGAACTGCTGCATCAAAGGGTAACTCCGTATTGAGATGTTTGAGAAATCTCCAGAGTGTTTTCCACAGTGGCTCTACTAACTTACATTTCCACCAGGAATGCATAAGTGTTCCCTTTTCTCTGCAGCCTCACCAGCATCTATTGTTTTTTGACTTTTTAATACCCATTCAGACTCGTGTGAGATGTTGTCTCAATTTGGTTTTCATTTGCATTTCTCTGATGATTAGTGATGCTGAGCATTTTCCATGAGTTTTTGTTGCTTATATGTCTTCTTCTGAGAAGTGTCTGTTCAATGTCATTGCCAATTTTTTTTTATTATACTTTAAGTTCTAGGGTACACGTGCACAACGTGGAGGTTTGTTACATATGTATACATATGCCATGTTGGTGTGCTGCACCCATTAACTCGTTATTTACATTAGGTATATCTCCTAATGCTATCCCTCTCCCCTCCCCCCACCCCACAACAGGCCCCGGTGTGTGATGTTCCCCTTCCTGTGTCCAAGTGTTCTCATTGTTCAATTCCCACCTATGAGTGAGAACATGTGGTGTTTAGTTTTCTGTCCTTGTGATAGTTTGCTGAGAATGATGGTTTCCAGCTTCATCCATGTCCCTACAAAGGACATGAACTCATCCTTTTTTATGGCTGCATAGAATTCCATGGTGTATATGTGCCACATTTTCTTAATCCAGTCTATCATTGATGGACATTTGGGTTGGTTCCAAGTCTTTGCTATTGTGAATAGTGTCGCTGTCATTGCCAATTTTTAATGGAGTTATTTGTTTCTTCTTAATGATTTTTTTAAAGTTCTCTATAGATTCTAGATATTAGGCCATCGTAGAATGCATAGTTTGTGGATGTTTTCTCCCATTCTGTATGTTGTCTGTTTACTGTGTTGATAGTTTCTTTTGCTGTGTATAAGCTCTTTATTTTAATTAGGTCTCATATATCTGTTTCTGTTATTGTTGCAACTGCTTTTGGGGACTTGGCCAAAAATTCTTTGCCAAAGCCAATGTCAAGAAGAGTATTGCCTGGGTTGTCTCCTAGGACTTCTGTAGTTTGAGGTCCTACATTTAAATCTTTAACTCATCTTGAGTTAACTTTTGTATATGGTGAAAAGCAAGGGTCCAGCTTTACCTGCCTGTGGCTAGTCAGTTATCTCAGCACCATTTCCTGAATAAAGAGTCGTTTTCCCATTGCTTGTTTTTATCATCCTTCTTGAAGATCACACGGCAGTAGGTGTTTCATTTTATTTCTAAATTTTCTGTTCTTTTCTTTCCATTAGTCTATGTGTCTGATTTTGTACCAGAACCATGCTGTTTACATTACTGTAACTTTGTAGTATCATTTGAGGTCAGGTAGTGTGATGCATCCGGCTTTGTTCTTTTGCTTAAGATGTCTTTGGCTATTTAAGGTCTTTTTTGGTTCTGTCTGAATGTTAGAAAAAGTTTTTCTAATTCTGTGGAGAATGACATTGGTCATTTGATAGAAATAGCATTGAATTTGTAAATTACTCTGTGTCATGTTGACATTTTAATGATATTGATTCTTCCAGTCCATGAGCATATATTTTTGTTTTGTTTTGTTTCTGTCATCTCTGATTTTTTAAAATAGTGTTTTGTAGTTATTCTTATGGTAATCTTTCACCTTCTTGGTTAACTGTATTCCTAGGTACTCTGTTTTCTCTGAGCCTACTATAAGGGAACTTCCGTTTTTGATTTCACTCTCAGCCTACGTGTTGTTGGTAAAAATGCTACTGATATTTTTGTACATTGGTTTTGTATCCTGAATCTTTACAGAAGTAGCTGATCAGTTCTAGGAACCTTTTGGCATAGCCTTTAGGATTTTCTACGTATGGAATCATATTGTCAGGGAAGAGAGATGGTTGGACTTTTTCTTTTCCTATTTGGATGCCTTTTATTTCTTTCTCTTTTCTGATTGCTCTGGCTAGGGCTTCCAGTACTGAATAGGAGTAGTGTGAGTAGATATCTTTGTCTTGTTCCACTTCTCAAGGAGAATTGTTCCAGCCTTTTCTCACTCATATAATGTTGGCTATGGGTTTGTCAGAGACAGCTTTTATTATTTTGAGGTATATTCCCTTGATGCCTAGTCTGTTGAGGTTTTTTTTTTTTATCATGAACAGATATTGAATTTTATTGAAAGCTTTTACTGCATCTATTTCAATGATCACATTGTCTTTGCTTTAAATTCTGTTTATGTGCTAAAGCACATTTATAATTTGCATAAGTTGAATCATCCTTTCATCCCAGGAATAATGCTTACTTGATTATGGTGTACTAACTTTTTGAGGTGTTGCTCTGCTGCTGGATTTGGTTTGGTATTATTTTGTTGAGCATTTTTACATCTATGTTCACAATGAATATTGGTCTGAGATTTCTTTTGTGTGTGTGCGTGTCTCTGTCAGATTATGATACAGGTCTGATGCTCATTTCATAGAATAAGTTAAAAAGGAGCCCTTCTTTCTCAAATTTTTGAGATAGTTTCAGCAGGGTTAGTACCAGTTCTTCTTCGCATGTCTGGTATCCCTCTTTTTCTTTGTTAACCTAAGAAAGGGTCTATCAATCGTATCTATTTTTCTGAAGATCCAATTCTTGGTTTCACTGATAGTTTGTATAGATTTTTGCAATTCAAATTTATTAAGTTATTCTTTTTTATTTTTTTTATTATACTTTAAGTTTTAGGGTACATGTGCACAACGTGCAGGTTAGTTACATACGTATACATGTGCCATGTTGGTGTGCTGCACCCATTAACTCGTCATTTAACATTAGGCATATCTCCTAATGCTGTCCCTCCACCCTCCCCCCTCCCCACAACAGGCTCTGGTGTGTGATGTTCCCCTTCGGGTGTCCATGTGTTCTCACTGTTCAATTCCCACCTATGAGTGAGAACATGTGGCAGTTTGTCCTTGCAATAGTTTGCTGAGAATGATGGTTTCCAGCTTCATCCATGTCCCTACAAAGGAAAGGAACTCATCATTTTTTATGGCTGCATAGTGTTCCACGGTGTGGTGTATATGTGCCACATTTTCTTAATCCAGTCTATCATTGTTGGACATTTGGGTTGGTTCCAAGTCTTTGCTGTTGTGAATAGGGCCGCAATAAACATACGTGTGCATGTGTCTTTATGGCAGCATGATTTATAATCCTTTGGGTATATACCCAGTAATGGCATTGCTGGGTCAAATGGTATTTCTAGTTCTAGATCCCTGAGGAATCGCCACACTGTCTTCCACCATGGTTGAACTAGTTTACAGTCCCACCAACAGTGTAAAAGTGTTCCTATTTCTCCACATCCTCTCCAGCACCTGTTGTTTCCTGACTTTTTAATGATCGCCATTCTAACTGGTGTGAGATGGTATCTCATTGTGGTTTTGATTTGCATTTCTCTGATGGCCAGTGATGATGAGCATTTTTTCATGTGTCTTTTGGCTGCATAAATGTCTTCTTTTGAGAAGTGTCTGTTCATATCCTTCGCCCACTTTTTGATGGGGTTGTTTGTTTTTTTCTTGTAAATTTGTTTGAGTTCATTGTAGATTCTGGATATCAGCCCTTTGTCAGATGAGTAGATTGCAAAACTTTTCTCCCATTCTGTGGGTTGCCTGTTCACTCTGATGGTGGTTTCTTTTGCTGTGCAGAAGCTCTTTAGTTTCATTAGATCCCATTTGTCAATTTTGGCTTTCGTTGCCATTGCTTTTGCTGTTTTAGACATGAAGTCCTTGCCCATGCCTATGTCCTGAATGGTGTTGCCTAGGTTTACTTCTAGGGTTTTTATGGTTTCAGGTCTAACATTTATGTCTTTAATCCATCTTGAATTAATTTTTGCATAATGTGTAAGGAAGGGATCCAGTTTCAGCTTTCTACATATGGCTAGCCAGTTTTCCCAGCACCATTTATTAAATAGGGACTCCTTTCCCCATTGCTTGTTTTTGTCAGGTTTGTCAAAGATCAGATGGTTGCAGATATGTGGCATTATTTATGAGGGCTCTGTTCTGTTCCATTCGTCTATATCTCTGTTTTGGTACCAGTACCATGCTGTTTTGGTTACTGTAGCCTTGCAGTAGAGTTTGAAGTCAGGTAGCGTGATGCCTCCAGCTTTGTTCTTTTGGCTTAGGATTGACTTGGCGATGCGGGCTCTTTTTTGGTTCCATATGAACTTTAAAGTAGTTTTTTTTTTTCCAATTCTGTGAAGAAAGTCATTGGTAGCTTGATGGGGAAGGCATTGAATCTATAAATTACCTTGGGCAGTATGGCCATTTTCACGATATTGATTTTTCCTACCCGTGAGCATGGAATGTTCTTCCATTTGTTTGTATCCTCTTTTATTTCACTGAGCAGTGGTTTGTAGTTCTCCTTGAAGGGGTCCTTCACATCCCTTGTAAGTTGGATTCCTAGGTATTTTATTCTCTTTGAAGCGATTGTGAATGGGAGTTCACTCATGTTTTGGCTCTCTGTTTGTCTGTTATTTGTGTATAAGAATGCTTGTGATTTTTGCACATTGATTTTGTATCCTGAGAGTTTGCTGAAGTTGCCTATCAGCTTAAGGAGATTTTGGGCTGAGATGATGGGGTTTTCTAGATATACAATCATGTCATCTGCAAACAGGGACAATTTGACTTCTTCTTTTCCTAATTGAATACCCTTTATTTCCTTCTCCTGCCTGATTGCCCTGGCCAGAAATTCCAACACAGTGTTGAATAGGAGTGGTGAGAGAGGGCATCCCGGTCTTGTTCCAGTTTTCAAAGGGAATGCTTCCAGTTTTTGACCATTCAGTATGATATTGGCTGTGCGTTTGTCATAGATAGCTCTTATTATTTTGAGATAAGTCCCATCAATACCTAATTTATTGAGAGTTTTTAGCATGAAGGTTGTTGAATTTTGTCAAAGGCCTTTTCTGCATCTATTGAGATAATCATGTGGTTTTTGTCGTTGGCTCTGTTATTCTCTAATTTTAGTTTTTTCTTTTAATTTTCTGCTGGATTTTGGGTTGGTTTGTTCTTTCCTTTCTAGTTCCTTTATGTGAAAAGTTAGATTGATAACTTGAAACATTTCTAACATTTTGATGAAGACGTTTAGATCTATACATTTTGCTCTTAACAAACACTGATTTGGCTGCATCCCAGAGATTTCAATAAGTTGTGTTCCTGTTTTTATTAATTTAATTTTTGTTAAATTTCTGCCATAATTTTGATGCTGTTCAAGAGTAAGTTGTTTTATTTTCAGGTGTGCATGTAGTTTTGAGAGGTCTTCTTGACTTTGATTTCTATTTTTATTGCACTGTGGTCTGAAAGTATGCTTGGTATGATTTCAAAATTTTTGAATTTATTGAGGCTTTCTTTATGACTGAACATGTGGTCAATCTTAGAAAGTATTTTATGTGCAGATGGGAAGAATGTATTTTTTTTTTTATTGTTGGATGAATGTTCTGCAGATGTCTATTAGGTCAATTAGTCAGGTGACTGGTTCAAGTCCAGAGTTTACCATTTCCTACCTTGATGATATGCCTACTGCTGTCAGTGGGATGTTGAAGTCCTTCACTACTATTGTGTGGTTGTATAAGTCTTTTTGTAGGCCAAGAAGAACTTGTTATATGAAACTGCGTGCTCTAATGTTGGGTATGTATATATTTAGGATGATAGTTGAAGCTTCTTGTTGGATTGTAGTCTTTATCATTATGTAATGTCCTTCTTTACTCTTCTTATCTTTTATTGGTTTAAAGTCTGTTTTATCTGATATAAGAACAGCGACTCCTGCTCTTTTAATTTTGCATTTGCATGGCAGATATTACTCTCCCTTTTTACATTGAGCCTTTACGTGTTTCTACATGTGAGATAGGTCTCACGAGGACAACAAATGATTGAGTTTTGTTTTTTTTTTTTAATCCAGCCTTCCATGCTGTGTCTTTTAAGTGGGATATCTGGCCCTTTTACATTCAAGGTTACTGTTGATATATGTGATTTTGATCATCTCGTCATTTTCTTAGCTGGCCGTTATGTAGACTTGATGACGTAGTTGCTTTACAGTGTCTGTGTGCTATGTGCTGAAGTGTGCTTTTGTGGTAACAGGTATTGTTCTTTCGAATCCACGTTTTGCACTCCCTTAAGGGCCTCTTGTAATGCTGATCTGGTTGAAATGTATTCCCCCAACATTTGCTTGAATGAAAAGGATTTTATTTCTCCTTCACTTAGGAAGTGTAGTTTGACAAAATATAAAATCATTGGTTGATTTTTTTTTTCCTTGGAGATGTTCAAAATATGCGCCCAATCTCTTCTGTATTGCAAGGTTTCTACTGAGAGGTCTACTGCTAGCCTGATGGGGTTCCCTCTGTAGGTGACCAGCCCCTTCTCTCTAGCTGCCTTTAATTTTTTTCTTTGGCATTGACCTTGGTGAACCTGATTACCATGTGCCTTGGGGATGGTTGTCTTGTATAGTATCTGCCTGGAGTTCTCTGTATTTCTTGGATTTGCATGTAAACCTCTCTAGTGAGAGGAAGATAATTTTCATAGACTATAACTTCAAATATATTTTCCAAGATGTTTATTCTCTCTCCTATCTCAGGGATGCTGATTAATCATCGATTGAGTCTCTTCACATAATTCCATATTTCTCAGAGGTTTTGTTCATTTTTGTTAGTTTTTTTCTCTTTAATTATTTATTTGTTTTTGACTAAGTTGATTTGAAGAACTGGTTTTCAAGCTCTGAGATTTCTTTCTCAGCTTGGTTTATTCTGGTATTAATACTTCTGATTGTGTTATAAAATTCTTGCAGTGAATCCTTTCAACTCAAGAAGTCTAGCCTGGGATTGGCTTAAAATGGCTATTTTGTCTTTCAGCTCTTGAATCATTTCACTGGATTACTTGGTTTTCTTAGATTGGGTTTCAGCTTTATACTGAATCTTGAAGAGCGGCCTTGCCATCCAGATAATTCCATGTCTGTCATTTCATTTATTTCAGACTGGTTAAGAGCCATTACTGGTCTCATTTTAATTTTATTATTATTATACTTTAAGTTTTAGGGTACATGTGCACAATGTGCAGGTTTGTTACATATGTATACATGTGCCATGTTGGTGTGCTGCACCCATCAACTCGTCATTTAGCATTAGGTATATCTCCTAATGCTATCCCTCCACCCTGCCCCCACCCCACAACAGTCCCCGGAGTGTGATGTTCCCCTTCCTGTGTCCATGTGTTCTCATTGTTCAATTCCCTCCTATGAGTGAGAACATGCAGTGTTTGGTTTTTTGTCCTTGCGATAGTTTGCTGAGAATGATGGTTTCCAGTTTCATCCATGTCCCTACAAAGGACATGAACTCTTCATTTTTTATGGCTGCATAGTATTCCATGGTGTATATGTGCCACATATTCTTAATCCAGTCTATCATTGTTGGACATTTGGGTTGGTTCCAAGTCTTTGCTATTGTGAATAGTGCCGCAATAAACATACATGTGCATGTGTCTTTATGGCAGCATGATTTATAATCCTTTGGTTATATACCCAGTAATGGCATTGCTGGGTCAAATGGTATTTCTAGTTCTAGATCCCTGAGGAATCGCCACACTGACTTCCACAATGGTTGAACTAGTTTACAGTCCCACCAACAGTGTAAAAGTGTTCCTATTTCTCCACATCCTCTCCACCACCTGTTGTTTCCTGACTTTTTAATGATCGCCATTCTAACTGGTGTGAGATGGTATCTCATTGTGGTTTTGATTTGCATTTCTCTGATGGCCAGTGATGATGAGCATTTTTTCATGTGTTTTTTGGCTGCATAAATGTCTTCTTCGGAGAAGTGTCTGTTCATATCCTTTGCCCACTTTTTGATGGGGTTGTTTGTTTTTTTCTTGTAAATTTGTTTGAGTTCATTGTAGATTCTGGATATTAGACCTTTGTCAGATGAGTGGGTTGCGAACATTTTCTCCCGTTCTGTAGGTTGCCTGTTCACTCTGATGGTAGTTTCTTTTGCTGTGCAGAAGCTCTTTAGTTTAATTAGATCCCATTTGTCAATTTTGGCTTTCGTTGCCTTTGCTTTTGCTGTTTTAGACATGAAGTCCTTGCCCATGCCTATGTCCTGAATGGTGTTGCCTAGGTTTACTTCTAGGGTTTTTATGGTTTCAGGTCTAACATTTATGTCTTTAATTCATCTTGAATTAATTTTTGTGTAACGTGTAAGGAAGGGATCCAGTTTCAGCTTCCTACATATGGCTAGCCAGTTTTCCTAGCACCATTTACTAAATAGGGACTCCTTTCCCCATTGCTTGTTTTTGTCAGGTTTGTCAAAGGTCAGATGGTTGTAGATATGCGGCTTTATTTCTGAGGGCTCTGTTCTGTTCCATATGTTCTGTATCTCTGTTTTGGTACCAGTACCATGCTGTTTTGGTTACTGCAGCCTTGTAGTATAGTTTGAAGTCAGGTAGCGTGATGCCTCCAGCTTTGTTCTTTTGGCTTAGGATTGACTTGGCGACGCGGGCTCTTGTTTGGTTCCACATGAGCTTTAAAGTAGTTTTTTCCAATTTTGTGAAGAAAGTCATTGGTAGCTTGATGGGGACGGTATTGAATCTATTAAATTACCTTGGGCAGTATGGCCATTTTCACGATATTGATTCTTCCTACCCATGAGCATGGAATGTTCTTCCATTTGTTTCTATCCTCTTTTATTTCATTGAGCAGTGGTTTGTAGTTCTCCTTGAAGAGGTCCTTCACATCCCTTGTAAGTTGGATTCCTAGGTATTTTATTCTCTTTGTAGCAATTGTGAATGGGAGTTCACTCATGATTTGGCTCTCTGTTTGTCTGTTATTCGTGTATAAGAATGCTCGACACTCTGGCTTTTTGCATTCTCAGAGTTCTTGCATTTATTCTTCCTCATCTTGGGAGGCTCATATTTTTAACTGTGATGTAAATTGAGTATGGCTAGTTGGCTTTGTTTCTGGAAGTTTTCAGAGGACCAAGTCTCTGCACGGGGTGTTCGTTGTTGAATTCTTGCCCCTTCGGTTTCACAGCGAGTAGTTTTTTGCTCTTGTAGTTTTGTCTGTGTTCCAGTAGATGGCGCTTGAGAGCAATGGGCGGTAGGTAGGCTGTTAGTTGCGTGGTTTCTTTGTGCATCCTTGTGCTTGCAGTTCTGTTGTGAGGTGCGAGGGGAAGATAGTTAACCCTCTCGCCAGACCTGCTCCTGGGCCTTTCAGGAGCCACCTACAATCACTGGCACTGTGCCCACAATTTTGTTGTTATTGATGTTGTTGTCGGGTCTTTTGGGCCATGGGGGGGGGGCTCCTTTAAGGGGAAGTCCCCTTTCCCAGGCACTGTCCGGGGCTGGGAACCAGACTTGGTGTTCAGGTACTCCGTGCCGTGTTCCCAGTTTCCTCCCTTTACAGCCTCAGCATCTGCTTCTCTTCTCCGTCCACATTTGGCATTTTCTGTCCAAAGATCTGTTCAATTTATGTTGGTGTAGTTGAAATCATATTTTCTTTCCGTGGGAGCAGGACTTCTCAGCTGCATCTAGTCAGGCTGCTTGCTCAGAATTTTTTTGAATTTTTTGAGACTTGCTTTGTGGAGTAATATTTGGTCTATCCTGGAGAATATTCCATGTGCTGATGAGAAGTATGTGTATTCTGCAGCTGTTGCATGAAATGTTCTATAAATGTATATTAGGTTCACCTGATCTAGAGTGACGATTAAGTTGAACCTTTCTTTGTTGAGTTTCTGTCTGGTTGATCTGTGCAATGATTAAAATGAGGTGTTTAGGTCACCTGCTACCATTGTCTCTCTCTTTTTTAATAGTATTTTCTTTATATATCGGGGTTCCATACAACGGTTATATTCTCTTCCTGATTTGACCACTTTATCATCATGTAATGATCTTCTTTGTCTCTTTGTGTAGTTTTTGTCTTGAAATCTATTTTACCTGATATAAGTGCACTACTCCTAGTGTTATTTGATTCTGATTTCCATGGAATAACCATTTCTATTCCTTTATTTTTAATCTATGCATATCTTCACAGGTATAGCCACTTTCTTGTGGGCCGCATATAGCTGAATCTTGTTTTTTATCCATTCAGCTGTTCTTAACTTTTACTGAATAATTTAGTGTAAATTTAACCTGATTATTCATTGGTAAAGAGTAGTACTGCCACTTTTTTACTTTTTTTTTTTTTTTCCGTTGTCGGTGGTGCTCTCTTTTTTCTTGTCTTCCTTTGTGTAAAAAAGGATTTTATCTAGTAGCTTGTTTTGATTTCTTGATTTTCAATATTTAAATCTATGTTATAGGGGTTTGTTTGTGGTTGCCATGAAGCTGATGAATAACATCTTATAACCCATTTTTAAACTGATGACAACTCTGATTGCCAAAAAGAGCAAAACAAATAAGCAAAGAGAAAACTATGAAAACATTCTACACTTTAACTTCATTTCCTCTGATTTATGACTTTGTCTGTCTCTGTATCTTTTTATATTGTCTATCTATTGAAAGATGTTTGTCACTATCAGTTTTGGCAGTTTATTTGTCTTCCTGCTAAAGATATGAGTGGCTAAGACACTGCAATTGCAGTGTTATAGTATTGTGTACTTTTCTGTGTACTTGCTATTACTGACAGGTTTTATATCTTCAGATAATTTCTTTGTCATTTTGTAACTGCCTTTTCTTTCTGATTGAAGCACTCTCTTTACCATTTCTTGTAGGACAGGTCTGATGTAGACATGATCTCTCAGCTTTTGTTTGTCTGGGAAAGTGTTTATTTCTTCTTCATAGTTGAAGGATAATTTTGCTGAATACGATATTCCATGTTGGGATTTGTTTTTCTTCAGCATTTTGGATATGCTATCTCACTCTCCCCTGGTCTATAAGAATTCTGCTGAGAAGTCTGCTGCCATACATATTGGAGCTCCTTTATGTGCTATTTGTTTATTTTTCTCTTGGTGCTTCTAGTATCCTCTCTTTATCTTTGACTTTTGAGAATTTATTAAATGCCTGGAGATGTTTCATTTGGCTTTAATCCACTTGGTGTTCTAGGACCTTCTCGTACCTCGGTATTCCTATGATTCTTTAGGTTTGGATAATTGTCTGTTACTATATCTTTGAATAAACTTTATCCCCTTTCTCCCTACGTCTTGTTCAAGGCTAAGAACTCTTAGATTTGCCCCTTTGCAGGTATTTTCTATATCTCATAGTCATGCTTTAATTTTTAAATTATTTTTTCTCTTCTGTGTATTTTCATATAGCCTGTCTCTAAGCTTACTATTTTTTTTCTGCTTTATCAATTCTGCTGTTGCTAGGGTCTAATGCATTTTTTTCAGTATGTTAATTGTACTTTTCAGCTCCAGCATTTCTGCTAGATTTTTCATAGTTTCTCAGTCTCTTTTTACAATTCATCTAATAAAATTGTGACTCTATTGTCTGTATTATCTTAAAGTTTGTTGAGCTTCATCAAGGCAGGTATTTTGAACTCTCTGTCTGAATGGTCACATATATCTGACACTTCATAGTTGGTCACTGGTGCCTTACTTAGTTCATTTGGTGAGGTCATGTTTTTCTGTATGTTCTTGATGCTTGTGGATATTTTTCAGTGTCTGCTCATTGAAGAGTTAGGTATGTACTCTAATCTTAGTATTCTGCACTTATTTTTACCCATACTTCTCGAGAAGGCTGTTTACATATTCAAAGGGTATTTAGAGTGGTAATTTAACTTTGTGGTCACTGCAGCCATATCAGGATTGTAAGGCACACTAAGTTCTAAATTCAGTAACAGCGCAGCTCTTGCTGACTCCTTGAAGCACCATGTTGGTGGTGTTGGTTAAGTTAAGGGAAAATTTCCCGGGTTACCAGAAAAATTATCTCACTCTCTTCCCTCTCTTTGTCCTAATCAAAAGGAGTCTCTCTCTCTCTCTCTCTCTCTCTCTCTCTCCCTCTCTCTCTCTCTCTCTCTCTCTCTCTCCCTCTCCCTCTCTCTCTCTCTCTCTCTCTCTCTCTCTACATGCTGGGCTGCCTGAAGTTTTTGGAGGAGTGCCACAAGCCATCCCATGGCCACCGCAGGTAGCACTGCACTGGATGACACTTGAAGCCAGTACACTGTTGGATTGCACCCAAGGCTCATGGCAATGACTGCCTGGCTACTGCTTATGGTTATTCAAGGCCCAGAAGCTCTTATGTCTGAATGTGGTGAACTCTGTCAGAACTAAGTTTTATTTTTTTTTTAATTTCTTTCAGAACGGTGGATTTTCTTTTGGTCCAGAGTGGGTCTAGAAATGCTGTCCAGTAGCTAAGGCCTGGAATCTAGAGCTTCAGTAATCTGCTTGGTGCTTTATTTCAGTGTGACTAAACTGGTACCCGAGTTGCAAGATGAATTTCTCTGTACTCTTCCCTCTCATTTTCTAAAGTGGAAAAATTTTATCCCTGAGCTGCACTGCCTGGAACTGGGGAGCTGTTACACAGTCTTAATAAACTATTTTATTACCCTAGGCAATTGTCTGCTAGATAGTCCTAAGCTTGCATATTAAAGGAAATCTTACGTTAAAAAAAATATGGTAATGACATTTACATCTCATAGTACAGAGAGAAGTAGTCTGGTGCTAGAGGGAGATTAAAAATGGATGCCAAATAAAAATTATAGAAATCCGTCATAGGACTGTAAGGGGAGACCGGTTGTATTTAGATAGAGACTACCTATCTTTTAACTGTATCTCTGAGCTCTGGATAGGGCCCATACTGAATCCTGGGTCTCCAGACAGGGAGAATTATTATGAGGCTAGACCACATGATGCTTTTACAGTGCACTTTTAAAAACATTAACAAAGACCGTTCTAAATGTCTAAACTATCCTCTTTCTTAAGTACCCAAGAATAGCCTCCGTTACAATAACTATTTTAGTCAAAAAATCTGGTAACACAATGCAAAAGCAAGTACTTTATGATCTGAGACAAACTTTTCTCTTTACCCACTCTCGGGGTTCCATAAAGAAAAACAAGTTTCTCCCCAGAAAAGAGTCTGGTGCTTTGTCTGTTTTCTTCAGTGAATCCTGGGCTATTATAAGCTGTTTTAGGCCCCTCATGCAGCAGACGGAGGCAAGAGAAAGCAGAGACAGCAGAACTAAATGAAGACAATGAAATTCAATAAACTGAGAAAAAAATAATAAACTTCTGCTCAGAGGAGACAAGGTCTTAGGAGAGAAAAAAAACCATAAAGTCTTTTAATGCAAACATACACACACGTGCACATGTACACACACACACACACATGCACACATCTTGGATGTTAGCTTTTAATTAAGCTGACTTTTAACCATTGAGCTCCTTAAAATAATATTTTTAAATCTCATTGTTACTGTAAAGGAGTCCAGATCCAGACCCCAAGAAAGGGTTCTTGGATCTCATGCAAGAAATAATTTGAGGTGAATCCATAAAGTGAAAGCAAGTTTATTAATAAAGTTAACTAATGAAAGAATGTCTACTCCATAGGAAGAGTAGTGGCTTGGCCTGCTTCACTAAGGATACTTCCAGTTATTTCTTGATTATATGCTAAATAAGGGGTGGATTATTCATGAGTTTTCCAGAAAAGGGGTGGGCAATTCCCAGAACTGAGGGTTCCTACCATTTTTAAACCATATAGGGTAACTTCTTGATGTTGCCAAGGCATTTGTACATTGTCATTGCACTGGTGGGAGTGTCTTTTAACATGCTAATGCATTATAATTAGCATATAATGAGCAGTGAGGACAACCAGAGGACACTTTTGTTGGCATCTTGGTTTTGGTGTGTTTTGGCCAGCTTCTTTATCACAAACAGTTTTATCAGCCAAATCTTTATAATCTGTATCTTGTGGAGACTTCTTATCTCATCCTGTGAATTAGAATGCCTAACCTCCTGGGAATGCATCCCAGTAGGTCTCAGTCTTATTTTACACAGGGACTATTCAAGATGGAGTTTCTCTGGTTCAAATGCCTCTGACATATTTACCCCCTCCCTTTTATAAGAGAACCCTTAATCCTAAGGGCTGTAGAGAGAGGAAGATTCATCTTCTGTAACTTCTTCAGGCTGAACAGGGGGGATGATATTCATGCCTAACCTCTTGCATTCAGGTTAGAGAAGAGCTCAGTCAAAAAGCATCATTATGGTGAGGGCCATTCATAAGTCTTGAGTTATGACAAAAGGTGATATCTGGAAGATTAATAAGTGTTCAGTTTAAGAATACATTCAGTAAGAGAACCCTTAATCCTAAGGGCTGTAGAGAGAGGAAGATTCATCTTCTGTAACTTCTTCAGGCTGAACAGGGGGGATGATATTCATGCCTAACCTCTTGCATTCAGGTTAGAGAAGAGCTCAGTCAAAAAGCATCATTATGGTGAGGGCCATTCATAAGTCTTGAGTTATGACAAAAGGTGATATCTGGAAGATTAATAAGTGTTCAGTTTAAGAATACATTCAGTAAGAGAACCCTTAATCCTAAGGGCTGTAGAGAGTGGAAGATTCATCTTCTGTAACTTCTTCAGGCTGAACAGGGGGGATGATATTCATGCCTAACCTCTTGCATTCAGGTTAGAGAAGAGCTCAGTCAAAAAGCATCATTATGGTGAGGGCCATTCATAAGACTTGAGTTATGACAAAAGGTGATATCTGGAAGATTAATAAGTGTTCAATTTAAGAATACATTCAGTAAGCTTATCCTGCATTCCTACGCAAAGAGTACGACAGCACTATATTTCACAACAGTAAAACAAAATAAGTAAAATTATCCCAAGTAAACTAAATAAGAAGGCTTTTCATGAACTGGGAGACTTTGGAACCAAAGTGATATGGAGTTGCTATACATGCTATACATTCCAATATGTGCTCAGAATTAGAATATTGATCCAGATTTTTTACATTACCCACCTCTCTTGTTACTTTTGAACAGCCATAAGAGATCACTGGTTGGTTCACAGAAATAAGCAGGTTCAGTCTAAATCGTAGAAAGAAAACTCAAAAATAACTGATGAGATCACAATTTTATAACAAGTGTACCATTGTTTTTAAAATATGTTTTTTCTATCTCTCCATTCTCCCATTTTTACTAAAGACAAATCCTAACAGGGCTGATTTGTTTGCAAAAATACGCCATAGTCTTACACTTAGCCTGATTATTTGTGTAAAGTACAGCAAAAATAATCATTTTTCACATAGGCTTTTTAAATTGGCTTTGATTGGACTTTGTTCCACAAAAGGAATCTCAGATAAGGTTTTTTTCCAAAGCCAAGCCTAGCCATAGGTTTGTACTATCAAATATTTATCAGTTAGGTAAATTCCTCTTTTTTCGAGGTCCCAAGATAACCTAGGGCTCCTGGGCCTGTTAGAAAGTGACATTCTTTATTTACTACAGGTCAGGAACCCTGTACGGGACAGTGTAGACAGGGTATGAGGCCAGTTTTCCCAAGGGGCTTTTATTGGCCCTGTAAGCCAAATTCGATTCCTTAAAGGAAAGCATGCCATTCCAGTCAAAGCCTTGGTAAAATAACTGGTTTCTTTTATTTTGTCCTGTTACAAAAGAAAACATTCTTATTGCACTTATGCAAATAACTATATTGTCATAAGTTAAGAATACTCACAAATAGTTTCCAAATTCTGGAGAAATCAGGTAGAGAGAAACAAATATGCTCCAAATTTTGTTCACAGGAGTATATTTTACTTACTTGTTAAAAGCTGCAAATCACTCAAAAGAAAAGTTTTATTGGCTCTGAAAAACAAAACAGAGGATCCTTTTAAGCAAAAAGTCAAAAAGATTACTTTAGTCTTCTATTAGTCCAGTCCATGTTGTTAACTCCTGTTCTGCCTGATATTCGTGAACATTTCAGCACTCCAGGAGATCCTGAAAGTTTTTTCTTCTATTCTAACATCAAAATCTCCAAATTTATCAGAAACCTGCATTTAAGAACACCTATTAGAGTTCTGTAGCTGATTATGAAACCACCTCTAAAGAAAAAAAAAAAAAAAAAAAAAAAAAAACAAGGCAACAATTGTCCCTGGATGACAAAACACTTTAGGGCAGTCTCTATTAAAGCCACAATTGACTAAGAATTTTGGTGACTTCTGTGGCATACAACAATTTTACATAACAATTATTATAACTATTAATAGCATACACTAAGTTATATCAGAGTTACAGAAGTTTCTAATAATTTTGGAACACCTACCAAAAACATATATTCACAAATACAGCCTAAAGAAAGAACTCTTAGGAACCATTGGTGGAAAAACCTGGATTGTAGGTGATTTTAACTATGTACTACCTTTGGAGCCTAGGACACAGAAAGAAGTGCAGATAAGGTTTGACTATCCAGCATAACTAGGAGGCATGGCTAACACCACATATCCCCAGGCTTTACCTAGAATCTGCTTCAAAGTAAGTAGGTTGAACAATTTTCAAAAATCAAAGAAGCCGTTTATGACCCTAACACATCTAGCAAACTTAATATTTAACCTACTTCAGACCAAATGTCTGAATTTTGAAGACATTTGAATTTTACCAATGATCTTCAAAACTGTTTTTATTTCTGAAACTTTACTAAAGTCACATGGACTAAAAGGCATTCATTCGTTTTTATTTTCTGATAGAATGTTAGATTTAAGCTCTTATGATTTTTGAAAACAATCAAAGCTCTTTCATATCACACACACACAACACATATAAATACATAGACAGAAATGTTCCAGTAGTTTTAAGATTTTTTATTTGCCAGGTTCTTAATCAGATTACTGCTTCAGGGTGGAGCCCTTGGAGGAACAGGGCCAGGAAAACATGCAGTTTCTATGGCTTAATAAATAGGCAGAGCTGGAAAGCAAAAAAGATCCCCCAAAATTTAAGGGTCCCATTTTATATCATATCTTAAATCCCAAAAAAGACAAATGCTACAGAACAAGACAGTGCAATGATTTTACTGTGCATTTCACTGCAAAGCAATTCAAAGCCACTCAACCTACTCTGTGATTACCCCATCTTCCATGGGAGTCTTAGGTCTCAGTGTGGGGCAGGGATGAGCACATTGCCATACCTTCTAGGTGGCCAAGAGCATGCTCCTCTGATCCAAACATGTGAAAAGCCAAGTATTCACCTTTAACTGTCATTAGCTATTCCCCAAAGCATATTTCCTACCCAGTTATTACACACCAAAGTTCTATTATAATGTGGAGCAATTTCTGATCCCCCCAAGGGTTAAAAACACCTGATAATGCAATGCAAAAGAGAAAAGAGCCTTAGATTGTGAAGGGATCTCTCCACTTCTGGTTCCTGGGGTTTCATGAGAAAAAAAAAAAAAAAGAGTTTTTTCCCAAAACAAGGTCTGTGGCACTACTTGTTGTTCACAAGGAGTCCCAGGCTTTTAGAGCTTGAATATCCTCTTTTAATTAGGCTGACTTTTAAATGTAATACTCTTTTTAAAAAGATCCTTTTAAATTTCTTATTACCCAAATTTAGCCAGGCCAAATGGCCAATATTTCTGTCCTCAAAGAAAGAAAAATTCAACATGGTTTGTGGAGGGGAAGATAATCAACAAATGGTAAATGTCATGCAGATATCAAACCAGAAAGGGCTTATTCCCTAAGCCAGGAATTGAACCCTGAACCTGTGCCACCACTGGAAAAACACAAAGCCTTAGCTGCTAAGCTGCAGAATTGGAAATATTTTATTGCTCTTCCCAGGAGACTAGAGCAGTCAATTTTGAGATTGCATTGGCTTTTAACTGCTCAATTTAATTTTCAGAGATAACTATGACATGTACCCCCAAATTCCTCTTCCCTGGATGGCAGAGACCAAGAGAAAGTACCACCACATGTATACAAGATATGGCAGAGACCAAGACAAAGCTCCCAAGGACATTTTTCAACATGCGATCTCTGGGCAAGAAGGTTCCCCTGAATGACAGAAAAGATAGGACAGGGAAAGAAGAGAAAGAGAGAAAAGCATTGCCTGAAGCAGAGTGGGGAAGGTGAGGAACTCAGGGAGGCCAGAGAAAGACCCACCCACTGCAGTTAGACTTAATCAAAAGTTCAAGCAGCTGCTTTTCAGTCACAAACGGATCTTACCCAGAAGTCCCATCAGCTCTCGAGTGTCTCCCTTTTGGGGAAAAATAGCTCGCCATGTCCTTTGATCCTGAATATGTTTAATTCTGTCTCCCGTAGCCATCAGCAAAGAGTGCAAGGCAGATAAGTCCAAAGAAAATAGCAGTTAACATCCAGTAGTGCCAAACCCACTTTTAGCCGAGAGGAACTTTACTGAGAGGGGCCTCCAACCCCATAAATCTTAGGAAGGGCTCTAACCTTCCTAAGTTGGGCCCCAAACAGGTTCAGTCAAGCACCCTTGCCTTTTATTAAGAGGGGGTCTTTAACCCTCTCTATCTTAGGGCAGACTCTAACTTTTCTAAGTTGGGTCTCTAACCCAATTCCATTCTTTACCGAGTTAAATGCGCCTCACTTACCCAAAGTTGGCCAAGTGGTGCTGCACACAGAAGATTTTCCTTTGGGTCGGGGGTCATTTCAGTATAATCCCTTAGTGGTTTGCCAGAAAGATGTTACCAGAAAGGAGTCTGAATCCAGACCCCAAGGGAGGGTTCTTGGATCTCACACAAGAAAGAAATCAAGGCAAGTCCATAAAGTAAACACAAATGTATTAAGAAAGTGAGGGAATAAAAGAATGGCTACTCCATAGGCAGAGCAGTGGCTTGCACTGCTCCATTAAGGATACTTCTAGTTATTTCTCAATTATATGTTAAACGTGGGCTGGATTATTCATGAGCTTTCTGGGAAAGGGATGTGTGCTTCTAGGAACTGAGGGTTCCTCCCCTTTTTAGACCATATAGAGTGACTTCCTGACATTGTCATGACATTGGTAAACTGTCATGGTGCTGTTGGGCGTGGCTTTTAGCATGCTAATGTATTATAATTAGCATATAATGAGCAGTGAGGACAACCAGAGGTCACTTTCATCCCCAAATTGGCTTTGGTGGGTTTTGGCCGGCTTTTTTTGCTGCAACCTGTTTTATCAGCAAAGGAAGACTTTATAACCTGTATCTTGTGCTGACCTACTAGATCATCCTGTGACTTAGAATGCCTAACCTCCTGGGAATTCAGCCCAGTAGGTCTCAGTCGTATTTTACCCATCCCCCATTTTAGATGGAGTTGCTCTGGTTTAAACACCTCTGACATCATTACCACATTTTAGCTAGGACAGATTGTTGATATTTCAGAGGTAACAAGTATCAAAACACAAAGGTCTTGATTTAGGAAGCAAACTCAGGCTGTCATAGGGAAAATAAGAAAGAAAGGAGAACCTCAGCTATGAAACTGCAGCATGGGGTGACAGCCCTTGCTCTTTCAGTTTGGTTTGTCTAGCAAAAAGATGGGCTTATTATGTAAATAAAGCCAGTTAAGTAGTCAAAATAAAAAATCGTTTTTGTTGTTTGCTGTTTTTCTCCCAACCCATTCCCCATCTTTTTTATTTTTATTTTTTGTGTGTGGAAATTTAGCCACTTCAGAGGCCTTGTTCTCCATAATTTGGAACTTTCCTTTGGATTTGATCAAGTCGGATAGAGTTGGTCAAACCCAATGGGAAAAAGACCAAATCAACAACAAATACAGAAACAAACAAAGAACAACAAGAAACCATTAAGCAAAACAAATGATCTCCCAATTTATCTGATTACTGAGTGCTCTAATGTTAAGGAGAAATTAAGACCAGCTTGTTGTTAGTCTTAACTTTAGCCAAGAAAAATACCCCAATTCAGCTACATACCTAGGGATGGATCTCAGGCTGAAGACTGTTCTCTACCATCCTAGAAGCAGGAAAAAACTTAAACTTTTCTCCCGTTGGAAACAAGCTCAAACTCCAGAAAGGAGTTACCTGCCTTTCATCATCATGGAAACAGGAAAACTTGCCTTCCTTATTGGAAGCAAGTAAAACTCCAAAAAAAAGGAGCTGTACAGCAAAATACACTTTAGACTTTAACCAAATTATTGAAGATCAGGGATTCTCTGGAAGCACGGGGGAAGTTGGCGGGGAGGGGGAAGGTGGCTTCCAGACCTCAGCAAAATGTTCTATTAGTTTGAGCCTTAAGGATAGCTCAAGCTGGTACCGGACACCAATAGGAGTTTTGTCAATGTCAGGGCACCTCCACTAAGAATCCCTTAATGGTTACCAAACTGTGAACCCCAAATATCTGAGACTGATCTCAGCAAATTTAGAAAGTTTATTTTGCCAAGTGAGAACATGTGCCGTAACACAGCCTCAGGAGGTCCTGAAGACATGTGCCCAGGTAGTCAGGGAACGGTTTGGTTTTATACATTTTAGGGAGACATGAGAATTAAATCAATATATGAAAGATGAACATTGGTTAGGTCCAAAAAAGGTGGGATGACTAGAATTGAGGAGTGGGCTTCCAGGTCATAGGTAGATAAGAGACAAAGGTTGAATTCTTTTGAGTTTCTCATAAGCTTTTCCAACAGAGGCAATCAGATATGCATTTACCTCAGTGAGCAGAAGGATGACTGAATAGAATGGGAGGCAGGTTTGCCCTAAGCAGTTTCTAGCTTGACTTTCCCTTTAGCTCAGTGATTTGGGGGTCCCACGATTTATTTTTCTTTTGCACTACAGTACACCTGTTGTTAGATTCTAGTCTTGCCTCATGTTTTTGAATTTTTATTATTTTCTACAGCATGGACTGAATTCTAAAATTTTTCCTGGCTACAAGTCTTCAAAATAATACTTACAATTTTATTTTCTTTCCTTCCCCCTCCCAACTTTTCCTGATTTGAAATCACCAAAAATTAACCTGTGCTTTCTTTAAGCCCTGCAAACTGAAGCGAGAAAAGGTAAACTTCAGAAGAAAATGAAATGGCAGCAACCTACTTACATATATAAACCACTTGCATACCTGCCTACTGATGTATGAACTTCAGAGTAAGATGGCCTATATTGATTTTTCAGGATTGCTCTTCATATTTTTTTTGCTGTTGTTTTTCTCCCTTCTTCCTCCTGTTTTTTCTTTGTAGAACGTAAGAATTCACAACCTACTAAAAATGACCTTTCCTGATAACGTGAGACCTACCTGTCTAGGAAAAAACCATCCTAGCCATGAGGCAAATCTGGAACAAAAAAAACCTCTTTTTCTTCTAAAATGCTTTCTCCAAAAGATTTTAAAAAGGGGTTAAATGTCAAAGGAAAATAAATCTTGGGACCCCCCCCACCCCCGGCAAATCACTAAGCCAATAAAAACATCAAGCTGGGGACTATGTCAGGCAAATCTGTCTCCCATTTTATTCCTAAACAAGATAGCTACAAAGATTAAAAACAAAAAAAAAAAGCTACATATCTCCCTCATTATTTGCCCACAAAGAAATTATTTGTGGACAAAGGACAGACAGACCTCAAAGTCATCCCTCTTAGGCCAAGGGCATGTCTGATTTCTTCCTCTACCCTATTGTTTTACTAAGGTCAGACTAAGGGATAAGTGACTATTACTATACCTCCTCTCACATGTAAATTGCGTATTTGGTAAAAGGCTAATCAGAGACTCAAAGGAATGCAACCTTTTGTTTCTTATTTATCTATGACCTGGAAGTCACCTCCCCCTCCTCCAGTTTTCCTGCCTTTCTGGACAGAACCAGTGTACATCTTACAAATACAGATTGATGTCTCCTGTCTCCCTAAAATGTGTGAAACCAAGCTGTGCCCAGACAACCTTGGGCACAAGTCATTAGGACCTCTTGAGGCTGTTTCATGGGCATGTCCTTAACCTTGGCAAAGTAAACTCTCTAAATTGGTTGAGACCTGTCTCAGGTATTTTGGGTTCACACTTTAAACCGCGAGTGGTTTATGGGTTAAATCCTTAAGAAGTTACTGGGCCTTAGGACAATAGATGGAACAAGTCTCTTCCTCCAGCTGATAACTAGTTCCTCCTTGTTGGTCTTTTCCTTTTGGCTTTTCTATTTTATTATTTTGCATGTAGTTACTGGCAATGTAGTGGGTACATTATCCCAGTTATCCCAGTTCCTATTATGGTGACACAGTTCTACTTCTTAAAAAAGGGTGCTGGTTGTTTTCCCATGATTTTCCTTGCCAGCTCAGCTTAACTTATTTCCCCTGGGGAGTTTGAGCTTTTAAATCCCTTCTGAGTGGCACCCTGGTGAGAAATTGTCAAAGACAGGGCCCAACATATGTCTCACGGTTTGCAACATTTTTTCTTTTTTTTTTTTTTTTTTTTTTTTTTTTTTTTTTTTTTTTGAGACGGAGTCTCGCTCTGTCGCCCAGGCTGGAGTGCAGTGGCGCGATCTCGGCTCACTGCAAGCTCCGCCTCCCGGGTTCACGCCATTCTCCTGCCTCAGCCTCCCGAGTAGCTGGGACTACAGGCGCCCGCTACCACGCCCGGCTAATTTTTTGTATTTTTAGTAGAGACAGGGTTTCACCGTGTTAGCCAGGATGGTCTCGATCTCCTGACCTCGTGATCCACCCGCCTCGGCCTCCCAAAGTGCTGGGATTACAGGCGTGAGCCACCGCGCCCGGCCATGCAACATTTTTTCATGAGTAGCCACCTCCTTTGGAGTCTTTAGAGAATCAGGAATATAGATTTCCATGTATTTACTCGTTTTAAGTAATGATTTAGCTGGCTCAGTCCAAAGGTTTGGTGTGGCCATATCCCGCTGGGGAGAGACTAGAATTTACATCACTTTTAGCAGCAGATCAGATGGGACAACAGCAGAGGCATGATATTTACAAAGCTGCTGCCCCTAACTTCACTTAGCTGACTGGCCTAGTCCTGCATCTCAGCTTCACTGGCTCCTTAACCTGCCATAGTAGTCCCTAAGGATGAAGATGCCTTCTCATTAAAGAATTCCCCAAACCACCAGTCCCACTGCAGGAATCTCCATTATGGGATCAAAGAAAATCCATTTTTTTTCTCTAGAGGCCTGCATTTCTTCTCTTTCTTATTAAGGCCCACAGGTATTACAATATTCAGAGCCTGCCTAGTGAGGGGTCCCAGTAAATGGTTTAGCCTCCTTCCCTGAGTATCTCAACACCTGTAACACAGAAATTCAGTTTTCATGATGTAGGTTCAAAGACATTTTGGTGCTTCCTCGGTCAGACTAATGAGACACAGGAGAAAACCATGAAAACTATAGAGTATAATACAGCATGAAGCAATGCCATGTCAAACTAAAGCAGAGGTGTTTTACATTTTAAGCCCCAACCACTTAAAGCTATCCAGGATCATTATGTCAATGGATGGTCTCACTGGCTAGGCAGTCTTCATGCCCATACTCTAATCGCCAAAATCCCATCTTTGTCATCACCTGTTTGAGTCCAGGGATTTGGGGCTAATCAAGGAAGAAGCTATGATGATGAGAGGCAGTAACACTCAAGAAGCTTTATTAGGCAGTGCTTTCACATGACAGGATAAAACTTTCACAGCCTGAAACTGTCCCGAAGCATATGGCCAGGGGTCCATGACACAGAAGGGGAAAAGACAAGGGAACTCTCTGAAGAGAGCACAGATGTATCAGAGAGGGGCCTATATGTCTAGGCGATGTCACTCAGTATTATAGAAAGAAGTCTCTGGATCAGATGTTCAAAAGGAAAAAAGCAATTTTGATGTGCAAAAATTCATTTGGCACCAGCAGGTTTTTGAGCTAACAGTTATCATATTGCAGTGAAGAAGTAAACAGCAACTTAAACAAATTTACGAGAAAAAAACAGCCCCATCAAAAAGTGGGCAGAGGATATGAACAGACACTTCTCAAGAGTAGACATTAACGTGGCCAACAAATATATTTTAAAAAGTTCAACATCACTGATCATCAGAGAATTGCAAATCAAAGCCACAATGAGATACCATGTCACGCCAGTCAGAATGGCGATTATTAAAAAGTCAAGAAACATTAGATGCTGGCGAGGCTGTGGAGAAATAGGAACGCTTTTACACTGTTGGTGGAAATGTAAATTAATTCAACTATTGTGGAAAACAGTATGGTGACTCATCAAGGATCTAGAACCAGAAATACCATTTGACCCAGCAATCGCATTACTGGGTATATACCCAAAGGAATATGAATCATTCTACTATAAAGACACATGCACACATGTGTTTATTGCAGCACTATTTACAATAGCAAAGACATAAAACCAGCCCAAAGGCCCATCAATGAGAGACTGGATAAAGAGAATGTGGTACATATACACCATGGAATTCTATGCAGGATTGGGGGACGAGGGGAGAAAACTTAGAGGATGGGTCACTGGGTACAGCAAACCACCATGGCACATGTATACCTATGTAACAAACCTGCACATTCTGCACATGTATCCTGTTTTTTTTTTTTTAGAAGAAATAAAGAAAAATGAAAATTAAAAAAAAAACACACACACAGGAGAAAAGAATTAAACAACCTAGGGTTCAATACACATAGGTCATCTTTGGCTCATTATACTACACTGTTATCATTGCCATGATTCAAAAAGGTATTTTATATTGGAATGTGTATATGTGTATTAGCAATTCCCCATGCTGCCATACACCCCACCTTTAGGTAGTGACTCTGCTGCATATTTCCTACATATTATCTTATTTCATTCTCAAAATAACTCTTTGAGGTGTATATCACTGATATTGCTAATTTGACAATTTAAGTGTGCGAATATTATTCTAAACCAGAATTCTGGAGGACCACAATAGGCTAATATTTACTAGTAAGCACTGGAATTGATTTTAATTTTAGTCCTAATAGCCCTTTTCATTTACCCTTGTAATGTTATAGGATATTCTGTAACACTATGTGGAGTCCTTTGCTACCTTAGAGCATCCTGCCCAATGATTTGTTCCTCCCTTTACAAGCAGCTACCTTCTCAATGTGGCTAATATTACTTCTAGATCTCTCATGTCAATGCTGGGGTCATTCTTCCTGTCCCACTTATGTGACCTTTGATAAGAAATGTATACATCAAATATACCTCACTCTCATTGACATGAACCTTTCAACAAACAAACCAAAAATATTTCATGATTTTGATGACTCATTTCCATGAGTTCTTCATCTGAGCCTTAAAGTTATCAGTGCCAACTGGAAAAATTGGGAATTTCTGATAAATGATTGTCACATTTCTGCAAATGAAGATTCATAAAGGCTCATCTGCATTTTTCAGAACATATGCACATCCATTCCTAATGAGCTTGCCTTCTACTAATGCCTTAAAATTTAAATAAGTGGATTTAATTCACCTTACCATCAAATAGAAACAGTGAAATCCTGAAAATATTACTTCGCTGTATATACCCAGCAGCCACTTAATGGAATCTTCAGGATAAAGCAAGATAATAAAATCACAAAGGGGAAGTAATTCAATTTAAAAGTGCTTGAGATTTCATGACTTTTCCCTGGACATGTTTTATTTATATGGTTTTGAAGCATATCTTTAATTATTTATCAGGTATCTGGAATTGGCCTTCTCTGGTTAGCAGACCCATAGAAACCATAAGGAATCTATCCAGATTATCAACACTTCATGGCCATTGGATGCTTTACATGGAAATTTAGATGTAGTGGCCTCATGAAAAATTTTTGTTTATTCAAAAATAAATAATATTTTTTAAGATCTCTATTACAACTTTCAGTCAGATTGACCATTCTGAAACACTGCATGATGTAAGCAGTAACTTCAGCAGGGTGGCAGAATATTAAAGCCCCATATGCTTCTTCACCCAAGGAAACAAGAATTTAACTAAAACATATGAGTCAGTAGCCTTTGTGACAAATCCAAAAACCAGTTAAAAGGTTCCTGCACCAAGGTGAGCTGAAGCCAGGAAAAAGAAAATATGGCATTTACTCAACAGAGCACCTCCTTCCCCAGTACAGTACAATGTGATTGGGAGGAAATCCCTAATTTCTAACTTCTCCTTTGAAATGGAAAGGAGTGGAATCCACAGCTAACATTTTGACTTCTCATGGTGCTGTCCAAGCAACTATTTTCTAACTTGCCTGCATCTAAGTGATGACAAGAATAAGTGGCTAAATTGCAGACCACTGAAAACAAGAACATGACTAATTCTACAACTAGAGTTAGCAGGCTTCAGTTCTATAGCTTACTGCCCCCACTTAGAGGCTGCAATATCGCAGAGCGACACTAGAGGGATTTCCTAAGCAGAAACATGCATGTTGTTTCACTTAGGAAACATTCACAAGCCCTCAAAGAACTAGAAGAGGAAAACAAATTGAACCCAATATTAGCAGAAGAAGAATAATTAATAAAGATTAGAGAAGAGATAAATTAGAGAACAGAAAAGCAATAGAAAAAAATAAGCAAAACCAAAAGATAGTTTTTTGACAAGATCAATAAAATTGACAAATCTTTAGTTAGAATATTACAAAAAGTAGAAGACTCAAATAACTGAATTTAGAAATGAAAGAGGGGATATAAGAACTGATGTGACAGAGATAAAAAGGAGTATAAAACGCTACAATAAAAATTATAACTAACAAATTGAATAATATAGGAAAAAACGATAAACTTATAAACATACAACCTAGTCTGTATGAATCACAAAGAAATGAAAAAAATTCTGAACTGGACTATAACTAGTAAGGAAATTTAAGCAATAATCAAAAACTTCCCATACCAAAACAAGCCCACAATCAGCTATCTTCACTGATGAATTCTACCAAATGTTCCAAAATCAGCACCAATTTTCAAAGTTTTCTTTTGGTCCAGTGTGGGTCTAGAAATGCTGTCCAGTAGCTAAAGCCTGAAATCTGTAGCTTCAGTAATCTGCTTGGTGCTTTATTTCAATATGGCTAAACTGGTACCTTAGTTGCAAGATAAACTTCTCTGTACTCTTCCCTGTCATCTTCTAAAGTGGAAGGAGATTCTATCTGTGATCTGCACTTCCTGGAATTCGGGCGGTGTTATACAGTCACTACCTTGACTGCCACAGCTGATGTTTCACTGGGTCTTCTGCATTCCAAGTCCACTGCCTCCAACTCCAGCACATAACCAGGGCTTGGACAAGGACTACAGTCCTTGTGGCATGATGGATACACAAATTAATTCTAGGTCCCAGGGGCCACACTAGCCAGCTAGTGGTGGAGCCAGGTATTTCTTGGCTTTCTCCTGCTGACATTAAGAATTGTCATTGATTCAGAGCTGGTCTGAATGCTTTTTCCATGGGTGTTGGCAGAATTCTGCCTTATGTTGCATCGCACTGTTACAGAGCAGCACTAAGTTCCAATGCCAAGTCTTACAATCACTTTGCTGTTTCTCCCTCAGGCTCACACAATACCTCTCCATACAGCACTGCTGTGGGATGGGGGAGGAATGGTGTAGGCAATACAAGATTGTTCTTTCTATCTTCTTCAGTACCACTTTCCTTCATATTAGGTTAACACCATGTACTATGATTGCTTATATGATTTTTTGGTTCTCATGAAGATATTCCTTTTTACTTTTTCAATTTGGTGTTCCTGCAGAGGTACAATTGCTAGAAGGATCTATCTAGTGATCTTGCTCAACCTCCTGCATTTTTTTGTAATATATTTTGAAATCAGCTTGTGTGATGCCTCTGGATTATTCTTTTTCACTTAGGATTGCATTGACCTTCAAGGCTTTTGGGGTTCCATATACACTTTATATTTTTTTCTTTTTGTGTGAAATATGACTTTGGTATTTTGATATGGGTTGCATAGATTGGTAGATTTCTTTGGGCAGTATTGTCATTTTAATTATATTAATTCTTTCAATCGATGAGCATGGGATGTCTTTCCATTTGTTTGTGTCCTCTTCAATTTTTGTCATAAATGTTTTGCAGATTTGCATGCAGAGAACTTTCATCTCTTTTGTTACATTTATTTCTCAGTATATTGTATTTTTGTAGCTATTTTAAATGGGTTTGCTTTCTTGATTTTTTTCTCTCAGGTAATTCATTACTGATATATATAATTGCTATAGATTTTTGTATTTTGATTTTGTGTCCTGCAAATTTACTACATTTATTTATTAGATCTAATAATTTTTTGGTGGAGTCTTTAGTTTTTTCTTTTTTCTTTTTTTTTTTTTTTGAGGTGTAAGATCATATCATCAGCAAAGATGGACAATTTGACTTTTTTTTTTTTTTTTTTTTTTTTCAATTTGAATGCCTTTCGTTGTCTCCTCTTACCTGATTTATCTGGCCGGGATTTCTAGTATGATGTTGAATGTGAGTGTTGAAAGTGAGAATTCTTGTCCTAGTTCTTAAAGGAAATAATTTTAGCTTTTCCACATTCAGTATGTTAGCTGTGGGTTTGTCATATATAATCTTTATTGTGTTTAGGGTTATTTCCTCTGTCACTGTTTGAGTTTTTATTATGAAAGAGTTAATTTTTATCAAATATTTTCTTGCATCTATTCATATTATCTTTTTTTGTTCTTCATTCCATTGATTTGATGTATTTCATTTATTGTTTGCATATGTTGAATCGTCTTTGAATCACTGGGATAAATCCTATTTAATTTAATCATGATGCATTATTTTGTTGAAGCACTTTGGATCCAGTTTTCTGGTATTTTGTTAAGAATTTTTGCATCTGTGGACATGAGGGATATTGGCCAGTAGGTTTCTTTTTGTGCATTCTTGTCTTGTTTTGATATCAGGGTAATGCTGTCCTCATAGAATGAGTTAGTGAGAATTCCTTCCTCCTTACTTTTTAAGAATAGTTTGAGAAAAATTGGTGTTAGTTTTCTTTTGAATGCTTGGTAGAATTCACAGTGAAGTTATCTGGACCTGAACATTTCTTTGTTGAGAGATTTTTAAAAACGGATTTAATCTCATTACTTGTTATTGGTCCGTTAAGGTTTTCTGTTTGTTCTGGATTGCATCATGATAGGCCGTATGTGTCCAGGAATTTCTTCTTTTTCTCTACATTTTCCAGTGTCAGTGTATAGTTGTTCATAATTGCCTCTAATGATCTTCTTTTTATTTCTGTGGTATCAGTTTTAATGTCTCTTTTTTCATTTCTGATTTTACTTATCTGACTCTTTTTTCTTTTTCTTGGTTTGGCTGGTGGCTTATCATTTTTTATCTTTATAAACAATCAGCTTTTAATTTTGGTAATACTTCATTTTAATTATTTATGTATTCTTTTGTTTGATTGTTTATTTTGAGACAGAGTCTCACTCTGTCATCCAGGCTGGAATGCAGTGGCGTGATCTAGGCTCACTGCAACCTCTGCCTCCCGGGTTCAAGCAATTCTCTTGCCTCAGCCTTCCAAGTAGCTGGGATTATAGGCATGCACCATCACACCTGGCTAATTTTTACATTTTAGTAGAGATGGGGTTTTGCCATGTTGGCCAGGCTGGTTCCAAACTCCTAACGTCAGGTGATCCACCGGCCTCAGCCTCCCAAAGTGCTGGGATTACAGACATGAGCAACCGCATCCTGCCTAATTTTGGTAATACTTCGTTTATTCTTTTAGTCTCTATATATTTGATTCTGTTCTTATCTTTTAATTCCTTTACTTCTGCTACTTTTGGATTTGGTTTGTCTTTTCTTTTCTAGTTCCTTGAGCTGCACCATTAGATTGTTTGAAATCTTTCTACTTTTTAAATCTAGGTATTTTTTGTTATAAACTTTTGTCAGTGTTGCTATTGTTGTGTGTCAGAGATTTTGGCATGTTGTTTCGATTTTCATTTGTTTCAAGAAATTTTTGATTCCCTCCTTAATGTTTTCCTTAACCCAAGGGTGTCTTAGGATAATGTGGGTTAATTTACATGTGCTTGTATAGTTTTCAAAGTTTCTCTTGTTACTGATTTTTAGTTTCATTTTATTGTGGTCTGAGAAGATACATAGTATAATTTCTATTTTATTTCTATTTTTAAAAATTTGTTGAGAGTTGTTTTGTGTCCTAACATATGGTCTATCTTGGATAGTATTATTTTTTGTAAGACAGGGTCTTGCTCTGTCACCCAGGCTGGAGTACAGTGGTATGATCACAGCTCATTACAGCCTTGAACTCCTGAGCTCAAGGGAACCTTTCACTTTGGCCTTCTGAGTAGCTAGGACTACGGGTGTGCGTCACCACACCTAGCAAATTAAACACATTTTTTTTTTTTTTTTTTTTTTGTAGAGACAAGGTATTGCTATGTTGTTCAGGCTAGTTGCGAACTCTTGGCCTAAAGTTATCCTCCTATCTCGGCCTTCTGAAGTGCTGGGATTACAGGCAGGAGCCACTTTGCCGGGGTTCTGGAGAATATTTTATGTGCTCATGAAAACAATGTGTATTCTGTAGCTGTGGGATAAAGTGTTCTTTAAATGTTTGTTGTGTACATATGATCTAATGTGCAGTTTAAATCCATGTTCCTATGTTAATTTTTTAAGATGATCTGTCTAACATTAAGTCACATTTTGAAGTCCTTAACTATTTTTGTATTGGAGGCTATCTCTCCCTTTAGATCTAGTATTTACCTACCTGGTGCTCAGGTGTTGAATGCATATATATTTAAAGTTTTTATATTCTCTTTCTGAATTGTTGTTTTTGCCACTATATAATGACCTTTTCTGTCTCTTTTTACTGTTTTTGACTTAATGTCTTTTATATTTGGTATAAGTATAGCTACTCCTTCTCCCTTTGGTTTTCTCTTTGTATAAAATATCTTTTTCTATACCTTTACTTTCAGTTTGCATGTGTCTTTACAGATGAAATTAGTTTTTTGTAGGTAGCATACAGTTTGGTAATTTTTAAAAATCCATTCCCTTCAACCACTTTATATATTTTCAGTAGAAAATTTAATCCATTTACATGTAATGCTGTTATTGATATGTGAGGGCTTACTTCTGTCTGTTAATTTATTTGTTTGTTTTGGATATCATTTATTTATTTCTTTCTCCTTGATTGTATAATATTGTGGCTTGAGGCTACTCTGTAGTGATAACACTGAATTTTTTTCTCCTCTGTACTTTTGTGTTTGCTGTACCAGTGATTTCAATATTTTGCTCTGTTTTTGTGATGATAGTCATCAGCCTTTTCCTATAAGACGCAGGACTTCTTAAGCATGTCTTGTAGTACTGGCCAAGCTGTGATTGACTTACTTAGCTGTTGCATGTCTGGGAAAGTATTTCATCTTCATTTATAAAGGATACTATTGCTGTGTAGAGTATCTTTGGCTGCCATTTTTTTTTATCACTTTGAATATACTATCCTATTCTCTCCTGGCCTGTAAGATTTCTGCAGAGAAATTTGCTGATGTGGGTTTCTTTACAAGTGACTAGCCATTTTTTTTGCTGTTTCTAAAATTTTCTCTTTGTATTTGACTTTTGACAATTTGAGTATAATGTGCCTTGGAGAAGACTGTTTTGAATTGTGTTTTTGGGGATCTTTGAGTTTCCTCTATGTGGATGTCTAAATCTCTTGCCAGTTTTGGGAAATTTTAATCTATAATTTTTCCAAATATTTTTAACTGTTGTTTTTTGCATTCTAAGACTCCAAAAATTTGAATATTTGATCACTTTATGGTATTCCACGTGTCACGTAGGCTTTGCTAATTCTTCTTAACATTTATTTCTTTATTTTTGTCTGAATGTGTTATTTTAAAAGACCTGGGTTTACATTCTGAAATTTTTCTTTATTTGATCTACTCTATTCCTGAAGCTTTCAAATGTATTTTGTATGTTATTCCATAAATTTCAGTTCCAGAATTTCTGTTTGCTTTTTATAGCTACATCTTTGTTAAATTTCTCATTCAGATACTGATTTTTTTTTTGTTTTCATTGGATTGTCTTGCAGTATTTTCTAGTATCTCAATGAACTTCTTTAGTACCACCATTTTGATTTGTTTCTCTAGAAATTTACTCATTTTTTTTATTGGAATCTTATGCTGGAGAATTAATTTGTTCCTTTTGAAGAGTCATATTTTCTTGCGTTTTTAAATGTTTCTTGTGTCTTTACATCAATATTTGAACACTGGTGTAACAGTCACCACTTCTATTTTTTTGAATTTGTTTTCGTAGGGGAGGAATATTCCTGAAGATGTATCTATGATTTTGCTTGTGCAGATCACTTTGGCTTTGGTTCTGAGTGTGTTTAGTAGTTTAGTCTCTGTATATATTTTCCAGCTGTAAATAGCATCAGTGATAGCTTTGATTTCCTTGGTGGCTTTGGTTGTGGTTGTTAGTGAAGAGTATGGTAAATTTTTCCTGGGAGCTAGGATGCCATATGGTTCAGTATTCAGGCCACACTGGAGGCAGTGGCAGGCTGAGTATGGCAGTTCTTGGTCCTCAGAGCAGTGTATGCTGGCAGCAGTGTTATCAGGTCTAGGCTGACCAAATATCAGGTCTCCAGGTGGCTTTCTTAGATGCTGGTAGTGACAGTAGTAAGTTAGGTAGATGGACAGGATTTGATCACCTGAGCAGTAGGTGTGAAGTAGATGAAGGAAGTAGCTGTTCTGAGACAACTCTTTGAAATCAAAGCTGTTCATGCTGGTATCAATGGTGGCTTTGTTGGGCCTGGCAGACTGCTCTCCACCTTCATATGTGGCATGAGCAGTTGGGTGCCAGCTGTGGTGGTAGCAGCAGGTTTAGTGAGCCTGACCTCAGACACTAAGAGAAGTGCTCAAGGACCAATCAATGGTTGACTGAACTGGGTAATCTTCAGGCCCCTAGATGTCATGCTCACGTACTAGGGGTGTGTAGCCAGGCCAAAAAAAATCTTCCCTCAGGCTTCTCAGTGATATGTTCAGGTATTACTTCTTGTAGACAGGAGCAGCATAAAACCCAGACTCCCAGCAGAATGCTCAGGTGGTAGCACTTGCCACTGTGCTGTGGTTCTGTCATGGGGAGTGCAGGTTTTTCTTTTTTGAGTGGAAGCAGCTTTAGGCAGGCAGCTGAGGGCTATGTTTTGGTCATTTCTTGGTGCCACATCTGCCTGCAGCAGTGGCAAATGTGGGCAATGAAATTTATCCTTAGGGTGATTGGAAATTTCTGGCTGCTTTCCTGCTGGGGAAATCAGTGGTTGTAGGTGAGGAATGCCAATAGGGCTCCATGGATGTTGAGATGCAGAAGCTGTTAAACCCCAAGAAGGACACAGTTTGGTGGGTGTTGTGCTGTTAAAAATGGCACCGTGCTGCAGCTGCTTATGATTTAGGGAGTTGTGGGACCCAGGGTGAGCTCTGTCTCTCTTTCTCTCTCTTTTTCTGGAGCAGTGTCTTTGTGCAGTTTCCAGGCAGCTGCTTATATTTTTCTTGGTGTTCCCGAGGGTCTAGGTACTCTCTTGCGGCTATGATTTTAGGAGTCCTCTGCAGGAAAGTGGACTGCTGAGGATCTCTCACTTACCTGTCCTGCATTAGGAAGGCTCTCCAGGCTCCCCAACAATCCTGGCCATATAGGCAAATAGGCTGCCTTGCTTCCCTACTTCCTTTCTTTTTGCGCTTGTCATTATTCCTCTGTTGAATTCCAGTGTTCTTTCCTAGATGATCTGTTTTTAGGTGTGATTATCTCCTAGCTAGTTTTGTGTGTGTGTGTGTGTGTGTGTGTGTATGTATATATATATATAATTAAATTAAATATATTGTTAAGCTATACATATGTGGAACACACACAACTCAATAGGCTAAAGGTAAGTAATATGACTCCATATATATAATATATGGAATATTTTATATATATAATATATGGAATATTTTATATATATAATATATGGAATATTTTATATATATATAATATATGGAATATTTTATATATATATAATATATGGAATATTTTATATATATATAATATATGGAATATTTTTTATATATATAATATATGGAATATTTTATATATATATATATACACTCAGAAAGTAAATGTGCAAGTTTGTAACATGCATATATTGTGTAATGGTGAGGTTTGAAATTCTAGTGTGCCTATCACCCAAACAGTAAACATTGTACCCAATAGGTAGCTTTTCAACTCTCCACCTGCTCCCACCCTTCTCCCTTTGGTAGTCATCTGTGTCTGTTATTTTCCTCTGTATACTCATGTGTAGCCATTGTTTAGCTTCCACTTCTAAGTGAGAACAAGAGGCATTAGATTTTCTAATGCTATTTCTCTTAGAATAAAGGCCTCCAGTTCCATTCATGTTGCTGGAAAGGAGATGATTTAATTTTTTTGTTAAGGCTGTGTAGTAATTCATAGTGCATATATAGCACATTTTCTTTATCCAGTTATCTCTTGATGGACACTTTGATTGATTTCACGACTTTGCTTTTTAAAATAGTACTGCAATAAACATATAAGTGCAGGTATCTTTTTGATATAATATATATTTTTTTCACTTTGGCAGATCTCCAGTAGTGAAATTGCTAGGTCAAATAGCAGTTCTGTTTTTAGTTCTTTGAGAAATTGCCATACTGTATTTCATAGAGATTGTACTAATTTACATTTCTGCCAACAGTGTGTAAATGTTTTCTTTTTTTGCACCCTCACCAATATCTGTTTTTTTATGTTTTAATAGTAGCCATTATAACTGTTATGAAATGGTATATCATTGTTGTTTTAATTTGCATTTCTCTGATGACTAGTGATGACCATTTTTCATGTTTGTTGGATGATGCTTCTAGATCTTCTTTTGATAAATATCTGTTGATGTACTTTGCTCACTTTTTAACTGTTATTTGTTTATTTCTTGTTTTTTTGAGTTTCTTGTAGGTTCTTAATGTTAAGCATCTGTCAAATGCATAGTTTGTAAATATTTTTCTCCCTTACTATAGGTTATCTGTATAGTCTGTTTATTTTGCTATGCAGCAGCTCTTTAATTTAGTTCCATTTGTCTATTTTGTTTCTGTTGAATTTGCTATTGAGAACTCAGTCAAGGTTTTCTTTTAAGAATTTTGTAGTTTCAGTCCATACATTTAAGCCATTAATCCATTGTGAGTAATTTTTGTATATGGTGAGAAATAAAGGCCCAGTTTTATTTTTCCGCATATGACTATCCATTTTTTCCAGCATAATTTATTGAATAGTGTGTTCTTTTCCCATTATATATTTGTGGTGACATTGTTGAAGATCTGTTGAATGTAGGTATGTGGCTTTATTCCTGGGTTCACTATTCTGTTTCATTGATCTGTTCCATATATATTTTTGTATCATTATTATGCTGTTTTGATTGCTATTGCCTTGTAATATAATTCAAAGTCAGGTAATGTGGTGCCTCCATGCTTGTACTTTATGCTTGGGATTGCTTTGAACATTTATGCTTTTTATTTTTGGTTCCAAGTGAGTTTTAGGATTTTTTTTGTCATTCTGTAAAATATTATGTTGTTAATTTGATAAGAATTGCACTGAATCTGTAGATTGCTTGGAAAAGTATAATCATTTTAACAATATTGATTCTTCCAAAGCATGAGCATGAAATGATTTCCATTTGTTTCTTTCATCAGTGTTTTATAGCTCTCCTTGAAAAGATCTTTCACCTCTATTATTAAATTGATTCCTGGGTATTTAAATTTTTGTGACTATTGTAAATGGTATTGAGTTCTTGATTTAGCTCTCAGCTTCGTTATTATTGGCATATAAAAATTCTACTGATTTTTGTACATCAATTTTGTATCCTAAAACCTTAGTGAAGTCATTTTTCAAGTCTAGAAGCCTTTTAGAGGAGTCTTTAGAGTTTTCTCTGTATAAGATTATGTCATAAGTGAAGAGAAATAATTTGACATCCTCTTTTCCAATTTGGATGCCTTTTACTTTTTTTCTTGCCTGATTATTTTAGCTAGGACCCAGAATACTCTGCTAAATAGAAGTGGTAAGAGTGGAGGCTGGGTGCAGTGGCTCACAACTGTAATCCCTGCACTTTCAGAGGCCTAGCTGGGTAGATCACTTGAAGCTAGGTGTTTGAGACCAGCCTGGCCAACACAGTGAAATCCCATCTCTACTAAAAATGGAAAAAATCAGCTGGCCATGATGGTGCATGCCTGTAGTCCCAGCTCCTCATGGGGCTGACGTATGAGAATCATTTGAACCCGGGAGGCAGAGGCTGCAGGGAGCTGAGCTTGCACCACTGCACTCCAGCCTGGGCAACAGGGTGAGACGGTCTCGGAAAAAAAAAAAAGAGTGGACATCGTTTTGTTCCAATTCTTAAGGTGAATGATTTCAACTTTTCCTCATTCAGTGTAATGTTGGTTGTGGGTTAGTTATATATACCTCCTATTATTTTGAGGTATGATCTTTCATTGTATAGATATTTTAGAATTTTTATCAAGAACAGATGTTAAATTGTATTGAATTCTTCTTTTGCATCTATTGACATGATTTTATGGTTTTCATTTTTATTTTGTTTATGTGGTAAAACACATTTATTTGTTTTGTCTATGTTGAACCATTTTTGCATCAATGTAATAAAACCCAGTTGACTGGGATGTGTTATCACTTTGATGTGTAGTTAATTTGTTAGTATTTTTTTAGAATTTTTGCACTTGGGTTCATCAGGGATATTGGCCAATGAGAGGTTTTTTTGGTTTGTGTGTGTGTGTGTGTGTGTGTGTGTGTGTTCCCTTACCTGATTTTGGTATCAGGGTGATACTGGTTTCAGACAATTAGTTAAGGAAAAATCCTTCTTTGTGATTTTTTGAGTAGTTTCAGTAAGATTGTTATCAACTTTTATTTACATGTCTGGTAAAATTTGGCTGTGATTCCATCTGGTCCTGGGCTTTTTTTCTCCCTTGAGAGATTTTTTTATTACTGATTCAATATCATCACACATTATTGAGTTCAGAATTTTCATTTCTCCCTGGTTCAATCTTGAGAGGTTGGATATTTCCAGGAATTTATCTATATTGATTCATTTTCTCTATGTTTTTAAGTTTGTACACATAGAGATTTTAATAATAGTCCTGGATGATTGCTTGGTATCTCTGTGGTATCAGTTGTAATCTCACCTTTATCATTTCTCATTGTGCTTATTTAAAACATTTCTCATTTTTATTGTTTAGTTACTGGCCTGCCAATTTTGAGTATCTTTCAAAAAAAATTTGATTTTATTTATCCTTCTTTTTGGTCTTTGTCTCATTTTGTTCTGCTCTGATCTTTATCACTTCCTTTCTTCTGCTAGCATTGGATTTAGTTTGTTATTGTTTGTCCAGTTTTTAGGTGCAATATTAGGTTGTTAATTTGAGATCTTTCTATCTCTCTGATGTAGGCAGTTAATGCTGTTAACATTTCTGTTAGCAGTGTCTCAGAGGTTATTGTATGTTGTGCTTATTTTTATTTGTTTCAACAAAGTTTTTCGTTTCTGCCCAATTTCATCATTTACCCAATGATCATTCAGGAGCACATTGTTTAGATTTTATTTATTTATATAGCTTTGAGAATTCTACTTGGTATTTATTTCTAATTTTGTTCAACTGTGATCCAAGTAGATACTTGATATTATTTTATTTTTTGAATTTATTGAAACTTTGTTTATAGCCAAGGATATGGTTTACTTTCAAGAAGAATGCATACTCAAAGAAGAAAAATTTATATTCTTAAGATGTTGGGTAGAGTGTCCTATAAATGTCTCTTTAGGTCCACTTGGGGTTGAGTCAAGCTTAAATCCAGAGTTTCTTTGTTGATTTTGTTTCATAATTATGTGTCTAGTGCTGTCAATGGGGTGCTGCATTCTCTACTATTATTGTATTGTTGTCTATCTCTATTTTTTGATCTAGTGGTACTTGTTTTGTGAATATGCATACTCTGATGTTTGGTGCATGTATATTTAGGATAGTTACATCTTCTTGTTGAATTGAATTATTTATTAATATATAATAACTTTGTGTGTCTATAGCTACTCCTGGTCACTTTTGTTTTCCATTTGTGTGGTATATCTTTTTCCACCATTTTACCTTCAGTCTGTGGGTGTTTATACCCCATTAGGTGGGTCTCTTGTAGGCAGCAATTTGCTGGATTTTGTGGTTTCTTTTAAATCCAATTTGCCAGCCCATATCTTTTAAGTGGAGCATTTAGTACATTTACTTTCAAAGTTAATATTGGTATGTGAGAGTTTGTCCTCTCATAATGTGGTTACCTACTTGCTTTGTAGTCTCAATTTTGGAAGTGCTTTCTAGAATCTGTGAGCTTTGTGCTTATGTGTGCTTTTTTGATGATTAGTTTCATCCTTTTGTTTCCATGTGTAGAACTTTTTTTGGGTATTTCTTTAGGTGTCAGTAATGTGGGTGATTAATTTACTTAGTGTTTGCTTGTTTGGGAAGAATTTATTTCTGTCTCATATTTGAAATTTAGATTAGCAGGATGTGAAATTCTTGGCTAGCATATTTTTTAAAAGAAGTCTGAAAATAGGCCTAGAATTTCTTCTGGCTTGTATGGTTTCTACTGAGATGTCTGCTGTTAGTCTGATGGGATTCTCTTTATATGTGACTAGATGCTTCTCTCTGGCTGCTTTTAAACCTTTTTCCTTCATATTGACTTTGGATTGTCTGATGACTACAGACCTTGGTAAGATTTGTCTTGCAGAGAACCTCCCAGGTGTTCTTTGAGCTTCTTGTGCTGGATGTTTAATTCTCTAAGTTTCACCATTAAAATTTTCTTGAATTAACCCATCAATTACATTTTCCAAGCTTTTTACTTTTTCTTCTTCTTCTTCCTAAGGAATGCCTACACTTCATGGATTTGGTCTCTTTACATAATCCCATACTTCTCAAAGACTTGGCTTATTTTTAAATACCTCTTTCTTTATTTTTGTCTGACTGGGTTAATTCAGAGGACCAGTCTTCAAGTTCTGAAATTATTTCTACCACTTAGTCTAGTCTATTATTAAAGCTTTTAACTATATTTTATAATTTCTTTAACTTTTATTTCTACAAATTCTGTGTTTTTAAAGATATGTCTCATTAGTAAATTTTTCATTCATATTCTGAATGTTTTTCTGATTTCTTTGCATTGCTTTTTCACTTTATCTTGGATCTTATTGATATTTCTTACAATATATATTTTGAATTATTTATTTGTCATTTTAAAAAATCCATTTTGGTTAGGATCCCTTGCTAGAGAGATTATATAATCTTTTGGGGGCATCAAAATATTCTGTTTGCTTTTACTGCTGAAGTTCTTATGCTGATTTATTCTCACGTGGACTGTCACTTCTTATTTTTGAGTTTGCTTTCCTTTAAAGAGGACTTTTTAATTTTTTATTCTTTTCTTTCTTGAGATGTGACAGTAATTTATGTTGTTTATGCTTGTCTTCAATTTTGGGTGATTTCTGAAGATCAAGGCTTGTATTAAGTTCGTTGGTTATAGGTAGATTTTTGTGTGTGTGTGGTGGCTTTCTCATCCTGTTTCCTAGTATTATGTCCTTCTGTCAGCACATTTTTATTTGGGTGTGCAGTTTAATCTCTATTCCATTAGGTGGCACTTACAAATGAGCTCACCCCTAGATAGCTAGGTGACAAGTAAAAGCACCCTCCCTGATGTTGGTGGCAGGGTGAGCTCATGGTGGGATGGGCTGTGGTCTCTGTGGTGGAAGGAAGAAGGGGCTGAACCATCTTCTCATCCTGAGAAGGCAGGAACATGACCAACTTTCTTACCACACTCTTGTCCTAGGTTTCATGACTTTTAGTTCAAATAGACACTGTCCTTTTTTTCCAGGCCACAGTGGAACTTAGATCTGTGGAAAATGCCCATCTGGCAGGTACCCCATAAATGACTTTGGGACAGAACCTCTTCTCTCAGGAAATGGCAGACAGCTCTGTGGCTGTTCTGCACTCACTGCAGGAATATAGAGAGGGGGTGATAAGCCCCATCCATTATGCAAGTCTGGGAATGCATACTGCAGACTTTCAGTGGTAATGCCGCTGCCCCAGATAGTGCTGAAAAGTTTGTGTCTGAGTGCATTGATATCAAGCCCTAGTAGGAAACGTAACAGCTACATTCATAGCAGTGGATCAGTGGACTGGAAGGAGACCTCCTCTCTATGACCCTTTTGGGACACTGGTGTTCCCTGTCCACCCTGTTGGAACAACACTCCCCCCCATTCACAGATAAGCACTAAGCCTTCATCTCTCTATGCTTGGAGAAGCACACTTTGGTCACAAGCAGGGGGCTCTTGGGCAGGGAAGGGCTTGTAATCAACTTTCCTCTGTCCTAGTGGGTGCTTTCATGAGCTGTGCTCCCCTTTCCTCCAGGGTTGTCCCATACCGAAGGATAGTTCTTCAGGGATCCTAAGGTCCCCAGAATCCTGCCAGTTCCCTGTGGTTGCCAGAGTCAGAGAAGTTTTTGGTAAATATTTGTGGAGAATCTAGGGATGCAGAGACACAAGGGCTGAGATTCCCTGGGCAGGATAGTGTCCCACAATGAGTGCACAACCAGAATGCCAACCAACACCTTAGCTCAAGTTTGAAGAGAAATGAATGAACCTGTGCAAGTTGGTTGCCTGATGTTCTGCTCTCAAAAACTTTTCAACTCTCTGTCAACAATGGCAATGATGCCTGGGCATACAGGGCAGAGGGTTTTTATGATAACTTGGCAGTCAGCAGTCTGCCACAGGGGTGAGGGAAGCAAAGAAATGCCTCCATCTCCTATGTCCACATGCTCTTTCTATATTTAACTTTTATTTTAAGCTCAGGGGTACGTGTGTACATTTGTTACATAGGTAAACTTGTGTCATGAGGGATTGTTGTCCAGATTATTTCATCACTCAGGTATTAAGCCAAGTACTCATTAGTTATTTTTCCTGGTCTCTCTCTTCCCACCCTCCATCCTCCAATAGATTCCAGTGTGTGTTGTTCTCTTCTATGTGCCCTTGTGTTATCATTTTAGCTCCCACTTATAAGTGAGAACTTGCAGTATTCAGTTTTCTGTTCCAGTATTAGTTTGCTAAGAATAATGGCCTCCAGCTCCATCCATGTTCCTGCAAAGCATGTTATCTCATTCTTTTTATGGTTTCTTAGTATTCCATGCTGTATATGTACCACATTTTCTTTATCCAGTCTACTGTTGATGGGGATTTAAGTTGATTCCAGGTCTTTGCTATTGTGAATAGTGCTGTGATGAACATACCTATGCATATGTCTTTATGATAGAATAATTTATATTCCTTTGGGTCTATACCCAGTAATGGTATTACTGGGTGAAATGGTAATTATGTTTTTAGGTCTTGAAGGAATCACCACACTGTCTTTCACGATAGTTTAACTAACTTGCACTCCCACCAACAGTGTATAAGTGTTCGCTTTTCTTTGCAACCTTACCAGCACCTGTTACTTTTTTGTCTTTTTAAGAATAGCCTTTCTGATTGGTGTGAGATGGTATCTCATTGTGGTTTTGATTTGAATTTCTCTAATGAGGAGTGATGTTGAACTTCTTAAATATGATTTTTGGCTATGTGTATGCCTTCTTTCAAAAAGTGTCTCTTCATGTTGCTTGCCTACTTTAAAACTGTTTTTTTTTCTTGTAAGTTTGTTTAAGTTTCTTATAGATGCTGGATATCAGGCCTTTGTCAGATGCATAGTTTGCAAATATTTCTTCCTGTTCTGTAGGTTGTCTGTTCACTGTGTTGACAGTTTCTTTTGCTGTGCCGAAACTCTTCAGCTTAATTAGACCCCATTTGTCCATTTTTGCTTATATTGCAATTGCTTTTAATGTCTTCATCATAAAATCTTTGCCCATTTCTTTATCCAGAATGGTATTGACTAGGTTGTCTTCAAGGTTTAGGGTTTTACATTTAAATCTTTAATCCACCTTCCGTTAACTATGTGCATGGTATAAGAAATGGGTCAAAATTCAATCTTCTGCATATGGCTAGCCAGTTATCCCAGCACCATTTATCGAATAGGGAGTCCTTCTCCATTGGTTGTTTTTCTTTTTCCAGCTTTGTTGAAAATCGGATAGTTGTAAGTGTGTGGCCTTATTTCCTGGTTCTCTATACTGTTTTATCGGTCTATGTGACTGTTTTTGCAGCAATATAATGCTGTTTTGATTTCTGTAGCCGTTTAGTGTAATTTGAAGTGGAGTAACATGATGCCACTCTTTTTAAATTAGGATTCCCTTGGCTATTCAGGCTCTTTTTTGGTTTTGTATGAATTTTAAAATAGTATTTTCTAGTTCTCTGAATAATATCATTGGTAGTTGAACAGCAATAGCATTGAATCTATAAATTGCTTTAGGCAGTATAGCCATTATTCTTCCTAACTATGAGCATGGAATGATTTTTCATTTGTTTGTGTCATCTCTGATTTATTTGAGAAGTGCTTCGTAGTTCTCCTTTTGGAGGTCTTTTACCTCCTTGATTAGATATATTCCTAGGTATTTTATTTTTTGTGTGTGGCAATTGCGAATAAGATCACATTCCTAATTTGGCTCTTGGCTTCAATATTTTTGATATATAGGAGTGCTAATGACTTCTGTACATTGGTTTGTATCCTGAGACTTTGTTGAAGTTGTTCATCAACTTAAGAAGTTTTTGGGCCAAGACTATAGGGCTTTCTAGTAATAGCATTATGTCATCTGCAAGCAGGAACCGTTGGACTTCTTTTTTTCCTATTTGGATGTGCTTTATTTCTATCTCTTGCCTGACTGCCCTGGCCAGGACTTCCAAAGCTAATTTGAATAGGGGTGGTGAGAGAGGGCATCTTTATTCTTGTGCTTGTTTTCAAGGGGAATGCTTCTGGCTTTTGCCCATTCATTATGATGTTGGCTGAGGGTTTGTCATAAATGGCTCTTATTATTTTGCTGTATGTTCCCTCAATAACTAGTCTATTGAGAGTTCTTTTTAATATAAAATGTGTTGAATTTTATCAAAAGTCTTTTCTGCATATATTGAGATAATCATGTGGTTTTTGTCTTTAGTTCTGTTTATATGATGAATCACCTTTTTTTATCTGCATATGTTGAAGGAACTTTGCATTCCAGAGATAAAGCCTACTTGATTTTGGTGATTAAGCTTTTTGATGTGCTTCTGGATTCAGTTTGCTAGTATTTTGTTGAGAATTTTTGCATTAATGTTAATCAAAGATACTGCTTGAAATTTTCATTTATTGTTGTGTCTCTTCCAGGTTTCAGTATCAGAAAGATGCTGGCCTCAGAATGAGTTAGAGAGTACTCCTTCCTCCTCATTTTTTTTCGGAATAGTTTCTACAGGAATGGGACCAGCTCTTCTTTGTACCTATGGTGGAATTCAGCTTTGAATGTGTCTGGTCCTGGGCTTTTATTTTTTTGGTTGGTAGGCTATTTGTTACTGATTCAATTTCAGAGCTCGTTATTGGTTTGTTCAGGTATTTGAATTCTTCCTGGTTCAGTCTTGGGAGGTGTATGTGTCCAGGAATTTATCCAATTCTTCTAAATTTTATAATTTGTGCGCATAGAGATGTTTATAATATTCTCTGATGGTTATTTGTGTTTCTGTGGAGGTCAGTGGTAATATTCCCCTCATTCTCTTTGATTGTGTTTATTTTTATCTTTTCTCCTTTATTTCTTTATTAGTCTAGCTAGCAGTCTATTTTATTATTTTTTTCAAAAAACCAGCTCATGGATATGTTGATCTTTTAGATGTTTTTTGTGTCTCAATCTCCTTCAGTTTAGCTCTAGTTTTGGTTTTTTCTTGTCTACTGCCAGCTTGGGGTTAGTTTTCTCTTGGTTCTCTAGTAAATTTAGTTTTGATGTTAGGTTGTTAGCTTGTGATATTTCCAACTTTTTGATGTGGGCATTTAGTGCTGTAAATATTTCTCTCAGCACCACCTTAGCTCTTTCCAAGAGATTCTGGTATGTTGCATCTTTGTCTTCGTTAGTTTTAAAGAACTTCTTGATTTTTACCTTTATTTCATCATTTACCCAACAGTCATTTAGGAGTAGGTCATTCAATTTTCATGTAATTGTATAGTTTTGAGTGAATTTCTTAGTCTTGATTTCTAATTTAATTTTGGTATGGTCCAAGAGATTGTTTGTTATAATTTCAGCTCTTTTGCATTTGCTGAGGACTGTTTTATTTCTGATTATGTCATTGGTTTTAGAGTATGTGCCATGTGTCAATGAGAAGAATGTATATTCTATTTTTTTTTTTTTTTTTTTTTTGGTGGAGAGTCCTGTAGATGTCTATCAGGTCCATTTGATCCAGTGTTGAGTTCAGGCCCTGAATACCTTTGTTAATTTTCTGTCTCAGTGATCTGTCTAATGTTGTCAGTGAGGTGTTGAATTTTCTCACTGTTATTGTGTGGGAGTGTAAGTTTCTTTGACAGTCTCTAAGAACTTGCTTTATGAATCTGGGTGATCCTGTGTTGGGTAATTATGATAGTTGGCTCTTCTTGTTGAATCAAACCCTTTACCATTACGTAATGCCCTTCTTTGTCTTTTTTTTTTAATATTTGTTGGTTTAAAGACCATTTTGACTGAAACTCACAGTGCAACCCCTGCTGTTTTTCTGTATTTCATTTGCTTGGTAGATATTTCTCCATCTCTTTATTTTGAACCTATGTGTGTCACTGCATGTGAGATGTGTCTCTTAAAAACAGCATACCATTGCATCTTAATTATTTATCCAGATTGCCACTCTGTGCCTTTTATTTGAGACATTTAGCCCATTTCCATTTAAGATTAGTATTAATGTGTGTGGATTTGATCCTGTCATAATGATATTAACTGGATATTTTGCAGACTTTTTTATGTGGTTGCTTTATGGTTTCACTGGTCTGTATATTCAGTGTGTTTTTGTAGTGGCTAGTAGTGGTCTTTTAATATTTAGTGCTTCCTCAGGAGCTCTTATAAGACTGGTCTAGTGGTAACAAGTTACCTCAGCATTTGGTTGTCTGAAAACAATCTTATTTCTTCTTCACTTATGAAGCTTAGTTTTGTTTCCAGCAAAACATGAAATTCTGGGTTGGAATTTCTTTTCTTTAAGAATGTTAAATATTGTCCCTCAATCTCTTCTGGCTTGTAGTGTTTCTGCTGAGAGTTCTGCTGTTAGTCTTATGGCCTTCCCTTTGTAGGTAACCTAACCTTTCTCTCTAGCTGCTTTTAACATTTTTAGCATGATTTTGTATCTTGGGGATGATATTCTTGTAAAGTATCTTACTGGGGTTCTCTGCATTTCCTGAATTTGAATGTTTTCCTCTCTAGCTAGTTTGAGGAAGTTCTTGTGGATAATGTCTTGAAATATTTTTCCAAGTTGCTTACACTTTCCCCATCTCTTTTAGGGACACCAGTGAGTTACATATCTGGTCTCTTTACATAATCCCATATTTCTTGGTGGTTTTACTCATTCTTTTTTTTTCTCTCTGTTCTTGTCAGACTATCTTATTTCAGAAAGCCAGCCTTCAAACTCAGATTCTTTCCACTGCTTGGTCTATTCTGCTATTACTACTCGTGTTTGTATTATGAAATTCTTGTAGTGTGTTTCTCGGCTCTGACACAGATCATTTATATATTTTTTCTATACTTGCTATTTTGTCTGTCAGCTCCTGGATTGTTTTATCATAATTCTTAGCTTCCTTCAATTGGATTTTAATGTACTCCTTTAGCTAAATTATCTTTGTTTTTATTCATATTCTGAATATTATTTCTGTCATTTCAGCCATTTCAGTCCAGTTCAGAACCCTTGCTGGAAAGGTGATGTCATTTGAAGGAAAGAAGGCACTCAGGCTTTTTGAGATGTCAGAGTTATTGCACTGGTTCTTTCTCCTCTTTGTGAGATGATATTTTTTCAGTCTTTGAGGTTGCTGACCTTTGGATTTTTTTTCTCTATATTCTATTTGATGACCTTGAAAGTTTGATTGTGGTATAAGGTGGATTCAACTGACTAGCTTTGTTTCTGGAAGATTTTTTTAAATTTTTTTTTATTATACTTTAAGTTCTAGGGTACACGTGCACAACGTGCAGGTTTGTTACATATGTACAGATGTGCCATGCTCGTGTGCTGCACCCATTCACTCATCATTTATATTAGATATTTCTCCTAATGCTATCCCTCCCCTCTTCCCCCACCCCACGACAGGCCCCAGTGTGTGATGTTCCGCAGTCTGTGTCCAAGTGTTCTCATTGTTCAATTCCCACCTATCAGTGAGAACATGTGGTGTTTGGCTTTCTGTCCTTGTGATAGTTTGCTGAGATTGATGGTTTCCAGCTTCATCCAAGACCCTACAAAGGACATGAACTCATCCATTTTTATGACTGTATAGTATTCCATGGTGTATATGGGCCACATTTTCTTAATCCAGTCTATCATTGATGGACTTTTGGGTTGGTTCCAAGTCTTTGCTATTGTGAATAGTGCCGCAATAAACATACGTTTGCATATGTCTTTATAGCAGCATGATTTACAATTCTTTGGGTATATACGCAGTAATGAGATTGCTGGGTCAAATTGTGTTTCTATTTCTAGATCTTTGAGGAATCACCACACGGTGTTCCACAATGGCTGAAGTAGTTTACAGTCCCACCAACAGTGTAAAAGTGTTCCTATTTCTCCACATCCTCTCCAGCACCTGTTTTTTCCTGACTTATAATAATCACCATTCTAACTGGTGTGAGATGGTATCTCATTGTAGTTTTGATTTGCATTTCTCTGGTGACCAGTGATAATGAGCATTTTTTCATGTGTCTGTTGGCTGCATAAATGTCGTCTTCTGAGAAGTGTCTGTTCATATCCTTCACCCATTTGTTGATGGGGTTGTTTGTTTTTTTCTTGTAAATTTGTTTAAGTTCATTTTAGATTCGGGATATTAGCCCTTTGTCAGATGGGTAGATTGCAAAAATTTTCTCTCATTCTCTAGGTTGCCTGTTCACTCTGATGGTAGTTTCTTTTGCTGTGCTGAAGCTCTTTAGTTTAGTTATATCCCATTTGTCAATTTTGGCTTTCGTTGCCATTGCTTTTGGTGTTTTAGACATGAAGTCCTTGCCCATGCCTATGTCCTGAATGGTATTGCCTAGGTTTTTTTCTAGGGTTTTTATGGTTTTAGGTCTAACATGTAAGTCTTTAATCCATCTTGAATTAATTTTTGTATAAGGTGTAAGGAAGGGATCCAGTTTCAGCTTTTTACATATGGTAGCCAGTTTTCCCAGCACCATTTATTAAATAGGGAATAATTTCCCCATTTCTTGTTTTTGTCAGGTTTGTCAAAGATCAGATGGTTGTAGATGTGTGACATTATTTCTGAGGGCTCTGTTCTGTTCCATTGGTCTACATCTCTGTTTTGGAACCAGTACCATGCTGCTTTGGTTAATGTAACCTTGTAGTATAATTTGAAGTCAGGTAGAGTGATGCCTCCAGCTTTGTTCTTTTGGCTTAGGATTGTCTTGGCAATGCGGGCTCTTTTTTGGTTCCATATGAACTTTAAAGTAGTTTTTTCCAGTTCTGTGAAGAAAGTCATTGGTAGCTTGATGTGGATGGCACTGAATCTATGAATTACCTTGGGCAGTATGGCCATTTTCACGATATTGATTCTTCCTACCCATGAGCATGGAATGTTCTTCCATTTGTTTGTGTCCTCTTTTATTTCATTGGGCAGTGGTTTGTAGTTCTCCTTGAAGAGGTCTTTCACATCCCTTGTAAGTTAGATTCCTAGGTATTTATTCTCTTTGAAGCAATTGTGAATGGGAGTTCACTCATGATTTGGCTCTCTGTTTGTCTGTTATTTGTGTATAAGAACGTTTGTGGTTTTTGCACATTGATTTTGTATCCTGAGACTTTGCTGAAGTTGTTTATCAGCTGAGATGATGGGGTTTTCTAGATATACAATCATGTCACCTGCAAACAGGGACAATTTGACTTCCTCTTTTCCTAATTGAATACCCTTTATTTCTTTCTCTTGCCTCATTGCCCTGGTCAGAAATTCCAATGGTATATTGAATAGGAGTGGTGAGAGAGGGCATCCCTGTCTTGTGCCAGTTTTCAAAGGGAATGCTTCCAGTTTTTGCCCATTCAGTATGATATTGGCTTTGGGTTTGTCATAAATATATCTTATTATTTTGAGATACGTCCCATCAATACCTAGTTTATTGAGAGTTTTTAGCATGAAGTACTGTTGAATTTTGTCAAAGGCCTTTTCTGCATCTATTGAGATAATCATGTGTTTTTTGTCTTTGGTTCTGTTTATGTGGTGGATTACATTTATTGATTTTCATATGTTTAACCAGCCTTGCATCTCAGGGATGAAGCCACCTTGATCGTTGTGGGTAAGCTTTTTAATGTGCTGTTAGATTTGCTTTGCCAGTATTTTACTGAGGATTTTCACATCAATGTTCATCAGGGATATTGGCCTAAATTCTCTTTTTTTGTTGTGTCTCTGCTGGGCTTTGGTTTCAGGAAGATGCTGCCCTCATACAATGAGTTAAGGAGGATTCCCTCTTTTTCTATTGATTGGAATAGTTTCAGAAGGAATGGAACCAGCTCCTCCTTGTATCTCTGGTAGAATTTTGCTGTGAATCCATCTGGTCCTGGACTTTTTTTGGTTGGTATTCTATTAATTATTGCCTCAATTTCAGAGCTTGTTATTGGTCTATTCAGGGATTCAACTTCTTCCTGGTTTAGTCTTGGGAGAGTATATGTGTCCAGGAATTTATCCGTTTCTTCTAGATTTTCTAGTTTATTTGCATAGAGGTGTTTATAGTATTCTCTGGTGGTAGTTTGTATTTCTGTGGGATCGGTGGTGTTAGCCCCTTTATCATTCTTTATTGTGTCTATTTCATTCTTCTCTCTTTTCTCCTTTATTAGTCTTGGTAGTGGTCTATCCATTTTGTCGATCTTTTCAAAAAACCAACTCCTGGATTCATTGATTGTTTGAAGGGATTTTTGTGTCTCTATCTCCTTTTTTTCTGCTCTGATCTTCGTGATTTCTTGCCTTCTGCTATCTTTTGAATGTGTTTGCTCTTGTTTCTCTAGTTCTTTTAATTGTGAAGTTAGGGTGTCAATTTTAGATCTTTCCTGCTTTCTCTTGTGGGCATTTAGTGCTCTAAATTTCCCTCTACACACTGCTTATATGTGTCCCAGGGATTCTGGTATGTCGTGTCTTTGTTCTTGTTGGTTTCAAAGAACATCTTTATTTCTGCCTTCATTTCGTTATTTACCCAGTAGTCATTCAAGAGCAGGTTGTTCAGTTTCCTTGTAGTTGTGTGGTTTTGAGTGAGTTTCTTAATCCTGAGTTCCAATTTGATTGCACTGTGGTCTGAGAGACAGTTTGTTATAGCTTCCATTCTTTTAGATTTGCTGAGGAGTGCTTTCCTTCCAACTATGTGGTCATTTTTGGAATAAGTGCGATGTGGTGCTGAGAATGTATATTCTGTTGATTTGGGGTGGTGAGTTCTGTAGATGTCTATTAGGTCCGCTTGGTGTAGAGCTGAGCGCAATTCCTGGATATCCTTGTTAACTTTCTGTCTCATTGATCTGTCTAATGTTGACAATGGGGTGTTAAAGTCTCGCATTATTTTTGTGTGAGAGTCTAAGTCTCTTTGTGTGTCTTTAAGGACTTGCTTTATGAATCTGGGTGCTCCTGTATTGGGTGCATATATATATAGGATAGTTAGCTCTTCTTGTTGAATATCAATTCGATTTCCTTTTACCATTTACCATTATGTAATGGCCTTCTTTGTTTCTTTTGATCTTTGTTGGCTTAAAGTCTGTTTTATGAGAAACTAGGATTGCAACCCTGCTATTTTGTTTTCCATTTGCTTGGTAGATCTTCCTCCATCCCTTTATTTTGAGCCTATGTGTGTCTCTGCATGTGAGATGTATCTGCTGAATACAGCACACTGATGCGTCTTGACTTTTTATCCAGTTTGCTAGTTTGTGTCTTTTAATTGGGGCATTTAGCCCATTTACATTTAAGGTTAATATTGTTATGTGTGAATTTGATCCTGTCATTATGATGTTAGCTGGTTATTCACTCATTAGTTGTTGCAGTTTCTTCTTAGCATCAATGGTCTTTACATTTTGGCGTGTTTTTGCAGTGGCTGGTACCGGTTGTTCCTTTCCATGTTTAGTGTTTCCTTCGGGAGCTCTTGTAAGTCAGGGCTGGTGGTGACAAAATCTCTCAGCATTTGCTTGTCTGTAAAGGATTTTATTTTCCTTCACTTATGAAGCTTAGTTTGGCTGGATACGAAATTCTGGGTTGAAAATTCTTTTCTTTAAGAATGTTGAATATTGGCCCCCACTCTCTTCTGGCTTGTAGAGTTTCTGCTGAGAGATCCGCTGTTAGTCTGATGGGCTTCCCTTTGTGGATAAACCGGCCTTTATCTCTGGCTGCCCTTAACATTTTTTCCTTCATTTCAACCTTGATGAATCTGACAATTATGTGACTTGGGGTTTCTCTTCTCGAGCAGTATCTTTGTGGCATTCTCTGCATTTCCTGAATTTGAATGTTGGCCTGCCTTGCTAGGTTGGGGAATTTCTCCTGGATAATATCCTGCAGAGTGTTTTCCAACTTGGTTCCATTCTCCCTGTCACTTTCAGGTATACCAATCAAAAGTAGATTTGGTCTTTTCACGTAGTCCTATACTTCTTGGAGCTTTTGTTCATTTCTTTTTACTCTTTTTTCTTTAAACTTCTTTTCTCACTTCATTTCATTCATTTGATTTTAATCACTGATACCCTTTCTTCCACTTGATTGAATCGGCTACTGAAACTTGTTCATGTGTCACGTAGTTCTTGTGCCTTGGTTTTCAGCTCTTTCAGGTCATTTAAGTTCTTCTCTATGCTGTTTATTCTAGTTAGTCATTCATCTAATCTTTTTTCAAGGTTTTTAGCTTCTTTTTGATAGGTTTGAACATCCTCCTTAGCTTGGAGAAGTTTTTTATTACCAATCTTCTGAAGCCTACTTTTGTCAACTCATCAAAATCATTCTCTGTCCAGCTTTGTTCCATTGCTGGTGAGGAGCTGTGTTCCTTTGGAGGAGAAGAGGCACTCTGATTTTTAGAATTTTCAGATTTTTATTCTGGTTTCTCCCCATCTTTGTGGTTTTATCTACCTTTGGTCTTTGATGATGGTGACCTACTGATGGGGTTTGATGTGGATGTCCTTTTTGTTGATGTTAATACTATTCCTTTCTGTTTGTTAGTTTTCCTTCTAGTAGTCAGGACCCTCAGCTGCAGGTCTGTTGGAGGTTGCTCGAGGTACACTGCAGACCTTCTTTGCCTGGGTATCACCAGCAGAGGCTTCAGAACAGCTAATATTGCAGAATAGCAAATGTTGCTGCCTGATCCTTCCTCTGGAAGCTTTGTCTCAGAAGAGCACCTGGCTTATGAGGTACCAGTCTGCCCCTACTAGGAGGTGTCTCCCAGTTAGGCTACTCGGGGGTCCGTGACCCACTTAAGGAGGCAGTCTGTCCATTCTCAGATCTCAAACTCCATGCTTGGAGAACCACTACTCTCTTCAAAGCTGTCAGACAGGGATGTTTAAGTCTGCAGAAGTTTCTGCTGCCTTTTGTTCAGCTATGCCCTGCCCCGAGAGGTGGAGTCTACAGAGGCAGGCAGGCCTCATTTAGCTGCAGTGGGCTCCACCCAGTTCAAGCTTCCCAGCTGCTTTGTTTACCTAGTCAAGCCTCAGCAATGGTGGACGCCCCTCACCCAGCATCGCTGCCACCTCATAATTCCATCTGGGACTGCTGTGCTAGCAGTGAGCAAGGCTCTGTGGGCATGGGACCCGCTGAGCCATGCTGAGGATATAATCTCCTGGTGTGCTGTTTGTGAAGACCATTGGAAAAGCAGTATCAGGGCAGGAGTGTCTCGATTTTCCGGGTACTGTCTGACACAGCTTCCCTTGGCTAGAAAAGTGAATTCCCCAACTGCTTGTGCTTCCCAGGTGAGGCGATGCCCCACCCTGCTTTGGCTCAAACTCCATGGGCTGCACTCACCGTCCAACAAGTCCCAGTGAGAAGAACCTGGTACCTCAATTGGAAATGCAGAAATTACCCTGTCTTTTGCGTCGCTCACACTGGGAGCTGTAGGCTGGAGCTGTTCCTATTCGGTCATCTTGGAGCAGCATCCTATTTCTGGAAGATTTTATAGGGCCAACACTTAGCTCCCAACTTCTGGACTATGTGCTCTAACTGTGGGGGACTTGTATTAGTTCCTGATTTGTTCTCTGGCTCTTTGACATTAGGAATACACTGTTCTGGGATGTCCGATGTTCTTTTGGACCACTGGACACTCTACTCTGATGGTTGGTTTCAGTTAAAGCATTTCCTAGTGTGGTATCATTGAGATCTGTCCTTGTTTGTATGTGCTAGCAGCAGTGGTAGTGGCAGTATAGTTGGGTTCATGTTCATCAGCTGTGCAGGGTGCTAGTGGGTGCTAGGTTGCCTACCTCCCTGTGGGCGTTCCCCACCATGGCAGAGGCAAAGCAGCTGTGGGCGCCAGGGGCCCCTTCTGGTGACTTTTTGCGTGGTCATGTTTGTGATGACGTTGGATCAGAGGCAGTGTTCTGGCAAGTGTGGGTCTATCTGCCTTCTCTGTGCACAGCAAGCAGGAGTGGTTGCTTAGGGCGGGGGATAATCTGTTCTTCTCTGTGCCTAGTTTCACTACTGTGACAGTTTTGACACAAGGGTGGGGTGCTTGTGGGTGCAGGGCTGGCTGACTCTGTTCCTGCCAAGGCTCCATCTGCAATGTTAGTTGGTAGGGGTCAGGGTGTGAACTGCACTCCTGCCACATCAGTGGCAGGGCAGGGTGCATACACACTTACTTGCTGGCAGGGCAAGGAAATCAAAACTCACCCACACAGAAATGCATCAGCAAAGTGATTTGGAGACTTTCTTTAGGTTCAGGGAAAGTGGCAGTGTGGGGAGGGAGTGTGCCAAATGGTGTGTGACTGTGGGGCCACTGGTGTTCTCTGTTAGTCACGTATGGTCTGCTGCTACACAGATGCTATGTTGCTGGCCTCCAGACCACCTAAGGTTGCCCTGCAAGCAGGCATGGCCAGGCTGGGGCCACAGGAGAGGCTAGCAGACCATGGGTCGCTCAGGTCAGAGCAGCCTCGTCTGATGAAGAACATCCTGCAGTGTTTGGCAGAGAGTTTCCCTAGGGCTAAAGTGTTCTATGGGAGCAAGTTGAATCCAGTGGGGATGGCCATCACTGGTCATGCTCTGCTACAGACACTCCCATACCAAACCCTCTAGGGTCCACATTAGCTGTCTTGCTTCCCCTACCACTTCTCTAAGCAGCTTTCCCGCTGACTCAAGTGTCCATGGTGATTGAGGATTCTCCCCCTGCTGGGATTCCAGGGGCCTAGGGAGAGAGACAGTTGCTTCTTGCCCGTTCAATTCACCCATTTCCTGGGAGTCACTGGGGCCAGAAACAAGCCCAGATGCACAGTAGCCCCATATAGAGTTTCCAGCTTTCTGTTCCTTCAGCCCAGCTTCTGTTTGTTCCTTCCGTCTACTATTGGTGCTTTTTCTCTGTAGATCTGTTAAGAGTAGGCCAGTCATCTTTGTCCCTCAGTGGCGGCTTTTCCACCAGGCTGCGCCTAGTCAGCCATCTTGTCCTCTCAAGCCTCACTTGTTTATTTTAGCTTTTGTGTCCTTTCTTTTTATTTTTATTTTCAGGGACAGAGTCTCGCTCTTTGCCCACGCTGGAGTGTAGTGGCACAATCTCGGCTCACTGCAACCTCTGCCTCCTGGGTTCAAGCAATTCTCCTGCCTCAGCCTCCAGAGGAGCTGGGACTACAGGTGCATGCCGCCACGCCTGGCTAATTGTGTGTGTGTGTGTGTGTGTGTGTGTGTATTTTAGTAGAAACGGGGTTTCACCTTGTTGCCCAGGCTGATCTTCAACTCCTGAGATCAGGCAATCCCCCAGCCTCGGCCTCCCAAAGTGTTAGAATTACAGTCGTGAGCCGTCATGCACTGCGGTTTTGTTCTTTTTCTTTTTTTTTTGAGACGGAGTTTCACTCTTGTTACCTGCTCATGCCTGTAATCCCAGCACTTTGAGAGGCCGAGGTGGGTGGATAACCTCAGGTCAAGAGTTCGAGACCAGCCTGGCCAACATGGTGAAAACCTCTCTCTACTAAAAACACAAAAAATTAGCTGGGCCTTGTGCCGGGCACCTGCAATGCCAGCTACTCAGTAGGCTGAGGCAGGAGAATTGCTTGAACCCGGGAGGTGGAGGTTGCAGTGAGCCAAGATCACACCACTACACTCCAGCCTGGGCAACAAGAGTGTCACCTTTCAAAAAAAATAATTTCCATGACTAATGCCAGAAAATTCTTTTCTATACTTTTTCCAAATGTTTTACAGTTTCAGGTCTTATGTTAGATTTTCAAACCATTTTGAGTTTATTTTCTGTGTATGATATATTAATAGGTGTCAAATTTCATTCATTTTTATGTAAATATTCATTAGTCCTGGTACTTTTTGAAGAGACTGATATGGGAGTTAAGAAGAAATTATTGAGAAAGATCGTGAGGGTAAGGAAGTCCTTGGTAAAGTTTTCCTTTTAATGAAAAGCAGCCTCTAAATCATTTTCTTTTCTAACAAAGAGCAGCCTTTAAAATCGAGATACAGACATAGACAAGCAAGCTGGAGGATTGTACGGGTGAAAGCCAGCAGCTGTGCCAATAAGAAAAGGCTACCTGGGGGCTAGGCATGTCCAATATGGTGGCTCCATCTTTCCCTTGTCAACCACGTGCACAATAAGGAGCAGACAACATGACAGGGGTCAAGTAAAGACACCATTTGCATGGTAAGATTAGTGTGGGGTGTCCACCTTCCCTGTGTGTTATGTAAACATCACACCTGGTCCAACCAATTTTGGGCCCTATGTAAATCAGACACCACCTCCTCAAGCCTTTCTGTAAAATCTGGTGCACTCTGCCACGGCCGGAAATCCCATTCTGGCACCCCTCTCTCTCCCAGGAGGGGGAGCTATTCTCCTTTCTCTTTATTTGGCCTATTAAACCTCCACTCTTAAATTCACTCCTTGTGTGTGTCTGCATCCTTAATTTTCTTGGTATGAAGCAGTGAACCTTGGATATCACACCAGAAAATGATGCCACTTCATTGTGTTTTCTTGATGACTATATCAAATAGTAATTATCCATATATGTTTGAGTTTACTTCTGGGCTCTCTATGCTGTTTTATTTTTCTATAAATATGTATTTCTTCAAACATCATTATGTTTGAATAAGAATTAATTTTAATACATTATAACTGCATATGAGGTATATCAGATTTAGATAGATGCATACAATGTGTATTAATCAAACCAGGGTATTCAGGATATTCATCACTTCAGTCTTTGATCATTTATTTCTGTTTAGAATATTACAAATCTTCTCTTCTACCTATTTTGAAATATGCAATAAATTATCACAAATGTCACTCTACTATGATATTGAAACTAGAATATTTTTCTTTTATTCAACTGTATTTCTGTTCACATTGATAAACCTATCTTCATTTCTCCCTTGCCCTACACTACCCTGCCATCAGGAGCCATCATTTCTTTCTCCAGCTCCTTGATACCAACTTTTTCTAACTCCCACATTTGACAGAGTGCATGTGATAGTTGCCTATTTGTGCCTGGCTTATTTCATTTGATATAATGTCTTCCAGGTTAAACCATGATTCTGCAAATGACAAGATACTATTTTTTATAGCTGAATACTATTGTAACATACACATATATGTGTGTATATATATATATATATATATATATATATATATCACATTTTAGATCCATTTATTCATTGGTAAACAAAGTTCGATTCCATATCTTGACTATTGTAAAAAGTGTTATGATAAATATGAGAGTGTGAATATTTCTCTTGGTTTGAGGCAGGGCCTTGCTCTGTTGTCCAGGCTAGAGTGCAGTGGTGTAATCATGGCTTACTGCAGCCTTAAACTCCCTGGTTTAAGCAATCCTTCCAACTCAGATACCTGAGTTGCTGGGAAAAGTGTGTACCACCACTCCCATCTTATCTCTTCAATATAATTACTTCTTTTTGATGTATACTCAGCAGTGAGATTGGTGGATCATACAGCAATCCTATTTTTAGTTTTTAAAGGAGACGCTATACTGTTTTTCATAATGGCTGTATTAATATACATACATATTCACAGTGTACTAGCGTTTTTCTTTCTTTCCATCTTTGTAAGCATCTCTTTTTTTTTTTTCCTTCTTGATAACAGCTGTTTTAACTGGGGACATTGTGGTTTTAATTTGCATTTCCCTGATGATTAGTAATGTTGAGCAGTTTTTCATATATGTTTTGGCCATTTGTGTGTCATCTTTTGAGATACGTTGAGATCATTTGTTCATTTTTAATCATATTATTTCATTTTTTTGCTGTTGAGTTGTATGACTTCCTTACATATTGTGGTTATTAATTTCTTGTTAACAGTTTGCAAATATTTTCTCCCATTATATAGCTTGGCTATTTCTGAGAATTGGTTTCTTTGATGTGGAGAAGCTTTTTAACTTGATGCAATCCTGTTTGTCTATTTTTGATTTATTTAACTGTGCTTTTGAAGACTTACCAAAAATTTTCGCCAAAACAAATAGCCTACAGCATTTTCCCAATTTTTTTTCTAGTAGTTTTATAGTTTTGGGTCTGATATTTAAGAATATCATCCATTTTTATTTGACTTTTGTACATTATGAGACATAGGGATTTATTTGCATTTTTCTACACGTGAAAATTCATTTTTTCTACCACCATTTATTGAAGACTGTGGTTTTTGAGAATTACTTTTGATGTCTCTATCAAAAATGAGTTGACTCTGAATGTATAGATATATTTCCAGACTGCCTATTCTATTTCATTGGTCTATGTGTCTATTTATTTTGCGAGTACCATGCTGTTTGGTTACCTTGACTTTGAAGCATATTTTGAAGTCAAATAGTATGACTATTTTAACTTTGTTTTTCTTTTGTTTGGTTTGGTTGTTGTTCAAGATCGCTTTGTCTATTTGGGATCTTTTTTTGGTTAGAGAGATGTTTTAAGATTATTATTCTATTTCTCTGAAACATATGGTTTGAATTTTAATAGAGATTAGATTGAATCTGTAAATTGCTTTAGGTAGTATGGACATTTTGAACACTATAAATAATTCTAATCTATAAACAAAGACCAACTTTTTCATTTAATAGTGACTTCTTCATTTTCTTTCATTAATTTTCTTTTCACTTTGCAATGTAGACATTTTTCACTTCTTTGTTTAAATTTATTGTAGGCCATTTAATTTTTGTAGCTATTGTAACTGGCATTGCTTTCTTTTTTTTAGATTGTTTACTGTTGGCATATAAAAATGCTACTAATTTCATATGTTGACGTTTTTATACTGAAGCATTACTGAATTTGTTTACAAGTTCTAACAATTTTATGGTGGTATTCTTATTTGGTTTTTGTGTGAAAAAAATGTTTGCTTTGGGTCTGGAGTGGACCTCCAGTAAACTCCAACAGACCTGAAGCTGAGAGTCCTGACTGATAGAAGGAAAACTAACAAACAGAAAGGACATCCACACCAAAAACCCATCTGTACATCACCATCATCAAAGACCAAAGGTAGACAAAACCACAAAGATGGGGAAAAAACAGAGCAGAAAACCGGAAACTCTAAAAATCAGAGTGCCTCTCCTCCTCCAAAGGAACGCAGTTCCTCATAAGCAATGGAACAAAGCTGGATGGAGAATGACTTTGACGAGTTGAGAGAGGAAGGCTTCAGAAGATCAAACTACTCTGAGCTAAAGGAGGAAGTTCGAACCAATGGCAAAGAAGTTAAAAAGTTTGAAAAAAAAATTAGACGAAGGGATAGCTAGAATAACCAATGCAGAGAAGTCCTTAAAGGACCTGATGGAGCTGAAAACCACGGCACGAGAACTACGTGATGAATGCACAAGCCTCAGTAAATGATGCGATCAACTGGAAGAAAGGGTATTAGTGATGGAAGATGAAATGAATGAAATGAAGCATGAAGAGAAGTTTAGAGAAAAAAGAATAAAAACAGATGAAGAACGCCTCCAAGAAATCTGGGACTATGTGAAAAGACCAAATCTATGTCTGATTGGTGTACCTGAAAGTGACGGGGAGAATGGAACCAAGTTGGAAAACACTCTGAAGGATATATCCAGGAGAACTTCCCCAATCTAGCAAGGCAGGCCAACATTCAAATTCAGGAAACACAGAGAAAGCCACAAAGATACTCCTCGAGAAGAGTAACTCCAAGACACATAATTGTCAGATTCACCAAAGTTGAAATGAAGGAAAAAATGTTAAGGGCAGCCAGACAGAAAGGTCAGGTTACCCACAAACAGAAGCCCATCAGACTAACAGCGGATCTCTCAGCAGAAACTTTGCAAGCCAGAAGAGAGTGGGGGCCAATATTCAACATTCTTAAAGAGAAGAATTTTCAACCCAGAATTTCATATCCAGCCAAACTAAGCTTCATAAGTGAAGGAGAAATAAAATCCTTTACAGACAAGCAAATGCTGAGAGATTTTGTCACCACCAGGCCTGCCCTAAAAGAGCTCCTGAAGGAAGCACTAAAAATGGAAAGGAACAACCGAACAACCGGTACCAGTCACTGCACAAACATGCCAAATTGTAAAGACCATCAAGGCTAGGAAGAAACTGCATCAACTAACAAGCAAAATAACCAGCTAACATCATAATGACAGGATCAAATTAACACATAAAAATACTAACCTTAAACGTAAATGGGTTAAATTCTCCAATTAAAAGGCACAGACAGGCAAATTGCAAAAAGAGACAAGACCCATCAGTGTGCTGTATTCAGGAAACCCATCTCACATGCAGAGATACACACAGGCTCAAAATAAAGGGATGGAGGAAGATCCACCAAGCAAATGGAAAACAAAAAAAGGGCAAGGGGTTGCAATCCTAGTCTCTGATAAAACAGACTTGAAACCAAAAAAGATCAAAAGAGACAAAGAAGGCCATTACATAATGGTAAAGGGATCAATTCAACAAGAAGAGCTAACTATCCAAAAAATATATATGCACCCAATACAGGAGCACCCAGATTCATAAAGCAAGTCCTGGGTGACCTACAAAGAGACTTAGACTCCCACACAATAATAATGGGAGACTTTAACACCCCACTGTCAACATTAGACAGATCAAAAAGACACAAAGTTAACAAGGATATCCAGGAATTGAACTCAGCTCTGCACCAAGCGGACCTAATAGACATCTACAGAACTCTCCACCACAAATCAACAGAATAAACATTGTTTTCAGCACCACAGCACACCTATTCCTAAATTGACCACATAGTTGGAAGTAAAGCACTCCTCAGCAAATGTAACAGAACAGAAATTATAACAAACTGTCCCTCAAACCACAGTGAAATCAAACTAGAACTCAGGATTAAGAAACTCACTCAAAACTGCTCAACTACATGGAAACTGACAACCTGCTCCTGAATGACTACTGGGTACATAATGAAATGAAGGCAGAAATAAAGATGTTCTTTCAAACCAATGAGAACAAAGACACAATATACCAGAATCTCTGGGACACATTCAAAGCAGTGTGTAGAGGGAAATTTAGAGCACTAAATGCCCACAAGAGAAAGCAGGAAAGATCTAAAATTGACACCCTAACATCACAATTAAAAGAACTAGAGAAGCAAGAGCAAACACATTCAAAAGGTAGCAGAATGCAAGAAATAACTAAGATCAGAGCAGAACTGAAGGAAATAGAGACACAAAAAAACCCTGCAAAAAATCAACAAATCCAGGAGCTGCCTTTTTGAAAAGATCAACAAAATTGATAGACCACTAGCAAGACTAATAAAGAAGAAAAGAGAGAAGAATCAAATAGACGCAATAAAAAATGAAAAAGGGGATATCACCACCGATCCCACAGAAATACAAACTACCACCAGAGAATACTATAAACACCTCTATGCAAATAAACTAGAAAATCTAGAAGAAATGGGTAAATTCCTCGACACATACACCCTCCCAAGAATAAACCAGGAAGAAGTTGAATCTCTGAATAGACTAATAACAGGCTCTGAAATTGAGGCAATAATTAATAGCTTACCAACCAAAAAGAGTCCAGGACCAGATGGATTCACAGCCGAATTCTACCAGAGGTACAAGGAGGAGCTGGTACCATTCTTTCTGAAACTATTCCAATCAACAGAAAAAGAGGGAATCCTCCCTAACTCATTTTATGAGGCCAGCATCACCCTGATGCCAAAGTCTGGCAGAGACAGAACAAAAAAAGAGAATTTTAGACCAATATCCTTGATGAACATTGATGCAAAAATCCTCAATAAAATACTGGCAAACAGAATCCAGCAACACATCAAAAAGCTTATCCATCATGATCAAGTGCACTTCATCCCTGGGATGCGAGGCTGGTTCAACATACGAAAATCAATAAATGTAATCCAGCATATAAACAGAACCAAAGACAAAAAGCACCTGATTATCTCAATAGATGCAGAAAAGGCCTTTGACAAAATTCAACAACACTTCATGCTAAAAACTCTCAAAAATTAGATATTGATGGGACATATCCCAAAATAGTAAGAGCTATCTATGACAAACCCACAGCCAATATCATACTGAAAGGACAAAAACTGGAAGCATTCCCTTTTGAAACTGGCCCAAGACAGGGATGCCCTCTCTCACCACTCCTATTCAACATAGTGATGGAAGTTCTGGCCAGGGCAATCAGGCAGGAGGAGGAAATAAAGGGCATTCAATTAGGAAAAGAGGAAAATTGTCGCTGTTTGCAGATGACATGATTGTCTATCTAGAAAACCCCATCATCTCAGCCCAAAATCTCCTTAAGCTAATAAGGAACTTCAGCAAAATCTGAGGATACAAAATCAATGTACAAAAATCACAAGCATTCTTATACACCAATAATAGACAAACAGAGAGCCAAATCATGAGTGGACTTCCATTCACAATTGCTTCAAGGAGAATAAAATGCTTAGGAATCCAAATTACAAGGGATGTGAGGGACCTCTTCAAGGAGAACTACAATCCACTGCTCAATGAAATAAAAGAGGATACAAACTAGTGGAAGAACATACCATGCTCATGGGTAGGAAAAATCAATATCGTGAAAATGGCCATACTGTCCAAGGTAATTTATAGATTCAATGCCATCCCCATCAAGCTACCAATAACTTTCTTCACAGAATTAGAAAAAACTTCTTTAAAGTTCATATGGAACCAAAAAAGAGCCCGCATTGCCAAGTCAATCCTAAGCCAAAAGAACAAAACTGGAGGCATCACTCTACCTGACTTCAAACTATACTACAAGGCTACAGTAACCAAAACAACATGGTACTGGTACCAAAACAGAGATATAGACCAATGGAACAGAACAGAGCCCTCAGAAATAATTCCACTTATCTACAACCATCTGATCTTTGACAAACCTGACAAAAACAAGCCATGGGGAAAGGATACCCTATTTAATAAATGGTGCTGGGAAAACTGGCTAGCCATATGTAGAAAGCTGAAACTGGATCCCTTCCTTACAACTTATAGAAAAATTAATTCAAGATGGATTAAAGACTTACATGTTAGACCTAAAACCATAAAAACCCTAGACGAAAACCTAGGCAACACCATTCAGGACATAGGCATGGGCAGGGACTTCATATTTAAACACCAAAAGCAATGGCAACAAAAGCCAAAATTGACAAATGGGATCTAATTAAACTAAAGAGCTTCTGCATAGCAAAAGAAACCACCATCATAGTGAACAGGCAACCTACAGAATGGGAGAAAATTTTCACAACCTACTCATCTGACAAAGGGCTAATATCCAGAATCTACAATGAACTCAAACAAATTTACAAGAAACAAACAAACAACCCCATCGAAAAGTGGGTGAAGGACATGAACAGACACTTCTCAAAAGAAGACATTTATGCAGCCAAAAGACACATGAAAAAATGCTCATCATCACTGGCCATCAGAGAAATGCAAATCAAAACCACAATGAGATATCATCTCACACCAGTTAGAATGACAATCATTAAAATGTCAGGAAACAACAGGTGCTGGAGAGGATGTGGAGAAATAGGAACACTTTTACACTGTTGGTGGGACTGTAAACTAGTTCAACCATTGTGAAATTCAGTGTGGCGATTTCTCAGGGATCTAGAACTAGAAATCCCATTTGACCCAGCCATCCCATTACTGGGTATATACCCAAAGGGTTATAAATCATGCTGCTATAAAGACACAGGCACACTTATGTTTATTGTGGCACTATTCACAATAGCAAAGACTTGGAACCAACCCAAATGTCCAACAATGATAGACTGGATTAAGAAAATGTGGCACATACACACCATGGAATACTGTGCAGCCATAAAAAATGATGAGTTCATGTCCTTTGTAGGGACATGGATGAAGCTGGAAACCATCATTCTCAGCAAACTATCGCAAGGACAAAAAAACAAACACTGCATGTTCTCACTCATATAGGTAGGAATTGAACAAAGAGAACACATGTATACAGTAAGGGGAACATCACACACTGGGGACAGATGTGGTGTGGGGGGATGGGGAAGGGATAGCATTAGGAGATATACCTAATGCTAAGTGACGAGTCAATGGGTGGAGCACACCAACATGGCACATGTATACTTATGTAACAAACAATCACGTTGTGCACATGTACCCTAAAACTTAAATAATAATAATAATAATTAAAAAAAGGATGCTTGGATGTCAGTTCAAAAAAAAAAGAAAAGAAAAAAATAGTCTCCCATTATTATTGTGTGGGAGTCTAAGTCTCTTTGTAGGTCACTGAGGACTTGCTTTATGAATCTGGGTGCTCCTGTATTGGGTGCATATATATTTAGGATAGTTAGCTCTTCTTGTTGAATTGATCCCTTTACCATTATGTAATGGCCTTCTTTGTCTCTTTTGATCTTTGTTGGTTTAAAGTCTATTTTATCAGAGACTAGGATTGCAACCCCTGCCTTTTTTTGTTTTCCATTTGCTTGGTAGATCTTCCTCCTTCCCTTTATTTTGAGCCTATGTGTGTCTCTGCAAGTGAGATGGGTTTCCTGAATACAGCACCCTGTTGGGTCTTGACTCTTTATCCAATTTGCCAGTCTGTGTATTTTAATTGGAGCATTTAGTCCATTTACATTTAAAGTTAATATTGTTATTTGTGAATTTGATCCTGTCGTTATGATGTTAGCTGGTTATTTTGCTCGTTAGTTGATTCAGTTTCTTCCTAGCCTTGATGGTCTTTACAATTTGGCATGATTTTGCAGTGACTGGTACCGGTTATTCCTTTCCATGTTTAGTGCTTCCTTCAGGAGCTCTTTTAGGGCAGGCCTGGTGGTGACAAAATCTCTCAGCATTTGCTTGTCTGTAAAGGATTTTACTTCTCCTTCACTTATGAAACTTAGTTTGGGTGGATATGAAATTCTTGGTTGAAAATTCTTTTCTTTAAGAATGTTGAATATTGGCCCCCACTCTCTTCTGGCTTGTAGAGTTTCTGCTGAGAGATCCTCTGTTAGTCTGATGGGCTTCCGTTTGTGGGTAACCCGACCTTTGTCTCTGGCTGCCCTTAACATTTTTTCCTTCATTTCCACTTTGGTGAATTTGACAATTATGTGTCTTGGAGTTGCTCTTCTTGAGGAATATCTTTGTGGCATTCTCTGTATTTCCTGAATCTGAATGTTGGCCTGCCTTGCTAGATTGGGGAAGTTCTCCTGGATAATATACTTCAGAGTGTTTTCCAACTTGATTCCATTCTCCCCGTCACTTTCAGGTTCACCAATCAGACGTAGATTTGGTCTTTTCCCATAGTCCCATATTTCTTGGAGGCTTTGTTCATTTCTTTTTATTCTTTTTTCTCTAAACTTCCCTTGTCGCTTCATTTCATTCATTTCATCTTCCATCACCAATACCCTTTCTTCCAGTTGATCTCATTGTCTCCTGAGGCTTCTGCATTCTTTATGTAGTTCTCAAGCCTTGGCTTTCAGCTCCATCAGCTCCTTTAAACACTTCTCTGTATTGGTTATTCTAGTTATACATTCGTCTAAATTTTTTTCAATGTTTTTAACTTCTTTGCCTTTGGTTTGAATTTCCTCCTGTAGCTCAGAGTAGTTTGATCGTCTGAAGCCTTCTTCTCTCAACTCGTCAAAGTCATTCTCCATCCAGGTTTGTTCCATTGCTTATGAGGAACTGCGTTCCTTTGGAGGAGGAGAGGTACTCTGTTCTTTAGAGTTTCCAGTTTTTCTGCTCTGTTTTTTCCCCATCATCTTTGTGGTTTTATTTACTTTTGGTCTTTGATGATGGTGATGTACAGATGGGTTTTTGGTGTGGAGGTCCTTTCTGTTTGTTAGTTTTCCTTCTAATAGACAGTACCCTCAGCTGCAGGTCTGTTGGAGTTTGCTAGAGGTCCACTCCAGACCCTGTTTGCCTGGGTAACAGCAGCGGTGGCTGCAGGACAACTGATTTTCATGAACCGTGAATGCTGCTGTCTGATCGTTCCTCTGGAAGTTTTGTCTCAGAGGAGTACCCGGCCGTGTGAGTTGTCAGTCTGCCCCTATTGGGGGGTGCCTCCCAGTTAGGCTGCTCTGGGGTCAGGGGTCAGGAACCCACTTGAGGAGGCAGTCTGCCCATTCTCAGATCTCCAGCTGCGTGCTGGGAGAACCACTGCTCTCTCCAAAGCTGTCGGTGACATTTGAGTCTGCAGAGGTTACTGCTGTCTTTTTTTTAATCTGTGCCCTGCCCCCAGAGGTGGAGCCTACAGAGGGAGGCAGGCCTCACTGAGCTGTGGTGGGCTCCACCCAGTTCGAGCTTCCCGGCTGCTTTGTTTACCTAAACAAGCCTGGGCAATGGTGGGCGCCCCTCCCCCAGCCTCGCTGCTGCCTTGCAGTTTGATCTCAGACTGCTGTGCTAGCAATCAGCGAGACTCCATGGGCATAGGACCCTCTGAGCCAGGTGCAGGATATAATCTCCTGGTGCACCATTTTTTAAGCCCATCGGAAAACACAGTCTTCAGGTGGGAGTGACCCGATTTTCCAGGTGCTGTCTGTCACCCCTTTCTTTGACTAGGAAAGGGAACTCCCTGACCCCTTGCACTTCCCAAGTGAGGCAATGCCTCACCCTGCTTCGGCTTGCACACAGTGTGCTGCACCCACTGTCCTGTGCCCACTGTCTGGCACTCCCTAGTGAGATGAACCCAGTACCTCAGATGGAAATGCAGAAATCACCCTTCTTCTGTGTCACTCATGCTGGGAGCTGTAGACTGCAGCTGTTCCTATTCGGCCATCTTGGCTGCCATCTGAAGAGAATTTCAAAGTTACTTAGATTAACAACTTTTTTTCCCCACTCCTCTAGCAATGAGGCAAAGCTATGCATTTAAAATACAGTTATCAGTTTTCAGTTTGACTTTTTCTGTTTTCATGTTGACTTTTGAGCTAATACATTCTGAAATAAATGAAATAAATATCTACACTACTTCCTTATAAGAATATTAATAATTATAATATTAATGTAATCTGCTGGTACCTTCTTTGTTTCAGAATTTTAATTTTATCTTGTTTTACACATTTAATTAATTTTATTTAAAAAATTGCTCCTTTTTTTTACAATTGATCAATTTCTTTGCCTACCACTGCTTCTTGCATAGTTCACATTCTACCTGGATTCAAATTTTATTTTGTAGTAATTCTTCAGCATCACTCTATGAATAAATACTCTTTGCATGTTCAAAACATCTTTAGTTTATTTAATAGCTATTATTAATAATAAAACCTTTGATTCTAGTCTTATTGTTGCTCCCTGTAAATAATCTAACCTTTGTCGTAATAAGATTTCTTTTTATCTTTTCTCTTTCTCTTTCTCTTTAGTGTTCTGTTGTACTCTGGTGTCTATGTGTGTTTGTTTTATTTATCTCATTGATAGAAGAACTAAAAAGAAATTATTTAGGCAATTAGTGAGGGTAAAAAGTCCTTGGTAAGGCTTCCTTTTTAACAAAAAGCAGCCCCCAAATCATTTCTTTTCTAACAAAGAGAAGCCTGTAAAAACCAAGGTGCAAATATAAATAAGCAAGCTGGAAGCTTGCATACGTATGTGCCAGCTGTTGCCCCAGTAGGAAAAGACTACTGTTTCCTGCTGAAAGGCGGGTGGTGGTAGTTGTTCTGTGGGCCCTGGCCTCTTGCTAGTTGCCAGGGCAGGATGGCTCCATGGGTTGGTGCAAATCATATCTAGCCACATCCAAGAGAGATAGGGGCAGGATTTTGCCTTTGTAGTGTCTCACTGATGGACAGCCTAGGGGTTCTCTGTAGAAGTGTGACTCTTGAATGTTGAGAAAATGGTATTCCTCACTGAGGATTACCTGGAGCTTGATGGCCTGAAGGTGAGAAGAGACAAATTGAGTTATTATATTTCAAAGACATGGTCCAAAAAGGAGCAAAAGTAGGACACTAACAAGTGGGTCTAAGGAGGAAAGAACACAGTAGAACCATTTCCAGGTTTCTTCCCAGTTTAAACAACACTGAGAGGCTTGTTTCCATAAATGAGAGGCTTGTTTCCATAAATGAGAGGCTTGATTTATGAGATGTTTAGTGTTATCTTTTACTTTTCCCAATTTGTTTACCTAAAAGCAACGTTTTTCATCTAAGGCTAAACAAATTTCTCGCTGTGCTGCCATTAACATATTGAGTCCTTGAAAATTTTGGAGGACTATGGCTGTTAGAGTTGATTCGTTTTTGCATGACTGTTAAGGTTTTAGCCATGGTGTCAATGTTATTGGCTATTTCATTTGGGACTTGGCTATAAAACAAAGAGGCTTTATTGACTCTGGCAATTCCAGTTTCTTTAGTGGCTATAATGTTTAGTCTCACAAAAAGGAGAATTAATTGGATAGTCCTTGTTACCTTGGGCAGGGTGGAAAACTTGTAGGTTGGCATTGTTAAGAGAGAGATTGTCAGGGACTATGAAGATATCTGGGGATACATAGCCTAGGGTACAAGTTTCAGTCAAGTTATTGGGGAGGTATTGGAGAACAGATTGGCCGCAAATATAAAAGACTCCTTGGGTTTCAAGACAAGTCGAGATGTCAAAACAAAATAAGGGCCTGAGTATAGTTCCATAAAATCCCTAGTTTGCCAACATGGCTGGGTAGCTCGTGGCTGTAGTCATGCCTGTGAAGACTTGTGTGTATGGTGTTTGGCTCTGGTTAGCTCTCTTGTTTTTATTCTCCCCAAATAGAGAAATTTTAGTGTGGTCCAATAGAGTCCATTCTGCTGTAAAGCTGAGGTTGGCAATTTGCAGACACTGGGTGTAATCAGCAGGCTGGAACCAGAAATTTTGAGCACAGCATGAGCTTAGGTGTCCCTGGCAAAACTTGGTTGATTTATCTAGTAAAGTTTCCTGAGGAAAAGTAATATTTGGATGTTTGGAAAATCTTATTTGATGGCAGAATTGGTAGTGGGTGTATACTTGGTAAGACTGCTGGTTAGGATCTACAGTGAAAGTAATATTATTTACAAACTGTACTTACAAGAGTGCCTACATTCATTCCATTTTATTCCTTGGTCATAACACAAATAGTGGCTATTCCCCTTAAAGCAATATTAGTAAAGATGGGTCAAAAATTGGAGTCTCTTTGTAGATATCAGTAAAATTTTGCTTTACTTTTGTAAGAAGGCTATGTGTAGGCTTATTTCATTTAGATTAGGGTCCCATTGATAGAAAATATGCAATTCTGCCTCTATGCTTGTCCAATCTTTGGATGAGTAATTGGTAGAGTAAGGGGATCCTAAGCTTCAGAGAAATTTCTGAGCTTTCTCCAATAAAGGAAAATTAGGATGGTAGTGCACTGCTAGTAAATAGGTGAAAATGAGAACCAGCACGAGTGGGTCCATGGCAAGTTAAGGTGATTATGAAAGAGATAAATTGATCAGAAAGCAAGATGACATTGCAACTCCTGCTGGTATACAAATTCAGGTTAAAATAATGAAATTAGAGCAATAATGAGTAAAATTACTAATATTGGGATTACCTTACTTTGAGGTGCAAGGATGCTGGGGGAGACATTACTTATCTTTTCACTTAAAAAGGAATTTCAGATCTTCCAGTGCTTTGCAAATGTATTCTGGAGATGAGGTTTTTGGTTCCAGCTCTAGTGTTTCAAGGCTTTTTCACAGCTTCACTTGGGTGTCACGAATTCAGCTGGCAATCTCTGGTACTTTAATGGCTGTGAGGGTAGATAATAGAAAAGCAAAGGGGTCCTTCCAGGCCGGAGTTAGTTGGGAATTTGGGGTTTTATCCTTTAAACCTTTAATGAGAACTAGTAATCCTGGGGGATATAGAGGTGGGGAGTTTTCCCCTTTTAATTTTGGGTTTGTTTGTAACCCATATAGCCAGAAAGCCTGCTGGAAGTCTCTTTAACAAGAGACATACAGGGTGATTTTGGCAGTTTCTCTATCTAGTTATAAGTTGTAATATAGAAATGGCCTACCATATAAGGCCTCAAAGGCACTTAATTTCAAGGTAGCCTTAGGGGCAACACAGATCTGAAGGAGGGCTAAAGGTAAGTGGTCCACCCATGACTGTGCCATTTCCTGCAGAGTTTACTGAGGATGTGTTTTAGGGTTTGGTTAATTCTTTTCACTTTTTCTGAAGAGTATCATCTCCAGGCAGAGTGAAGGAACCACTTTATGCCTAGGACACTGTTAACTTGTTGAGTCACTTGGAAAATTAAGGATGGGCCATTGTTGCTTTGCAATGACATGGGAATCCAAAACCTGGGAATGAGTTCTTTTAGGAGGAATTCAGTTACCTTCTGTGCCTTTTTAGTCATTGTTGGGCAGGCTTCTAACCATTCTGTGAAGAAGTCTACACAGACCAAGTGGTACTTGTACCTGAAGCGTGTGGGAAGCTGAGTGAAGTTCATCTGCCATTTCACCCCATTGTATGCATCTCTCCTTTGGATTAGACATATGATGGAGTGGGATTACCTCTCTGGGGATTATTTATGTTGCACAGGGTGCAGGCTCGATAAACCTGTTGAATAGTTTTGTTTAGTCCCTTCCCACTGAGCACCCGTTTGCCCTACACTGTCCTTTCTAAAGTGGCAGAAGTTGTGTAAACTTTTGATGACTTTCCATTGGGAGGCTTTAGGTAGATGGAGAAGTTCTCCCAACCTAAACCATTCATTGTTTTTCTTTTTCTTTTTTTTTTTTTTTTGATACCCATGTTTTGTGGCCCAATTGATTTCTTCCTTAGTGTATTAGAGAGGAGGTAGTTCACCGGGGAGAGAGGGGAGAAAGTACCCCATGAATGTAACTTCTGAGACAACTGCCTCTTTAGCATTTTGGTTGGCTAAACTATTTCTCCATGGAATTTCATCAGAGCTCCTCTGGTGTCTCTTGTAGTGCACATTTGTCACCTCCTGAGGCAAATGAACAGCCTTCTAGTATCTCTAAGATTTGAGGTCCACACTTAATAAGTGTATCCTGAGCTGTTAGGTGCACCCTTTTCTTTTAGACAGCCACATGGTTGTGAAGCACCAGAAAGGCATATTTGGAATCTGTATACATGTTTTTTTTTCTTTTCCCTAGTTTTAGGGTTCTGGTTAGTGCAGTAAGTTTGGCTACTTATGCTGAGGTCCCAAGGACAGAGCTTTAGCTTCTATAACTTGGTGAAGAGACATTATAATGTACCCTGTATAGCTAGTTCCATTTTTGACAAAGCTACTCCCATATGACAACCATATTTTCTCCAGATTATCTAGGAGTTGATCTTTTAAGTCTTTCTGGTTGGCATAAATTTGGTTAAGTATCTCACAAAACAAATGTGTTGAGTTATTGTCTCCTGGTAGTGGTAGTAAGGAGGCTGGGTTAAGGGTGAAACACTGCTCAATTGTTACCTGTGGGTTTTCTAACAACAACACTTGGTACTTCAGCAGTCTGTTGTCAGTGAGCCATTCAGACCCTTTTATGTTCAATAGGGGTCCTATTTGGTGTGATTTCAGGACCTGGATTGATTGTTCCATGGCAATTTTGAGGTACTAATAGTCTAAGGTCTTTGAAAAGTAATCGACAGGATATTTGCTTGCTTGATGGTTTGAGCTAGAACTCCTAGAGTTACGCCATGCATATTAGTGATACAAAGCTGAAACAATTTGGCTAGTATGTGTAGCCCAAGGGCTGGGGCTTGTTACAGGGCAGTTTTTACCGGCCTGAAGGCTTGTTCCTGATCATTTCCCAAGCCAGTGGGTCCTTATCAATTCTTTCTTTTAGAGCCTGATAAAAGGATTTAACAATTTCACCATACTCCAGTATTCAAAGTCTAACATTTTGTGATCCCCAGAGAGGCCTGAAGTTGCTTTTGGATGGTTGGGTTAGGTATTCTAAGGGTGGCCCGTGTCTGTTTAGGGGAGAGCTTATGTTCTCCAGCGGTGAGTATTATTCCCTGGTATTGGACCTCTTCTCTTGTGTTACTAGCTGTGCTTTGGCATTGGACACATTGTATCCTCTATATGTGAAGAAATTTAGTGTCTTGACTAGATGTTGGATTCCCAACTTTTTTGTGTGACAGCAGATTAACAGGTCATCCACATACTAGATAATGCCCTCCCCACTTAAGAGTTAGATTCTACAAATCTTTAGCCAAGTGATTCTCAAACAAATGGGGACTATCTCTGAAACCTTGTGGAATCACTGTCCAGGTGAGCTGTTGACTCCTTCCTTCTTCATTCTCCCACTCAAATGTAAATAGAAATCTGGAGGATGGGTCTAGGGGAACACAAAAGAAAGTGTCTTTGAGGGTTTAGATTGAAAACCACTGATCATCTGGAGCTACTTTTCCTAGAATTATGCATGGGTTGAAGACTATTGGGTGTATAAGGACTACAGCCTCATTTATGATCCACAGGTCCTGGACTAGCCTGTATTCACCATTGATCTTTTTAACAGGTAAGATAAGGATGTTACAGGGTGAGTTACAGGATATTAATAGTCCATATTTTAGAAATGTTTTAACCAGGAGAAAATGTCCCTCTAGTCTCCAGCTGAAGAGGGGACTGCCTCTTACAAAGACAGCTAGAAGGATTCTTGGACTGAATTAGTATAGACATTGCTGTTATGGCCTTTCCTGGTATTGCTGAGGCCCAGATCTCTGGATTAATGGGAATGCTTGTTGGCAGTTCATCATTATTTGTGGTTTCCCTAAAGAATAAAATTATATTTTAAAAAGGGGGTGTTGTTAGCCCTGGAGAAAAGGCTGAGGCCCTAGTCTGAATAAAATATCTCTACCCAAAAAGATCATAGGACATTCTGGCATTACTAAAAATAAACAAGAAAAGACAGTTTCTCTCCACAAGCAGCACAGAGGAAGGGGTAAATCTCCAGGTTATGGGCACTCCATTTACCCCCATTACCTAGCAAGATTTGGGGGATAAACCCCTGGGATAGAAGTAACCACTGAGTATACAGCTCCCATATCCAAAAGAAAACTTATAGTATTACCTGCCATGTCTGAAGCAGCCCTTGGCTCCTTCAGTAGCAATGTTTAATCAGGGAGCCAAACAGAGCATAGAGCTCCTTTAGCTCAAGGAGCTCAAGGCCATCAGGGGAGGGAATTATGTCTAGGAGGCCCTTTGGCTCTCAGGGCAGTCCCATTGCCAATGATTGAGCTTGTGACAATTGGGGCATGGAGTACTTGGTGATTTCCATTTGTTCAGGGACTCTTATGTGGCCTGGCTTCCTGCAGAGGTAACATTTAGGCAAAGGGATCTGCCTGGGGTCTGCCATAGGTGGCTGATGGGTATGCAGTCAGCCAGTAGTTGAGCTATTGCTTTTTCTTTTATCTGCTCCTTTTCCTGAGCCCTTTCCTACTTCTCCTGGTTGCAGTTGGAAAAGACCAAGGGAGTTTCTTTAAGGATGCCAGGCATAGGAGTGTTGAGGCCTAGTGCTAGTTTTTGGAATTTTCTCTTAATATCTGTAGCAGCCTGAATTAGGAAATGGTCCTTTAAGATCAATTGTCCTTCTAGTGAGTCTGGGTCTAAGTTAATATATCTTACTAGAGCCTCTTGTAACCTTTCTAGGAAAGTGGTGTTTTCAAGAGTATCTTGGTCTATTTATTATAGTTTACAGGCTTTTTTTTCTGCTAACTTTTATTCCTTCTAACAGAGAAACATGTGGTTTCTTTCCCATATACCACCTCTGGATATTATAATCCTAATTGGGGTCAACCGGGGGAAGTGCAGTGGCTTCCACAGGGAAGGTACCAGGGTCGGTCATTTGCAAACTGCTGGGCTGCCTCCATAATGGAGTCATGTTCTCCCTTAGACAGTAGTCTCTAATATGACTGTGAGTTCTCTCCAGGTGATGTAGATGTTAAGCCCAGTTTACAGAATCCTTCAATGTATCTGTCAGCGTCCTTCATAAACTTCCCTAGTTCTGTTTTGATTTGGCACAATTCCTGCATAGTGAATGGTGTCTTGGCTCTAGTGGGTTTCCTGGGGCTACTAATCTCTGGATGGGGGAATAACTTAAGGAGATGGTGTCTAGAGAATTGTCCTGGGTGTAAGGAAAAGGCTCAAAGACTAGGGGACTTGGATATAATGGAGTAGAAGGGGTAATGGGGCTTGAAATAAATGCCACCCTTCATTCCTTCCGGGCTTGAGCCCTGGGTAAACTTGATGAGGGGTCTTCCAAACAAACCAGAGAGAGCTGCCTGACTATGGCTGCTATCATCAATGGATCCATTTTACAAGCCTGACAAATGTCATGGTTGTTTCTTACGGCCATAAAAGCCTGTACATAGGAAATTTCTGTTCATTTTCCCTGCTGGCAGCAAAACGAATCTAGTTGGTGAATGTATTAGTCTATTCTCACACTGCTGATAAAGACATACCTGAGACTGGGTAATTTATAAAGAAAAGAGGTTTAATTTACTCACAGTTCCACGTGGCTGGAGAGGCCTCACAAGCATATCATTTTGCCCCTGGCCCCTCCCAAATTTCATATCTTCAAATTTCAAAACGAATATGCCTTCCCAACAGTCTCCCAAAGTCTTACCTCATTTCAGCATTAACTCAAAATTCCACAGCCTAAAGTCTCATCTGAGATGAGGCAAGTCCCTTCCACTTATGAGCTTGTAAAATAAAAAGCAAGTTAGTAACTTCCTAGATGAAATGGGCATAGAGGTATTGGGTAAATAGACCCATTCCAAATGGGAGAAATTGGCCAAAATTCAGGCGCTACAAGTCCCTTGCAAGTCTGAAATCCAGCATGGCAGTCAAATCTTAAAGCTCTGAAATGATCTCCTTTGACTCCATGTTTCACATCTAGGTCATGCTGATGTAAGAGGTGGGTTCCCATGGTCTTAGGCAGTTCCATCTCTGTGGCTTTGCAGGGTATGGCCCTCCTCCTGGCTGACTTCATGGGCTGATGTTGAGTGTCTGTGGCTTTTCCAGGTGCATGGTGCAAGCTGTCAATGAATCTACCATTCTGGGATCTGGAAGATAGTAGTCCTCTTTTCACAGCTCCACTAGGCAGTGCCCCAGTGGGGACTCTGTGTGGGGCCTTCCACCCCACCTTTACCTTCTGTACTGCCTAGCAGAGGTTCTCCATGAGGGTCCTGCCCCTGCAGCACACCTCTGCTTCCAGGCATTTACATAGATCCTCTGAAATCTAAGCAGAGGTTCCTAAACCTCAATTCTTGCACCCACACCCTCAACGCCACATGAAAGTTGCCAAGGATTGGAGCTTGAACCCTCTGAAGCTACAGCCTGACCTGTACCTTAGCCATAGCTGAACTGGCTGGGTTGCAGGGCACCAAGTCTTGAGGCTGCCCACAGTAGGGGGGCCCTGGACCCAGCCCAGTAAACCATTTTTTCTTTCCTAAGCATCTATGCCTGTGATGGGAACCGCTGCTGCCATGAAAATCTCTGACATGCCCTAGAGACATTTTTCCCACTGTCTTGGCGATTAGCATTTGTCTTCACATTACTTATGCAAATTTCTATTGCTGGCCTGAATTTCTCCCAAGAAAATTGGCTTTTCTTTTTGACTGCATTGTCAGGCTGCAAATTTTTCAAACTTATATGCTCTCTTCCTCTTGAACACATTGCAGCTTAGAAATTTCTTCCACCAGTGCCCTAAATTACTTCTCTCAAATTCAAAGTTCCAGAGATCTCTAGGGCAGGGAAAAAATGCCTCCAGTCTCTGCATACCAAGAGTGACCTTTATTTCAGTTCCCAATATTCTTTATTTCCATCTGAGACCACCTCAGCCTGGATTTTATTGTCTATATCACTATCAAGATTTTGGTCAAAGCCTACCACAAGTCACTAGGAAGTTCCAAACTTTATCACATTTTCCTGTCTTCTGAGCCCTCCAAACTGTTCCACCCTCTGCCTGTCACCCAGTTCCAAAGTTGTTTCTACATTTTTGGGTACCTTTATAACAGTTCCCCATGCCCAGTACCAGTGTACTGTATTAGTCTGTTCTCATGATGCTAATAAAGCCTGGGTAATTTATAAAGAAAAGAGGTTTAATTTACTCACAGTTTCACATTCCTGGGGAGGCCTTACAATCATGGCAGAAGGTGAATGAGGAACAAAGTCACATCTTAGATGGCAGCAGACAAGAGAGCTTGTTCAGGGGAACTCAGATCTTGTGAGACTTATTCAGTACCATGAGAAGAGTGTGGGGGAAACTGCCCCTATGTTTCAATTATCTCCACCTGGCCCAAGCCTTGACATGTGGAGATTATTACAATTCAAGGTGAGATTTAGGTGGAGACACAGCAAAACCATAGCAATGGATCATATTAAAATTTATGCTTCCATTCTCCAAACTAAGATTCCTGGTCCCAGAGCTTGCGTTGAACACAGGCTGTTACAAAAAATATTTGCCTTTTCCTTTTAAGGTTTTAAATTTTACCAGTTCTTGAGGATGTATACCAGGGGTGTGCCTTGTGTTATGGAGATGTAATTACTCATCTGCAAAAAGAGAACAGAGAAGGAATAAAGAAGACATCCCCTGTAGTTTTCTTACTTTTTTCTGAACTTATAGCAGGTCTAAGTGAATAGGACCTTCCGTCATTTATCCATTTTTCATGTACTTATGGCAGACTGGAGTGAATAGGGCATTTTTTCATTTATTCATTTTTCCTGCAGTTATGACAGACCAGAGTGAATAGGGTGTCTCTCATCTATTTTAGGGGTTCCAGAATGAACCAGTGCTTACCAGGTACCCCAAAGCTTGGTCCCATATTGTTTTATAGTGGTGCAATTACCCATTTGTGAAGAGATACCATAGGAAAGAAGGGAATAAGAAGGTGTTCCCCCTTCTTTCCTTAATCCTGAACCTATGGCAAACTGGAGTGATCAGGGTACCCTCCATTCAACCAAAGGGTTCTGGAATTAACCAGTGGTTACTGGATACCCCTGACCCAGGTCCCATCCCATTTCAGGGAGCAGCCTTCATTTCTGTTCTAGTAGTGATCTGCTTTGCATTGATAGCCTGGAACTAGCCTTCATCTCTGTTCTGTGAGTACTTTGGCCTCCAATGCTTGTGGCCTTGGGCCAGTCTATATCCTTGTCTCCATGACCACATAGCAACTCTTGTTTGGTGCATTCTAGCCTTAAAATTATTATCTCTTTTTTATATTCCCATTTTCCATGTTCTTTAAGTAAACGAGAAGCCTGTTTTTTAGCCAACTGTCTCAAGGGAGCTGGACTTCCCTCCCTTCAAATATAGCCTTGAAGGTCCTGATGAATATGAAAATGGGTGTGGAAATGATTAGAGAAATGGAGGAAAATTTGTATTAGGGTTCCTCATCTCCCCAGGGTAATGTGCAGAACAAATGTTTAAACAGACAGGACAATATTTCTGCTACAAGAGGAAGTGGGAGGAAGCAAGAGGAATATTCACGGAAAATCTTCATATGCTTTCAAAAACGGCAGCCCTTGGATTGGAGAGGGCAACATTTACTTGCTCTCATGACATAAAGGAGGTACTTCTGGGGGACTTGGGGCTTCAGATAAAGCCTTGCAAATGTAAAAGAAAGAACTTTCTCTCCTCCCAAAGAGATGCTAACTCAAAACAGGTAGGTGGGGTTTTCAAAATCCTGTAGAGTGAGGTTCTATACAGGGGACAATCTACTTCAAAGGCCATCGAAAAACTTGGCCTTGTAGCGTAATGCATAAAAAGCATATGGTAAGCCATAAGAAGTTGGCAGAGCTGGGGTTACGGTTGGTGTCTGTCCCAGCAATCAGCCAGCTGACATCTGCAGTGAAGCTCATGTCTTTGCTGCTGCACAAATGCAACAAAGGCGATGGACACATGAATAACAAACTAGGAGTGTGTTTGAGGTAGGGAAAATGCTCATGGCTTTCAAAGTCAAAGCAGGGAAAAGGCGGACTTGCCCCCAAGGTGGATAATCCAGCAGGTGCTCATGGCCATTTCAGAACACACAGAGAGAAAACAAGAGAATACGCAGTGTTGGGTTTTGGTAAAGAGCCAATTTTAGTTGAATAAGCAGAGGAAACCCCATACATTACATGGTTTTAGGTTTTAGCTCTACCACTCTCATAAGCCCCCTGTCCAGAAGGGCCATTAGTGTCTTAGATCTACTCGGTGTGGACTCTGAGGTCCTTCCTACCTCTGTGAAATACCCATCACAGTGAGATTAGAGATCAGCTGCAGGGAGCAGAGCCACTGTGGCTAGGAGGAATCATTCTGGCCATCGGTTAATAAGCAGGAGAGTGAAAGGGGAGAAGAAAACCATGTATGGAGGTTGAATGCATCCAGCCCATGAAGGTGAAGCATAGAAGCATTACCACTAGGAAATGTATCTGAGTCATCTGGCACCAAAGTATGTTACCAGCAGAAAATTCATACAGGTCTGCAGCATCTCAATCCTTGCCTCCTTGGCAAAATGAATTTGGCCAAGAGGCAGACGTGGGTTTTAGGTAGAGGAATAGTCCAAGACAAATTTTAGAGCAGATATGAGAGTTTACAAACAAGTTTTAGAGCAGGAGTGAAAGGAAATAAAGTACACTTGGAAGAGGGCCAAGCAGGCAACATGAGAGATCCAATTGCCCTGTTAGGCCCTTGGCTTGGGATTTTATACCTTGGCATAGTTTCAGGATTTGCATTTCTTCTCCCATGATTCTTCCTTTGGGAAAGGCTGTCCACATGCACAATGGCCTGTCAGCACTTGGGAGGAACCACGTGCACAGTGTGTTTACTGAAGTTGTGTGCATGCTCACTTGAGGCATTTTTTTTCCCTCACCAGTCAAGTGTTTCCAGAGGAAGATCAAATACTGGTTAAACTCTACCATTTTGCCTCCTAATATGCGTGCTTGAGCACGTTTGCCCAATTCCTGAGATCTTTTCAGGGAGCTGCTGATCACCAGATCCAGGTGTTTTCTATCTATTGGGACACGTCTTCCCCTGGCATCATCTGTAGTTAATTATAATTTTAGAGAAACAGCTTAAAGAGACAATCACCTGATCATCACCTGATGTTTCCCTGACATTCCTGGGGGTGGGGAGCTCTCCTGTCCTGCTCATGCTGGCTTAGCTACCTATTCTAACACCTTTGGTAAAAGAAAAAATTTGAAAGCCAGAAATATTTGCTGTTTGTCCAGGTTAAAATTTGATAATAAGAGATGTAAAATGATTTTTAAATATCTCTATGGTCAGAACTCCCCTTAATTAAAAGAGGGGTTTCTCTCAGGTCTAAAGCTCTGTTCTTTAATATCTGTGTGTGTGTGTGTGTGTGTGTGTGTGTGTGTGTGTGTGTGTGTGTGTGTGTGTGTGTGTGTGGTCTTTCTGCTTTTTCTTTTTTGAATCTTGTTTCTGATAATTTGTTTTCAGTTGACTAAAAACTGCATTATGTTGTGTCCTTCTGTTTACTTCTCTGCTTGTTAAGATTTTTGCACATAAAAAATGTAAATTTTATTGGTCTTGCCAGGAGTGGTGGCTCATGCCTGTAATCCAAGTACTTTGGGAGGCCAAGGCAGGTGGATCACCTGAGGTCAGGAGTTTGAGATCAGCCTGGCCAACATGGTGAAAGCCTGTCTCTATTAAAAATACAGAATTAGCTTGGAGTGGTGGCACATGCCTGTAATCCCAGCTACTCAGGAGGCTGAGACAGGAGAATCACTTGAACCCAGGAGGTGGAGGTTGCAGTGAGCTGAGGTCATGCCATTGCACTTTAGTCTGGGTGACAGAACAAGACTGTCTGGAAAAAAAAGTATTGGTCTTCTCAAAAGCTTAACATCTCAAATTGGCTCCTTTGGGAATATTATCCCATTTACTTCCTCGTCTCCCTACTCCCTCTTTGCTGTCTTCAGTACCACATGAAGGAATATAGAGGAAACTTGTAAGGACTCTGAGACTTCTTGAGGAAAAAAGAAAATGATGGCACACACCCCCTTTTGGGGGTTTCTTTCTTGTTGAGTCCAAGAAGTCATAGATGGGTTCCTCTTAGATCTAAAGCTCTTCTCTCTTTTGAATTGCATTACCTCATCTCTTTGGCTTTTGGATGTACCAGGGAGTACTTTGTACTGTGAGAAAGAATTTGACTTTTGTGTGTGTAATAGATCACAAGTCATTGGGAAGAAATGCAATTTTGGAAGGGGTGTAGGTAGAGAGGTTACAGTGAATTGTTATCACTGCAGGAAACTACTATTTTCTTTGCAGTTTTAGATAAATAGTCACATTTAAACACTTGGAGGCTGTGGAAATTCTGGCCACTGAGAGATAAGACTTTCATGGGGTATAGACTTATGAAAGAATGGGCTGATTGGTGATGGGTTGCCCACCAGCCAAAGGGAAATGTCTCCATAGTGATCTGCACTATAGAAACATTGTGGGCCCATTACCATAGTGTTTCCCCGTCTTGAGGAACTTGAGGTTCAGTGTAAATGTAGAATTTTTAATTTTTTTAAATTTTAGAGACAGTCTCACTATGTTGCCTACACTAGCCATGAACTCCTGGCTTCAAATATTCCACTTACCTTGGCCTCTCATTTAGCTGGAAGTACAGATGCATGCAACCATGCCCAGCTGAATTTTTAACTTTACAAATTGTTCTGCCATCCAGCTGTTCCTGCTTTTTATATAAATTGGTATTAGACCCTAAAGACTCCAAATGCTTCATTGGCTCAATTCATTGATGATCTCCACCCTTAGCTCAGTGGTCAAACTATAAAAGAGACTAAACCTAACTGGTTTGATCTCCAAAATATGACTTTCTAACATTCCACTGGTTATTTTGAAAAGATTTCTGAATTTTATCTATGCTCATATGTTTGTCTCCTTGTACAAACCTGTGGTAAATTTGCATAATTTTTTGTCACCTTGGCATCCATTTTTAATCTTCCTCTGATGAACACACCCTAACTCCTTCTCAAAGAAAGCTGAAATTCTCTTTGTGCTTTGAAATGTAAATTTACTACCCGGTTTTCTCTAAAACTTGGTCACAACTTCAGCCATGAGACACAGATAAACATTAACTTTTTGCATTTACAAAGGCACAGTTTGAATCCAACTTTCCTTTTAATCTAGAAAGATTTACCAGTATTATGGCTAGAATTTTAAAATCGAAGATTTGCAGCCTTTATTTATATTTGTCTGTATTTTTATGTATACATGTGTACATGTCTATGTTTATATATCTTCTATGTTGTGCCAAATTCACTTATACATAAATGAATACTAATAAATGAATTAAGTAAGCCCAAATGCTTTTCAAGTTTATGTGACTTTAGTAATCTTTGCTAAATAAAGCTAATTTAAAAATTGTTGGTAAAATAAAATTAGAATATCTTTAGAACTATTAGGATTAAATATAATTCAGAAATTTTTGCCGGGGTCCATTTATTTTAAAAGATTATACTGTCTCCAGTAGATGTTTTAAAATCATAAAACTGTTACTTTTTTGATATTTTTGATACTTGCTATATTTATCTTTAAGTTTATCTCTTAGGTTTTAAGATATATGTGGCCACGGTGAGGCTTAGGTAGAGCCAAACCCAGTATGTCTTTCCTGTCCCAACTGTGTCTCCTGGCCATGCTGGGAGTGGTAGGATGCTTAAAACATTGTCTTCAGAGGCTGTCTTTTGTCTTGGGTTCTGCATCTAGTAAATAACAACTAAAAATTCTTACCTTTTAGGATTTTTCTTTTTCACAAAAAATAAGGGTTAATAAAGTTAACATTGTAATTAATATATTTGTAACTAATATAATTAGTAATTATATTAGTTATAATTATTTATAGTTGATATATTTGTTAATATTGTAATTAATATAATTAAAACTAACGGATATGTAGCAGGACGAGCTGCAGACAAAACCCCTCAGACACCAGGTTAAAGAAGGAAGAGGCTTTATTTGGCTGGGAGTGTCGGCAGACTTGGATCTCAAGAACCAAGCTCCCTGAAGAAGGAGTTCCTGGCCCTTTTAAGGGCTTACAACTCTAAGGGGTCCATGTGAAAAGGTCGTGATAGATTGAGCAAGCATGGGGCACATGACTAGGTGGGGGTGGTGAGCAAGGCAAGTATTTCTCCATACTATTGTCTGTGATTTATAGATAGAACAAGGTGTTAGGGTGGGTGACAATCTTTAACCTATAGGCCTGGCCAGTGGTGCCGATCAGTCTGTTATTTTTCAGTTTTTACTTCCTCCTTTTCTTTGGAGACAGGGGACAGTAGGAGAAATGATCTCTATCCTCAGATACAATAGCAACACTTCTGTATGAAAAGCGTACAAGAAATATAGGATGTGTTTTTGTTGAGGAAAGTTTTAAAGAAGACACAAGAATGGGATTTTGTTAAACAGAAGGTAGTTAGTGTAGTTTAGAGGTTTTTAGAAGATGTGTTAATTTGAAAAAATACAGAAAATAATAGATAAAGCTAAATAGATATAGAATGTTGGATTAAAAACTGGAGACATATGTAAGAGGCTATAAAAGCTTTATAAAAATATCTTGTATGATCAAAAGTGATTGAGATTGGATAGAATTGTTTATAAGGTTTTATTAAAATTATCTTTAGCATTAATAATACAATAATGCAAAAAGGTAGAATTTGTTTTCTCTTTTGAACAAGATTTTCATGTAGTAGTAATAAATGACAGTAAAACATTTTAGTTTAACTTTTAAGAAAACTGCAAAAAAAGGGGAGAAGTGTTTGTTACATACTGTCTGTATTTGTTAATTTAATTGTTTAAAAAATGGAGTCTCTATGAAAGAGTATAAATTTTTGATTTATGAAATATTTGAATTATGACTGTTGCTAAATATCTGTTATTTTTCATCAAACTGTGATTTCATTGTAAGTAGATGTTTTTATATTTATCATATTAACTACAACTTTTTAAGATAAACTTCTGATAATCAAATTTCAAATCATTAAATTTAGTCTTTTTGACATTCAATTACCTTTTTTTTTGGACTTTAGAGACCCTGGAAGTCTAAGAGAGATGAAATAGGCTTATTTGGTATATAAAAACGATACAGAAAGCATTTTCAAATAAGAAATGGTGTTTTATTTCCTTCGAGTTACATTAACATAAATATGTGCTTCAAAACTGTATGATGATATAATTTGGCTGTGTCCCCACCCAAATCTCAACTTGAATTGCATCTCCCAGATTTCTCACGTGTTGTAGTAGGGACCCAGAGAGAGGTCATTGAATCATGGGGTCTGGTCTTTCCCATGCTATTCTCGTGATAGTGAATAAGGCTCAAGAGATCTGATGGGTTTATCAGGGGTTTCTGCTTTCACTTCTTTCTCATTTTTCTCTTGCTGCCACCATGAAAGAAGTGCCTTTCACTTCCTGCCATATTTCTGAGGCTTCCCCAGTCATCTGGAACTGTAAATCCAATTAAACCTCTTCTTCTTCCCAGTCTCGGGCATGTCTTTATCAGCAGCATGAAAATGGACTAATACACTAAATTGGTACCAGTAGAGGGGGACATTGCTGAAAAGATACCTGAAAATGTGGAAGTAACTTTGGAACTGGATATCAGGCACAGGTTGGAACAGTTTAGAGGGCTCAGAAGAAGAAAGAAAAACGTGGGAAAGATTGGAACCTCCTAGAGACTTGTTGAATGGCTTTGACAAAAATGCTGATAGTAATATGAACAATAAGGTCTAGGCTGAGATGGTCTCAGATGGAGATTAGAAACTTGTTGGGAACTGGAACAGAGGAGACTCTTGTTATGTGTTAGCAAAAAGACTCACAGCATTTTGCCCCTGGAAATTTGTGGAGCTTTGAACTTGAGAGAGATGATTTAGTGTATCTGGTGGAAGAAATTTCTAAGCAGCAAAGCATTCAAAAGATGACTTGTGAGTTGTTAAAAACATTCAATTTTAAAAGAAAAACAGACCATAAAAGTTCAGAAAATTTTCAGCCTGATGATGCAGTAGAAAAGAAAAACCCATTTTCTGAGGAGAAATTCTCTGAGGAGAGATTCAAGCTGGCTGCAGAAATTTGCATAAGTAACAAGGAGCCGAATGTTAATCCCCAAGACAATGGGGAAAATGTCTCTAGGGCATGCCATAGGTACTCATGGCAGCTCCTCCCATCACAGACCTGGAACTTAGGAGGAAAAAGTGGTTTCGTTGGCTGGGCTCAGGGTCCTCCTGCAGTGTGCAGCCCAGGGACTTGGTGCCCTGTGTCCCACCCACTTCAGCTATTGCTAAAAGGGGCCAAGGTGCAGCTTGGCTCATGGTTTCAGAGCGTGCAAGCCCCAAACCTTGGAAGCTTCCATGTGGTGTTGAGCCTGCGGGTGCACAGAAGTCAAGAGTTGAGGTTTGGGAATCTCTGCCTGGATTTCAGAGGATGTATGGGAACATCTAGATGCCCAGGCAAAACTTTGCTGCAGGGGAGGGGTCTTCTTGGAGAACCTCTGTTAGGGCAGTGCAAAAAGAAAATGTGGGGTCGGAGCCCCCAAACAAAGTATCTACTGGGGCACCGCCTAGTGGAGCTGTGAGAAGAGGGTCACCATCCTCCCAACCCCACAATGGTAGAGCTACTGACAGCTTGCACCATTCACCTGGAAAAACCACAGATACTCAACGCCAGCACATGAAAGCAGATGGGAGAGAGTTTGTACCCTGCAATGCCACAGGGGCAGAGCTGCCCAAGACCATAGGAACCCACCTCTTGCATCAGCATGACCTGCATGTGAGACCTGGAATCAAAGGAGATCATTTTGGAGCTTGAAAATTTGACTGCCTTGATAGACTTCGGGCTTGCATGGGTACTGTAACCCCTTTGTTTTGGCCAATTTCTCCCATTTGGAATGGCTGTATTCACCCAATACCTGTACCCCCAATGTATACAGGAAGTAACTACCTTGCTTTTGATTTTACGGGTGGAAGGGACTGGCCTTGTCTCAGATGAGAGTTTGGACTGTAGACTTTTGGGTTAATGCTGAACTGAGTTAAGACTTTTTGAAAATGTTGGGAAGGCATGATTGGTTTTGAAATGTGAGGACGTGAGATTTGGAGGGGCCAGGGGTGGAAAGATATGGTTTGGCTGTGTTCCCACCCAAATTTCAACTTGAATTGTATCTCCCTGAATTCCCACATGTTGTGGGAGAGACCCAGGGGGAGATAATTGAATCAAGGGGGCTGATCTTTCCCATGCTATTCTCTTGATAGTGAATAAGTCTCACGAGATCTGATGGGTTTATCAGGGGTTTCTGCTTTTGATTCTGTCTCATTTTTCCCCTGCCACTGCCATGTAAGATGTGCTTTTCACCTCCCCCATGATTCTGAGGCCTTCCCAGCCATGCAGAACTTAAGTCCAATTAAACCTTTTTTTCTTCCCAGTCTCGGGTATGTCTTTTTTTTTTCTTTCCTTCTTTCTTTCTTTCTTTCTTTCTTTCTTTCTTTCTTTCTTTCTTTCTTTCTTTCTTTCTTTCTTTCTTTCTGTTTCTTTCTTTCTTTCTTCTTTTCTTTTTTAATAAGGCGGAAGGCTTTATTTAGTTGAGAGTATCAGGGAGCCATTCTAGCAAACAGCAATCAGCAGGAAAGGAATACAGCACTATCTAGATATCCATAAATATTCATTTTCTTCATAAAAGTCACATGACTGCAGCCAGGTGTGAATTCTGTCATTGATTCATATGAAAATAAGAAATTCCTCACACTTTGGTGGTTCCTATTTTCAGATTACAGACAAATACATGTAATTCCTGGACACACTGTAAATAATGAGCTGAAAATGTCACATTAAAGTCGTTTTTAACTATTTAATGATTACCAACATAGAAAATAGATTTCAAGAGCCTCAGTCATCAAAAATAAAAATATAGATTAAGGCATTTTAGGAATAAAGTGAGCATGCCTGTAACTATGTAACTATATTAAAAAGGCAATTAGGCCATTTTTTTTTGCTATTGCTTCCCATTTATTTATTTATTTATTTATTTATTTATTTTAAAGTATACTTTAAGTTCTGGGGTATATGTGCAAAATGTGCAGATTTGTTACATAGGTATACATGTGCCATGGTGATTAGCTGCACCCAAAAACCTGTCATCTACATTAGGTATTTCTCCTAATGCTATCCCTCCCCTAGGCCACCACCCCACAACAGGCCCTGTTGTGAGATCCGCCCCTGCCCCGCCCCCATGTCCAGGTGTTCTCATTGGTCAACTACTACTTATGAGTGTGAATATGTGGTCTTTGCTTTTCTGTTCTTGTGTTAGTTTGCTGAGAATGATAGTTTCCAGCTTCATCCGTGTCCCTGCAAACTCATGCTTTTTTATGACTGCATAGTATTCACGGTGTATATGTGCCTCATTTTCTTTATCCAGTCTATCATTGTTGGACATTTGGGCTGGTTCCAAGTCTTTGCTATTGTGAACAGTGCCTCAGTAAACATATGTGTGCATGTGTCTTTATAGTAGAATGATTTATAATCCTTTGGGTATATACCCACTAATGGGATTGCTAGGTCAAATGGTATTTCTGGTTCTAGATTCTTGAGGAATCTCCACACTGTCTTTCACAATGGTTGAACTAATTTACACTCCCATCAACAGTGTAAAAGCATTCCTCTTTCTCCACATCCTCTCCAGCACCTGTTTTCCTGACTCTTTAATGATCATGATTCTAACTGGTGTGAGATGGTATCTCATTGTGGTTTTGATTTGCATTTCTCTAATGACCAGTGATGATACGCTTTTTTTCACGTGTATGTTGGCTGCATAAATGTCTTCTTTGTAGAAGTGTCTGTTCATATCTTTCGTCCACTTTCTGATGGGGTTGTTTGTTTTTTTCTTGTAAATTTGTTTAGTTTTTGTAGATTCTGGATATTAGCCCTTTGTCAGATGGATAGACTGCAAAAATTTTCTCCCATTCTGTAGGTTGCCTGTTCACTCTGATGATAGTTTCTTTTGCTGTGCAGAAGCTCTTTAGTTTAATTAGATCCCTTTTGTCTATTTTGGCTTTTGTTGCCATTGCTTTTGGTGTTTTAGTCATGAAGTCCTTGCTCATTCTTATGCCCTGAATGGTATCGCCAAGGTTTTCTTCTAGGGTTTTTATGGTTTTAGGTCAATGGTAGCTTGATGGGGTAAGTTTTAGATCTTACGTTTAAGTCTTTAATCCATCTTGAGTTAATTTTTGTATAAGGTATAAGGAAGGGACCCAGTTTCAGCTTTCTGCATATGGCTAGCCAGTTTTCCCAACATCATTTATTAAATAAGGAATCCTTTCCCCATTGCTTGTTTTTTTCAGGTTTGCCAAATATCAGATGGTTGTAGATGTGTGGTGTTATATCTGAGGCCTCTGCTCTGTTCCATTGGTCTGTATATCTGTTTTTTTTAACAATACCATGCTGTTCTGGTTACTGTAGCCTTGTAGTATAGTATGAAGTCAGGTAGCGTGATGCCTCCAGCTTTGTTCCTTTTGCTTAGGATTTTCTTGGGTATGCGGGGTCTTTTGTGGTTCCATATGAAATTTGAAGTAGTTTTTTCTAATCCTGTGAAGAAAGTCAATGGTAGCTTGATGGGGATAGCATTGAATCTATGAATTACTTTGGGCAGTATGACCATTTTCACGATATTAATTTTTTCTCTCCATGAGCATGGAATGTTTTTCCATCTGTTTGTGCCCTCTCTTATTTCCTTGAGCAATGGTTTGTAGTTCTCCTTGAAGAGGTCCTTTACATCCCTTGTAAGTTGTATTCTTAGGTATTTAATTCTTTGTAGCCATTTTGACTGGGAGTTCACTCATGATTTGGCTGTCTGTTTTTCTGTTATTGGTGTATAGGAATGCTTGTGATTTTTGCACATTGATTTTGTATCTTGAGACTTTGCTAAAGTTGCTTATCAGCTTAAGGAGATTTGGGGCTGAGACCTTTGGGTTTTCTAAATATACAATCATGTCATCTGCAAACAGAGACAATTTGACTTTCTCTTTTCCTAATTTAATACACTTTATTTTTTTTCTCTTTCGTGATTGCCCTGACCAGAAATTCCAATACTCTGTTGAATAGGAATGGTGAGAGAGGGCATCCTTGTCTTGTGCTGGTTTTCAAAAGGAATGCTTACAGTTTTTTCCCATTCAGCATGATATTGGCTGTGGGTTTGTCATAAATAGCTCTTATTATTTTGAAATATGTTCCATCAACACCTAGCTTATTGAGAGTTTTTAGCATGAAGGGCTGTTGAATTTTTCGAAGGGCTTTTCTGCATCTATTGAGATAATCATGTGGTTTTTGTCATCGGTTCTGTTTATGTGATGGATTATGTTTATTGATTTGCATATATTGAATCAGTCTTGCATCCCAGGGATTAGGCTGACTTGATTGTGGTGGATAAGCTTTTAGATGTGCTGCTGGATCCGGTTTGCCAGTATTTTATTGAGGATTTTCACATCGATGTTCATCAGGGATATTGGCCTGAAATGTTTTTTTTGTTGTTGTTGTGTCTCCGTCAGGTTCTGCTATCAGGATGATGCTGGCCTCATAAAATGGATTAGGGATAAGTCCTTCTTTTTCTATTGTTTGGAATAGTTTCAGCAGGAATGGTACCAGCTCCTCTTTGTACCTCTGGTAGAATTCGGCTGTGAATCTGTTTGGTCCTGGATTTTTTTGGTTGGTAAGCTGTTAATTATTGCCTCAATTTCAGAGCTTGTTACTGGTCTATTCAGGGATTCAACTTCTTCCTGGTTTAGTCTTGGGGTGGTGTATGTGTCCAGGAATTTATCCATTTCTTCTAGATTTTGTAGTTTATTGGCGTAGAGATGTTTATAGTATTCTCTGATGGTAGTTTGTATTTCTGTGGGATCAGTGGTGATATCTGCTTTATCATTTTTTTATTGGGTCTATCTGGTTCTTCTCTGTTTTCTTCTTTATTAGTCTTGCTAGTGGTCTATCAATTTTGTTGATCTTTAAAAAAACTAGCTCCTGGATTCATTGATTTTTTTGAAGGGTTTTTTGTGTCTGTATCTCCTTCAGTTCTCCTCTGATCTTAGTTATTTCTTGCCTTCTGCTAGCTTTTGAATTTGTTTACTCTTGCTTCTCTAGTTCTTTTAATTGTGATGTTAGGGTGTCGATTTTAGATCTTTCCTGCTTTCTGTTGTGGGCATTTAGTGTTATAAATTTCCCTCTTGTGTCTTGGGGTTGCTCTTTTTGAGGAGTATGTTTGTGGTGTTCTCTGTATTTCCTGAATTTGAATATTGGCCTGCCTTGGTAGGTTGGGGAAGTTCTCCTGGATATATCCTGAAGAGTGTTTTCCAGCTTGCTTCCTTTCTCCCCGTCACTTTCAGGTACACCAAACAAAGGTAGGTTTGGTCTTTTCCCATAGTCCCACATTTCTTGGAGGCTTTGTTCATTTCTTTTCACTCTTTTCTCTAATCTTGTCTTCTTGCTTTATTTCATTGAATTGATCTTCAGTCTCTGATATTGTATTTTCCACTTGATCGATTTGGCTATTGATACTTGGGTATGCTTCATGAAGTTCTCGTGCTGTGTTTTTCAGCTCCATAAGGTCATTTATGTTCTTATTTGAACTGAGTTATTCTTTAAACTGGTTATTCTAGTTAGCAATTCACCTAATCTCTTTTCAAGGTTCTCAGTTTCCTTGCATTGGATTATAACATGCTCCTTTAGCTCAGAGAAATTTGTAATTATCCACCTTCTGAAGCCTACTTCTGTCAATTCTTCAAACTCATTGTCCATCCAGTCTTGTTCCCTTGCTGGTGAGGAGTTGTAATCCTTTGGAGGAGAACAGGTATTTTGGTTTTTGGAATTTTCAGCCTTTTTGTGCTGGTTTCTCCCCATCTTTGTGGATTTATCTACCTTTGGTCTTTGACGTTAGCGATCTTCGGATGGGTCTCTGAGTGGACATCCTTTTTGTTGATGTTGATACTATTCCTTTCCGTTTGTTTGTTTTCCTTCTAACATTCAGGACCCTCTGCTGCAGGTTTGCTGGAGTTTGCTGGAGGTCCACTCCAGATCCCGTTTGCCTGGTTGTTACCAGCAGAGGCTGCAGAACAGCAAAGATTGCTGCCTGTTTCTTCCCCTTGAAGCTTCGTCCCAGAGGGACACCCACCAGATGTCAGCTGGAGCTCTCCTGTATAAGGTGTCTGTTGACCCTACTGGGAGCTTTCTCCCAGTCAGGATACACAGAGGTCAGGGACCCACTTAAGGAGGCAATTTGTTCCTTATCAGAGCTTGAACGCTGTGCTGAGAGATCTGCTGCTCTCTTCAGAGCTTTCAGGCAGGGAAGTTTAAGTCTGCTGAAGCTGCGCCCACAGCCGCCCCTTCCCCCAGGCGCTCTGTCCCAGGGAGATGGGGGTTTTATCTATAAGTCCCTGACTGGGGCTGCTGCCTTTTTTCAGAGATGCCCTGCCCAGAGACAAGGAATCTAGAGAGACAGTCTGGCCGTGCTGAGTTGTGGTGGGCTCTGCCCAGTTTGAACTTCCTGGTGGCTTTGTTTACACTGTGAGGGTAAAATGGCCTACTTGAGCCTCAGCAATGGTGGACACCCCTTCCCCAACCAACCTCCGGCATCTCAGGTCAACCTCAGACTGCTGTGCTAGCAATGAGAATTTCAAGTCGCTGGATCTTAGCTTACTGGGCTCCATGTGGGTGGGACTCATCAAGCCAGACCACTTGGCTCCCTGGCTTCAGCCCCCTTTCCAGGGGAGTGAACAGTCTTGTCTGCTAGCATTACAGGTGCCAATGGGGTATGAAAAAAAAAAAAAAAAAAAACTCCTGTAGCTAGCTCGGTGTCTGCCCAAACGGCCACCCAGTTTTGTGCTTGAAACCCAGGGTCCTGGTTGTGTAGACACCAGAGGGAATCTCCGGGTCTGCTAGTTGTGAAGACCTTGGGAAAAGTGCAATATCTGGGCTGGAGTGCACCATTCCTCCTGGTACAGTCTCTCATGGCTTCCCTTGGCTGGGGGGAGGGAGATCCCACAACCCCTTGCACTTCCCCAGTAAGGCAATACCCCACCCTGCTTCTGCTTCCCCTCTTTGGGCTGCACCAACTGTCCAGCCAGTCCCAGTGAGATGAACTGGGCACCTCAGTTGGAAATGCAGAAATCACCTGCCTTCTGCATCCATCTCGCTGGGAGCTGCAGACCGGAGCTGTTCCTATTCGGCCATCTTGCCCACCTCAGGTATGTCTTTATCAGCAGCATGAAAATGGACTAATACACATGAAATTCCTAAAATTTTTGTATGTCTTGGTATATGTTATCAGTCATAATTATAATACTAGATTGTTATATGCCACAAATATAACCGAAATTGTGGTCAATTGCATCTTTTATTATCATTATTCTAAGTCTTTTGTCATACACAGTTTTTAAAAATTCTTTTCAAAAAGTAGTTTATAATCACGTACAGTCCAAAATGTGCTTCTTCTTCAGAAAATTTATGGGAAAGACTCTGAAATTATTCCTGCGTACAGATTTCAAATACTTTTGGTGATTATGACATTAGATTGGTTAAAAACTTTAAGTATTCTAATAAAACTGCTGAAAGGTTTATGAAGATTGCCAGCCCAACATCAAGCAGAACAAGAATTAATTACATAGGAATGAATTGGTATGAAACTAAAACAATTTTTATGACTTTTAATTTAAAATATTGCTGATTCTTTTTCTGTTTTATCTTCCAGAGTCAACAATTTTTTTTTAATTTGAGCTATATATAACTTCAAGGAATTGAGGGTGGAGGGTGGAAGGAGGGTGAGGATCAAAAAGCTACTGATTGGGTACTGTGCTTATTATCTGGGTGATAAAATTATCTGTACACCAAAGTTACATGACATGTGATTTACCTATGTAACAAACTGCACATGTACCTCGAGTCTAATTTTTTTTTAATGTATACTTTAGTGAGCAAAACTGAAACGTGTTAAATTTCCTCTACCTGGTTTATCCAGAATTTGAAAACTAATTATGATTATTTTTATTTTATGGCAACATGGTTATTTACATAAGTTCAATATGAATCTGTTGTTTTTTCTGTAATAAGATACAATTAGAGAAACGGGTTATTTTAATGAAAGTTTTACAGGAATGTGATATTTTCAGATATGAAAAGACTGCTTTGAGTAGTTGAGGTTGACTTTACAGAGCTGATAATATGCCCCTTGCAAAGTCTGGTCCAGTAACTTGTCTACAGTGTTCCATCACAAGGTTCTTAATATTGTTGTAAAATGTAACTTTCCGACAGGCCTAGGAACCTCAAGATATTTTGAGAACTTGACAGAAGAAGAATTCACCCAATTCATATAGACATTAAAAGCCCAGTCTCGTGATGAATCCTTGAGTTGGCTTCCTGGCTTTGAGAGGTTTTATATTTTTTTCTTTTTTTTTTGAGTTTTTTTTCTTTTTTTTTTTTATTATTATACTTTAAGTTCTAGGGTACATGTGCACAATGTGCAGGTTTGTTACATATGTATACATGTGCCATGTTGGTGTGCTGCACCTATTAACTCATCATTTACATTACGTATATCTCCTAAAACTATCCTTCCCACCTCCCGCCACCCCACAACAGGCCCCGGTGTGTGATGTCCCCCTTCCTGTGTCCAAGTGTTCTCATTGTTCAATTCCCATCTATGAATGAGAACATGCGTTGTTTGGTTTTTTGTCCTTGCTATAGTTTGCTGAGAATGATGGTTTCCAGCTTCAACCATGCCCCTACAAAGGACATGAACTCATCATTTATTATGGCTGCATAGTATTCCATGGTGTATATGTGCCACATTTTCTTAATCCAGTCTATCATTGTTGGACATTTGGGTTGGTTCCAGGTCTTTGCTATTGTGAATAGTGCTGCAATAAACATACATGTGCATGTGTCTTTATAGCAGCATGATTTATAATCCTTTGGGTATATACCCAGTAATGGGATGGCTTTGTCAAATGGTATTTCTAGCTCTAGATCCCTGAGGAATCACCACACTGTCTTCCACAATGGTTGAAGTAATTTACAGTCCCACCAACAATGTAAAAGTGTTCCTATTTCTCCACATCCTCTCCAGCACCTGTTGTTTCCTGACTTTTTAATGATCACCATTCTAACTGGTGTGAGATGGTATCTCATTGTGGTTTTGATTTCCATTTCGCTGATGGCCAGTGATGATGAGCATTTTTTTCTCAATTTTTTTATTTTATTATTATTATACTGTAGTTTTAGGGTACATGTGCACAATGTGCAGGTTTGTTACATATGTATACATGTGCCATGTTGGTGTGCTGCACCCATTAACTAGTCATTTAGCATTAGGTATATCTCCTAATGCTATCCCTCCCACCTCCCCCCAACCCACAACAGTCCCCAGAGTGTGATGTTCCCCTTCCTGTGTCCATGTGTTCTCATTGTTCAATTCACTCCTATGAGTGAGAACATGCAGTGTTTGGTTTATTGTCCTTGCGATAGTTTGCTGAGAATGATGGTTTCCAGTTTCATCCATGTCCCTACAAAGGACATGAACTCATCATTTTTTATGGCTGCATAGTATTCCATGGTGTATATGTGCTACATTTTCTTAATCCAGTCTATCGTTGTTGGACATTTTGGTTGGTTCCAAGTATTTGCTATTGTGAATAGGGCTGCAACAAACATATGTGTGCCTGTGTCTTTATAGCAGCATGATTTATAACCCTTTGGGTATATACCTAGTAATGGGATGGCTGGGTCAAATGCTATTTCTAGTTCTAGATCCCTGAGGAATCGCCACACTGACTTCCACAATGGTTGAACTAGTTTACAGTCCCACCAACAGTGTAAAAGTGTTCCTATTTCTCCACATCCTCTCCAGCACCTGTTGTTTCCTGACTTTTTAATGATTGCCATTCTAACTGGTGTGAGATGGTATCTCATTGTGGTTTTGATTTGCATTTCTCTGATGGCCAGTGATGATGAGCATTTTTTCATGTGTTTTTTGGCTGCATAAATATCTTCTTTTAAGAAGTGTCTGTTCATGTCCTTCGCCCACTTTTTGATGGGTAGTTTGTTTTTTTCTTGTAAATTTGTTTGAGTTCATTGTAGATTCTGGATATTAGCCCTTTGTCAGATGAGTAGGTTGCAAAAATTTTCTCCCATTCTGTAGGTTGCCTGTTCACTCTGATGGTGGTTTCTTTTGCTGTGCAGAAGCTCTTTAGTTTAATTAGATCCCATTTGTCAATTTTGGCTTTTGTTGCCATTGCTTTTGGTGTTTTAGACATGAAGTCCTTGCCCATGCCTATGTCCTGAATGGTATTGCCTAGGTTTTCTTCTAGGGTTTTTATGGTTTTAGGTCTAACATGTAAGTCTTAAATCCATCTTGAATTAATTTTTGTATAGGGTGTAAGGAAGGGATCCAGTTTCAGCTTTCTACATATGGCTAGCCAGTTTTCCCCGCACCATTTATTAAATAGGGACTCCTTTCCCCATTGCTTGTTTTTGTCAGGTTTTTCAAAATCAGATGGTTGTCGTTGTGTGGTATTATTTCTGAGGGCTCTGTTCTGTTCCTTTCATCTATATCTCTGTTTTGGAACTAGTACCATGCTGTTTTGGTTATTGTAGCCTTGTAGTATAGTTTGAAGTCAGGTAGAGTGATGCCTCCAGCTTTGTTCTTTTGGCTTAGGATTGACTTGGCGATGCAGGCTCTTTTTTGGTTCCATATGAACTTTAAAGTAGTTTTATCCAGTTCTGTGAAGAAAGTTATTGGTAGCTTGATGGGGATGGCATTGAATCTATAAATTACCTTGGGCAGTATGGCCATTTTCATGATATGGATTCTTCCTACCCATGAACATGGAATGTTCTTCCATTTGTTTGTATCCTCTTTTATTTCGTTGAGCATTAATTTGTAGTTCTCCTTGAAGAGGTCCTTCACCTCCCTTGTAAGTTGGATTCCTAGGTATTTTATTCTCTTTGAAACAAATGTGAATGGGAGTTCACTCATGATTTGGCTCTCTGTTTGTCTGTTATTGGTGTATAAGAATGCTTGTGATTTTTGCACATTGATTTTGTGTCCTGAGATTTTGCTGAAGTTGCTTATCAGCTTAAGGAGATTTTGGGCTGAGAAGATGGGGTTTTTTAGATATACGATCATGTCATCTGGAAACAGGGACAATTTGACTTCCTCTTTTCCTAACTGAATACCCTTTATTTCCTCCTCCTGCCTGATTGCCCTGGCCAGAACTTCCAACACTATGTTCAATAGGAGTGGTGAGAGAGGTCATCCCTGTCTTGTGCCAGTTTTCAAAGGGAATGCTTCCAGTTTTTGCCCATTCAGTATGATATTGGCTGTGGGTTTGTCATAAATAGCTCTTATTATTTTGAGATACGTCCCATCAATACCTAATTTATTGACAGTTTTTAGCATGAATGGCTGTTGAATTTTGTCAAAGGCCTTTTCTTCATCTATTGAGAAAATTATGTGGTTTTTGTCGTTGGTTGTGTTTATATGCTGGATTACGTTTATTGATTTGTGTATGTTGAACCAGCCTTGCATCCCCAGTATGAAGCCCACTTGATCATGGTGGATAAGCTTTTCGATGTGCTGCTGGATTTCGTTTGCCAGTATTTAATTGAGGATTTTTGCATCCATCTTCATCAAGGATATTGGTCTAAAATTATCGTTTTTTGTTGTGTCTCTGCCAGGCTTTGGTATCAGCATGATGCTGGCCTCATAAAATGAGTTAGGGAGGATTCACTCTTTTTCTGTTTTTTTAAAATTCTAATCTGAGATTCTTTATTAAAAAGCTTCAGCAAAGCCAACTTTGAAAGAGTCTATAGGTCTATGTAGCTAACCCCCTAACCACTATTGTTGCTGAACTTTGTAAAAATAATAAGGAACCCTACAATAATATTAAACCATATTTTGCAAATAAATTGGTTTGAATGTAATTTTTCTTTGGTAGAACAGAGAACTGAGAAAGAAAAATTATGTTTCAGAAAAAAATTATAGTATAGTTGTTGTTAAATGCTAGCCCTGACCATTGTTTTTGAGTTTTTTTGATTTGTCTATAGTTTTGAATGGATTTTGAATTTTTTCCTAGCTACAACCTGCAAACTAAAAATTTTGAATTTTTCTTTCATTTTTCTCACTAGGAATTACTAGTAATTAAAACTGCCTTTCTTCAAGTACTGCACTTATAAGTTAGACTACTTGATGTAAACTTCAGGAGAAATCACCACACTAATTTATGTATAAACAGCCTTCATGTCTGTTGGTGTATGGACTATTCATAAAATTCACTGAGCATATGATTTGAACCATAATCCAGGAAAAGCTGTCAGACTGTCACTGCAATATGAAGATGCTCTGGAAACTCTAGGAAGACTAGTACACAATACTCCAGACACTAATCTTAGTTTACCTTCTGTTTCCATTGAAATGCCTCTTATTAAATATCTATTTGCCTGCAATATATGTAGAGGTTTAGCACATCTGCACTGTCACCTGTTATTATGGGACATACCAATTTAACTGAACTAATCTGTTCTCAGGACTAAAAGATTGATTCAAGAAAACATGAAATGTTACATTTCAACGTGTTTCTGATTAACAAAATTTGTTTTTTCTTTCCTTTGCCTATCTCTTATCAATCTATAACTAAAATCCATCCACAGTCACTGACTTAGCTTTTATTTTTTGATTTTTATTTTTTAATTTTTTTGAGATGGAGTCTCGCTCTGTCACCCAGGCTGGAATGCAGTGGTACGATCTCGGCTCATTGCAACCTCTGCCTCCTGGGTTCAAGCGATTCTCCTGCCTCAGCCTCCTGAGTAGCTGGGATTACAGGTGTGTGCAGCCACTCCTGGCTAATTTTTATATTTTTAGTAGAGACGGGGTTTCGCCACTTTAGCCAGGCTGGTCTGGAACACCTGACATCTTCTGATCCACCCACCTCAGCCTCCCAAAATGCTGGGATTACAGGCGTGAGCCACCACGCTTGGCCTTAGCTTTTAATGTATAAAATTTTTATGAAAGTTATAGACACAGGAAATAAAAGAATGCAGAAATCCTCATCCCAAAATATGGTTACCTGGTATAGTGAGTATTTTGAATTAAAGCTCCCTAGAAATCAACATATGCTGCAAGAGACTTTTCCTTCATCTACACCAACACTGTATGGACTCACAAAATAGAACAATTTTCTTCTTCCCCTCATTGTCTTCACATTATGTATCACAGACAGGAAGAACAAGAATGTAACAACACCTGAACAGACCCTGACAAAACAATGTTTGTCTCTGAGGGTCATTCAATTTCCAAAAAGAACCATTAACAAGTCAATCTCTGTGTCTCAAACCATTCATTCTTCTTAGTAATCATGTAGTCCCCCAAACAGAATCACCTATATTCCCTATATCACCCTCCCTTCTTTAAATAAGGCCATGTAGTACTGGATTTTCATTGAAACTTTGGGTAATCACTCTTATTCTCTCTCATGCACACTAATAAATTTCGATGCCATTTTTCCTATCAATCTGCCTTTTGTCATTTCATTTTTTCGGGAAACTTCAGAAGGCAAAGGAGAAGCTATTTCTTGTTCCTTATAATACTTTCAATGAAAATTCAGCACCACATGGGTTTTATTGCACACCATCAACCTTAAATCTGTACATTATCTTTTGTGTTCTAAAACATCAAGTTTTTTATTCTTCTAAATAACAAGAACATAATTTGTTACAACTACAACTGAAGAACCATAGTAACAACATGGTAACTGAAAGTAAACCAGTTTGACATTTTGACTGAAATTCCAAAAGTGAAAGTTTTTCTAGTGATACTTCAATAAATATCACAAGGATCCATCATGATCCTTTGCTTGTGATAGAATAATGCTTCTGATAGAATAATGTCATATAGAATTGCAATCTAAATGCAATTAAATACATATGTCACAGATGTCTAATACTAACTCATTGTCAATATTTTTAAATAATTGAATGGGCAAGCCTTAAGATGGCTGACTAAATGCAGCTGCATTTCACCTCTTTCATGGAAGGGAACCGAAAAATTAAGTAAATATTCATACTCTGAATAGATCATCTGAGAATATAATACCACAATTCAACAGAGAGGCAATGGCAGATGCTGAAGATGAAGGAAGAGGAAGTGAGACTGCCTGCTTGGCCAGGGTCACAGAAGTCCCCCAGACCCTGAACCCAAGCAAGGAATAAGTGAGAGACCCCTCGAGTTCCATATTCTTATGATGGATCTCTATAATCATAGCTATACAGGAGCTCCTTGTCCACCACAAGCCTCCATATCACCATAGGAAGCTGCCTGTAGATCATAGAGAGGCATTGCTTGAAGTCACGTGAAGTTTTACAGGCCTTCAAGACTAGGCAAGTGCAGAATAATCTCACCATTGGAGCCCATTCCCCAAGTCTCTGTGTCCTCTTCTGAGGCTGCTGCTGACACTGATAGCTGCCAGACTGCAGAGGGAGAAGGGAGGCTTTGTGCTCTCACACACTTCAAAAGCAGGTTTTACCACCACTGCTGGAGGCTGCTGTGGGAAAGAGATGAGTTTGGACCATGCACACCATGCCTGTTGACTTCCCTCGAAGCTGCCCGCCTGGGTGTTCCTGCTGAGAGAGACCAGCCCTTCCTGGTGGCAGGCCCACAGTGTAACCATCATTGCCCTGCATGATTATTACAACCAGTGGCTTGGGACTTTCTGACCCCTAACTATTACATCAATGCTTGAATCCAGGGGAACTGAGGACAAGTCTGCTGACATAGTCCCATTCCCCCAGGACTCAAGCATGCTATGCAGGGGTATGGGGATGAGGTTTTCTGTCTGCTCTTGAGTAGGGGAAGAGCACTCACAGTCATAACTGAGAGGAATGTGATGTAGGTTTATGCCACATCATGAAAGCTAGTCACACTTTGCTCTATGGGACTGGACCAAGAAGGGTATGGCAAAGGAGTCATGGTTTCTGTTCCAAGCCAGGAGTCTCACACCCTGGTGTGTCTTTCCAATCTGAACATAGACTTTCTGGGACAAGGCTAGCCATTTTTGCCTGCCTACAGTGGCCAGATGCCAAAGGGAGACCTGCTAACTCAGGGTCATGTGAGCTAGGTGGATCCCACTACCATCTCCTGGGCTATTAATTTCAGTCTTCCCTTTTCCCCCAATGTGGGCTCTTTGGTGCAGTAGAAGTGCCTCTACCCTTCCCAAAAAGTTGTCCCTGTAGTCTGTAAACATCCCCCTTCCTCCACTGGGGTCAGCATCCGTGACCATGATTGAGGAACATGGTCATGAACCCAGCTCACCTCAACTTTGTACTACCCACCTGCCAAAGTGGTAGAACACAGGACAGGGTCTCCTGAGAGTTCCATGTCTCTGCCCATTATGTAGGACTTCTAAGTACTTCTCCTGATTAACAAAGGACACACATAAATCCTGCTGCCAACACCACAGTTGTCTGTCTCTTGCAAACACAATCTACTTTTTGGGAGGTCAACCTCCACATTCCTTTAAAACATTTGCTGATAAATTGCACAGTGCTTGCCTGGACCTTACCCGCCAGTGTCACTTACTGGCCCAAAGGTTGAACTGTACAACCAAATACAATTCATGCTGACAGAAAGGCACAGCACTAGAAAACAAGCTTCAAACCTCCACCACCCCATCTCAGCAAGCTGCAGTGAGCCTGCTGACACCCTCAGTGCACAGCCTTCACCATGGACAAAAACAACTAGAATTTGAGAAAACTACCACACCAAGGCTATCTATAAGCAATGAATTTATACAGAGCTTTGGCTCCCTAAAAGCATCAAAGGCAAAGAACCCTACCAAACATACACAGCAGTAACACTCTCAAAAAGAGAAAACAAATGCCCTATTAAAATGAAAGAAAATTAAAAAATAAGAAGTGACAGCTTCTCCAGAAGAGAAAGAAAAAGCATAAGAACTATGACAGTATTAAAAAAAAAAACATTGTTTTATGAAACACCAAAAGGATCACACTGGCTTTCTTGCAATGGATATTTTAACCAAAATGATAATTATGAAATGAAAGACAAAGAATTCAAAATAGGGATTTAAAGAAAGCTCAATGAGATTCAAAAGAAAGTTGAATCAGAAAAACAAATCAGAATATAAATAAAAATTATGAACGAGATAGGCATTTAAGAAAAAACATACAGAACTTCTGGAAATGAAAATTTTATTAAAGACATTATAAAACACAGCTGGGAGCTTTAACAATAAATTAGATAAAACAGAAAAAAGTCATTTCAGATCATGATGATAGGTTTTTAGAATTAATACAGTCAGACAAAAATAAAGAAAATAGAATAAAAAAGTGAACCACCTTTGAGAAATGTAGGATTATGCAAATTATCCAAACCTATGAGTAATAGGTATTCCTGAGGGAGAAGAGTAAAAAGATTTAAAATAGTCTTGAAAAATCTACCTGAGGGAATATTTTAGAATAATTTCTTTGGTCTTCCTAGAGGTTTAGACAGCCAGATATAAGAAGCTCAGGAATCCCCGAACATTTGTTGCAAGATAAACTTTACCAAGACGACACCAACTCATTAGACTATTCAAAGTCAACGTAAAGGTAAAAAGTAAGAGAACAAGACCTAGTTATCTATAAAGGAAATCCCATCAAGCTGACAGTGGATTTCTTGGTAGAAATCTTACAAGCCAGAAAAGATTGGGATCCTATTTTTAGTCTTCTTAAAGAAAGAAACTGTCAGCCAAAAATATTCTATTCTGCAAAACTAAGCTTCATAAACAAAAAAAGTAAATAAATTATTTCCAAGGCAAACACTAAGGAAATTAGTCACCACTGAACCAGAGCTACAAAAATTGTCAAAGGATCTAAACATGAAAATAAAATAGTGATACAAGGTACCATAAAACACTCAAAAGTAAAAAAATTCACAGGTTCTATAAAGCAATTACACAAGTGACACTACAAAGCAACTAACAACATCATAACAGGAATTAAACCTCACATATTATTGTTAGCCATTAAAATAAATTGACAAAATACTCCACTTAAAAGATATAGGTGGTTGGAATGGATAAATGAATAACAAGATTCAACCACATGCTGCTTACAAAAGTCAAATTGCACTGTTAAAGACATTTACAAAGGGTAGAAAAAGATATTCCATGCAAACAGAACAAAAACAAGCATGAGTAGCTATACTTACATTAGATAAAACAAACTATAATTCAAAAGCAGTTTAAAAAGACAAAGAAGGTAATTATATAATGATAAAGGTTCACTTTACCACAAAAATATAACAAACCTAAATATATGTGCACCCAACACCAGAACACACAGATTCATAGAAGAAATACTACTAGACCTAAGAAAAAAGTAGACAGCAATGTCATAATAGTGTGGAACTTCAACACTCAACTCAGAGCCCTTGAAAGATCACACCAAAAAAAAAAAACAAAAACAAAAAAAAAAAAAACGAGGAAACTCAGGACTTACATTGGAGTCTACAACAAATGTACATAACAGACAATTACAGAACATTCTACTCAAAAACTGAAGAATACACATTCTTCTCATTGCTCTTGGAACTTTCCTCCAAATAAACCACATAATAGGTGACAAAGCAAGATTCAATAAATTAAAAAAAAAATTGAAATTATATCAAGTATCTTGTTGGACCATAGTGGAATAAAGTTACAAATATATACTAAGAGGAGCTCCCAAAAGATACAAATATGTGGAAATTAAACAATCTGCTTCTAAATAATCTTTGGTTTAATAATAAAATAAAGATATACGTTTAATTTTTTTTTAAAGAAATGAAACTGAAACAACATAACAAAACCTCAGGGATGCAGCAAAATAAGCACTAAGAGGAAATTTCATAGTGTTAAATGCCTACATCTGAAACATAGAAAGACCACAAATTAACAATATAACATTACATGTTAAGTAACTAGGTAAAGAAGAGAAAATCAAATGCAAACAAGAGAAAACCAAATAAAAATCCAGCAGAAATAATTAAAGGAAAAGATTATAGGATAACTAAATGAGAATGAGACCAAAAAAATAATGATAGAAAGGATCACTGTAATAAAAAGTTGTTTTTCTGAAAAGATAAACAAAACTGATAAATGACCAGGTAGATTAAGCAAAAAAGAGAGAAGATTCAGAAAACACAATTATAAATAATAAAGGTGACGTTACAGCTGATACCACATAAATACAATACATTATCAGAGAATATTATAAAAACATCTATGCATACAAACTAGAAAACCAAGAGGAAATAAATAAATTATTGGAAACTGACAACCTTCTATAAGTGAACCTGAAAGAAACAAAAATCCAGACCATCCCAATATTGAGCAGCAGGATTGAATTGGTAATTTTAAAAGCCTAGGACCAGATGGATTAACGGCTAAATTCTATGAGTTGTACAAATAACTGGTACCAATCCTACTAAATTTGTCCTGCCCAAAATTAATTCTCCCTAACTCATTCTTTAAAGCCAGTGACACCTGGAATTCCAAAGGCAGGCAATGACATAACAACAAATGAAGACTAGGGGAGAATATCTCTCATGAAGATACAAGCAAAAATTCTCAACAAAATGCTAGCAAATGGAATACAACAGTATGTCAAAAATGTAATACACCATGACCAAGTGGGTTTTATTTTAGGAATTAAAGAATGCTTTAAAATATGCAAATTAATAAATGTGACTCACCACATAAACAGAATTAGAAACAAAAAAAATATGATCATCTCAATAGGGGTAGAAAAAAATGATAAAATACAGCATCCATTCATACTGCAAATTACCAACAAACTAAACATTGAAGAAACATACCTCAAAATAATAAAAGCCAAATAAGAAAACTCACAGCAGATATCATATTGAATGGGAAAAAGTTGAAAGTACTTCCCAGAAGAACTCAAACAAAACAAGAATGCGTACTTTCACCACTCCTGTTAAACATAGTACGGGAAGTCCTTCCCACAGCAATCAGGGAAGAGACAGAAATGAAAGGCATGCAAATTGGAATAGAGGAAGTCAAATTATCACTTTTCACTGACAATATGATCTTACACTTAGAAAATTCTAGGAAATCCAAAAGACTTCTAGGTTTGATAAATTATTTCCATAAAGTTTAAGATACAAATCAATATGCAAAAATCAGTAGCATTTATATACACCAATGACAATCAAGCTAAGAATGAAATAAAAGACTCAATTTCATTTACAATAGCTAAAAATTAAAATACTAAGAGACATTTAACCAAGGAGGAGAAAGGTTTGCACAAGAAAACTGCAAAATACCAATGAAAGAAATTATAGATGAAACAAACAAATAAAAAAGTCCAATGTCCATAGATTGAAAAAAATCACGATCATTTAAATAACCACATTGCCCCAAGTTATCTACAAATTCAATGTAATTTCTATCAAACTACCAACATCATTTTTCATGGAATTAGAGAAACCCAGAAAATAGCCTAAATAGACAAAACACTCCTAAGCAAAAAGAGCAAAACTGGAGGCATCACTTTACCTGACTTTACATTATGCTACAAGGCTATAGTAAACAAAACAGCATGGGTCTGATATAAAAATAAACACACAGATAAATGAAACAGAATAGAAAAGCCAGAAATAAAGCCACATATGTACACTGAACTGATTTTTTTGACAAAGCCAGTGAAAATATAAACTTGGCAAAGGACGCTTTTTTAAAAAAATAAATTTAAATTTATTTATTTATATTTAATTTTTGCTTTGGTAGTTTTTCAACATTATTTTAGATTCAGGGGATACATGTACACATTTTTACCTGGGTATATTGTGTGATGATAAGGTTTGGAGTACAACTGATCCCGTCACCCAGGTGTGCATAGTACCCAATACTTTATCTTTCAACCCTTTCCTCCTTTCCTCCCTCCCCGCTCCAGTAGTCCCAGTATCAATTGTTGCCATCTTTATGTCCATAAGTACCTATTGTTTAGCTCTCACTTATAATTGAGAACATGCTGTATCTGATTTTCTGATATTGCATTAATTCCTTTAGGATAATGACTTCCAACAGCATCCATGTTGCTGCAAAGGAAATGATTTTGTTCTTTTTATGGCCGTATAGTATTCCATACTGTATTTGTACTATATTTTCTTTATCAAATTCACCTTTGATGGGCACCTAGGTTGATTCTGTGTCTCAAAAAAAATTTATTATTATACTTTAAGTTCTGGGGTACATGTGCAGAACATGCAGGTTTGTTACACAGGTATACAGGTGTCACAGAGGACACCTTTTTTCACTAAATAATGGTGGGAAATTTTATAGACATATGCTGAAGAATAAAACTGGAACCATATGTCTTAACATATACAAGAGTAACTCAAGATGAGCGAAATACTTAACTGTAATATCTAAAGCTATACAAATTATAAATTAAAAAAAGAAAAACTGAAAAATAAGCAAATCTAGGAGAAACTCCTCTGGACATTGAACTATTAAAATAATTTATGCCTAAGACCTTGGAAGCAAACACAACAAAAACAAAAAAGACCAATATGACTTAACTAAGCTAACAAGATTTTGTGTAGTAAAATATGTAATTAGCAGAGTTAACAAGCATTCTACAGAATGGGAGAAAATATTTGGAAATTATGCATTTGACAAAGGGCTAATATCCAGAATCACAAGGAACTCAACTAAATAAAAATAAATAGCTCCATTAAAATTGGGCAAAGAACATAAACAAACATTTTTAAAGGCAGACAAGAGGCCAAAAACAAGACAAAATTTTCAAAATTACTAATTATCCCATAAGTGCAAATTAAAATCACAGCAATTTTTTTACTATGGCAGATGCCATTTCTCCTCTGAAGGAAGATCAAATCTACTGGTGAGTGGATACGTTATTAATGGAAAATTGAAAGAAGACAGACGAGATCTTTTGGAGAGGCCACAGGAAGAAGCTGGGGTTCAGAAAAGGAGAGTAGACAGATAGACTCCAGAGGAACTTGGAACCCTGTGGAGGGGTTAGATAGGGGTGCTTCTCTCCTCCCCTATGCCCTGAAACAATCTGAATACTGCAAAATTGCTGAGGAAACCCTTTGCCCTCACAACTTTGAGCAATGCTGTCAGTGGCAGTTTGGGAACTTCCCAGGAACAGAGAACTGGGTGGACAGCTTGCACAAACATGACCACATTCTCCTTAGGCTTAAACTTAGATGGTAGGTGTCATACTCATTCTGCCCCCTTAGCGGGTAAATGCCCTGCCCAGGGAATCTGTGGCCCTGAGTTATCTCACCACCAGACCCCTTTCAAACATACCTCCAGGCCAATCCATTCTTGGCAAGCACAGGAAAAGAGTGGGTCCCTGGGTAGCTGCAGAAACCCTGGAAATATAACCTTCTGTGTGGACTCTGAGGGAGTAAGCAAATTCTGCCAACCCCCAACTTGGGACAATGGAAATGAGGGTGTGGTGTCAATAGTGGAAGGGGATGGCACTGGAAGCTGGGAACAGACATAGAAAGGGAGTCACCTCCTGCTCCCACTGTCTCCTGTTGAAGATAAAGTAGAAGTTCATTTACTGAGGCTATCACATGCACACTCAAAGAAAACACTTTTCCTGCTTTTCACAGTGACTTCAGCCTCATTGGATGTGAGCACACACCATTTGGGCTTGCACACAGGGCAGGACTCAACTGTGCTCCCTACATAGTGCAGCAGTGTCCCAGCAATAGAGACCAGACAAGCTGCAGAATCGTCTGGTCTGCCTGGAGGAAGAGGCTTTGTCCCAAGCTCATTTTAGTGGTAGCCAACAGAGGGCTGTATCCATAATCCAAAACCCACTGTGGCTGGGAGACAATGGACAGTCTATGAACTGAAGTTCCTGAGTCCTGTAACGGGGGTATGATAGGAAAGTGAATTTTATTTCTGAGTGCCCTGGGCAAGAAGCTGGTGCAGCTCCCCAGTTATGTTTTTAAGGCCTCAATTAACCCCATCAGAAAATCCCTCACCACCACTCCAGAACAACAGGTGCTTCCTCTCTTCATCTGCCTACCTGAATGTGAGGTGGCTCTTACATTTAAGTGCCACCTACTGGACTGGAACCTAAACTGCACCACCAAATACAAAACCTGCTGCTAGATGAGCATCCTGCTAGTGCATGAGAAAAGCTCCCTGAGGCCTCCACACTCTCAGCCCCGCAGGAGACAGTGTGTTGGATCATACATGCAATGCATCACTACAACAAACATCATCTGAAACAGCCACTGCACAGAAGCTATTCACAATCAAGGAACCCACACAAAACCTTGACCAACTGAAGGCACCCCGAAATAAAGTCAAATGATCATACACAACATACACCACATTCATACCCTCAAGAAAAAAAAGAATAAAAATGAAGATGCATCTAAATGATAGAAAATTCAAAAATAAGAAGCACAGCTCCTTCATATGAGAAGAAATCAGTAAAAGGATTTTGCAGTACAAAAGAGAGTGTTTTGACACCTATGATCACACTAGCTCCTTAAGAATAAATTCTATAAAAAATGAAAAGCCTAAATGACAGATAAAGAATTCAAAATATGAATTGCAAGGCAACTGCATTAGATCCAAGATAATGTTGAAAACCAACAAAACAAATAAGCAAACAAAAAAACAATTCAAGGTATTAAAGAAGAGACAGCTATATTAAAATAAAAACCTAATAGATCTCTGTTTTGGCATCAGTACCTGCTGTTTTGGTTACTGTAGCCTTGTACTATAGTTTGAAGTCAGGTAGTGTGATGCCTCCAGCTTTGTTCTTTTGGCTTAGGATTGACTTGGTGATGCAGGCTCTTTTTTGGTTCCATATGAACTTTAAGGTAGTTTTTTACAATTCTGTGAAGAAAGTCATTGGTAGCTTGATGGGGATGGCATTGAATCTATAAATTACCTTGGGCAGTATGGCCATTTTCACAATATTGATTCTTCCTACCCATGAGCATGGAATGTTCTTCCATTTGTTTGTATCCTCTTTTATTTCATTGAGCAGTGGTTTGTAGTTCTCCTTGAAGAGGTCCTTCATGTCCCTTGTAAGTTGGATTCCTAGGTATTTTATTCTCTTTGAAGCAATTGTGAATGGGAGTTCATTCATGATTTGGCTCTCTGTTTGTCTGTTATTGGTGTATAAGAATGCTTGTGATTTTTGTACATTGATTTTGTATCCTGAGACTTTGCTGAAGTTGTTTATCAGCTTAAGGAGATTTTGGGCTGAGACGATGGGGTTTTCTAGATATACAATCATGTCATCTGGAAACAGGGACAATTTGACTTCCTATTTTCCTAATTGAATACCATTTATTTCTTTCTCCTGTCTAATTGCCCTGGCCAGAACTTCCAACACAGTGTTGAATAGGAGTGGTGAGAGAGGGCATCCCTGTCTTGTGCCAGTTTTCAAAGGGAATGCTTCCAGTTTTTGCCCATTCAGTATGATATTGGCTGTGGGTTTGTCATAGATAGCTCTTATTATTTTGATATACGTTCAGGGATGGAAAAATTTACTGAAGAAATGTCAAAGTATATTTTGAAGTTTTAACAATAGACTAGACCAAGCAGAAGAAAAAAATGTAGAGCTCACCACTGATGTTTTGAATTAATCCAGTCACACAAAAATAGTGAAAAAATAATTTTAAAAAACCACAAAGACTTAAGGACATATGAGATTATGTGACCAAACCTACAACTGATAGGCATTCCTGAGAGAGAAGAAAAAGTAAGCAATTCAGAAAACATATTAATTCAGGAAAATTTATCTGATCTTGGTAGAAGTAAGGACATACAAATACAAGAAATTTAGATAATACCTGCAAGATACTATACAAAATGGTCATTGCCAAGGCATATAGTCATCAAATTATTAAATGTCAACTAAGAAAAATAAGACTTCAGCACAGGTGGAAAAAAAGGCCAAATTACCTGTAAAGGAAATCCCATCAGACTAACAGTGGAACTCTCAGCAGAAACATTACATGCCATATTAGATTGGTGGCCAATATTTAGCATTCTTAAAAAAATACCAGCCAAGAATTTTGTATCTCACCAAACTAAGCTTCAAAAATGAAGGAAAAATATAGTCTTTTTAAGAAAAGCAAACACTAAGATAATTCCTCACCACCAGATCTGGGCTAAAAAGATACTCAAAGGAATTCTAAATGTAAAAAGAACAGGATGATGTACTTTATTACAAAAATCACATGGAAGTAGAAAGCTCACAAATCCTGTAAAGCAACTACATAGCGTTGTTAGCTAATTGCTTTGTAATTGCTTTGTAGACTGAGACTACAAAAGCAATTAGCTAACAAGACTATGACAGGAATTTTTATTCACATACCAATATTAACCTTCAACCTACATGCCTAAATGTTCCACTTGAAAGATATAGATTTTCAATGTGAATAAAAAAGAAGGCCCAACCATCTACTGCCTTCCTGTGACCCATCAAAACTTAATGACCACCACAAGCTCAAATAAACAGGTGGAGAAAGGTCTGTCATGCAATTAGAAAATTTTTTTAAAAGCAAGTGTTTTTCTTCTTGTATAAGATAAAACAGACTTCAGGCGAACAATGGTTAAAAAGGGAGGGGAATTATATAATAATAAAGTGTTTATTATACCAACAAAAATTAACTATTTTAAATATATACACATCCAAAACTAGAGCACCTAGATTAATAAAACAAATATTTTTTTCTAAAACTAAGAAAAGAGTTACAAAGCCATACAATGTTAATGGAAAACTAAAACACCCTACTGACAGGACTAGACAGATCATCCAGGCAGAAAACCTACCAAAAACAGTCTGGACTTAAATTGGAGCCTTGAACAAACAGACCTAATAGACTGACAAAACAGTCAATCAACAAATGCAGAATATACATTTTTCTTATCTATACATGGAACATTCTCTACAATTGACCAGAATCATGGTCATAAAGAAAATATCAGTAAATTCAAAACAATCAACATAATATCAACCATTATATTGAAGCACAGTGAAATAAAATTAGAAATCATTACCCAAAGAAAATCTCTCAAAACACACAAGTACATGGAAACTAAACAACTTGCTCCTGAATAAATTTTAAGTAAACAAAGAAATTATGGAAGATATAAAAAAAACTGATGCAAATGAAAATAGAGACACAATACACCAAAAGCTCCGGGGACATAGCCAAAATAGTGTTAAGAGGAAAGTTTACAGTGCTAAATGCTTACATCAAAAAGATAGAAAGACATCCAATTAAATGTCACACTAAAAGAACTAGAAAGACACGAACTAATCAAACCTAAAGCTAGCAGAAGAAAAGAAATAACAATGAGCAGAACACAATTAAATATGATCAAGACCAAAAAATGATACAAAGGATCAATAAAATGAGAAGTTGGTTTTTTGAAAGCATAAAAAATTTGACACACAACTAGCTATATTAACCAAGAAAAAAGAAATGATTCAAATAAGCAAAATTAGAAATTATAGAGGTGGAATTATTACTGATGCTGAGGTAGGAATACTCAATGATGACAGAAGTGGGGAAATATTAAGCAGCGATTTCACATAACAGCAAGAAAGGAGTTGTATTACCTACAAGGAGAAGTAGAACCCTGGGCTGATAAGACCCTAAAAGTAGAAAGAAGGTTACACTCGTTAAAACCAGCTAAGTCAAACATGGCACTGAATTTGATCCATGCTCTACCTCAGAATTAATTATATGCTCATTAGAATATTAAATAACACACCCACAAGCGCCATGACAGATCCAAACATTCCCAGATTTAGTATAAAAATGGTGGCATCCCAGTTCTAAGAAATCTCCATCTTTTTCTTAAAAGAACTCATGATTATTCCGCCCTCTAATTAGAAGAGCCTGTAAAATTAGAAATCCAAACTCCATTGCACATCTCACTCTCCTGAGTCTGCCCACACTTCTTTCAAGTGTTTACTTTTTCTTTGCCATAGAAGTTTTTTTGCCTTTTGCATGATTCTGATCCATCCCTGAATTATTTTTTGTGATAGTGTCAAGAACCTGGAACATTGGCTGGGTCTAGGGTCTGTCTGGCATCTGAAGGCCCACCTAAGCCCTCTGACTTCAGCTCTGTGGTGAGCCAGCCAGGAGCAAAGTACTTTACACTAAATCAGGTGAGCAGTCTGCAATCTTTTTTTGGCATTGCGATTTTTCTCCTATTGCTTTTATTTATGGGGCAAAAAGCATAATCTCTACTTGCCAACATAGTTGTGGCTCCTTTTTTGGGTGGGTGGCTGTAGATCTCTTTCAGGTAATGCAGATTCAATCACTGGTTGGTGGTGGCTAGTGCCATCCATGGAGTCTGGTGGAGCCTTATGGCCTTACACTGAGAAGAAGACTGCCATGCCCATATATTTCTTGTTCATCCTACTATTTACTCTTTGTCTTTTTCAGCTAGTGCAGAAGTAACTTCTGTCATCTGGGTGTCCCAGACAGGATGGCTCCTGTATGGCCAAGCCTTTCAGAAAATCTGCCAGACTGCTTCTAAACTTTCCTTTTTCCTTAAGGAGTCCTCATCAGCCATAATGTCTGTTAAGGAGGAGTTTTCCAACTCCCCAGTGTATCAGCCAGGAAAGTATGCTAGGTCTGACTGGGGAATGTTGTCTACCTCCTGTATTTTTCTGAACTCTTTATAACTTTTTTCCTTCTCTGACTCTTGTTTTATTATATGAAAATGTTTGTTGAACTCTTTGGATCTGGTTTTTCCAAGGTCTGCTACTGCTTTGCCTCACAGTATTGCCATCTACAACACCCAGTATGGAAATGTCACCTTTGTTGAGACTCTTCTAAGCTCCATTCTGGTTCACGTCTTTGGTGTCAATATTTGGCAGACTCTGTGGGTCATGTACCACAGGGTGTTGCTTCCTCTACCATTTTATTGCATGTTTCCTTAAACCTCATCCTTACCAGATTAAAACAACAACAACAACAACAACAACAACAACAACAACAAAAACCTCTTACATTGAAATTGATCGTAGGACAGGACATGCTCCCAAACTAAGAGCTATTCCCTACAGACTCTCCCCTACCTTATAAGTAAAGGGCCTGTGCCCTTCAGGAAATCTTTCCAGTGGCTTTGCCTTATTGTTTTACCGAATTGACTCCTCTCTCAAGCTTCCTTGGAAAAAAAGGCATTATGATGGATATCAACATTCCTGTCACCACAGAATCAGGCCTACTATTGTATTTGTCCTATCTGATCTCAAAAAAACCCTTTATTTCCAAAGCCCCAAGTGCCATGGATGCTTGGACAACATGAGGGAACCAGGGATACCTGGGTGACAGGCAGCCAGGCAGGGCAATGAGGATACCTTATATCCCTGACTTGGCTGTGGAAACTGGCTTTCCATGGGGGGCAGTTTCCAGGGCTTCCTCCAGAATGGAGCCACTCCATGAGGTTCCAGCACTCTCTCTGGGAGGAAGCTGCTCTCCCTGCAAAAGTGGGTGGTTCTCCCTCCAGGAGGGAGCCACTCCATGGGACTGGCCTTTTGTGGGGGCCAGCTTTCAGCACTCCCTCTGGGAGGGAGTTGCACTTCCTCCAAGAGAGGGTGGCACTCCCTCTGTGAGTGAACCATTCCATGGGATTGGCATTTTGTGGGAGCCAGGTTTCAGCATTCCCTCTGGCAGGGGTCAGCTCTCCCACTGGAAAAAAAAGCCACTCAATGGGACTGGTCTTTTGTGGAGGCCTTGTTTCAGCATTCCCTTTGGGGTGGCCCAGTGTTCCTTCCAGGAGGGAGCCATTCCAAGGAACTTGCCTTTCATAAAAGCCAGGCTTGATTGGTATCCGCATAAGAGAAGCACTGTTACTTTCTTCTTTTCTTTTTCAGGTTGTACCAAAGACAACCCAAAACTATGGGTAATTCTCCCTTCATTTATGCTAACTCTCCTCTATGATGTATTAGTAAGAACAGGAAAACCGTTGAACAAGATGGCCTTATGTGAAAAAAAATATTTTGCCATAATGCTTGGACCCAATACAAGTGGGAGATGGGGAAGAATGGCTGAGGAATGGAATCTTGAATTATAACACCATACCACACCTAGAACACATTTTTAAGCATCAGGGGACATACAGTGAAATTTCATATGCTCAGGCATTTATAGTTCTTTATCAAAATCCAGACCTTCATGGAAATTGCTGTCTCTACTATGCTCCCATCCCTTTGGTGGGGCCAAATAAGGGAGAAGGAGAACCAGATATTCTAGGTTATTCCCTTTTGGAAAATGCCCCTCTGCAATATCTACCTAATCCAGAACCAGACCCAGGTCCAGCACCTGCAGTTTCTCATCTTGTAGGTGGGAGTCAAGGAGATATTACCTCCCTACAACCTACCCCCTAGTATCCTTCCAGCTCTGCTGTTTCTAGTCCCCAAACTCTTGTTAGTCCACCTTCTTACTGACCTTATTTACATTCCTTTGCCAGAGAAACAAATCACCACAGGGATTTGTTCAAGGAATCAATTAAAGAGTGTCAGATAGTCCCGACACTATTCAATGGACTTCTTGTAGAGGCCCTATGTAACCCGTGGCAGCATGTCACAACTTTCTGACAGTTCAAAGCTGAGTTCACTTAGTGCAGTGGTAAATGGCGATGTTGGGACCATTCAAGGTTATGTCTGGTCTAAAACAATGCAAGCAGAGACTGGGCTGATTTTTGGAATACCCATCCAAATTTATAAAGGAGTTTTGGGCTCTCTCCCTCTCATTTGAATTAACTTGGGGAAGTAGTCACTTTTTCTTGTCTACCTGTTGCACCCCTGGGGACAAACATCATATTTGGATTGGAAGACCTAGACTATGACAATAGAACAACTTCTGTACCCAACCAAGACATGCCTGGAACTATCAATAAGGGCATGCTGACCTAAGGCAGAGGAATTACATGGTGACTTGTCTTTTGTAGATAGTGAAAAGATGTGTTATTAAGCCTGTGAATAATGATAAAAGAAATTACACAAAGAAAAGATACAAACCTGACACTATTCAATGGACTCCTTGTAGAGGCCCTAAAAAATACTAACACTGATTCAGGGACCTTGGATGGCCAAACCGTGCTGGATACACACTTTATTAGCCAATCAGCCCAAGATATTAGAAAAAAACTTCAAAAATTATCCATGGGACCTCAGAAACCCATTATTTTGATTCTTGATGTGGCCTTTGGGTTCTTTAATAACACAGACAGGACTGAGGAGGCTGAAAGGACCCAGTGTGGCAATTGCTATGAGATATGCAATAGGCACAACTGATAGCAGTTGCTGTAAGCATTGACTGCTATGGGATATGCAGTAGGCACGACTGATAGCAGTTGCTGTAAGCATTGCCCTTCCAACTTGGTGTAACCCAAGAAGACATTTCAACCAAAAACCAAATAGGCCTAACAGTAAACCAACAGGTGATGGCTGCTGCTTTACACATGGGATGCCAAAACACTGGAGCAAGAACTATCCTAGCCAGGAAAGCCTACCTGAATCTTGTCCTCAGGGCAAAGAGCCCATTGGAAGAAGTATTGCCCCAAACTCCAAAGGGAGGAGAGACTACTGATTCTATAATGACCATGACTAAGGACAGAAGGGGCCTATAATGTTCCTAGTGGCTTCCACAAAAGGCATGGTCATCACAACTGAGAAACCTCAGGTAATTCTTGATGTATTAATAGCAGGTAAGAATATTGACTTCCTAATCTATACAGGGGACACTTACTCTTTTTTGGTTGGTCACTCTGGGCCCTTATTCTCCAAAATCTGTGTTGTCACAGATGTTGATGGAGGTGTCAATGGTACCCCCAAATGCAAACATTTTACCCTATTCCTTTTCTGCAGGCTGGGAAGATATTGGTGACTCATGAATTTCTAGTTATGACAAAGTGTCCAACCCATCTGCTAGGATTAGATTTTCTGACTGCCCTTGGGGCCACTCTACATTTACAAGATCCAGGGACACCTCTTCTATTACCAATGCTTGTCCCTTCTGAATTGCTCTCAGGAAAACAGGAAGGTCTTTCTAAAGCTTTGTCTCAAGTTGACCCACAGGTGTGGGACCAGGGAATCCAAGGTAAATCAATATGTGCCCAGCCAGTGGTAATTTTCTTAAAGGACAATACTAACTTTCCATATACATGCCATTATCCCCTTAAACCAGAAGCGAGGCAAAGACTTAAGCCCCTCATTGAAAAATTTATAGAACATGGCCTATTATATCCCTATAAGTCTCCTTGCAATGCACCTATTATCTTTATCTTGAAGCCAAATGGAGGGTACTACTTAGTCTAAGACATTTGAACTATAAATAAGGCAGTGGTTCCTTTACATCCCTTAGTACCCAACCCCTGCACTGTATTAACTTAGATACCAAAAGATGCTAAATGATTCACTGTACTAGATCTCAAATATGCCTTTTTTTCTGTATCCATTTGCAACTTGACTCACAACACTTGTTTGCCTTTGAATGGAAAGACCCAAAGACTAACACAACCTGGTGTTGTACTTGAACCACAATATCTCAGGGCTTTAGAGGTAGGTCTCACCATTTCTTTTGAAATGCCTTGGAGAAGGAAATGAGAGAAACTGAACTACAGAGGGGTGCCATACTCCAATATATGGATGACATTCTTATTGGTAGCCCTACAAAACAGAACTTAGATAAGAATGCTATTCCGGTTCTAAATTTCCTGGGCAAGAGCGAATATTGGGTTTTCCCATTTAAAGCTCAACTTTTCAAGATGGGGTAAAATATTTGGGCTTTGGGCTTTGTCTTAACCTAGGGAGCTGAACTTCATCAATTGAGCCAAAAGAGGCCATCTTAAAGGTGGAAACTTCACAAGCAAAGAAGCAACTTTGGATCCCAGGATTTGGGTGTATTGACAAACCATTAAAAAGATGAATATGAACCCTATAAAGATGAATATGAACCCTATAAAGATGAATATGAACCCTTCAAATGGTCAATAAAAAAGAGGCTTTTCAGAGTATTAAAAATTTGCTTAGCTCCACAGCTCCTGCCTTGGAACTTCCCAACTTGGAAAACCCCTTTTTCACTCTATGGGTCTGAGAAACAGGGACTCTACCTAGGTGTACTTACTCAATGATTGGATAATATACCTAGGCCAGTGGCACATCTCTCCAAACTGACAGATTATGTGGCAGCTGGCTGGCCAGGATGTTTATGGATCACAGCAGCCACTGCTTTCCTCATTGAGGAAGCCACTAAATTGATATTAGGATAGGCTCACTCTTGAAGTCCAAACCCCTCATCAAGTGCGGGGGTACTTAGAAATTAAAGGCCATCAATGGTTGATGGAGAGACAAGTAATTAAATAATATCAGGCTCTTTTATTAGGTTCCCATGAAATAATTCTTAAGGTCTGTCAAACCTTCAATTCTGCTACTCTCATGTCCATATGAGCAACAGTAGGTCTAACCCATTCTTGCATAGAAACAATTGATCAAATTTACTCCAGCTGGTCAGATAACAAAGACAAATCTCTAGACAACCTTGATAAAGAATGGTTCATAGATGGGAGTAGCTTCATGAAAGATAAGTCTAGAAGGGCAGGATATGCAATAATAAGTCTTCAGCAGGAAATAGAGGCAAAGCCTTTAACAGCAAATACATCTGCTCCCAAAACTGAGCTTATTTCTCTCACACGTGTGTTATAATTGGGAAAAGACTGGTGGGCAAATATATATACTGGTTCTAAATATGCTTTTATCATTCTGCGTGTTCACACAGCTATACACAGGGAATTGCTGATGGCCAAAAATTCTCCTATGAAATACAGTCATGAAATTTTATCATTACTCCAGACAGTTCAGGATCCATTGGAAGTGGCCATTATCCATTGCATGGAACATTAGAAGGGGGAGTTTATGATAACCAAGAAAAACATACTGGCAGATAAAGCTGGCAAAAGAGGGGCCATTGAGCCTATCTCAGAACTGGCCTTATGGCCACAGCCCAATGATCAAGAGCCACATCCAGAATATATCCAACCTGAGATAGAATGGGCAATGAAGAGGGGGTAGAGCAAAAAACTTAATGGCTGCTGGACACATGAGATCCTGCTTACCCAGCGTTGTCAATGGAACATTATTAAGGGAATACGTGATTGCTCTCACCTGGGAATAAATACTATACATGTTCTAGTCACTCATGGTTTTGGTTGGGAAGAAATTGTATTACTCTGTTTTCACACTGCTGATAAAGACATACCCAAGAATGGGAAGAAAAAGAGGTTTAATTGGACTTACATTTCCATATGGTTGGGGAGACCTCAGAATCATGGTGGGACATGAAAGGCACCTCTTACATGGCAGTAGCAAGAGAAAATGAGGAAGATGCAAAAGCAGAAACCATCAGATCTCATGGGACTTATTCACTACCACAAGAACAGTATGAGGGAAGCCGCCCCATGTTTTAAATTATCTCCCACTGGGTCCTTCTGACAATAAGTGGGAATTATGGGACTACAATTCAAGATGAGATTTGGATGGGGACTCAGAGCCAAACCATATCATTCCACCCCTGGCCCCTCCAAATCTCATGTCCTCAAATTTCAAAGACAATCATGCCTTCCCAACAGTCCCTCAAAGTCTTAACTCATTTCAGCATTAACTCAAAAGTCCACAGTCTGAAGTCTCATCCGAGACAAGTCATGTCCCTTCCACCTATGACTCTAAAATCAAAAGCAAGCTAATTACTTCCTAGATCCAACGGGGGTACAGGTATTGGGTGAATACAACCATTCCAAATGAGAGAAATTGGCCAAAACAAAGGGATTAAGGGCCCATGCAAGTCTGAAATCCCATGGGGCAGTCAAACTTTAAATCTCCAAAATGATCTCCTTTGACTCCAGGTCTCATATCCAGGTCAGGCCGATGCAAAAAGTGGGTTGCCATGGCCTTGGGCAGATCTGCCCCTGTGGCTTTGCACACTGTAAAATGAAAGGAAAAACGTGGAATCCCAATTCACTGTGCCAAAAGAAAAAAAAAATAAGTTGAAATCTGATCTTGCAAGAAGTTACCTTTCCTTTTATTTCTTAGCAGATAGCTACAGATCAAAGACTAAATATCTTCACTTGTAGCTCCTTTATGTTCACCTTATCTTATGCAAAATGCTGATTTACTAAGCATGAGATGAATGCATAATTGACTATTTCCCTAGCTACTCCTTTACTCTGGCAACATGTGGATTACCATACCCTCCCCCTTTCCTCTCAAGCCCATTTTATCCCTGTAAATATTAAAACTCTAAAAATCATCTTTAAAGAAAGGCACAGGCCTCAGATTGTTTCTGTGATTCTGTGTTCATGTTTTTTTTTTTTTTTTTTTTTCTGGGCATTGTCCTTTACCTTTACAAAAATAAACTTCTAAATTGATTGATGGTCTCAGATACTTTTTGGATTACAACACAAACTAGAAAAGCTACAATAAGCTGATAAAGTCCTGGAAACACACAATTTTCCAAGAACGAACCAAGGAGAAATTGAAATCTTAAACAGTATGATAATGAGTGATAAAATATTGAATCAGTAATAAAAAATCTACCAACCAAATAAAGTGCAGGACTAGACAGATCCACAGTTGAATTGTACCAAATATGCAAAGAACTGGTACCAATATTGCTCAAACTATTCCAAAAACACAAGGAGAGGGAATGCATCCCTAACTCATTCTATAAAAACAGCATCATCTTGATATCAAAATCTGTCAAAGACAAAACAAAAAAAGAAAACTACAGAGCCATATTGCTGATAAATATAGATGCAAAAATTCTCAACAAAACAATTCCTAACAGAATGTAGCAGCACATCAAAAAATAATACATCATGATCAAGTGTGTTTTTTTTGGAAGCAATAGATGGTTCAACATATGCAAATTAATAAATGTGACTCATCACATAAAGGGAATTAAAAACAAAAACCATGTGACCACCACAATAGATACAGAAAGACACATTTGATATAATCCAACATCCTTTCATGATAAAAACTCTCAACTAATTAAACATCAAAGAAACATACCCCAAAATAATAAGAGCCATATATGTCACAATCATAGCCACAAAAAAAAATCATATTGAATGGGAAAAATTGAAACCATTCCCTCTAAGAACTGGAACAACACAAGGATATTCACTCTTATCATTCCTATTCAATATAGTACTGGGAAGTCCCACACAGAGTAATCAGAAAAGAAACAGAAATAAAAGTCATACAAACAGAAAAAGAGTGAGAGAAATAATCTCTGTTTGCTAGTGACAATATCCTATACCTAGAAAATGCTAAATATTCCTTCAAAGGACTTCTAGATCTTATAAATGACTTCTGTACTGTTTCAAGACACAAAATTAATGCACAAATTTGTTGCATTTTTTATACAGAAACAATGCTTATGCCGAGAACCAAATGAATAACTCAATCCCATTTATAATAGACATAAAGAATTAAACACCTAGGATTTTACCAAAGAGGTGAAAGACCTCTACCATGAGAAGCACAAAATACTAATGAAAAAAATTGTAGATGACTCAAACTAAAAACCTCTCAAGATCCTGGATAGGAAGAATCAGTATCATCAAAATGACTATACTGCCCAATGCAATCTATAGATTCAATGCAATTTATATCAAATTACTACATTGTTTGTCAAAGAATTTAGGAAAAAACAATTCTAAAATTCATGTGGAACCAAAAAAGACCCTAAGAATCAAAGTAATTCTAAGCAGAAAGAACAAAGCCAGAGGCACCACATTAGCAGACTTCAAACTATAGTACAAGGCAATAGTAACAAAACAACATAGTACTGGTAAAAACAAAAAAGGGGGGGACACATAAATTAATAGAACAGAGTACAGAACTAAGTAATAAAGCCACACATCTACATTTAACTAGTCTTTAACAAAGTCAACATAAATATACAATAGGGAAAGTACATTATTAAATTCATGCTGGGAAACCTGGCTAGCCATATACAGAAGAGTTAATCTGGAGCCCTCCCTCTCACTATATACAAAAATTAACTTAATATGTATTAAAGACTCAAATGTAGGACATGGAATTATAGAAACTTTAGAAGAGAACCAAGGAAATTTTTCTGTACATTTGGCCTAGGCAAATAATTCATGACTATGATCACAAAATCAAATGCAACAATATTATCCTTAGCAAACTAACACAGGAACAGAAAGTCAAATACTGCAGGTTTTCACTTATAAGTGGGAGCTAAATGGTAAGAACTTATGAACACAAAGAAGGAAACAACAGTTACTGGGGTTTACATAAAGGGGGAAGGTGGGAGCGGGGAGAGGTACAGAAAAGACAATTATTGGATACTGAGATTAGTATCAGGGTGATGTAATAATATGTACAATAAACCCCCGGGACACGTGTTTACCTATGCAACAAATTTTCACATTTACTCCCAAATTTAAACTAAAAATAACTTAATAAATGGGACTTAAACTAAAGAGCTTCTGCCCAACCAAAAAAAATTAATCAAAAGAGTTAACAGATAACCTACAGAATAAGAGAAAATATTAGCAACCTATGCACCTGACAATGGACTAATATACAGAATCTATAAGAACCTTAAACAACTAAACAAGAAAAGGACAAATAATCCCATTGAAAAGGGAACAAGGGACATGAACACACACTTTTAAAGGAAGACATAGAAGCAGTCACCAAACATGATAAAATGTCAACATAAGTTATCTTCAGTAAAAGGCAAATTACAACCACGATGAGATACCATCTCACACCAGTCAAAATGGCTATTAGTAAAAAGTACGAAAAAAGAAAGATATTGTGAAGAATGTGGAGAAAAGGGAATGCTTATACACTGTTGACATGAATTTAAAATAGTTCAATATTGCTTTCTAACAATACAGAGATTTCTGAAAAAACTAAAAATAAAACTGTCATTCAACCTAGCAGTACCATGAGTGGGTATCTGCCCATAAAAAAAATCATATTTTTCAAAAAGATTCCTGCACTTATACATTTATTGCAGCACTATACTCAATAGCAAAGATATGAAATCAACTTATGTATCATTGATGGTGGTTTGAATAAAGAAAATGTGGTATATATACAACAAGGAATACTATTCAGCCATTACAGAGAATGAAATCATGTCCTTTGCAGCAACATGGATGCAGTTGGATGTCATTATCCTACATAAAATAACTCAAAAATAAAAAATCAAATACTGCATGTTGTCACTTATAAGTGGGAGCTAAATGGGTACATATGAAAACAAAGATAAAAATAATAGACACTGGGGACACCAAAATAAGGGATAATTGTAGAAGAGAGTGGCCTCAAACACTTCCTATTGGGTACTATTTTTACAATTTGAGTGATCGGTTCACTGGAAGCACAAACCTTTGTATTACACAATATAGCCATGTAACAAACCTGCACCATGTACCCCCAAATCTAAATTAACAGTGTAAAAAACTTCAGTGGGATACCATCTTACATCAGTCAGAATGGCTATTATTAAAAATTCAAAAAAAAAAAAGACAGATGTTGATGAGAATGCAGAGAAAATAAACCTCTTGTACACGGTTGGTGGGAATGTAAGTACAACCTCTATGGAAAAGCTTATGAAGATTTTTCAGAGAAGTAAAAATAGAGCCACATTTTGATTCAGTATTTCTGCTACTGGCTATCAACTCAAAGGGGAAGAAATCATTATATTAAAAAGACACCTGTATTCACATGTTTGTTGCAGCACTACTCAGCAAGGACATGGAGTCAACCTATGTGCACATCAATGGTGCATTTTATAAAGAAAATCTGGCAAATATATGACATAGAATACTACTCTTCTATAAAAAATAGTAAAATTATATGTCTTGCAGCAACATGGATGCAACTAGTGACGATTATCCTAAGTGAAATAACTCGGAAACATAAAGTCAAATACCACATGCTATTACTTACCAGAGAGACCTAAACAATGGGTACATATGAACATGCACAGTGGATTAGTAGACATTGGGGTCTTCAAAAAGTGAAAGAGTAAGAGCAAGTTCAGGGGTAAAACATTTCCTGTTGTGTACATTGTACACTATTTGGGTGTTATACTAAAATTCCAGACCAAACTGCGATGCAATATATACATGTTACAAAAGTGCACTTGCACCCCAAATTTATAAATACATATAAAATCTGTATATTATAAATATATGTGTATAAATATATGTATGTATATATAAATATATATTTGTATATATTTAAAATACATAATTTCCAAATCTATGTTTATACAAAAGCTAGATTACACAAGAATACCTGAAGCAAGTGCTGCAAGAGTTAATGTTTTCACTTTTAATTCTTAGAAGTTTTTTCATTAATGACATAAATTTACATATTTCTTGGTATAATATTTCAATACATGTGCATCTTATATAATAATCAAATCAGGGAAGTTAGCATGTTAATTACCTCAAATATTTATCATTTCTTTTTGGTGATAAGTTTCAAAATTCTTTTTTCTAGCTACTTTGCAATATACAATTTTTAAAAATCAATACCCTTGTATTAGCTATATTCACCCTTCTATGTAATAGATCATCATAAATTACTTTTATTTATTTATTTATTTATTTTTTTGAGACGGAGTCTCTCTCTGTCGCCCAAGCTGGAGAGCAGTGGTGCGATCTCAGCTCACTGCAAGCTCCACCTCCTGGGTTCACACCATTCTCCTGCCTCAGCCTCCCAAGTAGCTGGGACTACAGGCACCCGCCACTACACCCAGCTAATTTTTTTTGGTAGTTTTTTAGTAAAGACGGGGTTTCACCGTGTTAGCCAGGATGGTCTTGATCTCCTGACCTCGTGATCCACCCGCCTCGGCCTCCCAAAGTGCTGTGATTACAGGTGTGAGCCACCATGCACAGCTTACTCTTTTTATATAACTATAATTTTGTACCCATTGACCGAACTCTCTTCATTTTTCCTTTTCTCCTTTCCCCAGCCTCTTGTAATTACTCTTCTACTCTCTACTTCTATGAGACTAACATTTTAAAATTACATATACGATTCAAGACCAGACTGGCCGACATGGTGAAACCCTGTCTCTACTAAAAATACAAAAATTAGCTGGGTGTAGTGGCATGTGCCTGTAATCCCAGCTACTCGGGAGGTGGAGGGAGGATAATCGCTTGAACCTGGGAGGCTGAGCCGAGATCGCACCACTGCACTCCAGCCTTGGCAACAGATTGAGACTCCATTTTGGAAAAAAAAAATCACATATGAGTGACGTTATGCGGTATTTGTCTTTCTGTGTCTGGCTGATTTTCCTTAACATTATGTCTTCCAGGTTCATCCATGTTGCCACAAATAACATAATTTTATTATTTTTCAGGGCTGAATAGCATCCCATGTTGTATGTATATCACTTTTTCTTTACCCATTCATCTATTGATGGACATGTAGGTTAATTTCATCTCTTTGCTACTGTGAATAGTGCTGCAACAAACATGGAGTGCAGATTTTTTTTTTTTTTTGACATGCTGGCTTCCACGACTTTCTATGTACCCAACACACAGATTGTTGAATCATATAGTAGTTGTTTTTGATTTTTTGAGGAATCTCCATACTTTTTATCATGATAGCTGTACTAATTTATATTCATACCGAGAGTATATAACAGTTCTCCTTTCTCCATATCCTCACCAGAATTTGCTAATTTTCTGATAGTCATTCTAACTCATTCTTATAGTTCATTCTAAGGCAAAGTGATATCTCATTTTGGTTTTGATTTGTTTGCCTTTTCCTAATGATTAGTAATGTTGAGTAATTTGCCTTTTATCTGCTGGCCATTTGTATGTTGTATTCTTAGAAATGTATATTCAGGGCAATAATTTTTAATTGCTGAAAGATAAAATCTGTCAATCAAAATTAAACCCAGTTAAATATCCTTCAGGGAGTAAGGGAAAATGAAGATACTCTTAAGAGGATGGTTTAAGACAGCTTACTAGATGCAATATTTCTCTTTCATGGAGAGAAACCAAAATATCAGGTAAATATTCACATTTAAAATGGATCTTTTGAGAAAAAAAAAACAGTATGATTCAACAGAGAGGTGATGGAAGACAACACAGTTGAAGAGTCAGAAAGCCTGGTTGCCTGTTCAATGTTGTTGGGTGCCAGAACCAGATTATGGACCCAGATCCAGGAATGGGTGTGTGAGGAAACCCCAGGTCACCATATTCCCACTGAGATTCTAGCTACAGAATTCCATGACTGCTGCAGACCTTTAGATTGGCCAAGCAATTTACTGGATTACCACTCAGAGGAACTGCTGAAACTTGTGTGGAGCCCCAAAGGCTTGAGTTCACTGGGTAGCTGCAGCAAAGCATGACTCTGGGTGCCTAATCACCAAGGCACTGTGTTCTTCCCTGACCTCCTGAAACTGCTGATGTCAGCCAGTTTGGGGAGAGGACAGGGTCCAGTCACTATAATGTGCACCAAAGACAGACTTGGTCACCATTGCTGCAGGATTGAGATGCATCAGAAACACACACCCTATGCCTGGCGGTCTCTCTCAAGATTACCTGTCTACTTGTTTCTTCAAGCGGGGGGGCCAGAGCATAGCCACCATTGCCTCCCCTGAGAGTTTTTTGATAGCTTTGGAGCACTTCAAGCTTCCTTATAACAGCCAGTGGTTGAGCTGGAGGTAAGAGAAAACAAATCCATGGGTCTGGTTCAAGTTCATCTGGACTTGAGCTCACCAGGCAGAGGAATGGAGATAAGATTTGTGTCCTGAGTTTGAAGCCAGGAGAAGCCCCTACTGTCAAAACACAGAGAAGAGTGTAACATAGCTTTTTGTAGGGGCGAAGGGGATGAGTGCCCCTCCATTAGTAAGACTGGGCCAGGAAGGTTGTGGCCTGATAGCCATGGTTTCTTTTTCAGGGTGTCTTGCATCTCAAAACATCTGGAACATCTCTACGAACTGAATTCAGATTGTCTGGGACAAGCCTTACTCTCCTGGCCTACCACCAGCAGCTACATGCTGGGGGGAATTGCATGGGAACTGGGAAGGTCCCACTGCTCTCTGCTGGGCTGCAAAACCTGGGTCACTCCTCTTCCCCTAAGCAAGGTCTGTGACGTAGGAGAGATGTTTCTGTCCCTCCCTGGAGAGTTGTCCAAGTAGTCTGAATGCTGCCCCTGGACCATAACCAAAGTTGCCCCCTTCTCACAAGTCAGAGAGCCTTGTCGCAGGCTTGCTAACCCACTCCCAGCTAGCTTTGCAACCTCCAGCCTCCTTGGCAGGATAGCACAAAACAGGAAACACTGGAAGCCTCATAGCCCCGCCTATTGCACAAGATACTCTGGTAATTCCCCTGATGACCAGTAGCCAACCAAAATTCTGCTACCACCCCCACAAATGCCTTTAGCCTGCAAGAACCACTGACTTGCTAAGAGGTTAACCTGCATGGCCCATTAAACTGCTGACACCATTTACAGTGCTTGGGAGACTCTTATCCACAAGTGTCAATTACTGGCCTGAAGGGTAAACTGCACGGCTCAATATAATTCCTGCTTCCCGAAGTGCACCGAACCGAAAAACGAGAGTAGCCTCCCAAGAGCTCCACCCTCTCATCTCTGCAGAAGACAGTGCATCTGCTTGCATACACAACACACCACTACTACAACCTACAAATAGCACTGGAGAAAACCACTACACTAAAGCTATTTATCACCAAGGAATTAATCAAAAGCTTTGGCCTCATAAGGCACTAACAAGCAAAGCCAAAGGACCCTACTCAACATAAGCAAAGGTCTTACCCTCAATGGGGAAAAATTTCCACAGAACTGAAAGTGAATTCCAAAATAAATAGTGACAGCTTCTTCATATAAAAAGGACATAGCATAAGAACTCCAACACCATGAAGAAACAGTGTGTTGTGATACCTCCAGTGGAACATATGAGCTCTCTAGCAATGGATCTTAACTGCAATGAAACTTTTGAAATGAAAGGTAAAGCATTGAAAATATAGATTTTAAGGAAGGTCAGAGATTCAGGAAAAAATTTTGAAAGATGATTAATTATATGAAAGATGAAATAAATAAACAATCTAAAATTTGGAAATCAAAAATTTACTGAAGAATTTCAAAATATAGTTGAAAGCATTAAAATTATACTAGATCAAGCAGAAAAAATTACAGATCTTGAAGTCCAGTATTTCAAATTAACCCATTCAAACATAAAGAAAAAAATAAAAATGAACAAAGACTTCAAGAAATATGGGATTGTGTAAAGCAACCAAATGTATGACTTACAGGTATTCCTGAGAGGTAAAAAAGAAAAAAGAAAAGTTTGGAAAACCTATTTGGGGTGATAATTTGGGAAAATTTCTGTAACCTTGCTAGAGTTGTAGATCAGAAAACACCTGGAAGATATTATGCAAGATGAACAGCATCAAGACATATAGTCATCATACTCTCCAATATTAATGTGAAAAAACATCTTAAAAGCAGCTAGAGAGAAGCATCAAATTACTTACAAATGCAACCCCATCAGACTAATAGTGAACTTCTTCATGGAACCTTACGAGCCAGAAGACACTCAGGGACTATTTTCAACCTTATTAAAGAAAAAAATGTCATCCAAGGATTTTATATTTTTCCAAACTGAGTTTCATAAATAAAGGGAAAATTAAATCTTCCTCAGACAAGTAATGTTAGGAGAGTTTGTCATTGTTATACAGCCTTTACAAGAAATGCTCAAAGAAGTCCTAAGCATTGTGATACGGTTTGGCTGTGTCCCCCCAAAAAATCTCATCTTGAATTGTAATCCCCATAATCCCCATGTGTCAAGGGCAGGACTAGGTGGAGGTAGCTAGATCATGAGGGCAAGTTCCCCCATGCTGTTCTTGTGATAGTGAGTGATCTGATGGTTTTGTAATCATCCGGCATTTCTCCTGCTTGCACAAATTCCATCCTGCTGCCCTGAGAAGAAGGTGTCTGCTTCTTATTTACCATGATTGTAAGTTTCCTGAGGCCTCCCTGGAAATGCAGAACTGTGAGTCAATTAAACCTCTTTCCTTTATAAATTATCCAGTCTCTGGTATTTTTTCATAGCAGGGTGAGAATGGGCTAATACACACTGACACAAAAGAATGATATTCACCATCATAAAATCACATGTAAGTACAAAGATCACAGATTCTATAAAGCAATTACACAATTGAAATGACAAAGAAACTAGCTAAAAACACTATGATGGGAACAAACCCTCACATATTATATTAACTTTGAAAATAAATGGCCCAAATGTTCTACTTAAAACATGTAGACTGGAAAAAATAGATAGAAAATCAAGATTCAATGATTTGGTAACCACAACAGACCCACCTAACAAGCAAAGGCACCTAAAGTTTCAAAGTAGAAGGGTGAAATAAGTTACATCATGCAAAGGGAAAATGAAAATGAGCACTAGTAGCTATACTCATATCAGATAAAATCAGACTTTGAATCAACAATAGTACAAAAAGACAAAGAAAGTCAGTATATAATAAAAAAAGGTTCCATTCAACAAAGAGTTTTAACTACACTAAGTATATATAAACCCAAAACTGTAACACAGAGATTTATAAAACTAATACTACTAGATCTAAGATAAAAGATAGACAAATATATAATAATAATAAAAATTTCAACACCCCAATGACAGCACTAGACAGATCATTGTGGCAGAAAATCAACAATGTAACTCTGGACATAAACATGACCATAGATCAAAAGGACCTAATAGATATTTTTCCAACATTATACCCAGATAATTGCAGAATATATATGTTTCTCATATGCACATAGAATAGTCTCCAAAATAGACCATGTGCTCGGCCATAAAGTGCCAATAAGCTAAAAACATTAAAATAATCTAAAATATCTTCTCACATCAAAGCAAAATGAAATTAGAAATCATGACCAAGAGAAAGTCTCAAAACCGCACAATTAAATAAAAACTAAACAACTTGTTCCTGAGTTAACTTTGAATAACCAACTAGAGGTAGACATAAATAAATTTTTTGAAACAAATGAAATAGAGATGCAATATACTGAAACCTCTGTGATACAGCAAATACTGTGCTAAGAGAAAAGTTTAGATTGTTAAATGCCTACATCAAAAAAGACATCAAATTAGCAACCTAACATGGCACCTCAAATAATTACAAAACAAGAACAAATAAAACCCAAAGCTAGCAGAAAAATAACAATTTCAGCACACATCTAAATAAAATTGAGACAAAATATGATTAAAAAGTATCAAAACAAAATGTTGTTTTTTAGAAGATTAAACAAAACTGATAGACAACTAGCTAAATTAACTAAGAAAAAAGATGAGATTCAAGAAAGTAAAGTCAGAAATGATAGAAGTGATATTACATCTAATACCACAAAAATACAAAACATCTCCAGATACTACTATAAGCATGTCTAATTAAAAAAAAAACTAGAAAAATTAGAGAAACAGATAAACTCTGGGAAACATGAAACCTTCCAGGAATGAACCAGAAACAGATAGAAATGTAGACTAGATGAATAATAAGTAATGAAAATTGAATCCATAATAAAAAAATCAAAACAATAAAATCCCCAAATCAGATTATTCCAGAGCTGAATTTTATCAGACTTACAAAGAAAAGCTGTTGCCCATCTTACTGAAATGATATAAAAAATTCAGGCATGAGTGATTCATCCATAAATCATTGCACAAAACCACTATTGCCCAAATAGCAAAATCAGGCAAAGAAACAACAACAACAACAAACAGTAAGCCAATAGCTCTGATGAACATAGATGTAAAAAACCTGAGCAAATTACTAGCAAAGTGACTTTAACAGCCCAACAAGAAAATAACTCATCACAATCAAGTGGGTTTTATTCCAGAGATGCAAAGATGGTTCAATATATATAGTAATTAATAAATGTGATTTTCTACATAAATTTTTTTCCACATAAAGATAATTAAAAATAAAATGAACAGTATTATCTCAATAGATTAGAAAAAATATTTGATAAGATCCAACATCCTTTCATGAGAAGAACCTTCAACAAGCTAGGCATTGAAGGAACATACCTCAAAATAATAAGAGCCACATACGACAAACAACTAACTAACCTCATACTAAATGGAGTAAAGTTGAAAGCGTTTTGATATGGTTTGGCTGGGTCTCCAACCAAATCTCACTGGGAAGTGTAATAATCCTCAAATGTCAAAGGTGGTGCCATGTGAAAATAATTGAATCATTGAGGGAGTTTTCCCCATGCTGCTCTTGGGGTAGTGAATAAATCTCACGAGATCTGATGATTTTATATCTGAGAGTTACCCTGCACAAGCTCTACTGCCTGCTGCCATGTAAGACATGACTTTGCTCCTCATTCACCTTCTGCTATGATTGTGAGGCCTCCCCAGCCATGTGGAACTGTGAGTCAATTAAACCTATTTTCTTTGTAAATTACCCAGTCTTGGGCATGTCTTTATTAGCAGTATGAGAACAGACTAATACAGTAAATGGGTACCAAGCTGTGTGGTGCTGCTGTAAAGATACCTGAAAATGTGGAAGTGATTTTGGAAATGAGTAACAGGCAGAGGTTGCAACAGTTTGGAGGGCTCAGATGACACAAAAATATGGGAAACTTTGGAAGTATTTAGAGACTTGTTGAATGGCTTTGACCAAAAAGTTGATAGTGCTATGGATAACAAAGTCTAGGCTGAGGTGGTCTCAGATGGAGTTGAGGAACTTGTTGGGAACTGGAGAAAAGATGACTTACTCTTATTATGCCTTAGCAAAGAGACTAGTAATATTTTGCTCCTGCCCTAGAGATCTGTGGATCTTTGAACTTCAGATAAAAGATTTAGGGTATCTGGCGGAAGAAATTTCTAAGCAGCAAAGCATTCAAGAGGTGATTCAAGAGGTGCTGTTAAAAGCATTCAGTTTTATGTATTCACAAATATATGGTTTGGAATTAGAACTTATGTTTAAAATGGAAACAGAGCATAAAAGTTTGAAAAATTTGCAGCCTGAAAAGACAATAGAAAAGAAAACCCCATTTTCAGAGGATAAATTCAAGCTGTATTCAAAAATTTGTATAAAAAAAAGAGGATCCAAAAGTTAATCATAAATACAATGGGGGAAAGGTCTCCAGGGCGTGGGCCTAGGAGGGAAAATTGTTTTGTGGGCTGGGGCCTGAACCTTCCTGCTTTGTGCATTCTTTGGACTTGGTGCCCTACATCCCAGCCATGGCTAAAAGAAGCCAACTTGCAGCTCAGGTCATGGTTTTAGAGTGTGCAAGCCCCAAGCTTTGGCAGCTTCCACCGGGTGTTGAGCCTATGGGTACACAAAAGACAAGAATTGAGGTTTGGGAACTTCCATCTAGATTTCAGAGGACTTATGGAAACGCCTGGATGTCCAGGCAGAAGTTCACTGCCCAGGCAGGGCCCTCATGGAGAATCTCTGCTAGGGCAATGCAGAAGGGAAATGAGGGGTTGGAGCCCCCACACAGAGTCCCCACTGGGGCACTGCCTAGTGGAGTTATGAGAAGAAGGTCACCATCCTCCAGACCCAAAAATGGAAGATACACTGACAGCTTGCACCATGTACCTGGAAAAGTTACAGACACTCAACACTAGCCCATGAAGCCAGCCAGGAGGGGAGCTGTACCCTGCAAAGCCACAGGGGTGGAGCTGCTCCAGAACATGGGAACCTACCACTTAGATCAGTGTGACCTAGATGTGAGACCTGGAGTCAAGGGAGATCATTTTGAAACTTTAAGATTTGGCTGCCCTGCTGCATTTTGGACTTGTGTGGGACCTGTAGCTCTTTTGTTTTGGCCAGTTTCTCCCATTTGGAACAGGTCTACTTACCCAATGCCTGTACCCCCATTGTATCTAAAAAGAACCTAACTTGCTTTTTATTTTACAGACTCATAGGAGGAAGAAACTTACCTAATCTCAGATGAGACTTTGGACTGTGGACATTTGGGTTAATGCTGGAATGAGTTAAGAATTTGGGGGACTGTTGGGAAGGCATGATTGGATTTGAAATATGAGGACCTGAGATTTGGGAGGGGCCAGGGGCAGAATAAAATGGTTTGCCTGTTTCCTCACCCAAGCCTCACCTTGAATTATAATAATTCTCATGTGTCAAGGTTCAGGTGGAGATAATTGAATCATAAGAGTGATTTCCCCCATCCTGTTCTTGTGGTAGTAAGTCTCATGAGATCTGATTGTTTTATAAATGGGAATTGCCCTGCACAAGCTCTCTTGCCTGCCACCATGGAAGACATGACTTTGCTCTTCATTCACATTCTGCCATGATTATGAGGCCTGTTCAGTCATGTGGAGCTGTGAGTCAATTAAACCTCTATCCTTTATAAATTACCCTGTCTTCAGTATGTCTGTATTAGCAGCGTGAGAACAGACTAATACACATTTTCTTTAAGAACAGGGTTATAACGAGGATGCCTATGCTTGGCACTCTCATTCAACATAGTACCAGAAGTCCCAAACAGAGCAGTAAAGAAAGAGAAAGAAACAACATGCATCCAAATTAAAAAAAGAGGAAGTTGGAGTATCTCTGTTTGCTTGTAAAATTATTTTTATCTCTAGAAAACTCTAAACACTCTTTTGAAAGACTACTAGATTTGATAAATAAATTCAGTTTCTGGTTACAATAATCAGTAGTGTTTCTATATAACAATAACCTTCAGATTGAGAATCAGATAAAAAACTCAATACCATTTACAAAAGGCACACACACACACAAATTATTCTGGAATAAAGTTAATGAAGGAGATGAAAGATCTATACAAGGAAAATTACTAAACACTGATAAAAGAAATCATAAGTCACACAAACAAATAGAAAAAATATCATATGCTCTTGGATTGGAAGAATCAATATTATAAAATGACCATACTGCTCAAAACAATCTACGGATTTAGGGCAATATTTATCAAATTACCAATGTCGTATTTTATAGAATTATGAAAAAATGCTAAAAATTATATGCAACCAAATAAAATCCTAAACAACCAAAGCAACTCAACATTAAAACAAAGCTGGAGGCATCACATTACCTGACTTCAAACTGTACTACAAGGCAGTATTAATCAAAACAGAATGGTACTGGTACAAAAGTAGACATATAGATCAATGGAATATAAATAGAATAGAATAGAATAGAATAGAATAGAATAGAATAGAATAGAATAGAATAGAATGCAAGAAATAAAACCAAATACTTATTCTCAAATAATCTTTGACAAAGTCAACACAAATATATAATTGGAAAAGTACATTCCGTTCAATAAATGATGCTGAGAAAACAGAAAACCCATATGCAAAAGAATAAAACTAAACCCTCTCTCACACCTTATACAAAAATTAATTCAAGATACATTAAAGATTTAAATGTAAGACCTGAACCCGTAAAAATTTAGAAACTACTCTTGAAAACTTGCCTAGGCAACAAATTTGTTAGTAAGACCAAAAAACCAAATGCAACAAACTCATAAATAGACAAATGGTACTTAATTAAACTCTAAACCTTCTGCACAGCAAAAAAGACAATTATCAAAAAAAGCAGAAAACCTATAAAATGGGAGAAAATATTTGGAAACTTAGCATCTGACAGATTACTAACATCTATAATCTACAAGGAACCCAAACAACTCAAGAGGAAAAAACAAATAATCTCATTAAAAGTCGCCAAAGTATATGAAGAGATATTTCTCAAAATTAGACATACAAGCAGGCAAGAAACACATGAGAAAATGCTTAACATCACTAATTATTAGTATAATACAAACTAAAACTACAATGAGTTTCTACTCAGACTACTCAGAATGTTTATTACTGAAAAGGCAAAAAACAACAAAACAGATGTTGAAGAGGCAGAGAAAAGGAAACACTTTTACACTGTTGGTGGGAATGTAAATTAGTGAAACCTTATGGAAAACAGCCTAGAAATTTGTCAAAGATCCTAAAATAGAACTGTTATTCATTCTAACAATTCTGCTACTGGTTTTCTATCTGAAGGAAAATAAATAATTATATAAAAAACACACCTGCACTCATATGCTTATCACCACATTATTTAAAATAGCAATGCCATGAAAATCAACTCAGGTTACCACTGATGGTGGATTTGATAAAGAAAGTGTGCTATATATATATACCAGAAAATACTGTGCATCCATAAAATTTAAAATCATGCATTTACAGCAAGACAGATTGAGCTGGAGGCTAGTATCTTAAGTGACATAACTCAGAAGCAGATAAACAAATATTGTGTGATCTCATTTATTAAGAAATGGGTACACATAGACATACATGAAAAAAATTATAGACATCAAAGAGGTTAAAATGGAAAAGGGTGAGTGTTGAAAAATGACCTATTTGTTACAATGTTCACTATTCAGGTGATGATTAAAGTAGAAACATAAATCTCATAATGACACAGTATATGCATGTAACAGACATGCACATGTAGCACATGAACCTTTTATAATAATTTTTAAAAGGCACTTTTGGGAAAAGAAACTCTTAGACAACTAAATTATCTTAAAATATACACTTGGAATGTACATACAATGAAACAATATTAAGCCTTAAAAAGGAAGAAAATCCCATTATATGCTTCAACTTCAATAAATCTTGAAGACATTATGCTAAATAATATAAGCCAACGAGAAAAAATGAATACTACATGATCCAAATTTTGTGCATTATCTAAAGTAGAAGAATTCATTGAAACTCAAAGTAGAATGATGTTTATCAAGGGATGGGAATAAAAGGAAGACTTGTTGTTTAATAGGTATGGCTTCAGTTTTGCAAGATAAAAAAATTTCTGGAGTTTGGTTGCAGAACAAAATGCATATCCATAAAAATATTGAACTGTGCTCTTAAATTATTAATATGGTAAATTTTATGTTATGTGTTTTATTAAAATTTTTTTAAATTAAAATACTCTACAGTTGAAGAACAATTAAATGAAATTCTTCAAATGAAAACATATAAAACCAAAAAATGGCTTGGAATATTATTTAAAAAGAAATGTTGATGGAGTAAATGTAGGAGTAAATGAAGTTCTTAAATCATGTCTCACAGCTGAAGTACACATAACATTATCTTATATAATAATCAGTGTAGATAGAGGAAATACTTAACAAAATTACATTGAAAATGCAGAGAAGATAAAATAAATTAAACTATACTTGGTTTTCTTTTTTTTTCATGGTTTGACTTAGGATTTTTTATATATATATATATATATTTTAAGTTCTAGGGTACAGGTGCACAACGTGCAGGTTTGTTACATATGTATACATGTGCCATGTTGGTGTGCTGCACCCATTAACTCATCATTTACATTAGGTATATCTCCTAATGCTGTTCCTCCCCCATTCCACCACCCCACAACAGGCCCCAGTAAATGATGTTCCCTTTCCTGTGTCCAAGTGTTCTAATTGTTCAATTCCCACCTATGAGTGAGAACATGCGGTGTTTGGTTTTCTATCCTTGTGATAGTTTGCTGAGAATGATGGTTTCCAGCTTCATTCATGTCCCTACAAAGGACATGAACTCATCCTCTTTTATGGCTGCATAGTATTCCATGGTGTATATGTGCCACATTTTCTTAATCCAGTCTATCATTGATGGACATTTGGGTTGGTTCCAACTCTTTGCTATTGTGAATAGTGCCACAATAAACGTGTGCATGTGTCTTTATAGCCGCATGATTTGTAGTCCTTTGGGTATATACCCAGTAATGAGATGGCTGTGTCAAATGGTATTTCTAGTGCTAGATCCTTGAGGAATTGCCACACTGTGTTCCACAATGGTTGAACTAGTTTACAGTCCCACCAACAGTGTAAAAGTGTTCTTATTTCTCCACATCCTCTCCAGCACCTGTTGTTTCTTGACTTTTTAATGATCGCCATTCTAACTGGTGTGAGATGGTATCTCATTGTGGTTTTGATTTGCATTTCTCTGATGGCCAGTGATGATGAGCATTTTTTCATGTGTCTGTTGGATGCATAAATGTCTTCTTTTGAGAAGTGTCTGTTCATATCCTTCACCCACTTGTTGATGGGGTTGTTTGTTTTTTTCTTGTAAATTTGTTTGAGTTCTTTGTAGATTTTGGATATTAGCCCTTTGTCAGATGAGTAGACTGCAAAAATTTTCTCCCATTCTGTAGGCTGCCTATTCACTCTGATGGGAGCTTCTTCTGCTGTGCAGAAGCTCTTTCATTTAATTAGATCCCATTTGTCAATTTTGTCTTTTGTTGCCATTGCTTTTGGTGTTTTAGACATGAAGTCCTTGCCCATGCCTATGTCCTGAATAGTATTGCCTAGGTTTTCTTTTAGGGTTTTATGGTTTTAGGTCTAACATTTAAGTCTTTAATCCATCTTGAATTAATTTTTGTATAAGGTGTAAGGAAGAGATCCAGTTTCAGCTTTCTACATATCACTAGCCAGTTTTCCTAGCACCATTTATTAAATAGGGAATCATTTCCCCATTTCTTGTTTTTGTCAGGTTTGTCAAAGATCAGATGGTTGTAGATGTGTGGTATTATTTCTGTGGGCTCTGTTCTGTTCCATTGGTCTATATCTCTGTTTTGGTACAAGCATCATGCTGTTTTGGTTACTGTAGCCTTGCAGTACAGTTTGAAGTCAGGTAGTGTGATGCCTCCAGCTTTGTTCTTTTGGCTTAGGAGTGATTTGGAAGTGTGGGCTATTTTGGTTCCATATGAACTTTAAAGTAGTTTTTTTCAATTCTGTGAAGAAAGTCATTGGTAGCTTGATGGGGATGGCATTTAATCTGTAAATTACCTTGGGCAGTATGGCCATTTTCACGATATTGATTCTTCCTATCCATGACCATGCAATGATCTTCCATTTGTTTGTGTCCTCTTTTATTTCATTGAGCAGTGGTTTGTAGTTCTCCTTTTGAAGAAGTCCTTCACGTCCCTTGTAAGTTGGATTCCTAGGTATTTTATTCTCTTTGAAGAAATTGTGAATGGGAGTTCACTCATGATTTGGCTCTCTGTTTGTCTGTTATTGGTGTATAAGAATGCTTGGGATTTTTGCACACTAATTTTGTATGCTGAGACTTTGCTGAGGTTGCTTATCAACTTAAAGAGATTTTGGGATGAGACAATGGGGTTTTCTAAATATACGATCATGTCATCTGCTAACAGGGACAATTTGACTTCCTGTTTTCCTAATTGAATTCCCTTTATTTCTTTCTCCTGCTTGATTGCCTGGGCCAGAACTTCCAACGCTATGTTGAATAGGAGTGGTGAGAGAGGGCATCCCTGTCTTGTGCCAGTTTTCAAAGGGAATGCTTCCAGTTTTTGCCCACTCAGTATGATATTGGCTGTGGGTTTGTCATATATAGCTCTTCTTATTTTGAGATACACCCCCATCAATACCTAATTTATTGAGAGCTTTTATCATGAAGGGTTGTTGAATTGTGTCAAAGGCCTTTTCTGCATCTATTGAGATAATCTTGTGGTTTTTGTCTTTGGTTCTGTTTATATGCTGGATTACGTTTATTGATTTGTGTATGTTGAACCAGCCTTGCATCCCAGGGATGAAGCCCACTTGATCATGGTGGATAAGCTTTTTGATGTGCTGCTAGATTAGGTTTGCCAGTATTTTACTGAGGATTTTTGCATCAGTGATCATCAGGGATATTGGTCTAAAATTATCTTTTTTTGTTGTGTCTCTGCCAGGCTTTGTTATCAGGATGATGCAGCCCTCATAAAGTGAGTTAAGGAGGATTCCCTCTTTTTCTATTGATTGGAATAGTTTCAGAAGGAATGGTAGCAGCTCCTCCTTGTACCTGTAGTGGAATTCGGCTGTGAATCCGTCTAGTCCTGGACTTTTTTTGGTTGGTAGGCTATTAATTATTGCCTCAATTTCAGAGTCTGTTATTAGTCTATTCAGGGATCGAACTTCTTCCTGGTTTAGTCTTGGGAGGGTGCATGTGTCCAAGAATTTATCCATTTCTTCTAGATTTTCTAGTTTATTTGCATAGAGGCATTTATAGTATTCTCTGACGGTAGTTTGTATTTCTGTGGGATCGGTGGTGATATCCTCTTTATCAGTTTTTATTACGTCTATTTGATTCTTCTCTCTTTTCTTCTTTTTAGTCTTGCTGGTGGTATATCAATTTTATTGATCTTTTCAAGAAACCAGCTCCTGGAATCATTGATTTTTTGAAGGGGTGTTTGTGTCTCTATTGCCTTCAGTTCTGCTCTGATCTTAGTTATTTCTTGCATTCTGCTACCTTTTGAATGTGTTTGCTCTTGCTTCCCTAGTTCTTTTAATTGTGATGTTAGGGTGTCAATTTTAGATCTTTCCTGCTTTCTCTTGTGGGCATTTAATGCTATAAGTTTCCGTCTACACACTGCTTTAAATGTGTCCCAGAGATTCTGGTATGTTTTGTCTTTTTTCTCATTCGTTTCAAAGAACATCTTTATTTCTGCCTTCATTTCGTTATGTACCCAGTAGTCATTCAGGAGCATGTTGTTCAGTTTCCATGTAGCTGAGCGGTTTTGAGTGAGTTTCTTAATCCTGAGTTCTAGTTTGATTGCACTGTGGTCTGAGAGACAGTTTGTTATACTTTCTGTTCTTTTACATTTGCTGAGGAGTGCTTTACTTCCAACTATGTGGTCAATTTAGGAATAGGTGTGCTGTGGTGCTGAAAACAATGTTTATTCTGTTGATTTGGGGTGGAGAGTTCTGTAGATGTCTATTAGGTCTGCTTGGTGCAGAGCTGTGTTCAATTCCTGGGTATCCTTGTTAATTTTCTGTCTCGTTGATCTGTCTAATGTTGACAGAAGTGTGTTAAAGCCTCCCATTATTATTGTGTGGGAGTCTATGTCTCTTTGTAAGTCACTAAGGACTTGCTTTATGAATCTTGGTGCTCCTGTCTTAGGTGCATATATATTTAGAATAGTTAGCTCTTCTTGTTGAATTGATCCCTTTACCATTCTGTAATGGCCTTCTCTGTCTCTTTTGATCTTTGTTGGTCTTTTCACATAGTCCCATATTTCTTGAAGGCTTTGTTCATTTCTTTTTACTCTTTTTTCTCTAAACTTCTCTTCTCGCTTCATTTCATTCATTTGATCTTCAGTCACTGATACCCTTTCGTCCAGTTGATCAAATCGGCCACTGAAGCTTGTGCATGCATCACGTAGTTCTCATGTCATGTTTTTCAGCTCTGTCAGGTCATTTAAGGACTTCTCTATGCTGATTATTCTAGTTAGTCATTCGTCTAATGTTTTTTCAAGGTTTTTAGCTTCTTTGTGATGGGTTTGAACATCCTCCTTTAGCTTGGAGAAGTTTGACCATCTGAAGCCTTCTTCTCTCAACTTGTCAAGGTCATTCTCCATCGAGCTTTGTTTCATTGCTGGCGAGGATCTGCATTCCTGTGGAGGAGAAGGGGCACTCCCATTTTTATAATTTTCAGCTTTTCTGCTCTGGTTTCTCCCCATCTTTGTGGTTTTATCTTCCTTGGGTGTTTGATGATCATGACGTACAGATGGGGTTTTGGTGTGGATGTCCTTTCTGTTTGTTAGCTTTCCTTCTAACAGTCAGGACCCTCAGATGCAGTTCTGTTGGAGTTTGCTGGAGTTCCACTCCAGACGCTGTTTGCCTGGGTATCAGCAGCAGAGGCTTCCGAACAGCGAATATTGCTGAACAGCAAATGTTGCTGCCTGATCATTCTTGTGGAAGCTTTGTCTCAGAGGGGTACCCAGCCATGTGAGGTGTCAGTCTGCCTCTACTGGGGGGGGGGGGTGCCTCCCAGTTAGGCTACTCAGGGATGAAGGACCCACTTGAGGAGGCAGTCTGTCCATTCTCAGATCTCAAACTCCATGCTGGGAGAACCACTACTCTCTTCAAAGCTGTCAGACAGGGACATTTAAATCTGCAGAGGTTTCTGCTGCCTTTTGTTTGTCTATGCCCTGCCCCCAGAGGTGTTGTCTACAGTTGCAGGCAGGCCTCCTTGAGCTGCGGTGGGCTCCACCCAGTTGGAGCTTCTGGGCCACTTTGTTTACCTACTTTAGCCTCAGCAATGGTGGACGCCCCTCCCCCAGCCTTGCTGCCCACCTTGCAGTTTGATCTCAGACTGCTGGTGATAGCAGGCTCTGTGGGCATGGGACCCTCTGAGCCAGGCACAGGATATGGTCTCCTGGTGTGCCATTTGCTGAGACCCTTGTAAAAGCACAGTATTAGGGTGGGAGTGACCCAATTTTCCGGGTGCTGTCTGTCATGGCTTCCCTTGGCTAGGAAAGGGAATTCCCTGATCCCTTGCACTTTCTGGGTAAGGTGATGTCTCACCCTGCTTTGGCTCTCACTCCGTGGGCTGCAGCAACTGTCCTGCACCCACTGTCTGACATGCCCCAGTGAGATGAACCCAGTACCTCAGTTGGAAATGCAGAAATCACCTGTCTTCTGCATTGCTCACGGTGGGAGCTGTAGATTGGAGCCGTTCCTATTTGGCCATCTTGGAACTGCCTGTTTTCTTTATTTCATAAAGATAAAACAATTTGTTGATAGCAAATTTGTTCTCTAGAAATGGCTGAAGAAACCTTGTAAATGACGATAAACAGAAAGCATAATAACAGAAAAAAATATGGCATACAGTAGACTATTCTAATTTTGCATGAGATTTGTATATCACATTGGTAATTGGATGAAAATATAATAATATCTGATACTCAAGATGGTACTCAGTATATAATATATCAACACTGGTGGACTGTAATTTCACAAATACATAGTAATAATCAAAGCAATAACTAAGAAAATATACAAAGAGATACCTCTAAAAACTACAAGCGAATAAAGACAGAATCTTAAAAAGTGTTAAAAATCTAGTAAGAAACTTAAATTGAATAATGAAAAACATAAAAAGCAAATACAATTAATACAATGTTGGACTTAAGCTCTAACATATTAATAATTAACCATAAATAATCTAAATACACCAACAAATGGCAGAGAATGACACAATGAATTAGAAAAACAAAAACAACAACAACAACAACAACCATGGTGGCTGTCAAGATGGCTGAATAAGAAAAGCTCCCATCTGCAACTCCCAGTGAGATCAATGCAGAAGGTGGGTGATTTCTGGATTTCCAACTGAGGTATCTGGCTAATCTTGTTGAGACTGGGTAGACAGTGGATTCCGCCCATGGAGGGCAAGCCAAAGCAGGGTGGGGCACCCCCTCACCCAGGAAGTGCAAGAGTTGGTGAACTCCCTTCCCTAGCCAAGGAAGCTATGAGGAACTATGCCATGAGGAATGGTGTATGCTTTTCCCATGGTCTTCACAACCCACAGACCAGGAGATTCCCTCTGGTGCCTATACTACCAGAGCCCTGAGTTTCAAGCACAAAAGTGGGTAGCCATTAGGGCAGGCACTGAGCTAGCTGCAGGATTATTTTGCATACCCCAGTGGTGCCTGGAATGCCAGTGAGACAGAACTGTTCACTCCCCTAAAAAGGGGGCTGAAGTCAGGGGGCCAAGTCATCTAGCTCAGCAAATCCCACCCCCATGGAACCCAGCACGCTAAGATCCACTGGCTCAAAATTCTCACTTCCAGCACAGCAGTCTGAAGTCCACCTGGGACACTTGAGCTTGGTGGGGGGAAGGGCATCCACCATTACAGAGGCTTGAGTAGGCGGTTTCTCCTTCACAGTGTAAACAAAGGCACCAGGAAGTTTGAACTAGGCAGAGCCCACTGCTGCTTGGCAAAGCCACTGTAGCCAGACTGCGTGTCTAGATTTCTCCTCTCTGGGCAAGGCATCACTGAAAGAAAGGCGGCCTTAGTCAGGGACTTATAGATAATATTCCCATCTCTGGGACATAGAACCTGGGGGAAGGAGAGGCTGTGGGCACAGCTTTGGCAGACTTAAGCGTTCCTACCTGTTGGCTCTGAAGAGAGCAACAGATCTCCCAGCACAGTGCTCGAGCTCTGCTAAGGGACACACTGCCCCCTCAAGTGGGTCCTACACCCCCATGTCTCTTGACTGGGAGACATTTCCTATCAGGGGTAGACAGACAACTTATACAGGAACGCTCTGGCTGGCATCTGACAGGTGACCCTCTGGGATGAAGTTTACAGAGGAAGGAACAGGCAGCAATCTTTGCTGTTCTGCAGCCTCCACCAGTGATACCTAGGCAAACAGGGTCTGGGTCTGGAGTGGACTTCAAGCAAACTCCAGCAGACTTGCAGCAGACAGGCCTGATGGTTAGAAGGAGAACTAACATTCAGAAAGGAATAGCATCAACATCAACAAAAGGACGTCCACATAGAAACCCCACATGAAGGTAACCAACATTAAAGACCAAAGGTAGATAAATCCATGAAGATGAGGAAAAACCAGTGCAAAAAGGCTGAAAATTCCAAAAACCAGAACACCTCTTCTCCTCCAAAGGGTCACAACTCCTTGCCAGCAAAGGAGCTCAACTGGATGGAGAATGAGTTTGATAAATTGATGGAAGTGGGCTTCAGAAGGTGGGTAATAAGCAGCTAGCATCATAATGACAGGATCAAATTCACACATAACAATATTAACCTTAAATATAAATGGGTTAAACGCCACCAATTAAAATTAACAGCCTGGCAAATTAGATGATAGAGTCAAGACCCATCAGTATGCTGTGTTCAGGAGACCTATCGCATGGGAAAAGACACACATAGGCTCAAAATAAAGGGATGGAGGAATATTTATAAAAGCAAATGGAAAGAAAAATAAGCAGGGGTTGCAATTCTAGTCTCTGGTAAAATAGACTTTTAACCAACAAAGATCATAAAAGACACAGAAGGGCATTACATAATGGTAAAGAGATCAATGCAACAAGAGTAACTATCTTAAATATATATGTACCCAATACAAGAGTACCCGCATTCACAGAGGAAGTCCTTAGAGACTTACAATGAGACTTAGACTCCTACACAATAACAGTGAGCGACTGTAACACCCCATTGTCAATATTAGACAGATCAATGAGCCAGAAAATTAACAAGGATATTCAGGAATTGAACTCAGCTCTGGACCAAGAGGACCTAAAAGACATCTACAGAACACTCCACCCAAAATCAACAGAATATACATTCTTCTCAGAAACACGTTGCACTTATCCTTAAATTGACCACATAATTGGAAGTAAAGCACTCCTCAGCAAATGCAAAATAATGGAAATCATAATAAACGGGTTCTCAGACCACAGTGCAATCAAATTAGGACTCAGAATTAAGAAACTCACTCAAAACTGCACAACTACGTGGAAACTGAACAACCTGCTCCTGAATGACTACTGGGTAAATAACGAAATTAAGGCAGAAATAAATAAGTTTTTTGAAACCAATGAGAACAAAGATACAATGTACCAAAATTGCTGGGACACAGGTAAAGTGGCTTTTAGAGGGAAATTTATAGCACAAAATGCCCACAAGAGAAAGCAGGAAAGATCTAAAATTGACACCCTAACATCACAATTAAAAGACCTAGAGAAGCAAGAGCAAACAAATTCAAAAGCTAGCAGAAGACAAGAAATAAGTAAGATCAGAGCAGAACTGAAGGGGATAGAGACATGAAAACTCTTCAAAAAAATAAATGAATCCAGGGGCTGGTTTTTTGAAAAGATCAACAAAATACGTAGATCACTGGCCAGACTAATAAAGAAGAAAAAATAAAAGAATCAAATAGACACAATAGAAAATGTTAATGGGGATATCACCACTGATCCCATAGAAATACAAACTACCATCAAAGAATACTTTAAACACCTCTATGCAAATAAACTAGAAAATCTAACAGAAATGGATAAATTCCTGGACACACACACCCTCTGAAGACTAAACCAGGAAGAAGATGAATCCCGGAATGGACCAAAAATAAGTTCTGAAATTGAGGCAGTAATTAATAGCCTAACAACTAAAGGCCAGCCTGCAGGCCAAGCCTCTGACCCTACCCTAGGACTCCACACCAGGAGAAAAAAAAAACCAACATTAAATGTTGAGAAAAAGTGGGCACTAGTTATGTCATATCCAGAAGCTTAAACAACACTCCTTGCTGCCTCAAAGCCCACACCATACCCCACATATACAGGGAGACAACACACACAGCTAATTTTTGCAAGAAGACAGGCACAGATTCTTCCAAGCCCAGTATATAAATTGCCATTCCTAGGCCCTGCCAAGAGAGATAATCATCTGGGTGAATTTTGCTAAATATCTGCCACTAATTCTGCCACAAACAGAAGCTAAATCAGCACTCCACGGGGCCCCAAAGCCCACCTTCAGACCCCACCCAGGAAGAAAGGCAAATTTTTTATTTTTTAAATTTTATTTTACTTTAAGTTCTGGGATACATGTGCTGAACGTGCAGGCTTGTTACATAGGTATGCATGTGCCATCATGGTTTGCTGAGTCTATCAACCCATCATCTAGGCTTTAAGCCCCGCATGAATTAGGTAAAGCAAATCTTAAATATGCATTCTTGCTGAACATGGAAGTGGGTTTTATTCGTTTTACTCCACTTTACTCTGGGATCCTTCTTCAACTGTCTCAAACTGCTAAATTTAAACAATGATACTTTCTGACCAGGGAATACACCCTATGGCCCATATGAGTCAGAGGCAATTGTAGTTTCCAGTATCAGGTCAGCTTGATTACAGAGCTAAACCAGTAACCTTGACATCTGGCAGAACTTAGCCAACTGCTCCCCTCAAATTTCGAGTAAAGGTAGAATCCCAGGCATCTAGAGAATCTGAAAGCAAGCTCCTCCAGCCCAAGGTTAATACAAGCTACCCTACCCAGAATTATAGGATAGACTAAATAGTGAAGGTTTACCCTTGCCAAAGAAAACCTGTGCGAACTGGAAAAAGAGTTTGTCTTTGCAAATGCACAAATACCATCAAAAGAAAACAATGGTTACAAAGAAATAGAAAATCATAAAATCTACAAAGGAAATAAACAAAGCTTCAACAATATGGTGAAGTAGAAACAATTTGTCTTTAATCTTTTATATAATACCAAAAACAATTATCCAGTGCCAAGATTATCACTAGGAATATCCCAGAACTCAAAATCAAGGCTGTCACAATCCCGGGAACCAAAGAGGAGTAAAAAACCACAAGCACGCAATCAGAGAAATGAACTTCTATAATTGCAACACCTCTCCCATCAAGCTTCCCCACATGCCATGTGGAAATATCCCCCCAGACTCATGATTCTACAGCAAAAAACTGGGATCAGGGCAGACAGCCAGCTTCCCCACCAACTTTGGTTTCTTTGTAGGAAAATTGTTCTTGCCTAAATCCATAGGAAGCAGAGTAAGTGCATGTAGGGTGAAAATCCTGAGGCATGTGTGAAGGTAGGGCTGCCCACACCAAGCTTGTGAAATGTGGTGGCTGCTTTTTATCACAGTCAGAGGAGACTCCTTATTAGAGAAGCTATTCAGCAGCACCACACTGTAAGAAGCATGCTTCATAGGTCCTCTAGGCACAAACATCTAGCCAGCCTTTCCACACAGCAAGGATATCCCCATTAGGACCTCTACATCTGGAATAGGCAGCTCTTGAAAAGTTTGTGAATGCCACAGCAAACCAGGGCTTAGAGTGACATCTAGTGCTTAAAAAGAGGGAGCAGTATCACAATAAAGGAACTCAGTCATTCTGCACAAAACTTCTAGACAGAATAAGTAACACAGATAGCAAACATTAGAATAAACAACTAAACCCTTCAATGTGAAAACAGACACATATCCATAACAAGAGCAAATGGAAAACTATGACCTCTACAAATGGACAAAAGAAGGAGGGAGTGGCCGACCATAATGAGACAGCAACGCGTGTGCTCTCAGATCAATAATTCAAAATAGCAGTTTTGAGAAAACGCAGAAAAATCAAAGGAAAACAGAAAAGCAACTAATAAAAATACCAGAGAAACTTTAAAAAGGGTAGAAATAATAAAAAATTAAAAAGAAAGCCTGGAGCTACCAAATAAAATAAGTGAACTAAAAAAAAAATGCAGTAGAGGGTACCAACAGGAGAATTGATCAAGCAAAAGAAAGAGCAGAAAAAGAAAAATGAAGAGTGAAGAGAAATAATGTTTAAGACATCTACAAAATAACATCAAAAGAGCAAATCTAAGACTTATTTGCCTTCAAGATGTACTTAAGAAAGAGCAAGTTGTACAAACCTTATTCAAATAAAATATAAAGCATTTTGAACATACAGAAATATATCAATGTCTAGTTACAACAAGGTCAAATATTACCAAATATATTGAAGCTAAATAACACTACCCCAGCTGGGCATGGTGGCTCATGCCCATAATCCCAGAACTTTGGGGGGCCGAGACAAGCAGATCATGAGGTCAGGAGATTGAGACCATCCCGACTAACATGGTGAAAACCCTTCTCTACTAAAAACACAAAAAAAATTGGCCGTGTGTGGTGGCACTCACCTGTAATCCTAGCTACTTGGGAGGCTGAGGCAGGAGAATCGCTTGAACCCAGGGGGCGGAGGTTGCAGTAAGCTGAGATGGCACCACTGCACTCCAGCTTGGGCGACAGAGTGAGACTCTGGAAAAAAAAAAAAAAGACTACCCCAAGGCATATCATAATCAAAGTCTCAAAGGCCAAGGACAAAGAGAGAATCCTAAAAACAGAAAGAGTAAAAAAGCACATAACACAGAAAGGAGGTCCAATTCATATGGCAACAGTCTTGTTAGCAGAAACCAAACAAGCCATGAGAAAGTGGAAGGGACATATGCAAAATGCTGAAAGAAAAGTAATTGCCAATCAAAAATACTGTGTTCAGTGAAGCTATTCTTTAAACATGAAAAAGAAGTAAAGATTTTCCCAGCCAAGTAAAAGCTAAAGAAATTTGTCACCACCTGATCTATCTTAAATAATTCAGAAGTAACATCCTTAATCTCAAATAATGATAATGAGCAACAAAGAAACATCTGAAGGTATAAAACTCACTAATAAAAGTAAGTATAAGAAAAATCCAGAATAGCTCGATACTGTAATTGTGGTTTGTAAACTAGTCATATCTCTAGTATTAAAACTAAAAGAAAAAACTAGAAAATATAATAATAGCTACAGTATTTCGAGACAGATACTATAAAAAGATGTAAATTAAGAAAACAAAAAGTCAAACTGTTGAGGAAAATGGGAATAAAGTACATAAAATTTAAAGTTTTTTATTGTGATCAAGGTTAATTTGTCATCAGTTTAAAACAACTTAATTTAACTCTAAGATGTTTTTGTTAAGTCCCCCATTTAACTACAAGCAATAACTTATAACATGTAAAGAAAAAAGCACCGACTTAAAACATACTACTGGGGAAAGTAACCATCAAGGAAGTCAATAAGAAAGAAAGGAAGAGAGTACTTACAGAGCAACAATAAAGAAGTGACAAATGGCAGTAGCAAGTTCTTGCCTATGAGTAATAACCTTGAGTGTAAATAAACTAAAATTTGAAATCAAAAGTCATAGGGTGACTGAATAGATGAAACAAACAAAAACAAGTCTATAACTCTATAATTTCTACAGGAAACTCACTTTCCTTATAAAGAAACATATAGACTGAAAGTGAAGAGAATAAATTATAACTGTATATTTTCTAGCTGCAGTGGAACAAAATCAAATATACAAATGGAAAAATACAAATAAAAAATATGAGAAACTTTGGAGACTATAAAAATAATTCAACATTGAACCCTGTGCTCCTGAAAAACCAATAGATCAATGAAGCAATTAGAGAGAACAAAAAAATTGAAACAAATGAAAATAAAAACAAGAAGTAGAAAGACTTTAATGAACAACCTAAAAATGCACCTAAAGAAAATAAGGAAGTAACAACAAACCAATTCCCAAATTAGTAGAAGAAACAATATAATAAAAATCAGTGTAGAAATAACTAAAATTGAGATTTAAAAGGCTACAAAACATACAAACATTGAATTTTGTGTGTTGAAAAGACAAACAAGATTGATGAACTCTTAGATAGTTGAACAAATAGAAGTATGTTTTCAAGTCTTTTGCCCACTTCTTAACGGAGTTATTTGTTTTTCTTATCTTGTTGATTTGTTTAAGTTTCTTATAGATTCTGAATATAAGACCTTTGTTAAATACATAGATTGACAATATTTTCTCCTATTCTGTAGGTTGTCTGTTTAATCTGTTGATAATTTATTTTGCTGTGCAGAAGCTCTTCAGTTTTAGTTACTACTTGTCACTTTTTGTTATTGTTGTATTTTGCCTTTTAGGACTTAGTCATAAATTCCTTGCCAAGGCAGACACAGAGAAGGGTGTGTTTTAAATTTTCTTTTAGGATTGTTATAGGTTTAGATCTTACATTTAACTATTTAATTCATGGTGAGTTAATTTTTGTATATGATGATAGGTAGAAGTCCAGTTTCATTCTTCTGGGTATGTTTTTTCAGTTATCCTCACATCATTTATTGAATAAGGAGTTCTCTTTCCTCATTGCTTATTTTTGTCAGCTTTGTTAAATATCAGTTGATTATAAGTATGCAGCTTTATTTCTAGGTTCTGTATTGTGTTCCATTGGTCTATGTGTCTGATTTTGTATCAGTACCATGCTGTTTTGGTTACTATCTCTTTATGGTATAGTTTAGAGTTGGTTAATGTGATGCCTCTGGCTCTGTTCTTTCAGCTTAGGGTTGCTTTTGCTATTCACACTCTTTTTATTTTTGGTTCCACTTGCATTTTATAATAATATATTTTTTCTATTTTTGTGAAACATGGCATTGCTAGTTTGATAAGAATAACATTCAATCTGTAGGTTGCTTTGATAGTATAAACATTTTAACAATATTGATTCTTTTAGTCCATGAGCATAAAATGTTTTTCCATTTGTTTGTGCTACCCACAGTTTTATAGTTCTTCCCATAGAAATCTTTCACCTCCTTGGTTATCTGTCTTTATTTCTGTTTTTTTTTTTTTTTTTTTGTGTGTGTGTGTGTGTGTGTGTGTGTGTGGCTTTTGTAACTGTCATTGCATTCTTGTTTGGCTCTCAGCTTGAGTGTTATTCATGTATAGAAATGTTCCTGATTTCTGTGTATTGATTTTATTTATCCTGGAAACTACACTGAAGTCATCTCCTAAATCTAGGAGCCTTTTGTCAGAGTATTTAGGGTTGGCACATTTACAGCATGCAATACTAGGCATCCATAAAAAAGAATAAAATTATATCCTTTGCAGCAATATGAATGCAGTTAGAGTCCATTATCCTAACAGAATTATCACAGAAACAGAAAAGCAAATCTTACATGTTCTCACTTACAAGTAGGTCTTAAAGAGTTGGTTAACATGGACGTAAATATGGAAACAATAGAAACTGGGGACTTCCAAATCGAGGAACAACAGAGGGGGCAAGGGTTGAAAAACTACCTATATGGTACTATGCTCATTACCTGGGTGATGAGTTCAATTCTACCCCATGACTCAGTATTATGCAATATACCCATACGACAAACCTGAACATGTGTTCCTTGAATCTAAAAGGAAAGTTTGAATTTAAAGCAATAAGTAAGGCCAATTAGAAACATATTTGTTGTTCAAAGTGATATTGCTATAAGATCTATCAACTAGTACACTACTCTATTATTATTGGTTGCAGGCATTTTTTAGGTGCAAAGCAAATAGAAAATAATGGTTTCTAAACACTATCACTGACATTCACAGTAAGAAGATTTTGAAGTTTGTTCATTTACACAAAGTTAGAGTTAAACAGTGATATTCCAAGAGTGCTTATCAGTGTGGTTAAACAAGGTGTAGTGATAACTACAAGGCAGTGCTTTTGATAAAAATTTCATTTATTCAGTTTGCACAATATTGAGAGTTCATTTTATGATCTGTATATTCAACTTAACATTGCCTTCAAAATATTTCTAATAAACAGTTTTCAAAACCGAAAATTATGTGGCAAAATTTGCTTTTCTTTTCTCAGGCTTCTTCAAGAAATCTGAGGATGAGGGCTCATTACCCTGTCTTCCTTGCCACACTCCCAAGATTATGGACACAGGACAATTTGGTTCTTAAAACTAATGGTTGTCATAAAATATGTGTTTAATTAACATACACACACACACACACACATATATGTTATATGTGAAGGCTTAGTTTTTCAATTAATTGAAAACATTTCTCAGTTTAAAATAAGAAAAAGAGAAGACTAAAAAAATAAAATCAGAGACACAAAGAGTCATTACAACTGATACCACCAAACTATAAAGGATTATTGAAAACTATTCTGAACAACTATACGCCAACATATTGTAAAACCTGGAGAAAATGAACTAATTTCTGGACAGATAGAACATACCTACATTCAAACAAGAAGAAATAAAAATCCTGACAACACTAATAGTAAAGAAGAAGATTGGAGCAGTTCAAAAAAGTCTCACACCAAATAAAACTCCACATTCTAATATTTTTCACAGTTGAATTCTACCAACCATTTAAGTAAGAACTAATACTAATACTACACTAACTATTCCACAAATTTTAAGAGAAAAAAAGCACTATCAGACTCTTTCTGTGATGGTAACATTATCCTGATACTAAAAATAAACAAGGATATAACAACAACAAAATAATAGAAAAGAAAACAACAGGTCAATATATTTAATAAAGATACATGCACAAATCTTTAACAATATACTGGCAAACTGAATTCAAAACATATTAAAATGTCATTCAACATGATAAAGTGAGATTTATTTTAGAGATGAAAGGATAGTTTAACATAAGCAAATCAAAAAGTGTGCTACATCACATTAAAATAATAAAATTTTATTTTATTATATTTAAGCTTTAAAATAAGTATTTTATTTCTGTAGGTTATTGGGGAACAGGTGGTATTTGGTCACATGAGTAAGTTCTTTAGTGGTGATTTGTGAGAATTTAGTTTACGCATCACCCGAGCAGTGTACACTGCACCCAATTTATAGTCTTTCATCCCCCACCCCCTTCCCATGCTTTCCCCTGAGTCCCCAAAGTCTATTACATCATTCTTATGCTTTTGCATCCTCATAGCTTAGTTTCCACTTATGAGTGAGAATGCATGATATTTGGTTTACCATTCCTGAGTGACTTTACTTAGAATAATAGACTCCAATCTCTTCCAGGTTACTGCAAATGCCATTAATTCATTCCTTTTCATGGCTGAGTAGTATTCTGTTGTATATACATATACACCACAGTTTCTTTATCCACTTGTTGATTGATGGGCATTTGGGTTGGTTCTACATTTCTGCAATTTCATATTGTGTTGCTATGAACATGTGTGTGCAAGTATCTTTTTTGTATAATGACTTATAATTATTCCAAGAGATGCTGTAAGTATTTGGTACAACTAAACATCCCTTTATGATAAAAACTGTAAACAAACTGGGTATAAAAAAACTTAAAGCAATAAAAACCAAACACACCATTAACTTTATACTAAATGTAAACTAATTGAAAGAATTTTCTCTAAGACCTGGAAAAAGACAAGAATGCCCACTATCATCGCTTTTAGTCAACACAGTACTCAAAGTCTTAGCCAGAACAATTAGTCAACAAGAAGGGAAAAGGGACATCAAAATTGAAAAAAAAAAGAAAGTCCAATTGTTTTTGGTTACATACAACAGGATCTTATATTTAGAAAAAAACAAAAACTCCATCAAGAAACTATTAGACCTTATCCATGTTCAGCAAAGTTATAGAATACAAAATCAACATGCAAATATCAGTAGTATATTTATATACCAACAATAAGTATTGTGTAAAAGAAATCAAGACAGCAATCTCACTTATAGTAGTTACAAATGATATAAATTAGCTAGGAATAAATATAATCAAAGAAGTGAAAGACTTCTACAATGAATACTATAAAGCAATAATTTAAAAAACCAAAGAAGACTCAAAATTAGATATTTCATGTTCATGGATGGTAGAATTCATATTGTTAAAATAATAATATTACTTAAGGTGATAATCTACAGATTCAATTAAATTCCAATCAAAATATCAATAACATTCTTCACAGATTTAGAAAAAAACTATCCTAAAGTTTGTATAAAACCACAAATGGGCCCATATAGCCAAAGCAATCCTAAATAAAATTAACAAAGCTAAGGGTATCACACTACTTGACCTGAAATATACTTTCATGCTACAATAAACATATATTGTATGGTACTGGCATAAAAATAGACAGAACAATAAGAAAGAGTAGAGGAAAAACTATAAACAAATCTATACATTTACAGCCAACTAATTTGTAACAAAGGCCACAAAAACATACTTTGGGAAAGAACAATAAGAACAATTTCTTCAATAAATGGTGCTGTGAAAACTGGGTTACCGCAGGCAGAAAAATAAAATGACCTTTATCTGCCACCATATACAAAAATCAAATAAAAATAAAGATTTAATTATAAAATCTGAAACTATAAAAATACTAAAAAAAAAGTGGAGATACCTTCCTGACATTGGCCTTGGTATCGATTTTTTCTGTTGTTGTTTGTACCTCAAAAGTCTAACCAAAGAACAATAGACAAATATAATATATCATGGTGAAAAACTTCTACTAAGAAAATAAAACACTTCACATACTGATGGGCAATGTACTGAATGGAAGAAAATATTTGCAAACTATTTACTGGACAACAAGTTAATAACCAGAATAAATAAAAAATCCAAACAACTCAACAGCAAAGAAACAAATCATGTCATTAAAAATGGGCAAATGATCTGTGGAAACATTTCTAAAAATAACACATACAAATTGCCAACAGCTATATAAAAAAAGCTCAACATCCCTAGTCTCAAGGATGAGTAAATCAAAATGACAATGAGATATTATCCCACTCCATTTAAAATGACTGTTATAAAACAGGAAAAAAAAATTGCTCGTGAGGATGTGGAGAAAGATGAACTCATATACACTATTGGTGTGAATGTAAGTTAATATGCAGCCATTATGGAAACACTTATGGAGATTCTTAAAAAAATTTACAATAGAATTTTTATATGAGCTAGCAATTTCAATTCTGGGTATATACCCAAAAGAACTGAAGTCAGTATGTTGAAAATTTATCTGCACTCTGATGTTTAATACAGAACTGTTCACAATAATCAAGTTATGGAATCAAGTTAAGTGTTCATCAAAAGATAAATGGATAAAGAAAATGTAGTATACCTATATAATGAAATATTATTCCAAAATAGAAATGAAAGAAACCTCATTATTTGCAGCAAAATAAATTATCCTGGAAGACATTATATTAAGTAAAATAAACTTGACCGATAAAGACAAATATCACATGTTCTGTACTCATATGTAAAAGATAAAACACTTTATCTCATAGAGACAGAAAGCAGAATGATTATCAGAGGTTAAGCGTATAGGGGCTTGAAAAAAGGACATAGGTTGATTTACAGGGTAAAAATACAGTTAGGTAGACAAAATAAGTTCTAGGGCCAATAGCAATATTAGGCTGAGTATTGTTAACAGTAATTTATTGTATATTTTAAAATAGCCACACATTAATATTTGAACTCTTTCCAACACAAAGGATTTTTTTACTTTATGGATATTTAAATTACCTTTATTTAATTATTATACAACATATGCATTTATCAAATATCACAAGTGTCCCTTATATAGGTACAATTATTATGCATTAATTTACAAGCTCAACACACTTCAAGAGCATATTAATAAAAATTAAACAAAATTTAATAAGCAATATACAAACATGAGTAGTTTGACATAGAAATGGGTATCATAAAAATACCCAATTGAAAACCTAGAGCTGAAGAATATAATGACTGAGGTGACAAACACAATAGAAAGCTCTAACAGCTGACTTGATGAAGTTGAGTTGAGAGTAAATTGAAGACAGAATATTTGAAATAATCCAATCAGAGAAGTAGAAATAATAAACAATGGAGAAAACCTACAGGAATTATGGAGCTGCATCAAGAAACTAGCATATGCATAACAGACACTCAAGAAGGAATATAAGTAGATGTGCCATAAAATATATATTTTAAATAATGGAATAACATTTTCTAATGTGAGAAAATAAGCCAACATATAGGGAAAGGAAGATCAGAGATCTCCAACCAAATGTATCTCCAAAAAGACATTCACCAAGACACATAATCAAATATTAGAATAATCAAAGAGAAAGAAAAAGTTCTGAGAGCAGGAAGGGATAAAAAAAAAAGGCATCCCATTGGTTGGGCAAGGTGGCTCAATCCTGAAATCCTAACACTTTGGGAGGTTGAGGCAAGTGGATCAGTTGAGCCCAGAAATTTGAGACCAGCCCTGGCAAAGTAGGAAGACCCCTTCTCTACAAAACAACAATAACAACAACAACAACAACAACAATAACAAAACATTAGCTGGACATGGTGATGCGTGCCTGTGATCCCAGAAACTTGGGAGGCTGAAGTGGGAAGGTAACTTGACCCTGGGAGGTAACGGCTCCAGTGAGCATTGAATGCACCGCTGCACTCTAGCCTGGGCAGCAGAGCAAGATTCTGTCTCAAAAAATGCATCACATAAAAAGAAGTCCCAATACAACTGTCAGTGGACTTCTCAACAGTGACACTTTACAGCAGGAGAGAGTTGGATAACATATTCAAAATGCTAAAAAAAATTGCCAATGAAGAATTCTTTACACAGCAAATCTATCTTCCACCAAGAGAAATATAATTTTTCTTTGAGACAAAAACTAAGGGAGTCCATCACCGCTAAGGCTGCATTACAAGATTTTCTAAAAGGTGTTCTTTAAACTGAAATGAAGGTCTGCTAGTTACAGACACATAAAATTAAACTGAAATCTGCAAACCTCAATAATATGAGTAATGTAGAGCAATATTCATATAACTTTAGAATTGTAATTGTGATACATAAGGCAATTTTATTCCTATCATGAGGGTTAGAAGAAAAATTATTAATAACAACCAGATCAAATATAAATTTACAAAAGTTTAATATCAAAAAATGATATAAATTCAGACACAAAAAATAAATATGGATGGGTATGCACTCAAAGTAAAGTTGTTATCAGCTTGAATTATACTATTGTTAGTATAAGATGTTCTATGTAATTCTTGTGGTATCCAAATAGCAAAGAAAAACTATAGGAAGCTCACAAAACAAAAAGAAGAAATGTTTTAATACTGACCACTACATAAAACCGTCAAATATAAAAGAAATACACAAAAATAGAAAGAAAGGAAATGTCTACTAAACAACACCAAAATTTAGCATAAAAAATCAGTAGTAAGTTCTTATGCATCAATAATTACTTTGAAGGCTAATGAATTAAACTTTCTATTTAAATACATAAAATACCAGAATGGGTTAAAAAGAAAAGGGTCCAACTATATGTTGTATACAAGATAAACTTTACTTTTGCAGATACACACAGGCTAAAAATAAAGTGATAAAAGATATTCTATGCAAATGGAAACCGTTAAAGTAGGGCTAAGAATACTTAAATAAGACAACATATATTTTTTACATTAGAAACTGTAAAAAGAGGCAAATAAATCCATTGTATAATGAAAAAGTGGTCAATTGATTTAGACAATATCACAATTATAAATATATATGCATTTGAGAGTGAAACACATTATTAGGCCATTTTTACACTGTTAAAAGAAATATCTGGGGATGGGTAATTTATAATGAAAAGGAGTTTGCAGGCTGTTCAGGAAGTGTGGTGCCATCATATATTTCTGATGTGACCCACAAAAAGCTTACAATCATGGTGGAAGGTAAATAGGGAGCAGGAGCTGAGATGGTGAGAGTGGGAGCAAGAGAGGAAGAAGAGTGAGGTCCCAGAATTTTAAACAATAAGATTATGTGTGAATTGAGTTACACCTCACTTTTCACCAAGGGGATGGTGCTAAACCATTCATGAGAGGTCTTCTCTCATGATCCAATTACCTCCCACCAGTTCCTACCTCTAACATTAGGAATCACGTTTCAACATAAGATTATAGAAGACAAACATACATACCATATCAAACACCTAAATATGTAAAGCAAATATTAAAGATCTGGAGAAAGAGATATATTGCAAGACATAAAAAAGTGGGCAGTGAAGTCAGCAAGATTGCTGACTAGACATGCCTAATATTTATTTCCCCTACAACAAAAGACCAAAACAAGAAATACACAGCTATATTTTGACTAAAGGATCTAAAAGAGATCTTTGGCATATAGAGAGGGAGTGTCAAAACCCTGTAAAGCATGGAACCTCAGGATGACCACTTAGAGTGGGGAACACAACATCCTGCTTTGCCAAATCATTTCTTCAGTTGGGATCAGCTTGGAAACAGTATAAATTTTTCCTTGCAAGAATAAGATCAGAAGCTTCCATTAGTGGTGTGTACACATGCAATATTTTTTTCTACAAAAGAATAGTATATTTCTCACAAGCCCTAAGGCCAGATTGAGGATCTTCCTGGAGTTCAAATGGCTGCACTATTTATAGCCAATATCGTGCTCCCTATGAACCAAGATATTACTACATAAAACCATCTTTAAAATGTAGCCAACTGCTAGAGTGCATTCTGCTTTAAGTGCCAGTAGCCACTGAAACTTTATCCCTGAGGCTTCCAAATCATTGCAACATGGTCAAACATGGTAATGCACCACTTCACAGCCAATGTACTAAAGGTCTCTACACCCTTGGGAAAAGCTGCCTAGGAGGCACTTCATGTTCCTCATCCACAGTGGCTGCAGCACCCCAACTCTGACTATTCAAAGCTTAAGCTTACCAAAACAGCCATGACCCTGGTGTCAAAGCACATGCAATGTCCTATCCCCCAAGGAATGTGTGGTCCTTCCCAGCAGGGAAGCCAAACTCATGAGTGAAACAGTGGTGTGCCCTGTTGACACATCAAATAGACCAGTGCACTGCTTCTAGGCAAGTCACACATAGGTCAGCTGAGCAGCCAGTAAACCTCTTTCTGTGTGAATCAGCTTTACGCCTCACCCCCGGAGAATCCACACCCAACCTAGCAGAACATGTGTGTCCCGTTCGTGCATAAACCAGCATGGTGTTTTGCCCCTAGGAAGCTAGGCCCAAGCCAGTGGACCAATTTTGTACCCACTCTGCATGAACCATCCCAGTACATCACCACAAGCATGCCATGCCTGAGCTGGCAGACAAGTTATGACCTCTTGGTGCCTAAACCAACCTGGTGCTCCACCTGCAGAGAAACAATGATTTGTCTCAGAGAGAAGCCAATACCCTGGTGCTTGAGCTGGCATGATTCCCAGACTTCTGGGAAACATAGGCTTGGTTGATCTGAATCACCCCACATTCTGCACCAAACAGGCAGAGTCTTCTCCCTACCTGGATCTGGAGTAGACTTCTGGAGTCTGAGCTGCTGAGGTACACCACCTTTCTGGTGAATAAAGCCAACATTGCACTAATCACTTTCCCTTGCAGTATAAGCCATGGCTGTGCCCCACCATTCAGGGGTCATAACTGCCATGGCACTTGGCCTCACAGAGCCTGGGCCATGGCTGTGTCTCACTACCTTAGTGTCCAAGGTCACCGCTACTCAGTAGCCTTTTCTTCTGGTGCACAAGTTGCCACTATGCCATGTTGGCTCTGAACTTGCAGTCCCTGCTCCCTAGAGCCTTAACCTCTGGAAAACCCCTTTATCTCTGAAGCCATGCTGTTGTGGTGCCCAGACACTGATTATTACAGTCCCAGTTACATATTTGCCTCCTAGGTTCAACCTACTGGGGAGTGCTTCAAAGTCAAATATTTCTCTTTTTTTTTAATTTTTAATTTATATTTAGCAGTAATATTTGTGCATAATTTTAGAATTTTTTCAAGTTTTATTATCAATATATACAATTGTTGTAATAGAATAGTGAGGTTGTATTTCATCTTTAGTCTCCAAATTAATGTATCAAAAATATGCTGACTTATGCACAAAATGATACCATCTCACACCAGTCAGAATGGTTAATATTAAAAAGTCAAAAAAAGCAGATGCTAGCGAGGTTGCAGAGAAAAGGGAATCCTTATACACTGCTGGTGGGAATGTAAATTAGTTCAACTATTGTGGAAAGCAGTGTGGCAATTCTTCAAAGAGCTAAAAACAGAACTACCATTCAACCCAGCAATCCAATTACAGGGTATATGCCCAAAGGAATATAAATTGTTCTACCATAAACACACACACATGTGTATGTTCATTGCAGCACTATTCCCAATAGCAAAGACGTGGAATCAACCTAAACACCCATCAATGGTAGACTAGATAAAGAAAATGTTTTACATATACACCATGGAATACTATGCAGCCATAAAAAGAATGAGATCAGGAACATGTTTGCAGGAACATGGATGAAGAGGGAGCTGGAGGCCATTATCCTTAGCAAACTAATGCAGGAACAGAAAACAAAACACCACTTGTTCTTACCTATAAGTGGAAGTTAAATAATGAGAACAAATGGGCACAAAGAGGGGAACAGCAGACACTGGGGCCTACTTGAAAGAGAAGGGTGGGAGGAAGGAGAGTATCAGGAAAAATAACTATTGGATACTATGCTTAGTACCTGGATGATGAAATGATCTGTACACCAAAGTCACATATTTCAAATTAGTGTGAGTGCTGCATCCACCCATGTCTGAGAGCAAACATACATATATGTCACAGGTGACACAGTATTTCAGCAGGACATTAAGCCCATGACTACAGGTCCATAGCATTTGGGCTCTAGAATACAGTGCTACTGTGGCAGCAAGTGGCCTGTGTCAAACCCAACACCAATAGAGATCTCCTCAATTAGGTCTCTCAACTTTAGGAAAAACTAGAACAGGAATCTCTCTGAAGTTATTGCCACTGAGAATTCTAACAACCTACGCTGCACCATTGCTTCCACAAACTCCTGAAGCCTAAGCCATAGAAGAACTCACATGTATTGCTGACATTCATCACAGCAAAAAACAAAAACAAACAAACAAAAAACCTTCACACAGACTACACTATAGCCTTCACAGAGACTAAACTATTGCATTCAGCAGGGACCAAAGTCAATGCACCCGACACAACAAACACCCTAGGACTCATTTGCAGATGATAGGTTTTACCTATGAAAGCCATTCTACAACATTGAAAGAGCTGACTGTTCCACAATATGGGCAGATAGCAACACAGGAATACAAGATACACAAAAACGCAAAAAAAAAAAGTGAAACCACAATGGAACACAAGAGTTCCCTAGTAAGTTACCCCAAAGAAAAGAAAATATATGAACTGCCTAAAGAGGATTTTAACATAATGATGATAAGGAAACTCAGTGTGATATAAATTGATACAGATAAACAAATTAAATCAGAAAATCAATTTATGATCTGAATAAAAAATTTCACAAAGAGATAGACATCATTCCAAATAACAAAACATAAATCTTGAAGCTGAATAGTTTAAAGAATAAAATTAAAAATACAATTGAGAGCTTCAACAGCTGACTAGATTAAGTAGAAGAAAAAAAAATGTGAGCTTGATGTATCTATTGAAATAAGCCAGTTTGGAAAAAAAAAAGAAAAAAATGTGACAAAAAAATAGGACTTATGGGACACCATTAAGTTACCAAATCTTTTCAATATGGGAGTTCCTGAGAGAGAAGAGATGGATTAAGTCACAGAAAGTGTATTTAACAAAATAATAGCTGAAAACTTTTCAAGTTTGGGGAGAGATATGGGCATCCAGACCCATAAGGCATAACAATTCCCAAATAGAGTCTACCTAAAAATATCTTCCTTCAGGCATATTGTAATCAATTGTCAAAAGTAAAAGAGAGAGAGAGACAATTCTAAAAGCAGCAAGTGACATATAAAAGAATTCTCATCAGACAATTAGCAGATTTCTCAGCAGAAAGCTTGCATATCAAGAGAGAATTGGATGACATATTGAAAGTTCTGAAAGAAAAAATAACTACAACCCAAGAATACTATACTCAGCTAAGCTATCACTAAATAGTAGAGGAGAAACAAAGGCCATTCCAGACAAAGAAAAGCTGCATGAATTTATTATTACTAGACCAGACTTACAAAAAATGTTCAAGGGAGTGCTTTAAGAAAAAGTGGAAGGATAATGAGCCCTATCATATAAATATATGAAAGTATAAAACTCATGGGTAGATGTAAATTTACAATCAAATTTATACTTTATTATTGCAATCATGGCATGTAAATCTTTGAAGTCTCTAGTATAAAGGTAAGAAGGCAAGACGATCAAAAATGTCTATAACTAAAACAAACTGTGGAGGAACACACATGTAAAATACATAAATTAAGACAGCAAAATTATAAATTGTGGCTAAGAATAAAAAATGAGTTTTGTATGTGACCAAAGTCAAGTTTTTCTCAGTTTAAAATATTATAAGATTATTTATGTAATCTTATGAAGAGCAACCATACCCACACAAGGAAATGACAGCAATTCCACTATCTTTGAAAATATACTTATTATTATTAAAATATTTTGCATTTACTGATTCTTATTTGATAGACTGACATATGGTCTAAACAAGAGAATAGTGAAAAATGAGTATTCTGCTTTTATGGGGTAAAGTGTTCTGTATATGTCTGTTAATTTCAATTTTACTATACTAATCTTTGAGTTATCTATTTTCTTATTTTCATTCCTGTTGCTCTATTGATTATTGAGAGAAAGGTGTTGAAATCTCCAACTATTATTATAAAGATATATATTTCTCTCTTCTATTATCTTAATATTTTCTTTCTATATTTAGGAGCTCTTGTGTTAAGTGCTTCTATGTTTATAATTGTTATATCTTTTTGTAAATCAACTCTTTTTTTATCAATATAAAATGTCTTTTGTTTTCTTGTAACCTGTTTAGAGTAAGGTATATTTTTTCTAATATTTCTATGGCCACATCAAGTTTCTTTTGGTTGCTATTTCCATGGAATATGTTTTTTATCTTTTTACTTTCAATCTATGTATGTCTTTAGATCTTAAAAATAAAAATAATTACCATATGCCTGTTAAAAACTTAAAATATAATTTTATTAAATACAATTTCTATAGGGGTTAATACTACTACAGTAAGAAAGAAAGATTAATCTCAACTCTGAGTACAGTAAAGATAGCTGGAGACTTATTGTGAACTAGCAGATAAAGAAGATAAGTAGATAAAACTTTATTAAGAAAAATTTGATTGTATGTCCCATGTAAGGGAGTTCTTGCTAAATTTGATTATCATTATTATTGTTAAAATCATTCCAAAGTTGTGGCTGAAGATGAGTCTTAGATAAAAGGAGTGCTCAGAAGCCTAACTAATGTAAGACTAAGAAGGAGTTTTTTACATTTATTCTTTTTATTAAAAAAAAGAAACATTATCTTTTTCTTCTAACAGTATAAATAAATTTCTTATTGGTTTACTTTTTCTTTATTAAGGAGAAGCTGAACCATCTGTTGAAGTTGGGATGTAGAGGATGTTTCCTTTATGATGTGAGCAATCAGTTATTTCATAGGGGAATTTTATCAAAGCACAAAATAAGTTCAAGGATTTTTTTGGAGCTAAAACTGTAAACCTAGTTTTTGAGTATGGAGAGTATGAAGAGGAGCTAGTCAAGATTTCTAGACATTAGGCTTAAATCATCTTTAGATGGTAAGGTGAGGGCAGTAGTGGAAATCTGATAGATAGTTTGCAGTTTTAATGCTTTTGGCAATGGCATGTACATTAGAGAGGTTTCCATAACGTTGTCCAGTCATGATTATACCTTGGAACAGAGCACGGAATATATGGGAGGTTAGTTAAATTCCTGAGTTGTCCATACAGCAGCAGCTCCTGTCATGAAAGTTGTCTATTTATTGTCTGCTACAGTTATCAGTCCTTTGAAGTTTATATCACATAATTTACATTCAAGTTGCAGGGATCCTTTATATCCTTGGGGAAAGGTAAGCTACAAGAAAATCTAAAGTTTCAACAAGAATCTGGGAAGTCAAATTTTAGTACCCAGTGGCACCAAGTCAGGAGGTTTGGAGAAAAGTTGATTTGGAGAGTTGTATCCAGACATTCAAAGAAACTAAAATTACTGAGAATTCAGTAAGAACTGACAGAGTGTCCAAGATGCAAGTTTCCATCTAATTTGTAGGTAGGTTGTTTACAAAAAAGTCCCAAACAACTCAAAAACAATGAACATGAATAGAATTGAATAACACAAAAAAGTGTGTATTTTCTATTAAAATATAAAATTTGTCCATACATTCAACTCCATATGTAATAAAACATAATCAATAATATCATTCTCACTTACAAAATAAGCTTGATCTCATTAGATTTTACCTAATTATTAATTAATTACATAAGTGCAGAAAGAGTGATAATTGATCACATAGGCCTTTTAATAAGTCAAAAATTTTATTTCTCTTTACAAAAGTATAATCTACTGAAGTCTAATGAGTTACAGACAGTTGAAGAGAAAGTAGAAAGGCATCATTTTTATACAAATAAAAACATCAACTTTTAGCAAAATTTTAAACAAAAGCCATAATCGTTCTTCATCAGTTTATTCAGTCCCATGCAGTTAATTCTTGCTCTGCTTGATGTTAGGTTAGCAATTCCATAAACCCATCAACTTATTTACTAGAATTCTGGATATACTAACTTTCTCGCTGTATGGTCTCAAAGTTATTTAAGACAAACAGAAGCTTGTTCTCCAGAGTAACTAGCAAAGTCCTCTATGTGGGATTCTGAGACAACTTATTTTTGTTGGAGACAAACAATCTGGCCTGTAGCAGCTTGATTGAACTTTCAGGATAGCATCATAGTAAAACAAAAATTATCTGTAGATAAAATAAAATGAGTGCCGTATTAGACTGTTTTCACACTGCTATTAAGATATTACCTGAGACTGGGTGATTTATAAATAAAAGAGGCTTAATTGACTCAGAGTTCTGCAATGCTTGGGAGGCCTCAGGAAAATTACAATTACTGCAGAAGGTGAAGAAGAAGCAACCACCTTTTTCACAAGGCAGCAGGAGAAAGAAAGCAGGGGAAACTGCCACTTTTAAAACCATCAGATCTCATGAGAACTCCCTCACTCTCAGGAAAACAACATGGGGAAAACCACCCCCATGATTCAATCACCTCCAACCAGGTCCCTCCCTCAAAATGTGGGCATTACAATTTGAGTTGAGATTTGGGAGGGGACACAGAGCCAAACCACCTCAGGTGTGATTAAAGATCTGATGAGGATTCGTTATAAAAATAACACAATTTAGAAAGAAATTTGGTTGTTTCTGTGACATACCACCTTTAAAAACACAACTGGTATTATAACAAAAATTGTACAAGGATGTAACAGGGACAGCAAAGGCATTGACAAATTTCTATATGTTTTATGCAACATTGAAAAATATTCTATTAATACAATTTTAACTGGAAGTATAATCTATGGAAGGCTAAGCATCAATTCATATTGGGCAACACTTTATAAAATTAAACATATCAAATGAACTTAATTATTTTAACACCTTTTTCTTTATATCAAGGAAAATAAAACACTTTATGATTTTCCAAAGACCTTCTGAGAACCCTGAAAGTCAATTTGAAGTCATGAAGATTTCATTAAAGAGCTGATTTTTGGGAAGTCAAAATATCAATATAAGTAAAAAATGTCAAAAGTTTTGAACATTTGCCTGAAGCTGATCATGGAATATTGTGGAATAATATTTAAGTATATATTCAATTGATGTGACAAAACATATTTCAAAATTAAATACAGGTGGTAATATAATTGAAAAAAAAACCATACCAAAAATAAAAACATTAGCTCTATTAAAATAGTGAATACTTAGCTCTTTTGAATAATGAAGGGCATGATTAAGTTCACATGAAGCACAGGAAACTATTCTGCTAAGACATAGAACATTTGTTTCTAGGCAGATTACTCAAACTGTAAGAAAAAACAACTTTTAAAATATCTTTTTAAGAGCAGATTCATAGGGTAGAGGTGGAGCAAAAGAACCAAATAAGACCATCCATAAGTCATCAACCTCCCTCACAGAAACATCAAATTGAACAACTATCCGGGCAAGAAGACGTCTTCTTAAGAATTAAAAAATCCAGTGAGAAATCATAGTACCTAATTACAGCATAACTAACAAAAAGGATGCACTGAAGAAAATAGTAAGAAATGTCTTATTCCAGCTTGGGGGAAGGTGAATAAGGTGAGTGTGGGACTTTACATTGGAACTCAGTTACGCCCTGTCACAGTGTAACTTAGCACTGAGCAAAATTTCACTGGGGTAAACAGAGGGAGCATTTAAACAAGCCTTGGCCATAAGAGAAACTGCCACCTCAGTGCAAAAAACATGAGTCCCAGCCCACTTCACCACTGGTTGACTGAAGGAATCTTGTGCTTCAAATACATTTCAGTGGCAGTAAGGCAGAAGCAATTTCAGTCCTTGGTTGATTCCCAGAGCTGTGCTGTTTTTAGGTCATGGGCTTGGGTGCAACTCAGCACAATACTAGCTGTGGTGCCCATAGGAGTCCCTGTGTCACTTCTCTTTCAACTCCAGGTAGTGCAGCATATAGAAAGAAACACCTTCTACTTAGGGCAAAAAGAGAAAAAAGTACATGGGATGTTGTTTTGTAACTGGATACTAGCCCAGGCACAGTAAAATGAAGCACCAGAAAGTATCCTGAAGCCTCTAATTCCAGTTGCTGTCAAGGTTACTCCTGGAAAGCTCTTGTAGACCCACCCCAGGCAAGAAGAAAATATGCTGCTCTGGCGGGATGGACCTGAGTCCTGGACTTGCTGACTAAAGTATCCTCAAGCCTTGAATAAATATTAGCAGCAGTTAGGCAGTAGCAGCCATAGATGTTGGGCCATCCTTGGTACTGTACTTGTCTGAGAGGCAGTGGGTGTTAGTTATGACCCAGCATTATGCCAGTTGCAGCAACTATGAGAGTGCTGATGTCACCCCTCTTCCAACTCCAGGAATCCCAACATGGAGAAAGATTCCTTTTATTGGGGGAAATATAGGGAAAAAGTCAAGGACAGAACCCAGGGAATTTTTTCCCTAATTTTTCTCAAGACCAACAGGACTTGGCATCTAGGAGGCTGGAAGGGTTGCAGCATACCTGGGCTTAGGACATCCTCTAGTGCTTAAAAAAAAAAAAAAATGCTGTAGTGGCCAAAAGCTTAGTACTAAAAGTTCACTTTCCTTGGAAAGCTCCTTGAAGAAGGATGGGTACAAATAAAGCTAGAATTTGAAGACTGAAATAAACACCTAATTCCTCAATTTCCAGACGTCAGTGATTGTCCACAAACATCAAGAGGATCCAGGAAAATATTGCTTCACCAAATTGACTAAATAAGGCATCAGTGGGCAATCCTGGAGAGATGGAGATATGTGTCTTAGATAGAAAAATCAAAATACTTGTTTTGAGGAAGCTCAATAAACATGAATATAACACAGAGAAGGAATTCAGAAATCTATCAGAGAAATAAAGTGATTTAAATAAAAATAATAATTTAAACAGAAATACGGGACATAAAAACTCATTTGATGAACTGAAAAATGCATCAGAGTATCTCAACAGCAGAATTAATCAAGCAGAAAAAAATGTTAGTGAGTTTGAAGACAGACTATTTGAAGAAACAGTCAGAGGAGAAAAAGAAACAAAAGTAAAAACATTAACTACAATTACTAGATCTAGAAAACACTCTCAAAACGGCAAATCAAAGAGTTGGTGGCCTTAAATAGGATTTAAAGGAAGACATAGAGGTAGAAAATTCATTCAAAGAAATAATCATAGAGAACTTTTCAAACTTAGAGAAGAATATGAATGTACAGGTACAAGAAAGCCAAAGAACACAAATCAGGTTCATTCCATATAAAACCACCCCAAGGCATGTAATAACATCTCAAAGGTCAAGGACAAAAAAAGAGTCCTAAAGCAGCAAAGAAAAATAACCAAATGACATATAAAGGAACATTAATAAGTCTGGCAGCAGACTTAGTGAAAACTACAAACAAGGAGAAAGTTGGACAACATGTTCAAAGTGCTGAAAGAAAATAATTTCCAATTAAGAAAACTCTACCCATCGTAACTATACTTTAAACATGAAGGTGAGGTAAATACTTTTTCAAACAATGAAAAACAGAAAATTCATCACCACAAGATCTGTCTCAAAAGCAACGCTAAAGGCATTCTTTAAACTTAAAGAAAGAGATGGTAACATGCAAAAATAATGTATGTGAAGGCATAAAACTCACTCGCTGGTAAAGGTAAATACACACAAAAATTAAAAATACGCTAACTCTTTAACTGTGGTGAGTACACCACTTATATCTTTATTATAAACTTAAAGACAAATCTATCCAAAATAATAGCTGTAAGAATTTATTAAGAGATAGGCAACATTAAAAGATATAAATAGAGACATCAAAAAGTAAAAAAGTTGAAAAAGTGGAGTTGAAGTGTATAATTATTTTAGTTTTTTATCTGATTGTTTGTTTCTTTCTGGCCAAATTTAAGTTTTCACCAGTTTAAAATAACTTGTATATATTTGAGCTTACTTTGAGCTTGAAGTCATAACTGATTTTTGTAAGCCTAATGGTAATGACACAGCAAAAACTAAAAACACAAAAATAGTAAAAAAGTGAACTTATTCCCAGAGAAAATAGCTTATCCACAAATAAATTAAGTAAAAACAAGAAAGGAAGACAGAACTTACAAAACAAGAAAACAAATTGTAAAATGGCAGTAGTAATCCATTGTCTATCAATCAAATTAATAATAACATTGCATGTAAATAGACTAATTTATCTATCTAAAACATAGAGTTAGAAGGCAGCCAACTGGATTGAATCAATAAGTTCTCCTCCCACAGATCATACTTTCAACTACTTTAACATAATTTGAACAGAACTTCAGAGAGAAAATGCCAAATATGGATGGAGAAAATGAGCAGATACTAAGATTGAAGAGGGAGAAAGCCGAGAATCCTACATGGGGTGCCTGAACACTAGGGCTGGTTCCTGGCTTTAAACAGCACCTAGTGAAGGGGGAAGAGAAGGATCTAGGAGACTACTTATTTCCATCATGGAGCTCTGGGATTCAAGGTGCAAGAAACCCCACATCCCCATAGAGCCATGAGCCAGCAAGAGTATCTTCCTGGAGATTAGATGAAAATGAAGCTGCAGCAGGCAAGAAGCCTTGTGTGAGTCAGCCCCAGCAGAGCCCAGGCAGTAGTGCCCATGCACCAGGGCTTCCCATCAACGTATGGGAGGCTCTGGCTTCACTTATCCACCCAAGAGAAAGCAGGGCTTGCTTTCCCAGGAGAACTAAGGCATGTCTTTCCTGCAGGATTTTCTGCCCGCTACCCCCTCCCAGGGCTCCTTCCTGGCTGCCCCACTAAAGTGTATACACAGTGCAGCCTCCACTGCCCAGGCTAAGTGCTTTGCTACAGCTGAGTGCATTCCCACAGCCTGGAGGGCCTTTGGATTCCCCAGTGCAAACAGACTTTAACCCTGAGGGTCCAGAGAAGGAAACCACAAGCAAGTCTTAGTGCTTCAGAACTATGGCCAAAAACTCTGTGTCCCAAACTGAAATCATTGCTTGGCACTTGATGAAGGAAGAGTACATACTCTCTGAAAACTGAAAGAGAGAAGTCACACAGATTCTCAGGCTGATTATGACCTAGACATGCTTCCCTTCACCAGGCTGGTCAGGTAAGCGTAGGGCCTATCTCTTTGCCAGACCTATCCCCCAAAAAGTCCCACAGCCCCAAAGACCTAAAAACAATAGGTCAGGCACAGTGGCTCACACTGTAATCCCAGCACTTTGGGAGACCGAGGCGGGTTGATCACAAGGTCAGGAGTTCAAGACCAGCCTGGCCAATATGGTGAAACCCTGTCTCTACTAAAAATACAAAAATTAGCGGGCCATGGTGGCGGACACCTGTAATCCCAGCTACTCGAGAGGCTGAGGCAGAGAATTACTTGAACCCAGGAGGCAGAAGTTGCAGTGAGCCGAGATTGCACCACTGCACTCCAGCCTGTGTGACAAAGTGAGAGTCTGTCTGGAAAAACAAAAACAACAACAAAAAAAAAACAACAACAAAAAGAAAACAAAAACAAGAATTATGAGCACAATGCCAGTGATTGGAAGTGTCTCCCTCAAGGCTGAGGAATGTACCAGGTGAGGGGGTCACCTCTCTCTCCCCACACTGAAGAAGATAGTTGCAAACATGAGGATACACAAAGGAGCCACGAGGCTAAGAGTCTATCTACCACCTATTGTTCTCAAGTGTCATCTACTGGATTGCAGACCTAACTACGACACCAAAAACCAACTAATTCTGCTCATTGCAAAACCAAGGGCAATAATTTAACAACAAACAAAAACTCACTACGGAGTCTTACCCTCTGAAATCTTCCAGAAACAAAGCAAACTGACTATACTCAATTTATAGGACAGTTAAAGGAATACCAACCCTCTTAAGTAAGAAAGGATTTATTCAAGAACTCTACCAAAGTGTCCCCTTACCTCCAACAAGCCCACTAGATCCCTGGCTACGGTTTTTTACCAGTCTGAAATGACAGACATGAAATTCAGAATCTGAATGGCAAAGAAGCTCATTGAGACCCAGGAGGTAGTTAAAATTTAATTCAAGGAAGCCAAGTAATGCAGTGAAACAATTCAGGAGCTGAAAGATAAAATAGCCATGTTAAGAAAGACCAAAAATGAACATCAAAGCTGAAAAATTCACTACAAGAATTTCATAATACCATTAGAAGTATTAGCCACAAAACAGACCAAACTGACTATTGAATCTCAAAGCTTGATGACCAGGTCTTCAATCAACACAGTGAGAAAAAATAAATAAAATAAGATTAAGAGAAATAACCCAAACCTCTGAAAATTATGGGATTATTTAAAAAGACCAAATCTATGAGTTGGAACTATCTATGACTAAACAACTTGGAAAACACATTTGAGAATATAGCCTACAAAAATATGCTTAATCTCTCTAAAAATTACATTAAAATCCAACAAATACACAGAACAGTAGCTAGACACTACAAAAGATGATGATTTCCAAGGCACATAGTCATCAGAGTCACCAAGGTTAATGTGAGAGAAAATATCTTAAATGCAACTAGAGAAAAGGGACAGGTGACCTACAGAAGGAACCCCATCAGGATAGCAGTAAACCTCTCAGCAAAATCTTATAAGCCAGAAAAAAATTGGGTTCCTATCTTCAGCATCATAAAAGAAAGAAATTCCAATCAAGAACTTTATATTCTAACAAATTAAGCTTTATACATGAAGGAAAAATAAAATTATTCTCAGACAAGCAAATGCTGAGGAGATACATTTTAATTAAACCAGCCTTAAAAAAAAGTCCTGTAAGGAATACTAAACATTAATTCATAAGAATTACACCTGCTATCACAAAAGCACACTTAAGCACTACACAAGCACTATGAAGCAACTGCACAATGAAGTCTACAAAAAATAGTTAATAACACAATGACAGGAACAAATGTACAAATATACATGATAACATTGAATATAAATACAGTAAATACTCCATCTAAAAGACAAAAAAGTGTTAGGAGGATAAAAACACAAGACCTAAGCATTTATTGACTTCAAGAGACCCATGTCACATAAAATGACAACCAGAGACTCGAAGTAATACAGTGGTGTAAGATTTACCATGCAAACGGAAAAAAAAGAGCATGAATTGCTATTCTTACATCAGATGAGAGAGACTTTAAACCAATAAAAATTAATGAGATCAATGGAGGGCATTACACAATGCTAAATGGTACAATCCAACAAGGAGCCTTAACTGTCCTAAATATATATGCACCTAACCTTGAGCACCCAGATTCATAAAACCAGTTCTTCTTGGCTTACAGAAAAATTAGACAGCCACAGAGTAATAGCAGGAGACTTAACACCCTACTTACAGTGTTAGACAGATTATTGAGACAAACAACTAAGAAAGAAGCTCTGCACTAAAAGTCAACCACTGACCAATTGAACATCATAGACATCTACAAGACACTCCGCTAAACAGTGACAAAATATACATTCTTATCACAGCACAAAAAAATATTCTAAGATCAACCATATGATAGGTCATAAAGCAAGCCTCAAGAGTTTTAAGAAGTTGAAATAATACTGATATGATTTGGCTGTGTCCCCACCCAAATCTATTCTGGAATTGTAGTTCCAATAATCCCCATGTGTGGTGGGAGGGACCCAGTTGGAAGTAATTGAATCGTGGGGGTGGTTTTCCCCAGGCTATTCTCATGATAGTGAGTAAGTTCCCAAGAGATCTGATGGTTTTATAAGGGGTTTTTCCCTTCACTGTGCTCTCCTGTTTCTCCTTGCTCTGCCATGTGAAGAAGGATGTGTTTGCTTTTACTTCCACCAGGATGGCCACCTTCAGAGGGTGCAAGCCACAAGACTTGGGGGCATACACATGGCGTTAGACATGTGGATGCACAGAAGTCAAGAATTTATGTTTGGAAATCTGTGCCTAGATTTCAGAGGATGTATGGAAAAGCCTGGAGAAATAATTGAAGAAAGAAATAAAATTAGCACCGTTTATTGCATCTTTCCTCATCGCTTTTGTCAACATTGTTGAAGATCAGATGGCTGTAGGTGCACAGCTTTATTTCTGGGATCTCTATTATGTTCAGTTGGTATCTGTGCCTTTTTTTGTACTAGTACCATGCTCTTTTGGTTACTGTAGTCTTAAAGTTTGAAGTTGAGTAACAGGGCGCCTCTAGCTTTGTTCTTTTTGCTTCAGATTGCTTTGGCTATTCAGGCTCTCTTTGGGTTCCATATGAATTTTAGAATAGTTTTTTTCTAGTTATGTGAAAAGTGATGTTGATAGTTTGATAGGAATACCAACGAATCTGCAGACTGCTTTGGGAAGTGTGGCAACTGTAATGATATTGATTCTTCCAACTTTTGAGCATGGAATGTTTGTCCATTTGTTTGTTTCTTTTTATTTTATTTTATTATTATTATACTTTAAGTTTTAGGGTACATGTGCACAATGTGCAGGTTAGTTACATATGTATACATGTGCCATGCTTGTGTGCTGCACCCATTAACTCGTCATTTAGCATTAGGTACATCTCCTAATGCAATCCCTCCCCCCTCCCCCCACCCCACAGCAGTCCCCAGAGTGTGATGTTCCCCTTCCTGTGTCCATGTGTTCTCATTGTTCAATTCCCACCTGTGAGTGAGAACATGCGGTGTTTGGTTTTTTGTCCTTGCGATAGTTTACTGAGAATGATGATTTCCTATTTCATCCATGTCCCTACAAAGGACATGAACTCATCATTTTTTATGGCTGCATAGTATTCCATGGTGTATATGTGCCACATTTTCTTAATCCAGTCTATCGTTGTTGGACATTTGGGTTGGTTCCAAGTCTTTGCTATTGTGAATAGTGCCGCAATAAAAATACATGTGCATGTGTCTTTATGGCAGCATGATTTATAATCCTTTGGGTATATACCCAGTAATGGCATTGCTGGGTCAAATGGTATTTCTAGTTCTAGATCCCTGAGGAATCGCCACACTGTCTTCCACCATGGTTGAACTAGTTTACAGTCCCACCAACAGTGTAAAAGTGTTCCTATTTATCCACATCCTCTCCAGCACCTGTTATTTCCTGACTTTTTAATGATTGCCATTCTAACTGGTGTGAGATGGTATCTCATTGTGGTTTTGATTTGCATTTCTCTGATGGCCAGTGATGGTGAGCATTTTTTCATGTGTTTTTTGGCTGCATAAATGTCTTCTTTTGAGAAGTGTCTGTTCATGTCCTTCACCGACTTTTTGATGGGGGTTGTTTGTTTTTTTCTTGTAAATTTGTTTGAGTTCATTGTAGATTCTGGATATTAGCCCTTTGTCAGATGAGTAGGTTGTGAAAATTTTCTCCCATTCTGTAGGTTGCCTGTTCACTCTGATGGTAGTTTCTTTTGCTGCACAGAAGCTCTTTAGTTTAATTAGATCCCATTTGTCAATTTTGTCTTTTGTTGCCATTGCTTTTGGTGTTTTAGACATGAAGTCCTTGCCCATGCCTATGTCCTGAATGGTAATGCCTAGGTTTTCTTCTAGGGTTTTTATGGTTTTAGGTCTGACGTTTATGTCTTTAATCCATCTTGAATTAATTTTTGAATAAGGTGTAAGGAAGGGATCCAGTTTCAGCTTTCTACATATGGCTAGCCAGTTTTCCCAGCACCATTTATTAAATAGGGAATACTTTCCCCATTGCTTGTTTTTGTCAGGTTTGTCAAAGTTCAGATAGTTGTAGATATGTGGCATTATTTCTGAGGGCTCTGTTCTAGGATACCTGGATAGCCATATGCAGAATAATGGAATGGGACCCCCCTATCTTTCACCATATAAAAAAATTAATTCAAGATGGATTAAAGACTTACTTAAATGTAAGACCTCAAACTACAAGAATATGGTAAGAAAACCTAGGAAACACGATATTAGGCATCAGCATTGGGAAAGAATTTGGTCTAAGTCCTCAGAAGCAATTAAAGACCAATCTACAGAGTGTGAGAAAATATTCACAAACTGTGCATCCAACAAAGGTCTAATATCTATAAGAAACTTAAACAGTTCAACAAGCAAAACACAACCCCATTAAAATGAGTGGGCAAAGGACATGCACAAACATTTCTCAAAAGAAAACATATGAGTGGCCAACAAACATGAAAAAATGCTGAACATCAATAATCAGAGAAATGCGAACCAAAACCATAATGAGACACCATCTCACATCAGTCAAAATACCTATTATTAAAAAGTCCCAGCCGGGCGTGGTGGCTCACGCCTGTAATCCCAGCACGTTGGGAGGCCGAGGCGGGCGGATCACGAGGTCAGGAGATCGAGACCATCCTGGCTAACACGGTGAAACCCCGTCTGTACTAAAAATACAAAAAATTAGCCGGGCGCGGTGGTGGGCGCCTGTAGTCCCAGCTACTCGGGAGGCTGAGGCAGGAGAATGGCACAAACCCAGGAGGCGGAGCTTGCAGTGAGCCGAGATCGCGCCACTGCACTCCAGCCTGGGCGACAGAGCCAGACTCCGGCTCAAAAAAAAAAAAAAAAAAAAAGTCCCAAAACAACAGATGCTGGCGAGGCTATGGAGAAAAGGGAATGCTTATATATTGTTGATGGGAATGTAAATTAGTTCAGCCACTGTGAAAAGCAGTTTGGAGATTTCTCAAAGAACTTAAAACAGTACTACAACTTGACCTCAATCCCATTACTGCATAAGTACCCAAAGGAATGTAAGTCATTCTGCCATAAAGACACATGCACTCGTATGTTCATTGCAGCACTAGTCACAATAGCAAAGACATGGAATCAACCTAGATGCCCATCGACCATGCACTGGATAAAAAAATGTGGTACATATGCAACATGGAATACCACACAGTTATAAAAAGAACAAAGGCACATCCCTTGAAGAAACATGGATACAGCTTAGGCCACAGTCCTGATCAAATTAATGCAGCAGCAGAAAACCAAATACCACACATTCTCACTTATAGGTGGGAGTTATAAGTGAATACCCATGGACATAAAGATGGCAACCATAGACACTGGGGACTAATAGAGGTGGGGAGGGTAAGAGGAGGGCAAGGGTTGGAAAATTAACTGTTGAGCACTGTGCTATCTGTTTTTGTTTTGTTTTTTGAGACAGAGTCTCACTCTGTCACCCAGGCTGGAGTGCGGTGGCATGATCTTGGCTCACTGAAACCAACCTCTGCCTCCTGGGCTCAAGCAAGTCTCTTGCCTCAGCCTCCTGAGTAGCTGGGATTATAGATGTGTGCCACCACACTCGGCTAATTTTTGTATTTTTAGTAGAGATGGGTTTTGCCATGTTGGCCAGGCTGGTCTTGAACTCTTGGCCTGATGTGATCCACCCGCCTCAGGCTCCCAAAGTGCTGGAATTACAGGCATGAGCCAAAGCACCTGACCTGTGCTATCTGGATGATGGGATCATTCATATTTCAAACCTAAGCATCATTCAATATGCTCATGTCACAAATCTGTACATGCACCCCCGAATCTAAAATAAAAGTTGAAATTATTAAGAAAAAAGAAATAAAATTATTCTCAGACAAGAAAATGCTGAGGTGATACATTTTAATTAAACAGGCCTTATAAGAGGTTCTATAGGGAGTACTAAACATTGATTAAAAAGAATGACACCTACCATCACAAAGTAGATAAACTTCCTTGTCCAGGCAGAAGTTTGCTGCGGGTGAAGGGCCCTCATGGAGCATCTTGGCTAGGGCAGTGCAGAAGAGAAATGTAGACTTGGAGACCCCATGCTGAATCCCCACTGGGGCACTGATTAATGGAGCTGTGAGGAGAGGGTCACCATTCTCCAGACCAAGAATGGTAGATACACTGACAACTTCCACTGTGTGCCTGGAAAAGCCACAGATACTCAATGCCTGCCTGTGAAAGCAGTGGGGAGGGAGGCTGTACCCTGCAAAGCCACAGGGGTGGGGTTGCCCAAGACTGTGGGAACCCACTCCTTGCATAAGTGTGACTCATTGTGAGACATGGAGTCGAAGGAAATTATTTTGGAGCTTTAAGATTTGACTGCCCTGCTGGATTTCAGATTGCATGGGCCCTGTAACCCCTTCGTTTTGGCCAATTTCTCCCTTTTGGAACAGGTGTATTTACCCAATGCCTGTACCTCCATTGTATCTATAAAGTAACTAACTTGTTTTGGATTTTACAGGCTCATAGATGGAAAGGACTTGCTTTGTCTCAGATGAGACTTTGGACTTGGACTTTTGGGTTAATGCTGGAATGAGTTAAGATTTTGTGGGACTGTTGGAAAGGCATGATTGTGTTTTGAAATGTGATGACATGAGATTTGGGAGGGGCTGGAGGTGGAGTGATATGGTTTTTGGCTGTGCTTCTACCAAAGTCTCATCTTGAATTGCAGTTCTCATAATTCTTATGTGTGATGGGATGAACCCGGTAGGAAGCAATTGAATCATGGGGGTGGTTTCCCCCATTCTATCCTTGTGATAGTAAGTTCTCACGAGATTTGACAGTTTTATAAAGGGCTTCCCATTTGCTCAGCTCTCATTCTTCTCCTTGCTGCCATCATGTGAAGAAAGACTTGTTTGCTTACCCTACTGTCATGATTGTATGTTTCCTGAGGACTCCCAAGTCATGCTGAACTGTGACTCAATTAAACCTCTTTTCTTTATAAATTACCCAGTCCTGGATATGTCTTTATTAGCAGTGTAAGAAGGGACTAATACACATACCTATATACATTTGAACCACAGTGCAAAAAAAAAATAGAAATCAATATCAAGATGATTTTTCAAAACTACGAAAATATATAGAAATTAAATAACTTCCTCATAAATAACTCCTGGATAAACTGTAAAATTAAGGCAGAAATTTTTGAAATTATTTAAAATTAATAAAAATAGAAAAAACAACCTACCAAAATCTCTGAGATAAAGCCAAAACAGTGTTAAGGTGAAAGTTTATAGCCCTAAATGCATTTATTAAGACGTTAGAAACATCCCAAATTAACAATCTAACTTTCCCCTACAGTTACTAGAAAAAAACAGAACAAATTAACACAAAGCTAGCAGAAAAAAAGAAAAAAACTAAAATTTGAGAAGAATTTAATAAAATTGAGATGGCAAAATTCCTATAAAACATCAATGAAACCAAGAGTTTATGCTTTAAAAAATAAATATTGATAAAAGAGCATCCAAATAAGTGCAATCAGAAATGACAAAGCAATAATCCCACAGAAATACACAAGATCCACAGAGACTACTATGAATAATTCTATGCACACCGATTAGAAAATCTAGAGGAAATAAATAAATTATTGGAAGTCCACAATGACCCAAGATTGAGTTAGGAAGAGATTGAAATCTTAAATAGACCAATATTAATTTCTAAAATTGAATTATTAATAAAGAACCAACAGTAAAAGAAGCTCTGGACTGGATAAATTCACAGTTGAATTCTACCAGTCATACAAAGAACTGATACTAACTCTAATGAACTAGTACCAATCCTACTGAAGATATTTGAAACTGAATACTTCATAGAATGAGTTACAGAGGGGCAACTCCTTACCTGATTTTATGAAGTCAGCATCAGCATGATACCAAAATTTGACAGAGACACAATAAAAAAAAAAACAAAAACAAACAGAAAAAAAGAGGCCAACATTCCCTTAGGAGCATAGACACAAGAATATTCAACCAAATAACAACAGCAAACCAAATCTAGCTGCACCTCAAACGTTAATACACCATAATTAAGTAGAGCTCTTTCCAGGAATATAAGACTGATTTAACACATGAAAATCAATAAATTTGATTCGCCTTATAAAAAGAATTGAAACTTATAACCATATGATCATCACAGTAAATGCAGAGAAAAACCATTGAAAAATTCATTATCTCTTCATGATAAAATCACTCAACCAAGTAGGCATTATAGTAACATGTGTCAAAATAGTAAGACCTATCTATGACAAATCCATAGCCAACATCATACTGAATTTATAAAAGCTCAAACCATTTCCCTTGAAAACTGGAACAAGATAAGAATGCCCACTCTTACCACTCTTATTCAACACAGGACTGAAAGTCCTAGTCTGAGAAATCAGGCAAGATAATAAAATAATTAATTAAGAAAGCAATCCAACTTACAGTAGCCACAATTAAAATAAAATAGCTAGTAGCACAGCTAACAAAGGAGATAAGAAATCTGTACAAATTAAACTACAAAACACTGCTGGAAGAAACCATGGGTGACACAAATAAATGGAAAAATAAATACATGTTCATGTATTTATGGAAAAATCAATATTGTAAAAATGGGCCAGACTGTCCAAAGCGATTTACAGATTCGATGCTATTCCTATATACCAATGTAATTCTCCACCAGATCAGAAAAAAACTTTTCTAAAACTTATGTAGAACAACAACAAAAAGGAGCCATAATAGCCAAAGCAATTCTCAGCAAAAACAACAAGCTATAATTATAACATTACTCAAATTCAAACTATTGTATAGAACCACAGTAAAAAAAATAATAACAGCTTTATGTTGTTACAAAAAAGATATGTAGACCAATGGAATAGAACAGAGGTATCAGAAATAAATTATTACACCTACGACCATCTGATCTTTGACAAGGCTGACAAAAACAAGCAATGGGAATATAACCTTGTATTCAGTAAATTGTGCTTGTCTACCTATACGGACAAGATTGTAGCTCAGCCCCTACTTTTCGCCATATACAAAAATTAACTTAAATTGATAAAGGTTTTAAATATAAGTTCTAAAACTACAAAAATTTTGAAAGAAAACCTAGAAAATACTCTTCTTGACATTGGTCTCAGCAAAAAATGTTTTGCTGAGTCCCCATGAGCAATTGTGATAAAAACCAAAAATAGAAAAGTGGGACCTAATTAAACTAAAGATCTTTTGCACAGCAAGATAAACTATCAACAGAGAAAAAAACCTACAGAATGGTAGAAGATATTCCCAAGCCATGCACCTGAGAAAGACCCAATATCAAGAATCGATAGAAGACTTAAATAAACCCACATGCAGAAAACAAGCAATCCTATTTGAAAGCGGGTAAAGGACATGAAAGGAGACGTACAAGTGGCCAAAAAACATATTAATAAATGCTCAATATTACTAATTATTAGAGAAATGCAAATCCAAACCATAATGAGATACCATCTCACACCACTCAGAATGACTGTTATTTACAAGTTTAAAAAACTCAACACATGCTGGCAAGGCTGTGGAGAAAAGGGACCACATATACATTGTTATTGCTGATGTAAATTAGTCCAGACCCTGTGGAAAGCAGTCTAGATATTTCACAAGGACCTTAAAATGGAGCTACAATTGGACCCAGCAATCCCATTACTAGGTATATACACGAAGCAAAATAAATCATTCAACCAAAAAGACACATTCTCTTGTATATTAATTGCTGTGCTATTTACAACAGCAAAGGAGTGAAATAAACACAGATGCTTATCAATAGTAAATTGGGTAAAGATAATATGGTACATATGCACCATACAATACTACACAACCATAAAGAGTAAAATCATATCCTTTGGATGAACATGGATTGAGCTGAAAGCCATAATCTTAAGTAAATCAACGTAAGAAGAGAAAATCAAACACTGCATGTTCTCACTTATAAGTGTGAACGAAACATTGAGCACACATGGGCATAGATATAGGAACAATGTGCACTATAGACTACTGAAGAGTGATTGAAAAATTACTATTGGGCAGTATGCTTACTACCTGGGTGACAAGATCTGTATCCCAAACCTCAGCATAATGCAATATTCTAATACAACAAACCTGCATATGTACCCTTGTACCTAAAATAAAAGTTGAAATTTTTAAATAAAAAGAATAAAAAAGAAGACAGAGTGGCTCAATATATTTAACAAAAACACAAGACAACTATATTCTGCAAATAAGAAACTCACTTAACCTCTAGTGACAATCTTAGATTGAATGTAAAGACATGAAAAAAGATATCCCATACAAATGAAAACAATAGAAAACTTGGAGTATCTATGCTTATGCCAAATTAAACACATTTTTTAAAAAACTGTAAGAACAGGCAAAGAAGGTACTCATATGATGATAATGGGGTCAATGAAGCAATAGAATATAACAATTACAAATCTCTATGAAACCAATATTTGAGCACCCAAGTGTAAAAAGCAAATATCAATTGATCTGAAGATAGAGATAGACTGCAATACATTAATAATAGGAGACTTTAATACCACATTTGTTGCAATGGACTGATCTTCTGGACAGAAGATTCACAAAGAAGCATTATATTTAACTACAATGTAGAAGAAAATACAATAACTGACAATTACAGAACATTTCATCCGACTGCAACAGGATTCACATTTTTTCTCATCAGAACATAGAGCATTATCTAGAAAACAAAATATATTAGGCTATAAGACAAGTCTTAAGAAATATAAAAAAAATTGTTTGAAGTATATATTTTTTGAGCACAATGGACTTAAACTTGAAATCAATAACAAGAGTAATAATGGACACTAAACAAAAACATGGAAATTAAACATCGTGTCTCTGGACAATAAATTGTCAATAAATAAATTAAAAATAAAATTCTGAAAATGTATTTAAACAAATAAAATGGAAAGACAACATAACAACACTTACGGGATACAAAGAAAGCAGTACTAAGAGGAAAATTTATAGCAACAAACACATATATCAAAAAAGTAGAGACTTCAAATAAACAAACATATCATGTGCCTTAAATAACTTGAAATCAAGAAGAAACCAATCCCGTAATTATTAGAAGAAATAATAAAGACCTAAACACAAATACATAAAATTGAGAATTAAAAACACTACAAAAGATTAAAAAAATAGTTGATTTTTAAGAAGAAAAAAAACTTTGGCAAATCTTTAAGTAGACCAGAAATAAATGAAAATAACAAAATAAGTAAAATCAGAGACAAAAGAAGATACAGTAACTGATACCACAGATATTCGGAGAATCATATAAGTCTACTGTATGCAACTATAAAACAATAAATAGAAAACATAAGATAAATAAATAAATGTTTATACTTATGAAACCTACCAAGATTAAACCATGCAGAGATAGAAAACCTGAACCCAAAAAATAAGGAGTAATGAGATTAAAGCAGCAAAACAATGTCCCCTATCAAAGATAAGTTAAAACCTGATGTCTTCAGTGGTGAATTTTATTAAGCTTTTAATAAATACCTATTGCCAATTTTACTCAAATTATTCCAAAAAGCTGAAGAGAAATAAATACTTCTGAACTCATTTTACAAGGCCAACATTATCCTGATACTAAAACCAGACAAACATACAACAACAACAAAACTACAGACCAATACCCCTGAAGAATAAAAATGCAAAAGTCCTCAATAAAATAACAGCCGACTGAATTTAAAAACACAGTGAAAGTATTACTCACTATAATCAAGTGGAATTTCTCTGGGTGGTCAAGGATTGTTATTCAAACTCAAATTGGTAAAAATGTTTCAATGATTAACAGACTCAGGAATAAAAACTATACAATCTTTACAATGGATCTCATAAAACATTCAATAAAATTCAGCACCCATTTATAATAAAAAACTAAAAAACTGGCTATAGAAAGAACATATCTCAAAACAATAAAGCCCATGTATGACAAACCCACAGCTAGCATGAAACCTAGTAGGGAAAATTGAAACCTTTACCCCTAAGATCTGGAACGAGACAATGATCACCACATTTTACCATTTTTATTCAACCTAGTATTAGAAGTCCTAGCCAGGGCAATTAGACAAAAGAAAAAAGAAATAAAATGCATCCAAACGGGAAAGAAAGAATTAAAATTGTTTTGGTTTACACATAATATAATCTTATATGTAGAAAAACCTAAACACTCTACCAAAATCTGTTAGATCTAATAGAAAAATTTAATAAAATTGCAGTATAAAAAATACCATACACAATGTAGTAACATTTATTTTTATATGCTAACAATAAAAAATCTGAAAAACAATTAAATACATCAATAATATTGACAATAGTCAAAAAAATAAAATACCTAGGAACAAATTTAAGATGTGAAAGATTTACACAAAATGAAAGCTATAAAACACTACTAAAAATGAAGAAAACCCCCCAAAATGGAAAGACATTTCATGTACAGATTGGAATAATATTGTAAAAATATCAATACTGCCCTAAGAAATCTATTAATTTAATTCAATCTCTATCAAAATATCAATGAAATATTTAACAGAAATAGAAAAACAATCCAAACAATTTTATAAAACCACAAAAAACCCAATAGTGAAAGCAACCCTAATCATAAAGGACAAAACTGGAGGCATTACATGAAGTAACTGCAAAAGTATCAAAAATCTATAACGACCCTAACAGCATGATACTGGCATAAAATAAACACATAGATAAATAGAGAAAAGTAGAGAACCTCGAAATGAATCTTCATATTTACTGCCAACTCAATTTTGATAAAAACACAAAAATATACACTGGGCAAAGTACAATATCTTCAATGAAAGATTCTGAGAAAACTGGATATCCATATGTAGAATAAAACTAGAACCCTGAACCCTTTCACCATATGCAAAAATCAAAGCAAAATGGATCCAAGACTTAAAACTGAGACCAGAAACTATGAATCTGTTGGAATAAGACATTGGGAAAACACTTCAGGACATTGGTCTTGGCAAAGATATATTGAATAAGACCTCAGAAGCAAAAGCAACCAAAGCAAAAACATTGACAAATAAGATTGCATCAAGGTAAGAAAGCTTCTTCCTAGCAAAGGTAACAATCAACACAGTGAAGAGACAACCTACAGAATGGGAGAAAATATTTGAAAATTATTCATCTAACAAGGCATGAATAACCAGAATATATGAGGAACTCAAACAACCCAATTGTAAAGAAAATAAATAATCTGTTTTTAAAATGGGTAAAAACATAAATAGATGTTTCTCAAAGAAAGATATAGAAGTGGTTATCACGCATGTGAAAAAAATTATTAACAACACTAAATCAACAGGGAAATGAAAATTAAAACCATGAGATATCATCTCGCCCTAGTCCACATGGCTATTATTTTTAAAAACCACAGAAAATAAATGCTGGTAGGGGTGCAGAGAAAGAGACATGTTCAAAAATAGCTCATTGTAATGTCTGCAGCTACTATCAAAAACAGTATGAAGGTTTCCCAGAAAACTAAAAATAGAAAAAGTACACGATTCAGTGATCCCACTGCTGAGTCATATCCAAAAGGAAAGAAGTCAGCACATAGAAGAGATATCTGAACTCTCATGTTTAATGTAATTTTATTTCAAATAGCAGCAATATGGAAACAACTTTAGTGTCTATCAACAGATAAACAGATAAAGAAATTATATGATATATATCTAATAGAATATTAATCATAAAGAAAAACGTAATTATCTCTTTTGCAGTAATATGAAAGAAAGTGGAGAACATTATGTTAAGTGAAATAAGCCAGGCCTGAAAGACAAATGTCACATGTTTTTACTCATGAAGGAGTTAGAAATTGATTTCATAGAGGTAGTAAATACAGTGATGATTATCAAAGATTTTTGTTTCTAACTTTTATTTTAAAAGTTTGGAATACACATGCAGGTTTGCTAATAGGTAAACATGTCATGGAGGTTTGTGTAAAGATTATTTCATTACCAAGATATTAAGCCTACTACCCATTACTTATTTTTTTCTAATAATCTCCCTCCTCTTACCCTCTAACTACTGGTAGGACCCAGTGTCTGTTGTTCCCTCCATGTGTTTATTTGTTTTTATCATTTTGCTCCCACTTATAAGTAAGAAGAGGCAGTATTTGGTTTTCTGTTCCTGTGTTAGATTGCTAAAATTAATGGCCACCAGCTCCATCCATGTTCCTGCAAAGCACAAGATCTCATTCCTTTTTATGGCTCAACAGTATTTCATGGTGTATATGTACTATGTTTTTATTATCCAGTCTTCCATTGATGGACATTTTTGTTGATTCCATGTCTTTGCTATTGTGAATACTGCTGCAATAAACCTACACGTGCATATGTCTTAATGATGGAACAATTTATATTCTTTGGGGATATACCCAGTGATATGGTTTTGCTGTATCACCACCCAAATCTCATCTTGAATTCCCTTGTGTTGTGGGAGGGACCCAGAGGGTGGTAACTGAATCATGGAGGCAGGAATTTCCCTTGCTGTTCTCAAGATAGTGAATAAGTCTCATGAGATCTGATGGTTCTATAACAGGAGTTTCCACACACAAGCTCTCTCTTTTCCTGCCCCCATCCATCTTAGATGTGACTTGCTCTTCCTTGCCTTTCACTATGATTGTGAGGCCTCCCCAGGCATGTGAAACTCTAAGTCCATTAAACCAATTTTCTTCCCAGTCTTGGGTGTGTCTTTATCAGCAGCATGAAAACAGGCTAATATAGTAAATTTGTACTGGGAGTGGGGTGTTGCTGAAAAGATACCCAAAAATGTGGAAGCGACTTTGCAACTGGTTAACAGATAGAAGTTGGAAAAGTTTGGAGGGCTCAGAAGAACACAGGAAAATGTGGGAAAGTTTGAAGCTTCCTAGAGACTTCTTGAATGGCTTTGATAAAAATGCTGATAGTAATATGAACAAGAAGGTCCAGGCTGAGGTAGTCTCAGATGAGAGATGAGAAACTTTTTGGGAACAGGGACAAAGGTGACTCTTGTTATATTTTAGCAAAGAGACTGGTGGCATTTTGGCCCTGCCTATTTGTGGAACTTTGAAAGTTCCATTTGTGTCACTTTGAACTTGAGGGAGATAATTAAGGATATCTGGCAGAAAAAATATCTAAGCAGCAAAGCATTCAAGAGGTGACTTGGGTACTCTTAAAAGCATTCAGTTTTAAAAGGGAAACAAAGCATGAAAGTTTGGAAAATTTGCAGCCTGACTATGCAATAGAAAAGAAAATCCCATTTTCTGAGAAGAAATTAAATTTGGTTGCAGAAATTTGCATAAGTAATGAGGAGCTGAATATTAATCCCCTAGAAAATGGGGAAAATGTCTTCAGGGCATGTCAGAGGTCTTCACGGCAGACCCTCCCATCACAGGCCCAGAGGCCTAAGAGGAAAAAAAATGTTTTATGGGCTGGGCCCAGGGCTCCCCTGCTCTGTGCAGCCTAGGGACCTGGTACCCTGCATTCCAGCTGCTCTACCCATGGTGAAAAGGGGTCAAGATACAGCTCAGGCTGTTGCTTCTGAGAGCAAAAGCCTCAAGCCTTTGCAGCTTCCACCTGATGTTGAGGCTGCACATGCACAGAAGTCAAGAATTGAGGTTTGGGAACCTCCACGTAGATTTTAAAAGATGTATGAAAATGCCTGGATGCCCAGGCAGATATTTGCTGCAGGGAAGGGGCCCTCATGGATCAAGTCTGCTAGGGCAGTGTGAAAAGAAAATGTGGGGTAGATCCCCCACAGACAGTCCCTTCTGGGGCACTGCCTAGTGGAGCTGTGAGAAGAGGGCCACTGTACTTCAGACCCCAGAATGGTATACCCACTGAGCAGCTTTTACTGTGGGCCTGGAAAAGCCAGAGACACTCAATGCCAGCCAGTGAAAGCAGCTGGGAGGGAGGACATACATTGCAAAGCCAGAGAGGCAGAGCTACCAAAGACTGTGGGAACCTACCTCTTGCCTCAGCATGACCTGGATGTGAGACATGGAATCAAAGGAGACCATTTTGGAGTTTTAAGATTTAACTGCTTCACTGGATTTCAGACTTGCATGGGGCCTGTAGCCTCTTTGTTTATGCCAATTTCTTCCCTTTGGAATGGCTGTAGTAATGCAATATCTGTACCCCCATTGTGTTTAGAAAGTAACCAAGTTGCTTTTGATTTTACAGGCTCATAGGCAGAAGGGACTTGCCTTGTCTTGGATGAGACATTGGACTGTGGACATTTAAGTTAATGCTGAAATGAGTTAAGACTTTGGGGGACTGTTGGGAAGGCATGATTGATATTGAAATGTAAGGATATGAGATATGGGAGAAGCCAGGAGCAGAATTTGGCTGTGTCCCCATCCAAATCTTATCTTGAATTCCCATATGTTATGGGAGGTACCTGGTGGGAGGTAATTTAATCATGGGGGCAGGTCTTTTCCATGCTGTTTCCATGATAGTGAATAAATCTCATGAGATCTGATGGCTCTATAATGGGTAGTTTCTCTGCACATGCTCACTCTTTGCCTGCCATCATCTATGTAAGACGTGACTTGCTCCTCCTTGCCTTCTGCCATGATTGTGAGGCTTCCCCAGCAATATGGAACTGTAAGTACATTAAACCTCTTTTTCTTCTCAGTCTTAGGCATGTCTTTATCAGCAGCATAAAAACGGACTAATACACCCAGTAACGAGATTTCTGGGTCGAATGGCAGTTCTGTTTTTAGGTCTTTGAGGACTTTTTTCCATAATGGTTTAACTAATATTCATGCTCACTGTCAGTGTATTAGAATTTCTTTTCCTCTGCAACCTCACCAGCACCTGTGGGTTTTTTTTTTTTTTGACTTTTTATTCATAGCCATTCTGACTTGTGTGAAATGATATTGTATTGTGGTTTGGATTTGCATTTCTCTAATGATTAGTGATGTTAATTTTTTTCGTATGTTCATTGGCCACACTTATGTGTCTTCTTTGAAAAAAGTGTCTGTTATGTCTTTTGCCAACTTTTCAATTGGGTCGTTTGTTTTGTTTTGTTTGTAAATTTGTTTAAGTTCCTTATTGGTGTTGGATATTAGAACATCTTCAGATGCATAGTTTGCAAAAATTTTTTCTAATACTCTAGGTTGTCTATTGCTAATTTATTTTGCTGTGTAGAAGCTCTTTAGTTTAAACAGATCACATTTGTCAAATTTTGATTTTGTTGCAATTACTTTTAGCATTTTTGTCATGAAAACTTTGCCCATTTTTTAAAATCCAGAATGGAATTGCCTAGGTTTTCTTCATGGTTTTTATAGCTTTGAGTTTTACATTTAAGTCTTTAATCCATTTTCAGTTAATTTTTGTATATGGTGTAAGGAAAAGGTTGAGTTTCTATCTTCTCTTTATGGTTAGCAAGTTATTTTAGCACCATTTATTGAATAGGAAGTATTTTTCTCATTGCTTGTTTTTGTTGATTTTGTCAAAGATCAGACAGTTCTAGGTATGTGGCCTCATTTCTCAGCTCTCTATTCTGTTTTGTTCGCCTGTGTGTTTGTTTTTGTACCAGTGCTGTATGCTGTTTTAGTTTCCATAGTCTTGTACTATAGTATAAAGGCATTAGCTTTTTTTTTTTTTCCTAAGGATTGTTTTGGCTTTCTAGGTTGTTTTTTTTTTTTGTTTTTTTTTGGTTCCATATAAATTTTAACATAGTTTCTTCTGGTTCTGTAAAAAATGTCATTGGTAGTTTAATAGCAATAGCCTTGAATCTGTAAGTGGCTTTGGGTAGTATGACCATATTGATATTGATTCTTCTCCATGAGCATGAATGATTTTCCATTTGTTTCTGTCATCTGTCATTTTTTGAGCAGTGTTTTTTACCTCATTTGTAGAGATCCTTCACCTCCTTGGTTAGCTGTATACCTAGGTATTTTAAATGCTGTGGTTATTTTGAATGGGATTACATTCCTGATTTGGCTTTCAGCTTGATTGTTGTTAATCTATAAAAAAGCTAGTGATTTTTGTATGTTCGTTTTGTATCCCAAAACTGCTGAAATTTTTTCTCAGTTTGAGGAGCTTTTAGGCCAAGACTATGGGGTTTTCTAAATACAGAATTATGTCATCTGCAAACAGGGATAGTTTGACGTCATGTATTCCTATGTGGATGCCCTTTATTACTTTCTCTTGCTTGATTGCTCTGGCCACAACTTCCAATCTTATATTGGATAGGAGTGGTGAGAAAGGGCATCCTTGTCTTATGCCACTTTTCAAGGGGAATGCATTCAGCTTTTGCCCATTAAGTATGATGTTGCTGTGGGTTTGTCTTATATGGCTCTACTTATTTTGAGTTGTGTTCTTTCAATACCTTTATCTTTGAAAGTTATTAATATGGAGTGTTGAATCTTATTGAGAGTCTTTTCACATCTATTAAGATAATCATGTGGTTTTGTCTTTAATTCTGTTTATTTCATGAATCACATTTATTGATTTACATATGTTGAACCAATCTTGCATCCCAGAAATAAAGTCTATGTGATTGTGCTGAATGTGAATTTTGATGTGCTGTGGGATTTGGTTTGCCAGTATTTTGTTGAGGATTTTTGCAACTATGTTCATCAAGAATATTGGCCTGAAGTTTTCATTTTTTATTGTGTCTTTGCCAAGTTTTGGTAACAGGATGATGTAGGTCTAATAGAATAAGATGGAGAAGAGTCCCTTCTCCTCATTTTTTTTCCTAGGAATAGTACTAGCCCTTCTCTTTACACCTTGTAGAATTCAGCTGTGAATCCGTCTAGCCATGAGCTTTTTTGGTGGGTAGGGTATGTATTACTGATTCAATTTTGGAGCTTGTTATTGATCTGTTAAGGAATTCAATTTCTTTCAGGCTCAGTGGGAAAGCGTATGAGTCCAGGAATTTATCAATTTCTTTGAGATTTTCTACTTTATATTAATAGAGGTTTTCATAATATTTACTATTTTTTTTCCATTTCTTTGCGGTTAGTGGTTATATCCCCTTTGTGATTTTTAATTGTGTTTACTTGGATCTTCTCTGTTCTTCTTTATTAGTCTACTTAGCAGTCTATCTATTTAAATAACTTTTTCAAAAATTCAACTTCTGGATCTGTTATTGTTTTGAGATTTTTGTGGCTCAATTTTCATCAGTTCAAGTTCTGAATTTGATTATTTATTGTCTTCTGCTAGATTTGGAGTTGGTTTACTCTTGGTTCTCTACTTCATTTAGTTGTGATGTTATGTTGTTAAATTGAATTTTTTTAACTTTTTAATGTGGGCATTTTAGTGCTATAAATTTGCCTCTTTACACTGTGTTAGCTGTGTCACAGAGATTCTAGTATGCTGTGATTTAGTTCTCATTAGTTTCAAAAAACTTTTTGTATCTTCCTTAATTTTATTTACTCCAAAGTCATTCATTATCAGGTTATTCAATTTCCATGTAATTGTCTGCTTTGAGTAAATTTGTTAGTCCTGATTTCTAATTTGATTGTGCTGTGGTTCAAAACAGTGGTTGATATATATGTATATATATATATTTGCATTTGATGAGGAGTGTTTTGTGTCCTATGAGGCGATCAATTTTAAAGTGTGTGCCATGTGGTAATGTTGTAGTCTTGCCAATTTACCAAAACGTAACAGTTTCTCATTGTCTGAGCCAATACCAGGATTTCTTTGTCCTACATCCAGGAAGATTGAGAAGTGTGGACACAAGGGTGAGGTTGGAGCAAAAGTTTAATGAGCAAAAGAAGAAAGCTCTCTGCCATCGGGGTGATGGGTTGCCCCCTATGAGCATGAGGTCCAGGGTTTTTATTGACTGGGAAGGAGAATAAATGTGCTTTGTCTGCAGATTGTCTTAGAATTCTTGGTCCAGGACCAATCAGGGGCTCAAATCGAGATTTATAGAGGCTGTTTAGCCTGGCCTTGGACTTATCAGGAATTGGAGTGAAAGCTTGGCCTGGGACTACTGCCTGGGACCAATCAGGGGCTGAAGTGATGATTCATAGAGGCTGGGTCTACAATCCAAAAAGAAAAAGAAAGTGATCACCACAACCCACCAAAACTCACTGTGTTCATGCCCACGAAAGAGAAGAAATTTATTCCTGGGAGCCCACTGATTATACAAAGGACAAAGGCATTTCTCTGTCAGGCCTTGTTCCTTTGTCTGAGTGAGTGGAGGTTTGTGCAAGTTTTTACCTGAATGGGCTTCAGATTCTTCTATTTGTTCAGCCATAGGCATGTCTTCAGGCATAAACCCCTGTGCTAGTTCCCTTATCAGTTCCTACAGCTTGATTTTTCCCAGGCTGTTTTTTATGTTATGTGAAGATGAGGCACTAACCCATAGGTGGAGGGCTCTCTGGGGATCCTTCCCTTGCTGTCTACAAAATGCTAGCTAGTTAAGTCCTCTCCATAATGAGAAGAATATGTATTTTGTTGTTTTGAGGTAGAGAGTACTTTCAATTTTTATCAGGTCCATTTGATCCAGTGTTGAGCTCAGGTCTTGAATGTCTTTGTTAATTTTCTTCCTCGGTGATACATCTAATACTCTCTGTGGGATGTTCAGATCTCCCAGTATTATTACGTGAAAGGTTAAATCCCTTTGAAGGTCTCTAAGAACTTGCTTTATGAATCTGAGTGCTCCTTGTGGTGAGTGTATATACAGTTAGAATAGTTAGGTCTCGTTTAATTGAACACTTTATCATTATGTAATGCCCCTTTTTGTCTTTTTTGATAGTGGTTTATTTAAATTCTGTTTCATCTAAAATTAAGGTTGCAACCCCTACATTTTTTTATGTTTTTTGATTGCTTGGTGTATTATTCCCCATCCCTTTATTTTGAGTTTATGGGCATCATTGCATGTGAGATGGCTCTTTCAAGGACAGCATACCAATGATTCTTGGTTCTTTTTTCAGCTTGGCACTCTGTGCCTTTTAATTGTGGCATTTAATCCATTTCAATTCAAGATTAATATTGATATGTGTGGATTTAGTTCTGTCATCATGATGTTAGCTGGTTATTATGCCGAATTGTTTGGTTGGTTGCTTTATAGTGTCACTGGTCTGTGTAATTAAGTGTGTTTTTTGTAGTGCTTCCTTCTGGAGCTTTTTTACAGTAGGTGTGGTGGTAATGATTTTCCTCAGCATGTGCTTGTATGAAAAACATTTTATTTCTCTTTCACTTATGAAGCTTAATTTGGCTAAATAATAAAATTTTTTGTTGTAATTCATTTTTTTAAAAAAATTTAACTATTGACAATACTCCAATTTCTTCTGGCTTATAGGGTTTCTACTGAGAGGTCCACTGTTAGTCTGATAAACTTTCCTTTGTAAGTGACTTTATTTTTTTCTCTAATTGCTTTTATTATTTTTTTCCTTTCCTTTCACCCTTGGAGAATTTGTTGATTATATGTGTTGGGAATAAACTTGTGAAGTATTTTACTGGGGTTCTCTACATTTCCTGAATTTGAACGTTGGTTTTTCTATCTAGGTTAGGGAAGTTCCTATAAATAATATCTTGAAATATGTTTTCCAAGTTGTATACCCTTTCGATCTCTTTCAGGGATAACAATGTGTTTTAGATTTGGTCTCTTCACATAACCCAATATTTCTTGGAGGTTTTGTTTATTTCTTTTTATTATCTTTTCTCTATTCTTGTCTGATTGTCTTATTTTAGAAAGCCAGTCATAAAGCTCTGAGGTTCTTTATTTATCTTGGTTTATCCTGCTGTTACTAGTTGCAATTACATTATGAAATTCTTGTAGTGTGCTTTTCAGCTCTGTCAGGTTAGTTATGTCTTTGTCTATAATTGCCATTTTGTCTGTCAGCTCCTGTGTTATTTTATTGTGACTCTTAGCTTACTTCAATGAATTTCAATGTACTTCTGTATCTAAACGATCTTCATTCCTATGTATATTCTGAACTCTATTTCTGTCATTTTAGCCACCCTTGCCAGCTTAAGAACCCTTGATGAAGGGGTGGTGCAGCCCTTTGGAGAGAAGGACTTCTCAGTTTTCGAGTTGTCATAGTCCTTGCACTTTCTTTCGTTCTCTTTCTTTCTTCTTTCTTTTTTCTTTCTTTCTTTCTTTCTTTCTTTCTTTCTTTCTTTCTTTCTTTCTTTCTTTCTTTTTCTTTCTTTCTTTCTTTCTTTCTTCTTTCTTTTCTTTCTTTTTTATTTATTTCTTTTCTTTCTTTCTCTTTCTTCTTTCTTTCTTTCTTTCTTTCATTCTTTACTCTCTCTCTTTCTCTTTTCCTTTCTTTCTTTCTTTCATTCTTTACTCTCTCTCTTTCTCTCTTTTTCTTTCTTTCTTTTTTCTTCTTTTTCTTCTTTCTTTCTTTCTTTCTTTCTTTCTTTTTTTTTCCAGACTCACTCTGTCACCCAGGCTGCCTGGAGTGCAGTGGCACAATCTCTGCTCACTATAAACTCTGCCTCCTGGGTTCAAGCGATTCTCATGCCTCAGCCTCCCAAGTATCTGAGATCACAGGCATGCATCACGATGCCTGTATAATTTTTGTATTTTTAGCAGAGAAGGGATTTCATCATGTTGGCCAGGTGGGTCTCAAATCCCTGACCTCAACTGATCCACCAGCCTCAGCCTCCCAAAGTGCTGAGATTTACAGGCACGAGGCACCACACCCGGCCTGCACTATTTCTTTCTTCTATTTGTAGGGTGATGTTTCTTCCATCTTTGAAGTTGCTTACATTTGGACTTAAAAAAATTATTCTACATATACAATCATGTCATCTGTAAACAGGGACAATTTGACTTCCTCTTTTCCTAAATGAATACCCTTTATTTCCTTCTCCTGCCTAATTGCCCTGGCCAGAACTTCCAACATTATGTTGAATAGGAGTGGTGAGACAGGGCATTCCTGTCTTGTGCAGGTTTTCAAAGGGAATGCTTCTGGTTTTTGCCCATTCAGTATGATATTGGCTGTGGGTTTGTCATAGATAGCTCTTATTATTTTGAGATACGTCCCATCAATACCAAATTTACTGAGAGTTATTAGCATGAAGGGTTGTTGAATTTTGTCAAAGGCCTTTTCTGCATCTATTGAGATAATCATGCGGTTTTGGTCTTTGGTTCTGTTTATATGATAAATTACATTTATTGATTTGCATATATTGAACCACCCTTGCATCCCAGGGATGAAGCCCAAAATCTCCTTAAGCTGATAAGCAACTTCAACAAAGTCTCAGGATACAAAATCAATGTACAAAAATCACAAGCATTCTTATACACAAATAACAGACAAACAGAGAGCCAAATCATGACTGAACTCCCATTCACAATTGCTTCAAAGAGAAAAAAATACCTAAGAATCCAACTTACAAGGGACGTGAAGGACCTCTTCAAGAAGAACTAAAAACCACTGCTCAATGAAATAAAAGAGGACATAAACAAATTGGAGAACATTTCATGCTCATGGATAGGAAGAATCAATATCGCAAAAATGGCCATACTGCCAAAGGTAATTTATAGATTCAATGCCATCCCCATCAAGATATCAATAACTTTTTTGCACGAAATTGGAAAAAACTACTTTAAAGTTCATATGGAACCAAAAAAGAGCCCGCATTGCCAAGACAATCATAAGCAAAAAGAACAAAGCTGGAGGCATTACACTACCTGACTTCAAATTCTACTACAAGGCTACAGTAACCAAAACAGGATGGTACTGGTGCCAAAACAGAGATATAGACCAATGGAACAAAACAGAGCCCTCAGAAATAATACCACACATCTATGACCATCTGATCTTTGACAAAGCTGACAAAAACAAGAAATGGGGAAAGGATTCCCTATTTAATAAATGGTGCTGGGAAAACTGGCTAGCCATATGTAGAAAGCTGAAACTGGATCCCTTCCTTACACCTTATACAAAAATTAATTCAAGATGGATTAAAGACTTAAATGTTAGAATTAAAGCCATAAAAACCCTAGAAGAAAATCTAGGCAATACCATTCAGGACATAGGCATGGGCAAGGACTTCATGACTAAAACACCAAAAGCAATGGCAACAGAAGCTAAAATAGACAAATGGGATCTAATTAAACTAAAGAGCTTCTGCACAGCAAAAGAAACTACCATCAGAGTGAACAGGCCACCTACAGAATGGGAGAAAATTTTTGCAACCTAATCAACTGACAAAGGGCTAATATCCAGAATCTACAATGAACTCAAACAAATTTACAAGAAAAAAACAAACAACTCCATCAACAAGTGGGCGAAGGACATGAACACACACTTCTCAAAAGAAGACATTTATGCAGCCAAAAAACACATGGAAAAAATGTTCACCATCACTGGCCATCAGAGAAATGCAAATCAAAACCACAATGAGATACCATCTCACACCAGTTAGAATGGCGATCATTAAAAAGTCAGGAAACAACCGGTGCTGGAGGGGATGTGGAGAAATAGGAACACTTTTACACTGTTGGTGGGACTGTAAACTGGTTCAACCATTGTGGAAGTCAGTGTGGCGATTCCTCAGGGATCTAGAACTAGAATATAAATAAATATATATAAATATATATTAATATAAATATATATAAAAATAAATATATATTAATATAAATATATATACGTATATATGTATATATACACATATATAAATATATATGTGTATATATAAATATACATGTATATATACACATATATAAATATATGTGTATATATACATATATAAATATACATGTGTATAAATACATATAAATATATGTATATATACATGTATATGTATATATACATATAAATATATGTAAATATACATATATCTGTATATATACATATATAAATATATGTATATATACATACATAAATATATATGTATATATACATGTATAAATATATGTATATATACATGTATAAATATATATGTATATATACACATATAAATATATATGTGTATATATACATGTATAAATATATATGTATATATACACATATATATTTATATATGTGTATATATACATACATAAATATGTGTATATATACATATATAAATATGTGTATATATACATATATGTGTATATATGTGTATATATACATATATATGTGTATATATGTATAAATATATATGTATATATTTACATATATAAATATATATATGTATATATTTACATATATAAATATATATGTATATATTTACATATATAAATATATATGTATATATTTACATATATAAATATATATATGTATATATTTACATATATAAATATATAGGTAAATATATTTACATATATAAATATATAGGTAAATATATATACATATATAAATATATAGGTAAATATATATACATATATAAATATATAGGTAAATATATATACATATATAAATATATAGGTAAATATATATATAAATATACATGTAAATGTATTTACCTATATATAAATATACATGTAAATATATATAAAGATACATAAATATATAAATATATAAATATATAAAGATATATAAAGATATATAAAGATATAAATATATATATTTATAAATATATATAAATATATATATAAATATATATAAATATACATTTATATATTTATATGTAGATAAATATATATAAAAAAATATATATAAATATATATATATATATATCCATTACAGGAGCACCCAGATTTATAAAGAGGGTTCTTGGAGACCTACAAAGAGAGTTAGACTTCCACACAATAATATTGGGAGACATTAAAACTCCACTGTTAATATTAGACAGGTCAACGGGACAGAAAATTAACAAAGATATTCAGGACTTGAACTCAGCTCTGGACCAAGCAGACCTGACCGGTACCTACAGAGCTCTACACCCCAAATGAACAAAGTATACGTTCTTCTCAGCATCACATTGCACTTATTAGACAATTGAGCACATAATTAGTAGTAAAACACTCCCGAGCAAAAGCAAAAGTACTGAAATCATAAGAAATATTCTCTCAGACCACAGTGCAATCAATTAGAGCTCAGGATTAAGAAACTCACTCAAAACGACACAACTACATGGAAACTGAACAACCTGTTCCTGAATGACTACTGGCTACATAACGAAATTAAGGTAGAAATAAGTAAGTTCTTTGAAACCAATGAGAAGAAAGGCACAACGTACCAGAATCTCTGGAACACAGCTAATGCAGTGTTTAGAGAAAAAATTATAGCACTCAATGCCCACAGGAGAAAGCAGGAAAGACTTAAAATTGAAACTTTAACTTCACAATTCAAAGAACTAGAGAAGCAAGCCCAAACAAATTCAAAAGCTAGCAGAAGACAAGAAATAACTAAGATCAGAGCAGAAATCAAGGAAATAGAAGCACAAAAACATCCTTAAAAAGTCAATTAATCCAGGAGATGGTTTTATGAATAGATCAACAGAATAGATAGACCCATAGCCAGACTAACAAAGAAGAAAAGAGAGAAAAATCAAGTAGACACAATAAAAAATTATAAAGATAATATCACCACTGATCCCACAGAAATACAAACTACCATCAGAAATTACTATAAACACCTCTACACAAATAAACCAGAAAATCTGGAAGAAATGGGTAAATTTCTGGACACATACACCCTCCCAAGACTAAACCAGGAAGAATTTGAATCACTGAATAGACCAATAACAAGTTCTGAAATTGAGGCAGTAATCAATAGCCTAACAACTAAAACAAGCCCAGGACCAGAGGGATACATAGCTGAATTCTATCAGAGGTAAAAAGAAGAGCTGGTACCATTACTTCTGAAACTATTCCAAACAATAGAAAAAAAGGGACTCCTCCCTAACTCATTTTATGAAGCCTGCATCATCCTGATACCAAAACCTGGCAGAGACACAATGGCAACAAAAAAATTTCAGGCCAATATCGCTGATGAACATTGATGCAAAAATACTCAATAAAATACTGGCAAACCAAATTCAGTAGCACATCATAAAGCTTATTCAGCATGACCAAGTCGGCTTCATCCCTGGGATGCAACGCTGGTTCAATATATGCAAATCAATAAACATAATCCATCACATAAACAGAACTGATGACAGAAACCACAATTACCTCAATAGATGCAGAAAAGGCCTTTGATAAACTTCAACACCACCTCATGCTAGAAACTCTCAATAAACTAGGTGTTGAGGGAACATATCTCATATCAATGAGAGCTATTTATGACAAACCCACAGCCAATATCACACTGAATGGGCAAAATCTGGAAGCATTCCCTTTGAAAACTAGCACAAGACAAGTATACCCTCTCTCACCGCTCCAACTCAACATAGTATTAAAAGTTCTGACCAGCGAAATCAGGCAAGACAAAAAAAAAAAAGGTATTCAACTAGGAAAAGAGTAAGTCAAAGTATCTCTGTTTGCACATTACATGATTGTATATTTAGAAAACCCCATTGTCTCAGCCCAAAATCTCCTTAAGTTGATAAAGAACTTCAGCAAAGTCTCAGGATGCAAAATCAATGTGCAAAAATCACAAGCTTTCCTATACACCAATAAGAGACAAAGAGAGAGCCAAATCATGAGTGAACTGCTATTCACAATTGCTATAAAGAGAATAAAATACCTAGAAATACAACTTACAAGAAATGTGAAGGACCTCTTTAAGGAGAACTACAAACCACTGCCCAAGAAAATAAGAGAGGACACAAACAAATGGAAAAACATTTCATACTTATGGACAGGAAGAATAAATATCATGAAAATGGTCATCCTGCTCAAAGTAATTTAGATTCTATGCTATCCCCTTTAAGCTACCATTGACTTTCTTCCCTGAACTGGAACAAACTACTTTAAATTTCATATGGAACCAGAAAGAGCTTGTATAGCCAAGACAATCCTAAGCAAAAGAACAAAGCTGGAGGCATATGCTACCTGACTTTAAAGTATACTACAAGGCTACAGTATCCAAAACAGCATGGTACTGGTACCAAAACATATATATAGACCAATGGAACAGAACAGAGGCCTCAAAAATAACACCACACATCTACAACCAAATGATCTTTGACAAACCTAGCAAACACAAGCAATGGGGAAAGGATTTCTTATTTAGTAAATTGTGTTGGGAAAACTGGCTAGTCATATGCAGAAAACTGAAACTGGACCCGTTCTTTACATCTTATACAAAAATTAACACAAGATGGATTAAAGACTTAAATGTAATACCTAAAACCATTAAAACTCTAGAAGAAAACCCAGTCAGAACAATACCATTCAGAACATAGGCATGGCCAAAGACTTCATGACTAAAACACCTAAAGCAATGGCAACAAAAGCCAAAATAGATAAATGGGATGTAATTAAGCTAAAGAGCTTTTGCACAACAATCTACAGAATGGGAAAAAGTTTTTGCTATTTATCCATCTGACAAAGGGCTAATATCCAGAATCTAACAGAAACTTAAAAAAATTTACAAGAAGAAACAAACAACCCCATGAAAAAGTGGGTGAAGGATATGAACAGACACTTCTCAAAAGAAGACATTTATGCAGCCAAGAAATAAAAAAAGCTCATCATCACTGGTCGTTAGAGAAATGCAAATCAAAACCACAATTAGATATCATCTCTTGCGTGTTAGAATGGCTATCATTAAAAAGTCAGGAAACAACAGATGCTGGAGAGGATGTGGGGAAATAGGATCACTTTTACACTGTTGATGGGAGTGTAAGGATCTAGAACCAGAAATACCATTTGACCCAGCGATCCCCTTACTGGGTATATACTCAAAGGATTATAAATTATTATGCTATAAAAACACATGCACACGTATGTTTATTGCAACACTGTTCACAATAGCAAAGACTTGGAACCAACCCAAATGCCCATCAATGATTGACTGGATAAAGAAAATGTGACACATTTATACCATGGAATACTATGCAGCTATAAAACAGGATGAGTTCATGTACTTTGCAAGGACATGAATGAAGCTGGGAACCATCATTCTCAGTAAACTAACACAAAAACAGAAAACCAAACACCACATGTTCTCACTCATAAGTGGCAGTTGAACAATAAGAACACATGGACACAGGGAGGAGAACATCACACACTGGGACCTGTCAGGGGGTGCGGCACTAGGGGAACTAGCATTAGGAGAAACATCTAATGTAGATGATGGGTTGATGGATGCAGCAAATCACCATGGCACGTGTATACCTATGTAACAAACCACCAAGTTCTGCACATGTATCCCAGAACTTAAACTATAATATAAATAAAAAAGAAAAAAAAATCAGGGGGATAAAGCACTGATGGTTGCAGGTGTATTTGTGTGTGTGTGTTTTCTTTGCCATAGGCAAGAGTGTTTACTCTGGCTTGGGGAGAGTAAGTGTCTCTCTGTGCCTAGTGAAGCGGCTACATTGTCTGGGGTCTATACACTGAGGTTCATTTTCACATGCCACAAAAATTTCGGACACGGACACACACAAAGAGTTTAGGAGTGGAGGTTTAATATGTAGAAGAGAAGTGAAAGATAAACAGTTTCCTCTGTAGAGGAAGGGGTTTCTGACTGGAAAGGACAGGCAGGCAGCAAATGCACCAGGTTGTATAGTCCAGTTTTAGGAGGTGGTGTTTGATTTACATAAGGCTCACAGATTGGTTTGATCAGGTATGATGTTTACATAGCACACAGGGAAGGCTGGTCACCCCACCCTAATCTTAGGAAAATGAGTTTTCCAGTTGATTGTCACAATCTTGTCTACTTCTCGCTGTACACGTGGTTGGCAGAGAAGGGAAGATGGAGTCGCCATCTTGAACATGTCTAGTCCTTAGTTCCTGCTGGCGTTCACCATGCAAGCTCCCAGCTTGCAGGCTGCTCTTTGTTAGATAATAATTTGGGGCTGTTTTTCATGAGAAAGAAAGACTTACTGATGTCTCTGATGCCCTTGCTATCAGCCTAAGTTATTTCTTCTTAACTCCTATATTACTAGTTTTACTCCTGCAGCAGTTTTGGTACAAGGATGGGGAATTGGTAGGGCTGGGGCTGGCTGGCCTTTTGCTCACCAAGACTCCAACTGCAATGATGGTCTGGCAGGGGAGAGGGTGGAGTGCATTCCCACCACAACAGTGGCAGGGCAGGATGCACACACACAAGCATGATGGTGGAGCAAAGAAGGCATAACCCACTCACACATACATGTACTGACACAGCAATGTAGGGGATGCCGTGGGCCTCGAGGAAGCTGCAGTGTTGTGAGGAAGCAGGTCAGCTATTGCATGGCTTTAGGGGTGGCCCTGGTGCAGTTCTCTGCCATTCAGACATGGTTCACCATAACAAGAGGTGTGATACAGGACTCGAGGGCATTCAAGGCTGCCCAAAAACAGGCACTGCCAGGCTGGGACCCTGGGAGAGACCAGTAAAATAAATAATGCTCAGGTTGGACCAGCCCCATTTGATAGGTAAAACTGCCTTGCAGAGAATAGGTCTGACACTTCCTTTAGGGCTAAAGTCTACTATGGGATCAAGTCGAGCCTAGAGAGATGAGCTTCTCTGGCTATGCTTCACTACAAATGCTCCTGCAGCAATTCCTCTGGGCTCCCCTTTATCTGGCAGACTTCCCCTACCAGTTCTCTAATCAGCTCCCCATGCTAGCTCAAGTGTCCCTAATTGTTGAGAAGTCTCCTCTTGTTGGGATTATAGAGGCCCATGGCAAGAGCAGTTTGCTCATTGATAGTTCAACTCACCCATTCCCTGGAGTCATTGGGAGGCAGAAATAATTCCTGGTGCATGGTAGCCTTCCATGGGGTTCCCATCATTCTCCCACTTCTGTCCAGCTTCTGTCTTTTGTCCATCCACTGTAAGTGCCTTTCCTTTGAAAATCTGTAAGGAGTGCACAAGTCATCTCAGTCTCTTGGTTGCAGCTGTTCCAACTGGCTGTGTCTAGTCACCCATTCTGTAGGATGAATCTACCAAAGGTTTTTAAGCATAGTTGGAAAAGAAAATGAGGACAGTTGTTTAATGGTTACAAAATTATTTCAGTATGTAAACCAAAATATATCAGACACAGATCTTAATTAATTTTGACATTAATTATGCCAAATTTAAGGACGATTCCTGGAAGAAAAAAAAACAGAATCACAGAAATAGTCTGTGTTCTGTGCCTTTCTCCAAAGTTGATTTTGAGGGCTTCAATATTTAAATGGGAAAAGTGGCATAAAGGGGAAAGAGAAAGAGTTTGGTAATTCACATGTTTTAAGAAAATAGGAGAAAGCAGAAAAAATTATGTATTTGCCACATGCTCAGTCATTCAGCACTTTACATAAAATAATGTAAACACAGAAGAGTTATCTGTGGAGATATTTAAACTTCTATTTGTAGTTATTTGCTTAGGAACAGTAAAAAAGGCAGCCTTTTGCATGACTTAATATTCAGCTTAATTTTTTGGAAGAGTAAATTGAGTTCCAAAGCTTTTATTTTTCTTCCATGTTTCTCCCCATTTTTCTTTTTAAAATCTTTGGAAAAAGCCATTTACAAGAAAATGAGTTTCTGCTCTTGAGTTTTTTTCTTCTCTTATGGCTTAGACAGTTTATTTCTAGATAAATAGGTCCCACATGTTATGAAAGCTTATTTTTACCAGGCTTTGAGGTCTCACCTCTCCTGAAGAGTAAAATATGGAGATGAAGAGAGAAAGAAAACAACAAACAAAAAGTGAGAGCAATTCTGGAAATCTGACATAGACCATACTACTCTGAAGTCCATAAATCAGTAGGCAACTACGAAAGTTGTTCATGTATATAAATAGGTTGCTGTTATATTTTTCCCGAGGTTTAAGTTGTCTAGCTTCACTATACAGGGCTTTAAGAAAAGCACAGCTTAGCTGCATAAATGTCTTCTTTTGAGAAGTGTCTGTTCATGTCCTTCGCCCACTTTTTGATGGGGTTGTTTGTTTTTTTCTTGTAAATTTGTTTGAGTTCATTGTAGATTCTGGATATTAGCCCTTTGTCAGATGAGTAGGTTGCGAAAATTTTCTCCCATTTTGTAGGTTGCCTGTTCACTCTGATGGTAGTTTCTTTTGGTGCGCAGAAGCTCTTTAGTTTAATTAGATCCCATTTGTCAATTTTGTCTTTTGTTGCCAATGCTTTTGTTGTTTTGGACATGAAGTCCTTGCCCATGCCTATGTCCCGAATGGTAATGCCTAGGTTTTCTTCTAGGGTTTTTATGGTTTTAGGTCTAACGTTTAAATCTTTAATCCATCTTGAATTGATTTTTGTATAAGGTGTAAGGAAGGGATCCAGTTTCAGCTTCCTACATATGGCTAGCCAGTTTTCCCAGCACCATTTATTAAATAGGGAATCCTTTCCCCATTGCTTGTTTTTCTCAGGTTTGTCAAAGATCAGATAGTTGTAGATATGCGGCATTATTTCTGAGGGCTCAAAAAATGCTCATCATCACTGGCCATCAGAGAAATGCAAATCAAAACCACAATGAGATATCATCTCACACCAGTTAGAATGGCAATCATTCAAAAGTCAGGAAACAACAGGTGCTGGAGAGGATGTGGAGAAATAGGAACACTTTTACACTGTTGGTGGGACTGTAAACTAGTTCAACCATTGTGGAAGTCAGTGTGGCGATTCCTCAGGGATCTAGAACTAGAAATACCATTTGACCCAGCCATCTCATTACTGGGTATATACCCAAATGACTATAAATCATGCTGCCATAAAGACACATGCACATGTATGTTTATTGTGGCATTATTCACAATAGCAAAGACTTGGAACCAACCCAAATGTCCAACATTGATAGACTGGATTAAGAAAATGTGGCACATATACACCATGGAATACTATGCAGCCATAAAAAATGATGTGTTCATGTCCTTTGTAGGGACATGGATGAAATTGGAAATCATCATTCTCGGTAAACTATCGCAAGAACAAAAAACCAAAGACCGCATATTCTCACTCATAGGTGGGAATTGAACAATGAGATCACATGGACACAGGAAGGGGAATATCACACTCTGGGGACTGTGGTGGGGTGGGGGGGGGAGGGATAGCATTGGGAGATATACCTAATGCTAGATGACGAGTTAGTGGGTGCAGCGCACCAGCATGGCACATGTATACATATGTAACTAACCTGCACAATGTGCACAAGTACCCTAAAACTTAAAGTATAATAAAAAAAAAGAAAAAAAAAAGAAAAGCACAGCTTAATTTTTCATGATTTCAAATTAGAAAAAACTGGACAAAAAATAAAAAAAAACACATTATTTTGGAGACTTGTAGCCAGGAATAATTTTAGAATTTAGCCCAAATTATACAAAATAATAAACATTGAAAAGCATTAGGGAAGGCTAGAATCTAATAACAGGTATACTAATATTTCATTTCATTACATTTTTTTCTCTCTAATTCCCCAATTTTATTAAAGACAAAAATCATAGTAGGACGAAATTTATTTGTAAAACACATTATGTCCTATTGTATTTGGCTTGATTATTTGCATAAAATACAGCAGAAATTATTATGTGGCATATATGTTCTCTGTCTTTTAAAATTGGCTTTGCAGGCAGCTTTTTAATAAGGAGTCTAAGATTAGACCTTCTTAAAGCCTCAAACCCAGCTGAGGATTTATGTGTGCCTGCAGATACTTGTGTGAATTGGGTGAATTCCAGTTTTTTTTGAAGTCCCAAGAAAACTAGTAGATCCTGGGCCTGTAAAAGGTGACATTCTTTACTTACTACATGTCAGGACACTTTAACGGACAAATTATAGGGCCAGTTTCTTCAAGGGGCTTTTATAAGCTCCCTTAGTTCAGACCTATTTTCTCAAGGCAATATGAAAATATCATTTCAGTCAAAGACTTGGTAAAATGACCAGTGACTCCAACTACGTTCTGTTACAAGAGAAAACAAATTTTTATTGAACTTGCAAAGTAACTATAAATTAAGAATTAATTCAAATTAATAATTTGTAAATGAAGAATACCACAAAATAGTACTATAATTTTGCAGAAATTGTGTTGAGAGAAATAAATTATGTTTTAAGTTTTGCTCACAAGGTTATAGTTTACAGAATTGTTTAAAGAAGACAAATTTTTCTTGAATCTGAAGACCAAAAGAAAAAGAATCAGTAAATGTTTTAAACAAAAAGTCAAAAAAATTATCTCAATTTTCTGTTAGTTAAATCCATGCAATTAATTCCTCTTCTGCTCAATATTTTATTAACAGTCCTCACAAATACACCAGCTCTTCATGAGAATCCTGGAAGTATTTCTCTCTATCCTAATGGAACTATCTCCAAATTTATAAGAAATCTATATTTGAGAGTACTACTCAGGGTTCTATAGCTGACTATAAACCACCCCATAAAAGAATAATAGTATGCTGGGTGCAATGGCTCACACCTGTAATCCCAGCACTTTGGGAGCCCAAGGTGGGTGGATCACAAGGTCAGGAGATTGAGACCATCCTGGCTAACACGGTGAAACCCCATCTCTACTAAAAATACAAAAAATTAGTCAGGAGTGGTGGTGGACATCTGTAATCCCAGCTACTGGGAAGCTGAGGCAGGAGAATGGCATTAATCTGGGAGCTGGAGCTTGCAGTGAGCTGAGATCGTGGCACTGCACTCCAGCCTGGGCAACAGAGCGAGATGCCATCTCAAAAAAAAAAAAAAGAAGAAGAATAGTAAAACAAGAATTATTGATGACAAAAATATTAGAAAAGCCATGGTTAAAGACACAATTGATATAAAAATTTGTTTACTTCTGTGGCACATAATTTTACATAATAGTGATAATTACTGCTAATAACATGATATATTAAAATCAGAATTTTCATAAAATTTTGGAGCACATACTGTAGATATTTATATAAACATACTCCAAAGAAGATTAAATACCATTTCACATTTGACAATGTGTCTTGAATAATTTTATTATACCAAATAAGCTGAATATGTCTCTTTTGGACTTCAGCAGACCTACTATCAAACATACGAGGTCTAAGGGACAAAATTTAGAATTATATTTTGGAAAGGTTTATCAACACCTTATCAAAAGCTTAAAATACTTGATATTACAAAATAAGATTACAGGTTATTATAAATTAAGTCATTGATTTATCCAAAGTGATAACTCAAAGATTTTTTTAAAAAGGCAAAAACCTTTACTCTTTGTGAGAGGAGACTTACTTTTCCAAAGTATAAGCCCTACTAAAGACATAATGAGGCCAATTAAATCTCTCAAATCTTATAAATCAATCTCTTAAATTTTAATTATCTTGACTGTAGGATATAATTTCTAAAAAACTTTTAATGACTTTTTATATATTTTTTAAAGAACGGATTAATCATCCATGAAAACTTTGTTAATATAAAACAGGGCCCCAGATTCTGCTCTTGGATAAGCGAATTACAGATATTAATGTGTAATTCATAAAGAAACTCTGAATTGATCTTATGTCTCAAAGTTGACTCTTACATCTCATGCACCCATGTTTTCTTTGAGAGTCCCTTGGCCTATAAGTGTTTAATAGTTTTAATTTCTGGCCCTGTGACTCATAAACAGTGTTTATTTTAATTGTTATCTTCTCCTGGGTCTGGAGATTAGATTTCAACTGCTGTCACTGTTTACAACTTAGCAAGACTTGGTGTTATTTTTAGATGCAGGAATCAAAGTCCTTTATCTTAGTAGCAAAATGACTTTAAAAGCAATATTGAAAGTTACATGAATGTAATAACCTTAATGTTTCATCTCAGTGTTCCTTGGAATTGAATTATTTAGGCATAACAGGAATGAGTACTGAGTCACAAATGAAAATTTTTAATTTCATGAAGAAATTTAAAGCCAAGAGCATATAATGTTATGTTGGAAAAAAACTTATTTTGACATTTAAGATAAAATATTTTTAGCATGAGGCCACAACAGCGTTAGAACCTGAGGAAAGAATATGACAGAAACTGATGAAACAGTTTAAGGAGATTGTTTTAGGTGGCCCAGAGGGTAAAAGAAAACTGAAAACAGTGAGATGCCATAAAAATTGAACTTGGGGGTAAAATAAATTAAAATCTGTTGTAACTTTATTAAGAGAAAATCAATACCTTAAAATTTTTTATTATTATAACCAATTCTTTAGTTTATTACTATATTTTAAGAACAAAGCCACATCTCCATAAAGAGTATTATAAATAATTTTCTTTTAATTATAGCCCACTTGATTATTTAAATTTTCTACCAAAAATTAACTTTTTTTGAACAGTTACTTATCCTGTATTTATTTATGTATTTATTTGTTCATTTGTTAAACTTCTATTTTAGATTGAAGGGTGTAAGTGCAGGTTTGTTATATTGGTAAACTAGCGTCACAGGAGTTTGTTATGCAAATTGTTTGGTCACGCATGTATTAAGCTTAGTATGCAGTGGTAATTTTTTCCTGTTCCTCTTGTTTCCCCTACCCTCCAACCTCAGGTAGGCTCTAGTTTCTGTTGTTCTCTTTGTGTCCATGTGTTGTTATCAATAAATTCTCTATATACAAACTTTACTTTGACTCACACAAACCATTTATGACATGCTTAGACTCCCCATTTTATCCTTCACATCCCTTTTTCTTAAATAAGCAGTCATTTTATTTTAGGACACTAATTTACCATATACTATTTTTTCACATTGAAAATTGTTTCTTTTAACCTTTCTAACAAAAAAAAACCTCTTTATGTATAACTTTTTTATCTCTTTTATTTACTGGTTCCATTTACATTATTTTATACATATTCTTTAAATAACCTGTGAGTTAGACAACAATTTTATTTAGAAGAACACATTGGTTTCTTAGTAAAGAAGTTTTCCTACTGTTTTAGAAAATTGGAAATGATTCAGACACTTAATGACTTATTTAATTTAATGTAACTTTAGATTCTAAATTACTTGACACATTTATTTACATGCATTTATTTAATTTTATTTGTTTAATTACTTTTAACAGTTTACCTAGATTATTTATAAAAACCGTGATAGTATTCATTTAAATTTATTTCCCTGTTAACCATTTTTATAGCTTGTGAATTTCAGGTTATTACCTAAGTAAGAACCTTAAGGTTACATAATTTTTTTTTTTGCCAGTAACTCAAGATTTAGCTATTTTCATTAAAGCAACAATATTAAATCTTTATTTATAAAAAAGTACATGAAGATAATTCTTTTCCAAACTGCCTTTGTAGCTTTATAATATATAGCTTTATGCCATATCTTGACACCTTGTAATATTTAGCAGATATAAATTTAAAACTTCTTGACCAATAAACATAAACTATAATGTATTTTGACAATTCTGAAGACATTTCTCATTTTACTTCAACAATAACTTTAAAGCCAGTGTACTTGTCAAATATTTACTTAAGACACATGAACTTAAAATACATGTGGGTGGCCAAGCACAGTGGCTCACGACTGTAATCCCAGCAGTTTGGGAGGCTGAGGTGGGTGGATCACGAGGTCAGGAGATTGAGACCATCCTGGCTAACATGGTGAAACTCCATCTCTACTAAAAATAGAAAAAATCAGCTGGGCATGGTGGCATGCACCTCTAATCCCAGCCACTCGCGATGTGGAGGCAGGAGAATCACTGGAACCTGGGATGTGGAGGTTGCAGTGAGCCAAGATTGTGCCACTGCATTCCAGCCTGGGCAACAGAGTGAGACTCTGTCTCTAAATAAATAAATAAATAAATACATGTGGGCTTATTTACTTAATTTATTAGTACTCTTTTTTTTTTTTGAGATGGAGTCTCTCTCTGTCACCCAGGCTGGAGTGCAGTGGTGGGATCTTGGCTCACTGCAAGCTCCACCTCTCAGGTTCATGCCATTCTCCTGCCTCAGCCTCCTGAGTAGCTGGGACTACAGGTGCTCACTACCATGCCTGGCTAATTTTTTTGCATTTTTAGTAGAGAATGGGTTTCATCATGTTAGGCAGGATGGTCTTGAACTCCTGACCTTGTGATCCACCTGCCTTGGCCTCCCAAAGTGCTGGGATTATAGGCATGAGCCACCATGACAGGCCATTTTTTAGTAATCTTTTAATTTTAAGCAAATTTGGTACCTTGTGGCCACAACACATAACAAAGCACATGTACATACACATAGGACACCTAAGCAGACATGAACACTCATATGAATAAAGATCTTAAAGTTTTCAGTTTGGAATTCTAGCCATGAGATATCAATACAAACTCATCAGTTTACAAAAAAAGTTTGAATATCACCAGTGATTTTTATCTCAATAACAGTAGAAAGCTTCTCTAAGCTACAAAAAATTACATTTTAAAAATTATTATTCCTTAAGTTCTAGGGTACATGTGCACAATGTGTAGGTTTGATACATAGGTATACATGTGCCATGTTGGTTTGCTGCACCCATCAACTCATCATTTACATTAGGAATTTCTCCTAATTCTATGCCTCCCCCAGGCCCCCCATACCCCAACAGGCCCTGGTGTGTGATGATCCTCGCCCTGTGTCCAAATGATATCATTGTTCAATTACCCCCTATGAGTGAGAATATACAGTGTTTGGTTTTCTGTCCTTGTGATAGTTTGCTGAGAATGATGGTTTCCGGCTTCATCCATGTCCCTGCAAAGGACATAAACTCATCCTTCTTTATGGCTGCAAAGTATTCCATGGTGCATATGTGCCACATTTTCTTAATCCATTCTATCATTGATGGATATTTGGATTGGATCCAAGTCTTTGCTATTGTGAATAGTGCCACAATAAACATATGGGTGTATGTGTCTTTATAGTAGCATGATTTATATTCCTTTAGGTATATACCCAGTAATGGAATTGCTGGGGCAAATGGTAATTCTAGTTCTAGATCCTTGAGGAATTGTCACACTGTCTTCCACAATGGTTGAACCAATTTACACTCCCACAAAGAGTGTAAAAGCATTCCCATTTCTTCACATCCTCTCCAGCATATGTTGTTTCCTGACTTTTTAATTATTGCCATTCTAACTGTCATGAGATGATATCTCAGTGTGCTTTTGATTTGTATTTCTCTGGTGACCAGTGATGTTGAGCATTTTTTCATGTGTCTGTTGGCTGGATAAATGTCTTCTTTTGAGAAATGTCTGTTCATATCATTTGCCCACTTTTTGATGGGGTTGCTTGATTTTTTTCTTGTAAATATTTTTGAGTTCTTTGTAGATTCTGGATATTAGCCCTTTGTCAGATGGGTAGATTTCAAAAAGTTTCTCCCATTCTGTAGGTTGCCTGTTCACTCTGATGGTAGTTTCTTTTGCTGTGCAGATGCTCTTTAGTTTAGTTAGATGCCATTTGTCTATTTTGGCTTGTGTTGCCATTGCTTTTGTTGTTTTAGTCATGAAGTCCTTGCCCATCCCTATGTCCTGAATAGTATTGCCTAGGTTTTCTTTTAGGGTTTTTATGGTGTTAGGTCTAACATTTAAGTCTTTAATCCATCTTGAATTAATTTTTGTATAAGGCATATGGAAGGGTTCCCATTTCTGCTTTCTACATATAGCTAGCCAGTTTTCCCAGAACCATTAATTAAATAGGGAATCCTTTCCCCATTTTTTTTTGTCATTGTTGTCAAAGATCAGATGTTTGTAGATGTGTGGCATTATTTCTGAGGGCTCTGTTCTGTTCCATCGGTCTATATATCTGTTTTTGTACCAGTACCATGCTGTTTTGGTTACTGTATCCTTGTAGTATAGTTTGAAGTCAGGTAGCGTGATGCCTCCAGCTTTGTTCTTTTGGCTTAGGATTGACTTGGCAATGCGGGCTCTTTTTTGGTTCCATATGAACTTTAAAGTAGTTTTTTCCAATTCTGTGAAGAAAGTCATTGGTAGCTTGATGGAGATGGCATTGAATCTATAAATTACCTTGGGCAGTATGGCCGTTTTCACGATATTGATTCTTCCTAACCATGAGCATGGAATATTCTTCCATTTGTTTGTATCCTCTTTTATTTCGTTGAGCAGTGGTTTGCAGTTATTGAAGAGGTCCTTCATATCCCTTGTAAGTTGGATTCCTAGGTATTTTATTCTCTTTGTAGCAATTGTGAATAGGAGTTCACTCATGATTTGGCTCTCTGTCTGTTATTGGTGCATGGGAATGCTTGTGATTTTTGCACATTGAGTTTTTATCCTGAGACTTTGCTGAAATTGCTTATCCCCTTAAGGATATTTTGGGCTGAGTTGATGGGGTTTTCCAAATATACAATCATGTCATCTGCAAACAGGGACAATTTGACTTCCTCATTTCCTAATTGAATACCCTTTATTTCTTTCTCCTGCCTGATTGCCCTGGCCAGAACTTCCAACAATATGTTGAATTGGAGTGGTGAGAGAGGGCATCCTTGTCTTGTGCCGGTTTTCAAAGTGAATACTTCCAGTTTTTGCCCGTTCAATATGATATTGGCTGTGGTTTTTTCATAAATAGCTCTGATTATTTGAGATACTTTCCATCAATACCTAGTTTATTGAGAGTTTTTAGCATGAAGAGCTGTTGAATTTTGTTGAAGGACTTTTCTGCAACTGTTGAGATAATCATGTGGTTTTTGTCTTTGGTTCTGTTTATGTGATGGATTACATTTATTGATTTGCATATGTTGCACCAGCCTTGCATCCCAGGGATGAAGCCAACCTGATTGTGGTGGATAATCTATGATGTGCTGCTGGATTCGGTTTGCCATTATTTTATTGAGGATTTTGCATTGATGTTCATCAGGGTTATTGGTCTAAAATTCTCTTTTTTTGTTGTGTCTCTGCCAGGCTTTGGCATTAGGATGATATTGGCCTCATAAAATGAGTTACGGAGGACTCCCTCTTTTTCTATTGATTGGAATAGTTTCAGAAGGAATGGTACCAGCTCCTCTTTGTACCTCTGGTAGAATTTGGCTGTGAATCCATCTGGTCCTGGACCTTTTTTGTTGGTAGTCTATTAATTATTGCTTCAATTTCAGAGCCTGTTATTGGTCTATTCAGATTCAACTTCTTCATGGTTTAGTCTTAGGAGAGTGTATGTCTCCAGGAGTTTATCCATTTCTTCTAGATTTTCTAGTTTATTTGCATAGAGGTGTGTATAGTAATCTCTGATGGTAGTTTGTATTTCTGTAGGATTGGTGGTGATATCCACTTTATCATTTTTTGTTGTGTCTATTTGATTCTTCTCTCTTTTCTTCTTTATTAGTCTTGTTCATGGTCTATCAATTGTGTTGATCTTTAAAAAAAAAAAACCAGCTCCTGGATTCATTGATTTTTTTGAAGGTATTTTTGTGTCTCTATCTCTTTCAGTTCTGCTCTGATCTTAGTTATTTCTTGCCTTCTGCTAGCTTTTGAATGTTTTTGTTCTTGCTTCTCTAGTTCTTTTAATTGTGGTGTTAGGGTGTTGATTTTAGATCTTTCCTGCTTTCTCTTGTGGGCATTTAGTGCTATAAATTTCCCTCCAACCACTGCTTTATATGTGTCCCAGAGATTCTGGTCCATTGTGTCTTTGTTGTCATTGGTTTCAAAGAATGTCTTTATTTCTGACCTCATGTCGTTATTATCCCAGTAGTCACTCAGGGGCAAGTTGTTCAGTTTCGAAGTAGTTGTGCTGTTTTGAGTGAGTTTCTTAATGCTGAATTCTAATTTGATTGCCCTGTGGTCTGAGAGACAGTTTGTTGTGATTTCTGTCCTTCTCCATTTGGTGAGGAGTGCTTTACTTCCAATTATGTGGTCAATTTAAGAATACGTGTGATGTAGTGCTGAGAAGAATGTGTATTCTGTTGATTTGGGGTGGAGAGTTCCATAGACGTCTATTAGGTCTGCTTGGTGCAGAGCTGAGTTCAATTCCTGGATATCCTTGTTAATTTTCTGTCTCATTGATCTGTCTAATGTTGACAGTGGGGTGTTAAAGCCTCCCATTATTATTGTGTGGGAGTCTAAGTCTCTTTGTAGGTCTCTAAGGACTTGCTTTATGAATCTGGGTGCTCCTGTATTGGGTGCATATATATTTAGGATAGTTAGCTCTTCTTGTTGAATTGATCACTTTGCCATTATGTAATGGCCTTCTTTGTCCCTTTTTATCTTTGTTGGTTTAAAGTCTGTTTTATTGGAGACTAGGATTGCAACCCCTGCTTTTTTTTTTCTTTCCATTTGCTTGGTATGTCTTCCTTCATCCCTTTATTTTGAGCCTATGTGTGTCTTTGCACATGAGATGGGTCTCCTGAATACAGCCCACTGATGGGTCTTCACTCTTTATCCAATTTGCCAGTTTGTGTCTTTTAATTGGGACATTTAGCCCATTTACATTTAAAGATAATCTTGTTATGTGCAACTTTGATCCTGTCATTATGATGTTCACTGGTCATTTTGCTCATTAATTGATGCAGTTTCTTCATAGCATCCATGGTTTTTACAATTTGGCATGTTTTTGCAGTGGCTGGTACCAGTTGTTCCTTTCCATGTTTAGTGCTTCCTTCAGGAGCTCTTTTAGGGCAGGCCTGGTGGTGACAAAATCTCTCAGCATTTGCTTCTCTGTAAAAGATTTTATTTCTCCTTCACTTATGAAGCTTAGTTTGGCTGGATATGAAATTATAGGTTGAAAATTCTTTTCTTTAAGTATGTTGAATATTGGTCCCCACTATCTTCTGGCTTGTAGGGTTTCTGCCAAGAGATCTGCTGTTAGTCTGATGGGCTTCCCTTTGTGGGTAACTTGGCCTCTCTTTCTGGCTGCACTTAACACTTTTTCCTTCATTTCAACCTTGGTGAATCTGACAATTATGTGTCTTGGGGTTGCTCTTCTCCAGGGGTATCTTTGTGGTGTTCTCTGTATTTCCTGAATTTGAATGGTTGCCTGCCTTGCTATGTTGGGGAAGTTCTCCTGGATAATATCCTGCAGAGTGTTTTTCAACTTGGTACCATTCTCCCCATCACTTTCAGGTACACCAGTCAAATGTAGATTTGGTCTTTTCACATAGTCCCCAATTTCATGGAGGCTTTGTTCATTTCTTTTTACTGTTTTTTCTCTAACCTTGTCTTCTCACTTTATTTCATTAATTTGATCTTCAATCACTGATACCTTTTCTTCCACTTGACACTTTTAAAGAAAAAATCACATCCACGTTTTCACTAAACTTCACCAAATATTATCTTACTCTCCTTCTATTCTTAGTAACCCTAAATACCAGTGAATAACGTAGAATTACTTAATGTAACATGTCATGTTGTGGGAAGTCTGGTACCCCAAATGGAGGGACCGGCTGAAGTCATGGCAGAAGAACATAAATTGTGAAGATTTCATGGACATTTATTAGTTCCCCAAATTAATACTTTTATAATTTCTTATGCCTGTCTTTACTGCAATGTCTGAACATAAATTGTGAAGACTTCATGGAAATTTATCACTTCCCCAATCAATAATCTTGTGATTTCCTATGCCTGTCTTTACTTTAATCTCTTAATCCCGTCATCTTCATAAGCTGAGGGTGAATGTTGCCTCAAGACCTTGTGATGATTGCATTTGCTGCACAAATTGTTTAAACAATATGAAATCTGGGCACCCTGAAAAAAGAACAGGATAACAGCGATGTTCAGGGAACAAGGGAGATAAAGTCTGGCTGCCTGTGGGCCAGGTGGAACAGAGCCAAATTTCTCTTCTTTCAAAAGCAAATAGGAGAAATATCACTGAATTATTTTTTCTCAGCAAGGAACATCCCTGAGAAAGAGATTGCCTTCCCAGGGGGAGGTCTCTAAAATGGCCGCTTTGGGAACGTCTGTGTTTTATGGTTGTAGATAAGAGACGAAATAAGCCCGTCTCCCATAGCACTCCCAGGCTTATTAGGACAAGGAAATTCCCACCTAATAAATTTTGGTCACACGGTTGTCTGTTCTCAAACCCTGTCTCCTGATAAGATGTTATCAATCACAATGGGTGCCCGAAACTTCATTAGCAATTTTAATTTCACTCCGGTCCTGTGATCTCACCCTGCCTCCATTTGGCTTGTGATATTTTATTACCTTGTAAAGCATGTGATCTCTGTGACCCACACCCTATTTGTACACTCCCTCCCCTTTTGAAAATCACTAATAAAAGCTTGCTGGTTTTGCAGCTTGAGGGGCATCATGGAAACTGCCAACATATGATGTCTCCCCCGGACACCCAGCTTTAAAATTTCTCTCTTTTGTACTCTTTCCCTTTATTTCTCAGACTGGCTGACACTTAGGGAAAATAGAAAGGGACCCACATGAAGTATTGGGGGCTCAATTTCCCATGATATCTCTCAACTTGGTACCATTCTCCCCATCAATTTCAGGTACAGCAGTCAAGTGTATATTTGGTCTTTTCGTATAGTCCCATATTTCTTGGAGGCTTTGTTCGTTTCTTTTTACTCTTTTTTCTCTAACCTTGTCTTCTCACTTTATTTCATTAATTTGATCTTCAATCACTGATACCTTTTCTTCCACTTGACATTTTTAAAGCAAAAATCACATCCACGTTTTCACTAAACTCCACCAAATCTCATCTTACTCTCCTTCTATTCTTCATAACCCTAAATACCAGTGGATAACCTAGAATTACTTAATGTAACATGACATAAATTTAAGATTCTAAGTTACTGGAGGAAATATTGAGACTAAATATACCAAATTATTTTTACCAAAAATAGCTAATGTCATGTGTACTGAAAAGCCTCAGAGCTATTCTATTAGTCTGATAAATGCTTACTTTTTTAAAGTCACTTAATTAAAGTTTGATATGGTTTGGCTCTGTGTCCCCACACAAATCTCATTTTGTAGCTCCCATAATTTCCATGTATTGTGGGAGGTACAAGGTGTGAGAGGATTGAATAATGGGGGTGAGTTTTTCCTGTGATATTCTCATGATAGTGAATGGGTCTCATGAGATCTGATGGTTTTAAAAATGGGAGTTTTCCTGCACAAGCTCTCTCTTTGCCTCCTGCCATCCACGTAAAATGTGAATTTCTCCTCCTTGCCTTCTGCCATGATTTTGAGGCCTCCCCAGCCACGTGGAACTGTAAGTCCAATAACATTCTTGCTGCATAAATTACCCAATCCCACGTATGTCTTTAGCAGCAGCATGAAAGTGGACTAATACAGTAAATTGATACCAGTAGAGTGGGGCACTGCTGAAAAGATATCCAAAAATGTGAAAGCGACTTTGGAACTGGGTAACAGGAAGAGGATGGAACAGTTTGGAGGGCTCAGAAGAAGACAGAAAAATGTGGGAAAGTTTGGAACTTCCTAGAGACTTGTTGAATTGCTTTGATCAAAGTGCTTATAGTGATATGGACAATAAAGTCTAGGCTGAGGTGGTCTCAGATGAATATGAGGGACTTATTGGAAACTGGAGCAAAGGTGACTCTTGTCAAGTTTTCACAAAGAAACTGGAAGAATTTTGCCCCTGCCCTAGAGATTTGTGAAAAGTTGAACTTGGGAGATAAAATTTAAGGTATCTGGCAGAATAAATTTCTAAGCAGCAAGGAATTCAAGAGGTGACTTAGGTGCTGTTAAAGTCATTTAGTTTTATAAGAGAAGCAGAGTATAAAAGCTTGTAAAATTTGCAGCCTGAAAATGCAATAAAGAAGGAAAACTCATTTTCTGAGGAGAAACTCAAGCTGGCTGTAGAAACATGCATAAGTAACATGGAAATAAATGTTAATCCCCAAGACAATGAAGAAAATATCTCTAGGGCATGTAAGCAGTCTTCAAAGCAGCCACTGTCATCATGAGCCCAGGGGCCTAAGAGAAAAAACGTGGTTTCAGGGGATGGGTCCAGCATCCATGTGCTGGACTTGTGGTGCCCTGTGCCCAAGGCACTCCAGCTGTAGCTGAAAGGGGCTAAAGTAGAGCTTGGGCTGTGGCTTCAGAGGGTGCAAGCCTTAAGCCTTGGCCACTTCCATGTGGTTTTGAGCCTGCAAGTGCACAAAAGTCAAGAATTGGGGTTCAGGAACCTCTACCTAAATTTCAGAGAATGTATAGAATTGCCTGGATGTCCAGGAAGAAGTTTGCTGCAGGGGCGGGGATCTCATGGAGAACTTCTGCCAGGGCAGTGTAAAAGGAAAATGTGGGGACAAAGCCCCTACACAGAGTCCTCATTGGGGCACTGCCTAGTGGCATTGTGAGAGGAGGGCCTCTCCTACCATCCTGCAGACCCCATCATGGTAGATCCACTGACAGCTTGCACTGTGGGCCTGGAAAAGTCACAGTCACTCAACACTAGCCAGTGAAAGCAGCCAGTAGGGAGGCTGTACCCTGCAAAGCCACAGGTGCAGAGCGTCCCAAGACCATGGGAACCCACTGTTTGCATTAGCATGACCTGGATGCAAGACATGGAGTCAAAGGAGATCATTTTGAAGCTTCAAAATTTGACTGCCCTGTTGGATTTCAGACTTGTAACGGGTCTGTAGCCCTTTCTTTTTGCCCAATTTCTCCCATTTGGAATGACTGTATTTAACTAATGCCTGTACCCCCGTTGTATCTAGGAAGTATCTAACTTGCTTTTGATTTTACAGGCCCATAGGTGGAAGGGACTTGCCTATTTTCAGATGAGACATTGGACTATATACATTTGAGTTAATGCTGAAATGATTTAAGACTTTGGGGAATTATTGGAAAGCTATGATTTGTTTTGAAATGTGAAGACATGAGATTTGGGAGGGGCCAGGGGTGGAATAACAAGGTTTGGCTGTGTCTCCACCCATATCTAATCTTGAATTTTAACTCCCACAATTTCCATGTGCCATGGGATAAACCCCATTGGAGGTGATTGAATTATGCAGGCGGGTCTTTACTGCAGCATTCTCATGATAGTGAATGAGACTCATGCGATCTGATGATTGTAAAAATGGAGTTCTTGACACAAGCTTTCTCTTTGCATGCTGCCATCCATTTAAGATGTAACTTGCTTCTCCTTGCCTTCTACCATGATTGTGAGTCCTCCAAAGCCACTAATACAGAGTTGTTTATACAACTGGTACTAAATTATTATTTTCATATGGCATATATGAACAATAAACATAACAGGCCCAGACAAAGAAAAATCATATAGACACGAAAATTTTCATTTGCCTGTTTACAAAAATTTTCTTTTCTTTATCTTAGATAATTAATCTCTTGGTTATCTGTTTTATGTTCCAAACAATTGAAAACAAGGCAACTCTAACATTGTATCTCCAAAGGCATGATTTTGGTGAAGCATAGTGGAAAATATACATCACAAAAACCCAGACATAGGTCTAAACAAAGATGTGGTCTGTTACATTAACATTTTCTTCCCCTCTAGTTGAAATTCCTAGTGGTTTAGATGAAGAGAAAGAGTTGCCCTTAAATAGTGGAGATTTCCTTTAAAGATGTAAATTTCCTTTACAAAAAGGCTATATTAAAGTGACTTAGTTTGATAGGTGGTATTTTCGACTTTGCTTGATAATATTACTGACTTTAGAATGAAGCCCTTTAAGGAAAAGGGCCAAAAAGATGCACAATTTTCTTATCTAAACATACAAAGAAATGAGTAGCCCTCTGTGGTAATGCCAATTTTCTGTAAATTTTTCTGAATGATCCCTAATATTGTAGCTCTTGTACACAATTATACACACCAAATTCAAATTCTCTCAAAGTATAAGAGATAATTTCTGGTAACTTCAAAAGTCAAAGTGGTAATGCAATACAAGAAAGAGCTTTACACCTGAGATGAATCCACTCATGACTCTTGAAACCCCACAAAATAATCAGAACACCCCAAAAAGTGTAAGTAATGTCCTTATTCTGAGTTATTTAAGGAATCTGAATCATTAGAAGCCTTTTCTAGATTTTTTTTTTTACTTGGAACCAAAGATAGCAAAAGGGGAAGAAGGAGTAAGGTGGAAGAAAAAGAAACAAAAGAACAATTTTATAAAGAAAGCTAGGAGATAGAAAAACCAAATATCTTGGCTCTTTTTTTCTTCTTTGCTGCTGTGAGGAATTTTAGTGAATTCAGAAGTGTTGTTTCCCATAATTTGGAATTCTTCTTTCAATTTGTCTTAATTGGGTAGAGTTGGTCAAATCTGATGAAAGAAAAACTAAAACAACAACAAAAAATACAAAAACAGTATAATTATCGGGTACCCTGAATGTAAAGAGAAATTAAAACCATCTAGTTGACAATCTTAACTTTTAGTCATTAATGAAAATTTTCAAAACAAAATCCCAACTTACCTAAAAATAGGACCCAGGCTAAAGTCTAACTTTTTTACATTTTAGAAGCAAGAAGAAACACAAACTTACCTTCTTTACTGAAAGTGAACTGAAATGCAGCAATGAATTTTCTGCCCTTCATCACCATTAAAGCAGGAAAACTCAACTTATTTCTTGGAAGTGAATAAAACTCCAAAAAAGAAATTGTAAATCAAAATACACCCTAGATCTCAAACAAATTTGGGGATATCAGAGATTCTATGGAGGGGGGAGTTCCTGAACATCAGGTAATTGTTTTCAGAAAACAAATAAATAAATAAGTGGGCTGGAGGGAAAGAAAGGATAGTACACTAATGAACATTTTGCCACAGAAAATGAGAAGGCAGGGAAATAGTCAATAATATGTTCATCTTGTGCTCAGTAAATTTGCACTTTGCCTAGTAGAAGGTGAACATGGAGTAGCTAGCTGTGGAAATATTTATTTTTATATTTTTAATTTTACTTTAAGTTCTGGGATACATGTGCTCAACATGCAGGTTTGTTACAAAGGTAAACATGTGGTTTGCTGCACCTATCAACCCATCATCTAGATTTTAAGCTATGCATGCATTAGGTATTTGTCCTAATGCCCTCCCTCCACTTGCCCCATGACAAGCCCCAGTGTGTGATATTTCCCTCCCTGTGTCCATGTGTTCTCATTGTTCAGCTCCCACTTATGAGTGAGAACATGTGGTGTTTGGTTTTTCTGTTCCTGTGTTAGTGTGCTGAGGATGATATTTCCCAGCTTCATCCATATCCCTGCAAAGGACATGAACTCATTCTTTTTTTAAGGCTGCATAGTATTCCATGATGTATTTCTATCAATGAAGGGCATTTAGGCTGGTTCCAATTTTTTGCTATTGTAAATAGTCCTTCAATAAACATTTGTGTGCATGGGTCTTTATAGTAGAATGAGTTATTATCCTTGGTGTGTATACCCAGTAATGGGATTGCTGGATTAAATGGTATTTCCAGTTCTATATCCATCAGGAATTGCCACACTGTCTTTCACAATGGTTGAACTAATAATTTGCACTCCCTACTAACAGTGTAAAAGTCTTCCTATTTCTCTGTATCATCGACAAAAAAGAATCCATACAGCCAAGACAATCTATGCAAAATGACCAAAGCTGGAGGAATCATGCTACCTGACATCAAACTATACTACAAGGCTACAGCAAACAAAACAGCATGGTACTGGTACCAAAACAGATATATAGGCCAATGGAACAGAACAGAGGCCTCAGAAATAACACCACACATCTATACCATCTGATTTTTGACAATCCTGGCAAAAACAAGCAATGGGGAAAGGATTCCCTATTTAATAAGTGATACTGGGAAAAACTGGTTAGCCATATGCAGAAAAGAGAAACTGTACCCTTTCCTTACACCTTATACAAAAATTAACTCAAGATAGATATTAAAGACTTAAATGTAAAACCTAAAACTATAAAAACCCTAGAAGAAAACCTAGGCAATACCATTCAGGATATAGGCATGGGCAAAGACGTGATGACTAAAATACCAAAAGCAATTGCAACAAAAGCCAAAATTGACAAACAGGACCAGTGGAAATATTTTACTTTTGATCTGTAGCTATCTGCTTAAAAACAAAAAGAAAGGTGGTTCCTTGTAAGAATGAGATTTCAGCTTAAATTTTTTTTGGGAGGATTGTAAATTGAGGTTTCAAGATTTTTTTTTACAGATAGAAAAATAAGATCTACTGTTTAACAGCACAATAGGGAGACTGTAGTTAACAATAATTTATTGTGCATTTAAAAATAGATAAAATAGAAAATTTGGAATGTTTCCAAAGTATATAAATAATATTTATGTGAGGTGATAAATATTTCCATATCATATTGATTTATTACCTATTGTATGCCTATATCAAAATTTCACACATACCTCACAAATATGTACAACTTGTATGTATCTATAACATTTAAAAATAAATAATTAAATAAAAGACAAAAGAAGACTAAACTAATAATATAAGGAAAGTTTGCATTTTTAATGGTGAGAAAACAAAATTGTAGTTTTGTCTTAATGTAGTACTGTAATACTAAAACTCATGTAAAAATCTCATAAATTTATGTAATGTTTGTTTGTTTAAACAACACAAAATTCACTTTACATGCTTTTCACAACTTTCCATATTTATTAAATACTGGCAAACTGAATCCAGAAGCACATAAAAAAGCTTATCCACCATGATCAAGTTGGCTTCATCCCTGGGATGCAAGGCTAGTTCAACATATGCAAATCAATAAACGTAATCCATCACATAAACAGAACCAAAGACAAAAACCACATGATTATCTCAATAGATGCAGAAAAGGCCTTCAACAAAATTCAACAGCCCTTCATGCTAAAAACTCTCAATGAACTAGGTATTGATGGGATGTACCTCAAAATAATAAGAGCTATTTATGATAAAACCACAGCCAATATCATACTGAATGGGCAAAAACTGAAAGCATTCCCTTTGAAAACTGGCACAAGACAAGGATGCCCTCTCTCAACACTCTTATTCAACATAATGTTGGAAGTTCTGACCAGGGCAATCATGCAAGAGAAAGAAATAAAGGGCATTCAATTAGGAAAAAAGGAAGTCAAATTGTCTCTGTTTGCAGATGACATGATTGCATATTTAGAAAACCCCATCGTCTCAGCCCAAAATCTCCTTAAGCTGATAAGCAACTTCAGCAAATTCTCAGGATACAAAACCAATGTGCAAAAATCACAAGCATTCCTATGCACTAATAATAGACAGAGAACCAAATCATGACTGAACTCCCATTCACAATTCCTTCAAAGAGAATAAAATACCTAGGAATCCAACTAACAAGGGATGTGAAGGACCTCTTCAAGGAGAACTACAAACCACTGCTCAATGGAATAAAAGAAGACACAAACAAATTGGAGAACATTCCATGCTCATGGATAGGAAGAATCAATATCGCCAAAATGGCCATACTGCCCAAGGTAATTTATAGATTCAATGCCATCCCCATCAAGCTACCAATAACTTTTTTTCACAGAATTGGAAAAAACTACTTTAAAGTCCATATGGAACCAAAAAAGAGCCCGCATTGCCAAGACAATCATAAGCAAAAAGAACAAAGCTGGAGGCATCACGATACCTGACTTCAAACTCTACTACAAGGCTACAGTAACCAAAACAGCATGGTACTGGTGCCAAAACAGAGATATAGACCAATGGAACAAAACAGAGCCCTCAGAAATAATACCACACATCTATGACTATCTGATCTTTGACAAAGTTGACAAAAACAAGAAATGGGGAAAGGATTCCCTATTTAATAAATGGTGCTGGGAAAACTGGCTAGCCATATGTAGAAAGCTGAAACTGGATCCCTTCCTTACACCTTATACAAAAATTAATTCAAGGTGAATTAAAGACTTAAATGTTAGAATTTAAACCATAAAAACCCTAGAAGAAAACCTAGGCAATACCATTCAGGACATAGGCATGGGCAAGGACTTCATGTCTAAAACACCAAAAGCAATGGCAACAGAAGCCAAAATAGACAAATGGGATCTAATTAAACTAAAGAGCTTCTGCACAACAAAAGAAACTACCATCAGAGTGAACAGGCAACCTACAGAATGGGAGAAAATTTTTACGATATACCCATCTGACAAAGGGCTAATATTCAGAATCTACAAAGAACTTAAACAAATTTACAAGAAGAAAATCAAGCAACCCCATCAAAAAGTGGGCAAATGATATGAACAGACACTTCTCAAAAGAAGACATTTATGCAGCCAACAGACACATGAAAAAATGCTCATCGTCACTAGTCATCAGAGAAAAGCAAATCAAAACCACAATGAGATACCGTCTCATGCCAGTTAGAATGGCAATCATTAAAATGTCAGGAAACAACAGATGCTGGAGAGGATGCGGAGAAATAGGAACACTGTTACACTATTGGTTGGACTGTAAAATTGCTCAACCATTGTGGAAGTCACTGTGGTGATTCCTCAAGGATCTAGAGCTAGAATTACCATTTGACCCAGCAATTCCATTACTGGGTATATAACCAAAGGAATATAAATCATGCTACTATAAAGACACATGCACACATATGTTTATTGTGGCACTATTCACAACAGCAAAGACTTGGAACCAACCCAAATGTCCATCAACGTTAGACTGGATTAAGAAAATGTGGCACATACACACCATGGAATACTACCCAGCCATAAAAAAGGATGAGTTCATGTCCTTTGGAGGGACATGGATGAAGCTGGAAACCATCATTCTCAGCAAACTATCACAAGGACAGAAAACCAAACACCACATATTCTCACTCATAGGTGGGAATTGAACAAAGAGAACACTTGGACAAAGGGTGGGGAGCATCACACACTGGGGCCTGTTGTGGAGTGGGGGTGAGGGGGGAGGGATAGCCTTAGGATAAATACCTAATATAAATGATGAGTGAATGGGTGCAGCACACCAACATGGCACATGTATATGTATGTAACTAACCTGCACATTGTGCACATGTACCCTCGAACTTAAAGTATAATTAAAAAAAGAATTTGTCCTGTATATTTTTTCTTATTCTAGAATAGTTATTTTACCTTATAATAAAATTATTCTTTTTCTCTGATAAAAGACACATCATACATTTTTTGCAAACATTTTAGACAATGTTATTTCCTTCCCCTTATTATTTCTAGTAGTTTTATTTAAACATTGATTATAATTCTTACTATTTGTAACATTTAATTCATAGAGAAAACTAGAAAACATACAACTGTAAAATATCTCTCATATACCTGCATTCAGTAGCAGTGTAGCAAACTATATGAGTATGCCATTTCACTTTTTATATGTATATGCTTTCTTACAGTATAATTTCTCTATGTGGGAAAATATTTATTTGTAAATTCAAAATTATTTAGGATCTCTGCAGCATGTAAATATAAGAAACCAACTAAATGTATATAATCTTATGCTTAGTAACGATAGAGGCAGGGGGGAGACAAATGACTAGGCAGATAGGGGCAGGTCCCCAGTGAAATCCCACCTGCAAGGTAAAGACAACATAAAGCCTGAAAGCCAAACTACAGATCAAATCCATGGACCAGATTGAGAACCTGTCTTCTCATTCGGCATATTTTCCTCTGATAGATTCCCACCTTTCACTTATTTTACATATACCTACCCTTCTCTAATTGGTTGTTTACACTGTTGTGCCCACCTTTGAGTGGTGCCTTTGTTTTAACTTTTTTGCATACTCACAAACTAATCAGCATGCACTACCCTGTTCTGAGCCAATTAAAGTCCCAGACTCAGACACACTGTGAAGTAAAACAACCCAACTCTGGGTTGTTGACCACCCTTGCATCCCCTCTCTGCCAAGAGCTATTTAATCACTCAATAATATTATTCTTTACTCTGCTCACTCTTCTATTGTCAGCATATCCTCCTTCTTCTCGGAGGTGGGACAAGAGCTGAAGACCCACTGAATGTGTGTACCAGGAAGATTGTATAATCATATCCCTCTGCCCTTCACCAGCGAAGGGCAGCACCCCACACAACAGGCAGCAGGGATGAGCCAGCCTTGAAACCATAGGCCAAGGTTGGGCAGAGAACTTGCTGGCCAGGTGTCTCCAGGTGGCAAGGTGATCAAGAAAAATCCTGCATCGTTTTCTGGGTACTTAACTGGGATTTGAGGAAGGGTGAGTAAATGCAAACCCAAAGCCTCTTTCACATTTATTTCCAAGCCTTCTCATCCTAAGACTTTTTCTCAAAACAGATGGGGCACCAGGTCTGTGTTAGCCTATTCAGTATAAATGGCACAGATGTAGAGGAGGCTGCCACCTGCCCACCCCCCATTGCCCTTGGGGTCGCAAGTGTTTACTCTGTTCCAATCCAGTCTTTTCTTTCTTAAAAAAATATGGAATCTCACTCTGTTTCCCATGCTGGAGTGCTGTGGCTCAATCTTGGCTCACTGCACTCTGCTTCCCAGGTTCAATGACTCTTATGCGTCAGCCTCCCAAGTAGCTGAGAATACAGGGATGTGCTACCACACCCAGCTAATTTTTGTATTTCTAGTAGAGATAGGGTTTCACTATTTTGGCCAGGCTATTCCTGAACTCTTGGCCTCAGGTGATCTAACTTTCTTGGCTTCCCAAAGTGCTGGGATTACAGGCATAAGCCACCACACCTCATCTCCAATTCAGTCTTTTATATAGCATTTTTTTCTTTTTTTTTAATGGCACCTATCTCTTATTTATATACAATATTAAGGGTGTTGTTGCAAACTACAAAAATATTACTGGGTAGAATGAGCATTTGTCCTAGCCTTCAGATATGCTGTTTTTTAAAAATGTGATTTCTATCTATCCTTAGAGGCCAAGTGGTTGCAGCAATTAAGTTTTGTTTTCTTTTTTGAAGGAACCCACTTGCATAGAGCAAGAAGCTTTTTTTCCCAGGCATCTTTTCTTCTCCCTGCACTTCAGCTGTTTTTTTTTCTCCAAAATGTCAGAAATTCACATAGTCCTGTGAATACAGGGATCTTTTCTATGTGAGGTCCCAATTCTCAGGAATCACTTTCTCTCCTTGTTAAAAAGAGAACATGGTTCCACAGCTCTACATCAGCAGCCTGCTTCTAATAGGGAAATAGCAAAGGAGCTGCTTTACCAGTTTCTGACTGCAATTTGGTGAGGGACACCTGGGACTTAATTCAATGAGTCCATGCACCTTCCTGATGCATCTTTTTGTCCAAAACTAAATCCCAAGCTTTGGGTTGAAGTCGTCAAAATAAAAACTAGATCTGAGAGATCTAAAAGCAGACAACAGAAGTCAAGGGGCAAAGTATAGGTGAGTATGATTAATTTCTGCCAGTTACCCTGCCCCTCTGTTTCATGGATAGAGGTCATGCTAGTATCCACAGCATAGATGAGGTCAAGGAAACTCAAAGGTTACCGATATTATGTGCTGTGTTACCAGCACGTAAGTGACCTACCATCTACTACATGGATGAGGGCCACACTGATATCCATGGGCAGTACCTGCCAAGGTTATAGGTGCTCAGAAATAAAAAAGATGGAAGAAAGAAAAGGTATGTCTTTTTTTCTCTCTCTCTCACATGCCCTGGATGTTTGCTGGGAAGGAAAATATCTAAATTATACCTTTTTTTTGCCTCTGTCCAGATGGGTAACTGACCATCTTCAGCTATTTTTGTATCACAGGACACTTCCCTCATATGCATTTCCCAAATTAGAAAAAGTTTAATTTTCCCAAACCTTAAACTGCTTGGCTTAAAAAATAAACTGGGAAGAAATTACAAAGGAAATTACAATTCTAACTTAGCAATCTCCTGAGGAAGGACAACTTTTACAGTATGAAAATACCCTCTTTGTCTATTTCCCCTTCACAGGACTTAAGGGTAGATAGGGCTCTATAGCTCAGGGGAAGGGAACCCAGAAGCCTGACTTGGCAGCTAAAGGGTATAAGTTTTAACCAGTCAGACTTCTGGTCTCTCTCTCTCTCTCTCTCTCTCTCTCTGTGCAAACCAGTTGAATGAATAATACAAACCACTGTTTATATTCTCTGCAGTTTTAATTAATTGAAAAAAGATTTATAAGGCTAGTCTTAAGCTGTAGCCAATCTGGTGTGGTTTCTGTGTTTTTCTGTATCATTCTGTTATAAGAAGAAATATCTTAGAAAAAAAACACAGGCTTAGAACCACATAAGTCTGTTCTTCAAGCCAGCTGAGAAAACCAGTCAGTTATAAACTTTGCCACATGTCTCTGAGGAGAAAAAAAATGGATGGTGATGTCTCCATCTTGTTTTACTTTTTTGGGAGCTTGACCTTGTAATCAGATGGCAGTACTTTCTTCTGGTCTCTGCCTTTTTATAATGGTGGCTCAGGTTTAATCCTGGCTTAGGGGATGAGTACTTTCTGGTAAATAACTCTGTGACTTTTACCATTTGCTGATTCTCTTTCTCTCCATGAACAGCTTCTATCTTCCCTTCTTAAATCTTCCATTTCCTGAGCTACTTTTAAATAATCTAGATTTTGTAAAAACTGCCTACCTCCTGTTTGAAAATACCTCATACACTCGTGGTTAAGTCATAACCTTAGTTGTTAAAGCATGTTGGTTTCACCTGTGATGTTACTTTTGGTAACGTTTAAAACCCAGAAATATTGACTGTTTGGAATAGCTAAAGTTGAGTAATAAGAAATTTGAGGCCAGGCACGGTGGCTCATGCCTGTAATCCCAGCACTTTGGGAGACTGAGGTGGATGAACCACAAGGTCAAGAGATTGAGACCATCCTGTCCAACATGGTGAAACCCCATCTCTACTAAAAATACAAAAATTAGCTGAGCATGGTGGAGTGCACCTGTAGTCCCAGCTGCTCAGGAAGCTGAGGCAGGATAATTGCTTGAACCTGGGAGGTGGAGGTTGCAGTGAGCTGAGATTGTGCCACTGCCCTCCAGCCTGGTGACAGAGTGAGTCTCCATCTCAAAAACAAAAAACAACAACTACAAAAAGAAATTTGAAAAAATTTTTTTAAGGAGTGCTATGATTGAAACACAGTTGAATTCAAAGTGAATATCTGAGCTGTAGATATATATTTAAAAGGCCTTTATATCTTTTTCTCTTTCCTTAGATCTTGTTTTTCTGGAAAAAAGTTTATTTTTCTTCTTCTCAGTCAACAAATTATTTTTCTTTATTTTGCTTTGCCATTCTTAATGCACACACAAGAGGTCCTAAGATAACTTCTTATAGCCTGGGACTGCTTGGGGAAAACAGATAAGGTGCCACAGACCCTGTTATTAGAAAAATCTCTGTTTTCTTCATGGAACCCCAGGAATTAAAAGCAGATGGATCCCTATCAAAATCTAAGGCTCTGTTAAATCACATGCTTTCCTAGCCCTGTTTCATGAAGGGCTCCACCCTGAGGCCAATAATCCAATTAGAATATTGAAAAAAAATCTTACAACTAGTGATTCTTTTGTCTGTATAGTTATATATATTTTATGTGTGTGATGTTTATACAAAAGAGCTCTAAGTAATCATCTTAAAAATGGGTGCTTAGATCAAATAATTTTAGAAAAATAAAAGCTATAATTTCTTTTAGTTCATATTACTTTAATCTTTAAAAACTAAAAAAAGCTTTAAAATCATTAATAAAATAAAAATGTCATCAAAATCTAAACATATGGTCTAAATTATGCAGGTCATATATTGTGTTTAAATGCTTTAAGGTCATATACCGCTCTTTGAGATTTTAAAAATTGTTTGACTTGCCTGCTTCACAGTTTGGTAAGGCCTGGGGACATATCAAGTTGACCACATCTCTATGGTAAAAAGAGTCAGACCTTATCTGTGCCTAGTACAACCTAAAATAACTTACCAGGTTTTACATAAAAATTAAAAATTGTTAAGAGTTACCATTATAACATGTAATTGAGACTACTGAAATAAGATGTACATGCAAGGTGTCTAAGAAAAGTAAAATGTGATTTTAATGAAAGATTTTAAGACTACAGGGGAGTGTAAATGTTTGCCTAAGTTAGAGGATTAAAGAATTTTTCTAAATTAGATAAGGTAAAGCTAAGGTTTAAACAAGTTGTGGAAGGTTTATAAAAGTAATATTGTAAAATTAATTCTGTGTGTGAACACATTAACTAAATTCAAAATGGTTTTGTTTTTTTCCAGAAATTGAGTATTGAAATAAAAGCATAAGAAAGTTTTCTTAAGGTGCTTCTCTTTATCAAAAAATTTTAAAGGGTATAAAAGGTTTATAAGAATCTCATCTGATGGTCAAACTGATTATAATTTGACAGATTTGTCCATAAAATTTGATTTTTAAAATTGAGATTGATATTAATAGTAAACTAATGCAAGGGTAAAATTTAGCTTTCTCTCTCTTGAATAAGATTTTCATGTAACATTCAAGGATAATGAGAGATTTTTGCTTGCTTTGCAAAAAAACTACCAAAGAAAGGAAGGAAAACACAAGACAAAAATGGTTTGGAAGGCTAAGTCTTCTTTATTAATGAGTGGAGGTTTTTGCCTTTAAAAAAGTTAGTCATCCTTTTGGCCAATTAAACAACTTATGGTAACCTAAAATTCTATTTGATAATATCAAAGTGTTTTAAACCATTAACATGTTTGATATGTTTCCACAAATCAAATTTCAAGTTCAAAATTATCTTCTCTGACCCCTAACTTTTGGATGCTACAGAGACCCCCAAGGCATCCAAAAGAGAGGTAACAGGATTATTTGGCATGTTTAGTTGCATGGGATTGGCAAAATAAAAATGATGTTTAATCTTTTCCAGGTTATATTTTACTGGATAATATTAATATATGTTTCAAAATTATATGGCATTCTTAAAACTCAAATATCTGAGTATATGCTATCAATCATAATTATGGTTATTATGTTAAGTTGTTATAAACCACAGAAATAACCAAATTTGTTTGTCAATCGCATTTTTGACTACAACTATGGTGGACATTTTGTCATTCACAGACAGTTGTTTTCATGTTTTGATTCTCTTCAAAAGATAGTTTATAGTCAGCTATATAACTTTAACAGGTGCCCTTAAATTCAGGTTTCTTATAACTTTGGAGATTATGACATTGGAATAAAGGAAAACATTTCAGGACTCTTAAGGAGCTGAAACATTCATGAATATCAAGCAGAGCCTAAGTTAACTGCATGGACTGAACTAATAAAAGTCTGAAATAATCTTTTTGACCTTTTTGTTTAAAACATTGATGATTCTTTGTTTTTTGGAGTCAAGAAAACTGTTTTTTGAGCTATTTACATCTTTTAAAAATTTAGTGAAATATACTCTCTGTGAACAAAATTTGGAGCATATTTGTTTCTCTCTACTTGATTTTTCCAACATTTGGAAACTATTTGTGAGTATTATAAATTTGTGACAATATAATTATTTGCATAAGTGCAATAAGAGCCCACTTTCTTTTGCAAGAGGATGCAATTGGAGAAACTGGTTGTTTTAGCGAGGCTTTGACTGGAAGCATGATTTCCTTTAAGGAATCAAGCTTGATTTGGAGAGCCAATAAATCCCTTTGGAAAACTGGCCTCATAGCTTGTCTAGGCAGTCCCTGTAGAAGGTTTCCAACCTGTGTTGAGTAAAGAATGCCACTTTCTAACAGACTCAGGAGCTCAAATTATATTGGAACCTCAACAAGAGAGGAATTTACCCAACTCATAGGTAGAAGCCATGGCTGGGCTTGGCTTTAAAAAGTCTTATCTGAGATTCCCTATGGAACAGTGTGCCATCAGAGCCAATTTAAAAAGCCTATGTGAAAATAATTGTTTTTTACTGTACTTCATGCAAATAACCGGGTCAAGTATAAGACTAAATTTTATTTTGCAAGCAATTCAGTCCTATTATGATTTGTCTTTAACAAAAATGAGGACTGGAGAGAGAAAAATTATGATTCAAACCTTATCATATACTTGTTATTAAACTCTAGTTTCATTAGTTGTTTATAAGTTTTTGTCTGCATTTTAGAATAACCATGCTTATTTCTGTAAACACCCCAGTCATGTCTGGCTGCAGGTCACAAGACAAAATAGGGATGAGTAATGTAAAAATCTGGACTGATATTCTAATTCTGGGTAATTATCCTGCAAATCCTGCCCAGTGATAAGGGTAAATGGGGTGTGTATTATCTGGAGGTATCAGTTTGGGAAAATAAGACCAAGGGAGCTGACCAAAGCCAAACCCTGGATGCCCAAATCTTAGCAGGCATAACTATAGCCACTATTTGCCTTGTCATGTCAGCAGGCTCAGGATTTTTTGGCTGTCTTTACCATCTTGTTCCATTTCAATCCATGTCTTCTAATAAATCAGTTTGTCTCTTATCACCTTCAGGTCATCAAGCCCCAAATCCTCATGCAACCAGAGCCTTGAACAATGTCTCCCTTTTTCTGGGGACCTTTAGATAGGCCTGTGAGAGAAATCTGACTCTTTTCTTCCCAAAACAGTGCCCCCTGTCAGCAGGAAGAAGTTAAGATTGGTCATTGTTCTTATCCTAATAGTAGTTAGATGTAGCTCTTCAGAGGAGGATATGATAGAGGCAAGAGGCAGAGAAATACCTAAAAAGATAGGGATAGGTCCCCATTGAAGCTACACCTTCAAGCCAAAGACAATTCAAAGCCTGAAAGCCAAGCTACAAGTCAAATCCATCGACCAGATTAAGAACCTGTCTTCCTGTTTGGTGTGCTTTCATCTGATTGATTCCCACCCTTCACTTATTTTACATATAGCTACCCTTCTCTAATTGGTTTTTACATTGTCATGCCCACCTTTGAGTGGCACCTTTGTTTAAATTTATTTGCATACTCACAAACTGATCAGCATGCAATCCCCTATACTGAGCCAATAAAAGCAGCAGACTCAGACACACTGGGAGGAAAAACCCCCTGACTCTGTGCTGTTGGCTACTCTCACATGCCATCACTGCCAAGAGCTGTTTCATCACTTAATAAAATTATTCTTCACTCTCCTCTTCGATTGTCAGCATATCCTCTCTCTTCTTGGATGTAGGACAAATGCTCGGGCCTGTTGAACATGGGTACAGAGTAGGCTGTAACATTATGTCCCTCTGCCCTCCACCAGTGGTGGGCAGCCACCTCACATGACAGGTGGCAGGGCTGGGACAGCCCCAAAGCCACAGGCTGAGGCAGGGCAAGGGCACTGCCAACTGGTTGGCTCCAGCTGGCCAAAATGATAATGAAACATTCTGAATCAGTAATAAATATTTTAGTAGTTTATCTTACTTAAAACTGATTACATATATAATGAACATCTATTATTTAGTTCAGCATAGGCCTTATGTAGCATTTTATTAAAAAGATTTTGGAAAATACCCTTAAGTAGCCATGTTATGGCACATAATTTTTCCTGAAATAAAGTTTGTCAGAATAATACACTAACTTCATTAAAATAAATTTTATAATTTCAATAATCTTAAACAACTTTTAGACAAAAATACTAGCTTTTTTGACAAATATAATTAAGTAAAATAAAAATATATGCATCTATTATGTTGGCATGAAAGTTATCACATTTTTTGCCCCTACAAGTAATGGTGAAAACTGTGATAACTTTTGCACCAAACTAATATCATACTTAATAAAAATACCTAAAAAATATATCTGTTTTTTTTAAGAAAAAAATTAAACACTTCTTGTTTGCCAAATATTTACTCAAATTAAAAAAATTGAAAATAAATTTGTTTATTTCAGAGAGATTTTGGAATATTTAATTTATATAAGCCCTTATAATTACATAGATTTCCTTGAAATAATTTTATAAATTAATTAACTTATAATATCCTGAGGTAATAAAATATCACATGTACATAACATACATATATACACACACACAAAAATTCAAGTACACACATCCATACATATTTATAGAGAAATGTGCCAATAGAGATCTTATAACTTTTATTCTAAAATTTTAGTCATATTTAGGCATAAACGAGGATATAAATATCATTGGTTTATATAAAATAGTTGCCTCTCATTTCTTCTCACTTGATATGTTTTTCCAAATTTTATTTTTAAAAGATTGGACCAATTGAGATTACCTGATTAATATAAGAACTATATATTTCTGTCAATATTTGTGAGGGAATTTTTAAATTTTTTTTGTCCTGATATAAAATGTTGTAGAAGTTGTGAAATAAATTGTAGGTGAATGATTGATGAAGCACCAAGCAGCTGTATGGATGTCTTCAAAGCATAGATAAATGTATAAAATATGTAGCCCATTATTTCCAATCAGCCTTTCAAGACTCAATTTGTTGATTTTTTGTTCTGTGAGTTTCTTGTCAGCCCCTGATATAGGCAGGGGCATAAAGTTAAAGTGAATAGCTCAAATTGAGAAGCTGGAATGGAAAAAAAAATGCTGACAGGAATAAAATAAGGAATGTGGGAGGTAGCAGTTGGAAGGGAAACATTAAAGGACTGTAGGAAGCAGAAGGAAAACCTGCAGATGGTAAATGAAGAAAGTAGAAGCAGAGGGGAAGTGAATGGAAAGATATTAATTGGGTCACTTTGGGAAAGTTTTGTTTCCCAAGGAAGCCAGTATATTACCAAGTTATTCATAGCTAAATTATGCCAAGAAGAATGTATATAATATTAGTTCTGTGGTGGTAGAACATATGGTTAGCAGAAATTCTAAGAGAAGGTTAATCAGAAAAGGGAAAAATTTTCTGTGGGAAGGGGAGGCACCAAAGTATTTGAAACAAAAACAATATATAAACAAGATCTCTACACAGAAAAAAATATGCTAAACACTAAAGAAGAAAGTTCATCCCAAGGATAATGAGACTTTTTTAATGTTCTAAACCAGTGGTATTTTTCAAATAAAAAAACAAGTCTGGGTCTGAAACCAAGCCTCTCAAGAATATACCCAAAATCGTAAGAATCAAAATCTGCCTTTACTGTGCTTCAATGTAAAATTTAGGGTGTTAGATGATAAGTCAGACTTACCAATGCATTCCCAATGAACCAGTAAAAAATAAAAGAAAAGGTTTCAAAAGCATACAGCTAAGATACGAAGTAAGAAATTCTGGGGCCCAGTAATTAATATTAACCAGTTTATGCCATGACACCAGAAATGTAAAAAGTATTCACTGGATGCTTGTCAATAATGGGAAGAAAAACTTAATTCAAGATTATTGAAATAGGGAAGATAGATTGAACTCAACTCTGAATAAAGCAAAGACAACTAGGGATTTGTAGCCAATGATTACAGAGAAAGGTGGATGGAAATTTCCTTAGAGCAACTTAATTAGATATGAATGGTAAAAGGATTACTGCTAAATGTAACAGCATTCTTGCTAAAGGCAGGCCTAGGGCTTAGATATCAAGGGTGGGGATGAGCAACTTTAACATATTTTAAGGATGGGGGGATTCTTGCTAAATAGACTTAGGATTCTTACTAAAAGCAGAATATGAATGAAAACTAGTCAAAGACAACAACAACAACAACAAAAACAAGATGAGCCTGAATATAGCTTGGTAAATGATAGAGTTTTTGTCAGAATTATTTTTGTAAACAGAATACAGTTGAATAATTTTTAAAATTTATTCTACCAATCCATGTTTTTAATTGTGGTTTAATCTATTTACATTGAAAGTAACTAGTAATATAAAGAATCTAATTTTGCCATTTTGTTATTAATTTTCCATACAGTTTATTGTGTTTATTGTACCTTATTTACTCCATCAAAGTCTTTCTTTTTTTTGGTTGATATTTTATTGAAACATTTAAATGACCTTATTTTATTTTGCATATATTCTATAGGTAATTTCTTTGTGGTTACCATGGATACTGTATACAATATCCTAAAATTGTAACTACTTTAAATTGGTACCAACATAACTTCAACCACCTACAGAATCTTTAGTTTTTTACAGTTCCACCCTCCCACTCTATGTTTTCAATATAACAAAGTACATTTTTTATACATTGTATGCTCATTAAACTAGATTTATAATTATTTTATAAATTTGTCTTTTAAGTACTATATATGAGAGAAGTAAAGGGAGAAACCCAAATTACTAAACTAGTAGTTTTACATTTGTTCATGTATTACCTTTACCAGATATCTTTATATTTCCATAGGCTATGAGTTTCTCTATGAGGTTCTTTCATTTCAATGTGTAGGACTCCTGTTCTATGTTATAAATAAATAAACAGTAGAGTTACAACTCAAAATTACAATTATAAATATTTCTATATTTCTTTTTGTAATTGCTGACACCAGATAATTTTATATTTTTGATGACTTTAGGTTACTCTTTAGTATTTTTGGATTTTAACTTGAAGGAATTGTTTTAGCATTTCTCATAGGGCATGTCTAATGGCAATTAGCTCACTCAGCTTTTATCTAGGAATGTCTTAATTGATCCTTCTTTTAAATTTTTTATTATATATTGACAAATTGCAGTTGTATATATTTATGAAGTACAAAGAGATTTTATGATTTTGGGAGTAAAGCATTCTGTAGATATCTATCAGGCCCACTTGATACAGAGTTGAGTTCAAGTCCTGAATTGTCTGTGTTAATTTTCTGTCTCAATTATATAATACTGACAGTGTGGTATTGAAATCTCTCACTATTATTGTGTGGACATCTAAGTCTCCTTGTAGGTCTCTAAGAACTTGTTTTATGAATCTGGATGCTCCTGTATTGGGTGCATATATATTAAGGATAGTTACTCTTCTTGTTGAATTGACCCCTTTACCATTATGTAATGCCATTCTTTTGGTTTAAAGTCTGTTTTGTCAGAAACTAGAATTGCAACCCCTGCTTTTTTCTGTTTTTCATTTTTCTTCATTTTCCTCCATTCTTTTGTTTTGAGTCTATGTGTGTCTTTCCATGTGAGATGGGTGTCTTTAATAAAGCACACTGGTTGATCTTGAATCTTTATCCAGCTTTCCATTCTGTATCTTTTAATTGGGGCATTTAGCCCAGTTACATTTAAGGTTAATATAGTTATATGTGAGTTTGATCCTGTCATCATGATACTAGTTGGTTATTTTACAGACTTATTAATGTAGTTGCTTCATAGTGTCACTGATCTGTGTACTTCATTGTGTTTTGTAGTAGCTGGTAACCCCACTCTACTGGTACCAAATCACTGTATTAGTTCTTTTTCATGCTTCTGATAAAGAAATCCCCAAAACTGAAAACAAAAGAGGTTTAATTAGACTTACAGTTCCACATAGCTGGGGAGACATCCAAATCATGGCGGGAGGCAAAGGACACTTCTTACATTGTGACAGCAAGAGAAAAATGAGGAAGAAGCAAAAGTAGAAACCCCTGATAAACCCATCAGATCTCGTGAGACTTATTAACTATCACTAGAATAGCACAGGAAAGACCAGCCCCATGATTCAATTACCACCCCCCCGGGTCTCTGCCACAACAGGTGAGAATTCTGGGAGATACAATTCAAGTTGAGATTTGGGTGGGGCCACAGTCAAACCGTATCATTCCCCAACCTCACAAAACAGGCCAACATTAAAATTCAGGAACTCCAGACAACTCCAGTAAGATATTCCATGCAAAGATTAACCCCAAGACACATAATCATCAGATTCTCCAAAATTGTAATAAAGGAAAAAATGTTAAGGGAAGCCAGAGAGAAAGGCCAAGTCACCTATAAAGGGAAGCCCATCAGACTAACAGCAGACTTCTCAGCAGAAACCCTACAAGCCAGAAGAAATGGGAGGCCAATATTCAATATTCTTAAAGAATTTCTAACCTAGAATTTCATATCTGGCCAAACTAAGCTTCGTAAGCAAAGGAGAAATAAAATCTTTTTCAGATAAAAAAATGTTTAAGAAATTTATCATCACCAGGCCTGCTTTGCAAGTTCTGATATCCTTTCTTCCACTTGGACTATTCAGCTACTGATACTTGTGTTTGCATTGTAAAGTGCTTTTCAGCTACATCAGTTCATTTTTGTTCTTCTCTAAACTGGTTATTCTGGTTAACACCTCCTGTAATGTTTTATCATGGTTCTTAGCTTCTTTACAATGAATTAGAAAATAATGCTTTAGCTCAGTGAAGTTTGTTATTATCCACCTTCTGAACCCTACTTAAGAAATCAATTCATCCGTCTCATCCTCAGCTCAGTTCTATGCCCTTGCTGGAGACATGTTGCTATCATTTGGAGAAGAAGAGGCACTCTGGCTCTTTGAGTTTTCAGCACTTTTGTGTTGATTTTTTCTCATCTTCATAGGTTTATCTACACTTGATCTTTGAGGCTGCTGACCTTTAAATGGGGTTTTGTGGGGTCTTTTTCATTGATGTTGTTGTTTTCCCTTTGTTTTTATCTTAACAGTCAGGCCCCTTTTCCATAAGGCTGCTGCAGATTGCTGGGGGTCCACTACAGACCCTATTTGCCTGTGTCCCTCCCACCCCTGGAGGTATCACCAGAGGAGGCTGCAGACCAGCAAAAATGACAGCCTGCTTTTTCCTCTAGGAACTCTGTCCTAGAAGGGCACCAACCTGATGCCAGCAGAAACACTCCTGCATGAGGTGTCTGGAGACTCCTGTTGTAAGGTCTCACCCAGTCAGGTGGAGAGGGATCAGGGACCTGCTTAAATAAGCTGTCTGGCTGCCCATTGGCAGAGCAGGTGTGATGCACTAGGGGGAATCCCCCCTCAACAAGGCTGTCCTGACACTCCAGAGCCAGCAGGCAGAAAAAACTAAGACTACTGACAGATGATACTGCTGCTAACCCTCCTCCTAGGGGCCCCTCTCAGGGATATCAGAGTTCTGTCCAAAAACACCTGGCTGGGGATGCTGAAATTCCCACAGGGAGGCCCCATCCAGTGAGGAGGAGTGTACTGGGGTCTCGCTTAAAAAAAGCAGTCTGGCCACGATTTTACCCAGTCGCTGTGCTGCACTGTGGGGAATCACTTCTGGTCCTTACCACCCAGTCTAACTGACACTGGCAGCAGAGGAAAATGGCCGACTGGAGCTGCAGTGATGGTGGCCGCCCCTCCATCCTGGGAAGTTCATCTCTTAGGCAGTCTCCAGCCTGCTGTGCTGGCCAGCAACGATTTCAAGCCAGTGGGTTTTAGCTTGTGAAATTCTTTGGGAATAAGGCCACTTGACTCTGGTTTCAGCCCCCTTCCCATGGGAGTGGATGGATCTTCCACCTCATGGGAGTTTCCAGAGCTGGAGCATGTGAATTCTCCTGTGTTTCAGTGCCTGTTCGACCGGATGCTCACCTGAGCAGCTGCCGCGAGTTTCCATAGCTCTGTACTTGGTACCCAAGGCCCTGGTGGCTTGGGTTCACAGGGGACCTCCTGATCCTTGGGTTGCAAAGATCCATGGGAAAAGCATGATTTTCAGATAGGGGTACCACAATTCCTCACTGCCTCCCTTGGCTGGGAGAGGGAGTTATCTTTGCCTAATGCAGCTCCCGGGTGGGCCCTCCCTTCACCAAGCTTTCCCTTGCTCTCTGTAGGTTGCACCAACCACTTAGTTCAAATGAGAGAACACTGGTACCTCAATTGAAGATGCAGGATTCACTTGCTGTTTTCATCCTTCTCGGCAGAAGCCACAGAGAAGAGCTGTTTCTATTCGGCCATCTTGGCTGCCCGCCTGCTCCTTGATTTTATAATTCTTTTTTTTTTTTGAGACAGAGTCTAGCTTTGTCACCCAGGCTGGAGTGCAGTGGCGTGATCTCAGCTCACTGCAAGCTGCACCTCCCGGGTTCACCCCATTCTCCTGCCTCAGCCTCCGGGGTAGCTGGGACTACAGGTGCCCGCCACCAAGCCTGGTTAAATTTTTTGTATTTTTAGTAGAGACAGGGTTTCACCACGTTAGACAGGATGATCTTTATCTCCTGACCTCGTGATCCGCCCGACTCGGCCTCCCAAAGTGCTGAGATTACAGGCGTGAGCCACCAAGCCCGGCCAATTTTATATTTCTTAATACAATGTCAAATAATTAAATCAAGTGAACTAGACTATTCATTACCTCAAATATTTGACATTTTTGTGATGAAAACATTTGAGATTTACTTTCGGTTGTATTAAAATGTACAGTATAAAATTCTTAGCTATTTTCACCATGTTGAAAACATTAAACATACTTCTATCTAATTGAGGCTTTCCACCCTTTGATTATCACCTCGCTCAAACCTACAAGCCTCTGGTAACTATTCTTCTATGCTCTGCTTTTATTTATTCAATTGTTTAAAATTATACATATATGTGAGTACATGGAGTATTTGTCTTTCTGTGTTTGGCTTATTTCCCTTAACATAATATTCTCCAATTTAATCCACTTTGGATAAAATTATAGAAAGTATTATTTTCTTCAAGGCTGAATACTATTTTATTGTGTATATATACCACATATTCTTTATGTAATTATCTCTTGATGAATGCTTAGGTTAATTTCATAAATAGTGCTGCAACAAAAATGGGAAAGTGCCCATCTCTCTCACATTCTGATTTCAAATCTTCTGGGTAAATATCCAGAAGTGGGATAGCTAGATGATATGATAACTCAATTTTTAGGTTTTTTTTGTAACTTCAATACTGTTTGCAAAAATGATTATTAATTTACATTCACACACACACACACACACACACACACACACACACACACACACACAATGTTTACAAAGTTTCTCTACTCTTCACATCCTCACCAACACTTGTTAATTTTATAAGACAATAGTCATTCTAACAGATGTGAATTGATTATCTATTGTGATTTTTAATTTGTATCTTCCTAATGATTAATAGTATTTAGCAGTTTTAATGTATCTGTTAGCTGCTCATATGTCTTCTTTTGAGAAATGTCTGTTCAGGTCCTTTGCCCATGTCTTATCAGAGTGTTTATTTTCTTTCTACAGAGTTGCTTGAGTTTTTGTAAATTTTAAATATTAATCACTTATCAAATGTTTAGTTTACAAATATATTACCTAAGCCTGTAGGCTGATTCTTTACTTTGTTGAGTATTTATTTTTTTGTAAAGAAGCTTTTTATTTTGATGTAATCCCCTTTGTCCACTTTAGTTTTTTTCCCTCTGCTTTGGAGGTCTTTTTTTTTTTTTTTTAATGCCCAGAGCAGTGTTGTGTACTTTGGTCCATATATTTTCTTCTAGTACTTTTATGAATTCAGGATTTTTGTTTAAGTTTTTAATCTATTTTGAGTTATTTTTTGTATGTGGTGTGAGATAAAGGATCAATTTTATTATTTTGCATGAAAATTCAGTTTTCACATCATCATTTATTGAACAAACTGTACTTTTTCCACAAGATATTCTTGAAATCTTTTATAAAAAATAAATTGATGTTACATGTGTGGGTTAATATCTGTGTTCTTTATTCTGTTCAATTTTTAAATGTTCCTGTTTTTTTTAATGTGAGTATTATGCTGTTTTAATTACCATTGCTTTGTAGTATAATTTAAAATCAGGTAGCATGATGCCATCAGCTTTGCTCTTTTTGCTCATTATTGCGTTGGTTATTTGGCTTTTCTTTTGTAGTTACCCATGTTTTTAGAATTATTTTTTCTGTATCTTTAAAACTGACATTGGAAATTGCTTTTGGCAGTATGGAAATTATAACAATATTAAGCCTTCCAATTTTTGAACAAAGATTTGTAAATTTATTTGTCTTCTTCAAATTGTTTTATTAATGTTTCATAATTTTTGTCATGCCAGTCTTTCTACTCCTTGGTTAAAGTTATTCTTAAGTATATTCTTTCATTTATTGTAGCTATTGTAAATAACATTTTCCCTTGATTTTTTTTTTTGGAAAGTTTGTTGTTAGTGTAGAAACATGCCTTTGATTTTTGCATGCTGATATTGTATCTTGCAACTGTACAAAATTTATTAATTTAAACTTTTTTGGTGGATTATTCAGGATATTTATATATTTATGTTGTCAGCAAACAGTGACAGTTTCACTACTACCTTTACTATTTAAATGCACTTTATTTCTTTCTTTTGCTTTATTGTTGTGGCAAGTACTTACAAAATGATGTTTAATAGAAGTGGAAAGAGTGAGCATCTTTGTCTCATTATGAATCATATAGCAAAGGGTTTTAATTTTCACTATTAAATATAATGCTAGCTATGGGCTTATTATATATCACCTTTAGTTTGTTGAAATACATTTCTTCTCTAATTTTTTAATGTTTTTATTATAAAAGAATGCTCAATGTTGTAAAATGCTTTTTTGCATCTAATGAGATGGCCATAAAAATTTACTTCTTTATTCTGTTAATATGACATATTTTGTATATGTATTTGCTAATGTTAATCATCCTTGCATCATGGAGATAAATTCCACAGGACCTTGTTATATGATTCTTTTAATACGTTGTAGAATTCAGTTTGCTAGTATTTTCTTGGGTATGTTTGCATCTATGCTAATCAATGGTACTGACCTATAATTTTGTCTTTTTGTAATGTCCTTGTCTGGCTTTGGTATGAGGGTAATCCTTGTCTCATAAAAATAATTTTAAAAAGTATTTTCTCCTCTTCAATTTCTTTTGAAAACAGAAACTAAAAGCAGAAAGCTTTTAGTTGGTGAAAGATGTTGTATAATAATTCATTCTCTTCCATAATTATTGGGTTGTTCAGATTTTATTTCTTCATTATTTAGTCTGAATAGGTATATTAGTCTGTTCTCATGCTGCTATGAAAAAGATACCCAAAACTGGATAATTTTCTTTTGAGAGAGAGAGACTTGCTTTGTCGCCCAGGCTGGAGTGCAGTGGCACAATCTCGGCTCACTGCAACCCCCACCTCTCAGGTTCAAGCTATTCTCCTGCCTCAACCTTCAGAATAGCTTGGATTATAGGTGCACACTACCATGCCTGGCTAATTTTTGTATTTTTGTGGAGATTGGGTCTCTCCATGTTGCCCAGGCTGGTCTCAAACTCCTGAGCTCAAGTGATCTGCCCACCTTGGCCTCCCAAAGTACTGGGATTACAGGGGTGAGCCACTGCACCCAGCTCAGACTGGGTAATTTATAAAAAGAAGAGGTTTATTTGATTCACAGTTCCACAGGGCTCTGGAGTCCTCAGGAAACTTACAATCATGGCAGAACACACCTCTTCACAGGGCAGGAGAGAGAATGAGTGACAGGAGGGGAAATACCAGGCACTTTTAAAACCATCGGATCTTGTGAGACTCACCCATTATTATGAGAACAGCAGGGGGAAAACTCTCCCCATGATCCAATTACTTCCACCTGGTCCTGCCCTTGCCATGTGGGGTTATCACAATTCAAGGTGCGATTTGAGTGAGGATAGAAAGCCAAACCATATCAATAGGTTTTATGTGTCCAGGTATTTATCCATTTTCTTTCTAGGTTGCTCAATATTTGGCATATAGTCGCTCATAATCTTCTCTTTTGTTTGTTTTTGTTACTGTGGAGTCAGTTGTAATGTCACCTTTTAATTTTGTTATTTATTTATATGAGTCTTTTTGCTTGATTAGTATATCTAAAGGTTTGTCGGTTTTGTTTGTGCTTTCAAAAACCAAATTAAAGGAAGAGATGCCTTTAGATAGGTGGTTATCTATAGTGGTAGTTTTTGAAGTATTTAATATTGTGTGTGTGCCTTCCATAAATTTTTGCTGTTTGATTACCATTAGGACTACATAGAATATCTTACACTTGTAATAGTCTGTTTCAAGTGTTTCAAGCTGATAAGTGTTTACCTTTGATTAAGTACAATGCAACCCTACACTTTTTCTCCCACATTTTATGTTTTTGATGTCTGAATTTACATCATTTTGTGATACGTTTTCCTTGACAATTATTTTAGCTGTAGTTGTTATTAATAACTTTGTCTTTTAACTCTCATACTGGAAATAAAATTACTTTATTCACCACCATTACAGTCTTAGAATATTCTGAATATTGCTGTATACTACGTGTGGCACTAGGTTTTGTGTTTCATAAGTTTCATTTTTTTTCACTAACAGGATTGTATTTCAGTTTTAAAAACTCTTTTAGCAATTTCTGTATGGCAGGCACAGTGGTGATAAACTCGATTAACATTTATATCTATGGGAAAGTTTTATTTCTCTCTCATTTCTGAAAGAAGACTTTGCTGTGTATAGTTGGCTGGAAGTTTCTTTTTTTCTCTTCCCCACTTTCAACATATCATCTTTCTCTCGGAATTCAGGGTTTATGCTAAGTTCACTCATAGTCATATTAAAAAGCCTTGGTATCTGATATAGTTCTTACCAAGATATAAGATGCTGTCGCAATATCTTTGCTTTTGATAGCTTGATGATTGTATTATGTATTGGTAAACTCTTTGGGTTGAATTTAATTGGAGATCTTTGTGCTTCCTGTTGGATGTTGGCTTCTTTTCTCATATTAAAAATACTTTTTAAATTACTTTTAAAAAATATGCTTTCTGGCCCCTTTTCTTTTTCTTCTTCTAAAATGCCTGTTAGATGTAGGTAAGGTCTCTTGATGGTGTCCCACAATTTCTGTAAGCTTTGTTCATTTAAAAAAAATGTGTTCCTCTCAGTAGATAATTTTAAATGGTGTATCTTCAAGTGCACTGATCCTTTCTTCAGATGAATTGAGCCAGTTCTTGCAGCTTTTGATCACATTTTAAGTTCGGTTATTGTACTCTTAATCTCTAGGATTTCTATTTGCAATTTAAATTGTTTCTCTTTCTTTCCTAAATACTTGTGTTTTCATGTATCATTTTCCAAACGTTATCTTTTATCCAAATATTTCTGAACTTTACTGAACTTTTATAAATGGATTATTTTTAATTCCTTTTCTGTCATTTTTTGGATGTCCCTATCTTTAAGGTCCATTGTTAGAGCTTTGTTAGTTTGTTATGGAGATGTCATAATTTACTGAGTCTTAGTAATCACTGTTTTCTCACCTTAGTTTTCACACATGGATGGAGATTTTTGGGTTTTTTAAGAGTTCTTTGTCAGGGATAAACCTTCACTAGTCAGTCAAGCCTATGATTCTGAATGGGCCAGCTGGTAATAACCCTGGGCAGAAAGAGTTTGCTTTCTGGGTCCTTAGATTGTTGAGCTGCTGCATTTGCTCTGAATTTGGGTTGTGCAGCTGGCTAGGCTATGCTATTTAGTGAGACCACTGATGAGCTCTGTTATTAGGCTCAGCCATTGTATGAGCACCGGAATCGCCTTTGATATGGCAGGCCACAGGCTGTGTTCTCTCATCAGAAGATACCGGTATTTGATTTCAGAAGTTTGACAGAGTTGTAGGCAGGGCCTCAAGTTTATGTGAACCAGGGAAGATAAACTGTTATGCTGACTAGAAAATGTATAGTTGAGATTTGCCTTTTTCTCTTAGAGGGACCTAGGGTTGGGGTTTGAGGCTACAGGGAGTGCTGTTAAACTCATGCATGTGGCAGAACTAGTACCTGCTTGTTCTGAAAATTTATTATAAAAATATTCTTCCCTGGTCAGGGATGTAGTGTTGGTTCTGTTGCTGGGCCTCAATGCTATCTTTCTAGGGAGTCAAAGTCAGGTAGCACTTTGCACCTTTTCTAGAGGAGACCATTTCTTTTCAGGTGAGCTATGCTGTTAGCTGGTTTGCACCTCCGGTTAAGCACCACTGCTATTTATTACATTGAGATTTCACTCTAATCTGTGCACTGGTTTATTTGGGCTAAGCCTCCTTGCTTTGTTTCTACTTGACCCCTGGTGATCTAACCATTTCATTTTCTGCTGCTTCTTATTCTGTTGAATTGAGAATATAGAGGATCCCCCGGAAATTGTCTCACAATTCTAAAGAAACTGAATGTGCACCTTCTTGGCTCTGTTTTCCAAATACAGATATTATGGGTTTTAGAGAATTATCTCTGTGTAGCCCTGTGATAAATTGCATGTGGGGAGAGAGGTGATGTGGTCAAAACAAGACCTTTTATTATCTTTTTAATGCAGATTTTTATTCAGATTTATAAAACATGAAGGTGACTCAGACTTATTTTCTCCTTTGGGAGATTTTTTTCCCCAAGGTGTTCTTCTCTGTAAATAGTTGCTAGTTGATTTTTCTATTATGAGGGAAGCCTGGGATCTCCTATTCCACCACCTTGTTTTTGTCCCTCTATCACTTTTGAAAGACAGTTCTGTGGCTATATTATACTGGTTGACTTTTCTTGTCACTCAGCTCTTTAAATATTTTATCCCATTGTCTTTTTTCTTTCAAGGTTTTTGCTGATATATTTTCTAAAAATCTTAGTATTCTTTGTACATAATGAGATGCTATTCTCTTGATGTTTTTTAGATATTGTCTTTTTCTTTCAGCAGTTTGAGTATAATGTGCCTTTTTCTTGGTATCTTTGGGATTATTCTATTTGAGGCTTTTTGCCTTCTTGCATTTTTGCTTCATATGGTTTTCTTAAGTTTGGAAAGTTTTCCCCATTATTTGTTTTCAATAATCTCTCTGTGCCTTTCTCTCTTTCTTCTATTTTGGAACCCTAATAATATGTAAGCAGATCTCAATAATGGTGCCCCATAAACCTCTTAAGCTCTATTAACTTTTTTTTTTCTCTTTAGACTCATTATCTTCAAATGCACTCTCTTCAACATTTCCTATTATTTCTCCTGCTGGTAAATAACTTTATCAATGTTTTATTTTTTTGTATTTCCCACCTTCAAAATGTTTTGGTTCTTTTGATTATTTCTGTCCTTCTGCTAATATCTTGGTATTAGTCCATTCTCATGCTGCTAATAAAGACATACTAGAGACTGGGTGATTTATAAAATAAAGAGGTTTAATTGGCTAACAGTTCAGCATGGCTGGGGAAGTCTCAGGAAACTTATAATTATGGCAGAAGGGGAAGCAAACATGTCCTTTTCACATGATGGCATCAAGGAGAAGTGCAGAGCCAAAGGGGAAAAAAGTCCCTTTAAAACCATCAGATCTAATGAGAACTTACTCATTATCATGAGAGCAACAGGAGGATAACTGTTCTCATTATTAAATTAAGTCCCACTTGGTATCTCCCACGATACATGGGGATTATGAGGACTACAATTCAAGATGAGATTTAGATGGAAACACAGCCAAACCATATCATTATATTTCAGTCATGGATTATTTTCCTGATTTCCTTTATTTCTAATTCTATGTTTTACTTTTATTCTTTAAGAATGCTTAAAAAAGCTGTTGTAGTTTTTTTTTTCCAATATGTCTAGTGCCTGTGATTCTTTAGGGCTAGTTTTGACATCTTTATTTTCTTTCTTTGAGTGTGCAATTTTATTTTGTTTAAATAGCTCATGATGCTTTGTTGGAAATTAAACATTTAACAAAGCAGCTACATTTCCCAGTCTTTGAAGGGTAACAATGCATTGTGAAATACATTCACTAATTAGTAGAACATGTTTTGATCTTGGAATGCCTGGTTGGATGCTTAAGACTATTACACATTTTTTTGGCACACATCTTGTCTGGGCCTGTGTGTGTGCTTGTTTTGATTCTTTCATACACCTGGCTGTTTTTAATTTTTTTAATTTATAAAAATATCTTACTCCACCTTCCTGTCAGGGATTTGATGTTCTGTTGAATTTGGACGCATCAGATCTCTTGCCCTTAGGTGAATGCCAGTCTATAATCTCTGTCCAACTTTCACGAGTAGTGCCTTCCTATTATATAGCATTTGCTAGCCTGAGACGTGAACTATGTTGCTTTTCCCTTCATAAACTCTTAATCATGAAACCCATTGCTCATAAAGTCCCCTGAAAAGTTATACAATTACAAATATAATCTATTTTGCTCCTGCTAATTTAAAGAAGATAATTGAGAACTGAAATGCTGACTTCTTCAGACCTTGTTGAACTTCACTGGAAAAGAAGTTGAGGTAAATCTGAGTAATTTCAGAACACTTTCTGTAATTTTCAATGTTGATTTTTATGATAGGGCGTTTTATTGGTTGCTATAGACCTTTGAATGTTTTCAAGAACTCCTGTAAACTTATTTTAGTATCTAGGTATCCTGTTATGTTTACTTCTTTGCTCATTTTGTATTTTCATGTGAAAACATTTGCCTGAAGTTTTTTAGTCTAATATCTTGCTAATGTCACTTTTCTACATAATTTCTTAAAACTACATGTGAATCTGAAATTGCCTCTCTGAAATAAGTATTTTAGCATATTATTCTTTCATTTTTCAAAACTGAACCTGAAAAATGTGACACAATGTGTTATTATTATATTTTGCATACTTGAAAACAATCATTTAATGCACCTTTTATATAAGCATAAGCTTCCAATTGCCAAACAAAAAAGTTTTTAATTTTGGGAGTTATAGCTGCCATTGGGATATTGAGAATAATGGCTGCAAATCTTTATTCATTTGATTATTACTCTCTCTAATATTTTTGACTTTTATCATTAATTCAGAGTACTTTATGAGCAGAAATATAATACTAAATGGTTAATAATATTCTAGTGGAGCTCTAGTGTGAAATTAGTTTCTCTACTAGTTTGTTTAGAAAGATTAACCAAATAGAATTCTGTAGCAAAACCCCTTTAAGTTGTAATAATCAGTCAGGCATTTTGTTTCAAGGCTTTCTGCTTCCATAACATGTTTTACATAGCTAGCTATTAAATATCTTTGTCAGAGTCCAGTGATTTTGTGCATGGTATCTGACATATATAAGCATACTCCACACTTATTATGAAGTTATATATTGATAAAACCTTCATAATGTCAAAAAAATAAAGTTGAGCTATAACTTGGAGACAGTCTGCAACTAGACTGGGGTCAAAGCACAAATATTGGTTTAAAAATTGGGGAAAAGTCCAGGTATAATCTTTGAATTTTTTAAAATAGGCAAGACTCATATGATATTGAAGAGGTAAGGGGTAGTTAATAGTTGCTAAGAAGTTCGGAGAATGCAATGATAGCTAACATATAATGTATTACTCTTTTTTAATTGCCAGAGTAATATTTGACGCAAATTTAAACCTTTTACTTTTTTATCTGGGAGGCAGTGATAAATAGCTGAATAGAAGCCTTCACCAATCTTCCTCTCTGCAGAAACACCAAATTGAGCAACTATGTACACAAAAACCTCCTTATAAGAACCAAAAATTAGGTGAGCAATTGTACTACCTGGTTTTAACTTTATGTCACTAAAGGGGGCACTAAAGAGGGTAGGAAAGACAGTCTTGAGTTGCCAATGCCACCCCTTTCCAACCATAACAGTGGCCATGTTACATGTAAAAGACAGTGATTGTGGGACTTTACATTAGAACTCAGTCCTGCCCTGCCACAGAAGAAAGCCAACAGTGGGGAGAACTCAACCAGCACTGATGGATGGGATTATTTGGACCACTTCTAGCCAGAGGGGAGTCATCCATCCCAGCAGTCAGAACACAAGTTCTGGCAAGCCTTGCCACCACTGGCAAAAGAGATCAGGGGTCCTAAAAAAAACCTTAAAAGGCAGCCTAGCCCACAAAGACTGCAAATTATGAGCAGGACATAGTGCTGTGCTGGGCTTGGAGCCAGTAGATTTGGAGAGCACTTTAAGTAGTGAGACACCAGCTGGGATGGCCAAGGTAGTGGTTGTGCCACCCCTCTCGAATTCCAGGCAGTGAAGCTTGCAGCTCTTAGAGAAACTCCTTACTTTCACTCCAGGAAAGGAGAGAAAAGATTAAAGATGACTTTATCTTGCAATTTATATACCATATTAGTCACAGTAGAGTAGGTTACCAGGCAAAGTCTGAAGGCCCCATTCCAGGCCCTAGATCCTGACAAACATTTCTAGACACACCTTATTCTGGAAGGAAACCTGCTTCCTTGAAGGAAAGGACCCAGTCCAGGCAGAATTCACTACCTGCTGACTAAAGAACCCTTGGTCCCTGAATAAACAGCAGAGGTAGCCAGGAATGCATCTCCATGATCCTTGGGTATGTATCAGAGATTTGTTCACTTCAGGTGTGATGTAGCACATTCCCAACTGTGGTGACTATGTGAACAGATGCCTGCTTGAAAAAATAAAACAAAAGAATAAAAAGGACTTCATCTTCCAGTTTAGATACCAGCTTGGCCAGAGTAGTGTGCTCTCCCCACTACTGAGTTCTCCCAAGCAGGCTCTTAGAGCCCCTTATTACAGGCCTTGGCTCTTGGTCAGCATTTCTAAGTCTTTACCAACCCAGAGGTGAGCCCACTTCCCTGAAAAGAGAGTTCCAGGCCTGGCAGTATTCACCACAAGGTAACTAAAGAACACTTGGGCCTTGAATAAACATTGACGGTAGATAAGCAGTATTCACTGTGGGTCTGGGGTGGTGGTGGCCACAGGGAGAGGCTTTTGTGCTTGTGTAAAGGACTTTGTCTTGTGGCTCAGCCACAGTAGAACAGAGCACCAGGTAGATTCTTGAAATCCCCCACTTGAGGCCTTGACTCCCAGATAGCATCTCTGGACCCTCCTGGGGCCAGAAAGAACTAACTACTCTTAAGGAAAGGACACAAGCTTGACTGACTTTAGCACCTGATGATTGTAGAGCCTTAAGGTCTGGAGAAAACATAAGCCATAGTCACTCAATAGTTACTATGGGCATTGAGTCAGACCCAATGCTGCACTGGCTTCAGGTCTGACCAGTGCAGTCTCAGTGGTTGTGGACATAAGGGTGCTTGTGTCACCACTGTCACAGCACTAGGTAGCACAGGAAATATAGAGAGACTCCATTCTTGTGGGAAAGAAAGTAAGAAAAGATTTAAAAAGTGTCTGTTAATCCAGATAATTATTCCAAATCTTATCTAAGACCAACAAGGTGGTACCTCTAAAAGTCTGCAGGAGCCACAGTGTTACTGAGCTTGGGATGCTCCCTAATGCAGATATGGCTGCAGTTACCAAAAATGTAGATCACAACACCCAAGTCCCTTCACGTAACTAGTAAGCCTCTCCGTCCCCCCCAAAAACGGGTACAAACAAGCCCAGACTTAGAGGAATACAATAAATATCTAACTCTCAGACACCAACAAACATCTGCAAGTACGAAGACTATTCAGGAAAACATGACCTCACCAAACTAACCAAATAAGGCAACATTGAATAATCATGGAGAGACAGAGATAGAAGATATTTTAGACAGAATTCAAAATATCTGTTTTGAAATAACTGAATGGCATTTAAAATAACAGAGAAATAATTTAGAATTCTATAGATAAATTTGACAAAAATTGAAACAATTAAGAAGAATCAAGCAGAAATTCTGGAGTTGAAAAATACAATTGACATCCTAAACAATGCATCAGTCTTTTAACACCAGAATTGATCAATCAGAAGCAACAATTTGTTAGCTTGAAGATAGGCTACTTAAAAATACATAGAGAAGTTAAAAGTAAAAATAATACAAAAATCATGCAGTCAACTTAGGGGCCCATCGATGGTGGATTATATAAAGAAACTGTTATGTATACATCACAGAAAACTACACAGTCATAAAGAAATTGAATTATGTCCTTTGAAGTAACATGGATGGAGCTGGGGACCATAGTCTTAAGCAAACTAAAAGCAGAAAAAAAATTAAATATTACATATTCTCACTTATAATTGGGAGCTCAACATTGAACACACATAGACATAAACTTGGAAAAAATATCAATAGTGGACTACTAGAAGGGGTAGACAGGAAGTAGGAAATAAATTGACAAACTACATTTTGGGTGCTGTTCTCAATACCTAGGTCCAATATAACCATGTAACTATTTTGCACATGGACCTATTGTATCTAAAATAATATCTGATATTTTTTGAGACAAGTTCTTACTCTGTCACCCAAGCTGGAGTGCGCTGTTGTGATCCCGGTTCACTGCAACCCCCACCTCCAGGGTTCAAGTGACCCTACCTCCTCAGCCTTCTGATTAGCTAGAAATGCAGTTGCATGTCACCAAGCCTGGTTAAGTTTTGTATTTTGGGGGTGTAGAGATAGGGTTTCACCAACTTGCCTGCCCAGGGTTGTCTTGAACTCCTGGGCTCAATTGATCTAACCACCTCGGCCTCTTAATGTGTGGAAATTGCATAAATGTATACCTTAATAAAAATAACTATTGGCTTTAAAGAGGAGATAACAAGAGATCTAGAAATAGAAAGTTTATTCAAAAAGATGATAACAGAGAACTTCCAAAAAGTAGAGAAATATAGCAATATTTGAGTAAAATAAGGTAATGAAACACTAAGTAGATTAAAACCAAATAAGACTGCCTCAAGACATTTAATAATCAAATTTCCAAAATTCAGGAAGAAAGAAGGTATCCTAAAAGCGGTAAGAAATAAAATCCAATCAAATTCCAACACATCAGGCATCAGATTTTTCAGTGTAAATCTTACAAGCCAAAGAAAGTGGCGTGTCATATTTAAAGTGCTGATTAAAAAATACGCCTTAAATCCTAGAAAAATATATCCAGTGAAAACATCCCTCACAAATAAAGAATAAAAAAGACTTTTCAAGAAAAACAATATCTATGAGATTTTATCAATACCAGGTCTTTCCTACACAAAATATTAAAGGGAGTTCTTCAGTCTGAATAAAAAAGACTTTAATGAGACATAAAAAAATTAATAAAGCCTACAGAATTTACTGCTAGGAGTAAATACACAGAAAGACAAAGAATGATATTAGACTTTAATTGTGGTCTGTAAACCACTCATAATTTTAATAGAAAGTTTTAAAAAGAATCCAATAAAAATAATTCCAACAACCTTTCAAGATATAAAAAATACAATAACATATAAATAAAAATAACAAAAAGTGAAGAAGTGTACAGATGAAGTTAAAGAGTAGAGTTTTTATTAGTTTTTGTTTGCTTGTTTGTTTGTTTATGCAGTCAGTATTAAGCTGTAATCAGTTAAAAAATAATGGGTTACAAGACATTATTTGCATGACTTATTGTAGCCTTGAATCAAAAATATCCAAGAGAATTAAAATGGAAATAAAAAGCAAGATATTAGGACATACCAACAAGGAAAATTACCTTTACTAAAATGAAGACAAAAAAAGTAAAAAAAAAAAAAATAGAAGATCACCAGACAACCAGAAAACAAATATCATAGTGACAGGGGTAATTCCCTACTTATCAATAATAACATTGAATGTAAATTGACTAAACTCACCAATTTAAAGGCATAGAATGGCTGAATGGATTACAAAACAAGACCCAATTATCTGTTTCCTACAAAAACCCAAAATTCACCTATAAAGACATTATATATATATAAAAATATATGTTAATATCTTACTTTTTATTTCCATTTTAATTCTGTTGTATATTTTTGATTCAAGGTTACAATAAATCATGAAAATAATATCTTTAACCCATTGCTTTTAACTGATGACCACTTAATACTGACTGTGAAAACAAACAAAAAATAACTATATATATAATATATATTATATGTTTATATGTAATATATATTATTATATTATAAGTTTATATGTAATATATATTATTATATTATATATTTATATGTAATATGTATTATATTATATGTTTATATGTAATATATAGTATTATATTATATGTTTATATGTAATATATAGTATTATATGTTTATATGTAATATATATTATTATATTATATGTTTATATGTAATATATATTATTATATTATATGTTTATATGTAATATATATTATTATATTATATATTTATATGTAATATATATTATTATATTATATGTTTATATGTAATATGTATTATTATATTATATGTTTATATGTAATATATATTATTATATTATATGTTTATGTGTAATATATATTCTTATATTATATGTTTATGTGTAATATATATTATTATATTATATGTTTATGTGTAATATATATCATTATATTATGTATTCATGTGTAATATATATCATTATATTATGTATTCATGTGTAATATATATCATTATATTATGTATTCATGTGTAATATATATTATTATATTATGTATTCATATGTAATATATATTATTATATTATGTATTCATATGTAATATATATTATTATATTATGTATTCATATGTAATATATATTATTATATTATGTATTCATATGTAATATATATTATTATATTATGTATTCATATGTAATATATATTATTATATTATGTATTCATATGTAATATATATTATTATATTATGTATTCATATGTAATATATATTATTATATTATGTATTCATATGTAATATATATTATTATACTACATGTTTATATGTAATATATATTATTATATTACATGTTTATATGTAATATATATTATTATATTACATGTTTATATGTAATATATATTATTATATTATATGTTTATATGTAATATATATTATTATATTATATATTTATATGTAACATATATTATTATATATTTATATGTAATATATATTATTATATTATATATTTATATGTAATATATATTATATTATATATTTATATGTAATATATATTATTATATTATATATATGATGGAAAAAGATATATGATGTCAACGGAAACCAAAACAGAGCAGGAGTCCTCATGCTTATATCAGACAAAGTAGATTTCAAGACAAAACCTTTAAAAACAGACAAAGAATGCTATTATATACTAATAAAGGAAATATTTCAGCAAAAGAATATAACAATTGTGTGTGTGTGCATATAAATGTGTATATATATATATATATAAAGCACTGCCACATCCACATATGGAAAAAATTTATTAGCGCTAATAAAAAGGATAAGCCCCAATACAATCATAGCTGGAGATTTCAATATGCCATTTTCAAAATTGGACAGATCTTTCAGAGAGAAAATAAACAAAGAAATATCAAATTTAATCTTCACTATAGAACAAATGGACCTAATAGATATTTACAGAACATTTTATCTAATGATTTCAGAATAAACATTCTTCTCCTCAGTATATGAATCATTGTCAAATACAGACAATATGTTAGGTCACAAAACAGGTCTTAAAGAAAAAAATTAAATAATATCGACTATCTTCTATGAACACAGTGGACTATAACTAGAAAACAATATCAAGAAGAATTTTAAAAATCTATAAAATGATGTGGAAATTAAACTCTATGTCTCTAAATGATGAATGAGTTAATGAAGAAATTAAAATATGAATTGAAATATCTTTTCAAACAAATGATAAAAATCACAACAGTGGAGCCAAGATGGATGAATAGGAACAGCTCCATTCTACAGCTCCCAGCATGAGCGACGCAGAAGACGGGTGATGTCTGCATTTCCAACTGAGTACTGCCTTCATCTCACTGGGGAGTGTCAGACAGAGGGTGCAGGATAGTGGGTGCAGCACACCAAGCATGAGCCAAAGCAGGGTGAGGCATTGCCTCACCTGGGAGGCCCAAGGGGTCAGGGAATTCCCTTTCCTAGTCAAAGAAAGAGGTGACAGATGGCACCCGGAAAATCAGGTCACTCCCACCCTAATACTGCACTTTTCAAATGGTCTTAGCAAATGGCACACCAGGAGATTATATCCTGTGCCTGGCTCGGGGGTCCTACCCCCACGGAGCCTCACTCATTGCTAGCACAGCAGTCTGAGATCAAACTGCAAGGCAGCAGCCAGGCTGGGGGAGGGGCCTCCACCATTTTTGAGGCTTGAGTAGGTAAACAAAACAGCCAGGAAGCTCATACTGGGTGGATCCCACTGCAGCTCAAGGAGGCCTGCCTGCCTCTGTAGACTCCACCTCTGGGGGCAGGGCATAGTCAAACAAAAGGCAGCAGAAACCTCTGCAGAGTTAACAGTCCCTGTCTGACAGCTTTGAAGAGAGTAGTGGTTCTCCCAGCATGCAACTGGGAATGGACAGATTGCCTCTTCAAGTGGGTCCCTGACCCCCGAGTAGCCCAACTGGGAGGCACCCCCCGGTAGGGGCAGACTGACATCTCACACGGCCGGGTACTACACCGAGACAAAACTTCCAGAGGAATGATCAGGCAGCAGCACATGCTGTTCAGCAATATTCGCTGTTCTGCAGCCTCTGTTGCTGATACCAAAGTAAACAGGGTCTGGAGTGGACCTCCAGCAAACTCCAACAGACCTGCAGCTGAGGGTCCTGACTGTTAGAAGGAAAACTAACAAACAGAAAGGACATACACACCAGAACCCATCTGTACGTCACCATAATCAAAGACAAAACGTTGATAAAACCACAAAGATGGGGAAAAAACAGCGCAGAAAAACTGGAAACTCTAAAAATCTGAGCACCTCTCCTCCTCCAAAGGAAAGCACCTCCTCACCAGCAAATGAACAAAGCTGGATGGAGAATGACTTTGACGAGTTGAGAGAAGAAGGCTTCAGATGATCAAGGGTATCAGTGATGGAAGATGAAATGAATGAAATGAAGCAAGAAAAGAAGTTAAGAGGAAAAAGAATAAAAAGAAATGAACAAAGCCTCCAAGAAATATGGGACTATGTGAAAAGACCAAATCTACATCTGATTGGTGTACCTGAAAGTGACGGGGAGAATGGAACCAAGTTGGAAAACACTTTGCAGGATATTATCCAGGAGAACTTCCCCAACCAAGCAGGGCAGGCCAACACTGAAATTCAGGAAATACAGAGAATGCCACAAAGATACTCATTGAGAAGAGCAACTCCAAGACGCATAATTGTCAGATTCACCAAAGTTGAAATGAAGGAAAAAATGTTAAGGGCAGACAGAGAGAAAGGTCGGGTTACCCACAAAGGGAAGCCCATCAGACTAACAGCTGGTCTCTTGACAGAAACTCTACAAGCCAGAAGAGAGTGGGGGCCAATATTCAACATTCTTAAAGAAAAGAATTTTCAACCCAGAATTTCATATCCAGCCAAACTAAGCTTCATAAGTGAAGGAAAATAAAATCCTTCACAGACAAGCAAATGCTGAGGGATTTTGTCACCACCATGCCTGCCCCAAAAGAGCTCCTGAAGGAAGCACTAAACATGGAAAGGAACAACCAGTACCAGCCACTGCAAAAATATGACAAATTGTAAACACCATCGAGGCTAGGAAGAAACTGCATCAACTAACGAACAAAATAACTAGCTAACATCATAATGACAGGATCAAATTCACACATAACAATACTAACCTTAAATGCAAATGGGCTAAATGCTCCAATTAAAAGACACAGACTGGCAAATTGGGTAAAGAGTCAAGACCCATCAGTGTGCTGTATTCAGGAAACCCATCTCATGTGCAGGACACACACAGGCTCAAAATAAAGGGATGGAGGAAGATCTACCAAGTAAATGGAAACAAAAAAAGGCAGGGGTCGCAATCCTAGCCTCTTATAAAACAGACTTTAAACCAACAAAGATCAAAAGAAACAAAGACAGCATTACATAATGGTAAAGGGATCAATTCAACAAGAAGAGCTAACTATCCTAAATATATATGCACCCAATACAGGAGCATCCAGATTCATAAAGCAAGTCCTTAGAGACCTACAAAGAGACTTAGACTCCCACACAATAATAATGGGAGATTTTAACACCCCACTGTCAACATTAGACAGACCAACGAGACAGAAAATTAACAAGGATATCCAGGAATTGAACTCAGCTCTGCACCAAGCGGACCTAATAGACATCTACGGAACTCTCCACCCCAAATCAACAGAATATACATTCTTTACAGCACCACACCACACCTATTCCAAAATTGACCACATAGCTGGAAGTAAAGCAGTCCTCAGCAAATTTAAAAGAACAGAAATTGTAACAAACTGTCTCTCAGACTACAGTGCAATCAAACTAGTACTCAGGATTAAGAAACTCACTCAAAACCTCTCAACTACATGGAAACTGAACAACCTGCTCCTGAATGACTACTGGGTACATACCGAAATGAAGGCAGAAATAAAGATGTTCTTTGAAACCAACAAGAACAAAAACACAACATACCAGAATCTCTGGGACACATTCAAAGCAGTGTGTAGAGGGAAATTTATAGCACTAAATGAGCACAAGAGAAAGAAAGAAAGATCTAAAATCAACACCCTAACATCACAATTAAAAGAACTAGAGAAGCAAGAGCAAACACATTCAAAAGCTAGTAGAAGGCAAGAAATAACTAAGATCAGAGCAGAACTTAAGGAAATAGAGACACAAAAAACCCTTCAAAAAATCAATGAATCCAGGAGCTGGTTTCCTGAAAAGATCAACAAAATTGATAGACCGCTAGCAAGATTAATAAAGAAAAAAGCGAGAAGAATCAAATAGATGCAACGAAAAATGATAAAGGGATATCACCACCCATCCCACAGAAATACAAAATACCATCAGAGAATACCATAAACACCTCTACACAAATAAACTAGAAGATCTAGAAGAAATGGATAAATTGCTTGACACATACACCCTCCCAAGACTAAACCAGGAAGAAGTTGAATCTCTGAAAAGACCAACAACAAGCTCTGAAATTGAGGCAATAATTAATAGCTTACCAACCAAAAAAAGTCCAGCACCAGATGGATTCACAGTCAAATTCTACCAGAGGTACAAGGAGGAACTGGTACCATTCCTTCTGCAACTATTCCAATCAACAGAAAAAGAGGGAATCCTCCCTAACTAATTTTATGAGGCCAGCATCATCCTGATACCAAAGCCTGGCAGAGACACAACAAAAAAAGAGATTTATGGACCAATATCCCTGATGAAGATCGATGCAAAAATCCTCAATAAGATACTGGCAAACCGAATCCAGCAGCACATCAAAAAGCTTATCCACCATGATCAAGTGGGCTTCATCCCTGGGATGCAAGGCTCGTTCAACATACGAAAATCAATAAACCTAATCTAGCATATAAACAGAACCAAAGACAAAAACCACATGATTATCTCAATAGATGCAGAAAAGGCCTTTAACAAAATTCAACAAACCTTCATGCTAAAAACTCTCAATAAATTAGTTATTGATGGGACATATCTCAAAATAATAAGAGCTATCTATGACAAACCCACAGCCAATATCATACTGAATGGGCAAAAACTGGAAGTATTCCCTTTGAAAACTGGCACAAGACAGTGATGCCCTCTCTCACCACTCCTATTCAACATAGTGTTGGAAGTTCTGGCCAGGGCAATCAGGCAGGAGAAGGAACTAAAGCGTATTGAATTAGGAAGAGAGGAGGTCAAATTGTCCCTGTTTGCAGATGACATGATTGTATATCTAGAAAACCCCATCATCTCAGCCCAAAATCTCCTTAAGCTGATAAGCAACTTCAGCAAAGTCTCAGGATACAAAATCAATGTGCAAAAATCACAAGTATTCTTATACAATGATAACACAAACAGAGAGGCGACAAGTCTACAAACCACTGCTCAACGAAATAAAAGAGGATACAAACAAATGGAAGAACATTCCATGCTCATGGGTGGGAAGAATCAATACCATGAAAATGGCCATACTGCCCAAGGTAATTTATAGATTCAATGCCATCCCCATCAAGCTACCAATGACTTTCTTCACAGAATTGGAAAAAACTACTTTAAAGTTCATATGGAACCAAAAAAGAGTCCGCATTGCCAAGTCAATCCTAAGCAAAAAGAACAAAGCTAGAGGCATCACACTACCTGACTTCAAACTATACTACAAGGCTCCAGTAACCAAAACAGCATGGTACTTGTACGAAAACAGAGATATAGACCAATGGAACAGAATAGAGCACTCAGAAATAATGCAGCATATCTACAACTATCTGTTCTTTGACAAACCTGACAAAAAGAAGAAATGGGGTAAGGATTCCGTATTTAATAAATGGTGCTGGGAAAACTGGCTAGCCATATGTAGAAAGCTGAAACTGGATTCCTTCCTTACAACTTATACAAAAATTAATTCAAGATGGATTAAAGACTTAAATGTTAGACCTAAAACCATAAAAACCCTAGAAGAAAACCTCGGCAGTACCATTCAGGACATAGGCATGGGCAAGGACTTCATGTCTAAGACACCAAAAGCAATGGCAACACAAGCCAAAATAGACAAATGGGATCTAATTCAACTAAAGAGCTTCTGCACAGCAAAAGAAACTACCATCAGATGAACAGGCAACCTACAAAATGGGAGAAAATTTTTGCAACCTACTCATCTGACAAAGGGCTAATATCCAGAATCTACAATGAACTCAAACAAATTTACAAGAAAAAAATAAACAACCCCATCAAAAAGTGGGCAAAGGATATGAACAGACACTTGTCAAAAGAAGACATTTATGCAGCCAAAAGATACATGAAAAAATGCTCATCATCACTGGCCATCAGAGAAATGCAAATCAAAACCACAATGAGATACCATCTCACAACAGTTAGAATGGCAATCATTAAAAAGTCAGGAAACAGCAGGTGCAGGAGAGGATGTGGAGAAACAGGAACACTTTTGCACTATGGGTGGGACCATAAACTAGTTCAACCATTGTGGAAGTCAGTGTGGTGATTCCTCAAGGATCTAGAACTAGAAATACCGTTTGACCCAGCCATCCCATTACTGGGTATATACCCAAAGGATTATAAATCATGCTGCTATAAAGACACATGCACACGTATGTTTATTGCGGCCCTATTCACAATAGCAAAGACTTGGAACCAACCCAAATGTCCAACAATGATAGACTGGATTAAGAAAATGTGGCACATATACAACATGGAATGCTATACAGCCATAAAAAATGATGAGTTCATGTCCTTTGTAGGGACATGGATGAAGCTGGAAACCATCATTCTCAGCAAACTATTGCAGGGACAAAAAACCAGACACCACGTGTTCTCACTCATAGGTGGGAATTGAACAATGAGAACACACGGACACAGGAAGGGGAGCATCACACACCAGGGTCTGTTGTGAGGTGGGGAGGGGGGAGGGATATCATTAAGAGATATACCTAATGTTAAATGATGAGTTAATGGGTGCAGCACACCCACATGGCACATGTGTACATATGTAAGAAACCTTCACTTTGTGCACATGTACCCTAAAATTTAAAGTATAATAAAAAAAAATAAGTAAATAAAAATAAAATTTAAAAAAAATCACAACATACCAAATTCTATGAACTACAGTAAACAATGTACTAAGAGAAAAGTTTATGGCTAATAGTGACTTTATTTTAAAAAGTAGTAAAACTTCAAATAAACAACCTAATGATACAGCTTAAAGAAGAAGAAAAACAAAGGCAAACAAAACCAAAAAGTAGTAGAATAAAAGGAATAATAAAGATCTGAGAAAAAAAATATTGAAATAAAGAAAACAATACAAAAATCAATGAAATAACATCATTCTCAGCAAACTATCGCAAGGACAAAAAACCAAACAGCACATGTTCTCACTCATAGTTGGGAATTGAACAATGAGAACACATGGACACAGGAAGGGGAACATCACACACCGAGGCCTGTTGTGGGGTGGGGGGAGGGGGGAGGGATAGCATTAGGTGATATACCTAATGTTAAATGACGAGTTAATGGGTGCAGCACACCAACATGGCACATGTATACATATGTAACAAACCTGCACATTGTGCACATGTACCCTAAAGCTTATAATAATAAAAAGAAAAATGCTTCATGTTGAAAAAAAAGTTGTAAAAGGTAACTAACATCTACAAATCTTTAACTAGACTAAGAAATAAGAGAAAACTCTTGTAAGTAAAACCATAAATGAAAAGGAGACATTACAACTGTTACCACAGTAATTCAAAGGACTATTAGAGGCTACTCTGAGCAATATTTGCCAATAAATTGGAAAATTTAGAAGAAATGAATAAATTCGTAGACACATATAGCCTGCCAAGACTGAACCAAGAAGAAATCCAAAACCTGAAGAGATCAAGTATTAATCTGTTTTCATACTGCTGTAAAGAACTGCCTGAGGCTGGCTAATTTATAAAGAAAAGATGTTTACTTGACTCACAGTTCTGCATGGCTGGGGAGGCCTCAGAATACTTACAAACATGGAGGAATGTGAACGGGAAGCAAGAAATCTTCACAGGGCAGCAGGAAGAAAAATGAACACAAAAGGAACTACCAAACACTTATAAAACCATCAGATCTCATGACAACTCACTCACTATCATGAGAACAGCATGGGGGAAACCACACCCATAATCCAATTACGTCCACCTGGTCTCTCCCTTAACACATGGGGATTATGGGAATTATGGATATTATAATTCAAGATGAGATTTAGGTGGGGAAAAAAGCCTAACCATATCAGTCAAATAACAGCTAATGATATAGAAGCTGTAATAAAAAGTCTCTCAGCAAATGAAAACCTGGGACCCAATGGCTTTGCTGTTTATTTTTTTTCAAATTTTAACAAGAACTAATACTGATCCTACTTAAATGATTCTAAAAAACAGCGAAGAAGAAAATACTTCCAAACTCATTATATGAATTCAGTATTACCTTGATAGCAAACCAAAAGACACATCAAAAATATAAAAAGAAAGAAAACCGAGGGTCAATATTTCTAATGAACATTGATACAAAAATTTAGTAAAGTTGCAGATGCAAAATCAACGTACAAACCCAGTTGCATTTCTATGTGTAAACAGTGGGCAATCTGAAAAAAATTCAAGAACCTTATCTCATTTACAATGCTACAAATAAAATAAAATACCTAGGAATTAATTTAAGCAAAAAAGTGATATAAATCTAAATGAAAGCTATAAAACATTGATGAAAGTATTTTATGAGGTTTCATAAATGTGGAAAGATATTCCATATTCATTGATTAGAAGAATCACTATTGTTAAAATGTCTATATTACTAAAAGCAATCTGTAGATTCAATACAGTCTGTGTCAAAATGTCAACAACATTCTTTACAGAAATGAAAACCTTAAAAATTCTAAAATCTATAAAGAATTACAAATAACAGAACAGCCAAAGGTATTTTGAGCAAAAAGAATGAAACGGAAGGAATTACATTATCTGGCTTCAAATTATACTACAGAGCTCTAGTAACCACAACATCCTGGTATTTTAGTAAAGACTCATAGACCAATGGAACAGAATAGAAAACCGAGAAATGAATCCATACATCTGCAGTGTACTCATTTTTAACAAAGATGCAAATACACATTGGTGAAAAGACAGTCTCTTCAATAAATGGTGCTGGAAAACCTGGATATACATCTGCAAAAAAATGAAAGTAGAATCCTATCTCTGGCAATAAACAAAAATAAAATCTAAATAGATTAAAGGCTTAAATCTAAGTCCTCAAACAATGAAAGTACTAAAATAAATTGGGAATACTTTCTAGGTAATTGGAGTGGACAAGATTTTTTTGAGTAACACCCCACAAGAACAGGCAATCAAAGCAAAAATAAATAAATGGAATCACATCAAGTTAAAAAGATTCTGCAAGTCAAAGGCGACAATCAACAAAGTGAAGAGACAACCCACAGAATAGAAGAAAATATTTGCAAGCTACCCATCTGATACGGTATTAATAACTGGAATATATAAGGAATTCAAACATCTCTATAGGAAAAATTTGAATATGATTTTTAAAATTGGCAACAGATCAGAATAGACATTTCTCAAAAGAAGATATACAAATGGCAAATAGGTACATGAAAAGGTGCTCAACATCCTCGAACATCAGACAAATGCAAATCAAAACTACAAGTAGATATTATCTCAACCCAGTTAAAATAGCTTTTATTCAAAAGGCAGGCAATAGTAAATAATGGTGAAAATGTTATAAAATGGCAGCCTCATAAACTGTTGGTGTGAACATAAGTTAGTACATCCACTATGGAGAACAGTTTGAACTTTCCTCAGAAAACTAAAACTAGAGCTACCATATAATCCAGCAATCACATTGCTGGGTACACGCACTCCAAAAAGAAAATTGGTATATTTTAAAGACGTGCACTCTCATTTTTACTGCAGCAGTATTTCTAATAGCCAAGATTTTGAGGCCACCTAAATGTCCATCAACAGACTGATGTATAAAGAAAATGTACTACATATACGCGTTGAAATACTATTCAGCTTTAAAAAAGAAAGGGATCCTGTCATTTGCAACAACACAGATGGAACTGGAGATCATTATATTGAATGAAATAATCCAGGCACAGAAAGACAAATTCTGCATGTTTTCACTTATTTTGGGATTTAAAAATTAAAAATATTTGAGCTCATGAAGATAGAGATTATAATGATGGGTACCAGAGGCTGAGAGATAGTATGAAGGGGGGCACTGGAAATGGCTAATAGATAGAAAAATATAGATATAATGAAAATAGATCTATTTGATTGCAAATCAGCATAACAGTTCATTGAAACTATTTATTGTTCCAATAAATCAGGTTCAGAAAAAAATAAGTAATGGGTATTAGGCTCAATACCTGGGTGAAAAAATAACACAACACAACAAACAACAATTTATTGAGAAAAAAGTGAACTTAGATTGTTTGTAATACAAAAAATAAACACTTGCATTGACTGATACCTCATTTACCCTGGTATAATTACTATGTATTGTCTGCCTGTATCAAAGTATCACATGTACCCTACAATTATATACACCTACTATGTATCAATAAAAATTACAAAAATAAATAATGAACATACTGCTTTCTAATTAATAATCGTGTCTCTTATTGACAAGTGAATATAGTAGAAAGTTTTATAACATGCAAAGGTTTGGTGAACTACAAAATTAATTTTTGTTATATGTTGATTTATTTTAAAGAAACTATAGGTCTAAAAATTGAACATATGTTTAAAATTTAATAATACAGTGAAGTGATATAATCAAGTTTACTTACCAGAGTTGCCTGGCATGCTTCCTCACCAATAAAAAGTAAACAAAATAACAAAATAATATATATTTTGACTAGAGTAGCTTAAAAAATATGCTGGAGAGCACAAGGGAAGCAAGAAAATTTCTATGAAATATAAAAGCACAGGATAGCACCATAGTGTGGGGACCAAGTGGGAACTTCTGAAAGAAGAAAGGTACGCTGGCCCTCATCATTCCCCATCTCCACCAGAGATGCCAACAGTCATTGCTACAGTAGTATCCCCTACTGCCCATAGGTTTGGAATCTAATGTGCACAGTTACCAGGTTTTTGTGTGTTTGCATTGCTCCATAGCAGAAACAGTCTTTGCAACCTAACTCTCATGAGCTGAGTGGTTATGGCATAATTCCATCTTGAAACGTGGCCCATAGCTGGCATGTATTTTGTCCTGGGGGCCAGTAACTACCAAGCACCTTTATCTCTGAAGATCCACCATAATTTTTACTATGATTCCTCGGGTGCATGCAACACTGATTCCCTGACAAAGTGAGAGGGCCTTGCAAAGCTCCCTGAAACACTGTGCCCATGTCTGACTAAACAGTAAGCCTAGTGGTTGCTCTACCCTCCAAGAGAACTTGCTAAACAGTCTTATAACCCACCATGTACACGTATACCCAACTGACAACCAATCTGGTGCCACAACACTGCCAAAATCTTGAAATTGCCATTACACACTCCCACATGCCTAGATTACAAAGATAATTACAGAAATTGCAGGCAAAATTTACAGCTGAAAATCTATACAAAGGCCACACTATTGAGTCCAATGAGAACTAGAGCTAATATACCATTCCAAACCAACAAGCTAGAAACCATACATAAGAAGAATATCTCTTCCTATAAAAAACTATTTGAAAAAAATGGGAAAAGTACCTGTTCATATAGATACACAGATATTAACGTTAAAAAACATGAAAATACAAAAAAAAACTCACCAAAAGTTACACAGTAAGTCTCAAGTAACAGACCAGACAGAACTGAATATTTAATAAATACTTAAAAAGAAATGTGAAATAAATATTATTCTAAACTCAGAAAAATACAAGAGAATATAAACAATCCATTAAAATAAGAAAAATATGAATGATCTAAATAAGAAATTTTACAAAGTAATGGACATAAAATAAAAAAACCAAACCCCACAGTATCAGCCCCAAAACTTTTTAAGCTAATAATAACTTCAGCAAAGTCTCAGGGTACAATATAAATGTGCAAAAGTCACTGGCATTCCTATACACCAACAACAGAAAAGCTGAGAGCCAAATCAGGAATGCAATCCCATTCACAATTACCACAAAAAAAGTCTGAGAATGCAGCTAATCAGGGAGGTAAAATATCTCTACAAGGACAATTACAAAGCACAGCTCAAAGAAATCAGAGATGATTCAAACAGATAATAATACATTTCATGTTCATAAACAGAAAGAATCAACATTGTTAAAATAGCTATACTGCCCAAAGCTATTTACAAGTTTACTGCAATTCCTATTATGTACAAATTACATTCTTCACAAAACTAGAAAAAACAATCTTAAAATACATATGGAACAAAAAAATCCCAAATAGCCAAGGCAATCCTAAGCAAAAAGGACAAAGCTGGAGGCATCATGCTACCCGACTTTAAACTACAGGGGCTACAGTAATCAAAACAGTGTGCTACTGGTACTAAAACACACATAGACCAATGAAACAGAATAGAGAACTCAGAAATAAGGACACACACCTGCAACTATTTAATCTTCCACAAACATGATTAAAACAAGCAATGTGGAAATGACTCCCTATTCACTAAACTGTGCAAGAATAACTGGCTAGACATATGCAAAAGATTGAAACCTGACCCTTTCCTTACACCACATACAAAAATTAACTCAAGATGAATAAAAGACTTAAATGGAAAACCCAAAACTATAAAGACCCTGAAAGACAACCTAAGCAATATAATCCTGGACATAGGAACAGGCAAAGATTTTATAACAAAGTTGACAATAGAACTCTTGCACAGCAAAACAACAACAACAACAACAACAACAATAACAACAACAACAACTATCAACATAGTGAACAGAAAACCTGCAGAATGAAAGAAAATTTTTGCAAACTATACATCTGACAACAGTCTGATATCCAGCATCCATAAGTATCTTAAACAAAGTTATAAGACATCAAAAACCTCATTTAAATTGGGCAAAGGACAGGAACAGACCCTTTTCAAAAGAAGACATACACATGGCCAAGAATCATGAAAAAAAGCTTAACCTCACTTATCATTAGAGAAATGGATATCAAAACCACAATGAGAACACCATCTCCCACCAGTCAGAATGGGTATTTTTCAAAAGTAAAAACATAATATATGCTGGTGAGTTTGCAGAGAAAAAGAAATGCTCATATACTGTTGATGGGAGTGTAAATTAGTTCAACCATTGTAGAAGACAGTGTGTTGATTCCTCAAAGGCTAAAAAATAGAAATGCCATTTGACCCAGCAATCACATTACTGGGTATATATACAAAGGAATATAAATTATTCTATTATAAAGACACAGGCATGCATATGTTCATTGCAGCACTATGCACAATAGCAAATACATAGAATCAACCTAAATTCTCATCAGTGGTAGTCTGGGTAAATAAAACGTGGTACATATACACTATGAAATACTTTGCAACCATAAAAATAATGAGATCATGTCTTCTGTCAAAACATGGCTGGAGTTGGAGGCCATTATCTGTATCAAATTAATGCAGAAACTGAAAACCAAATACTGCAAGTTCTCACTTATAAGTTGGAACAAGTAATGAGAACACATGGACTCATAGGGAGGACCAACAGTCACTGGGACCTATTGGAGGATAAAGAGTGGGAGGAAAGAGAGGATCAGAAAAAATAGGTAATGCGTACTAGGCTCTATTACCTGGGTGAAAAAATAACGTAACTTAAATTTACCTATATAACAGATTTGCTCATGTAGCCCCAAACTTAAAGTAAAAGATAACTTTTAAAAAATCTGTAAACTGAAGTATGCAATAAATAAAATAAAAAATCAGTTGAGGCCTTTAACAACAGACAAGATTAAGCAAATACAGAATTTCTGTACACAGAAAAAGGTATTTTGGTATAACACAATCACAGGAATAAAGAAAAACAAGAATAGCAAATGGCAAAGAAAGCCTATAGGACTTTTGGAGCATCATTAAATGAATATACATTTACTTTTTTTTTTTTTTACTTTAAGTTCTAGGATACATGTGCTGAACATGCAGGTTTGTTACACAGGTATACATGTGCCATGGTGGTCTGCTGCACCTATCAACCTGTCATCTAGGTTTTCAGCTCTGCATGCATTAGATATTTGTCCTAATGCTCTCCCTCCCATTGCCCCCCACCCAGTGACAGGCCCCAGTGTGTGATGTTCCCCTCCCTGTGTCCATGTGTTCTCACTGTTCAACTGCCACTTACGAGTGACAACATATGGTGTTTGGTTTTCTGTTCCTGTGTTAGTTTGCTGAGAATGGTAGTTTCCAGTTTCATCCATGTCCCTGTAAAGGACATGAACTCTTCATTTTTTATGGCTGCATAGTATTCCATACTGTATATGTGCCATATTTTCTTTATCCAGTCTATCATTGATGGGCATTTGGGTTGGTTCCAAGCCTTTGCTATTTTAAATAGTGCTGCAATAAACATACATGTGCATGTGTCTTTATAATAGAATTATGTATAATCTTTTGGATATATACCCAGTAATGGCACTGATGGGTCAAATGATATTTCTGGTTCTAGATCCCTGAGGAAAAGCCACACTGTCTCCCACAATAGATGAACTAATTTACACTCCTAGCAACAGTGTAAAAACATTCCTATTTCTCCACATCCTTGCCAGCATCTGTTGTTTCCAGACTTTTCAATGATTGCCATTCTAACTGGCATGAGATGGTATCTTATTGTGGTTTTGATTTGCATTTCTCTAATGACCAGTGATTATGAGCTTTTTCTTAATGTTTGTTGGCTGCATAAATGTCTTCTTTTTAAAAGTGTCTGTTCATGTCCTTCACCCACTTTTTGAATAGGTTTTTTTTTCTTGTAAATTTGTTTAAGTTTCTTGTAGATTCTGGATATTAGCCCTTTGTCAGATAGATTGCAAAACTTTTCTCCCATTCTGTAGGTTGCCAATTCACTCTGATGTTAGTTTCTTTCCCTGAGCAGAAACTCTTTAGTTTAATTAAATCTCATTTGTCAATTTTGTCTTTCGTTGCAATTGCTTTTGGTGTTTTATTCATGAAGTATTTGCCTATGACTGTGTCCTGAATAGTATTGCCTAGGTTTTATCCTAGGGTTTGTATAGTTTTAGGTTTTATATATAAGTCTCTAATCCATCTTGAGTTAATTACTGTATAAGGTGTAAGGAAGGGATCTAATTTCAGGTTTCTGCATATGGCTAGTCAGTTTTCCCAACACTATTTATTAACTAGGAATTCCTTTCCCCATTGCTTGTTTTTGTCAGGTTTGTTGAAGATTAGATGGTTGTAGATGTGTGGTGTTACTACTGAGGCCTCTGTCCCATTGGTCTATATATCTGTTTTGGTACCAGTACCATGCTATATTGGTTACTGTAGCCTTGTAGTGTAGTTTGAAGTCCAGTGGAATGATGCCTCTAGCTCTGTTCTTTTTGATTAGGATTGTCCTGGCTATATGGGCTCTTTTTTGGTTCCATACAAAATTTAAAGTAGTTTTTTCTAGTTCTGTGAAATAAGTCTATGGTAGCTTGGTGGAAATAGCATTGAATCTGTATATTACTTTGGGCAGTTTGGCCATTTCCACAATATTAATTCTTCCTCTCCATGAGCATAGAATTTTTTTTCCATTTGTTTTTTTCCTCTCTTATTTCCTTGAGCAGTGGTTTGCAGTTCTCCTTGAAAAGGTCCTTCATGTTCCTTGTAAGTTTTAATCCTAGGTATTTTATTTTCTCTGTAGCAATTGTGAATGGGAGTTCACTCATGATTTGGCTCTGTTTGTCTATTATTGGTGTATTGGAATGCTTGTGATATTTGCACATTGGTTTTGTATCCTGACATTTTGCTGAAGTTGGTTATCAGCTTAAGGAGGTTTTGGCCTGAGACGATGGGGTTTACCAAATATTCAATCATGTTGTCTGCAAACAGAGACAAGTTGACTTCCTCTCTTCCTATTTGAATACCATTTATTTCTTTCTCTTGCCTCATTGCTCTGGCCAGAACTTCCAATACTTTGTTTAATAGGAGTGGTTAGAGAGGGAATCCTTGTCTTGTGCCAGTTTTCAAAGGGAATGCTACCAGCTTTTGCACATTCAATATGATATTGGCTATGGGTGTGTCATAAATAGCTCTTATTATTTTGATATATGTTCCATCAATACCTAGTTTATTGAGAGTTTTTAGCATGAAGCATTGTTAAATTTTATCAAAGGCCTTTTCAGTATCTATTGAGATGATCATGTGGTTCATTGTTCATTGGTTCTGTTTATGTGATGAATTATGTTTATTTATTTGTGTATGTTGAACCACCCTTGCATCTCAGGGATGAAGGTGACTTGATCATGGTGGATAAGCTTTTTGATGTGCTGCTGGATTCCGTTTGCCAGTATTTTATTGAGGATTTTCATATCAATGTTCATCAGGGATATTCGCCTGAAATTTTCTTTTTTAGTTGTTTCTATGCAAGATTTTGGTATCAGGATGATGCTGGCCTCATAAAATGAGTTATGGAGGAGTCTCTCTTTTTCTACTGTTTCGAATAGTTTCAGAAGGAATAGTACCAGCCCCTCCTTGTATCTCTGATAGAATTCAGCTGTGAATCAGTCTGGTCCTGGCCTTTTTTTTGGTTTGTAGACTATTAACTACTGCCTCATTTTCAGAACTTGTTATTGGTCTATTCAGGGATTTGAGTTCTTCCTGGTTTAGTCTTGGGAGGGTGTATGTGTCTATGAATTTACGAATTTAGATTTCTTGTTTGTGTAGAGGTGATTTTAGTATTCTCTGACGTTAGTTTGTATTTCTGTAGGATCAGTGGTGATATACCCTTTATCATTTATTAATGTATTCCATTTGATATCTTTCTTTTTTCTTCTTTATTAGTCTGTCCAGCAGTATATCTATTTCGTTAGTCTTTTCAAATAAACAGCTACTGGATTCACTGATTTTTTGAAGACTTTTTCGTGTCTCTATCTCTTGGTTCTGCTCTGATATTTGTTATTTCTTCAGTTTTTCTAGCTTTTGAATTTGTTTGCTCTTGCTTCTCTAGCTCTTTTAATTGTGATGTTAGGGTGTTGATTTTAGATTTTTCCCTTTTTCTGATGTGGGCATTTAGTGATATAGATTTCCCTCTAAGCACTGCTTTAGCTGTGTCCCAGAGATTCTGGTACGTTGTCTATTTCTCATTGGCTTCAAGAAACTTCTTTATTTCTTCCTTAATTTTGTTATTTACCAAATAGTCATTCAGTAGCAGGTTGTTCAGTTTCCATGTAGTCAGGAGGTTTTGAGTGAGTTTCTTAATCCTGAGTTCTAATTTGATTGCACTGCTGTCAGAGAGACTGTTTGTTATGATTTCCATTCTTTGCATTTGCTCAGGAGTGTTTTACTTGCAATTAGGTGGTCGTTTCTAGCGTATGTGCAAATGGTACTGAGAAGAATGTATATTCTGTTGATTTGGGGTGGAGAGTTCTGTAGCTATCTATTATGTCTGCTTGGTCTAGAGCTGAGGTCAAGTCCTGAATATCCTTGTTACTTTGCTGTCTCGTTGATCTGTCTAATATTGACAGTGGGGTGTTAAAGTCTCTCACTTTTATTGTGTGGGAGTCTACGTCTCTTTGTAGTCTCTAAGAACTTGTTTTTAATGAATTGGATGTTCCTGTATTGGGTGCATATATATTTAGGATAGACAGCTCTTCTTGTTGCATTGATCTCTTTACCATTATGTAAGTCTCTTCTTTGTCTTTTTTGATCTTTGTTGGTTTAAAGTCTGTTTTATTGAAGACTAGGATTGCAAACCCCACTTTTTTTTTTCTGCTTTTCATTTGCTTGGTAAATATTCCTCCATCCCTTTATTTTGAGCCTATGTATGTCTTTGCACATGAGATGAGTCTCCTGAATACAGCACACTGATGGGTCTTGACTCTTTATCCAATTTGCCAGTCTGTGTTTTTTAACTGGGGCATTTACCCCATTTACATTTAAAGTTAATATTGTTATGTGTGAATTTGTTCCTGTCATCATGATGCTAGCTGGTTATTTTGCACATTAGTCGATGCAGTTTCTTCATAATGTTGTTGGTCTTTATATTTCGGTGTGTTTTTGAAGTGGCTGGTATTGGTTGATCTTTTTAAATTTAGTGCTCCCTTCAGGAGCTTTTGTAAATCAGGCCTGGTGGTGACAATATCCCTCAGCATTTGCTTGTCTGGAAAGTATTTTATTTCTTTTTTCACTTATGAAACATAGTTTGGCTGGATATGAAATTCTGGGTTGAAAATTGTTTTCTTTAAGATTGTTGGATTTTGGCCCCCACCCTCTTTTGGCCTGTAGGGTTTCTGCAGAGAGGTCCTCTGTTCGTCTGATGGGCTTCTCTTTGTGGGTAGCCTGACCTATCTCTCTGGCTTTACTTAACACTTTTTCCTTCGTTTCAACCTTGGAGAATCTGGCAATTATGTGTCTTGGGGTTGTTACTGTCGAGCAGTAACTTAGTGATGTTTTCTGTATTTTCTGAAGTTGAATGTTGGCCTGCCTTTCTAGGTTGGGGAAGTTCTCCTGGATAATATCCCAAACTGTGTTTTCCAACTTTGTTCCATTCTCCCCATCACTTTCAGGGAGCTCAATCAATTGTAGGTTTGGTCTTTTCACATAGTCTCATATTTCTTGGAGGCTTTGTTCATTCCTTTTCAATCTTTCTTCTCTAATCTTGTCTTCACACCTTATTTCAGTAAGTTGATCTTCAATCTCTGATATCTTGTCTTCTGCTTGATCAATTTGGCTGTTGATACTTGTGTATTCTTCACGAGGTTCTTGTACTGTGTTTTTCAGCTCCATCGGGTCATTTATGTTCTTCTCTAAACTGGTTATCCTAGTCAGCAGTTCCTGCAACCTTTTGTCAAGATTCTTAGCTTCCTTGCATTGGGTTAGAACATGCTCTTTTAGCATAGAGGAGTTTGTTATTACCAAACTTCTGAAGCCTACTTCTGTCAATGCATCAAACTCATTCTCTGTCCAGTTTTGTGCTCTTGCTGGAGAGGAGTTGCAATCATTTGGAGAGGAAGAGGCATTCTGGTTTTTGGAATTTTCAGCACTTTTGCACTGTTTTTTCCTCATCTTCGTGAATTTATTTACCTTTGATCTTTGAGGTTAACGACCTTTGGATAGGGTTTCTCTGTGGGGTTTCTTTTTGTGTATGTTGATTTATTGTTTTATGATTGTTAGTTTTTCTTCTAATAGTCAGGGCCCTCTTCTGCAGATCTGCTGCAGTTTTCTGGTGGTCCACTCCAGACCCTATTTGCCTGGGTATCACCAGCAGAGGCTGCAGAAAAGCAAAAATTGCTGCCTGCTTCATCCTCTGGAAGCTTCATCCTAGAGGGTCACTGGTCTGATGCCAGCCAGAGCTCTCCGGTATGAGTTGTCTGTCAATCCCCAGTCAGGAGGTATGGGGGTCAGGGACCCACTTGAGCAGGCAGTCTGTCCTTTAGCAGAGCTCAAGCACTGTTCTGGTAGAACCCTCCTTGTCATCATCTGCTGCTCTCTTTAGAGCTGGCTGGCAGGAACATTTAAGTACACTGAAGCTACCCCCACAGCTGCCCCTTTCCCCAGGTGCTCTGTCCTGGTGAGATGGGAGTTTTATCTATAAGCCCCTGACTGGGGCTGCTGCCTTTTTTTCAGAGATGCCCTAACCAGTGAAGAGGAACTTAAAGAGGCAGTCTGGCCACAGCTGCTTCTCCGCGCTGTGTTGAGTTCTACCCAGTCCGAACTTTCAGGCCTTTATAGTGCTGTCAGGGGAAAACCACCTACTCAAGCATCAGTAATGGTGGATGGCCCTCCCCCCACGAAGCTGGATCATCTCAGGTTGACTTCAGACTGCTGTGCTGACAGGAAGAATTTCAAGCCAGTGGTTTTTAACTTGCTGAGCCCTGTGGGAGTGGCACCTGCTGAGCAACACCACTTGGCTCTCTGGCTTCAGCCCCCTTTATGGGGCAGTGAATGGTTCCGTCTCACTGGGGTTCCAGGTATCACTGGTGTATGAAAAATAATCCTGCAGCTAGCTCGGTGTCTGCCAAAACAGCCACCCAGTTTTGTGCTTCGAAACCCAGGGTCTTGGTGGTGTAGGCACATGAGGCAATCTCCTGGTCTGCAGATTACAAAAACCAGGGGAAAAGTGCAGGATCTGGGCTGAATAGCACAGTCCCTCATGGCTTACCTTGGCTGGGAAAGGGAGACCCCCCACTTCTTGCACTTCCCAGGTGAGGCAGAACCCCACCCTGCTTCTGCTCACCCTCTGTGGCCTGCACCCACTGCCTAACCAGTCCGCATGAGATGAACAGGGTACCTCAGTGGGAAATGCAGAAATCACCTGCCTTCTGTGTTGGTCTTGCTGGGAGCTGCAGACCAGAGCTATTCCTATTCAACCATCTTGCCAGTAGCCTCCCACATTTACATTTTTTTTAGTGCCAGAGGAGAAGAAATAGAGAAAAATCACAGAAAACTTACTTAAAAATAACAGCTGAAGTCTCCCCAAGTTTTGGGAGAGATATGCATATACAGATTCAGGAAGCTCAAAAATTCCCAAGTTCAACCCAAAGAGTTTTTTCTAAGGGACATCATAATTAAAATGTCAAAACTCAAAAACAAACTGAGAATTTTAAAAGTTACAATAGCCATTGAAAAATACCATATATTGTGTTTTGCATCTGGAGGCTATTATCCCAAGCAAATTAATGCAGGGAAACCCCCGCAAATACCAAATGTTTGTTCGAACTTACAATTGGGAGATAAACATTGGGTACACATGGGCATACAATTGAGAACAGTAGACACTCAAGAGAGTGGGGAGAGAGGGAGGAAGAAAGGGGAAGGAAACTGTTTATTCATTGCTATACTTACTATCTTAATGACATGATCATTCATATTTCAAACCTCAGTGTCACACAATATTCCCATCTAACAAATCTGCACATGTACCTCCTGAATCTAAAATAAAAGTTGAAATTATTAAAACATTAAAAATCTTCAAGAGAAAAACATCGAGTCACATATAAGGGAATCTCCATTAGACTATGAGCAAAATTCTCCACAGAAACCTTGTAGACCAGAAGAATGAAACGATATATTGAATGTGCTGGGGGAAAAAAAAAAAAAAAACAACCTTACAGTAAAGAATCCTACATTTAGCAAAGCTAACCTTCAGAAATGAAGGCAAAATAAAGAACTTCCCAGATGAGAAAAACTGAAGAAATTCAACACAACTATACCAAACTTATGAGAAATGTTTAAGGAAGTGCAAAATTTGGAAAAAAAATGCATAATGTTCACTCTGATGAAAACATGCAAAAGTGTAAAACTCACCAGTATGAGTAAGTTCATAATCATTCTCAGAATACCCTAGTGCTGTAATGGTGTCACAGAAATCTTTCAATCCTCTAGCATAAAGGTCTAAAGCCAAAAATAAAAAAAATATCAACAGCTATAATGTGTGCTTCAGAAAACCACACAAAAATACATATAAATTAAGGCAATCAAAACCCACATTGTAGGGGAAAGAAAAAAGTATCCTAGAGTCCTTATATGTAACCAAACTTAAGTTGTTATCAGCTTAACAGAGTCTTTTTTTTTTTTTTTTTTTTTGAGACGTAGTCTTGCTCTGTCGCCCAGGCTGGAGTGCAGTGGCGCAATCTTGGCTCACTGCAAGCTCTGCCTCCCGGATTCATGCCATTCTCCTGCCTCAGCCTCCTGAGTAGCTGGGACTACAGGCACCCACCATCGCACCTGGCTAATATTTTGTATTTTTAGTAGAGACGGAGTTACACCGTTGTCTCAATCTCCTGACCTCGTGATCTGCCCGCCTCAGCCTCCCAAAGTGCTGGAATTACAGGCTTGAGCCACCACGCCTGGCCTAACATAGTCTTTTATAAGATTTTATATGGTAGCCCAATTTTAATCACAAAGAAAGTAATTATGGCAGATAAGGAGAAAGGGAACAAACTTTAGCATCACAGAAAAACACTGAACCACAGAAGTAAACAACCAAATAAGAAGAAAGAAACATATGGCTGGAGTGAGTCCATAAATAGCAATAATAACCTTGAATGTAACTGGATTAGATTTTTTAATTAAAAGTATAGACTCAGTGAATAGATAAAAAAAAGACTCAAGTATCTGCTGACTACAGGGAGTCACCTCATTGCTTTTTGTTGTTTGTTTTTGTTGTTTTCTGTTTAGTTTTGCTTTTTTTTTTTGAGACAGAGTCTTACTCTGTCATCCAGGCTGGAGTGCAGTGGCACAGTCTCAGCTCACTGCAACCTCTGCCTCACGGGTTCTAGCGATTCTTGTGCCTCAGCCTCCCATGTACCTGGGATTACAGGCACCCACCACTGCACATGGCTGATCTTTGTATTTTTAGTAGAGATGGGATTTCACCATGTTGGCCAGGCTGTTCTCAAACTCGTGACCTCAGGTGATCCACCGCCTCAGCCTCCCAAAGTGCTGGGATTACAAGCATGAGCCACCTTACCATTAAACACAAACAGACTAAAAGCGAAGTGATGAAAAAAAATTTATGCAAATGGAAACCAAAAGTGATCAGGAGTAACCGTTCTTATATCAGATAAAATATACTTTATATCAAATACTTTTAAAAGCGACAATGTAGGTAATTTTATAATGATAAGGTGATTAATTCAGCAAGAGGATATAGCAACCATAAATATATATGAACCCAACATTACAGTACTCAAGTATATTAATACAATATTATGGAATTTAAACAGAGTAATAGACTGCAATACAATAATACCAAGATATGTCAACACCCCACTTTCAACAATATATAGATCATCTCGACAGAAAATCAACACAGAAACATCAGACATAAACTATGTAATAGACCAAATGTACCTAACAGACGTGTGAACATTTCATGCAACAGGTGCAGAATATACATTCTTCTCAACTGCTCTGGGGTAGCTAATATGTTAGCCCACCAAATGGGTGTTGATAAATTTGAGGACAGAGACTAATCAAGTGTAATTGAGGAGATAGAGATTAATCAACTGTCATTTCAGACTTACAATGGTAAAAAACTAGAAACGTAAAACAATAATAATTTTGGATAACTTACACATACATGGAAAGCCAATAGGACACAGTAAAAGAAGTTCTGAGAAGAAAGTTCATGGCAATGAGTGGACAGATTAAAAATGAAGAAAGATTTCTAATAAACAATGTAACCATGTACCCCGACAAGGTTTAAAAAAAGAAAAGAAAAAAGGAGCAGGGCAGATAAATGAGGCAGCAGATTAGTCAGAATTCAGAAGCATCACCTGGAAAACATGATTCCCATATGCTCTGTCGTTTCTTTCACCTATGTGCCCAGCTGGCTAGGGCAAGATACCAAAATGGTGACTGGCAACTGCTTTTGATTCACTCACAGTTGGGTGGCAGCAGGAGTCATTGTGGCTTAGTGTAGGCAGCAGCCAGATTCAAGCATAGCCTATTTTCATCCAACTACAGTTGGTAGCTACACAGTCCATCAGGCTCCAGTAGCTTCTCAGTTACTATTGCCTATGCACCAGCATTTGCCACAGTTGCAGTTACCAGGCCTGCAGTTGCTGCTGCACCAACTGCTGCTTATGAAAGCTACCCCACTGCACACACAGCAACTGATCATGGTTATACTCAGGGGCAACAAGAAGAACCACCCACCTGCCGCTACTACACAAAACTACCAGGACTCATACTCATATGTGAGATCCACAACTCCTGATAGCTTATGATAGTAAGCACTACCACCAACAACTAACAGAAACTGCTGCTGGTATAGCTGCCAATCACTAACCTTGGCCTTCTGTAGCTGAAGCTTACTATCAGACTGCTCTTAAATCCCAGGCACAACTCAGTATACTCAAGCCCAGCAAACTCGACAAGTGACAGCTATAAAATAAGTCACAGCAAGTTCAGCTGTCGCAACTTTATTTATCCTATATCCTCCACTGTACATCCAGTAGCAGCTGCAGCTGCTGTTGTGCCATCCTATACTCAGAGTGCTACTTGCAGTACCACAGCAGTTATTTATCCTGGTAAATTTTATTCAGTTTATGAAGCAGCAGTGTATTCAGCTGCATCTTTCTACAATTAACAGCTGCTTGAACAGGAACTATCTTTACTAAAGAAGCACAATTCGAAAATACAAAATAAACAACTGAAGCTAAAACAGCCTCCCAAGCCACCAAAGATTCACAATCTTGATGTTTGTAACACCACCTGTGCCATACCACAGACTTGTAAGCCACAGTCAGAAGGACAGAAACAATTACAAGTTGTTGCTTCTGCTGGTGTTTTGTGAGGCTGCAAAGAAACCCTCACAAAATATCAGCAGAAGCAACAACTCTACTCATGGGACTCAAAATCAGCTACACTGTAAGCTCCTCAATGTGTCTTGTACTGGAGCAGATGCAACAGAACCAAATGTTACTAGCCAAGCTACTTTTCCAACAGCTGTGTCTGCTTCAAAATCAACTACCAATCCTTTAAGCAATTGTACTGTGAATACTTCATCAATTGCAACTTCTTCAGTGAAGAGTCTTGTGACTACAGGAAATTCGTCTCTTAACAGCACATCGAAGACTAAAGTGTCAGCATTGCCCACAAATATGGCTGCCAAAAAATATCTACCCCAAAATCAATTTCATTGGTAATAATAAGCCACAATCATCATGAAATAAAACACAGTACTTAGAAGGAACTGCATCTGTTAAAAGTATTCTTTTTATTTCTATGGTGCAGATTCCTGAAGTAAATCAAGAGACAGTGTGAGAAAAAAAATCAAACCTGTATATTTTGCTGCTTTCCAGAATGATGCGCAGCCAGTGGGTCATGATTACCTGGAGGAGGTTTAAAATGAAGAAGGAAAGGTAGTTCACTTCCATTGTAAATCATGCAAGTGAAGCTTTAATAATCCCAATGTTAAGGAGATTCACTTAAAAGGGTGAAGACACATACTTCAAAATAGAAAAAAGAAAAATTTAGATTTGCAAGTAGAAGTAAAGCCTAGTATTTTTGAAAGAAAGATTGAATAAGAGAAAATGCAAAAGCAAATGCAGAAGGACTACTGATGAAGGCAAGAGGAGCAACGCTGGAGTATGGTAATGCAATGTTATGAAAAGTGCATGTTCTGGAGGAAGAACAGCATCATTGAGATGATAACCACCAAATGCCTGTTGGAGAATATCCTCATGATCTCTGGTCCCAGACTCCTGGGAGTGTGACCAGGCATTACTCCTCAGCTACAGGGGCCTGCACGCTTACAACATCCTGACTCATCTGATGACTTCTATGTAATGAGAAAATATGCAATGATTTATCTAGTTGAAAAGAAGTAACAGGAAGTTCAGAAAATTGTTTCTATTACTGAATGTACTTTAAAATTTATTTCAGGCACTTTCTCTGAACATGAGAAGAGCAAGAGCAAAGAAGAAGGTCATAAGAAAGAGAGAGGTAAAGAGAGTTTTAAAAGAAGTTATGCAAGTGGAAGTTTTGACAAGAGAGTTACTTCTCCAAGGACAACCTTGTTTTTCTGCATTCAGGGAAACCTTCAAAGATATTATTAAGACATATTGCAGAAAACCTATCCACTTTTATTTAACTGAGCAGTGGTTTGTACTTCTCCTTGAAGAGGTGCTTCACGTCCCTTGTAAGTTGGATTCCTAGGTATTTCAGTCTCTTTGAAGGAATTGGGAATGGGAGTTCACTCATGATTTGGCTCTCTGTTTGTCTGTTATTGGTGTATAAGAATGCTTGTGATTTTTGTACATTGATTTTGTATCCTGAGACTTTGCTGAAGTTGCTTATCAGCTTAAGGAGATTTTGGGCTGAGATGATGGGGTTTTCTAGATATACAATCATGTCATCTGCAAACAGGGACAATTTGACTTCCTCTTTCCCTAATTGAATACCTTTTATTTCCTTCTCCTGCTTAATTGCCCTGGCCAGAACTTCCAACACTATGTTGAATAGGAGTGGTGAGAGAGGGAATCACTGTCTTGTGCCAGTTTTCAAAGGGAATGCTTCCAGTTTTTGCCCATTCAGTATGATATTGGCTGTGGGTTTGTCATAGATAGCTCTTATTATTTTGAGATATGTCCCATCAATACCTAATTTATTGAGAGTTTTTAGCATGAAGGGTTGTTGAATTTTGTCAAAGGCCTTTTCTGTATCTATTGAGATAATCATGTGGTTATTGTCTTTGGTTCTGTTTATATGCTGGATTACCTTTATTGATTTGTGTATATTGAACCAGCCTTGCATCCCAGGGATGAAGCCCACTTGATCATGGTGGATAAGCTTTTTGATGTGCTGCTGGATTCGGTTTGCCAGTATTTTAATGAGGATTTTTGCATCAATGTTCATCAAGGATATTGGTCTAAAATTCTCTTTTTTTGTTGTGTCTCTGCCCGGCTTTGGTATCAGGATGATGCTGACCTCATAAAATGAGTTAGGGAGGATTCCCTCTTTTTCTATTGATTGGAATAGTTTCAGAAGGAATGGTACCAGTTTCTGCTTGTACCTCTGGTAGGATTCGGCTGTGAATCCATCTGGTCCTGGACTCTTTTTGGTTGGTAAGCTATTGATTATTGTGACAATTTCAGAGCCTGTTATTGGTCTATTCAGAGAGTCAACTTCTTCCTGGTTTAGTCTTGGGAGGGTGTATGTGTCAAGGAATTTATCCATTTCTTCTAGGTTGTCTAGTTTATTTGCATAGACGTGTTTGTAGTATTCTCTGATGGTATTTTGTATTTCTGTGGGATTGGTGGTGATATCCCCTTTATCATTTTTTATTGCGTCTATTTGATTCTTCTCTCTTTTCTTCTTCATTAGTCTTGCTAGCCGTCCATCAATTTTGTTGACCCTTTCAAAAAACCAGCTCCTGGATTCATTAATTTTTGAAGGGTTTTTTGTGTTTCTATTTCCTTCAGTTCTGCTCTGATTTTAGTTATTTCAGAGGATACAAACAAACGGAAGAACATTCCATGCTCATGGATAGGAAGAATCAATATCGTGAAAATGGCCATACTGCCCGAGGTAATTTATAGATTCAATACCATCCCCATCAAGCTACCAATGACTTTCTTCACAGAATTGGAAAAAACTGCTTTAAAGTTCATATGGAACCAAAAAAGAGCCCGCATCACCAAGTCAATCCTAAGCAAAAAGAACAAAGCTGGAGGTATCACACTACCTGACTTCAAACTATACTACAAGGCTACAGTAACCAAAACAGCATGGTACTGGTACCAAAACAGAGATATAGATCAATGGAACAGAACAGAGCCCTCAGAAATAATGCCGCATATCTACAACTATCTGATCTTTGACAAACCTGACAAAAACAAGCAATGAGGAAAGGATTCCCTATTTAATAAATGGTGCTGGGAAAACTGGCTAGCCATATATAGAAAGCTGAAACTAGATCTCTTCCTTACACCTTATACAAAAATTAATTCAAGATGGATTAAAGACTTAAACGTTAGACCTAAAACCATAAAAAACCCTGGAAGAAAACCTAGGCATTACCATTCAGGACATAGGCATGGGCAAGGACTTCATGTCTAAAACACCAAGAGCAATGGCAACAAAAGCCAAAATTGACAAATGGGATCTAATTGAACTAAAGAGCTTCTGCACAGCAAAAGAAACTACCATCAGAGTGAACAGGCAACCTACAAAATGGGAGAAAATTTTTGCAATCTACTCATCTGACAAAGGGCTGATATCCAGAATCTACAATGAACTCAAACAAATTTACAAGAAAAAAACAAACAAGCCCATCAAAAACTGGGCAAAGGATATGAACAGACACTTCTCAAAAGAAGACATTTATGCAGCCAAAAGACACATGAAAAAATGCTCATCATCACTGGCCATCAGAGAAATGCAAATCAAAACCACAGTGAGATACCATCTCACGCCAGTTAGAATGGCGATCATTAAAAAGTCAGGAAACAACAGGTGCTGGAGAGGATGTGGAGATATAGGAACTGTTGGTGGTACTGTAAACTAGTTCAACCATTGTGGAAGTCAGTGTGGCGATTCCTCAGGGATCTAGAACTAGAAATACCATTTGACCCAGCCATCCCATTACTGGATATATACCCAAAGGACTAAAAATCATGCTGCTATAAAGACACATGCACACGTATGTTTATTGCGGCATTATTCACTATAGCGAAGACTTGGAACCAACCCAAATGTCCAACAATGATAGACTGGATTAAGAAAATGTGGCACATATACACCATGGAATTCTATGGAGCCATAAAAAATGATGAGTTCGTGTCCTTTGTAGGGACATAGATGAAACTGGAAATCATCATTCTCAGTAAACTATCGCAAGAACAAAAAACCAAACACCACATATTCTCACTCATAGGTGGGAATTGAACAATGGGAACACATGGACACAGAAAGGAGGACATCACACTCTGGGGACTGTTGGGGGGTGGGGGGAGGGGGGAGAGATAGCTTTAGGAGATATACCTAATGCTAAATGACGAGTTAATGGGTGCAGCACACCAGCATGGCACATGTATATATATGTAACTAACCTGCACATTATGCACATGTACCCTAAAACTTAAAGTATAATAATAATAAAATAAAATAAAAAAACCTTCATAAAAAAAAGAAAACCTATCCAAACAGCTTGCTGTTTTAAACATTGAGAAGTATGAAATAAGATGTGCTGTATCTGAAGTGGTAATAATTTTGAATTCATGCGTGGAACCCAAAATGCAAGCCACTGTCACTCCTATCATCTCCAATTATTCAAGAAGATAGCATGGAGAAAAGAGATCTAACTTCACGTATGGTGAAAGACCTACCCGATGTCTTGGACAGGTAAAAATGCCTTTATGCTCTGGTTGCTCTATGCCATGCTAAGTGATTCCAAGGTAGAACGAATAGTCTGCAGTACTCTGTGATTATCATACGTATTCTTCAAGAATTCTGTAAGCAGGAATTCCAACTTGGTGTAATTTTCCAAGCTGAGCTATAGAGTTATTAGCAGAGAAAGCAATCAGCTAATCCTTGGATCCCTGCGCAGATGCAGTGAGAAGAGTTTTCAAGTACATTTAATCAGTGGTTATTATTAGAAGTAGTCCTGGATTTCTGGAACCTTGTAAAAAGAATTACGTGGATGCCTTGGCAACAATGACAGACCAGTAGTGAGAGAACATCACATCCAGTGCAGTTTGCATTGAGCCTCCTTGTATTCCTCCAGATCCACGAAGATTTAGGCATGGACCCATTACCCCAAATGAGCAAAAATGTTAACATCCACAATAGGAAACATAGAAGGGATAGTGATAGATTTGATAAATTTGAAGCTGAGGGGGGAAAAATATAAAAAAAGATTATGATAACTTGTAAAGAGTTTCATTAAAGCATCAGTGTTAAAAACAACAGATGCCCATTGTTGGCTGTTTTTCATTCATAAAAATGTGTACTTGAAAACAATCATCAAGAATTTAAAGAATTTCATGAAATGACCAAGTTTTTTTATGACACATAAAAAATATACAGTTAGGTGTTATATGGACGGAAAAACAAAATGAATTGTGTGCTCTGACTAGGAGGCAAACAGTGGTTCAACTTTGTTCAAATTATTATTGTTTTTTATTTTACTTTAAGTTCTGGGCTACATGTGCAGAATGTACAGGTTTGTTACATAGATATACATGTACCATGGTGGTTTGCTGATTTAATTTTTTGGTTTCTGTAACCACTCCTCCCATTTTTGTATCTTTTATTAACTAGTGAACTCTCTTATTAAATTTTTCATATATTTGATGCAGAATTTGTGCATCGTTTCTCTCTGTGTATTTTGACTTTTTTATTTGAAAGTTTTGCTTGCTTTTAGGCAGTAGTTGTAAGTTTGTTACAGATTATATTTCTTACCCTTTCTTAGTATTTTACAACAGTACTTTCTTGTAATGTGAAACTGCAGCATAATAAAAGCCATATATGAAAGACATAAAGCTAATATCATAATAAATGGGGAAAACTGAAAACCGTTTCTCTGAGATTTAGAACATAAAAAGAATGCTCACCTCCACCACTGTTATTCAACATAGTACTGGAATTCCTAGCTACAGCAATAAGACAAAAGAAAGAAATAAAAGGTACCGAAATTGAAAAGGAAGAAGTCAAAGTATTATTGTCTGCAAATGATATGATCTTACATTTGGAAAAACCTAAAGACTCCACCAAAAACTATTAGAACTGATAAACAAATTTAGTAAAGTTGCTGGATGCAAAGTCAACAGACAAAGATCAGTAGCATCTCTATATGCAAGCAGCAAAAAATTACAGAAAACATCAGTAAATTAAAATTGATTAACAAAGAAGTGAAAATTCTTTATAATAACTATAAAACATTGATGAAAGAAATTTAAGAGTACAAAAATATGAAAATATATTCAATGTTCATGGACTAGAAGAATCAATACTTTTAAAATGTTCATACTGTTAAAAGCAATCTGCATATTCAATGGAATTTACATAAAATACCAATTACATTCTCAACAAAAATAGAAAAAACAATACTAAAACATATTGAATCACAAAGCACTCAGAATAGCCAAAGCTATTCTGAACAAAAAACAAAAAGCATACTACTGGCATAAAAACAGTCACCAATAAACCAGTTGAACAGAATAGAGAAGCTAGAAACAAATCCATATATTTATGGTGAATGCATTTTCAACAAAGTGCCAAAAAGATACATTAGGGAAAGGAGAGTCTCTCAATAAATGCTGCTGGGAAAACTGTAAATTCACATGCAAAATAAATAAATAAAAAAATAAAATTAGAAACTTATTTCACCCATTTTTAGGAAAATATCTAATAATATAATTAAAGCATGGGCAAATGATCTGAACAGATATTTCTCAAAAGACATGAACATGGTAAATAAGTATCTGAAAAGGTGCTCAGTATAACTAATCATCAGAGAAATGCAAATCAAAACTATGATGGGATATCATCTCACTCCAGTTAAAATGGTTTTATCCAAAAGGCAGGAAATAACAAATAATTATGAAGATAGGGAGAAAAGGAACTTTTGTACATTGTTTTCCTACAGACAAATTACATTTGGGAATGTAAATCTCCAAAATGGAGAACTGTTTGAAAGTTTCTCAAAATATTAAAAATAGAGCTACCATATGATCCAGCAATTCAACTTCTAAGTATATAACCAAAAGAAAGAAAATCAGTATATCAAAGAGATCTCTGCACCCCCATGTTGGTTGCAGCACTATTCCAAAAGCCAAGATTTGGAAGCAATCTAAGTGTTCATCATTAGGTGAATCTATTAAGAAAATATATATAGACATGATGGAGTACTATTCAGCCATAAAAACAATATCTTGACATTTCAACAATATAGATTGAACTAGTAGTCTTTTGTTTCTAAGTCCTGGGGTACGTGTGCAGGATGTGCATGCTTGTTACACAGGTAAATGTGATCTATGGTGGTTTTATGCACCTATCAACCCACTACCTAGGTATTAAGCCTGGCATGCATTAGCTGTTTTTCCTAATGCTCTCCTCCTCTTGTCCTAACCCAGCAGGCCCCAGTGTGTTGTTCCCTCCCTGTGTCCATGTGTTCTCATTGTCCAGCTCCCACTTATACGTGAGAAAATGTGGTTTGATTTTCTGTTGCTGCATTAGTTTGCTGAGGATAATGGCTTCTAGCTTCATCCATGTCCCTGCAAAGGAAACGATCTCATTCTTTTTTATGGCTGCATAGTATTCCATGGTGTATATGTACCACATTTTCCTTACCCAGTCTATCACTGATGGTCATTTGAGTTGATTCCATGTCTTTACTATTGTGAATAGTGCTGCAATAAACACACATGTGCATGTTCTTTAGAATAGAATGATTTGCATTTGGGTGTTGTATACCCAGTAATTGAATTGGTGGATTGAATGGTATTTCTGGTTCTAAGAGTTTCAGGAATCACCACACTGTCTTCCACAATGGTCAAACTAATTTACATTCCCACCAAAAGTGTAAAAGTGTTCCTATTCCTGTGCAACCTTGCCAACATCTTTTTTTTTTTTTTGACTTTTTAATAATCACCATTCTGACTGGTGTGAGTTGATATCTCACTGAGGTTTTGACTTGCATTTTCCTAATAATCACACCAACAATAGACAAGCAGAGAGCCAAATTATTAATGAATTCCCATTCACAATTGCCACAAAGAGAATAAAATACCTAGGAATAGAGCTAAAAAGGGAGATGAAGGACCTCTTCAAGGGGAACTACAAACCACTGCTCAAAAAAGTCAGAGAGGACACTAACAGATGCAAAAACGTTCCATGTTCTTGGATAGGAAGAATCAATTCTATAAAAATGGTTATAGTGCCCAAAGAAATGTATAAATTCGACGATGTTTTTAATAAACTACCATTGACATCTTTACAGAATTCAAAAAAAAAAAAACTATTTTAAAATTTTTGTGGAACCAAAAAAGAGCGTGTAGAGGCAGGACAATCCTAAGCAAAAAGAACAAAGCTGGAGGCTTCACACTACCTTCCTTGAAACTATACTATAAAGCTACAATAACAAAAACAGCATAGCACTGGTACAGAAACAGGCACATAGACCAATGGAACAGAATAGGGAACTCAGAATAAAACCACACATCTAAAACCATCTAGCTAGTCATATCCAGTATTTTTTGGTTTGCCCTTTTTATTGTCCTTCAGCAGCTCATATATATTACCTAATTCCCTCCTGAATTTGTAAGATTTATGCTGAGAAGTCTGCTTCCAGGCATATTGAAATTCTCTTACATGTTTTTTACTTCTTTTCTATTTTTGTTTTAATCCTCTCTCTGTCTTTGAAATTGGATAGTTCGATTGTAACATGTCTTCATATGGTCCTATTTAGATTGATTGTGAGTGATTGCTTTTAAGCTTCCTGTATCTGGGTATTTATATTATTCCTTATGCTTGGAAAGTTTTCTTGTATTATTTATTTAAGTAATTTACTATTATCTTGTGTTTCTCTAGTCTCTTTTGAACTTTATGAACCCACAAATTTTCTCTTCTGATATTATTTCATAATGTTTTTTATTTATTAATTTTTTAATTTTTTTCTTCTCTGCATATTTTTTACTAATCTGACTTTGAGCTCACTAATTTTTTCTTCAGCTTAATTCTGCTGTTGATGCACTCTGTTGAACTTTTTATTTTTTTCATTGTATTTTCTCACTCTAGGATTTCTGTTTGATTATGTTTAATTATTTCAAACTCTTAAATTTGTCTTCCAATTTTTTGAATTATTTTTCTGTATTTTATTGAATTTTATTGAGCTTCCTTAAAAGAGTGATTTTTATTCTTTGTTAGGTCAGTCATACATCTTCATTTGTTTAGGTTTGGTAACTGGCACTGTATTTGGTTTGTTTTGAGACCTCGTATTTCCCTGATCATTGTGATCTTTGTGCATGTATGTTGATTTCTGCACATTGAAGACATGGGTATTTATTCCAGTCTTGGGAGTTTGTCATTGTCTATGATAGCACTTCTACAGTATGCCTGTTCAGAAATTCTGAGAAAACTGTTGTGTCCCCCTAACCCATGATCACTGCAGCCATTGCAGTGCTAGAGGGAACCCTAAGTCCAGGTTTGCCATGGTTGATATAGCCCAGGTTGGAGTCCCATGAGCAACTAGTACGGGGTTGGGCAGGCTTGCTTTAATATCCTCAAACAGAAAGCTTTTACTAGATGTGCTGACTAGTGTGACTTCCTTTATGTCACTGGAAAAACTCCCATTGGATCACTAAATGGGTCCCTGTTATGGCTGAACTATTCACATCTGCAGCCCTAATGAGCTAGATCTGAGGCAACATTTATTTTTCAGGTCCATAACCAAAATTCAGGTCTTCTCCATAGTCATGGACAGTTTTCTCTATAGTCATGGACAGTTGTCTCCCAGTGAATTTCTGGGCAAGAAGGCCTTTTTCATACTATAGTCAAAAAGGGCTGGAACTAATTTATAGGGCCATTTTGAGATCCACAATGTGACTTAAGTCAACCCATCAGCCTGAATAGGCACTGATGGACATGCATTCACCTGGGACCTCAGGTAGAAAGAGCTCAGTCTACAGGCAGGAGGGGTCAGGACTGACATTATTGGCTATTTGAAAATCTACTGGTAGATGGAGTTTGGCCAATTTGCAACAGAAGCTCAAATAAGTACATCTTCAGTCAGTATTCTAGCTGGATAAGACTGCTCCAAATCCAAAGCCACAAGGGGTTTGAAGGGCTGAAATTGAGATTCTGGGATAATTCAGAATTTTCAGTGGAATCAAATTTGGCAAGTCCAACATGGTTGTACCTCTTTTCAAGACTCTCAGCAATTTTCCATGTCAGAAAAATTTGTGATTTGTGACATGGATAAACCAAGAGATAATGATGATAAGTTAAGTAAGCCAGGCACATAAAGAGAAATACCACAGGTTCTTATATGTGGAATCTAAAAATGTGGATATCCTAGAACTAGCGAGTAGAATGATGGTTACCAGGGGTGGGTAGGTGTGTGTGGTGCAGGGGTGTTTAAAAGATGTTTACCGAAATATACAAAAATTTCAGTTAGATAAGAGCAATATGATCAAAAGCTCTATTGTACAACACAGTGACTATAATTAATAACAACATACTGTATTCTTGAAAATTACTGAGGGAGTAAATTGTGTTTTTATCCCAAATGATAATATTTATGTGATATAATGCATACGTTAAGTAGCTAAATTTAGACATTCCACAGAGTATGAATAATTTAAAACATCTTGTTGTGGACAACAAACATATATAATTTTTATTTGTCAATTAAACAAAATAAATAAATAATGTTAAACCACTTATCAAGATACAGTTGACATACAAAAAGCTGTAAATATTTAATGCATACAACTTAATGCATTTGGAGATAAGTATGTTCTTGTGAAAATAGTGATTTAACAAAAATAAAATAAAGTATGTTTGATTATAAAAGAAAGCAGTTATATTGTAAAACAGTTACCAAAGTGTGCAAGTCTGGGTTCTCCAAGAAACAGGTGTCAAGAAAAAATTAAACGTGCCAGAGTTTGGCCAGTGGGAGCAAATGGTGAAGGAGCTGGGTGAGGCTGGGAAAAGTGTCAGACTTTAATGCAAGATAGGAAAAAGGAAGGAAGGAAGGAAAGAAGGAAGGAAGGAGGGAAGGTTGGTTGACTAGAAGCTCCTACTACTAAGCAGCCTAAAGAAAGGTTACCAAGGCCCCTGAGAGGCCTCAAGTCAAAGTTGCCTGTCAGAGGAGTGCCCTGATTCTCAGGAATGAGGCAGTCTTCGTATCTTTGCATTGCTTAGTTATTGGCTACTAGGAATCTCTTGTGAGATGGCCTGGCAAACACAGCATGAATGTCAACACAGCACCTGGCATTCTCTTTCAATAATATCCTGTAATTGGAGGTCTGCGAGCTGCAGTCTCATGGCCAGCACACAAATTAATAAAAAATGTTTGTGATGTAGCAACATACGTCCTTTGTACTAGCAGTTACTATTATTTTAATTGACACATAATAATTGTACATTAATATTAATTGAATAAATACTGATACTTCGATAAACACAATATATAATGATCAATCATGGAAATTAGCATATTCATCACCTCTGATGTTTATTATTGTTCTGATTGAAAACCTTTGAAACGCTCTCTGTTAGCTATTTGAAAATACATAATAAATTATTAACTATAGTCACCCTGAAGTGCTATGGAACATTAGAAATTATTCCTCCTATCAATCTTTAATTTTGAATCCTTGAACCAATCTCTCCCTGCTTTTTTTCTCTCCGACTTTTCCCACATTTTTGTAACTACTATTCTGCTTTCTACTTCTATGAGATCAACTTGTTAGCCTCCACAAATTAGAAGGAATATGCAGTATTCATCTTTCTGTTATTGGCTTGTTTCACTTCACATAATGTTCTCTAGGCTCATCCATGTTGCTGCAAATGACAGAATTTCATTTTTTTATGGATGAATAGAATCTCATTAAGTATATTTTCTCTATCAATTCATCCACTGAGAAACATTTAAGTTGATTCCGCATCTCAGCTATGGTAAATAATGCTGCAATAAATACAGAGCTGTATCTCCCTGATATACTGATATCATTTTCTTTGGATATATGCCCAATAGTGGAATTTCTGAATCATAAAGTAGATGTATTTCTAGTTTTTTGAAGCACTTCCATACTATTCTCCATAAGAGCAGTCCTGGTTTACATTCCTACCAAGAGAATGTTAGATTTTTTTTTCTTGGTATCCTCAACAGCATTTGTTACATTTTGTCTTCTTGGTATTAGTAGTAGCCATTCTAACTGGGGAGAGATTATATATATATATATAATTGTAATTTCAAGTTGCTTTTCCATGATGATCAGTAATGTTCTACATTTTTTTCATGTATTTCTTTCTTTGCTTTTTGTATATCTTCTTTTAAGATACATCTATTCAGGTCTTCTTTACACTTTTAATTAGACTATTTGTTTGTTTGTGTTTTTTGCTGTCAAGTGTTGAGTTTCTTATATATTCTGGATATGAATTCCCTGTCAGGTGAATAGTTTGCAAATATTTTTGTCCCTTCTATAAGTTGTATTTTTCACTGTGTTATTTCATTTCCTGTACAAAAGCTTTGCAGTTGATATAACCCTATTGTGTAGGCTGAATATTTGTCCCCTCCAAATCTCATCTTGAAATTTGATCTGCAATGTTGGAAGCGGGAAGTTTCGGAAAGTGTTTGGGCTATGGGATAGATACTTTACAAATGGCTTGATGTGGGGTGGAGACAAGATGGCCAAATATGAACAGCTCCAGTCTACAGCTCCCAGCATCAGTGATGCAGAAGACAGGTGGTTTCTGCACTTCCAACTGAGGTACCAGGTTCATCTCACTGGGGGTGTCAGACAGTGGTTGCAGTGCACTGAGCATGAGATGAAGCAGGGCGAGGCACCGCCTCACCCGGGAAGCACAAGGAGTCAGGGAATTCCCTTTCCTAGTCAAAGAAAGGGGTGACAGATGGCACCTGGAAAATCGGGTCACTCACACCCTAACACTGTGCTTTTCCAAAGTTCTTAGAAAATGGCACACCAGGAGATTATATCCCGCACATGGCTTGGAGGGCCCTATGCCCATGGAGCCTCGCTTATTGCTAGCACAGCAGTCTGAGATCAAACTGCAAGGGGTCAGCAAGGCTGGGGGATGGGCGCCTGCCATTGCCAAGGCTTGAGTAGGTAAACAAAGTGGCTAGGAAGCTCGAACTGGGTGGAGCCCACTGCAGTTCAAGGAGGCCTGCCTGCTTCTGTAGACTCCACCTCTGGGGGCAGGGCATAGCCAAACAAAAGGCAGCAGAATCCTATGCAGACTTAAATGTCCCTGTCTGACGCTTGGAAGAGAGTAGTGGTTCTTCCAGCATGCAGCGGGAGACCTGAGAACGGACAGACTGCCTCCTCAAGTGGGTCACTGACCCCCGAGTAGTCTAACTGGGAGGCACACCCCAGTAGGGGCAGGCTGACACCTCACACGGCCAGGTACTCCTCTGGGACAAAACTTCCAGAGGAACAATCAGGCAGCAACAATTGCGGATTACCAATATCTGCTGTTCTGCAGCCTCTGCTGCTGATACCCAGGCAAACAGGGTCTGGAGTGGACCTCCAACAAACTCCAACAGACCTGCAGCTGAGGGTCCTGACTGTTAGAAGGAAAACTAACAAACAGAAAGGACATCCACACCAAAACCCCATCAGTATGTCACCATCATCAAAGACCAAAGGTAGATAAAAACCACAAAGATGGGGAAAAAACAGAGCAGAAAAAGTGGAAAATCTGAAAATCACAGCGCTTCTTCTCCTCCAAAGGAACACAGTTTATCACCAGCAACGGAACAAAGCTGGATGCAGAATGGCTTTGATGAGTTGAGAGAAGAAGGCTTCAGACGATCAAACTTCTCCGAGCTAAAGGAGGAAGTTCGAAACCATGGCAAAGAAGTTAAAAACCTTGAAAAAAGATTAGAAGAATGGCTGACTAGAATAACCAATGCAGATAAGTCCTTAAATGACCTGATGGAGCTGAAAACCATGGCACGAGATCTATTGCATGAATGCACAAGCCTCAGTAGCCGATTCAATCAACTGGAAGAAAGGGTTTCAGGGATGGAAGATGAAATGAATGAAATGAAGCAAGAAGAGAAGTTTACAGAAAAAAGAGTAAAAAGAAATGAATAAAGCCTCCAAGAAATATAGGACTATGTGAAAAGACCAAATCTACGTCTGACTGGTATATCTGAAAGTGATGGGGAGAATGGAACCAAGTTGGAAAACACTCTGCAGGATATTATCCAGGAGAACTTCCCCAACCTAGCAAGGCAGGCAAACATTCAAATTCAGGAAATACAGAGAATGCCACAAAGATACTTGTCGAGAAGAGCAACTCCAAGACACATAATTGTCAGATTCACCGAAGTTGAAATGAAGGAAAAAATGTTCAGGGCAGCCAGAGAGAAAGGTCGGGTTACCCACAAAGGGAAGCCCATCAGACTATCAGCTGATCTCTCGGCAGAAACTCTACAAGCCAGAAGAGAGTGGGGGCCAATATTCAACATTCTTAAAGAAAAGAATTTTCAACCCAGAATTTCATATCCAGCCAAACAAAGCTTCATAAGTGAAGGAAAATAAAATCCTTCACAGACAAGCAAATGCTGAGAGATTTTGTCACCACCAGGCCTGCCCCAAAAGAGATCCTGAAGGAAGCACTAAACATGGAAAGGAAAAACAGGTATCAGTCACTGCAAAAACATGCCAAATTTTAAAGACCATCGAGGCTAGGAAGAAACTGCAACAACTAACGAGCAAAATAACCAGCTAACATCATAATGACAGGATCAAATTCACACATAACAATATTAACCTTAAAAGTGAATGGGCTTAAGGCTCCAATTAAAAGTCACAGACTGGCAAATTGGATAAAGAGTCAAGACCCATCAGTGTGCTGTATTCAGGAAACCCATCTCACCTGCAGAGACACACATAGGCTCAAAATAAAGGGAAGGAGGAAGATCTACCAAGCAAATGGAAAACAAAAAAAGGCAGGGATTGCAATCCTAGTCTCTGATAAAACAGACTTTAAACCAACGAAGATCAAAAGAGACAAAGAAGGCCATTAATAATGGTAAAGGGATCAATTCAACAAGAAGAGCTAACTATCCTAAATATATATGGAACCAATACAGGAGCAGCCAGATTCATAAAGCAAGTCCTTAGAGACCTAGTAAGAGACTTAGACTCCCACATAGTTGGAAGTAAAGCACTCCTCAGCAAATGTAAAAGAACAGAAATTATAACAAACTGTCTCTCAGACCACAGTGCAATCAAACTAGAACTCAGGTTGAAGAAACTCACTCAAAACCGCTCAACTACATGGAAACTGAACAACCTGCTCCTGAATGACTACTGGGTACATAAGGAAATGAAGGCAGAAATAAAGATGTTCTTTGAAACCAATGAGAAAAAAAACACGACATGCCAGAATCTCTGGGACACATTCAAAGCAGTGTGTAGAGGGAAATTTATAGCACTAAATGCCCACAAGAGAAAGCAGGAAAGATTTAAAATCGACACCCTAACATCACAATTAAAAGAACTAGAGAAACAAGAGCAAACACATTCAAACGCTAGCAGAAGGCAAGAAATAACTAAGATCAGAACAGAACTGAAGGAAGTAGAGACACAAAAAAACCCTTCAAAAAATCAATGAATCCAGGAGCTGGTTTTTTGAAAAGATCAACATAACTGATAGACCGCTAGCAAGACTAATAAAGAAGAAAAGAGAGAAGAATCAAATAGATGCAATAAAAAATAAAATCCCACAGAAATATAAACTACCCTCAGATAATACTATGTACACCTCTACAAAAGTAAACTAGAAAACCTAGAAGAAATGGATAAATTGCTCAACACGTACATCCTCCCAAGACTAAACCAGGAAGAAGTTGAATCTCTGAACAGACCAATAACAGGCTCTGAAATTGAGGCAATAATTAATAACTTACCAACCAAAAAAAGTCCAGGACCAGATGGATTCACAGCCAAATTCTACCAGAGGTACAAGGAGGAGCTTCCTTCTGCAACTATTCCAATCAATAGAAAAAGAGGGAATCCTCCCTAACTCATTTTATGAGGCCAGCATCATCCTGATACCAAAGCCTGGCAGAGACACAACAATAAAAAAAGAGAATTTTAGACCAATATCCCTGATGAAGATTGATGCAAAAATCCTCAGTAAAATACTGGCAAACCGAATCCAGCAGCACATCAAAAAGCTTATCCACCATGATCAAGTGGGCTTCATCCCTGGGATGCAAGGCTGGTTCAACATACGCAAATCAATAAACGTAATCCAGCATATAAACAGAACCAAAGACAAAAACCACATGATTATCTCAATAGATGCAGAAAAGGCCTTTGACAAAATTCAACAGCCCTTCATGCTAAAAACTCTCAATAAATTAGGTATTGATGGGACATTTGTAAAAATAATAAGCGCTATCTATGACAAACCCACAGCCAATATCATACTGAATGGGCAAAAACTGGAAGCATTCTCTTTGAAAACTGGCACAAGACAGGGATGCCCTCTTTCACCACTCCTATTCAGCATAGTGTTGGAAGTTCTGGCCAGGGCAATCAGGCAGGAGAAATAAATAAAGGGTATTCAATTAGGAAAAGAGGAAGTCAAATTGTCCCTGTTTGCAGATGACATGATTGTATATCTAGAAAACCCCATTGTCTCAGCCCAAAATCTCCTTAAGCTGATAAGCAACTTCAGCAAAGTCTCAGGATACAAAATCAATGTACAAAAATCACAAGCAACCTTATACACCAATAACAGACTGAGAGCCAAATTATGAGTGAACTCCCATTCACAACTGCTTCAAAGAGAATAAAATACCTAGGAATCCAACTTACAAGGGATGTGAAGGACCTCTTCAAGGAGAGCTACAAACCGCTGCTCATGGAACAACTCTTAAGTAAACAATGAAAATAAGGTCAAAATTTAAATATCTTTGGAAGCAAATAAAAATAGAGACACAACACACCAATACCTCTGGAAAACAAAAGCAGTAGTAAGAAGGCAATTTGTAGCATTACATTTTTACATCAAAGAGATAGATTTCAAATAAGCAACATAATATCCCCCCTCAAAAAACTGGAAAAACAAGAACAAGTCAAATCCAAAGCTAACAGAAGAAATAACAATGGTCACAGCAGAACTATGTTAGCTTGAGACCAAAAAAGGAAAATTACGAAGAATCCATGAAATAGAAATTTATTATTTAAAAGTATAAACAAAATTGACAGAGCACTAGCTAGGCTAACAAAGAAAAAAGAGATAATATTTAAATAAGCACAATCAGGAATAATAAAGATGATATTACACTGGGTAACAGAGAAATACAAAAGAACCTAAGAGAATACTATGAACACTTCTACACACACACACTAGAAAACAGAGAAAAAAACACAACTTCCAAAATTATTTTATTTTTATTTTATTTTATTTTATTTTATTTTATTTTATTTTATTTTATTTTATTTTATTTTATTTTATTTTATTTTATTTTATTTCAGAGACAGAGTTTGGCTACATTGCCCAGACTTGTCTTGAACTCCTGGCTTCCAACAACCCTCTTGCTTAGTCCTCTCAAACTGCCAAGATTACAGGTGTGAGCCACGGCACCCAGCCTATCTCCCAAAATTGAACCAGAAAGAATTAGCGACACTGAAAAGACCAATACAAGTAATGAAAGTGAATCAATATTTTAAAATCTTCCAAAAAATAAGCTTAGGGCCAGACAGATGTACAGCTAAAAGTTTACCAGATGTATGAAGATGAGCTTATACTAATCTTACTAAAACTATCCCCAGAAATTGAGGGGGAGTGATCTCTCACTAACTCATTTTATAAATACAGTATCACCTCGATACCAAAATCAGGCAAGTACAAAACAAGGAAATATAGGCCAATATCCACGATAAACATAAATGCAAAATTTCTCAACAAAATATTAGCAAACAAAATCCAATAGCACATTAAAGTATAATTTATTATAATCAAGTTGGGTTTTTTTCCAGGGATGATAGTGAACCAAGGATGGTTCAACATATGCAAACCTATAAATGTGATTTATCACATAAACAGAATAAAGTATATAAACCATATAATAATCTCCACAGATCCATAAAAAGCATTTGATAAAATCTAACACCTTTTCATGAAAAAAATCCTGAACAAACTAGGCAAAGACAGAATATACCTCTAAATAAGAAAAGCCATATATGACATTTCCACAGCCAACATCACACTGAATGGAAAAAAGTTCAATGTATTTTTTCTTGTAATTCCAAAGATGCCCACTGTCATCACTCCTATTCAAATTCATACTGACAGTTCAGGCCAGAGAAATTGGGCAAGAGTAAAAAATAAAAGGCAAACAAATTAGAAAAGAGGAAGAAAAATTATCTCTATTCACTAACCACATGATTATATACCTAGAACACCCTAAAAACTCCCCTAGAAGAGTTCCAAACTTGATAAGCAATTTCAGTAAAGTTTCAAAATACAAAATCAACGTATGAAAGTTAGGGGTTTTCCAATACAATGAAATTTCAAACTGAGAACCAAATTATCAACTCAATCCTATTAATAAGAGGCACATACAAAAAAATAAAATACATAGGAATACATTTAACCAATGAGGTGAAAAATTTTTGTGAGGAAACTACAAAACACTGATGACACAAACAAATGGAAAAAACATCCCATGCTCACAGAGTGAAAGAATCAGTATCATCAAAATGACCATATTGCCCAAAGTGGTCTACAATTCAATACAATTTCTATCAAATTACCATAATTATTTTTCATAGAATTTGAAAAAATATCCCAAAGTTCATACAAAACAACAGCAACAACAACAACAAAACACCCTATTCAATAAATGATGCTAGGAAAACTGACTAGCCAAATGTGCAAGAATGAACCTGGTTTCTCATCTCTCACCTTATACAAAAATTAACTCAAGATAAAGTCCTAAACACAAGACCTGAAAGTAGAAAAGTTCTGGAATAATATCTAAGAACTCTTCTGGACATTGAGCTAGGCAAAAAAAGTATTACAAAGAGCACAAAATCAAATGCAACAATAACAGAAATAGAGAAATGGGCTTTAATTAAATGAAAAATCTTCATCACAGCAGGAGAAATAATCAACAGAACAAACACAAAACCTATAGAAGAAAATATTTGCAAGTTAAAATCACAATGAGATATAACCTTACAATAGTCAGATTGGCTGCTATTAAAAAGACAAAAAACAACTGTCGATGGGAAATGCCAATTAGCTCAATGAAAAACAGTATGGTGGTATCTCAAAAATCAAAAAATAGAACTACTATTTGACCCAGAAATTCCACTGCTGGCTGTCCTCACAATGGAAACGCAATCATTATATTAAAAAAGACACATGCATTCATATGTTTACCTCTGTACTATTTGCAATAGCATACATAGTCATGGACACAACTTATGTGTTCAATAATGGCAGATTGGATACAGAAGATTTGAGACATATATATATATATATATATATATATATAGACATCTGAGGTATACATAAACTGGAGGAACAATGTGTGTGTATGTGTGTGTGTGTGTTTAGCGAATCAACTGCATTAATATATTTGCAGTGATTTTATTTGGGAAAAGAGCTTATAGCTTCTAGCTGATGAATATGTTCATTATAATGCTTTCCCCAATGTTCTAATTGTCGAAATGTGTATACTCATAGAAACTTACACAATGTCATGAGCTCCCCTCCTGAGAATCAAAATCACAGCATCCAAAACTGTCGGTAAAGTTAGATCAGGTATGCTTTTCTGCATGCATGTAAATTTCTAAGCTTAGTATTTGGGTAAACTCTATATTTAGAGAAGACTACCAGATAAGAGAATCCCAGTAAAGAGGCTGAAAGAAACAGAGAATTCCTTTAGAAAGCAAGACCAGATTCTTCCACAAACATAATCACGGGCCCACAATCACTACTTTTGATTAGTCCATAGTGTCACAAACATGGAATTCAACCAGGTGAGCTTGCTGAAATGCTAAGAAGAGTAAACCATATACACTAGCTAGGCAAATTTAACCTACACATGAAGGCTATGCTCTTGGTCAATATTAAAACACAGATATTTATCCCTGCAATATTAATAATATTAGGAAAGTTAAGCATTCAGTAATATGATGTGACTGGAATTGAGCAGAGAAGGAGCTGCTGTAGAAATAATTATACCAAAATGGCAGTATGTACCCTGGTCTGAGAGGATAACAACCAAAAATATTTAAAGAGAGGGTGGAATATGGCTAAATATAAGAAGTATAAAGGCACTAAATTTTCAGATTTCACAGTCGAAAACCAGTAGATAATTATCTTGTTTCAGATATCAACCGAGAATTAGAGATATAATAAAAGATTATCTAATTTTGCATACATTAATAACACTTAGGGGGCTATGTTAAAACTTAAATTTCTGTGTTTTAGAGTTTCCGATCCAGAGGCTTTGTGATGAAAGCATCAAATTCAAATTTCTAACAAGTTCCCAGGTGATGCTGATGCTACTGTTTCAGAAGCCACAGGGATTTGGATTTGGGGATGTGGAAACTGTGAATATAGACAAGTCTTTGAGATATATTGGCCATAAAGAGGAGGAGATAAAGTGATGTTGTAGCTAGAGGGGAAAGTGGGAGAAATTACAGGGTGTCTGTTTAGTAATGAGAGTAATAGAGAAAAAAGAAGGAAAATTGATAATGTAAGAGAAACAAGGGAAAATTTCCGGAGAAATTTCCTTGGATAATTGTTAGTTGTGAATTAGATCTAGTGCATGTATGAACTGAAATGTTTCCAAATAGGGGCCTTAAGAGTTAATTCAAAATCAAAAGGAAATTCAAAGTATTACTGACACAGATTCAGTAGACGAAGTGGCAAGTAGTTACAGTAAAAGCTTATGGAAGTTCTCCCCTAATTGTTTCTATGTGATTAATGACATAAATAACAACGTTATTAGCTGTGAATAAGGATGAGAGAGAAGATGATGGAAATGTGAGAAAGAAAAAGGTAGGAAACAGTCATCCTAAAGTGTGGGAAAATGAATTGACTTGAGAGTTGGATCATAACTCCACCTTCATATTAGAGTCATCTAGAAAGTTGTTAACAATTTGGGATATGTGGGCACCTACATAGATCAATTGGAGGTAGATCCAGGGCATTTGTATTGCTAAAAGATCTGAATATCATTCTAATACTCATCCATGTGTGGGGAAACAACTGGACTAGGAACATGTGGTACTATTGCCAGACAATTTTAAAGACCCTCTTCATTTTGTGATCATGAATTTAAAATGGGGACGTTCAGCATGGTTGTGACTTTTTGCAGCTATGTTCAGCTAGAGGGATGCAGGTTTGATGTAGGTTGCTGACTTAACTGGAACTTGACTTTAGCTAGAGCAATTTATCAAACCGAGATAGATAGAGAGAAGAAGGGGGACAAGATATCTGAGATATACATAAACAGAAGAGACAGTGTAACAATTGCTCAAACACTTGAAACTGAGTATGGAGGGAAGTGAGAACGTTAGGTCGAGGGACAATGAAAAAGTTTAGAGCAACTGTATAATAGATTTTGTGGAAGTATAAATCTCATTTTCAGGCTGACTGTGGGAATTCGCTGGGGAGATGAATAGCATCAAGCCATTTATTTATTTTTATTTTTTTTGTGTGTGTGTCTCTATTACTTTATTTATTTTTATTATACTTTAAGTTTTAGGGTACATGTGCACAATGTGCAGGTTTGTTACATATGTATACATGTGCCATGTGGGTGTGCTGCACCCATTAACTCGTCATTTAATATTAGGTATATCTCCTAATTCTATCCCTCCCCCCTCTCCCCACCCCACAACAGGCCCCGGTGTGTGATGTTCCCCTTCCTGTGTCCATGTGTTCTCATTGTTCAATTCCCACCTATGAGTGAGAACATGCGGTCTTTGGTTTTTCGTCCTTGCGATAGTTTGCTGAGAATGATGGTTTCCAGCTTCATCCATGCTCCTACAAATGACATGAACTCATCATTTATTATGGCTGCATAATATTCCATGGTGTATATGTGCCACATTTTCTTAATCCAGTCTATCATTGTTGGACATTTGTGTTGGTTCCAAGTCTTTGCTACTGTGAATAGTGTCACTATAAACATACGTGTGCATGTGTCTTTATAGCAGCATGATTTATAATCCTTTGGGTATATACCCACTAATGAGATGGCTGGGTCAAATGGTATTTCTAGTACTAGATCCCTGAGGATCCGCCATGCTGACTTCCACAATGGTTGAACTAGTTTACAGTCCCACCAACAGTGTAAAAGTGTTCCTATTTCTCCACATCCTCTCCAGCACCTGTTGTTTCCTGACTTTTTAATGATCACCAGTCAAGTGGTGTGAGATGGTATCTCACTGTGGTTTTGATTTGCATTTCTCTGATGGCCAGTGATGATGAACATTTTTTCGTGTGTCTTTTGGCTGCATAAATGTCTTCTTTTGAGAAGTGTCTGTTCATATCCTTCACCCACTTTTTGATGGGGTTGTTTGTTTTTTTCTTGTAAATTTGTTTGAGTTCATTGTAGATTCTGGATATTAGCCCTTTGTCAGATGAGTAGATTGCAAAAATTTTCTCCCATTCTGTAGGTTGCCTGTTCACTCTGATGGTAGTTTCTTTTACTGTGCAGAAGCTCTTTCGTTTAATTAGATCCCATTTGTCAATTTTGGCTTTTGTTGCCATTGCTTTTGGTGTTTTAGACATGAAGTCCTTGCACATGCCTGTGTCCTGAATGGTATTGCCTAGGTTTTCTTCTAGGGTTTTCATGGTTTTAGGTCTAACATTTAAGTCTTTATTCCATCTTGAATTAATTTTTGTATAAGGTGTAGGGAAGGGATCCAGTTTCAGCTTTCTACATATGGCTAGCCAGCTTTCCCAGCACCGTTTATTAAATAGGGAATCCTTTCCCCATCTCTTGTTTTTGTCAAGTCTGTCAAAGATTAGATGGTTGTAGATATGTGGCATTATTTCTGAGGGCTCTGTTCTGTTCCATTGATCTATATCTCTGTTTTGGTACCAGTACCATGCTGTTTTTGTTACTGTAGCCTTGTAGTTTAGTTTGAAGTCAGGTAGCATGATGCCTCCAGCTTTGTTCTTTTGGCTTAGGATTGACTTGGAAGTGTGGCTATTTTGGTTCCATATGGACTTTAAAGTAGTTTTTTCCAATTCTGTGAAGAAAGTCATGGGTAGGTTGATGGGGATGGCATTGAATCTGTAAATTACCTTGGGCAGTATGGCCATTTTCATGATATTGATTCTTCCCACCCATCAGCATGGAATGTGCTTCCATTTTTTTGTATCCTCTTTTATTTCATTGAGCAGTGGTTTGTAGTTCTCTTTCTAGGTCTCTAAGGACTTGCTTTATGAATCTGGGTGCTCCTGTATTGGGTGCATATATATTTAGGATAGTTAGTTCTTCTTGTTGAATTGATCCCTTTACCATTATGTAAAGGTCTTCTTTGTCTCTTTTGATCTTTGTTGGCTTAAAGTCTGTTTTACCAGATACTAGGATTGCAACCCCTGCCTTTTTTTGTTTTCCATTTGCTTGGTAGATCTTCCTCCATCCCTTCATTTTGAGCCTATGTGTGTCTCTTCACATGAGATGGGTTTCCTGAATACAGCACACTGATGGGTCTTGACTCTATCCAATTTGCCAGTCTGTGTCTTTTAATTGGAGCATTTAGCCCATTTACATTTAAGGTTAATATTGTTGTGTGTGAATTTGATCCTGTCATTGTGATGTTAGCTGGTTATTTTGCTCAGTAGTTGATGCAGTTTCTTCCTAGACTCGATGGCCTTTACAAATTGGCATGTTTTTGCAGTGGCTGATACTGGTTTTTCCTTTCCATGTTTAGTGCTTCCTTCAGGAGCTCTTGTAGGGCAGGCCTGGTGGTAACAAAATCTCTCAGCATTTGCTTGTCTGTGAAGGATTTTATTTCTCCTTCACTTATGAAGCTTAGTTTGGCTGGATATGAAATTCTGGGTTGAAAATTCTTTTCTTTAAGAATGTTGAATATTGGCCCTCACTCTCTTCTGGCTTGTAGAGCTTCTACTGAGAGATTAGCTGTTAGTCTGATGGGCTTCTCTTTGTGGGTAACTCAACCTTTCTCTCTGGCTGCCTTTAACATTTTTTCCTTCATTTCAACTTTGGTGAATCTGACAATTATGTGTCTTGGAGATGCTCTTCTCGACAAGTATCTTTGTGACATTCTCTGTATTTCCTGAATTTGAATGTTTGCCTGCCTTGCTAGGTTCGGGAGATTCTCCTGGATAATATCCTGCAGAGTGTTTTCCAACTTGGTTCCATTCTCCCTGTCACTTTCAGGCACACCAGTGAGATGTAGATTTGGTCTTTTCACATAGTGCCATATTTCTTGGAGGCTTTGTTCATTTCTTCGTATTATTTTTTCTCTAAACTTCTCTTCTCACTTCATTTTATCCATTTCATCTTCCATCCCTGAAACCCTTTCTTCCAGTTGATCGAATCGGTTACTGAAGCTTGTGCATTCGTCACGTAGTTCTCTTGCCATGGTTTTCAGCTCAATCGGGTCCTTCAAGGACTTCTCTGTATTAGTTATTCTAGTTAGCCATTCTTCTAATCGTTTTTCAAGGTGTTTAACTTCTTTGCCATGGGTTTGAACTTCCTCCTTTAGCTCGGAGAAGTTTGATCGTCTGAAGCTTTCTTCTCTCAACTCGTCAAAGTCATTCTCCATCCAGCTTTGTTCCTTTGCTGGTGATGAGCTGTGTTCCTTTGGAGAAGGAGAGTCACTCTGATTTTTAGAATTTTCAGTTTTTCTGCTCTGTTTTTTCCGCCATCTTTGTGGTTTCATCTCCTTTTGTTCTTTGATGATGGTGACATACAGATGGGTTTTTGGTGTGGATGTCCTTTCTGTTTGTTTGTTTTCCTTCTAACAGTCAGGACCCTCAGCTGCAGGTCTGTTGGTTTGCTGGAGGTCCACTCCAGACCCTGTTTGCCTGGGTATTAGCTGCAGTGGCTGCAGAACAGTGAATATTCCTGAACAACAAATGTTGCTGCCTGATTGTTCCTCTGGAAGTTTCATCTCAGAGGGGTACCTGGACATGTGAGGTGTCAGTCTGCCCCTACTGGGTGGTGCCTCCCACTTAGGCTACTCGAGGGTCAGGGACCCACTTGAGGAGGCAGTCTGTCCATTCTCAGATCTCCAGCTGCATGCTGGGAGAACCACTACTCTCTTCCAAGCTGTCAGACAGGGAAATTTAAGTCTGCAGAGGATTCTTCTGCCTTTTCTTTGGCTATGCCCTGCCTCCAGAGGTGAAGTGTACAAAGCCAGGAAGGCCTCCTTGAGCTGCGGTGGCCTCCACCCAGTTTGAGCTTCCTGGACGCTTTGTTCACCTACTCAAGCCTCAGCAATGGCAGGCGCCCCTCCCCCAGCCTCGCTGCCATGTTGCAATTCGATCTCAGACTGCTGTGCTAGCAATGGGTGAGGCTCCGTGGGCATAGGACCATCTGAGCGACGCACAGGATATAATTTCCTGGTGTGCCGCTTGCTAAGACCATTGGAAAAGCCCATTATTATGGTGGGTATGACCTGATTTTCCAGGTGCCATTTGTCACCTCTTCCCTTGGCTAGGAAAGGGAATTCCCTGACCCCTTGTGCTTCCCGGGTGAGGTGATGCCTCGCCCTTCTTTGGCTCATGCTCAGTGCACTGCACCCACTGTCCTGCACCCACTGTCCAACAATCCCCAGTGAGATGAACGTGGTACCTCAGTTGGAAATGCAGAAATTACCTATCTTCTGTGTTGCTCACACTGGGAGCTGTAGACTGGAGCTGTTCCTATTCGGCCATCTTGGAACCACCACCTTTCTTGTAAATTTGATTAAGTTCCTCATTGATTCTGGATTTTAGTCCTTTGTCAGATGTGTAGATTGCAAAAATTTTCTCCCATTCTGTAGGTTGCCTGTTCAATCTGATGATAGTTCCTTTTGCTGTGCAGAAGCTCTTTAGTTTAGTTAGATCCCATTTGTCAATTTTGGCTATTGTTGCCATTGGTTTTGGTGTTTTAGTCGTGAAGTCCTTGCCCATGCCTATGTCCCGAATGGTATTGCCTAGGTTTTCCTCTAGGGTTTTTATGGTTTTAGGTCTTGTGTTTAAGTCTTTAATCCATCTTGAGTTAATTTTTTTATAAGGTGTAATGAAGGGGTCCAGTTTCACTTTTCTGCATATGGCTAGCCGGTTTTCCCAATACCATTTACTAAATAGGGAATCCTTTCCCCATTTCTTGTTTTTGTCAGATTTGTCAAAGATTGGATGGTTGTAGATGTGTGGCGCTATTTCTGAGGCCTCTGTTCTGTTCCATTGGTCTAGATATCTGTTTTTGTACCAGTACCATGCTGTTTTGGTTAATGTAGCCTTGTAGTATAGTTTGAAGTCAGGTAGCGTGATGCCTCCAGCTTTGTTCTTTTTGCTTAGTATTTTCTTGGTTATACTGGCTCTTTTTTGGTTCCATATGAAATGTAGTTTTATCTAATTCTATGAAGAAAGTCAATGGTAGCCTCATGGGGCTAGCATTGAATCTGTAAATTACTTTGGGTAGTATGGCCATTTTCACAATACTGATTCTTCCTATCCATGAGCATGGAACGTTTCTCCATTTGTTTGTGTTCTCTCTTATTTCCTTGAGCAGTGGCTTGTAGTTTTCCTTGAAGAGGTCCCTCTCATCCCTTGTAATTCGTATTCTTAGGTATTTTATTCTCTTTGTAGCAGTTGTGAATAAGATTTCTTTCATGATTTGGCTGTTTGTCTATTATTGGTGTATAGGAATGCTTGTGATTTTCGCACATTGATTTTGTATGCTGAGACTTTGCTGAAGTTGCTTATCACCTTAAGGAGATTTTGGGCTGAGATGATGGGGTTTTTTAAATATACAATCATGTTATCTGAAACAGAGACAATTCGACTTCCTGTCTTCCTATTTCAATATACTTTATTTCTTTATCTTGCCTGATTGACCTGGCCAGAACTTCCAATATTATGTTGAATAGGAGTGGTGAGAGAGGGCATTCCTCTCTTGTGCCAGTTTTCAAAGGGAATGCTTCCAGTCTTTGCCCATTCAGTATGATATTGGCTCTGAGTTTGTCATAAATAGCTCTTATTATTTTGAGACGTGTTCCATCAATACCCAGTTTATTGAGAGTTTTTAACATGAAGGGGTGTTGAATTTTATAGAAGGTCTTTTCTGCATCTATTGAGATAATCATGGGCTTTTTGTCATTGGTTCTCTTTATATGATGGATTACCTTTGTTTGTCTGTGTATGTTGAACCAGCCTTGCATCCCAGGGATGAAGCCAACTTGATTGTGCTGGGTAAGCTTATTGATGTGCTGCTGGGTTCAGTTTGCCAGTATTTTATTGAGGATTTCTGCATCAATGTTCATCAGAGATATTGGCCTGAAATTTTCTTTGTTTTTTTTTGTAACTCTGCCAGTTGTTGGCATCAGGGTGATGCTGGCCTCATAAAATGATTTAGGGAGGAGTCCCCTCTTTTTCTATTCCTTTGAATAGTTTCAGAAGGAATGGTACCAGCTCCTCTTTGTACCTCTGGTAGAATTTGGCTGTGTATCTGTCTAGTCCTGGACTTTTTTTGGTTGGTAGGCTATTAATTACTGCCTCAGTTTCAGAATCTCTTATTGGTCTACTCAGGTATTCAACTTCTTCCTGGTTTAGACTTGGGAGGCTGTAGGTGTCCAGGAATCTATCCATTTCTTCTAGATTTTCTGGCTTATTTATGTAGAGGTGTTTATAGTACTCTCTGATGGTAGTTTTTATTTCTGTGGGGTCAGTGGTGATATCCCCTTTATCATTTTTCTTGTGTCTATTTGATTCTTCTCTGTTCTTTATTAGTTTGGCTAGCAGTCTATCTACTTTGTTAATCTTTTAAAAAAATCAGCTCCTGGATTCATTGATTTTTTGAAGGGTTTTTTGTGTCTCTATTTCCTTCAGTTCTGCTGTGATCTTAGTTATTTCTTGTCTTCTGCTAGCTTTTGAATTAGTTTGCTCTTGCTTCTCTAGTTTATTTAATTGTGATGTTAGGGTGTTGATTTCAGATCTTTCCTGCTTTCTCCTGCAGGCATATAGTGCTATAAATTTCCCTTTAAACACTGCTTTAGCTGTGTCCCAGAGATTTTGGTATGTTGTTTCTTTGTTCTCATTGGTTTAGAAGAACTTATTTATTTCTGCCTTAACTTCATTTTTACCCAGTAGTCATTCAGGGGCAAGTTGCTCAGTTTCCATGTAGTTGTGCAGTTTTGAGTGAGTTTCTATTGTTGTTTTTATCATACAGATAACATAGACAAAATAACCTCAAGAGCACAGATTAATAATAACATGCAGTAAAATAATTAAGACAAAATTTGTTTTGAGTATTTGCTAACTTTGTTTTTGGTAATGTTTATTTACTTAAAAGTTCATATAATTCAGTTTTTAGTAATGGTATGTTTACCAACTGGTTCACACAGTTTTCTATAATTTTAATGATTGACTATTGCCAGTCAGTTCCAGTTGGCTGCAGCACACCACTGCTACAAATATAAATGCAAACCTTGGTGTGTGCTTCAAAAGTGCCTTGAATAATCTCTTCCACACTATAAAGCAAATAGAATCAGTGTATATCACCCTTATTTACAACATTTTAGAATTTGGTCTAAGAGCAAATTAATTTTATGGCCCATTCTTTGATCATCCTTAAAAGGTGAATGGTGGATTTTAATACCAAACTTTTATAGAGTCAATAATGTCAAATTAAGTAATTTTTGTCTATAATTGATGGTGGATGCGTGCTGGAATCAAAGTTCTCCAGATATATCTTCCAGTTTACATAAAACTCTGTGTCCTGTGACTTACTCTTTCTTGCCTTCTTTCCTAAGTTCCTACCTGCCAATCTTCCTGCTTTCTCTCCTCCCTTTCTTCATTCTTTCCTTCCTTCCTTACAAGTTTGTTTCTCAGTGTTCTTCAGAGAAACAAAACCAATAGTGTGTGTGTGTGTGTTGTGTGTGTCTGTGAATTTTAAGGAATTGGTTTACATGATTGATTATGAAGGTGTAATAACTATTTTTGATCATTTGTACTTGAAGATTTGGTACCTTTCAGTCATGAGATTGTGAAAGGAAAATAAATCTTGGAACCTCAATATCACTAATCCAAAGGGAAGAGTCAAGCTGGAAACTATGTCAGACAAACTTGCCTCCCATTTATTTGTATATAAGATAGCCACAGAGATAAAAGAAAAAGAAAAATAAAAAGAATCCCCACATACTTTCCTTACAATTTGCCCACAAGGAAATTTCTTGTGGACAGGGGACAGATGGAACTCGATATCATCTTTCTGTTCACATGAGACAAATGCATATCTGATTGCTTCCTCTGCCCTATTGTATCACTAAGCCAGACTAAGTTATAAGTGACTATTCCACTGCTCTACTATCACATGTAAATTGTGTATTCTAATCAGATACTCAACAGAATGCAACCATTTGTCTCTTATTGACTTATGACCTGATAGCCCCCTTACGCACCTCAAGTTTCCCCACATTTCCAGACTGAACAAATGTACATCTTACATATGTTGACTGATGTCTCATGTCTCCCTAAAATGTATAAAACTAACCTATGCCCTGACCACTTTGGGGACATGTCATCTGGACCTCCTAAGGCTGTGTCACTGGCACATCTTTAATGTTGGCAAAATAAACTTTCTAAATTGATTGAGACCTGTCTCAGATATTTTGGATTTTCAAGGTCATGTTAACAGCGCAAGGTAGTTTACACCTCCACCATCCCAATGTTTTCATGGATGTGTGAAAATCTCATTATAAACTTTCCATACATAAGCCTCAACCTGTGTGTTTCACTTTTTTCCCAATAGGGAGCATTCTCATGTTGCCACTTCCTGCCATTATTGTAATAAAGGCCTGGTTATGGTTTCTCTGCACTCCCTCTCTCTTGTTCCCTCTCCCCCGCCCTCTCTGTCTCTCTCTCTGCTTCTCACTGCAAGTGACTGCATATGGCCCCAGGTGGCATGTCATACCTCTTATTCTCTGGGGTAACTGTAATGAATTCTTCTCTCAAAGGCAATTGTCTCCCTTTCTGTTATCTCATCATACTTGATTAAAGCAAATCCTGGGTACATTTTAAAACAAGAGGCTGTCAGGTCTATAACCTTCAGGGTGAGCTGGCAGACTGGAGACTAGAGAAGAACTGATGATGCTGTTCATGTCTGAACGCTATCTACTGTGGAGCTTCTCCTTCTCAGGGGAGGTCAATCTTTTGTTGTACTCACATTTTCAACTGTTTTGATGGGGCCACTGATGTTAAGGAGGGCAATCTGCTTTATTCAAAGTCTAAGGAGTTACAGGTTAATGTCATCCAAAAACACCCTCACAGAAACCTTCAGAATAAAATTTCACCTCATATCTGGGCACTGTGATTCGGGCAAATTAACACATAAAATTAACCATCACAAGTCTGTTTGCTGTCATTTTGGGACTCATACATATCTCCTTAAACTATATTTAATGTACAAATGAAGACAATAACAAGGTCAATAACAACCTACCATGATAATACTACCCCATATACATATGGAAATGCATTAATACTATTAGCAGAAGATGATGTAAACTCTTTGGGTGTTCTTTAATCTCTCCTATATATCCCATAAGTAAATATTGTGATGTAAATTTAAAAATCTTAACTAATATAATATCAAGTAAATATACCTTATGAGATAAGACAATAAGAAAAGGAAGAAAAGAAAGTTATCATTATACAAACATATATTTGTGTTCATGATAAAATAAAGCAATACAACAATTACAATTTTCTTGTCTGTAACTGCTCACATTATTATAGCTGGTATTTATGACTACGTTCCACTATACTTTCCATATATCCTTTACCCTCTGAAATAATCTCAGGTGGCCATTTTTCTTTACCTAGTAGGGTGCCTTAAACCTTAATTCCTGGAGGGTCTTGGCCATTAGAAGTGCTGCTTGAATTCACTTGTTATAGTTTCCCATTGACTCTAAACACAGCACATGGTGATACTAAGAGACACCAAAGGAATCTTATGTATTTCGCACATAGTCTGCTATGTCTCTACTGTGGAACGTCAGCCCAATTTCCCATTGGGGCTCAGAATCAATTATCCCAGCCAGCACAGTAACTCATTTCTTTGCCTATTGAGAGGCATGAGGATCCCAAAGTGGCTGAGTAACAGTCTTAGCTTCCACAGAAGTTAGGCATCTCATGGAATAATTGTTGTGTCTCATGGAGGAAGCATTCCTCCTTCTGGGACTAATATCTCTAGGCCAGCAGAGCATAAGGTCTTGGGAAGAGGAAGCAATAATAATTTGCTTATGTGCTGATAAATAGTATAGCAAATGGTGCTACTCCCATTTTCAACCCTTGATTCCTGAATTGATGAATCATGGTTATGGGAGAGACAACGCTACATACAGGTCACTCAATTAGCGCATATAGAGCCCGTTGGAGAACCTTACCCCCTCCTGCAAAGTGTTGTCAATTAGTGGGTGCTGTAACTGAGTCTTCAAGAGGCAATTCCACTCTTATATCAAGCCAGTTGCTTCAGGGTGGTGGGAAACATGGAAGGAAAGTGGATTCCATGAGCAAGGGCCCATTGTTGCACTTCTTTTGCCATGAGATGAGGCAAATACAATTGATCAGAAGCAATGCTGTGTGGAATGCCATGACAGTGGACAAGGCATGCTGTAATTCGATGGATGGTAGTTTCGACAGATGCATTGCATGCAGGGAAAGCAAATCTATATCCAGAGTTAGTTTCTATTTCAATAAGAACAAGATGCTGCTGCCTTCATAATGGAAGGGGTACAATGTAACTAACCTGGTCCAATGTAACAGGTAGCTTGTCTGGTCACCTTGTGGAATGGTGCCATATTGGGGACTCAGTGTTGGTTTCTGCTGCTGGCTCACTAGGCACTCAACAGTGGCTGTATCCAAGTTGGTTTTGGTGAGTACAGGTCCAGGTTGATAATCCCATGTAAAATTGCCATCCCTGGCACCATGGCCACTTTATTCATAATCCTACTGAGTGACAAGGGTGGCTAGGAAAAGCGGCTGACTGGTATCTGCAGAACCTCAGAATGGGTCAGCCTCTTAACTTGGTTATTAAAATTCTCCTCTGCTGAGGTCAACCTTTAGTGAGCATTCATATAGAGCACAAACATCTTCAAATTGTTTATCCATTCAGAGAGGTCTATCCACATACTTCCTGTCCAAGCTTCTTTATCATCAATTTCCATGTTTCTTCCAAGTTCCTTATCATCCAGATGAACTGTTTTCGACAACCCACTGACTAGTATATCATCCTGTGTCTGGCCATTTCTTCTTCCAAGCAAAATGCACAGTCAGGCACATTGCTCGAACTTCTAATTGTGAGGATTTCCCTTTACCACTCCTCTTCAAGGACATCCCCAAAAAGGAGGTGGTGGTGGTGGGGGCTACTCTTTAGCAATTCATTTTCAGGTAGTGCTTGCATATCCTGAAGAACCATATGTACAACAAGTATGAGTTTTCTATTCTGCTGTCAATTGATTCCATGATACTCCCTGTGAGGCACTTGGTGCAGCTTGGGAAAGCAAAAGTAGCATAAGAGCAGCGGGGACCATGAGCATTTGAGCCACTTCTTCATGTAATTCACTTGTGCCTTCAGGGCCTGCTCAGGCAAGATCTTGTATACACCACTTCCATCTGATGATGAAATGCTGCTGTGCAAGCATAGCTTTATGGTTTGGGAGGCTAGATAACATCCAGTTCATGATGAGTAGCTCAGGTCACATGGCAACTTGGTGGCCCACAGTTAAGCAAGATCAATAGCTGAATACTAGATACCAGGAGACGTGTTCATTTGTGCAAGTAATAAAACCAGATCTGGCACAGCAGCTGCAACTGGACTCAACACCTAGTTAAGCTTATGATAGTCCAAGATCATTCTCCAAAATCCACACAGGCCAAATAGGTAAGTTCAAATAGGGATTTGGTGGAAATTACGACCCCTGAAACCCTTAAGTCCTTGATTGTGACACTAATCTCTGAAACCCTCCAGGAATGAGGTATTGCTGTTAGTTTCCTATTTTTGTAAGTAGAGGCAGTTTTTGTCGCTTCCACTTGAACTTCTCTGGCATATTAGCCCTCACTCCCACAGAACAGGGAACCAATGTAGGGATTCTGCCAGTTATGGGGCATGTCTCTATTCCACTGATGCATTTCAGAACTGGGGAAACAACCACAGGGTGGATTTGGTGAGCCACTTTGCCCACTGTGAGATGGATCTGATCTAAAACTCCATTGTTCACCTGATTTCTACAAGCCCCTACTCTGACTGGTAGACCACAGTGATGTTTTGTGTCTCCTGAAATTTGTATCAGTTAAGAGCTGGTGCCCAGTAATCCCCAAAATGTCTGATTATTTCCTTTTCTCCAATTCACAGACCTCCTGCTACAAGGGCATAAGCCCCTTTGGGGGAAGGGTGAAATGAATTGTAATGATGTAAAATTTTGGCAGTGTACTGGGGTTTTTCCTCAAGAGGACCTTGCCTCCCCTCTTCATTCAAGGGGTGGTGGATCTGCAAAAGTGGCTCAGTTCTGGGGACTGATTGAGGAGTTGACTCTGTGAGATTTGTCTGTTTGTTTTATTCAAGTTAGATGTGCTAACTTTGTTTTATTCAAGTTAGTCTTTTGTTCACTTGACCTATAACTTTTCTGGTTATGTGGATTAAGTAAAAATTTAGTAGGTTTTCTATCTCTTTCACATCTAGGATCACTACGATCAACAAGCCCAACAGTGTAGGTCTCTCAGAGTCAGACTGTTCTGATTTTTGTTTTGATTTTGCTGTCTCCTGTGTGAAACATGACCACCTTGCCTTTCACAGTCAAGTGCTGCAACTTGGACTTTGACACCCTGAGATCCAGTTACTCCCACTGAATTTAGGTTTTTCAACTCAGTGGCAGCAGTTTCTGTCTTTACAGAAGAGCAATCACAGAGCTCTTCAAGGTTGCTGGGGTACCCTTCAAAAATTTGTTTCTCACAGTCTGGTGAAGGATGTGTCCTCTGGACCCTCCCAGGGTGGCTGAATAGGTCTTAAATGACAAATTCACTCTAACACCTTAATTCCCCTAGGCCTTTGAATCCCTTTAAGGCAGGTCTGGCAATTACAGTTCATTTACTGTGGGCCACATTTTGGTCCATCTTTTAGTCAACCAAAGAAGCAGAGTTTTTCCTGAGCTGCAGCATTAAATGAAGACTCTTGGCTTAGTGGGTCCATAATATTATATTCAGCCTGATCAAACCTTAACTTCCTTCTACCATCCTCACACATCTTAGCATCCATTTTCACAAACCTTTCCTGTATTTCTGTCTGTATGAATTAAAAACATTGAGTAGCTATTTCGGAGTATAGCATGCCTTTTCATGGATCACGCTTTTTACCTCAACTTTCAGGGCCTGCTAATATTGACTTTAATTATAAGTCTAGAAGCAAAGAGGGTCTATAGAAGTGGGTCTTGTGAAGCTTCAGCAGTGTCATGCAATGGAACTGCTTCAGGAGAGAAAATTACGGTTTTTCTCAGGCAGTGTTTGGTTAATCACCTCAGAAGGGAAAATAGCTGGAGAGCCTGCATATACTGACAAAGAAGTTTGAGAATGTATAGGCTTAGTGTCCCCAGCTTCATCAGGTCTTCCCACACATCCCACCCCAGCTGTTAGAAATCCACTCTTTCCCAAACAATGCCTTTTAACAGTAGATATCCTTCAAAGTTAGGATTTAAATTTGCACTGTAATTCAAGCACTCACATTATGAAATTCTTGGTTAGGTTTTCAGCAATCTCAGCACTACAGCTACAGGAAATAAAGGTCTCTTTCAGGACAGACACAGAAGATTTCAGGACATTTATGCTGTGCTTGAGCAGGCAATTTGAATCCCTGACCTCACCTTTTTCTTTTCCTAATTTATCCAGTGACATTAGGAAAAACCAGCCTGATACAGTTTGGGTGTGTCCCCACCCAAATCTCATCTTGAACTGTAGTTCCCATAATCCCCATGTGTCACGGGAGGGACCCAGTGAGAGGTAAATGAATCATGGGAGGTGGGGTTACCTCCGTGCTGTTTTTAAGAAAGTGAGTTCTCAGGATATCTAATTGATGGTTTTATAAGGGGCTGTTTCCCCCCTTTGCTCGCCACTTTTCCTTCACACTGCCATGTGAAGAAGGACGTGTTTGCTTCCCCTTCCGCCATGATTGTAAGTTTCCTGAGGCCTAGCCATCCCTGCTGAACTATGAGTCAATTAAACATCTTTTCTTTATAAATTATCCCATCTTGGATATGTCTTTGTTAGCAGTGTGGGAACAGACTAATACACAGCAAATCTCATTATACTCATTCGTTTGACAAAAATATTTGAAGGTATCATGTACACAGTCATCCAGATCCCTGACTGCTATGTGTTTGGTTAAGAGTATCCAATGATGATATTTTATGTATCTCTATTACCACATCATGCCATGGACTACCAGTGCTCTTTACTACTGGAGATAGAGTCCTAAGAGTCCTTCCTGTCTTTAATCACATTAGAGAGCCAGAACCAAGTAAGAAAACTGATCCTTAAGATTCTGTTCTCTGGGATCAGTCCTGATCCCACGATTTGTATTAACCAGGATTCTCTGGAGAAACAGAGCACACGTGCACACACACACACAGATATTATTCATATAATTATATATATAATTTATTTACAGGAATTGGCTCCATCACTAATGGTGGCTGGAAATTCCAAAATCTATAGGGTAGACCAGAAGGCTGGGGTCCCAAGACAGAGCTGATGCTGAAAGCCATCAGGCTAGAGATCCAAAGAGCTGAAGTTACATTTCAAGCCTAATGAAGGTTGTCTCCTGCAGAATTTCCTCTTGTTCAGAGGTATTCGGTCTTGTGCTCTATTCAGGCCTTCACCTTATTGAAGAGGCCCACCCACATTATGGAGGGCAATCTGCTTTACTCGAAGTCCACAAATTCCACAGATTTAATAGGTTTCTTCATCTTAAATCACCCTCACAGAAACATCCAAAATAATATTGACCACATATCAGCACCATGACCCAGCCAGGTTGAGAAAAAAACTAATAATCACACTTTCTTTCTCTCTCTCTTACTCTCTCGCTCACTCTCTCTCTCTGTGTGTGTCTCTCTCTCTGTCACATGCGTGCATGTGCACACACACACACTGTGTTGTTTTATGGCAAGATTTTCAGGGATTGTGGTTTATATAATACTTTTTTTTTCACATAAATTATTCTACCACAAACATACGTAGTAGTAGTTAAGGAAAACATTGATACATCTTTTCTACGGATGAAAAGATTTCATCTCAGAGAGGTTACCTGATTTGCTCAAGTTGGAACAGCCAACCTTTGTCGAACTGAGAAGTTAAATGCAAACCTTCTGACTCAAGTTTCTTGGCTCCATCCCTTCTTTTTTAGTCCTCAAGCCCTCAGCTGACAGTGCACTGAAGATTGCATTACTGTCCATATTTTGAACCACTTACTGACATTTAAAGCAACATAAGTCACCCTGGCTTTTTTCAATGTGTAGTCTGCAAGGCATGGGGTGAGGGTGAGCGTATATCTGGTGTCATTTTCTAGATTTTTTTTTTTATTTTTATGCATGAATTATATTTGATTTTCATTGCCGTTCATTGTTAGCCACACTCAAGAGAGACCAGAGTTGATGATGTGGTTGCAGAAGGAGTAAGATGAATAAGGATCTGCTTTCCATTCAGCCTGATTGTCTTTCACACATGAGCTACATGTGAATCAGTAAGAAAAGGAGGCCTGAGGCATTTCTCTCCACTCTTAAGGCTTCCAGCCTTTTTACTCCTCACATGAGCTAATGCATTCAGCTTTTATAATTAGCCTGCATGGACTCCATTGCCTTGGATTCAGTGCTGTTTTGTAGCTGTAGCAACAGGCAAGGACTTTATTTTTAAATGATAAGCCCATGGATTAGACAGTATACTTTTAGCCTGGGTTAGCCTATATTTCATTGACCATTCTTAAATAATAAGAATGAAATGATACGCTTCACAAGATAGTTGGAGAGAAGTACAAAAGGAACCAAAGAGATAGACAGAACCTGACGTTTTTAATAAAAATAATACAATGGGCTCAGCAAATTTAACCTTGAGCTTAAACTAGTAACTCATATTGTGTTAATATTGACTTTTTTTTTTACAAAGCCTTTCTTATTACATGAAATATATACATTGGGGAAGTTTAATAGCCCTCCGTGATGGCTCCAAAGCACTTTCCTGTCTATCCTAAAAACAACAAAAATATTTGGTGGGACATATTCAGTCCAACTCACTGAATCTAGTTAACATCTTCCTTATGTTCTGCACTGTGCTAGGGAAGGTGAGGAATGCAGCGATGTAGCTACTTCCAGTGACATAAAAGGGCATAGATTTGACATGTTTCTGGTGGCCCTTTATAGAGCCAGTGCTGTTTCAGGCACCCTGACACTCAAAGAGGAAACTAAGAGAAGAAGTTTAAAGTGTTCACTCTTTAATGAGCTTGGAATGTAATTGGGACTAATAGTGAAACATAAAACCTTACACTTGGGAACGGAGTAGAGAAAAATTATTAATCCGTTCATTGCTGGACTGTTAAGTGCAATGGGGCTTCTGAGAATAAAAGAAATCAAGGTGTACTGGTGCATTTTAAAGGGGGTGGGAAGTTATTGCCAAACTGGAACTAGAAGGGTAGGTAGGATTTATACCGACAGAGGGGAGGAGAATGAGGAAAAATTGAATACGGGCACAGAGATGTGAATGAGCATGACAAATGTGGGAAGCAGCAAGGAGAGTGACGTAGACATGAAAGGACCATTGACAGCATCATAGGAATGGTTCCCATGGGGCCAGGAAGGGCAAAATGGATTAGAAACCAGAGAACCAGAAGTTGCTGAGGAGGAATTAGCCTGTCTCTGCACTTACTGAGTGAGTGGCCTTGGTGAGGTCACCTAGTTTCTTTGTGCCCTGGCTTAGCAGCTGTCATGTGAGGATGCCACCATAGCCTGCTGCACTCTCACACTTGCTGTAAAAGCTACAAGAGATGATGCCTGAAGAAGTGATTTATAACAGTAAAATCAACCCCGATACCCCTTCTATTTTGTATTATTCCAGCATGGTAAAGAAAATGCTCCTCTGTCCGCAGCAGTGTTTGCTGTTTAGTTGGCTGCAGGCAGAAGGCTACTGCATGGAGAGACAGAAGTGCTGATTGTTATGAAGGTAATTTTTGGCCCTGGAGAAGACTAAGCCTGGAAACCTGGACACAGGGGAGACAGATCAGTTCTGTGAGAGGTGTTTTTCAGGTTCTCTACTGGGATGTATATGACCATGACCTCTCTGAAAGAGGAGACTTGTCTCTGACATCAGATTAAACAATTGACAAAACTGTACATAAAGGTCGTTGAGGTGTGGTGGAAAGATACCTGGATTTGGAGTGAAATCTATATGAGATCAGATATGGGGGTTCACCCTATAGTAAACATGTGAACTTAAGCAAGCAACTTCTTTTTTTTTGGGTGCGATTCCCTCATCTGCCAAACTAAAGTGAAAACAGTATCTGTCTCACCTGCTTATGCAGAGTGTTGTTGCATATATCAAATTCACAACATGTGAGAGGTTTTGGTAAACTCTAAACTGCTCGATCAGCATGCCTTATTTTTATTTTTCTTATCAATAAATAAAGACTGAGTTTTCTGACCAGCTAATATTTTAGGATTCTCTGTCATCATTTGATTATATTTCAGAGACCTAGTTATGCCCTAGCACAGTATCAGTATGTCAGTTAGGTTGAATTCTTTGGGCATTTATATAATAAAATTGGAACTCCAATATAGGATGAAGATCACAGTGCTATAAGCTGTTTTTTTAAAGGGTTGGATCTGCAGTCAAACATAAGGGCAATTTCTCTCAGCTCTATTTTACTCTGCCTGATCATTTGCTTTATGTACCCCAAAGTGCAGAGTTCAATAAGGTTTTCAGAATATTCTATTTGCGAAAGTGTTCCCACTCAGCTTCACTACTTTACAAACCTAACACCAGTCTGAATGAACCTGCCTGAGTTTAGTGTCCCCTTCATAATATTATAGCATTCTAGCCCTGGCAGCATTTCTCTGTTCCTCTGAAGAAAAACAAAACAATACACAAAGGGCTTCTCAGTTTGGGTCTTAATTTCACTAGGTTGTCAATTTGTCTCAAGTTACAAAAAATGGCTCACCCACTTGGAGGGCACACACAGGGTTGGAAAAGGACAAGTGTCTTGTGATAATGTATTTACAGAGTGCCTTTAGAAAACCACGAATCTCTCCAACTAAGGGAGTGGGATGGTGGAAAGTGGGTCCTCTCTTCATATCCACTCAGACAAGCAAGATGGCCTTCAAGGAGACCATTCCCTAGAACATCAAGTGTGCCACCTCTCTATGAGGGATAAGCTGTGGTGGCTTGGGGCCAGGAGCCTGGGCTGAGAACACCTACCCTGTCCCCCAGCTCGAGCCCCATGCTAGGACCTCATTGAGACTTCAGTGAGACAGCCACTGTTTGGTGCAATTGATGAATAGGCTAAATATTTTGGAATTGTGTTTGATGAAGCCCCCTTCAAACCCTTACTAAAATGGATAGTACTGCAATTGTTAATGGTATATTTAGGTCCATTGAGATTTGGAACATGATGGAAATTGGGGCCACTTTTTGTCATGTAAGAAGAATTATACCTCCTTGTGTTACTTCTGAAACTCAAAAGTAAAAGGAGGACAGTCCCAGTTTTATAACTAGAGCCACAATAATTACTAGGAATGCTGTTTGGTTCAGTATATTTGTGATTTTTTATTGTCTGGAATACATTATATTGATAATAATGGCTATTATTAGAATTATGGGTGTGGTTGCTTGTGTGAGGAAATATTTGGTGGCTGTTCCTGTGGAGCAGGGGTTAACCTTTTATATTAGAATAGGGATGATAACCAGCATATTTATTTCTAACGCTATTCAGATTAGGAGTCACTGTGAATTGATTATTGTAATTAAACCCTGTAAAAATAGTGAAAAGGATGATAAGGCACATCAGGGGGTTAATTACTATGAAAGGGATATAAACCAACATTTTTGGGGTATGAACCTGACAGCTTATTTGGCTGACATTACTGTAGGATAAGGTGTATTAGGTAACACAGATAATTTTGAATTTTAATTTCTACATTTTTTATATTTTTAATTCCTATAATTCTAAAAATAAGATGATTTAATCTTTACAATTTACTTTCTCAAAGTAATTATTTTATCAAACATATTTTTTATGTTTGTTGCAGGATATTATATATTAAGATGGACATTGAAATGTGTCATATGTGTAAGGCTAGTGTAAAGGGTGGAAAATACTTTCATAAGAGATGTATAAGTGGATCATCTAAGAATTGTGGGTATGATGCCTGAATTCTTAAAAACAAGGGTGTTAGTAGAAGTGTTTTGGTGGTGAAATTAATTGTATTGTATTAATTGTATATAATATTAATTGTATATAATTACAATTAATGTGAAGATGTCATGTCGTGCTCCTAGAAAAATAATAACCACCAGGGCATTTATTCTCTTATACTAATATTATAATAATATCTACTGTGAAGAATAGAGTGAATGGCCCTGCAGCATATCTGATGTTGAAGCTTGAGACTGGCCCTGACTCACCTTCTTTTAAATCAAATGAGGCTCAATTGGTTTCTGCTAGGGTTTAAATAAATCATATCATGGCCAGGGCTCATGATGGTAAAAGTAATCACACAGACTCTTGTGTGATGACAAGAGTTGAGAGGGTGAATAACCCACTTATCAGAAGTACTGATAAGAGAATAATGGCCAGGGTAACTTCCTATGAAATTGTTTGGGCTATGACTCACAATGCACTAGTTGATGCATATTTTGAATTGAATTCTCATCCTGATCATATGATTGAGTAGACAGCTAGGCTTGATGTGGCTAAGATGAATAATACTTCTATAATCATATTAATTAAGGGGTGGGTATAGGGAGAAGGATTCATATATGAGCATGAAGGTGAAGGTGAGGGATGGAGTGATAATATAAAGGGGAATAGATGATGTTAGTGGTCATAGTTGCTCTTTAATGGATAGTTTTATTGTGTCAGCAAAAGGTTGTGGGTAGTCTGTATGGGCCTACAATATTAGGACCTTTACAAAGTTATATGTGACCTAAAATTTTTCTTTCATTTAATGTTAACACTGCTATGATGAGAATGGCAGGGACAATAAATAGGAGAAGGTTAATTATAAACATGCTGTTAAGAAGAGGGATTTAACCTCTGATTATAAAGTTTTATACAATTACAGCTCTGCCATCTTAACAAACTCTATTCTTGGACAGGGTGTAGAAATAGTGTATTCGATTTAAATAATATCATCTATTAACTCGAGGGCACTTTTTGAAGTGGGCCCTGTTTCTCTTGTCCTTTTGTACTGAGAGAAATATTGAATAGATAGCAGCTTACCTGGATTACTCTGGTCTGAACTCAGATCACATAGGACTTTAATCATTGGACATATGAGCCATTAATTGTAGTTACATCATTGGAATATCCTGATCCAATATCGAAGTCATACACCCTATTGCTGATACGGATTCTAGAATAGGATTGTACTGCTATCCCTAAGGTAACGTGTTCCATTGCTCAAACTACTTGGGTCAATGTGTAATAGATTACCTTGACTAGTGTGGTCCTAGCTGAAATCATTTCAGAGGTTGTGTTATGCTCTGAGGTCACCCCAACCAAAATTTTTGGTTCATTAGATAAAATGTATTGCCTACACGTCTAAGTTAGAAAAATATGAAAATACATCAAAACACTGAAAAAATGTGCTTGTTTGTATAAAATTTAAAGAATACATGCCATGGTGGTACACTAGATATTTAAAAATAAAAATAATTACTCCCAAAAAGACCTATTAAGGCTTTTTTATAAGTTTATTTCTACTAATAAATTGAAACTCCATAAGGTTTTTTTTATCTTACTTAAATATTTCTGCCTCTCCACAGATAGGTCAATTTCACTGATTAAACGTAAGAGACAATTAAACCCTTGTGAGGCCATTCATGGAAGTTCCCATTTTGGGAACAAATGATTATGCTACCTTAGCATGGTCAGGATACTGTGGCTGTTAAACTTATGTCACTGGGCAGGTAGTGCCTCTAATACTAGTTATGTCAGAGGTGATGTTTTTGGTAAACAGGCAGGGTTTGATTTTGCTGAGTTCCTTTTACTTTTTAAAATCTTTCCTTAATGCATCTGTGTGTTAGGTTACCAATTGGGACAATAAAAAGTTTATAATATGATTATCTGTATTGGATTATTAACTCTCAGTGGATTTTCCAGTTTGACATAAGCTTATGCAAAGATTAAGCTTACGCAAAGACTAAGCTTATGCAAAGACAATTATTTATTGTTACTTATACTAACAGTATTTCTTCTATTTAAAAATAGATTGGTCCAGTATAGTGTTAGAAATTAGATGTAGTGATTGAAATTAAGGGGTTTCAAATGTTTAACTTCAATGATTTCTTAATCGGTGTCTGCTTTTAGGCAAACTAAAGGAGTTTTGTGTCTTACCGTTAGTGAAAAAGTGATTTCCTACATCTAAAGAGCTGTCCCCCTTTAGACTAACATATAAAATTACAATAGGATTAGACAATTCTATAGGTAAACTTAAAGTTAAACTTAAATTCTATCTTGATAAAACCAGCTGTCACCAGGTTCGGTAGGCCTTTTACCTCTACCCATTGATTTTCTCATTATTTTGCTGTATAAATGAGTGTGTTCTCTTGACTTTCTATGGGTAGCTCCTCTGGTCTCAAGGATTTTAGCTAAAAAGTTCTCTTAGTAATATTATACTAGTTAATTCATTATGCAAATGTTAGAAGGGATTATCTTTGCCTTTCTGTATTTGTAATTATTCTTTCATGGTTCCCTTAAAGTACTTTATTTACAGCCTAAATAAGTTAATTTCAATCTCCTATACTTTTGTTTTGGATAAATGTTTTGGTTTAGAAAAAGTTGATAATACAGTTTTTAAAGTTAGAGCTAGCATTGGTTCAAAGTGGTCATGTCATATGATATCTTCTGGGTTTAAGCCACCTGCTTTCAGTTAAGCTACACTTGATTATTCCAGGCACATTTTCCAGTATGCTTACCTTGTCATGACTTATTTCTTCTATATATGTATAAGGTTATGTTAATTATTAATATATGGTTAATTGGAATATTTGAGGAGGGTGATGGACAGTGTGTGTATGCTTCATGGCCCTATTCAATGAAGCTCTTTATTCTTTGTTTACTACTAAATCCTCCTTTGACCTTCAGGATTCACGGGTATTCTAAATTTAGAAAATGTAGCACATTTATTTCCATTTCATAGGCTACACCTTGACCTAACATTTTTATGTAGATTGTTGTGCTTACTTTAAGACCATTTTGGGGTTTACTGAAGATAGTGGTATATAGGCTGAGTGGTAAGAAATGGTAGGGTGTATCGGGGTTAATTAATTATAGAACAGTCTCCTCTAGAAGGATGTAAAGCACCATGAATTCCTTTGATTTTTAAGCTATTGCTTGTAGTACGCTGGTGTATAATTTTTTTGTTAAATTATTTGAGCGTATGGCTAAGCAGAGTGGGGCATCTAATCCCAGTTTAGGCATTAGCTATTGTGTTCTCATGATACTATGAAAGTCACTTTCATAGTTTGTTGTTATTTCGGCTGGAGCTGTTTGCAGCTTAGTTAAAGTTTAACTTTGTTAAGAGAGTTACCTTTAACACGCTTTATGTTGGGTTTTATTAGTTTGGATTAATTGCACGGATGTGGTGGCTGGCACAAAGTTTACCAACCCTAGAAATTTAGTATAGCATAGTCAAACTTTTGTTTATTGCTTAATTTTGGTCACTTCTGTTCCTTACAGGGAGTGTTATGAGCTGCTGTTATTCATGCTTGATGCCTGTTCCTTTTGATATTAAATGATCTAGAGGGCATTCACACTGGGATGTGTATACATGCATGTGTAATCTTACTATAAATGAATAAAAGGTCAGAACCAAGACTTTATGTTAATGGAATCATGTGTATTCATCTAGGCATTTTTCAGTGCCTTGCTTTGATGAATTAAGCTACATTAACTTGGATCTAGAGAATTTCCTTTTGATTTAAAAATGAAGGGTTGGATTGCTGTGATTCTCTTGGGACAATATTTAGTAACTTTACAAATAAAAGATTCTTTTTTAAGCCAAGGAAGCCTGTTTTTTAATAGAAAAATTGTGTATTTTTAAATTAAATTAATTTGGAGTTTGGCTATAATGTGTTTGTATTTGAGATTGTAATTGGATTTTGGGTGTGGACCCTGGCTGTAATTGATGATCTATGTTTCTGGTTTTGGGTGTTTGTAAAGAATAATAACATATCTGATAAAATTAGACTAGTCTAGGGGTAAGGTGGGTGAGGGGGTTTGTGGATTTAATCAGATAATTGTTTGGAGAAAATCGTGTATGAACATGCATGAACATGCACTTCATTATCGTTATTTCCATCACAAATGAATAAATTAATAACTGTGGTTGTAAATGTTGACTCATACTATTCAAGACCAGCTACAATTGAGTTTGCTGGGTTTAGGCTTCTGCCATGCTGGATCATAGCATACTCAATTTTTAAAAAATTACCAAATGCATAGCAGTGCTCCCATGAGGGATCATGAGGTGATTAGTTATTAATCCTTTGAGATATCTTATTTAAGGGGAAGAAGTGAGTGATCTTTGTGTTTATGGCCTTGAAGGAAGAACCAGATACCAGCTATACTATCAACATAGTCAATTCTAACTGTCATGGGTACAGAGCGAGGAGGGTAGAACTTCCCAAATTGGTTGCTGATTTCTTGAAGCTTGGTAGTTAAGAAGATGAATTGGAGGGCATAAGCATGTTGAGAAGAAATGATTTGACTAAGATGTGCTACGTACAACAAATGAATGAATGCCCCATGTAATATTAAGGACTTACTGTACTGGACAATAGACATGTATACAGATTTGTTCTTGTTGCATTTCTAGTGGAATGTGCAATGAGTTATTATTATGAAAATATTGATCTTGCTAGATATTCATGGAAGCAGAGATTATTTAATGTACGATAATACATAGATTTATAGTGTATGATTAAACGTACATGGTAATGGTACATTGATTCCTGTGGGCAAGCAGGAATGCATGATGTACATAATTATGCCATTAATTTTTGTGGATTTTTTAATACTGAAATAGCCATTAAAACAAAATTATTGTATTCCAAGTAGAGAATTCAGGGAATAGTTTAAGTAAAATTTCAGCTTTGAGTGCTGGTGGTGAAGCAGGAAGATTTTTCCTTAAACTTTTTCTGGGGAGGAGGGCCATCCATTTTTGTGACTTGTGGAAAGAAGAGCGTTTCCTTTGTGTTTTCAGACATCCCCACCGTTCCACTACCAGAGAGCATGTTCGCGTGCAAATTTCACCATCACCAGTGCATCATATACATGCAGTTTCCACCATGCCACTGCTCTGTTGCTGCTGGCACACATGCATGCCACAAATCGCCACTGCTCTGCTGCCACCAGTGCATCTGAATGAGCATGGAACACACTGCCACTGCTCCAACAAAGTGCATTTGCTGGCACCTAACATCAGAGTATTATTGCCGGTGGACTGGGAACACCTTGAAGCCAGTAGTGCAGCAGGTGCTTAATCTTAAGGGGCCAGATAACAAAGCTTTGGGCCTGGTCTCACTCCCCCAGGGTTAGAGCAAGCAGCCCAGAAGTTCTGAGCTGAGCCTTGGACCTTGATGTCATCCAGAAATGAATCCAATCAAATAAACCCAACTTATACCACAAAAATTCAAGGGCATCAAATAACTTAAAAGCAAATTTCTACCATCCCAGCAATGGTTCTTTAACAGAAGGAAATGGCTGAAATGTCAGACATAGAATTCAGAATCTGGGTGACAACAAGGATCATTGAGATTCAGAATTGAATTGAAAGGCAATCCAAGCATTCTAAGGAAGCCGGTAAAATGATACAAGAGCTATAAGATGAAATAGTCATTTTAAGAAAAAAGCAAACTTACCTGATAGAGCTAAAAACCTCACTACAAAAATTTCATAATAGAATTTGAATTATTAACAGCAGAATAAACCAAGCTAAGAACAACAAAAATATTGGCAACCAATAATCTATATTCTGTCTCTATAAATTTACCCATTCTGCGCATTTCATATGAATGGAATCACATGATATGTGACCTTTTGTATCTGGATTCTTTCACTTAGCTTAAAGTTGTAAATGTTCATCCGTGTTTCAGCATGTGTAACACTCCATTCCTTTTTAATAATAGTGTTGTGTGGACATACTGCAATTTATGTTTCTATTTATCAGATGATGGACATTTGGGCAATCTCTATTTTGGATATCATCAACAATGCTTCCATGACCATTTTATACAAGTATTATTTGTCTGAATCTTATTTTCAATATCGTTGGGTATATACCTAGGAATGGAACAGCTGGATCACATGGTGATTCTATATTTAATGTTTTGAGGAAACACAAACTGTTTTCCAAGGTGACTGCATCAGTTTACATTCTCACCAGTAGTGTAACAGGGTTTCTATTTATCCACCCCTGCCCTACCAACACTTGCTATTCTCTGCCTTTTTTATTATAGCCAACCTAATGGGCATGAAGGGATAACACATTGTGGTTTTCATTTATATGTCTTTAATGGCTAAGAATGTTGAGAATCTTTTCATGTGCTTATTGGCCATTTGTATATCTTCTTTGGAGAAATGTTCATTCAAATCATTTTCATGCTTTTTATTTTGATCAACATTTTTAAACTATTGAGTTGCTAGAGTTTTTATATAATCTGAATAGTAGACCCTTATCAGCTTATGACTTGCACAAATTTTCTCATATATGTGAGTTTTCCTTTTTGTGAAACCACAAAAGCTTTTATTTAGATGAAGTCCACTTTATCTATTTTTTGTTGTTGTTGTTGCTTGTGCTTTTATTGTTATTGTAGAGAAACATTGCCTAAGTAATGATCACGAACAGTTACACCAAAGTTTTCTTCTAAGAGTTTGATTAATTTGAAGCTCATATTTAGGTCTCTGGCACATAGTGAGATGATTTTTAAATATGTTGTGATGTTGGAGTACAATTTCCTTCCTTTTGCATGTGCATATCCAGTTGTCTACCCACCATTTATTGAAAAACTATTATTTCCCCATTGAATAGTCTTGACATCCTTGTTGAAAATTGGCTGGTCATCATAAATGTATGTTTATTCCTGGATTCTCAATTCTATTTCATTGGTCTGCCACATAGCTTTGTAGTAATTTTTGAAATTGCTGGCAGATCTGAGCCCTCTAACATTTCTCTCCTTTTAAATTTCATTTATAAGTTTTATTTTAATTGACAATTAATAAATGTATATAATTACTACGTACAGTGTGTCATTTTGGTATATGTTTACTTTGTTGAATCATTACATCAAACTAATTAACAAAACCATCACCTCACATACTTATATTTTTTGCGGCAAAAACAACAAAAATCTACTCTTAGTAATTCTGAAATATACAAAGCATTATTAATTATTAGAATCACAATTCTGTGCAATAGATCACTAAAGCCTATTCCTTTAATCTAAATGAAACTTTGTACCCTTTGATCAGCATCTTCCATTTCCCTTCCATGCCCGTTCTCCAAACTCTGGTAAACACCATTCTACTCTCTACTTCTATGTCTCTGACTTTCTAAGATTTCACATATAAGTGAGGTAATGTGGTATGTGCCATTCAGAGACTGCCTTACTGAGCATAATGGCTTTGAGTTTCATCCATGTTGATGCAAACGACAGAATATCCTTCTTTTGAAGGAATAATATTATTCCATTGTGTACATATACCACATTTTTTGTATCCAGTCCTCCTTTTATGAAGACTGTGTTGGCTATTCTGATTACATTGCATTTCCATAGGAATGTTTGTAAATTTTTTCCAGCTTTATTGAGGTATAACTGACCAACAAAAGTCATATATATTTATTGCATACCATGTAGTTTTCATATATGTATACATTGCAAAATGACTGCCACAATCAAACTAATTGATATATAGATTATATTTCTTATGATGGGAACATTCAAGATTTACTATCCTAGAAAATTTCAAGAATAGAATACATTATCATTAATTACAGTTGCTTCATTATGCAATAGATCCACAGAATTAATCATCACATCTAACTGAAACTTAGTACATTCTGACCAAAATTACCCCATGTACCTTTGATCCCAACCCCTGGCAAGGACCATTCTACTTTCTGTTTCTACAAGTTGGACTTTTTTTAGATTCCACATTGCTTCAGATAGGACATTTATTCCCATCAAACCTTATGTTGTCATTTGATCCTCAACATTAGAGTTGATGCCGAATGGGAGGTGTGTGGGTCATGGGGGTAGACCCCTCATGAAGAGATTAATGGATTCCAGTCTTCTCATGAGAGCTGGTTGTTATAAAGATGCTGACACCTCTCTCTCTCTCTCTCTCTCTCTGTCTCTCTCTCCATGTGATCTCTGCACACACCAGCTCCCCTCTGACTTTTGTCATGAGTGGAAGCAAGCTTGAGGTCCTCACCAGATGCAAATGCCCAACCTTGAACTTTCCAGCTATCAGAATCATGAGCCAAATAAACCTTTTGTCATTATAAATGACCCAGCCTCAGGTTTTCATTTATATTATAAGAACTCCAAATGGACTAAGACAGAAAATTGATACCACGAGTGGGGTGTTGCTATACAAATATCTGAAAATGTGGAAGCAGCTTTGGAAAAGAATCATAGGCAGAGGTTGGAAGAATCTGGAGGGCTCAGAAAAAAGCAGAAATATGCGGGAAATTTTGGAACTGCTTAGAGATTGGTTAAGTGATTGTGATCAAAACGCTGACAAGATATAGACAGTAAAGGCCATGCTGGTGAGTTCTCAGATGGAAAGGGGGCACTTATTGGGAGCTCGAGCAAATGAAATCCATATTACACTGTAGCTAAAAACCTGTCTGCATTGTGTCCATGACCTAGGGCTTTGGGGAAGGCCAAACATAAGAGTGGTGACCTAGGGTATCTGGTGGAAGACATTTCTAAGCAGCAGTGCACTCAAGATGTGGCATGTTTATTTTTAATAGCTTATGCTGAATTGTGGCAGCAAAGGAATGAACTAAAAGTGAAATTTATAGTTAAAGGGAAAGCAGAGCATAATTTTTTTTTTAAATTTGCAGCCTGGTGATGTGGTAGAGGAGGAAAGAACATATTATAGAGAGGAATCCAGGGGTATTGGCCAGTGGGAGCAACAGGTTGCTAAAGAGTTTAGCATGACTAAGAAGGATCCGGGTGTTACTAGTCAAGACAATTGGGAAAAGGCCTCACAAGCATTTCAAAGGTTGCCTCTCTGATCATAGGCCCAGAGGCCCGGAAAGACAGAAAGGTTTCACGGGACAGACCCTGTGTACCACTGCCCTGAGCCACCTTGGGATGCTGCTCCCACATCCTGGTCACTCAAGCTCCACCCATGGCTCAAATGGCCCCAGGCATGGCTCAGGCTTTCACTCTGAAGGGCACAAACAACAAGCTTTGGTGGGCTCCAGGTGTTATTAATATTAAGTTTGCAGGTATCCAGAAGGCAACAGCTATGGAGGCTTGGTGGCTTCCAGCTGGACTTTAAAGGATATATGAGAAAGCCTGGGTGGCCAGGCAGAAACCTTCAGGGGTAGAGCCATCAACAAGAATCCATACCTGACTAATACATAGAGAAGCCACAGAGGTGAGGCTGACATTGGGACCCCAAAATAGTAGAGCCACAGGAGCATGCCACCTCAGCCTGAAAAAGCCTCTGGCATTTGATTCCAACCCCTGAGAGCAGCCACGTGGGCTATGCCCAGCAAAGCCATGGGGGCTGGGCTTCACAAGGCCTTAAAAACTCACCTTTTGCACCAGTGTGTCCAGTATGTGGTACATGGAATTAAAAGAGATTATTTTGGACATTTTAAGATTAAATGTCTGCCCTGCTGGATTTTGGAATTGTGTTGGACCTGTTACCACTTGCATTTGGCTTATTACTCCTTTTTGGAAAGGGAATTTGCCTAATGCCTGTATAGCTGTTGTACCTTGTAAGCAAATAGCTTGTTGTTGTTGTTGTTTTGTTTACTTTATAGGCTCTTAGTTGGAATTCCCTTTACTTCAGATGAGACTTTGGAATTTGAAAATTTGAGCTGATGCTTAAATAAGACTTTTAAGAGGGACCACTGAAATGGAATTATAATATTTTGCATGAGAGAAAGTTATGAATTTTACCAGGAAGGAGAGTGAAATAATGTGATGGCTTGGATTTTGTCTCCTCCAAACCTCCTGCTGAAATGTGATCCCAATTAGGTGGGACCTAATGGGAGGTGTCAGGATCATGGGGACAGATCACATGTTAGTAGATTAATGCCTTCCCTCAGGGATGAGTGTGTTCTCACTCTATTATTTTCCATGAGAGCTGGTTGTTAAAAAGAGCCTGTCACCTCCACACTGTCTCTCTTGCTTCCTGTCTTGCTATGTGATTGCTGCACATGAAGGCTCCCCTTTAACCTCTGCCATGACTGGAAGCAGCCTGAGGCCCTCAACAGATAGAGATGCCCAGCCTTTAGGTTTCCAGTCATCAGGATCATGAGACAAACAAACCTTTGTTCTTTATAAGTTATGCAGCCTCATGTATTCCTTTACAGTAGCACAAAATGGACTAAGATGCCCATATAAGTTAGATCATGCAGTACTTGTCTGTCTGTCCGTGGCTTATTTCACTAAGCATAATAGCCTACAGGTTCATCCTTGCTGTCAGATATATCAGGTTTTCCTTTGTTTTAATGGCTAAATAATATCCCATTGTGTGTGTGTATAAATATGTCTATATATACATGTATATCTCACATTTTTTATCCATTCATTAGTTGACCAAAGATTACGTTGAACCTAATCCTGTCTATTATGAAAAATGCTACAATGAACAGAGGTGTTCAGATATCTCTTTGGCATATTGATTTATGCACATATATATGTATATAAAGCATAAAGCCCGAGTGAAAGCCTGTACATATATATACATACAGAAATGGTATTGCTGGATCATACTGTAGCTGTACTAATTTACATTCCCACCAACAATGTACAATGGTTCGCTTCTCCCTCTCCTTGCCAACAGATAGTATCTTTTTGTCTTTTTGATAACAGACAGTCTAACAGGTGTGAGGTGGTATTGTGGTTTTAATTTGCATTTCTCTGATGGTAAGTGATGTTGAAAGGAATTTTTTTTTTCAAAAATCCATTGGTCATTTGTATATCTTCTTTGGAGAAATGTCTGTTCAGCTCCTTTGCCCATTCTTTAATCAAGTCATGTTTCTGGCTATGGAGTTCTTTGAGTTCCTTATATATTTTGATTATTAACCCAACAGATGTATTTTCTCCCATTCCATACGTTGTCTTCCCCCACTACTGATTGTTTCTTTTGCCACGCAGAAGACTTTCAGTTTGATGCAATCCCATTTGTCTATTTTTCCTTTCAGAGACTGTGCTTTTGGGGTCATAGCCAAGAAATCATTGTCCAGACCAATGTACAGATGCTTTCCCCTTATGTTTTCTTCTAGTTGTCTAACAGTTTCAGATCTTATGATTAATTATTTAATCCATTTTAGTTGACTTTTTATTTGATGTGTGATAAGAGCCTAGTTTTATTACATTGCATATAAATATCCAGTTTTCTCAACATCATTTATTTAAGAGACTGTCCTTTCACCATAATGTGTTCTTGTCCACTTTGTGGAAAATTAAGTCACAACATGTTGCAGTGGTCTATGTGTATGTTTTTATTCAAGTACCACGACCTCTTGATTAGTATAGCTTTGTACCATATTTTGAAATCAGGTAATGTGATCCCTCCACCTCCAGCTTTGTTCTTCTTATTCAAAATTGCTTTGGCTACTTGGAGTCTTTTGTGATTCCACATACATTTCAGGTTTTTTTTCTATTTATATGTGAAATATGCACTTTGAGTTTTGATAGAGATTGCATTGAATATGTAGATCACTTTGGGTTGTATGGGCATTTAAAGAATATTAATCCTTCCAATTCATGATCACAAGATATCTTTCCCTTTATGTGAGTCTTCTTCAATTTTTTGATCAATGTTTTAAAGATTTCAATGTACACATCTTTCACATTCTTGGTTGAATACATTCCTAATTATTTGAAAAATTCCCTTATAAATGGGATTATATTCTTCTCTTTATTATTTGAAGAATTTATTATCTGTGCATAGAAATGCTACTGATTTATTTCTTCTTCTTATTATTATTATTTTGAGACAGAGTCTCACTCTGTCACCGGGCTGGAGTGCAGTGGCACCATCTAGGCTCACTGCGACCTCTGCATCCGAGGTTCAAGCAATTCTTTTGCTTCAGCCTCCCGAGTAGCTGGGACTACAGGCATGCACACCTGGCTAATTTTTGTATTTTTAGCAGAGACAGGGTTCCACCATGTTGGGCAAGCTGGTCTCGAACTCCTGACCTCAGGTGATCCACCCGCCTCAGACTCCCAAAGTGCTGGGATTACAGGTGTGAGCAACCGTGTCTGACTGCTATGGATTTTTGTAGTTGATTTTGTATCCTAGCCACTTTATTGAATTTGTCTATAAGTTCTAAGAGCTTTCTGGTGGACTGCTCAGGATTTTCTATATATAAGAACATGTTTCCTGCAAATGAAGACAATTCTACTTCTTGTTTCCTATTTAGATGCCTTTTCTTCAGATTTCTTTTTCTTGTCCTACTACTCTGGCTAGTACTTCCCTTACGATATTGAAGAGAAGTGGCAAAAGTGGGCATTCTTGTCTCGTTCCTGATTGTAGAGAAAAAAAATCTACTTTTTGCTGTTGAGTATGATGTTAGCTGTGAAACTTTCTAAACAATTTAGAATAAAGTTTATTTGCAAAGCTTCAGATTGGGTTTTAAACAATGTCTCATTTGCTGGTGGTCATAATAATTTTACATCTTATGAATTAACAAATATGCTTAGTCCAGTTTTTTTGTGTTATAAAGGAAGACAAAATACATCTGGGTAAATTGTCTGAATAGATTTATCCTTGTCCTGTATAATGTGACAGTCCTTCAATTACCTTGATAAAAATAATTTAACAATTTTTACCTATAAACTGTTGGTCACTGGGGACTGCTCATGGACTTTCACAATATCCCACTTTCCTCATTCAATTTCTAGTTGACTAGCAGGCTAAGGGAATTGGCTGATTTGGAATCAATATCTGAAGTGGTTAGAGAAAGTCTTCTGCTCTGTGTCTTCCTGACCTACATTCTGAACACTCAGGTTTCACACAATGACGTCCTCTTCTCTTTCACCTTCCCTGACATACAATCAGAGATAAGGTCAAACAGAGTCAGGCAGTCAGAGAGAAGTAGAATCTCTGTCTGCCTCTTTCTCTCAGTTTCTGTGTGTCTCTGTCTATCTCTCTCTGCTTGTCTCTGTCTGACTCTGTCTATATTTATTTCCATATCTTGTGCGCTCTCTCTCTCTTCCTCATATGTTTATTTTATCTGTCTCTGACTCTCCTTTACCACCTGCCTCTGTCTGTGACTTTGACAGTATTTCTGGCAGTCTGTCTGTCTGTCTATTTTTGTTTCTGCCTCTATTTTGTCTGCCTCTGTCTCTTGCATTCTCTCTCTCTCTCTCTCTCTTTCTCTGATTCTCTATGTGTGTGAGGTTGTCTGTCTGTCTTGTCTCTGACTATTTCTGTTTCTATCTCTTTCTTATTCATCTCTGTCAGTCTCTTTGGCACCACTTGACTGCTTCTACCTCTAATTTTGCTATCAGCCCCTGCCTCTGGTTCTTCCCCTGCCCATCTGCTTAGACCCTCCTTGGTTGACTTTGCTGGTATCTGTTCCCACACTGCACATCTAAATATGAGGGTGTCTGGGAGCCTATCTCCATCCCCTTTTTGTACCTACATTCTCCTTAGGTGATATCATCCTGTCTTGTGGCTTAAATGCTGTCACTAACCTCATGACTACCCAATCATTATCTCCTACTTCACCTCTGCCCTGAGGCACATGTAAGTGCCTCCTCAACAACTCCACGTGGATTTCTACAAGATGTCAGAGAATTGTCCAAAATAGAAGTCTTGATTTTCCCCCAAATCTGCTCCACTCTGAATACCCACTCTCTGAGTCAGCATTACCATTATTCACCTTAAATCCAATCTTTGACCTTATCCTGTTGGCTCTACCTTAAAAGCACGTCTAGCATCAGATCACTCTTCCTCAACTCGAAGACTATTACACTTGTTCAAAGTCACCCCTCTCTCTAGCCTGGATCACTGTAGGAACTTCCTAGACCAGACTTCCTGCTTCCACTGTAGCCCTTTTATATCAGTTTTGGCTAGCATTGGTTGCACAAAATAAATGGCTTAAACAAATTGAAAGTGGTAGGGCTCTTTCCACCTTACATAAAGACATTGTGGAGATTGCAGTCCAAAGCACATATGAAGGCTCCATAGAGGTATGAGGGACCCAAACACCAATCTTTCCTCTTCAACACCTAGGCATATGGCTTCAAGACTCACGGTCTCCCATGGTCCAATGCGGCTGCTAGAATTCCAGCCATCATGCCAATGCTGTGGGCCTGAAGGAAATAGTAAAGCAGAAGGGATAATAGGGGCCCTTCTCAGTTGAGTAAATTTCACTTAAGCTTCATTCCCAGAATCAGTCCCATCATTTTCGGATGTAATATTTTGTTCCAAACAGCAAACTATCTGGCAAAAACTGAGGGATTTAATCCTAAGTAAGACATGAATAATGGCTGTTGACATAGGAAAGTGACAGTATCTACTCTAGCCAGCAATAGCCTGCTCTCCACCTGTCAGAGAGTGTGACCATCCTCTTAAAACCTTAATTTTAGTCCTTTTACAGAATCCTGAGTTGAAAAAAGCAAGCAGGTGCAACTGGGGTCTTCCCTCTGCTATTGAATTAAAATTTTTCCACCAGTGATGTTGCAGAATAATTTTCAAGTTGGTTTACTGTGTTGCATCATAATATGCAAATCTTTTGCCAACATCCATTTTAGACAGCTTAGAGGGACCAAGCAGTCACACTAGTGACTACATAATCCATCTAATTTGGGGTCATATCTAGATTTCTCCCAATATATTTGTACAGAACCTTGTGCTTGTGATTAAAGTTTGCTCAGGGATTTGAAAAAATGATCCATAGTTACCAACCAGATTGCCTCTCTGTTGAGCCAATCAAACATGAGTGAGAGCAGCCTTTTCAGTAAAGTGGCCAACCAAAACACTTCCTTTTGGTTCATGGGTTTGTCTGCTAGTATGTACTTCAAACTTAATCACATTCAATTTGAGGGAAAAGGAGCAAGGCAGCTAGAAAAGTGTAGTTACCAAACCATGCCCAAATCATAAAATACAACAAAGGCTTATCTGCTGCCATGTCTACATTAGCCCTTCCATCCCTTGCTAGATCACAAGCTGGAATCAGGTCTACAAGTTTGGTTACTTGTGAAGATTCAGTTTCAGGAAAAAGATTGGATTCTATAAGCTCTTGGGAAGTGGTGACTGCACAGCCAGCTTGAAAATATCCTTGTCCTGTCTCAAGATGTGACCCGCCTACAGAGACTTCTAAGCCTGGGCCTCGTAAAAGAGTTTCAAGAATATCAGAGTGAGCCAGGGGAAGTTCCTGGGTTAAAGTTAGCCCATCATGAGATTCTCTCTCCTCTAAAAGAAGGAGTAAGGTAGCCGGGATAAGGGTATGACAATTATGGACCATGATGTGCGGTAAATAGAAGCTGCAATTCAGAGGCTGTGTATGGAAATTAAGAAATGTTAGGTGCTTTTGGTGAGGCATGGGATCCCATTACCTAAAGAGGTGAACCAAGATTAAATCAGAAACGTCTTCTACTAACTTTGCAGTTGCACCCATTGCCCTGAGGCAAAGGGAATATGACTTTAACTACTGGGTTGAGGGAGAAGGTAATACCCAATGAACCTCTGATTTCTCGGTTTCTGAAGTGTGCCTGGAATCCAAAGTCACAGAAATCTGAATAATTAATTGCTCCCCTCTTAAATCCTGGCAGTGCCCCCTAGAAAGTGAAACATTCACTTCCAGTTCAGGAATAGCAGACCCAGCTGGCCTAGTCTCTTAAATTTTCTGTTGCTTTGTAAATATAATGAAACAAAACACTGCCGTGTGGTCAGTACCAGCCATGATACATACACTAGCCTATTTATTCCTCATATCTATACTTTAAGAAATAATTGTTTCCACATTTTAGAGATGGGTTGGCTCAGAGGGTCTCAGGATTTGTCTAAAGTCACACAACTGGTGAGCAAGTGGGGCCGCTGAACACTGAACCCAGTATGAGTGGTTCTTAAGTGCCATTGCCTGCTATACAGTGTCTCTACTTTACAACCAGTATATATGATGGTGCCTCCTGCTCCTGAATTCTGTAATGAACCTTCTTTATTGTGTCCACTACTAGAAAGGAAGAAATGCCAAATATAATCTTACATATATATCTTTATATATATATAATATATATATTTAAATGTTAATGATTAAATAGAATTTAATTTTAAACTTAAAGTATATTTCAATAAACATTTAAATAATGTTTTAAAATATTTTATGCACTTTTAGTTCTGGAATAAGATGTAGTAGCCACACCTCTCCCCACTCCTCCCACTTAGTACAGCTGAAAACCCTAAACCATACATATTAAGCACATAACATCACTCTGAAAGTCATTGAGAAGGCAGACAACCAGCTGGGGACTGTGGGGCCTGTGAAACAACAGGGTGGTAAGTTCCCTGGTTTTCTCTATGGTGCATATATCTCAGACTAGGTACTGGAGAAGGTAGCAACCTGGAAATGACAATGGACACAGAGAAGAAAGCTCCTCCCAAAGCCTTTCTTTGTCTAAAGGATAGCGAAAGGGGCAGGACAGCAAGACAGAAAGATTTTAGATAATAACTGCCAAACATTATGGAAGAAGAAACAGTGGCTGCCCTGCCCCCACCCCCCTAGCAACAAACAGGGTAGGGAGCCCACACTTCTACCCTCAAATGGCTACAGTGAGGCTCCCCAACCTCCCCTCTCCTCTCTGGGGTGGTGTCAAAGAAGGCTGGGTGAGAAGCCAGACCACTCATTCACACAGAGGAAATATGAAGTGATTCTCATAGTCCTTGCTGAGATGAGATGGTGTCAGAAGAGGCTTAGTGGAGAGTTATGATGTATCAGTACTGTGGAAACTAGAAACAAGCTATCTGTGAAAATGCTTTGTGATGCATGGATTCATCTCACAGACTTAAAACTTTGTTTTGATTCAGAAGGCTGAAAAGACTCTTTCTGTAGAATCTACCAAGGGACTTTTCAGAGCCATTGAGGCCTAAAGCAAAAAAACAGAATATATTGCGATCAAACTAGAAACAAGCTATCTGGAAAATTGCTTTGCAATGGGAGGATTCATCTCTCAGCGTTAAACCATTGTTTTGATTCAGCAGGTTGGAAACACTCTTTCTGTAGAATCTACGAAGGGACCTTTCAGAGCCCACTGACACCTATTGTGAAAACCTGAATATGCTGCAATCAAAACAAGAAACAAGCTATCTGTCAAAATGCTTCATGATGTTTGGATTCATTTCACAGAGTTAAACCTTAGTTTTGATTCAGCAGGTTGGAAACACTCTGTCTGCAGAATTTATGAAGGAACAATTCAGAGCCCATTGAGGCAAATAGTGAAAAATCGAATATCCTGTCATAAAAACTAGAAACAAACTATCTGTAAAAATGATTTGCTATATGTGGATACATTTCGTACAGTTAAACCTTTATTTTGATTCAGGAGGTTGGAAACACTCTTTCTTTTTTTTTAAATTTTATTATTACTATACTTTAAGTTTTAGGGTACATGTGCACAATGTGCAGGTTTGTTACATGTGTATACATGTGCCATGTTGGTGTGCTGCACCCACTAACTCATCATTTAGCACTAGGTATATCTCCTAATGCTATCCCTCCCCCCTCCCCCTACCCCAAAACAGTCCCTGCTGTGTGATGTTCCCCTTCCTGTGTCCATGTGTTCTCATTGTTCAATTCCCACCTATGAGTGAGTACATGCGGTGTTTGGTTTTCTGTCCTTGTGATAGTTTGCTGAGAATGATGGTTTCCAGCTTCATCCATGTCCCTACAAAGGACATGAACTCTTCATTTTTTATGGCTGCACAGTATTCCATGGTGTATATGTGCCACATTTTCTTAATCCAGTCTATCATTGTTGGACACTTAGGTTGGTTCCAAGTCTTTGCTATAGTGAACAGTGCCCCAGTAAACATACGTGCGCATGTGTCTTTATAGCAGCATGATTTATAGTCCTTTGGGTATATATCCAGTAATGGGATGGCTGGGTCAAATGGGATTTCTAGTTCTAGATCCCTGAGGAGTCGCCACACTGACTTCCACAATGGTTCAACTAGTTTACAGTCCCACCAACAGTGTAAAAGTGTTCCTATTTCACCACATCCTCTCCAGCACCTGTTGTTTCCTGACTTTTTAATGATGAACATTCTAACTGGTGTGCAACGTTATCTCATTGTGGTTTTGATTTGCATTTCTCTGATGGCCAGTGATGATGAGCATTTTTTCATGTGTTTTTTGGCTGCATAAATGTCTTCTTTTGAGAAGTGTCTGTTCATGTCCTTCGCCTACCTTTTGATGGGGTTCTTTGTTTTTTTCTTGTAAATTTGTTTGAGTTCATTGTAGATTCTGGATATTAGCCCTTTGTCAGATGAGTAGGTTGCAAATATTTTCTCCCATTCTGTAGGTTGCCTGTTCACTCTGATGGTAGTTTCTTTTGCTGTGCAGAAGCTCTTTCGTTTAATTAGATCCCATTTGTCAATTTTGGCTTCCGTTGTCATTGCTTTTGGTGTTTTAGACATGAAGTCGTTGCCCATGCCTATGTCCTGAATGGTATTGCCTAGGTTTTCTTCTAGGGATTTTATGGTTTTAGGTCTAACATTTAAGTCTTTAATCCATCTTGAATTAATTTTTGTATAAGGTGTAAGGAAGGGATCCAGTTTCAGCTTTCTACATATGGCTAGCTAGTTTTCCCAGCACCATTTATTAAATAGGGAATCTTTTCCCCATTTCTCGTTTTTCTCAGGTTTGTCAAAGATCAGATAGTTGTAGGTATGTGGCATTATTTCTGAGGGCTCTGTTCTGTTCCATTGGTCTATATCTCTCTTTTGGTACCAGTACCATGCTGTTTTGGGTACTGTAGCCTTGTACTTTAGTTTGAAGTCAGGTAGCATGATGCCTCCAGCTTTGTTCTTTTGGCTTAGGATTGATTTGGCAATGGGGACTCTTTTTTGGTTCCATATGAACTTTAAAGTAATTTTTTCCAATTCTGTGAAGAAAGTCGTTAGTAGCTTGATGGGGATGGCATTGAATGTATAAGTTACCTTGGGCAGTATGGCCATTTTCACGATATTGATTCTTCCTACCCATGAGCATGGAATGTTCTTCCATTTCTTTGTATCCTCTTTTATTTCATTGAGTAGTGGTTTGTTGTTCTCCTTGAAGGAGGTCCTTCACATCCCTTGTAAGTTGGATTCCTAGGTATTTTATTCTCTTTGAAGCAATTGTGAGTGGGAGTTCACTCATGATTTGGCTCTCTGTTTGTCTGTTATTCGTGTATAAGAATGCTTGTGATTTTTGCACAATGATTTTGTATCCTGAGACTTTGCTGAAGTTGCTTATCAGCTTAAGGAGATTTTGGGCTGAGACGATGGGGTTTTCTAGATTTACAATCATGTCATCTGCAAACTGGGACAATTTGGCTTCCTCTTTTCCTAATGAATACCCTTTATTTCCTTCTTCTTCCTGACTTCCCTGGTCAGAACTTCCAACACTATGTTGAATAGGAGTGGTGAGAGAGGGCATCCCTGTCTTGTGCCAGTTTTCAAAGGGAATGCTTCCCGTTTTTGACCATTCAGTATGATAATGTCTGTGGGTTTGTCATAGTTAGCTCTTCTTATTTTGAGATACTTCCCATCAATACCTAATTTATTGAGAGTTTTTAGCATGAAGGTTGTTGAATTTTGTCAAAGGCTTTTTCTGCATCTATGGAGATAATCATGTGGTTTTTGTCTTTGGTTCTGTTTATGTGCTGGATTGCGTTTATTGATTTGCGTATGTTGAACCAGCCTTGCATCCCAGGGATGAAGCCCACTTGATCATGGTGGATAAGCTTTTAGATGTGCTGCTGGGTTCGGTTTGCCAGTATTTTATTGAGGATTTTTGCATCAATGTTCTTCAAGGATATTGGTCTAAAATTCTCTTTTTTGGTTGTGTCTCTGCCAGGCTTTGGTATCACGATGATGCTGGCCTCATAAAATGAGTTAAGGAGGATTCCCTCTTTTTCTATTGATTGGAATAGTTTCAGAAGGAATGGTACCAGCTCCTCCTTGTACCTCTGGTAGAATTCGTCTATGAATCCATCTGGTCCTGGAGGTTTTTTGGTTGGTAAGCTATTAATTATTGCCTCAATTTCAGAGCCTGTTATTAGTCTATTCAGAGATTCAACTTCTTCCTGGTTTAGTCTTGGGAGGGTGTATGCGTCGAGCAATTTATCCATTTCTTCTAGATTTTCTAGTTTATTTGCGAAGAGGTGTTTATAGTATTCTCTGATGGTAGTTTGTATTTCTGTGGGATCGGTGGTGATATCCCCTTTGTCATTTTTTATTACATCTATTTGATTCTTCTCTCTTTTCCTCTTTTTTAGTCTTGCTAGCAGTCTATCAGTTTTGTTGATCTTTTCAAAAACCAGCTCCTGGATTCATTGATTTTTTGAAGGGTTTTTTGTGTCTCTATTTCCTTCAGTTCTGCTCTGATCTTAGTTATTTCTTGCCTTCTGCTAGCTTTTGAAGGTGTTTGCTCTTGCTTCTCTGGTTCTTTTAATTGTGATGTTAGGGTGTCAGTTTTAGATCTTTCCTGCTTTCTCTTGTGGGCATTTAATGCTATAAATTTCCCTCTACACACTGCTTTGAATGTGTCCCGGAGATTCTGGTATGTTGTGTCCTTGTTCTCATTGGTTTCAAAGAACATCTTTATTTCTGCCTTCATTTCGTTATGTTCCCAGTAGTCGTTCAGGAGCAGGTTGTTCAGTTTCCGTGTAGTTGAGCAGTTTTGAGTGAGATGCTTAATCCTGAGTTCTAGTTTGATTGCACTGTGGTCTGAGAGACAAAATTTGTTATAATTTCTGTTCTTTTACGTTTGCTGAGGAGTGCTTTACTTCCAACTATGTGGTCAGTTTTGGAATAGGTGCGGTTTGGTGCTGAAAAGAATGTGTATTCTGTTGATTTGGGGTGTAGAGTTCTGTTCATGTCTATTAGGTCCGCTTGGTGCAGAGCTGAATTCTATTCCTGGATATCCTTGTTAACTTTCTGTCTCATTGATCTGTCTAATGTTGACAGTGGGGTGTTAAATCTCCTATGATTATTGTGTGGGAGTCTACGTCTCTTTGTAGGTCTCTAAGGACTTGCTTTATGTATCTGGGTACTCCTGTATTGGGTGCATATACATTTAGGATAGTTAGCTCTTCTTGTTGAATTGATCCCTTTACCATTATATAATGATCTTCTTTGTCTCTTTTGATCTTTGTTGGTTTAAAGTCTGTTTTATCCGAGACTAGGATTGCAACCCCTGCCTTTTTTTGTTTTCCATTTGCTTGGTAGATCTTCCTCCATCCTTTTATTTTGAGCCTATGTGTGTCTCTGCACCTGAGATGGGTTTCCTGAGTACAGCACACTGATGGGTCTTGACTCTTTATCCAATTTGTCAGTCTGTGTCTTTTAATTGGAGCATTTAGCCCATTTACATTTAAGGTTAATATTGTTATGGGAAACACTCTTTCTGTAGAATCTGTGAAGAGACATTTCAGAGCCCGTTGAGGCCTGGAGTAAAAAATTGAATATCTCATGACAAAAACTAGAAACAAGTTATCTGTGACAACACGTTGTGTGACCTGTGGATTCATCTCACAGTGTTAAACGTTTGTTTTTATACAGCAGGCTGGAAACCCTCTTTTTGTAGAATCTAGGAAGGGACATTTCAGAGCACATTGAGGCCTAGAGTGAAAAACAAAATATCCCCTGAAGAAAACTAGAAGCAAGCTGTTTGTGAAAATGCTTTGTGATGCGTGGATTCATCTCACAGAGTTAAACCTCTGTTATGAATCAGGAGGTAGGTAACACTCTTTCTGTAGAATGTCAGATGGGGCCTTTCAGAGCCCATCGAGGTTTTTAATGAAAAAATGAATATTCCATGATCACAGCTAGAAGCAAGATAACTGCAAAATTGCTTTGTGATATGTGGTTTCATGTCCAGAGCTAAACTTTGTTTTAATTCAGCAGGTTGAAAACACTCTTTCTGAAGAATCAAACAAGGGACATTTTGCAGCCCATCGAGGCCTATAGTGAAAAACAAAATATCCTGTGATAAAAACTAGAAACAATCTATATGTAAAAATGCTTTGCAACCTGTGGATTCATCTCACAGAGATAAACCTTTGTTTTGGTTCAGCAGGTTTGAATCACTCTTTCTGTGGAATCTATGAAGGGACATTTCAGAATTATTGAGGCCTATAATGTAAAACCCAATAACCCATGGTAAAAACTAGAAACAAGCTATCTGTGAAAATGATTTGTAAAGTGTGGATTCATGTGACAGAGATAAATCATTGTTATGATTCAGCAGTTTGGAAAAACTCTTGTTGTAGGATCTACAAAGGGACATATTGGAGCCCAACGAGGCCTATTGTGAAAAGCAGAATATCCCACAATAAAAACTAGAAAGAAGCTATCTGAAAATGCTTTCAGATGTATGGATTCATCTCATGCTGTGAATCCTTTGTTTTGATTAAGCAGGTTGGAAACATTCTGTATAATCTTCTAGGGGACATTTTAATCCCATTGAGGCCTGTTGTGGCAAACTGAATATCTTGGGATAAAAACTAGAAACACGCTGTTGGCGAAAACCCTTTGCAATGTGTGCATTGATCTCACAGAGTTAAACCTTTGTTTTGATTCAGTTGGCTGGAAAAACTCTTTTTGTGGAATCCTCAAAGGGCCATTTCGGAACACATAAAGTCCTATAGTGAAAAACCAAATATCCTGAGATCAAAAGTGGAAAAAAGCTATCTGTGAAAATGCTTTGTGATATGTGGATTCATCTCTCAGAATTAAACCATTGTTTCGATTCAGCAGGTTGGCAACACTCTTTCTGTAGAATTTACTAAGGCACATTTCAGAGCACATTAAGTCCTATTATGAAAAACCAAATATCCCTTGATCAAAACTGGAAACAAGCTATCTGTGAAAATGCTTTGTGATGTGTGGATTTATCTCACATAGATAAACCTTTCTTCTTATTCAGCAGGTTGGAAACACTCCTTCTGTAGAATATATAGGGAGGCATTTCGGAGCCCACAGAGGCCTATCATGAAAACCCAAATATCCCACAATTAAAATTAGAAGCAAGCTATCTGTGAAAATGCTTCAGGATGGATGGATTCATTTCACAGAGTTAAAGCTTATTTTTGATTCAACAGATTGGAAACATTCTTTCATTCTTTCTGTGTAATTTATGAGGGGACATTTCAGAGCCCATTGAGGCAAATAGTAAAAAACCAAATATCCTGCCATAAAATGTAGAAACAAACTATCGGTAACAATGATTTGCAATGTGTAAATTCATCTCATAGAGATAAACCTCTGTTTTGGTTTGGAAGGTTGGAAACACTCTTTCTGTCTACGAGAGGACATTTCAGAGCCCACTGAGGCCTAGAGTAAAAAAAAAAAAGATTCCACTATAAAACCTGGAAACAACCTATCTGTAAAAATGCTTTGTGATGTGTGGATTCATCTCACACAGAGTTACACCTTTCCTTTGATTCTGCTGGTTGGAAACACTCTTTCTGTAGCTTCTTTGGAGGGACATTTGGGAGCCTTTTGGGGCATATAGTGAAAAACCGAATATCCCATGATAAAAACTAGAAACAAGCTGTCTCTGAAAATGATTTGCAATGTGTGAATTCGCCTCACAGAGTTAAATCTTTTTTTGAATCAGCAGGTTGGAAGCACTCTTTTTGTAGAATCTACAAAGGGACATTTTAGAGCCCATCGTGGCCTATAGTGAAAAACCAAAAAAGCAATGATAAAAGCTGGAAACAAGCTATCTGTGAAAATGCATTGCGATGTATGGATTCATCTCACAGATTTAAACCTCCGTTTTGATTCAGCAGTTTGTAAACACTCTTTCTGTAGAATCTAAAATGGGACATTTAGGAACCCATTAAGGCCTGTAGTGAAAAACTGAATACCCCGAGGTAAAAACTAGAAACAAGCTATCTGTGAAAATGCTTTGTGATATGTGAATTTATCTCACAGAATTAAATCGTTGTTTTGAATCAGCAGTGTGGAAACACTCTTCTTGTAGAATCTACAAAGGGACATTTCGGGGTCCCTCGTGGTGTATAGTGAAAAACCATAAAGGCAAGGATAAAAACTAGAGGCAAGCTATCTGTGAAAATGCATTGCAATGCATGGATTCATCTCACAGAGTTACACTTTGTTTTAATTCATCAGGTTGGAAACACTCTTTCTGTAGAGTCTACGAAGGGGACATTTTGGAGCAATGTAGGCCTATACTGAAAAACCAAAAATCCCGCAACAAAATGAGAAAAAAGTTATCTGTAAAAATCCTGCGTGGATTCATCTCACAGAGTTAAATCTTTGTTTTCATTCAGCGAATTGGAAACACTTTGCTTTACAGAATCTACAGTGGGACTTTTCAGAGCTCTTTGAGGCCTATAGTGGAAAACCGAATATCCCATGAAGGAAACTAGAAGCAGGCTATCTCTGAAAATGATTTGTGATGTGTGAATTCATCTCACAGAGTTAAATCTTTGTTTTGAATCAGCAGGTGGGAAGTACTCTTTTTGTAGAATCTACGAAGGACTATTTCAGAGCCCACTGTGGCATATGGTGAAAAACTGAAAAACCAATGATAAAAACTAGAAAAAAGTTATCTGTGAAAATGCTTCGTGATGCATGGATTCATCTCACAGAGTTAAAACTTTGTTTTGATTCAGCAAGTTGGAAACACTCTTTCTGTAGAATCTTCGAAGGGACATTTCAGAGCCCAATGAGGCCTATAGTGAAAAACCGAATATCCCATGATAAAAACTAGAAACAAATTATCTGTGAAAACACTTTGTGACCTGTGGATTCACCTCACAGAGTTAAAGTTTTGTTTTGATTCACCAGGTTGGAAAGACTCTGTACAATCTATGAAGGGACATTTCAGAGCACATTGAGGCCTATAGTGAAAAACTGAATATCCCATGATAAAAGCTAGAAACAAGCTATATGTGAAAATGCTTTGCAACCTGTGGATTCATCTCACAGAGGTAAACCTTTGTTTTGGTTCAGCAGGTTGGAAACACTCTTTCTGTGGAATCTATGAAGGGACATTTCAGAATTATTGAGGCCTATAATGAAAAACCCAATAACCCATGGTAAAAACTCAAAACAAGCTATCTGTAAAAGTGCTTTGCAATGTATGGATACATCTTACAGAATTAAATGTTTGTTTTGATTCAGCAGGCTGGAAACACTCTTGTTGTAGAATCTATTAAGGAACATATCAGAGCCCAATGAGGCCTATAGTGGAAACGCAAATATCCCACAATAAAAACTGGAAACAAGCTATCTATCTGTGAAAATTCTTTATGATGTGTGGATTCATCTCACAGAGTGAACACTTCATTTTCATTCAGCAGATTGGAAACACCTTTCTGTAGAGTCTTCTAAGGGAAATTTCAGAGCCCATTGAGGCCCATAGTGGAAAAGTGAATATCCCATGATACAAACTAGAAACAAGCTATCGGTGAATACACTTTGTGATGCGTGGATTCATCTCACAGAATTAAACCTTGTTATATTCAGTGGGATGGAAAACCTTGTTTGTAGAATCTACAAGGAGACATTTCAGAAGACACATAGCTCTATAGTGAAAAATCGATTATCTTGAGATCAAAACTAGAAAAAATCTCTCTGTGAAGATGCGTTGTGATGGTTGGATTCACCTCACATAGTTAAAGCTTTGTTTTGATTCTGCAGGTTGGAAACACTCTTTTTTTAGTATCTACAAAGGGACATTTTGGAGCCCATTGAGGCCTATAGTGAAAAACCAAAAAACCAGCAATAAAAACAAGAGAAAAGCTATCATGTGAATTCATGGCAACATGTGGGTTCACATCACAGAGGTAAACTGTAGTTTTCTCACATCAGGTTGGAAACAATATTTTTGTAGCATATACGAGGAGAGATTTCAGAGCCCACTGAGGCCTACAGTGAAAAACCGAATAACCCATGACAAAAACTAGAAACAAGCTATCTGTGAAAATGCTTTGTGATGTGTGGATTCATCTTACAGAGTTACACTTTTGTTTTGATTCTGCAGGTTGGAAACACTCTTTCTGTTGAATCTACAAAGGGACATTTTGGAGCCCTTTGGGGCATATAGTGAAAAACCAAATATCCCATGATAAAAACTACAAACAATCTATCTGTGAAAATGCTTTGTGATGTGTGAATTCATCTCATAAAGTTAAATCTTTGTTTTCATTCATCAGGTTCAAAACACTCTTTTTGTAGAATATACAAAGGGACATTTAGGAGCCCTTTGAGGCCTACAGTGGAAAACCAAATATCCCACAAAGAAAACTAGAAACGAGCTATCTGTGAAAATGCAGTGTGATGTGTGGATTCATCTCACAGACTTAAACCTCTGTTATGGTTCAGGAGGTTGGAAACTCTCTTTTTGTAAAATCTAAAAAGGGGCCTCTCAGAGCCCATTGAGGCTTTTAATGAAAAAAAGAATAGTTCACAATCAAAACTAGAAACAAGCTATCTGCAAAAATGGTTTGTGATGTATGAATTCATTTCACAGAGTTAAACCTTTGTTTTGATTCAGCTGGTTGGAAACACTCTTTCTGAAGAATATATGAAGGGACATTTCAGAGCCCATTGAGGCCTACAGTGAAAAACCAAATATCCCGTGGTAAAAACGAAACATGCTGTGTGTGAAAATGATTTACAATGAGTGGATTTATCTCTCAGAGTGAACACTTCATTTTCATTCAGCAGGTTGAAAACACCCTTTCTGTAGAATCTTCAAAGGGAAATTTCAGAGCCCATTGAGGCCTATAGTTGAAATATGAACATCCTGTGATAAAAACTAGAAACACGCTATCAGTGAATACGCTTTCCAATGTGTGGATTCATCACACAGAGTTAAACCTTTGTTACATTCAGCGGGTCGAAACACCTTTTTTGTAATCTACAAAGAAACAAACATTTTGGAACACATACAGTTCTATAGTGAACAATTGAATATCCCGAGTTCAAAACTAGAAACAAGCTCTCTGAAAATGCACTGTGATGGTTGGATTCATCTCACAGAGTTAAAGCTTTGTTTTGATTCTGCAGGTTGGAAACACTCTTTTTGTAGAATCTACAAAGGGACATTTTGGAGCCCTTTGAAGTCTATAGTGAAAAACTGAAAAACCAGCAATAAAAAAGAGAAAAAAAGCTATCTGTGAAAATGCATGGTGATGTGTGGACTCACGTCACAGTGTTAATCCTTAGTTCTGTTGCATCAGGGCAGAAACAATCTTTTTGTAGATTATAGGAAAGGACATTTCAGGGCCCACTGAAAATTCGAGTATCCCACAATAAAAACTAGAAACTAGCTATCTTTGAAAACACTTTGTGATGTGTAGACTCATCTCACAGAATTAAACCTGTGTTTTGATTCAGCAGGTTGGAAACACTCTTTTTGTATAATCTACAAGTGGACATTTCAAAGCCCTTTGAGACCTATAGTAAAAAACTGAATATCCCACAAAAATAACTAGAAATAAGTTATCAATGAAAATGCTTTGTGATGTGTGGATTTATCTCAGAGAGTTAAACCTTTATTTTGAGTCAGCAGGTTGGAAACACTCTTTTTGTAAAATCTATGGAGGGACATTTTGGAGCCAAAGAGGCCTATAGTGAAAACCCAAATATCCCGTGATGAAAACTAGAAACAAGCTATCAGTGAAAATGCTTTGAAATGTGTGGATTTATCTCACAGAGTTAAACTTTTGTATTGATTCAGCAGATTGGACACTGTCTTTTTGTACAATCTATTAATGGACATTTCAAAGCCCATTGAGGCCTATAGTGAAAAACTGAATATCCCACGATAAAAACTAGAAACAATCTATTTGTGAAAATGCTTTTTGACTTTTGGATTCATTCCACAGAATTAACCTTTTTTTTGGTTCAGCAGGTTTGAAACACTCTTATTGTAGAATCTATAAAGGGATATATCAGAGCCCATTGGGGATAATAGTGAAAAACAGAATATCCCATGATAAAATCTAGAAACAAGCTATCTGTCAAAATGCACTGTGATGTGTGGATTTGTCTAACAGAGTTAAACCTCTTTTTTGATTCAGCAGGGTGGAGACACCATTTTTTGTAGAATCTATGAAGGGACATTTTGGAGCCAATGTGGCCTATAGTGAAAACCTGAATATGCCACGATAAAAACTAGAAACAAGCTATCCGAGAAAATCCACTGTGATGTGTGAATTCATCTCACATAATTAAACCTTTCTCTTGATTCAGCAGGTTGGAAATACTCTCTTTATAGAATGTACCATAGGACATTTCAGAGCCCATTGAGGCCTATAGTGGAAAACTGAATATCCCATGATAAAAACCAGAAAAAAGCTATCTGTAAAACGCTTTGCTATGTATGGATTCATTTCACAGGGTTAAAGCTTTGTTTTGATACAGCAGGTTGGAAACATTATTTCTGTAGAATCTACGAAGAGACATTTCAGAGCCCATTGAGGTTTATAGTGAAAAACCGAATATCCTGTGATCAAAGCTAGAAACAAGCTATCTGTGAAAATGAATTGTGATGTGTGCCTTCATCTCATAGAGTTAAACCTTTGTTTTGACTCAGCAGGTTTGAAACACTCTTTCTGAAGAATCTACCAAGTGACATTTTGGAGTCCATCGAGGCCTACAGTGAAAAACTGAATATCCCGCAATAAAAACTAGAAAAAAGATATCTGTGAAAATGCTTTATGATGTAAAAATTCATCTCACAGAGAGAACTCTTTGTTTTGATTCAGTGGGTTGGAAGCACTTTCTGTAGAACCATCAAAGGGACCTTTCAGAGCCCATTGAGCCATATAGTGAAAAACTGAATATTCCACGATAAAAACTAGAAACAAGCTATGTGTGAAAAAGTTTTGCAACGTGTGGATACATTTCACAGAGATAAACCATTGTTTTGATTCAGCAGGTTGGAAACACTCTTGTTGTAGGATCTACAAAGGGACATATCAGAGCCTATGAGGCCTGTAGTGGAAACCCGAATATCCTGTAATAAAAACTAGACACAAGCCATCTGTGAAAATGCTTTAAGGTGTATAGATTCATCTCACAGAGTGAACCCTCTGTTTTGATTCAGCAGGTTAGAAACACTCTTTCTGTAAAATCTTCGAAGGGACATTTCAGAGCCCATTGAGCCCTATAATGAAAAACTGAATATCTTGTTGTAAAAACTAGACACAAGCTAGCTGAGAAAATGCTTTGTGATGTAGCTCATTGAGGCTCATAGTGAACAAATGAATATTTCACAATCAAAATTAGAAACAAGCTATCTGTAAAAATGCTTTGTGATGTGTGTGGACATATCTCACAGAGTTAAACCTTTCTTTTGATTCTGCGGGATGGAAAAACTCTTTTTGTAGAAACTACGGAGGGACATTTCAGAGCCCTTTGAAGCATATAGTCAAAAACCAAATATCCCGTGATAAAAACTAGAAACAAGCTATCTCTGAAAATGTGTTGCAATGTATTAATTCATCTCACAGAGTTAAATCTTTGTTTTGATTTAGCAGATTGGAAACACTCTTTTTGTAGAATTTACAAAGGGACATTTCGAAGCCCATAGAGGCCTGTAGTGACAAACAAAAAAACCAGCGATAAAAACCAGAAGAAAGCTGTCTGTGAAAATACACTATGATGCATGGATTCATTTCACCAAGTTAAGCCTTTGTTTTGATTCAGCAGGTTGGAAACACTCTTTCTGTAGAATCTATGAAGGGACATTTCAGAGCCATTAAGTCCTATCATGACAAACTGAGTATCTCATGATAAAAATAAGAAACAAGGTATCTGTAAAAACGCTTTGTGAGGTATGGATTCATCTCACAGAGTTAAACCATTATTTTGATACAGCAAGTTGGAAACACTCTTTTTGTGGAATCTACAAAAGGACATTTCAGAGCACATTGAGGCCTATAGTAAAAAAATTGAATGTCCTGCGATGAAAACTAGAAAAAAAGCTGTCTGTGAAAATGCTTTGTGATGTTTGGATTCATCTCACCGAGCTAAACCTATGTTATGATTCAGGAGGTTGGAAACACTCTTTCTGTAAAACCTATGAGGGATCTTTCAGAGCCCATTGAGGATTTAATGAAAAAAATGAATATTTCACCATCAGAACTACAAACAAGCTATCTGTGAAAATGCTTTGTGATGTGTGGATTCATCTCACAGAGTTAAACTTTTATTGTGATTCAGCAGGTTGGAAACACTCTTTCTGAAGTATCTACGAAGGGACATTTTGGACCCCTTTGAGGCCTGTAGTGCAAAACCGAAGATCTCGCGATAAAAACTAGAAATGAGCTATCTGTGAAAATGCTTTAAGATGTACGGATTCATTTCACAGAGATAAATCATTGTGTTCATTCATCAGGTTGGAAACATTCTTGTTGTAGAATCGATGAAGGGACATATCCCAGCCCAATGAGGCCTATAGTGGAAACCTAAATATCCTGTGATTAAAAACTAGAAACCAGTTATATATGAAAATGTTTTGTGATGTATGGATTTATCTCAGAGTGAACTCTTTGTTTTGATTAAGCAGATTGGAAACACTCCTTCTGTAGAATCTGCAAAGGGACATTCCAAGCCCATCGAGGCCTATAGTGGAAAACTGAATATCCTGTGATAAAAACTATATACAACCTATTGGTGAAAACAATTTGTAATGTGTGGATTCATCTCAGAGTTGTACCTCTGTTTTGATCAGCGGATTGGAAAAACTCTTCTTTAGAAACTACGAAGAGACGTGTCAGAACACATAGAGACTTCTAGTGATAAACAAAATAGCCTGAGATTAAAACTAGAAACAAGCTATCTGTGAAAAGGTTTTGTGATGTGTGGATTCAGCTCACAGAGTTAAACCTTTCTTTTGATTCAGCAGGTTGGAAACATTCTTTCGGTAGAATCTACAGAGGGATATTTCACAGCCCATTCAGGCCTATAGTGAAAAACTGAATATCCCATGATAAAAACAGGACACAAGCAATTTGTGAAAATGCTTTGTGATGTGTGGATTCATCTCACATAGTTAAACGTGCTTTGATTCATCAAGTTGGAAACACTCTTTTTGTAGATTCTACAAAGGGGGATTCAGAACCCATTGAGGTCTATAGTGAAAAACTGAACATCTCATGATAAAAACTACAATCAAGCTGTCTGTGAAAATGCTTTGTGATCTGTGGATTCATCTCAGAGAGTTAAACCTTTGTTTTGATTCAGCAGGTTAGAGACACTCTTTCTGTAGGATTTATGAGACACTTCAGAGCCCATTGTGGCCTGTATTGAAAAACAGAATATATCGTGATAAAAAATAGAAACAGGTTATCAGTGAAAATGCTTTGGGATGTTTGGATATATCTCATAGTGTTAAACCCTTGTTTTGATTCAGCAGCATGGCAACACTCTTTCTGTAGAATCTACTTAAGGACGTTTTGGAGCCCATTTAAGCCTACAGTGAAAAATCAAATATTCTGCAATAAAAACAAAAAATGAGCAATCTTTGAAAATGTGAAATGTGGATTCATCTCACAGAGGTAAACCTTTGTTTTTCTTCAGCAGATTGTAAAACAAGCAGTCTGTGAAAATGTGAAATGTGGATTCATCTCACAGAGGTAAACCTTTGTTTTCTTCAGCAGGTTGGAACCACTTTCTATAGAATCTACAAAAAGACATTACAGAGCCATTTGAGGCCTATCATCAAAAACTGAATATCACATGATAAAAACTAGGATCAGGCTATCTGTGAAAATGCTCTGTGATGTGTGGATTCATCTCACAGATTTAAACCTTCATTTTCATGCAACAGGTTGAAAACCCTCTTTTTTAAAATCATACAAAGTGATATTTTGGAGCCCATTGAGACCTGTAGTGAAAACCCAAGTATCCAGTGATAAAAACGAGAAACATGCTATCAGTGAAAATGCTTTGTGATGTGTGGATTCATCTCACAGAGATAAACCTTTCTTTTTATTCAGCAGGTTAGAAACACTTTTCTTATAGAATCTACAAAGGGACATTTCAGAGCCCATTAAGGCCTATACTAAAAACTTAATTATCCCACGATAAAAACTAGATACAAGCTATCAGTGAAAATGCTTTGCAATGTGTGCATTCATCTCACAAGGTCAAACCTTTATTTTGATTCATCAGAGTGGAAACACCATTTTGTAGAATCTACAAAGGGACACTTCAGAGCTCATTGAGACCTATAGTTTAAACCTAAATATCCCATGATAAAACCTAAAAACAAGCTATCTATGATAATGCTTTGTGATGTGTGGATTTGTCTCACAGAGTTAACCTTTGCTTTGATTTATCAGGGTAGAAACACTCTTTTTTAGAATCTACGAAGGGATATTTCAGAGCCTATTGTGAAGTACAGTGAAAAACAAAATATCCCCCAATCAAAACAAGAAACAAGCTACCTATGAAAATGCTTTGAAATGTGTGAATTCATCTCACAGAGTTAAACCTTTGTTTTGATTCAGCAGGTTGAAAACCCTCATTTTGTAAAGTCTATGAAGTGACATTTCAGAGCCAATGAGGCCTTCAGTGAAAACCCCAATATCCCATGATAAAAACTAGAAACAAACTATCAGGAAAAATGCTTTTTAATGTGTGGATTTATCTCAAAGAGGTAAACCTTTTTTTGGTTCAGCAGGTTGGAATCAGTGTTCTAGTACAAATTATGAGGGGATATTTCAAAGCCCATTGAGGCCAATAGTGAAAAACCAAATGTCCTGCTATAAAAACTAGAAACAAGCTCTCTGTAAAAATGCTTTGTGATGTGTGGATTCATCTTACAAAGTGAAATGTTTGTTTTGATTCAGCAGGTTGGAAACACTCTTTTTGTAGAATCTACAAAGGGACATTTCTGAGCACTTTGGGGCCTATAGTGAAAAATTGAATATCCCACGAAGAAAACTAGAAAGAAGCTCTCTGTGAAATTGCTTTGTGATATGTCAATTCGTCTCACAGAGGTAAATGTTTATTTTGATTCAGGATGTTGGAAACACTTTTTCTTTAAAATCTACGAAGGGGCCTTTCAGAGCCCATTGAGGCTAATAGTGTAAAAATGAATATTTTGCAAAGAAAACCAGAAGCAAGCTATCTGTGAAAATGCTTTGCAATGTGTGGATTCATCTCACAGAGTTAAACCTTTTTTTGATTCAGCAGGTTGCAAGCACTTTTTTTTTTTAGAATCTATGAAGGGGCATTTCAAAGCCAATTAAGACCTATCATGAAAAACAAAATATCCCACGATAAAAACTAGGAACAAGCTCTGTGTAAAAATGTTTTGTGATGCGTGTATTCATCTCACAGACTTAAACCTTTTCTTTGACTCAGCATGCTAAAAACACTCTTTTTGTAGAATCTACAAAGGGACATTTTGGAGTGCATTAAGGCCTATAACGAAAAACCTAATATCCTGTGATAAAAACGAGAAACAAGCTCTCAGTGAAAATGCTTTGTGATGTATCAATTTATCTCTAAATGTTACGCCTTTTTTTTGATTCAGCAGCTTAGAAACGCTTTGTGTAGAATCTACAAAAAGACGTTTCAGAGCCCATTGTGGCCTATAGTGAAAAACTGAATACCCCAGGATTAAAATTAGAAAAATATTATCTGTGAAAACACTTTGTGATACATGGATTTATCTCACAGAGTTAAAACTTTGTTTTGACACAGCAGGTTGGAAACCCTCTTTTTGTAGAATCTACAAATGGGCATTTCAGAACACATTGAGGCCTATAGTAAAAAACAAAATATCCCACAATGAAAACTAGAAACAAGCTATCTGTGAAAATGCTTTGTGATGTGTGGATTCATCTCAGTGAGTTAAACCTCTGTTATAATTCAGGAGGTTGGGAACACTCTTTCTGCAAAATCTACAAAGGGATCTTTTAGAGACCATTGAGGCTTTTATTGAAAAAATGGATATTTCACAATCAAAAATAGAAACAATCTACCTGTGAAAATGCCTTGAGATGTGTGGATTCATCTCACAGAGTTAAACCTTTGTTTTGATTCAGCAGATTGGAAACACTTTTTTTGAAGAATCTATGAAGGGACATTTCAGAGCCCATTGAGGCTTGTAAAGAAAAAACGAATATCCTGCGATAAAAACTAGAAACAAGTTATCTGTGAAAATGCTTTGCAATGTGCGGATTTATTTCACAAAGATAAATAATTGTCTTGATTCAGCACATTGGAAAAACTCTTTTTGTAGAATCTATGAAGAGACATATCAGATCTGAATGAGGCCTATAGTAATAACCAGAATATCCCACAATTAAAACTAGAAAAAAGCTATCTGTGAAAATGTTTGGCAATGTATGGATTCATCTCATGGAGCGAAATCTTGTTTTGATTCAGCAGGTTGGAAACACTTTTTCTATGGAATCTTTGAAGGGACATTTCAGAGCCCATTGAAGTCTACGGTGGAAAACAGAATATCTCATTATTCAAACTGGAACCAAGCTATCAGTGAAAAGCCTTTGTGATATGTCGGTTCATCTCACAGAGTTAAACCTTTGTTTTCATTCAGAAGGTTGGAAAAACTCTTTTTGTAGAATCTACAAAGTGACATTTCACAAAACATATAGTTCTATACTAAAAATCCGATTTTCCAGAGAACAAAACTAGAAACAAGCTATCTGTGAAAATGCTTTGTGATGTGTGAATTCATCTCACAGAGTTAATCCTTTGTTTTTATTCAGCAGATGGGAAGCACTCTTTCTGTAGAATCTATGAAGGGACATTTCAGAGCCCATTGAGGCCTGTACTTAAAAACAAAAAATCAGCGATAAAAACTAGAAACAAGCTATCTGTGAAAATGGATTGAGATGTGTGGACTGATATCACCAAGTTAAATCTTAGTTTTTATTCTGCAGGTGGAAAAATTCTTTCTGTAGAATCTGTGAAGGGACTTTGTGGAGACATTGACACCTTTAGTGAAAAGCCAAATATCCTGTGGTGAAAACTACAAATAAACTATTCATAAAAATACTTTGTGATGTATGGATTCATCTCATGGAGTTAAGACTCTATTTTCATTCAGCAGGTTGGAAACTCTTTTTTTGCAGAATCTGTGACAGGACATTTCAGAGTACATTGAGGCCTATAATAGAAAACCGAATAGCCCGAGATTAAAACTAGAAACAGAATATCTGTGAAAATGCTTTGTGATGTGTGGATTCTTCACACAGAGTTAAATCTCTGTTTTGATTCAGGAGGTTGGAAACATTCTTTCTGTAAAATCTATGATGGGATTTTTACAGTCCATAGAGGCTTAAAGTGAATAAACAAATATTTATCGCGAGATCTTCGGTTTTGCACTACAGGCCTCAAAGGGGTCCAAAATGTCCCTTCGTAGATACTTCAGAAAGAGTGTTTCCAACCTGCTGAATCACAATAAAGGTTTAACTCTGTGAGATGAATCCACACATCACAAAGCATCTGAACCTACGATGTTACATTTCCGAGCCCATTGAGGTCTGTAGTGAAAAAATGAATATCCCCTGATAAAGACTAGAAACAATCTCTCATTGAAAATGCCTTTCGATATGTGGACTCATCTGACAGAGTTAAACCTTTGTTTTCATGCAGTAGATTGGAAACATTTTTGTGTAGAATGTACAATGGGATATTTCAAAGCCCATTAAGGCCTTTAGAAGCAACCCAAATATCCCATGATAAAAACTAGAGACAAGCTCTCAGTGAAAATGCTTTGCAATGTTTAGATTCGTCTCACTGAATTAAATATTTGTTTTGACTCAGAAGGTTGGAAACACACTTTTTATTGAATCTATGAGAGGACATTTCAGAGTACATTGAGGCCTATAGTGAAAAAATGAATTTCCTACAATAAAAACTAGAACAAGCTCTCAGTGAAAACACTTTGGAATGTGTGGATTCACCTCACTGAGTTAAACTTTGTTTTGAGTCAGGAGGTTAGAAACACACTTTTTGTAGAATCTATGAGAGGACATTTCAGAGCTTATTGAGACCTACAGTGAAAACCTAAATATCCCGTGATAAAAACTAGAAACAAGCTCTCGGGGAAAATGCTTTCCCTGATGTTTAGATTATCTCACAGAATTAAACCTTTATTTTAATTCAGTAGATTGGAAACAGATTTTGTAGAATCTATGAGGCGACATTTTGATGCCCATTGAAGCCTGTAGTTAAAAACTGAATACTCCGTGATATAAAGTAGAAAAAGCTCTCAGTGGTAATGTTTTGCAATGTGTGCATTTATTTCCCAGAGTTAAACCTTTGTTTTGATTCAGCAGGTTGGAAAAACTCTTTTTGTAGAATTTACTTGAAGACATTTAGTAGCCCATTGAGGCCTGTAGTGAAAAATCGAATATCTCATGATAAAAACTAAAAACAACCTGTCAGTGAAGGTACTTTGTGATGTATTGATTCATCTCACAGAGTTAATCTTTTTTTTTTTTTAATTCAGCAGGTTGGAAACACTCCTTTTATAAAAACTACAATGGCACATTTCAGATCCCATTGAGGCCTATAGCGAAAACTCTTATTATTCCATGATTAAAAACTAGAAACAAGCTATAAGTGAAAATGCTTTGTGATTTGTGAATTTATCTGATAGAGTTAAACCTTTGTTTTAATACAGCAGGTTGGAAAGTGTTTTTTGTTGAAACTTCAAGGGGACATTTTGAAACCCATTGAATCCTATAGTGAAAAAGTGAATATTCTGCATGAAAATTAGAAACAAGCTCTCAGTGTAAATACTTTGCAATGTATGGATTCATCTCACAGAGTTAAAACCTTTGTTTTGATTTTGCAGTTTGAAAACACTCTTTGTAGAATCTGCAAAAGGACATTTCTGAGCTCATTGAGGCCTATAGTGAAAAAACAAATATGCAGAGAGAAAAACTAGAAAAAAAGCTCTCAGTCACAATGCTCTGTGATGTGTGGAGTCACCTCATTGAGTTAAACCTTTGTTGTGATTTATCAGGTTGCAAACACTCTTTTGGTGGAATCTATGAAGGGAAATTTCGAAGCCCATTGAGGCCTGTGGTGAACAACTGAGTATCCTGTGATAAAAACTAGAAACAATCTCTCAGTGAAAATCTTTTGCCATGTGTGGATTCATTTCACTGAGTTCAACCTTTGTTTTGATTTGGCAGGCCTGAAACACTCTTTTTGTAGGATCTACAAAGGGACGTTTTGGAGCCAATTGAGTTCTATGGTGAAAAACCGAATATCCCACAATAAAAACTAGAAACAAGCTCTCAGTGACAATGCATTGTGATGCGTGGATTCATCTACCAGAGTTAAACTTTTGTTTTGATTAAGCATGTTGGAAACACGCTTTTCTTACAATCTATGATGGACATTTCAGAGCTCATTTTGGCCTATACTGCATAACAAAATATCCCGTGATAAAAACTAGAAACATGTTCCCATTGAAAATAATTTTCAATGTGTAGATTCATCTCGCAGAGTTAAAACTTTGCTTTAACGCAGTAGATTGGAAACATTTTTGTGTAGAATCTATGATGATACATTGCAGAGCCCTTTAAGGTCTTTAGAAACAACCCGATATCCTGTGATAAAAACTAGAAACAAGCTCTCAATGAAAATGTTTTGCAATGTGTGGATTCACCTCATTCAGTTAAACTCTGTTTTGACTCAGAAGTTTGGAAACACTCTTTTCTTAATCTACAATGGACATTTCAGAGCTCTTTTTGGCCTATAGCACATAACCGAATATCCCGTGATAAAAACTAGAAACAAACTCTCAGTGAAAATATTTTTGATGTGTGGATTAATCTCACAGAGTTAAAACTTTGTTTTAATTCTGCAGGTTGCAAACACTCTTTTTGTAGAATCTATGAAGGGACATTTTGAAGCCAATTGAGGCTTCTGGTGAAAACCCCAATATCCCATGATAAAAATTACAAACAACCTCTCAGTGAAAATGCTTTGTGATGGGTGGATTCGTCTCACAGAATTAAATCTTGTTTTGACTCAGCAGTTGGGAAACACTCTATTTGTAGAATCTATGAAGGGACATTTCAGAGCTCATTGAGACCTATAGTGAAAAATCGAATATCCCAGTATGAAAACTAGAAACAACCTCTCGGTGAAAATACTTTTTGATGTGTGGATGCATCTCATAGAGTTAAACACTTATTTTTATTCAGCAGGTTGGAAACTTTCTTCTTGTAGAATCTGTTAAAACCTATAGTGAAAAAATAAATATCCCATGATAAAAACTAGAAAAAAGCTATCATCGGTGAAATTGCTTCATCATGTGTGGATTCATCTTACAGGGTTAAACCTTTGTTTTGACTCAACAGGTTGGAAACACTATTTTTAAGAATGTATGAAGTGATATTTTTTAGTTCATTGAGGCCTATTGTGAAAATCAGAATATCCTGTGGTAAAAACAACAAACAAGCTCTTTGTGAAACTGCTTGGTGATGTGCAGAATCATGTCACAGAGTTAAAGCTTTGTTTTGATTCAGCAGGTTGAAAACACTTTTTTTTTTTGTAGAATCTACTAGGGGACATTTCAAAGCCCATTGAGGCTTACAGTAAAAACATAAATATCCTGCAAAAAAACTAAAAACAAGCTCTCAGTGAAAATGATTTGCAATGTGTGGATTCATCTCACAGAGTTAAACCTTTGTTTTGATTCAGCAGGTTGGAAACCCTCTTTTTGTAGAATCTACAAAGGGATATTTCAGAGCCCATTGAGTCCTATAGTGTAAAACTGAATATTCCACAATAAAAACCAGAAACAAACACTCAGTGAAAATGCTTTGCTATGTGTGACTTCATCTTACTTAGTTGAACATTTGTTTTCATTCAGCATGTTGGAAACACTGCTTTTGGAGAATTTACAAAGGGAAATTTCAAAGCCAATAGAGGACTATAGTGAATATCAAATATTCCACAATAAAAACTACAAATGAACTCTCAGTGAAAATGCTTTGTGATCTGGGAATTCAACTTACAAAGTTAAACTTATTTTTTGATTCAGCTGGTTGGAAACGCTGTTTGTAGAATCTACAAAAGGACATTTCAGAGCCCATTGAGGCCTGTAGTGGAAAACTGAATATCCTGCAATAAAAACTAGAAGCAGTCTGTCAGTAAAAATGCTTTGTGATGTGGGTATTCATCTCACAGAGTTAAACCTTAGTTTTGGGTCCGCAGGTTGGAAACACTCTTTTTGTGGAACCTACAAAGGGACATTTCAGAGCTTATTGAGGCCTATAGTGAAAAACCGAATATCCCATGATAAAAGCTAGAAGCAATCTCTTAGTGAAAATGCTTTGTGATATGTCTATTCAAATCACAGAGTTAAATGTTAGTTTTGATTTAGCTATTTTTGTAGTATCCACAAAGGGACATTTAACTGCCCTTTGAGACCTAGAGTGAAAAACAGAAAATCCCACAATAAAAACTAGAAACAGGCTCTTAGGGAAAATGCTTTCTGATGTGTGGATTCATCTAAGAGAGTTAAACCTTTGTTTTGACTCAGCAGGTTGGAAACATCTTTTTTTAGAAAATACAAAAGGACATTTCAAAGCCCATTGAGGCCAATAGTAAAATTCCTACTATCCTGTGATAAAAACTAGAAACAAGATATCAGTGAAAATACTTTGGGATGTGAGGATTTATCTCAAAAAATTTAACCTTTGTTTTGATTCAGCAAGTTGTAAATACTCTTTTTGTAGAATCTATGAAGGGACATTTCAAAGCCCATTTATTCCTATGTGGAAAAAATGAATATCCCACCATAAAAACTAGAAACAAGCTGTCAGTCAAAATGTGTTGCGAGTTGTAGACTTATCTCACAGAGGTAAACATTTGTTCTTATTCAGCAGGTGGCAAATTCTCATTTTGTAGAATCTACGAAGGGACATTTTGGATTCCTTTGAGGCTTATAGTGAAAAACAGAATAACTAGCAATAAAAACTACATACAAGCTCTCAGTAAAAATGTTTTGCAGTGCATGGATTCATCTCACAGAGATAAATCCTTGTTTTGATTCAGCAGGCTGGAAACACTCTTTTTGTAGAATCTACTGGGGAACATTTCAGAGCCCATTGAGAACTATAGTGAAAAACAGAATATCCTTCGAAGAAAACTATAAACAAGTTATCAATGAAAATGCTTTGCAATGGGTGGATTCCTCTCACTGAGTAAAATCTTTTTTTTTGGTTCAGCAGTTTGGAAACACTCTTTTTTTTGAATCTATGAAGGGACCGTTCAGAGCTCATTGAGGTCTATGGTGAAAAACCTAATATGATACGATGAAAACTAGAAACAAGATCTCAGTGAAAATGCTTTGTGATGTGTGGATTCATCTCACCAATTTAAACCTTTGTTTTGATTCTGCACATTGGAAACACACTTTCTGTAGAATATACAATGAGACATTTCAGAGTCCATTGATGCCTATTGTGAAAAACAAAATATCCAGGGATAAAAACTAGAAACAAGATATCAGCAAAAATGATTTGTAATAAGTGGAGTCATTGCACAGAGTTAAAGCTTCGTTTTGATTCACCAGGATGCAAACACTCTTTTCTGTAATATCTAAGAAAGGTAATTTCAGAGCCAATTGGCCTACATTGAAAAGCCAAATATCCCAAGATAAAACTAGAAACAAGCTATCTTTGAAAATGCTTTGCAATGTGTAAATTTATCTCACAGAGTTAAACCTTTGTTTTTGATTCAGCATGTTGTAAACACAATTTTTGTAGAATCTATGAGGGGACATTTCAGTACCCATTGAAGCCTACACTGAAAGACAAAATATGCTGCAATAAAAACTAGAAACAAGCTCTCAGTGAAAACGCTATGTGATGTGTGGATTAATCTAACAGAGTTTAACCTTTGTTTTGATTCAGCAGGTTGGAAACACTTTTTTTGGTAGAAACTACAAAAGGACATTTTGAAGCCCATTGAGGCCTATACTGAAAACCAGAATATCCTGCAATAAAAACTAGAAATAAGCTGTCTGTTAAAATGCTTTGCAATGTGTGGATTCATCTCAGTTAGTTAAGCCATTGTTTTGATTCAGCATGTTGGAAACCCTCTTGTACAACCTATGAAGGTACATTTCAGAGCCCACTGAGGCATATACTGAAAAACTAAATATCTCATGATAAAAACTAGAAACAAGCTATCTGTGAAAGTACTTTGTGAAATGTTGATTCATCTACAGAGTTAAACTTTTGATTTTATTCAGCAGGTTTGTAACACTGTTTTTGAAAACTTTACGAGAGGACATTTCAGAGACCATTGAGGCCTACAGTGAAAACCTGAATATTCCACACACAAAAAAAAAAACTAAAAACAACCTCTCATTGAAAATGCTTTGCAATGTGCGGATTCATCTCAGTGAGGTAAAAGTTTATTTTGATTCAGCAGGTTGGAAACACTTTTTTTTATAGGATCTACTAAAAGACATTTCAGAGCCCATTGAGGCCTATAGTGAAAACCTGAATATCCTGTTACAAAAACGAGAAACAAGCTCTCAGTGAGAATGCTATGTGATGTGTGGATTCATTTGACAGAGTTAAACCTTTATTTTTATTCAGTACATTGGAAACATTCTTTTTGTAGAATCTGTGAGGGGACATTTTGAAGCTCATTGAGGCCTATAGTGAAAAACCAAACATCTCAAAATAAAAACTAGAAACAAGTTCTCAGTGAAAATGCTATGTGATGTGTGTATTCATCTGACAGAGCTAAACCTTTGCTTTGATTCAGTAGGTTGGAAACACATTTTTTGTAGAATCTACTTTGGGACATTTTGGACCCTATTGATGCCTATTGTGAAAAACTTAATATCCCACCATGAAATCTAGAAAAAAGCTACCAGTGAAAACGGTTTGTGGTTTGTGGATTCATGTAACAGAGTTAAACCTTTGTTTTGATTCAGCAGGTTGGAAACACTTTTTTTGTAGAATCCACGAAGAGATATTTTGGAGCCCATTGATGCGTATTGCAAAAAAACAAATATCCCTTGATGAAAAATAGAAACAAGTTTTCAAGAAAATGCGTTGTGATATGTGGATTCACCTAACAGACTTAAATCTCTGATTTGAGTCAGCAAATTGGAGACACTCATTTTGAGTCATCTACATAGGGACAGCTCGGAGCCCATTGAGGTCTGTAGTGTAAACCCAAATATCCCATGATAAAAACTAGAAACAAGATCTCAGTGAAAATGCTTTTCAATGTGTAGATTCATCTCAGTGAGTTAAACCTTTGTTTGGATTCAACAGGTTGGAAACTCTTTGTAGAATCTACGAAGAGACATTGTGGAGCTCCTTGATGTCTAAAGTGAAAAATGGAATATTCCACAATAAAAACTAGAAACAAGCTCTCAGTGAAAATGCTTTGTGATGTGTAGATTCATCTCACAGAGTTAAGCCTTTATTTTGATTAGGCAGCTTGGAAGAACTCTTTTTGTAGAATCTACGAAGGGACATTTTGGAGCCCATTGAGGTCTATAGTGAAAATCCTAATATTCCATGACAAAAGCTAGAAACAAGCTGTACCTTAAAATGCTTTGTGACGTATGGCTTCATCTCACAGAGCTAAACTTTCATTTTGATTCAGCAGGTTGTAAACACTTTTTTTGTAGAATCTACGAAGGGACATTTCAGAGCCCATTGAGGCCTATAGTGAAAAGCAGAAGATACCGTGATAAAAAATAGAATCAAGCTGTCTGTGAAAATGGCTTGCAATGTGTGGAATCCTCTGACAGAGTTAAACTTTTGTTTTGATTTAGCAGGTTGGATACAGTCTTTTTGCAATATCTATGAGGGGACATTTCAAAGCCCATTGAGGTCTATAGTGAAAACCCAAATATTCTGTGATAAAAACTAGAACCATGCTCTAAGTGAAAATGCTATATGATGTGTGGGTTTATCTTACAGAGTTAAACCTTCCTTTTGATTCAGGAAGTTGGAAACACTCTTTTTTGTAGAATCTACCAGGGGACATTTTGGAGCACATAGAGGCCTACAGTGAAAAACCAAATACCTTGCAATAAAAAGTAAAAACAAGCTCTCAGTGAAAATACATTAGGATGTGTGGATTCATCTGACAGAATTAAATCTTTCTTTTGATTCAGCAGGTTGAAAACACTGTTTTTTGTAGAGATTACGAAGGGACATTTCAAAGCCCATTGAGGCTTATTTTGAAAAACTGAATATCTGTGATAAAAACTAGAAGGAAGCTCTCAGTGAAAATGCTTTGTGATGTGTGGATTCATCTAACAGATTTAAACCTTCGATTTTACTAAGCAGGTTGGAAACACTCTTCTTATAAAATCTGTGAAGGGCCATTTCAGAGCCCATTGATGCCTATATTGAAAAACAGAATATCCCATGAGGAAAAACTAGGAACAAGCTCTCAGTGAAAATTCTATGCAATGTGTGGACACATCTCACAGAGTTAAACATTTGTTTTGATCCAGCAGGTTGGAAACTCTGTTTTTGTAGATCTACAAGAGGACATTTCAGAGTCCATTGAGGCCTACTGTGATAAATCAAATATCCCATGATAAAAATTAGAAACAAGGTATCAGTGAAAATGCTTTGCTATGGTTGGATTCATCCAACAGAGTTAAACCTTTTTTTGATTCAGCAGGTTGGATACACTTTTTTTTGTAGAATTTAGAAAGGGACATTTCAGAGATCATTGAGGCCTATAGTATGCAGCTGAATATCCCACAGTAAAAACTAGAAACAAGCTTTCTGTGAAAATGCTTTGCAATGTGTGGATTCATCTCACAGAGTTAAAACTCTGTTTTAATTTAGCAGGTTGTAAACACTATTTTTGTAGAAATTACAAGGGGACATGTCAGAGCCCTTTGAGGCCTGTAGTAAAAACCAGTATATCCCGAGATAAAAACTAGAAACACACTCTCAGTGAAAATTCTTTGTGATCTGTGGATTCATCTCCATGAAGTAAAACTTTGTATAGATGCTGCAGGTTGGAAATACTCTTATTGTAAAATCTACAAAGGGACATTTCGGAGGCCATTGAGACCTATACTAAAAAATCAATTATCCCTTGATAAAAACTAGAATCAAGCTGTCAGTAAAAATGCTTTGTGATGTGCAGATTCATCTCACAGAATTAAATCTTTCTTTCTTTTGATTCAGCAGTTTGCAAACAATCTTTTTGTGGAATCTATGAAAAGATATTTTGGATCCCATTGAGGCCTACAGTGAAAAACCAAATATCTTACAGTAAAAACTAGAAACAATGCTCTCAGTAAAAATGCTGTGTGATGTGTGGATTCATCTCACAAAGTTAAACGTTTGTTTTGATTCAGCATATTGAAAACAATTTTTTGAAGGATCTACCACGAGATATTTTGGAGTCCATTGAGGCCTATGTTGAAAAGCTGAATATCTCATGATAAAAGCTAGAAACAAGCTATCAGTGAAAATAATTTGTGACATATGGATTCCTCTTACAGTGTGAAACCTTTGTTTTGATTCAGCAGGTTGAAAACACTCTTTTTGTAGAATCTACAAAGGGACACTTCCAAGCTTATTGAGGCTTCTAGTGAAAACAAAAATATCCTGCAATAAAAACTAGAAACCAGCTCTCAGTGAAAATGGTTTGCAATGTGAGGATTCGTATCACAGAGTTTAATTTTTGTTTTGGTTTAGAAGGTTGGAAACTCTTTTTTTGTAGAATCTATGAGAGGAAACTGAGACCATTGAGTCCTATGGTAAAAAATTGATTATCTCTCGATAAAAACTAGAAAAAAAGCTGTCTGTGAAAATGCCTTGTGATGTGTGGATTCATCATCTACAGAGTTAAAGCTTTTCTTTTTTTTTTTGATTCAGCTGATTGGAAACATTCTTTTTGTAGAATCTGTGAGGGTACATTTTAGAGCCCAATGAGGCCTATAGCAAAATGCTGAATAACCTGTAATAAAGACTAGAAAAAAGCTGTCTATCAATCAAAATGCTTTGCAATGTATGGATTCATCTCATTGAGTTAAACTTTCCTGAATATCCAGCAAAAAAGACAAGAAACAAGCTATCTGTGAAAATGCTTCCCAATGAGTGGATTCATCTCAGTGAGATAAAACTTTGTATTGATTCTGCACGTTGGAAACACTCTTTCTGTAGAATCTATGAAGGGACATCTCGTAGCCCATTAAGGTCTATACTGAAAAACCGAATATCCCGTGATAAAAACTAGAAACAAGCAATAAGTGAAAATGCTATGCGATGTGTAGATACATGTAACAGAGTTAAAACTTTATTTTGACTCAACTTGTTGGAAACACTCTTTTTGTAGTATCTACTAAGGGACATTTCAAAGCCCTTTGCTGCCTATTGTGAAAAACTGAGTAACCCATGATATAAACTAGAAACAATCAATCAGTGAAAATGCTCTGTGATGTGCAGATTCGACTCACAGAATTAAACCTTTGTTTTGATTCAGCAGGTTGGAAAGACTCTTTTTGTAGCATCTAGGAAGGAACATTTTGGAGCACATTGAGGCCTACAGTGAAAAACTGAAAATATCTTATGATAAAAGCTAGAAACAAGCTCTCAGTAAAAATGCTTTGTGATGTGCAGATACATTGCACAGAGTTAAATATTTATTTTCATCCAGCATGTTGCAAACCACTTTTTTGTAGAATCTAACAGGGGACATTTTGACATCCATTGAGGCCTATATTGAAAAGCCAAATATCTCACCATAAAAACTAGAAAGAAAAAGGCTATCACTGATGATGCTTTGTGACCTATGGATTCCTCTTACAGTGTTAAACCTTTGTTTTGATTCAGTAGGTGAGAAACACTATTTGTCAAATCTTCAAAGGGACATTTCAAAGCCTATTGATGCTTGTAGTAAAAACCCTAATATCCCATGATAAACACTAGAAACCAGCTCTCAGTGAAAATGCTTTGCAATGTGTGGGTTTGTCCCACAGAGTTTACTTCTTCTTTTGATTCAGAATGTTGGAAATACTTCTTTTTTGTAGAATCTATGTGGGGAAATTTCGGAGACCATTGAGGCCTATAGTAAAAAACTGAGTATCTTGCAATAAAAACTGGAAACATGCGATCTGTGAAGATACATCTTCACAGATTCATCTGTGGATTCATCTACAGAGTAAAAGCTTTGTTTTGATTCAGCTGGTTGGAAACACTCTTGTTGTAGAATATATGAGCAGACATTTCAAAGCCCAATGAGGCCTATAGTAAAAACAGGAATATCCTGAAAAAAAAAAAAAAAAAAAAAAAACTAGGAACAAGCTCTCAGTGACAATGCTTAGCGATTTGTGGGTTCACATCACAGTGTTTACCCTTTGTTTTGAATCAGAAGGTTGGAAACACTTTGGAGAATCTATGAGGGGAAATTTTAAAGACCATTGAGGCCTATAGTGAAAAACAGAATACCCCATGGTAAAAACAAAAACAAGCAACTCGTGAAGATGCTTTGCGATCTGTGGATTCATCTACAGAGTTAAAGCTTTCTTTTGATTCAGCAGGTTGGAAACACTCTTTTTGTATAATCCACGAGGGGACATTTCAGAGCACATTGAGGCCTATAGTGAAGTCCAGAATATTCCACAATAAAAACTAGAAACAAGCTATCAGTAAAAATGCTTTGCAATATATGGATTCATCTCAGTGACTTATGTTTTTATTCAGCAGGTTGGAAACTCCCTTTTTGTGGAATGTACAAGTGGACATTTCAAGGCCCATTGAGACCTATAGTGAAAACACGAATGTCCTGAGATAAAAACAACAAATAACCTATCTGTAAAAATGCTTTGCAATTTGTGTATTCATCCAAGTGATTTAAAATTTGATTTTGATTCTGCAGGTTGAAAACACTGTTTTTGTAGAATCTCTGAAGGGACATTTTGGAGCCCATTGAGGCCTACAGTGAAAAACTGAATATCCGCCAACAAAAAGTAGAAAGAAGCTATCTGTGAAGCTGCATTGCAATGTGTGGATTCATCTCACAGAGTTAAATCTTTAGATTCAGTAGGTTGGAAACACTCATTTTGTAGATTCTGCGAAGGGACATTTTGAAGCCCACTGAGCACTGTGGTGAAAAACAGAATACCCTGCTATAAAAAATTGAAAGAAGCATTTTGTGAAACCACTTTGTGATGTGTGGATTCTGCTCACAGAGTTAAACCATTCTTTGATTCAACTGGTTGGAAACACTCCTTTTGCAGAATCTGTGAAGGGACATTTAGGAGGCCACTGAGGCCAATAGGGAAAAACTGAATATCTTGCAATATAAACTGAAAAGAAGCTATCTGTGAAACTGCTTTGGGTTGTGTGGACTTACTTCACAGAGTAAAATCTTTCCTTTGATTTAGCAGGTTGGAAGCACTCTTTTTGTAGAATCGGTGAGGGGACATTTTGGAGCCCACTGAGACTTATAGTGAAAAGCTGAATATTTCACAATAAAAACTTGAGGGAAGCTATCTGTGAAACTGCTTTGTGATGTGTGGATTTACCTCACAGAGTTAAAACTTCCTTCTGAATCAGCAGGTTGGAAACACTTTTTTGTAGAATCTGTGAAAGGACATTCAGGAAACACTCTTCTTGTAGAATCTATGAAGGGATATTTGGGAGCCCATTGAGGCCTATGGTGAAAAACAGAATATCTCACGATAAGAATTTGAAAGAAGCTACCTGTGAAACTGCTTTGTGATGTGTGGTTTCACCTCATAGAGTTAAAACATTCTTTTGATTCAGCAGGTTGAAAGCACATTTTTGGAGAATCTGTGAAGGGACATTTCAGCGCCAAATGAGGCCTATACTTAAAAACTGAACATCCCTTGATAAAAACTACAAAGAAACTATCTGTGCAACTGTTTTGTGATCTGTGGATTCAGCTCAGAGAGATAAACCTTTCTTTTCATTCAGTATTTTAAAAACACTGGTGTTTGTTTGTTTGTTTGTTTTGACAGAATCTCGCTCTGTCACCCAGGCTGGAGTGCAGTGGTGCAATCTTGGCTCACTGCAAGCTCTGCCTCCCAGGTTCACACCATTCTCCCACCTCAGCCTCCCGAGTAGCTGGGGCTACAGGAGCCCACCACCATGCCCGGCTAATTTTTTGTGTTTTGTTAGTAGAGGCGGGGTTTCACCGTGTTAGCCAGGATGGTCTTGATCTCCTGACCTCGTGATCTGCCCACCTCAGCCTCCCAAAGTGCTGGGATTACAGGTGTGAGCCACTGAGCCTGGCCAAAAGCACTGTTTTTTTTTTTTTTTTTTTCCAGAATGGGCAAAGGGACATTTCAGAGCCCTCTGAGGCCTATAGTGAAAAAACAAATATCCCCGGACTAAAACTAGAAGGAAGCTATGTGTACAACCACTTTATGATGTGTAGATTCACCAAATGAGTTAAACTTTTCTTTTGATTCAGCAAGTTGGAAACTCTCTCATTGCAAAATCTGCAAAGGGACATTTAGGAGCCCCTGAGGCCTATAGTGAAAACCTTAATATCTCAAATAAAATCTAGCAACAATCTATCATTGAAACAGTTTTGCAATGTGTGGATTCAACTCTCAGAGTTATACTTTCCTTTTGATCCAGCAGGTTGGAAATACTTTTGTTGTAGAATATGCAAGGGACATTTCAGTGCCCACTGAGGCCTATAGATAAAAACAAAATATCCAGTGATAACAACTAGAAAGAAACTAACTGTGAAACAGCTATGTGATGTGTGAATTCAACTCCCAGAGATAAACTTTTTCTCTGATTCAGCATTTTGGAAACTCTATTTTTGCAGAATCTGTGAAGGGATATTTCGGAGCCCACTGAGGCCTATAGTGAAAAAACAAATATTCCACTGTTAAAACTACAAAGAATCTATCTCTGAAACTGTTTGGTGATGTGTGGATTCACCTCACATAATTTAAACTTTCATTTGATTCAGAAGAATGGAAACACTCTTTTTGTTGAATCTGTGAAGAAACATTTTGGAGCCCTCTGAGGCCAATAGTGAAAAACGAAATATCCTGCAATAAAAACCAGAAATAAGATATCTGGGAAACTGCTTGGTCATGTGTAGATTCAGCTCATAGTGTTAAACTTTTGTTTTGATTCAGCAGGTGGGAAACATTCTTGTCGCAAAATCTGTGGAAGGATATTTACCAGCCCCCAGAGGCCTATATTAAAAATCCAAATACTTTGCAATAAGAACTATAAAGAAGCTATCCGTGAAACTGCTTTGCTATAGTGAATTCTGCTAACAAAGTTAAACATCTATTTTCATTCAGTAGGTTGGAAACAATCTTTTTATGGAATCTCTGGAGACACAGTTCAAAGCCCACTGAGGCTTATAGTGAAAAACCAATTAACCTGCCAAAAAACTAAAAAGAAAATATCTGTGAAACCACTTTGCAATGTGTGCATTCATCTCACAGAGTTTTAAAACTTTCTTTTGATTCAGCAGGTTGGAAACACTCTTTCTGTATAATCTGACGAGGGACGTTTCAGAGCCCACTGAGGTCTACACTGAAAAACCGAATATTCAGCATGTTGGAAACACTTTTTTCAAAGAATCTGCAAAGAAATACTTCAGAGTCCACTGAGGCCTGAGTGAAATACAGAATACCCCACAATAAAAACTAGAAAGAAGCTGTCTGTGACACTGCTTTGAGATGTGGATTCACCTCACAGAGTTAAAGCTATCTTTTGATTCATCAGATTGGAAACACTCTTGTTGCAGAGAGTGCAAAGAGACATTTTGAAACCCACTGAGGCCTATAGTGATAACTTGAATATCTTGTGCTAAAAACTAGAAAGAAGCTATCTGTGAAACTGCTTTTTGACGAGTGGTTTCACCTCAGAGTTTAGCCGTTCTTTGGATTAAGCAGAAGGTATACACTTCTTTTTAAAAAATCTGCGAAGGGACATTTTGGAGCCCACTGAGGCCTATAGTAGAAAACAGAATACCCTTCCAGAAAAACTCAAAAGCGCTATCTGTGAAACTGGTTTGTGATGTGTGGATTCACCTCACAAACTTAAAACTTTCTTTTGATTCAGCAGGTTGGAAACACTCTTTTTGTAGAATCTGTAAAGAGACATTTCAAAGTCCACTGAGGACTACAGTGAAAAACCAAATATCTTGTGATAATAACTAGAAAGAGGTTATCTGTGAAACTGCTTTGGATTTGTGGATTCAGCTCACAGAGTTAAACCTTTCTTTTGATTCAGCAGGGTGGAAACACTCTTTTTGTAGAAACTACGACATTTCTGGGTCCACTGAGCCTTATAGTAAAAAACCAAATATCCTGAGATAAAAAGTAGAAAGAAGCTATCTGTGAAACTGCATTACGATGTTTGATTCAGCTCACAGAATTAAAACTTTCTTCTGATTGACCTGGTTGGAAACACCTTTTCTTCAGAATCTGCAAAAATACATTTTGAAGCACACTGAGGCCTATAGGGAAAAAAACAAATATCCTGCAATAACAACTACAAAGAACCTATCTGTGAAACTGCTTGGTTACGTGTGATTCAGCTCACAGATTTAAACTTTCTTTTGATTCAGCAAGTTGAAAATACATTTGTTGCAGAATCTGAGAAGGGATATTTCAGTGTCCACTGAGGTCTGTAGTGAAAAAACGAAGTTCCCGTGATAAAAACCAGCAAGAACCTACCTGTGAAACTGCTTTGGAAGTGTGTATTTAGCTCACAGAATTAAAACTTCCTTTTGATTCAGCAGGTTGGAAACACTGTTTTTGCAGAATATGCAAAGGGACATTTCGGAGCCCATAAAGGTCTGTAGTTATAAAACTGAACATCATGATAAAAAAACTAAAAATAAGCTATCTGTTAAACTGCTTTGTAATTTGTGGATTCACCTCACAGCACTAACCTTTTTTTCTGATGCAGTAGGTTGGAAACACTCTTTTTGTAGAATCTGCAAAAAGACATTTCTGAGCCCACTGAGGCCTAAGGAGAAAAACCAAATATCCCATGATAAGCACATGAATGAACCTATCTGTGAAACTGCTTTGGGATGTGTGCATTCTTCTCACAAAATTAAATCTTTCTTTTGATTCATCTGGTTGGAAACACTCTTATTGTAGATTCTGTGAAGGGACATTTGCATGCCCATTGAGGCCTATAGTGAAAAACTGAATATCCACTAATAAAAACTAGAAAGAAGCTATCTGTGAAACCGTTTTGTGATATATGGATTCATCTCAAAGAGTTAAACCTTACTTTTTATTCAGCAGGTTGGAAACATTCTTTTTGTGGAATCTGTGAAAGGACATTTGGGATCCTATAGAGGCCTATACTGAAAAACTGATTATCCCTGGATAAAAACTAGAAAGAAACTGTTTGTGAAATGGCTTTTCAATGTGTGCATTCATCTCACAGAGTTAAATCTTTCTTTTCATTCAACATATTGGAAACGCTTTCTTTGTAGAATCTATGAAGGGACATTTAGGAGCCTATTCAGGCCTACAGTGAAAAACCAAATATCCCCCCAAAAAAACCAGAAAGAAGGTGTCTTTGAAGTCTCTTTGTGAAGTGTGTATTCATCTCACAGAGTTATACCCGTCTTTTGATTCAGCAGTTTGGAAACACTTTGTTTGTAGAAACTGCGAAGGGACATTTTGGGGCCCATCGAGACCTACAGTGAAAAGGCGAATATCCCGTGATAAAAACTAGAAAGGAGCTATCTGGAAACCACTTTGTGATGTTTGGAATCATCTCACAGAAGTAAACTTGTCTTTATTCACCAGGTTGGAAACACGTTGTTTGTAGAATCTGTGAAGAGACATTTGGAATCCCACAGAAGTCAATGGTGAAAAACTGAGTATCCCACGATAAAAGCTAGAAAGAAGCTATGAAACTGCTTTGCAATGTGTGGTTTAAACCTTTCTTTTGATTCAGCAGGATGGAATCACTCTGTAGAAACTGTACAGGGACATTTGGGGGCCCATTGTGTGTTACAGTGAAAAACCAAATATCCACTGATAAAAACTAGAAAGAAGGCATCTGTGAAACTGCTTGTGAGGTATGGATTTATCTCACAGAGTTATACCTTTCTTTTTATTCAGCTGGTTGGAAACACTCTGTTTATAGAATCTGCGAAGGAATATTTGGGAGCAAATTGAGGCCTACAGTAAAAAAACGAATATCCCCTGATAAAAACTAGAAATAAGCTGTCCATGAAAATGCTTTTCAATGTGTGGATTCATCTCAAAGAGTTAAACCTTCCTTTGATTCAGCAGTTTGTAAACACTATTTTTGTAAAATCTGTGAAGTGACATTTTGGAGTCCATTGAAGCCTATATTGAAAAACTGAATTTCTCTTGATAAAAACTAGAAAGAAGCTATCTGGGAAATTGCTTTGCAATTTGTGGATTCATCTCACAGAAGTAAACCTGCATTTTGATTCAGCAGGTTGGAAACACTCATTGTGTAGAAGCTGTGAAGGGTCATTTGGGAAGTCATTGAGGCCTATAGTGAAAAACCAAATATCTTCCTATAAAAACTAGAAAAAAGCTCTCTGTGAAACCACTTCGCAAAATGTGGATTCATCTCACAGAGTTAAACCTTTCTTTTGATTCAGCAGGATGAAAACCCTCTGTTTGTAGAAACTGCAAAAGGACATTTGGGAGCCCACTGAGGTCTATAATGAAAAACAGAATATCCAGTGATGAAAACTAGAAAGAAGCTATCTGTGAAACAGCTTTGTGATGTGTGGACTCATCTCACAGTGTTAAACCTTTCTTTGATTCAGCAGGTATGAAACACTCTTTTTGTAAAATCTGTGAATGGACATTTGGGAGCCCATTGACACCTTCACTGAAAAACCAAATATCCCCAGATGAAACCTAGAAAGAAGCTATCTATGAAACTGCATGGTGATGTGTGCCTTCAACTCACAGAGTTAAAACTTTCTTTTTATTCAGATGGTTGGAAACACACTTTTTGTGTATTCTGCAATGGGATATTTCATTGCCCATTGCATCCTACTGTGAAAGATGAATATCCCTAGATAAAAACTAGAAAGAAGCCCTTTGTGAAATGGCTTTTTGATGTGTGCATTCATCTCACAGAGTTAAACCTTCCTTTTCATTCAGCAGGTTGGATATACTTTGTTTGTAGAATCTATGAAGGGACATTTGGGAGCCCATTGAGGCCTACAGTGAAAAACCGAATATCCCCTGAGAAAAACCAGAAAGAAGATGTCTTTGAAACCACTTTGTGAAGTGTGGATTCATCTCACAAAGTTATACCTGTGTTTTGATTCAGAAGTTTGGAAACACTTTGTTTGTAGTATCTGTGAAGGGACATTTTGGAGCCCATAGAGGCCTACAGTGAAAAACCAAATATCCCCTGATAAAAACTAGAAAGAAGCTATCTGTGAAACCACTTTGCAATGTTTTGAATCATCTCAGAGAGGTAAACCTGTCTTTTGATTCACTAGGTTGGAAACACATGGTTTGTAAGATCTGCAAAGAGATGTTTGGGATCCCATAGAAGCCAATAGTGAAAAACCAAATATCCCATGATAAAAACTAGATAGAAGCTATCTATGTAACCTCTTTGTGATGTGTGGATTCATCTCACAGATTTAAAATTGTCTTTTGATTCAGCAGGTTGTAAACACTCTTTCTGTAAAATTGGCAAAGAAACATTTGGGAGCCAAATGAGGCCTACAGAGAAAAATGGAATATCCCTGATAAAAACTTCAAAGGAGCTACCATGAAACTACTGTGTGATGTTTGGATTCACCTCACTGAGTTAAACCTGTCTTTTGATTCAGCAGGTTGGGAACTCTCTGTTTGTAGACTCTGGGAAGGATAATTTGGGAGCCCATTGAGGCCTATAGTGAAAAAAATAATATCTCCTGATATACACTAGAAAGATGCTATCTGTGAAAGCACTTTGTGATGTATGGATTCATCTCACAGACTTAAGTCTTATTTTTTTTTATTCAGCAGTTTGGAAACACTCTGTAGAATCTGTGAAGGGACATTTGAAAGACCACTGAGGCCAACAGTGAAAACCCGAATATCCCCTGATAAAAACTAGAAAGAAGCTATATGTGAAACCACATTTTGATGTGTAGATTCGTCTCACAGAGTTAAACCTTCCTTTTGACTAAGCAGGTTGGAAACACTCTGTAGAATCTGTGAAGAGATATTTGGGAGCCCATTGAGGCCTATAGTTCAAAACCAAATATCCCTTGATAAAAAGTAGAAAAAAGCTGTCTGTGAAAACAATTTGTTGGGTATGGGTTCATCTCACCGAGTTAAACCTATCTTTTGATTCTGCAGGTTTGAAATGCTATTTTTGTATAATCTGCAAAGTGATATTTTCTAGCCCATTGAAGCCTGTAATAAAAAACTGAACAACATCTCTTGAAAAAATCCAGAAAAATTCTATCTTTGAAACTGCTCTGTGATTTGTGGATCCATCTCAAAGAATTAAACCATTCTTTGATTCAGCACGTTAGAAACACTCTTTTTATAGAATCTGAAAAGTGATATTTGTGGGTGAATTGAGGACCATAGTGAAAAACCGTATATCCCCTGATAAAAACTAGAAAGAAGCTGTCTGTGAAACCACTTTGCAATGTTTAGAATCATCTCGCAGAGTTAAATCTTTCTTTTGGTTCAGTAGGTTGGAAACACTGTGTTTGTAGAAACTGTGAAGAGACATTTGAAAGCCCATTGAAGCCTAAAATGCAAAGCTGAATACCCCTGATAAAAACTAGAAATAATCTATCTGGGAAGCTGATTTGCAATGTGTGGATCCATCTCTCAGAGTTAAACCAGTCTTTTGATTCAGCAAGTTGGAAATACTTTTTTGTAAGATCTGCAAAGGGATATTTGGAAGCCAATTGAGGTCAACAGTGAAAAACAGACTATCCCCCAATAAAACTAGACAGAATCTACCTGTGAACAAGCTTTGTGAGGTGTGCATTCATCTCACAGAGATAAACCTTTCTTTCATTCAGGAGATTGGAAAGAATCATTTTGTAGAATCTGCAAAGGGACATTTGGGAGCCCATTCAGGCCTATGGTGAAAAACCGAATATTCCCAGATAAAAACAAGAAAGAAGCTATCTGTGTAACTGGTGTGTGGATTTATCTCACAGTGTTAAACCTTTCTTTGGATTCAGCAGGTTGGAAACACTCTTTTTGTAGAATCTGCAAAGGGAGGTTGGGGAGCCCATTGAGGCCGATGTTGAAAAACCAAATATCCCCAGATAAAAACTAGAAAGAAGCTATGTGTGAAACTGCTTAGTGATATGTGGATTCATCTCACAGAGTTAACCTTTTCTTTTGATTCAGTAGGTTGGAAAAACTCTGTTTGTAGAATCTTTGAAGGGACACTTGGGAGCCCATTGAGGCCAATAGTGAAAAATCCTCAGATAACAACTAGAAAGAAGCTATATGTGAAGCTGCATTTTGATGTGTGGATTCATCTCACAGACTTAAACCTTTTCTTTAATTCAGCAGGTTGGAAACACTTTGTGTAGAATCTGAGAAGGTACACTTGGGACCCCATTGAGGCCTATATTGGAAAACAAAATATCCACCAATAAAACTAGAAAGAAGCTATCTGGGAAACTTCTTTGTCATGTGTGGCTTCTTCTCACAGAATTAAATCTTCCTTTGATTCAGCATGTTAGAAAAACTCTTTTTGTAGAATCTGAAAAGCAACATATGTGAGCCCACTGAGGCCTATAGTGAAAAATTGTATATACTCCGATAAAAACTAGAAAGAAGGTATCAGTGAAACTGCTTTGCCATGTGTGGATTCATCTTACAGAGTTAAACCATTCTTTTGATTCATCAGATTGGAAACCCTGTTTTCGTAGAATCTTTGAGGAGACATTTGGGATCCCACAGAAGCTTATAGTGAAAAACTGAATACCCCATGATAAAAACTAGAAACAAGCTGTCTGTGAAACTGCTTTGCAATGTGTGGATTCATCTCACAGAGTTAAAACTTACTTTTAATTCAGCAGATTGGATACACTTTGTTTGTGGAATCTGTGAAGGACATTTGGGAGCCCATTGGAGATTATAGTAAAAAACAGAACAGTCCCGGATATAAACCTGAAAGAAGCTATCTGTGAAACTGCTTTGCAATGTGCGGATTCATTTCACAGGGTTAAAAGTTTCTTTAGATTTAAAATGTTGGAAACACTATTTTTGAGGAATCTGAGAAGGGACATCTGGGAGCACATTTAGGCCAATAGTAAAAAAAAAATCCTCCAATAAAAACTGGAAAGGCACTATCTGTTTAAATGTTTTGTGATGTGTGAATTCATCTCATAGAGGTAAACTTTTCTTGTGATTCAGCAAGTAGGAAACACTCTTTTTGCAGAATCTAAGAAGAGACATGTGGGAGCCCACTAAAGTCTATAGTGAAAAATCAAATATCCCCAGATAAAAACTAGAAAGAAGCTGTGTGTGAAACTGCTTTGCGATGTATGGATTCATCTCCCAGAGTTAAATATTCTTTTGATTTAGCAGGTTTGAAACACACTTTTTGTAGAATCTACAAGAGGACATTTGGGAGACCATTGAAGACTACAGGGAAAAACCGAATATCCCATCATTAAAACTAGAAAGAAGCTATCTGGGAAACCACTTTGCAATGTGTGGATTCATTTTCCAGAATTAAACATTTCTTTTGATTCAGCAGGATGGAAACACTCTGTTTGTAGAAACAGAATCGGCATTTACAATCCCATTGAGGCCCGAAGTAAAAAACCGAATATGCCCTAATAAAAACTAGAAAGAAGCTATGTGTGACACCACTTTGTGATGTGGGGATTCATCTCACAGAGTTAAACTTGTCTTTTGATTCAGCAGGTTGGAAACACTCTGTTTATAGAATATGGGAGGAAACATTTGGGGCCCTTTGAAGCCTATAATGAAAAACTGAATATACCCAGATAAACACTAGAATGAAGCTATCTGTGAAACTGCTTTGCATTGTGTGGATTCATCTCACAGAGGTAAACCTTTCTTTTGATATAGCGGGTTGGAAACACTCTGTTTGTAGAATCTGTGAAGAGACATTTGGGATCCCTTTGAGGCCTATAGTAAAATAAATACCAAATATCCACTGATAAAAACAATAAAGAAGCTATCTCACAAATTGCATGCAATGTGTGGATTCATCTCACAGAGTTAAACCTTTATTTTAATTCAGCAGGTTGGGAAAACTTTTTTTGTAGAATCTGAGAGGGAACATTTGGGAGCCCATTCAGTCCTACTGTGAAAAACCAATTATCCCTTGATGAAAACTTTAAAGAAGCTATCTGTGAAACTTTGTTGCAAAGTGTGGATTCATCTCAAAGAGTTAAACCTTTCTTTTGATTCAGCAGGTTGGAAACACACTTTTTGTAGAATCTTTGAAGAAACATTTGGGGGCCACTTGAAACCTATAGTGAAAAATCGAATATCCCCTGATAAAAACTAGGAAGAAACTATCTGTGAAATTGCTTTTCAATACGTTGATTTGTCTCACAGAGTTAAACCTTTCTTTTGATTCAGCAGGTTGGAAACACTCTGTAGGATCTCTGAAGAGACCTTTGGGAGCTGACTGGGACCTGTAGTGAAATATCAAATATCCACTGATAAAAAATAAAAAAGAAGCTATCTATCTGTGAAACCGTTAAATGATGTGTGGATTTATCTCACAGAGTTTAACCTGTCTTTTGATTCAGGAAGTTGGAAACACTCTTTTTGTTGAACCTGAGAAGAGGCATTTGGGAGACCATTGAGGTCTACAGTGAAAAACCAAATATCCTCCAATAAAAACTAGAAAGAAACTGTGAAACCGATTTCCAATGTGTGGATTCATGTGATAAAGTTAAACCTGACTTTCGATTCAGAAGGTTGGAAACACTCTTTTTATAGAATCTGTGAAGGGACATTTGAGAACCCATTGAGGCCTATAATAAAAAACCGTATATCTCCTGACATAAAAAAGAAAGAAACTATCTGTGAAACCACTTTGTGAAGTGTGGATTCAACTCACAGAGTTAAACCTTTGTTTTGATTCGTCAGGTTGAAAACACTGTTTATGGAATCTGCGAATGGACACTTGGGGCACCACGGAGGCCTATAGTGAATAATCAAATATTCCCCAATAAAATATAGAAAGAAGATATTTCTGAAGCCGTATTGTGGTGTGTGATTTTGTCTCACAGAGTTAAACCTTTCTTTTGATTCAGCAGTTTGGAAATACTCTGTTAGTAGAATCTGTGAAGTTACATTTGGGAGCCCAATGAGGCCTATAGTGAAAAACAAAATATACCCTGACAAAAACTAGAAGAAAGTACTTGTGAAACAGCATTGCATTGTGTGGATTCATCCCACAGACATAAAATTTCTTTTGATTTAGCAGGTTGGAAGCACTCTGTCTGTAGAAACTCTAAAGAGACATTTAATACCCAACTGAGACCTATAGTGAAATACTAAATATCCATGGATAAAATCTAAAAAGAAGATGATATCTGTGAAATTGCTTTGTGATGTGTGGATTCAGCTGACAGATTTGAAACTATCTTTTGATTCAGGAGGCTGGGAGAAACTCTTTTTCTGGAATCTGAGAACGGACATTTGGGAGACCATTGAGAACTACAGTGAAAAACGGAATATCCTCCAATGAAAAACAGAAAGATGCAATCTGTGAAATCGCTTTTCATCATGTGGATTCATCTCATAGAGTTAAGCTTGACTTTTGATTCACCAGGTTGAAAACACTTTTTCTGTAGAATCTGTGAAGAGACATTTGAGAGCCCATTGAGGCCTATAATAAAAAACTGTATACATTTCTATATGAACTAGAAAGAAGCTATCTGTGAAATCACTTTGTGATGTGTGGATTCATCTCACAGGGTTAAACCTTTCTTTTGATTTAGCAGGTGCAAAATCCCTGTTTGTAGAATATGAGAAGAAATATTTAGGAGCCCATTGAGGTCTATAGTTAAAAACAGAATGTCCCCAGATGAAAACTAGAAAGAAGCTATCTGTGAAATTCATTTGTGATGTATGGATTCATCTCACAGGTTTAAACTTGACTTTTAATTCAGCAGTTTGGAAACACTGGGTTTGTAGAATCTGTGAAGGGATATTAGGGAGCCCATAAAAGCCTATAGTGAAATATAACATATCCATCAATAAAATCTAAAAATGAAGCTATCTGAGAAACAGCTTTGTGATGTGTAGATTCACTTTACAGAGTTAAAACTTTCTTTTGATTCAGCAGGTTGGAAACACTCTGTTAGAATCTGCGAAGTTACATTTGGGAGCCCATTGAAGCCTATAGTGAAAAGACGAATATTCCGTGATAAAAACTAGAAGAAAGTATCTGTATGTATTGAGATAATCATGTGGTTTTTGTCGTTGGTTCTGTTTACATTATGGATTACTTTTATTGATTTGCATATCTTGAATCAGCCTTGCATCACAGGGATGAAGCCCATTGATCATGGTGGATAAAATTTTGATGTGCTGCTGGATTCAGTTTGCCAGTATTTTATTCAGTATTTATGCATCGATGTTCATCAGGGATATGGGTCTAAAATTCTCTTTTTCTGTCTTGTCTCTGCCAAGCTTTGCTATCAGGATAATGCTGGCCTCATAAAATGAGTTAGGGAGAATTCCCTCTTCTTCTATTGATTGGAATAGTTTCAGAAGGAAAGGTACCAGCTCCTCTTTGTACCTCTGGAAGAATTCGGCTGTGAATCTGTCTGGTCCTGGACTTTTTTTTGGTTGGTAGGCTCTAAATTATTGCCTCAATTTCAGAGCCCGTTATTGGTCTATTCAGGGATTCAACTTCTCCCTGGTTTAGTCTTGGGAGGGTGTACGTGTCCAGGTATTTATCCATTTCTTCTAGATTCTCTAGTTTATTTGCATAGAGGTGTTTATAGTATTCTCTGATGGTAGTTTGTATCTCTGTGGGATTGGTGGTGATATTCCCTTTATCATTTTTTATTGCATCTATTTGATTCTTCTCTCTTTCCTTCTTTATTAGTCTTGCCAGCGATCTATCAATTTTGCTGATCTTTTCAAAAAACGAGCTGCTGGATTCGTTGATTTTTTGAAGGTTTTTTGTGTCTCTATTTCCTTAAGTTCTGCTCTGATCTTAGTTATTTCTTGCCTTCTTCTAGCTCTATGAAATAAAAAAGGACACAAACAAATGGAAGATCATTCAAAGCTCATGGTTAGGAAGAATCAATTTTGTGAAAAAGGCCATACTGTCCAAGGTAATTTACAGATTCAATGCCATCCTCATCAAACTACCAATGACTTTCTTCACAGAATTGGAAAATAAAACTACTTTAAAGCTCATATGGAACCAAAAAAGAGCCTGCATTGCCAATACAATATTAAGAAAAAGAACAAACCTGGAGGCATCACGCTACCTGACTTCAAACTGTTCTACAAGTCTACAGTAACCAAAACAGCATGGTACTGTTACCAAAACAAAGATATAGACCAATGGAACAGAACAGAGCCCTCAGAAATAATACCACACATCCACAACCATCTGATTTTTGACAAACCTGACAAAAACAAGAAATGGGGAAAGGATTCCCTATTTAATAAATGGTGCTGGGAAAACTGGCTAGCCATATGTAGAAAGCTGAAACTGGATCCCTTCTTACATCTTATACAAAAATTAATTCAAGATGGATTAAAGACTTAAATGTTAGACCTAAAATCATAAAAACCCTAGAAGAAAACCTAGACAACATCATTCAGGACATAGGCATGGGCAAGGACTTCATGTTTAAAACACCAAAAGCAATGGCAACAAAAGTCAAAATTGACAAATGGGATCGAATTTAACTAAAGAGCTTCTGCACAGCAAAAGAAACTACCATCAGAGTGAACAGGCAACCTACAGAATGGGAGAACATTTTTGCAATCTACCCATTTGACAAAGGGCTAATATCCAGAATCTACAATGAACTCAAACAAATTTACAAGAAAAAATCAAACAACTCCATCTAAAAGTGGGTAAAGGATATGAACAGACACTTCTCAAAAAAAGACATTTATGCAGCCAAAAAACACATGAAAAAATGCTCATCATCACTGGCCATCAGAGAAATGCAAATCAAAACGACAATGAGATACCATCTCACACCAGTTAGAATGGTGATCATTAAAAAGTCAGGAAACAACAGGTGCTGGAGAGGATGTGGAGAGATAGGAACAATTTTACACTGTTGGTGGGAGTGTAAACTAGTTCAATCATTGCAGAAGTCAGTGTGGCGATTCCTCAGGGATCTAGAACTAGAAATCCCATTTGACCCAGCTATTCGATTTCTGGGTATATACCCAAAGGATTATAAATCATGCTGCTATAAAGACACATGCATGCATATGTTTATTGTGGCACTATTCACAACAGCAAAGACTTGGAACCAACCCAAATGCCCATCAATGATAAACTGGATTAAGAAAAGGTGGCACATATACACCATGGAATACTACGCAGCCATAAAAAAGGATGAGTTCATGCCCTTTGTAGGGACATGGATGAAGCTGGAAACCATCATTCTCAGCAAACTATCATAAGGACAGAAAACCTAACATCACATGTTCTCACTCTTAAGTGGGAATCCAACAATGAGAACATATGGACACAGGGTGGGGAACATCACACACCAGGGCCTGTCATGGGGTGGGAGGATGGGGGAGGGATTGCACTAGGAGATATACCTCGTCATATAAATGACGAGTTAATGGGCACAGCACACCAACATGGCACATGTATACATATGTAACCAACCTGCATGTTGCGCATGTGTACCCTGGAACTCAAAGTATAATTAAAATAAATAAATAAATAAATAAAATAAGAAAGAAAGTATCTGTGAAACCTCTTCATATTGTTTGGATTCATCTCACAGATTTGAAACTTTCTTTTGATTCAGTAGGTTGGAAACGCTCTGTTGAATACACAAAGCTACATTTAAGAGCCCAATGAGGCCTACAGTGAAAAACCGACTATCCCCTGATAAAACCTAGAAAGAAGCTGTCTGTGAAACTGCTTTGTGATGTGTGGATTCATCTCAGCAAGTTAAAACTGTCTTTTGATTCAGCAGGTTGGAAACACTCTTTCATAAAATCTGTGAAAAGTCATTTGGAGCCCATTGAGGACTATAGTGAAAAACCATATATGTTTCAATGAAAGTGGAAAGAAGCCGTCTGTGAAACCACTTTCAATGAGTGGATTCATCTCACAGGTTTAAACCCGTCTTTTGATTAAGCAGATTGGAAACACTCTGTTTGTAGGATACCTGAAGAGTCATTTGGGAGCCCATTGAGGCCTATAGTGAAATACCGAATATCCACTGATAAAAACTAAAAAGAAAATACCTGTGAAACCACTTTGTGATGTGTAGATTCATCTCACAGAGTTAAACCTGTATTTTGATTCAGGAGGTTGGAAACACTCTTTTTTTTCATATAGTATATATTCTATTAGTTTGTACTAGTACATTCTCATATTACAAAGCAATTTAAAGGAAGAATCTTCCTTTTGATATTTGAATCACCTGAAATGACACAAACAGAACTATACATTCAGAGAAATCTCATTTGCATAACAAAAAGACGAGTTAAACAACAAAAAAATTTTTCCTTTCTCACAGGTGGACATTGAAGTGGACCTAATTCAGTTTTCCTTTTAAAAGCTGATGCAAACAAAAGTAGTTTAAAACCTATTTAAAATGAATAAAAAATTGGTTTACTAAACTATTGGTCTCTAGCACCATTTTCTGTTTTCTCTTGTTGGGATGCAGGTTCTTCTTTGTCTGTTTTTTCTCTTGCTCTTTTCACAGCTCCAGTTGCACCATTTTCATCATGTTCATCATCACTAGCAAATTTCGCTTTCTTGCCCTGAAACTGTACTTTTCCTTTATCAGACCCAGGCTGGGCAGCTTTATTACCCTTTCCTTTTCCTTTAAATCTACGACCTTTTGACTTCCATTTGTTTACGGATTCTTGTTAGTCTTCTATTATTTTTTTCAGTGCTTCTTTTTCCACCTCTCCTTCTAGTGCTTCCCAAGTCACTTCTTTGTTCCTTAATTGTAGGTTACCATTATTTGCATCTTTGGCTTTACCCAGTGCTTCCTTGGCTTTTTCTTTAATTAGAATTATTCCCTCTTTTGCTCCTCTGACGAAGTCTATCCATTTTATTTCACCATGACTTGAGAAAAGTATGTGTAAATCACCCGAAAATTTCAACAAGCATCCAATCTTTTCTTCTAGAGATTTCTTTTCAGCATCTTCTAACTTTTATTTTGCTTCTTGCTCCTGTTTAGCTCCTAATTTAGCTTCCATTTTATTTTATTTTCTTTCTTCATTTTTTTTTTTTGGCAAAGTAATCATCCTTGAAAAGTATTAGCAGGTATATTTCTTTGTACTTCTGGCCAGGGGTCTCTACAAACTTCTTAGCAGATTCAATGCTATCAAACACAACAAAAATTGATCCCTTAAATGCTTTATGCAATGTTCTTCTCATCTAAATATATAGTACTTGACCTTTATCTTCTAACCATTTTTTTATGTCTTCAAGAGTTGCATCAGTTGGGAAGTCTTTAATATAAACAGATCTGTTTTTTACATCATTTTTATACTCATCAGTCACTTCAGGTAGGGCTGTGCTTGGAGACCTTCTGATTTTAGTTTTATCTTCACTGATTTCCATGAGTTCTGCCTTGGATTTGCTCAATGCTTCCACAGTTACATTAAAGTCTGTTAGACGGTTCAACCTCATTTTGATGACAGATTTTGACCTCCAGGGCAGCCATCTTTTCATTATCACCATTTTCAGCCTTTGTGGCTATCTTTAAGTTTCCGGCCCACAGAGCCATGCCACAGGCTCACAAACAGCAACACCAATGACTCCACTTCCCAGTGCCACCGGCTGGCCTAAAGCACTCCAAGAAGATGGAGACCGTCGGAAACACTCTTTTTATAGAATCTGAGAAGGGACATTTGGAAGACCTTTGAGGACTACAGGGAAAAACAGAATATCCCTGAATAAAAACTAGAAAGAAGCTATCTGTGAAACTGCTGTGCAAAGTGTGGATTCAGCTCACAGAGTTAAACCTTTGTTTTGATGCATTAGGTTGGAAACACTCTGTTTATGGAATCTGTGAATGGACATTTGGGACACCATTGAAGCCTATAATGAATAACAAAATATCCCCCAATAAAATCTAGTAAGAAGCTATTTGTGAAACTGCTTCACAATGTGTGCATTCACCTCACAGTGTTAAACCTTACTTTTGATTTAGTAGTTGGAAACACCTTGTTTGTAGAATATGGGATAAAACAATTGAGAGCCTATTGAGGTATAGAGTAAAAAACCGAATATCCCCAAATAGTAACTAGAAAGAAGCTACCTGTGAATCTGCTTTGTGATGTACGGATTCAGCTCACAGAGTTAAACTTGTCTTTTGATTCAGCAGGTTGGAAACTCTTTGTTAGTAGAATCTGCAAAGTTACATTCGGGAGCCCAATAAGGCCTGTAGTGAAAAACTGAATATCCCCCGATAAAAACTAGAAGAAACTATCTGTGAAACTGCGTTGCATTGTGTGCATTCATCTCACAGAGTTAAACCTTTCTTTTGATTCGGCAGGTTGGAAACAGTCTGTAGAATCTCTGAAGAGACATTTGGGAGCCCATTGAGGCCTATAGTAAAATACCCAATATCTATCTACCAATAAAAATTAAAAAGAAGCTATCATCTGTGAAACTGCTTTGTGATGTGTGGATTCATCTCACAGAGTTAAACCTGTCTTTTGATTCAGGAGGTTGGAAACACTATTTTTGTAGAATTTGAGAAGGGACATTTGGGAGACCACTGGGGACTACAGTGAAAAACTGAATATCCCCCAATAAAATCTAGAAAGAAGCTATGTGTGAAACTGCTTTCCAACTTTTGGATTCATCTCCCAGAGTTATACCTGGCTTTTGATTCAGCAGGTTGGAAACACTCTTTTTGTGAAATCTAAGAAGGCAAGTTTGAGAGCCCTTTGAGGCCAATAATAAAAAAAGTATATCTTCCTAAAGAAACTAGAAACAAGCTATCTGTGAAACTGCTTTGTGATGTGTAGATTCATCTCACAAAGTTAAACCTTTCTTTTCATTTAACAGTTGGAAACACCCTGATTGTAGAATATAAGAAGAAACATTTGGGAGCCCATTGAGGCCTATAGTGAAAAACTGAATATCCCTAGATAAAAACTAGAAAGAAGTTATCTGTGAAACTTATTTGTGATGTATGGATTCATCTCAGAGGGTTAAGCTTTTCTTTTGATTCAGCAGGTCAAAAACACTCTGTAGAATCTGTGAAGGGACATCAGAGAGCCCATTAAAGCCAATAGTGAAATATGGAATAGTCACTGATAAAAACTAAAAAGAAGCTATCTGTGAAACCACTTTGTGATGTGTGGATTTATCTCACAGAGTTAAACATTTCTTTTGAATTGCACATTGGAATCTGTTAGTAGAATCTGCAAATTTACATTTGGGGGCCCATTGAGGCCTATAGTGAGAAACGGAATATCTTCCGATAAAAACTAGAAGAAAGGATCTGTGAAACCACTTCACATTTTGTGGATTTCTCTCAAAGAGTTAAACTTTTCTTTTGATTCATCAGGTTAGACACACTCTGTTTCTTGAAGAAGCTTATGGAGCTCTACAATGAAAAACCGAATATCCCCTGATAAAACCTAGAAAGAAGCTCTCTGTGAAACTGCTTTGCAATGTGTGGATTCATTTCAGTGAGTTAAAACAGTCTTTTGATTCAGCCAGTTGGAAACACTCTTTTGTAAAATCTGAGATAGGACACTTGGAGCCCATTGAGGACTATAGTGAAAAATCTAACATCCACCATTAAAAACCAAAAACAAGCTATCTGCTAAACTGCTTTGTGATGTTTGGATTCATCTCACAGAGGAAAACCTGTCTTTTGATTCAGGAAACTGAAAAAAGAGATTTGGAAGACCACTGAGGCCTGTAATGAAAAACTGAATATCCCCTGAAAAAAACTGAAAAAAAATTTAACTGGGAAACTGCTTTTTTGATGTGTAGATTTATCTCACAGGGGTAAACTTTCCTTTTGATTTAGCAGGTTGGAAAACACCTTTTGTTGAAGCTGTGATGGGACATTTGGAATCCCATTGAGGCCTACAGTGAAAATCAGAATATCCTCCAATAAAAGCTATTAAGAAGCTGTCTCTGAAACTCCTTTCAATGTGTGGATTCATGTCTCAGAATTACACATTTCTTTTGATTCAGCAGGATGCAAACACTCAGTTTGTAGAATCTGTGAATAGAGATTTGGAATTCCATTGAGGTATGTAGTGAAAAACTGAATATGCCCCGATAAAAACTGGAAAGAAAATATCTGTTCTACTGCTTTGTGATGTGTGGATTCATGTCCCTGAGGTAAATCTTTTTTTTTGTTTGTTTTTTATTAAGCAGGTTGGAAAAACTCTTCTTGTAGTATCTCTGAAGGGACATTTGGGAGTCCATTGACACCTATAGTGAAATACCAGTTAACCACAAAAAACAAAACAAAGCAAAAAACAAACAAACAAACAAAAAACAGAAAGAAGCTCTCTGTGAAACCACTTTGTGATGTTGAATTCATCTCACAGAGTTGAACCTGTCTTTTTTTTCAAGAGGCTGGAAACAGTCTTTTTGTAGAATCTGGGACAGGACATTTGGGAGCCCATTGAGGCCTATAGTGAAAATCTGAATATCCCCTGATAAAAACTTTAAAGAATGTACTTTTGAAATCACTTTGCAATCTGTGGATTGATCTCACAGAGTTAAAACTTTCTTTTGATTCAGCAGTTTGGAAACACTCTTTTTGTAGAATATGCGAAGGGACCTTTGGGAAGTCATTGAGGGCTACATTGAAAAACTCAATATTTGTGAATAAAAACTAGAAAGAAGCTATCTGTGAAACCACTTTGTGATGAGTGGATTCATCTCATGGAGTTAAATCTTTCCTTGATTCAGCAGTTTAGAATCACTCTGTTTGTAGAATATGCAAAAGGACATTTGGGAGCTCTTTGAGGCCTACAGTGAAAAACAGAATATCTTCCAATAAAAACTATTAAGAAGCTATCTGTGAAACCTCTTTGTGATATGTGGTTTCATTTCACAGAGTTAAACCTTTCTTTTGATTTATAAAGTTGGAAAAACACTTTTTGTATAATAGGAGAAGGGATATTTGGGAGCATGTTTAGGCCTATAATGAAAACCAAAATTTTCTGATAGAAACTAGAAAGACTCAATCTGTTAAAATGTTTTGTTAAGTGTGAATTCATGTCACAAGGCTAAATCTTTCTTTTGATTCAGCAAGTTGGAAACATTCTTTGTAGAATCTAAGAAGGGACATTTGGGAGCCCATTGAGGCCTATAGTGAAGAACAAAATATCTTCAGATCAAAGCTAAAAGGAAGCTATATGTGAAAACGTTTTGTGATGTGTGGATTCATCTCACAGAGTTAAACTTTTCTTGTGATTCAGCCAGTTGGAAACACTCTTTTTGTAGCATTTGCAAAAAAACATTTGCAATCCCATATAGGGCTATAGTGAAAAACTGAATATCCCACAATTAAAACTAGAAAGAATGTATCTGTGAAACAGCTTTTAGATGTGTGGACTTATCTCAGAGAGTTAGTCCTTTCTTTTGTTTGAGCATGTTGGAAACATTCTAGTATAGAATATGCAAAGGGACATTTTGGTGCCTATTGAGGCCTACAGTGAAAAACCAAATATACTCCAACCAAAACTAGAAAGAAGCTATCTGTGAAACTGCTTTGCAATGTGTGAATTCATCTCACAGATATAAGCTTTTCCTTTGTCTCAGTAGTTTGGAAACACTGTTTGTAGAATCTGTGAAGGGACATTTGGGAGCACAATGATGAGGCCCATAGTAAAAAACTGAATATCTGCCAATAAAAAGTAGAAAGAAGCTATCTGTGAAACTACTTTGTGATGTGTGGTTTCATCTCACAGAGTTAAACATTTTTCTGATTCAGCAGGCTGGAAACCCTCTTATGCAGAATCTGTGAAGGGACATTAGGGAGCCCATTGAAACCTATTATGAAAAAAACAAATATCCCCATACAAAAACTGGAAAGAAGCTATCTGTGAAACAGGTGGGTGATGTATGTATTCATCTCACAGAGATAAACCTTTCTTTTGATTCACCAGGTTGGGAGCCCATTGAGGCCTATACTGAACAACTGAATATCCACCAATAAAAACTAGAAAGAAGCTATCTGGGAAACCGCTTTGTGATGTGTGCATTGATCACACAGAGTTAAACATTTCTTTTAATTTAGCAGGTCAGAAATGCTCTGTTAATAGAAACTTGGAAAGGATGTTTGGGATGTCATTCAGGCCTATAGGGAACCCCTGAATATCCTCCAATAAAAACTGGACAGAATCTACTTGTGAAACTCCTTTGTGAAGTGTGGATTCATCTCACAGAGTTAACCTTTCTTGTGATTCAGTAGGTTGGAAACACTATTCTTGTAGAATCTGCAAAGGGACATTTGGGATACCGTGGAGACCTATGGTGAAAAACCGAATATCTCCAGATAAAAACTAGAAAGAAGCTATCTGTGAACCTGGTTTCTTATTTGTGCATTCATCTCACAGAGTTAAACCTTTCTATTGCTTCAGCTTGTTGCAAATATTATTCGTGTAGAATTTGTGAATGGACATTTGGGAGCCAAATTAGGCCTATGGTGAAAAACAGAATATCCTCAGATAAAAACTAGAAAGAAGCTATTTGTGAACGTGCTTTGTGATGTGTGGAATCATCTCAATATGTTAAACCTTTCTTTCATTTGAACAGTTTGGAAACACTCTTCTTGTAGAATCTGCAAAGGGACATTTGGGAGACCATTGAGGCATATGGTGATTAACAGAATATCCCCAGAAAAAAACTAGAAAGAAGCTATCTGTGAAACTGCTTTGTGATGTGTGGATTCACCTTTCAGAGTTAAACCATTCTTTTGATTCATCAAGTTGGAAAAATTCTTTGTACAATCTGTGAAGGGACACGTGAAAACCCATTGAGGCCTACTGTGAAAAACTGATATCCCCAGATAAAAACTAAGAATAAGCTATCTGTGAAACTGCATTGTGATGTGTGGATTCATCTCACAGAGTTAAACCTTGGTTTTGATTCAGCAGGTTGGAAACACTCTTCTTGTAGTATCTGTGAGTGGACATTTGGGAGCTTATTGAGGCCTATGGTGAAAAACCAAATATTCACAGATAAAAACTGGAAAAAAGCTATCTGTGAAACTGCTTTCTGATGTGTGGATTAATATCACGGAGTTAAATCTTTCTTTTGTTAGAGCAGGTTGGAAACACTCCTCTTGTAGAATCTGTAAAGAAACATTTGGCAGACCATTGAGGCTTATGGTGAAAAACTGATTATTCCCAGATAAAAACTAGAAAAAGGTATCTGTGAAACTGCTTTGTTATGTGTGGATTCATCTCAAAAAGTTAAACCATTCTTTTAACTCAGCAGGTTGGAAACACTCTTTTTGTAAATCTGTGAGGGGAAATTTGGGAGCCCATTGAGGCCTTTGGTGAATAACCAATCATCCCCAGATAAAAACTAGGAAGAAGCAATCTGTGAAACCTGTGTGTGATATGTGGATTCATGTCACAGATCTAAACCTTTCTTTTGATTCAGCAGGTTGGAAACACTCTGCTTGTAGAAGCTGTGAAGAAGCATTTGGAAGCCCATTGAGGCCTATCTTGAAAAATCCAATATCCCCAGATAAAAAATAGAAAGAAGCTGTCTGTGAAACTGCTTTCTGATGGGTGGATTCATCTCACAGAGTTAAAAGTTCTTTTGATTCAGCATGTTGGAAACACCCTTCCTGTAAAATCTGTGAAGATTCCCAAATATTCCCAGACAAAAGCTAGAAAGAAGCTATTTCTGAAATTGCTTTGTGGCGTGTAGATTCATCTCAATATGTTAAACATTTCTTTCAGCAGGTTGGAAACACTCTTCTTGTGGAATCTGCAAAGGGACATTTGGGACACCATTGAGGCCTGTAATGAAAAATAAAATATCTACAGATAAAAACTAAATAGAAGCTATCTGTGAAATTGCTTTCTCATGTTTGGATTGATCTCACAGATTTAAGCCATTCTTTTGATCCAGCATGATGGAAACACTTTTTGTGTAGTATATACAAATGTACATTTCGGAGCCTATTGTGGCCTATGGTGATAAACCAAATAACCTCAGATAAAAATGAGTAAGAATCTATCTGTGAAACTGCTTTGTGATGTGTGCATTCATCTCACAGTGTTAAACCTTTCTTTTCTTTCATCAGGTTAGAAACACTATTCTTGTAGAAACTTCGAAGGGAAATTTTGTTGAGCATTGAGGCCTATGGTGAAAAACCAAATGTCCCCAGATAAAAAGTAGAAAGAAACTATGGTGAAACTAACTGTGATGCGTGAATTCATATCACAATTTAAACTTTTCTTTTGATTCAGCAGGTTGGAAACACTTTTCTTGCAGAATCTGCAAAGGGACATTTGGAAGCCCACTGAGGCCTCTGGTGAAAAACTGAATATCCCCAGATAAAAACTAGAAAGAAGCAATCTCCGAAACTGCTTTCTGATGTGTGGATTCATCGCACAGAGTGAAACCTTTCTTTTGAATCAGCAGATTGGAAACACTCATTTTTTAGAATGCGCAAAGGGACAGTTGGGAGCCCATTGAGGCCTATGGTGAAAAACAGAATATGCTCAGATGAAAACTAGGAAGAAGCTATCTGTGAAACTGTTCTGAAATGTGTGGATTCATCTCAATATGTTAAACCTTTCTTTTCTTTCAGCAGGTTGGAAAAACTCTTCCTGTTGAATCTGCAAATAAACATTTGGGAGCCCATGGAGGCCTATAATGTAAAATAGCATATCCCCAGTTAAAAACTACAAAGAAGCTATCTGTGAAACTGCTTTCTGATGTTTGGATTTAGCTCACAGAGTTAAGCTATTCTTTTCATCCAGCAGGTTGGAAACACTTTTTGTGTAATATATGTGAATGTACATTTAGGAGCCTATTGAGGCCTATGGTGAAAAACTGAATATCCTCAGATAAAAAGTACAAGTAATCTACCTGTGAAACTGCTTTTTGATGTGTGGATTCATCTCAATGTGCTAAACCTTTATTTTGTTTCAGCGGGTTGGAAACACACTTCTCGTAGAATCTGTGAAGGGACATTTGGGAGCCCATTGAGGCTTATGGTGAAAAACTGAATATCCCAGAGATAAAAACTAGAAAGAAGTTATCTGTGAAAGTGCTTTGTGATGATTGGATTCATCTCACAGAGTTAAACCATTCTTTTGACTCAGCAGGTGGGAAACACTCTTTTTCTAGATTCTGCAAAAGGACATTTGGGAGCCTATTGAAGCCTACTGTGTAAAACTAAGTATCTTGAGATAAAAACTGAGAAGCAGCTGTCTTTGAAACTGCTTTCTGAAGTGTGGATACATCTCACAGAGTTAAATCTTTTGATTCAGCAGGTTGGAAAGAGCCTTCTTGTAAAATCTGTGTAGGGACATTGGACAGCACATTGAGGTCTATGGTGAAACATTGAATATCCCCAGATAAAAACGAGAAAGAAGCTGTCTGTGAAACTGCTTTGTGATGTGTGGATTCATCTCAATGTGTTAAACCTTTCTTTTGTTTCAGCAGGTTGGAAACACACTTCTTGTTGAATCTGCTAAGGGACGTTTTGGAGCCCATTGAGGCCTATGGTGAAAAACTGAATATCCCCAGATAAAAAGCAGAGAAAACCTGTCTGTGAAACTGCTTCCTGATGTGTGGATTCATCTCACAGAGTTAAAGCATTATTTTATTTCAGCATGTTGGAACACTATTCTTGTAGAATCTGTGAAGGGACTTTTGGGAGACCATTGAGGCCTGAAATAAAAAACCAAATATCCCCAGTTAAGAACCTGAAAGAAGCTATCTGTGTAACTGCTTTGTGATGTGTGGATTCCTCTCACAGAGGTACACCATTCTTTTGATTCAGCAGCTTTGAAAAACTTTTTGTAGAATCTGTGAGGGGACATTTGGGATATCACTGGGGCATACTGTGGAAAAGCGAATATCTCTAGATAAAAGCTAAGAAGAAGCTATCTGTGAAACTGCTTTTTTGATCTGAGGATAAGTCTCACAGAGTTAAAACTTTGTTTTGTTATAGCAGGTTGGAAACACTCTTCTTATAGAGTCTGCGATGGGACATTTGGGAGCCTGTGGAGTCCTACTGTGAAAAAAATAATATACTCAGATAAAAAGTGGATGGAAACTGTCTGCGAAACTGCTCTGTGAGGTGTAAATTCATCCCACAGAGTTAAACTTTTCTTTTAGTTCAGCAGGTTGGAAAAGCTTCTTGTGGAATCTGCGAAGTGACATTTGGGAGCCCATTGAGGCCTATGGTTTAAAACCGAATGTCACCAAATAAAAACCAAGTAGAAGCTACCTGGAAAACTGATTTCAGACGTGTAGGTTCATCTCACAGAGTTAAACGTTTTTTTATTCAGCAGGGTGGAAACACTGTTCTTGCAGTATCTGCAAATGGACATTTGGGAGCCTTTTGCGGTCTATGGTGAAAAACAAAACATCCCAAGATATAAACTAGAAAGAAGCTATCTCTGAAACTGCTTTGTGAAGTTTGAGTTCATCTCACAGAGTTAAACCTTTCTTTTGATTCATCAGGTTGGAAATACTCTCCGTGTAGAATCTGCAAAAGGACATTTGGGAGCCCATTAATGCCTACTATGAAAAACTGATTATTCCCAGATAAAAAAGAGAAAGAAGCTATCTGTGAAAGTTCTTTGTGATATGTGGATCCATCTCAGTGTTAAAAGTTTATTTTGTTTCACCAGGATGTAAATTCTCTTCTTGTAGAATCTGTGAAGGGACATTTGGGAGCCTATTGAGGCCTACTGTGCAAAACTAAGAATCCCCAGATAAAAACTGAAAAGAAGTTATCTGTGATACTGCTTCTGAAGTGTAGAGTCACCTCACAGAGTTAAATATTTCTTTTGATTCAGGAGGTTGAAAACAGCCTTCTTGTAGAATCTGCAATGGCAGATATGGGAGCCCATTGAGACCTATGGTGAAAAAACAGACATCCCCAGATAAAAACTAAAAAGAAACTCTCTGTGAAACTGCTTTGTTATAGGTGGATTCATCTCACATGATAAACGTTTCTTTTGTTTCAGCAGGTTGGAAACACTTGTTGTAGGATCTGCAAAGGGACATTTGGGAACCCATTGAGGCCTATGGTGAAAAACCAAATATCCCCAGATAAAAACTAGAAAGAAGCTATCTATGAAACTGCTTTGTGTTGTGTAGATTCATCTCACAGAGTTAAACATTTCTTTTGATTCAGCAGGTAGGAAACATTCTTTTTGTAGAATGTGCAAAGGGACATTTGGGTGCTCTTTGAGGCCTGCTATGAAAATATTGAATATCCCCAGATAAAAACTAGAAAGAAACTATCTATCTGAAACTGCTGTGTGATTCGCGGATTCAACTCAAAGAGATAAGCCATTCTTTTGATTCAGCAGGTTGGAAACACTGTTTTTGTAGAAACTGCAAAGGGAAATTTGGGAGCCCATTGAAGTCTACTGTGAAAAACCGAATATCTCCAGATAAAAAATGAGAAGAAGCTATCCGTGAAAGTGCTTTTTGATGTCTGGATTCATCTCACAGAGGTAAACCTTTCTTTTGGTTCACCAGATTGGAAATACTCTTCTTGTAGAATCTACAAAGGGGCATTTTGGAGCCTACTAGGGCCTACAGTGAAAAATCAAATATCCTTAGATAAAAACTAGAAAGAAACATCTATGAAATTTCTTTGTGATATGTGGATTCATCTTAATGTGTTAAACCTTTCTTTTGTTTCAGTAGGTTGTAAACACGCTTCTTGTAGTATCCGCAAATGACATTTGGGAGCCCATTGAAGCCTATGGTGAAAAACTGTATATCCCCATTTAAAAAATAGGAAGATGCTGTCTGTGAAACTGCTTTTGAATTGTGGATTCATCTCACAGAGTTAAAACTTTTTTATGATTCACCAGAATGGAAACACTCTTTTTGTAGAATCTGTGAAAGGACATTTGGAAGCCCATGAGGCCTATAGTGAAAATCCGAATATCTTCAGATAAAGACAAGAAAGAAGCTATCTGTGAAACTACTTTCTGTTGTGTGGATTCATGGTACAGAGCTAAACATTTCTTTTCATTCAGCAGGTTGGAAAGACTCTTCTTTTAGTACTGCGAATGGACATTTGGGAGCCTATTCAGGCCTATGGTGAAAAACCAAATATCTTCAGATAAAAACTAGAAATAAGCTATCAGTGAAACTGCTTTGTGATGCGTGAATTCATCTCAATGTGTTAAAACTTTCTGTGGTTTTAGCAAATTGGAAAAAGTTTTCTTATAGAATCTGCAAAGGGATATTTGGGATCTCTTTGAGGCCTAGGTTGAAAAACCTAATATCCCCAGATAGAAACTAGAAAGAAGCTATCTGTGAGATTGCTGTGTTATGTATGGATTCATCTCACAGAGTTAAACCATTCTTTTGATGTGGCAAGTTGGAAACACTCTTTTTGTACTATCTGCAAAGGGACATTTGGCAGCCCATTGATGCCTATTGTGAAAAACGGAATATCCCCAGATAAAAACTAAGAAGATGATGCTATCTGTGAAACTGCTTTTGAAGAGTGGATTCATCAAACAGAGTTAAATTTTTTTTATGATTAAGCAGATTGGAAACACTCTTTTTGTAGAAACTGTGAAAGGACATTTGGGATCCCATTGAAGCCTACTATGAAAAACAGATTATCCCCAGGTAAATACCAGAAAGAAGCTATCTGTGAAACTGCTTAGTGATACGTGGATTCATCTCACACAGTTGAAACTTAATTTTGCTTCAGAAGGTTGGAAACACTCTTGCAGTAACTGTGATTGGACATTTGGGAGCCTATGGTGGCCTATGGTGAAAAACAGAATATCCTCAGATAAAAACTACAAAGAAGCTATCTGTGAAATGGCTTTGATGTGTGGATTCATATCACAGTGTCAAACCTTTGATTTTTTTTTCAGCTGGTTGGAAACACACTTCTTATGGAATCTGTGAAAGGATATTTGGGAGCCCATTGGGGCCTATGGTGAAAAACAGATTATCCTCAGATAAAAAATACAAACAAGCTATCTGTAAATCTGTTTTCTGACGTGTGGATTCATCTCAAAGAGTTAAACCTTTCTTTTGATTTATCAGGTTGGAAACATTCTTCTTATAGCATCTGCAAATAGATGTTTGGAAGCCTATTGAGGTCTATGGTGAAATATCGAATATCCTCAGATAAAAACTAGAAAGAAGCTATCCAGGAAACTTCTGTGCGATGCGTGGATTTATCTCAATGTGTTAAACCTTTATTTTGTTTCAGTAGGTTGGAAACACATTTCTTGTAGTATCTGCAAAAGGACATTTGGGAGCCCACTGAGGCCTATGGTGAAAAACTGTATATCCCCAGATAAAAAGTAAGAAGATGATGTCTGTGAAACTGCTTTAGAATTGTGGATTCATCTCACAGAGTTAAACCTTTTTTATGATTTGACAGGATGGAAACACTCTTTTTGTAGAATCTGTGAATGAGTATTTGGGAGCCCTTTGAGGCCAATGGTGAAAATCTGAATATCCCCAGATAAAGAAAAGAAAGAAGGTATCTGTGCAACTGCTTTCTGATGTGTGGATTCATGGTACAGGGCTAAACCTTTCTTTTCATTCAGCAGGTCAGAAACACTCTTCTTGTGGTGTCTGCAAAAGGACATTTGGGAGCCTATTCAGGCCTATGGTGAAAAACCAAGTATCTTCAGATAAAAACTAGAAAGAAGCTATTTGTGAAACTGCTTTGTGATTTGTGGATTCATCTCAATGTGCTACACTTTTCTTTTGTTTCAGCAGATTGGACACACTTTTCTTGTAGAATAAGCGAAGGGATATTTGGAAGCCCATAATGTCCTATGGTGAATAACTGAATATTCCCAAATAAAAACCAGAAAGAAGCTATCAGAGAGACTGCTTTGTGACGTGTGGATTCATCTCAATGTGTTAAACCTTTCTTTGGATTCAGCAAATTGGAAAAACTTTTCTTATAGAATCTGTGAAGGGATATTTGGGATCCCATTGAGGCCTAGGTTGAAAAACAGAATATCCCCAGATAAAGACTGGAAAGAAGCTATCTGTGAGATTGCTGTGTTATGTGTGGATTCATCTCACAGTGTTAAACCATTCTTTTTATTCAGCAGGTTGGAAACACTCTTTTTGTAGAATCTGCAAAGGGGCATTTGGGAGCCCATTGAGGCCTAATGTGAAAAAAAGAATATCCTCAGATTAAAACTAAAAACATGCTATATGTGAAACTGCTTTTGAAAAGTGGATTCATCACACAGAGTTAAACCTTTTTTATTATTCAGCAGGTTGGAAACACTCTTTTTATAGAAACTGCAAAAGGACATTTGGGATCCCATTGAAACCTACTATGAAAAACAGAATATCCCCAGATAAATACTAGAAGGAAGCTATCTTTAAAACTGATTTGTGATATGTGAATTGAACTCGCATAGTTGAAACTTTCTTTTTATTAAACATGTTGGAAACACTCTTCTTGTAGTAACTGCGATTGGACATTTGGGAGCCTATTGTGGCATATGGTGAAAAACTGAATATCCTCAGATAAAAACTAGAAACAAGTTATCTGTGAAACTGCTTGTTATGTGTGAAATCACCTCACAGGGTTAAATCTTTGATTTTTCTCAGCTGGTTGGAAACACACTTCTTGTAGAATCTGTGAAGGGATATTTGGGAGCCCATTGAGGCCTATTGTGAAAAACAGATTATCTCCAGATAAAAAATACAAACAAGCTATCTGTGAATCTGCTTTCTGATGTGTGGATTTATCTCACACAGTTAAACCTTTCTTTTGATTCAGCAGTTTGGAAACTTTCTTCTTATAATATCTGCAAATAGACATTTTAGAGCCTATTGAGGCCTATGGGGAAAACCTGAATATCCTCAGACAAAAACTAGAAAGAAGCTATCCATGAAACTGCTTTGTGATGTGTGGATTCATCTCACAGAGTTAAATCTTTCTTTTCATTCAGCATGTTGGAAACATTCTTCTTGAAGTATCTCCAAATGGACATTAGGGAGCCAGTTGAGCCTTATGGTGCAAATGCGAATATCCTCAGATAAAGGCTAGACAGAAGCTATCTATGAAACTGCTTTGTGATGTGTGGATTCTTCTCAATGTATTAAACCTATCTTTTGTCTCAGTAGGTTGGAAACACTCTTCTTGTAGTATCTGTGAGGGGACTTTTCGGAGCCCATTGAGTTCTAAGGTGAAAAACGGAATGTCCCCAGATAAAAACTAGAAAGAATCTATATGTGAGATGTTTTGTGATGTGTGGATTCACCTAACCCAGTTAAATATTTCTTTTGATTCAGCAAATTGGAAACACTCTTCCTGTAGAATCTGCGAAGGGATATTTGAAAACCCATTAAGGCCTATGGTTAAAAACCAAAGATTCCCAGATAAAACCTAGAAAGAAACTATCTATCTGTGAAAAGGATTTTTGATGTGTGGATTCATCTCACAGAGTTAAATATCTGGTTTTATTCAGCAGGTTGGGAACACTCTTCTTGTAGAATCTGCAATGGGACATTTGGGAGCCCACTGAGGCCTATGGTGAAAAACAGATTATCCCATGATAAAAAACTAGAAAGAAGCTATCTGTGAAAAGGCTTTCTGATGTGTGGATTCGTCTCACAGAGTTGAACCTTTCTTTTGATTCAGCAGGTTAAAAAGCCTCTTCTTGTGGAATCTGTGACAGGACGTTTGAGGGCCCATTGAAGCCTATGGTTAAAAACTAAATATTCCCAAATAAAAACTAAAAATAAGCTATCTGTGAAACTGCTTTGTAATGCGAGGATTCATCTAACTCAGTTAATTCTTTCTTTTGATTCAGTGTATTGGAAACACTCTTCTTGTAGAATCTGGGAAAGGGCATTTGAAAGCTCATTGAGGCCTATGGTGAAAAACCGAATATCCCAAGCAAAAAAATTGGAAAGAAGCTATCTATCTGTGAATCTGCTTTCTGATGTGTGGATTCTTCTCAGAGTTAAAGTTTTCTTTTGATTCAGCAGGTTGGAAACTCTCTTCTCGCAGAGTCTGCGTGAGGACATTTGGGAGCCCATTGAGGCCTGTGGTGAAAACCCAAATATCCCCAGAAAAAAACTGGAAAGAAGCTATCTTTGAAACTCGTTTCTAATGTGTGGATTCATCTAACCCATTTAAACCTTTCTTTTGATTCAGCAGATTGGAAACACTCTTCTCGCACAGTCTGCGTGAAGACACTTGGGAGCCCATTGAGGCCTATGGGTGAAAAACCGAATATCCTTCCATAAAAAATACATAAAAGCTATCTGTGAATATGTTTTCTGATGTGTGGATTCGTCTCAAAGTTTAAATCTTTCTTTTGATTCACCAGCTTGAAAACACCTTGTTCTATCTGCGAATGGGCATTTGGGAGCCTATTGAGGCCACTGGTGAAAAACGGAATATCTTCAGGTAAAAAATAGAAACTATCTGTGAAACTGCTTTGTGATATGTGGATTCATCTCACAGTGTTAAAATTTTTTTCTTTCAGCAGGTTGGAACAACTCTTCTTGTAGTATCTGCAAAGGGACATTTGGGAGGCTATTGAGGCCTAAGGTGACAAACCAAATATTCCCAGATAAAAACTAGAAAAAAGCTATGTATGAAACTTATTTTCTGATGTGTCTGTTCATCTCAAAGAGTTAAACCTTTCTTTTGATTCAGGAGGATGTAAACACTCTTCTTGTAGAATCTGTGAAGAAATATTTGGGAGCCCACTGAAGCCTATGATGAAAAACCTAATATCCTTAATAAAACCTAGAAAGAAGCTATCTACGAAGCTGCATTCTGATGTGTGGATTCATCTCACAGAGACAAACCTTCCTGTGGTTCAGCAAGTTGGAAACACTCTCCTCATAGAATCTGCAAAGGCACATTGGGGAGCATATTGTGGCCTAAGGTTAAAAACTGAATTTTCCAGATAAATATTAGAAAGAAGCTATCTGTGTAACTGCTTTCTCATGTGTGGAATCATCTCACAGAGTAAAACCTTTCTTTTGATTTAGCAGGTTGGAAACACTTTTCTTGTAGAATCTGCAAAGGGACATTTGCAAGCCAATTGAGGCCTATGGTGAAAAAATAATATTTCCAGAAAAAAAAAAACTAGAAAAATGCTATCTGTGAATCTCCTTTCCGATGTGTGGATTCATCTCACAGAGTTAAACTTTTTTTTTTTTGACTCAGCAGTTGGAAAAACTCTTCTAGTAGAATTATTAAAGAAATATTTGATCGCCCATTGCGGCCTATGGTGAAAAACTGAATACCAGATAAAAACTCTAAAGAAGGTATCTCTGAAAATGCTTCCTCATGTGTGTATTCACCTGTCCCAGTTAAACTTTTCTTTTGATTCAGAAAGTTGGAAACACTTCTTGTAGAAACTGCAAGGGGACATTTGGGAGCCTTTAGAAGCTTAAGGTTACAAACTGAATATTCCCAGATAAAAACTAGAAAACCGTATGAAACTTTTTTCTGACGTGTGGGTTCATCTCAAAGAGTTAAACCTTTCTTTTGATTCAGGAGGATGTAAACACTCTTCTTGTAGAATCTGCAAAGAAATATTTAGAAGCCCATTGAGACCTACGGTGAAAAGCCAAATATCCCCAGATAAAAACTAGAAAGAAGCTATCTGTGAAACTGTTTTCTGCTGTGTGGATTCATCTCACAGAGCTAAACCTTTCTTGTGATTTGGTTGGTTGGAAACACTCTTTTTGTAGGATCTGAGAAAAGACTATTGGGAGTCCATTGAGGCCTACTGTGAAAAACTAAATATCATCAGATAAAAACAAATAAGAAGGTATCTGTGAAACTGCATTGTGGTGTGCAGATTCATGTCACAATGTTAAACCTTCTTTTGATTCAGCAGGTTGGAAACACATGTCTTGCAAAATCTGTGAAGGGACATTGGGGAGCCCATTGAGGCCTACAGTGAAAAATTGAATATCCCCAGATAAAACTATAAAGAAGGTAGCCGTGAAACTGCTTTCTGATGTTTGGATTCATCTCACAAAGTTAAACCTTTCTTTTGATTCAGCAGGTTGAAAACACTCTTCTTGCAGCATATGTGAAGAGACATTTGCAAGCCTATTGAGGCTTATGGTAAAAAACAAAATATCCTCAGATAAAAAAGGGGAAGAAGATATCTGTGGAACTGCTTTGTGATCTGTGGATTCAGTTCAATGTGATAAACCTTTCTTTTGTTTCAGCAGGTTGGAAACACTCTTTTTGTAGAATCTGAGAAGGGATATTTGGGATCCCATTGAGGCCTATGGGGAAAACCACATATCACCATACAAAAACTAAGAAGAAGCTGTCTGTGAAACTGCTTTCTGATATGTAGATTCATGTCACAAAGTTATACCTTTTGATTCAGCAAATTGGAAACACTCTTTTTGCAGAATCTGCGAAGGGACAATTGAGAGCCTATTTAAGCCTACTATGAAAAACAGAATATCCTCAGATAAAAACAAGAAAGAAGCTATCTGTGAAACTGCTTTGTCATATATAGATTCACCACACAGAATTCAACCTATCTTTTGATTCAGCAGGTGGGAAACACTCTTCTTGTAGTATCTGAGATGGGATATTTGGAGCCCATTTCAGCCTATTGTGAAAAACAAAATGTCCCCAGATAAAAACTAGAAAGTAGCTATGTGTGAAACTGCTTTGTGATGTGATGTGTAGATTCGTCTCACATATTTAAACCTTTCTCTTGATTCAACAGGTTGGAAATACTCTTCCTTCAGAATCTTCAAAGGCACACTTGGAGCTCATTGATTCCTATGGTGAAAAACCAAATATTCACAGCTAAAAACTAGAGAGAAGCTATCTGTGAAACTGCTTTCTGATGTGCAGATTCATCTCACAGAGTTAACCTGTGAAACTGCTTTTTGATGTGTGTATTCATCTCACAGTTTTAAACTTTTCTTTTGTTTCAGCAGGTTGGAAGCACTCTCTTGTAGGATCTACAAAAGGACTTTGAAAGACCATTGAGGCCTATGGTGAAAAACTAAATATCCCCAGATAAATACTGGAAAGATGCTGTCTGTGAGACTGCTTTGTAATATGTGGATTCATCTCACAGAGATAAACCATTCCTTTGATTCAGCAGGCTGGAAACTCTCCTTCTGTAGAATCTGTGAAGAAACATTTGGAAGCCCATTGAGGCCTACAGTGAAAAACTGAATATCCCCAGATAACAACTAAGAGGAAGCTATCTGTGAAACTGCTTTTGTAGTGTGGATTCATCTTACGGAGTTAAACTTTTCTTTTGATTCAACAGGTTGGAAACACTCTTCTTCTACAATCTGCGAAGGAACATTTGGGAGCCCATTGGGGTCTAATGTGAAAATCCGAATATCCTCAGATGCAAACTAGGAAAAAGCTATCTGTGAAACCACTTTGTGAAGTTTGAATTCATCTGAGAGGGTTAAACCTTTCTTTTGATTCAGAACGTTAGAAATACTCTTCTTGTAGTATCAGCTAATGGATATTTGGGAGCCTATGGAGGCCTATGGTGAAAAACTGAATATCCTCAGATAAAAACTAGAATAAAGCTATCTGTGAAACTGCTTTCTGAAGTTTAGATTCATCTGATAGAGTTACACTTTTCTGCTAATTCAGCAGGTTGGAAACACTCTTCTTGTTGAATCTGCGAAGGGGCAATTGAAAGCACATTTAGGCCTACTATGAAAAACCGATTATTCCCATATAAAAACAAGAAAGAAGCTATCTGTGAAAGTGCTTTGTGATATGTGGATTCATCACACAGAGTTGAACGTTTCTTTTGATTCATCAGGTTGGAAACACTCTTCTTATAGAATCTTCAAAGAGACATTTGGGAGCCCATTGAGGCATATGGTGACAAACCAAATATCCCCAGATAAAAATTAGAAAGTAGCTATCTGTGAAACTGCTTTGTGATGTGTAGATTCATCTCCCAGATGTAAACCTTTCTTTTGATTTAGCAGGTTGAAAGTACTACCCTTGTAGAATCTGTGAAGGCATACTTGGAGCCCATTGATTCCTATGGTGAAAAACCATATATCCCCAGATAAATATTAGAAAGAAGCTATCTGTGAAACTGCTTTCTGATGTGTGGATTAATCTCACAGAGTTAAACCTTTCTTTTGATTCAGCAGTTTGGAAACACTCTTTCTGTAGGATCCACAAAGGGACATTTGGTAGCCCATTGAGGCCTATGGGAAAAAACAAATATCCCCAGATAAATTCTAGAAAGAAGCTATCTGTGAAAGCGCTTTTTGATGTGTGGATTCATCTCACAATTTTAAACCTTATTTTTGTTTCAGCAGATTGGAAACACTCTTCTTGTAGGATCTGTGAAAGGACATTTCAAAGACCATTGAGGCCTATGATGAAAAACTGAATATCCCCAGATAAATACTGGAAAGAAGCTATCTGTGAAACTACTTTGTGACGTGTGGATTCATCTCTCAGAGGTAAACCATTATTTTGATTCAGCAGGTTAGATACACTCCTTTTTTAGAATCTGTGAAGAAATATTTGGAAGCCCATTAAGGCCTACTGTGAAAAACTGAAAGTTCCCAGATCACAACTAAGAGGAAGCTATCTGTGAAACTGCTTTTGTAGCATGGATTCATCTTACAGAGTTAAACCTTTATTTTGATTCAGCAGGTTGGAAACACTCTTCTTGTAGAATCTGCAAAGGGACATTTTGGAGCCTATTCAGGCCTAATGTGAAAAACCAAATATCCTCAGATAAAAACTAGAAAGTAACTATCTGTGAAACTGCTTTGTGAAGTTTGGATACATCACAATGAGTTAAACCTTTCTTTTGATTCAGCAGGTTGGAAACACTCTTCTTTTAGAATTTGTGAATGGACACTTGGGAGTCTGTTTAGGCCTATTATGAAAAACAGAATATCCCCAGATAAAAACTAGAAAGAAGCCATCTGTGAAAATGCTTTGTGATGTTTGGATTCATCTCACAAAGTTAAACCTTTCTTTTGGTTCTGCTGATTGGAAACACTCTTCTTGTAGAATCTGCGAAGGCACATATGGGAGCTCATTGAGGCCTATGGTTGTTGGGAACAGGCTCCCAAATCTGGCCATTAACTGGCCCTAAAACTGGCCATATACGAATTCCCTGCAACACTCTGACATGCTCGTGATGACCATGATGCCAACGTTGGAAGGTTGTTGGTTTACCAGAATGAGGGCCAGGAACACCTAGCCCACCCAGAGCAGAAAACCGCTTAAAGGCATTCTTGAACCACAAACAGTAGCACGAGCAATCTGTGCCTTAAGGACATTTCCCTGCTACAGATAACAAGCCAGAGCTGATCCCTTTATTTCAGAACATCTGTTTATTTCCTGTAAGGAATACTTTTAGTTAATCTATAGTCTGTTAGAAATAATGCTTATCACTGGCTTGCTGTCAATAAATATGTGGATAAATCTCTGTTCAAGGCTCTCAGCTCTGCAGGCTGTGAGACCCCTGATTTCCCACTCTACATGCTATATTTCTATGTGTGTGTCTTTTATTCCTCTAGCACTGCTGGGTTAGGGTCTCCACAACCGAGCTAATCTTGGCAAGTGGCGCCCATATGTGGGGATCAAACCTGGGTCAAAGGGTCTCCAGAACATTGATTGGAGAACATGGAATTAAGCTGGAGGACACCCAAGTGCTATTAAGCAATCCCCATGGTGAGTAAGGAGGGGAGCTTGGAAGCATCATGGTAACAATAAGAGAAGTGTGGGCTCTAGCTCATTCCACCTTGGAACCTTTTCACACTGGTGAGGAGGAGGAAGGAGAGTAAAATGAAGTAACAGAGCAGGTTTGTTGCCAGCTAACCTAAAGCAGCAAAGGAGGAAGAGGTTTTTCCCTACCTTTCTACACCCCCTCCTTATTGTGAAGGAAAGGAGTGTCCTGACCCTCCAGATCTTTCTTTTCTGGAGGACACTAGGTGAAAAGTAGTTGCTCCAGTGACTGTTCAAGCAGTGCTTTGAGCAACCATTCTCAGTTGTATTCAGGCAGGATTTCAGCAAGCTGGAAGAGAAGGTGATTTAGAGGCTTGGCAGTTCCCCCTTAGAATACACCACCAAGATCAACAGGAAAATATTATATCTACATTTGAGCCTTTTCCTTTTAAATTACTCAAAGAAGTTAAAAAAGCTGTTAATCAATATGGACCAGGTTCTCCTTTTGTAATGGGAGTGTTTAAGAATATTACTGTTTCCATTTGGATGATTCCTACTGTCTGGGATGCTCTTACACTAGCTTGCCTAACTCCTGCTCAGTTCTTACAATTTAAAACTTGGTGGGCAGATGAAAGTTCCATTCAGGCTGCTTGCAATGCACAGGCCCAACTGCAAGTTAATATAACTGCAGACCACCTTTTGGGGGTTAGCAGTTGGGCTGGTTTCAATGCACAAGTGGTCATGCAGGATGATGCCATAGAGCAGCTTAGAGGAGTGTGCATTAGAGCGTGGGGAAAAATAACTTCAGGAGGAGAGCAATACCCTTCCTTCAGTGCTGTAAAACAGGGACCAAAAGAACAGTATATATATTTTGTAGTTTGGTTATCGGTGTCTCTTAAAAAGGTGATTGCAGATTCAGCTTCTCAGGATATAGTGTTGCGGTTATTAGCTTTTGAAAATGCTAATCCTGAGTGCCAGGCTGCTCTGTGACATATTAGAGGGAAAGCACATTTAGTTGATTATATCAAGGCCTGTGATGGTATCAGAAGCAATCTGCATAAAGCTACTTTGTTGGTGTAAGCTATGGCAGGACTGAAAGTGAATAAAGGAAATGTTCCATTTCCTGGAGCTTGTTTTAACTGTGGAAACCATGTTCATACTAAAAAAGAATGTAGAAAAAATCGGTAAGTCAGGCCACAAGGTAGGGGAAAAAAGAAAACTGCTGAGCCTGAAATACGTCCAAAATATAAAAAAGGAAAACATTGGGAAAATCAGTGTCATTCTAAGTTTGATAAAGATGGTAACTTGATTTCAGGAAAGGCCATGAGGGGCCTATCCTGGGCCGCATTCCAAACCAAGGCATTTCTGGCTCAGGCCATTCTCTCACCACTGTAAAATATCTGTCCCCTGTCACAGCTGGTAGTGCCAGAGCAGATTTGTGCTGCACAAAAGCTGTGAGACTTCTGCCCGGGGAACCCCTGCAAAGGGTCCCAACAGGAGTCTGTGGACCCTTGCCAGCAGGGATGATAGGATTATATCTAGGCAGGTCTAGTTGAAATTTAAAAGGGGTACAAGTACAAACAGGATTCATTGATTCAGATTACAATGGGGAAATTCAAATTGTTATATCTACTTCTGTTTCCTGGAAAGCAGAGCCAGGAGAGTGTATAGCACAGCTCCTGATTGTGCTATATGTGGAAATGGGGAAAAGTAAAATTAAATGATCAGGAGAATTTGGAAGCACAAATAAAAAGGGCAAAGCGGCTTACTGGGTAAATCCAATTACTGATAAACTTTCTACCTGTGAAATAACTATTAAGGGAAAGAAATGCAAAGGTTTGGTAGATACAGGAGCGGACGTTTCAATCATTTCTATACAGCACTGGCCATCTGCGTGGCCAATTCAACCTGTTCAATTTAACATAGTTGGAGTTAGTAAAGCCCCTGAAGTATATCAAAGTAGTTATATTTTTCACTGTGAAGGGCCCGACATACAATCTGGGACTATTCAACCAATTCTAACTTCTGTAACTATAAATTTATGGGGAAGAGATTTATTACAAAATGGGGAGAACAAGTTCTAATTCCAGAGCAATTATACAGCCCTCAAAGTCAACATATGATGCATGAAAAGGGTTAGGTCCCTGGTATGGGACTAGGAAAAAATTTGTAAGATTTGAAGCAACTACTTCAAGTGGAAAGACAAAGTTCCTGCCAAGGTTTAGGATACCATTTTTGACGGTGGCCATTGTTAAGCCTCCAGAACCTACACCTTTAAAATGGTTAACAGATAAGCCAATTTGGATAGAAAAATGGCCGCTAAGTAAAAAGAAACTGGAGGCTTTAGAGGAATTAGTTACTGAACAATTAGAAAAAGGACACATTGCTCCAAAATTTCCCATTGGAATTCTCCAGTTTTCGTAATTAAGAAAAAATCAGGTAAATGGAGAATGTTAATTGATTTAAGAGCCATTAATTCAGTTACACAACCTATGGGGATATTGCAGCCTTCTCCTGCTATGATTTTAAAAAAAAGCCTTTAAGAGTCATAGATTTAAAAGACTGTTTCTTTACTATCCCTTTAGCTGAGCAAGACTGTGAAAGGTTTGCATTTACGATTCCTGCAGTAAACTACCTGCAGCCTGCTAAGCATTTTCATTGGAAAGTGTTGCCACAGGGCATGATAAACAGTCCAACAATTTGCCAGGCATATGTAGGGCAAACAATTGAACCTACTTGTAAAAAATTTTCAGTGTTACATTATTCATTATATGGACGATATACTTTGTGCTGTCCCCACCTGAGAAATATGACTTCAATATTATGATCACTTGCAAAATTCAATTTCTCGTACTTGTTTAATTATAGCTCCTGATAAAATTCAGACTACTACTCCTTACTCCTACTTGGGGACCTTAGTAAATGACACTAACATTGTGCTACAGAAAGTAGCCATACATAGGGATCAATTGAAAAGATTTAATGACTTTCAAAAATTACTAGGGGACATTAATTGGATATGACCTGCTGTAGGCGTTCCTACCTATGCCATGAGTAATCTATTTTCTATTCTTAGAGGAGAACCTAGTCTCACTAGTCCTCGGCAATTAACGAAAGAAGCTAAAGCTATTATCCAGTGATGCCCAACTTGCCAAATGGTGCATTCCTTATCTTTTACTGGAAGAGTTTATCCTTGGGGATTGGAACCTAGTTCTCTTTGGCAAATAGTTGTCACACATGTTCTCTCGTTTGGGAGACTAGCTTATGTACATGTATGTGTGGACACCTTTTCTCACTTTGTCTGGGCTACATGCCAATCAGGAGAGTCTTCTGCCTGTGTTAAATGTCACCTTTTGCAGTGTTTTGTGGTGATGGGCATTCCAGCTTCTATTAAAACAGATAATGCCCCAGGATATACTCCCCAAGCTCTAGCTACATTTTTCTCTATATGTAATATGAAACACATTACTGGTATCCCATATAACTCTCAAGGACAAGCCATAGTGGAAAGAATGAATCTCTCCCTGAAACACCAGTTAGAAAAACAAAAAAAGGGGGAGAAACAGTGACTATGGGACACCCCATATGCAATTGCATCTAGCATTATTAACTTTAAATTTTTGAGCCTTCTTAAAGGCCAGATGCTATCAGCAGCTGAACAGCATCTACAGAAACCTGCTGCAAAGACAGAAGCAGAACAACTGGGTTGAGGAGAGATCCAATAGCAAAATTTGCAAAATAGTTAAAATAATCAATTGGGGTAGAGGTTATGCTTGTGTTTCTCCAGGACCGAATCAACAGCCAATTTTGATACCATCAAGACACCTGAAACCTTATCATGAGCCAGATATTGAGGAAGATATTCTGAGAGGGTTGCAAGGACCCCCTGGTTGCAGCCATGTCAAGACTGACACTGAGGAGGACCCCAACTATCATGAGACACACCTGTCGAACACAGCCACCCACATGGGGACAGATCAAGAAGCTGTCACAGAAGGAGGAAGAAAACCTAAGAAAAGTGGGACAACCGGTCACTATTAGTAATTTAATGATATCTATGATAGCAGTGATCACCACTGCCATGTGTATTCCTTCAAAAATGGCTGAAACAGAGAACAATTATAGTTACTGGACATATCTATCAATCCTGGCTGGCAATAATGCCTGGATGTAATCACTGTATGACACAGTTACACATGCTTTCTAATCTCAGAATAAACCATGATAAATTTGCTCCTATAATTGAGGCATACTGTCCTCAAAAACTAATTTGTAAACATGATTGGATCTGGTTAGAAAAAATGAATGTACTTGTTTGGGAAGATTGCATTGCAGAACAGTCAGAGGTGCTATGCAATGACTCCTATGGAATCACGATTGATTGGTCCCCTAAGAGGATGTTTAGCTTGAATTGCACCTCTCAATTGGTGTGCCACAGTCACACTATGTTCAGCTGGTCTGAACAAAACAGTCAGATGGTATAAATGGTAAGAAGTATGGCAAGAGTTCCTATTATCTGGAACCATTACGGTATAGTGGCACCTCAACCTCAAATGAGGTGGCTCGTTGTGTGAGCTAAACATATGAACTTGTGGAAACTATTAATGGCTCTTAATAAGATCAAATTTGGGAAAGAATAAAATGCGTCTAAGACACTCTACAAACTTGTCTTTGGCTATTGCAAAATTTAAAAGAACAAATATTTAAGGCATCCCAGTCACACCTGGCCTTAATGTCAGGAACTGGAGTGCTTGAAGGAGCTGCAGAGAGATTAGCAGCTAGTACCCCATTAAAACGGATAAAAACACTGGAAAGCTCTGTGATTTCAACAATGGTTGTGTTATTAATCTGTGTTTTTGGTCTTTGTATAGTCTGCAGATGTGAATCCTGAATCCTGTGAGAAGTAGCTCACTGTGACAAAGCTGCCTATGCTTTTATCACTTTGCAAAACGAAGAAGGAAGACATGTTGGGAAAAGGCCACAAATCTGGCCTTAAACTGGCCACAAACTGGTCATAAACAAAATCTCTACAGCACTGTGACCTGCTTGTGATGGCCATGAGGCCCCCACTGGAAGGCTGTCAGTTCACCAGAATGAGGGGAAGTAGCCCTGGCCCACCAAGGGTGGAAAAATGCTTAAAGGCTTTCTTGACCCACAAACAATAGCATGAGTGATCTGTGCCTTAAGGACATGTTCAGGCTGCAGATAACTAGCCAGAGCCCATCCCTTTATTTCAGCCCATCCTTTTATTTTCCGTAAGAAATACTTTCAGTTAAACTATAATCTATAGAAACAATGCTTATCAGTGGCTTGCTGTCAATAAATATGTGGATAAATCTCTGTTCAAGGCTCTCAGGTTTGAAGGCTGTGAGAACCCTGATTTCTCACTCCACACAATATATTTCAGTGTGTGTGTCTTTAATTCTACTAGTGTCACTGCTTTAGGGTCTCCATGAAAGAGCTGGTCTTGGCATATGGTGAAAAAAAGGAATATCCCCAGATAAAAACTAGAAAGAAGCTACCTGTGAAAATGCTTTCTGATGTGTATATTCCTCTGAAAGAGTTAAACCTTTCTTTTGATTTAGCAGGTTAGAAACAGTGTTCTTGTAGAATGTGCAAAGGGACATTTAGGATCCCACTGAGGTCTATGGTAAAAAACCAAATAACCCCAGATATAAACTAGAAAGAAGCTATCTGTGAAACTGCTGTCTGATGTGTGGATTCTTCTCACAGAATTAAACCATTCAACCCGTTGGAAACACTCTTTTTGTACTATCTGCAAATGGACACTTGGGAGCTTATTGTGGCCTGCAGTAAAAAACTGAATCACCTCAATTAAAAACTAGAAAGAAGCTATTTGTGAAACTGCTTTGTGATGTGTGGACTCATCTCACAATGTTAAAACTTTGACTTGTTTCAGCAGGCTGGAAACATTCTATTGCAGAATCTGGGAAGGGACATTTGGGAGCCCATTGAGGCCTATGGTAAAAAACGGAATATCCCCAGATAAAAAGTAGAAAGAAGCTATATGTGAAACTGCTTTGTGATGTGTGGATTCATCTCAGAGAATTAAACCATTCTTTTGATTCATCAGGTTGGAAACACTCTTTTTATGCAATCTTCAAAGGGACATTTGGGAGCCCATTGGGGCCTACTGTGAAAAACAGAATATCCACAGGTAAAAACTAAGAAGAAGCTATCTGTGAAACTGCTTTGTGAAGGGTGGATTTATCTCACAGAATTAAACCCTTCTTTTGATTCAGCAGTTCGGAAACACTCTTCTTGTAGAATCTGGGAAGGAACATTTGGGAGCCCATTGAGGCCTATTGTGAAACCCCGAATATTCCCAGATGAATACTAGAAAGAAACTATCTGTGAAGCTGCTTTCTGATGTGTGGATTCATCTAACCCAATTGAACCCTTCTTTTGATTCAGCAGCTTGGAAACACTGTTTTTGTAGAATCTGCGAAGGGACATTTGAGAGCCCATTGAGGCCTATGGTGAAAAACAGAATGTCCCCAGATATAAATTAGAAAGAAGCTATCTATGAAACTGATTCCTGATATGTGGATTCAATGCACAGAGTTAAACTTTTCTTTTGATTCAGCAGGTTGAAAACACCCTTCTTGTAGTAGCCAGGAAGGCATATTTGGGAGCCTATTAAGTCCTGTGGTGAAAAACCGAATATCTTCAGATAAAAACTAGAAAGAAGCTATCAGTGAAACTGCTTTTTGATGTATGGATTCAGCTCACAGAGTTAAAACTTTCTTTTAGCCAGTTGGAAACACTCTCCTTGAAGAATCTGCAAAGGGACATTTGGGAGCCCTTTGAGGCATATGATGAAAAACTGATTATCCCCAGATAAAAACTAGAAAGTAGCAATCTGTGAAACTACTTTGTGATATGTAGATTCATCTCACAAAGTTAAATATTTCTTTTGATTCAGCAAGCTAGAAACACTCTACTTGTAGAATCTGTGAAGGGACATTGGGAAGCTTAATGAGGCCTATGAAAAAACTGAATATCCTTGGATAAAAACTGGAAAGAATCTACTCGTGAAACTGCACTTTGATGGGTGGATTCACCTCACAGAGCTGAAACTTTCTTTTGTTTCAGCAGGTTGGAAGCACTCTTCCTGTAGAATCTGTGATGGGACTTTTGGGAGCCCATTGAGGCCTACTGTGAAAAACCAAATATCCCCATATAAAAACTAGAAAGAAGCTATCTGTGAAACTGCTTTGTGACGTGTGGATTCATCTCTCAGATTTAAATGATTCCACAGGTTGGAAACACTCTTCTTGTAGTCTCTGCGAAGGGACATTTGGGAGACCTTCTGGCCTGTGGTAAAAAATCGAATATCCCCAGATAAAAACTAGAAAGAAGCAATCTGTGAAACTGCTTTGTGATGTGTGGATTCATCTTGCAGAGTTAAACCATTCTTTTGATTCAGCAGGTTGGAAAAACTCTTCTTCTAGAATCTGTGAAGCGACATTTTGGAGCCCATTGGGGCCTACTGTGAAAAACTGAATACACCCAGAAAAAAACGAACAGGAAGCTATCTGAGAAACAGTGTTGTGACGTGTGATTCACCTCACAGAGTTAAAGCTTCTTTTAATTCAGCAGTGGGAAACACTCATTGTAGAATCCATGAAGGGATATTTGGGAGGCCATTGAGGTCTATGGTGAAAAACTGAATATTTCTGGATAAATACTAGAAAGAAGCATTCTGTGAAACCGCTTTCAGATATGTGGATTAATCTCACAGAGTTAAACCTTTGTTTTGTTTCAGCAGGTTGGAAACACTCTTCTAGTAGCATCTGTGAATGGACATTTGGGAGCCTATTGAGGCCTGTGGTGAAAAACCAAATATCCTCAGATAACAAACTAGAAAGAAGCTATCTGTGAAATTGCTTTGTGACGTGTGGATTCATCTCACAGTGTTAAATATTTCTTTTGCTTCAGCATGTTGGAAAAACTCGTCTTGTAGAATCTGTGGAGGGACATTTTGGAGACCTTTGAAGCCTATAGTGAGAAACGGAATATCCCCAGATAAAAACAAAGAAGAAACTCTCTCTGAAACTGTTTTGTGTTGTGTGGATTCATCTTACAGAGTTAAACCATACTTTTTATTAAGCAGTTTGGAAACACTCTTTTTTTTGAATCTGCAAGGGGACATTTTGCAGCCCATTGTTTCCTACCGTGAAAAACCGAATATCACCAGATAAAAACTAAGAAGAAGCTATCTGTGAGCCTGCTGTGTGATGTGTGGATTCATCTCACAGAGATAAACCTTTCTTTTGTTTCAGCAGGTTGGAAACACTCTTCTTCTGGAAACTGTGAAAGGAATCAGGGGGCCCATTGAGGCCTATGGTGAAAAATGGAATATCCCCAGATAAAAACGAGAAAGAAGGTACCTGCGAAACTGCTTTGAGATGTGGGGAATCATCTCCTGGAGGTTAACCAATTTTTTGATTCACCAGGTTGGAAATACTCTTTTTGTAGAATCTGAGAAGGGACATTTGGAAGGCCATTAAGGCCTGTGGTGAAAAACCGCATATCCACATAAAAACTAAAAAGCAATCTATTAAACTGCTTTGTGATGTGTGGATTCATCTCACAGAAGTAAACATTTTATTTTTGATTCAGCAGGTTTGAAACACTCTTCCTGTAGTATCTGTGAGTGGACATTTGGGAGCCTCTTGAGGCATATGGTGAAAAACCCAATGTTCTCAGATAAAAACTAGAAAGAAGGCATCTGTGAAACTGCATTGCGATGTGTGGATTCATCCCAGTGTTAAATATTTCTTTTATTTTAGCAGGTTGGAAAAAACTCTTTTTGTAGAATCTGTGAAGGAAATTTTGGGAGACCATTGAGTCCTGTGGTGAAAAACTGAATATCCTTAGAGGAAAAAAAAAAAAAAAAACTAGAAAGAAGCTATCTGTGAAACCACTTTGTGATATGTGGATTCATCTCATAGTATTAAAACATTCTTTTAATTCAGCAGGTTGGAAACACTCTTTTTGTAGAATCTGCGAAGGGGTGTTTTGAAGCCCCTTGTGGTTCAATGTGAAAAACAGAATATCTCCAGAGAAATACTAAGAAGAAGCTATCTGTGAATCTGCTTTGTGATGTGTGGATTCATGTCATAGTGTTAAACATTTCTTTTGTTTCAGCAAATTGGAAACACTCTTCTTGTCGAATCTGTGAAAGTACATTTGGGGGCCATGGAGGTCTATGGTGAAAAATGGAATATTCCCAGATAAAAACTAGAAGGAAGATACCTGTGAAACCCTTTTATTATGTCTGGATTTGTCTCACAGAGATAAACCATTCTTTTGATTCAGCCGTTTGGAAACACTCTTTTTGTAGAATACGTGAAAGGCCATTTGGGAGCCCACTGGGGCCTAATGTGAAAAACGGAATATCCCCATATAAAAACTAAGAAGAAGCTATCTGTGAAACTCCTTTGTGATGTGTAGATTCATCCCACAGAGATAAACCTTTCCTTTGATTAAGCAGGTTGGAAATGCTCTTCTTGTAGAATCTATGAAGGGATATTTGGGAGCCCATTGAGGCCTAAGGTGAAAAATTGAATATTCCCAGATAAAAGCTAGACAGAAGCTATCTGTCAAACTGCCTTCTGATGTCTTGATTCATCTCAAAGATTTAAATTTATTCATTCAGTAGGTTGGAAATGCTATTCTTGTAGCATCTGTGAATGGACATTTGGGAAGCTGTTGAGGACTATGGTGAAAAACAAAAATCCTCTGATAAAAACTAGAAAGAAGCTATCTATGAAACTGCTGTTTGATTTATGGATTAATCTCACAGGGTTAAATCTTTCTTTTGTTTACAGATGTTGGAAGCACTCTTTTTGTAGCTTCTGTGAAAAGACATTTGGAGACCATTGAGGCATATGGTGAAAAAGTGAATATCGACAAATAAAAACTATGAAGAAGCTATTTGTGAAACTGCTTTCTGATGTGTGGATTCCTCTCACAGAGTTAAAACTTTTTTTTTGATTTAGCAAGTTGGAAACATTCTTCTTGTAGAATCCGTGAGGGGACATTTGGGAGCCCATTGCAGCCTATGATGAAAAACTGAATATCTCCATATAAAAAGTAGAAAGAAATTATCTGTGAAATTGCTTTGTGATATGTAGATTCATCTCACAGAGTTAAACCTTTCTTTAGATTTAGCAGGTTGGAAACACTCTTCTTGTAGAATCTGCGAAGGGACATTTGGGGAATCCTTGGGGCCTACTATGAAAAACTGAATATTCCCAGAAAAAACTAGAAAGAAGATATCTCTGAAACTGATTTGTGATATGTGGATTTATCTCACAGAGATGAACATTTCTTTTGATTCAGCAGGTTGAGAACACTCCCCTTGTAGAATCTGTGATGGGACATTTGGGAGACCATTGAGGCCTACAGTGAAGAACTGAATATCCCCGGATCAAACCTAGAAAGAATTTATCTGTGAAACTACTTTCTAATGTGTGCATTCATCTCACAGAATTAAACCTTTCATTTGATTCACCATCGTGTAAGCATTGTTCATGTAGTATCTGCAAATGGATATTTTGTAGCTTATTTTGGCTTACGGTGAAATACCTAATATCCTCAGATAAAAACTAGAAAAATATATCTGTTCAACTGCTTTCTGATGTGTGGATTCATCTCACAGTGTTAATCCTTACTTTTGTTTCAGTGGGTTGGAAACACTCTTCCTTCCTTTATTTATTTACTTATTTATTATACTTTAAGTTTTAGGGTACATGTGCACAATGTGCAGATTAATTACATATGCATACTTGTGCAATTTTGGTGTGCTGCACCCATTAACTCGTCATTTAACATTAGGTATATCTCCTAATGCTATCCCTCCCCCCTCCCCCCACCCATCAACAGTCCCCAGTGTGTCGTGTTCCCCTTCCTGTGTCCATGTGTTCTCATTGTTCAATTCCCACCTATGAGTGAGAACATGCGGTCTTTGGTTTTTTGTCCTTGCGATAGTTTGCTGAGAATGATGGTTTCCAGATTCATCCACGTTCCTGCAAAGGACATCAACTCATCATTTTTTATGGCTGCATAGTATTCCATGGTGTATATGTGCCACATTTTCTTAATCCAGTCTATCATTGTTGGACATTTGGGTTGCTTCCAAGGCTTTGCTATTGTGAGTAGTGCTGCTATTGTGAATAATGCCGCAATAAACATATGTGTGCATGTGTCTTTATAGCAGCATGATTTATAGTCCTTTGGGTATATACCCAGTAATGGGATGGCTGGGTCAAATGGTATTTCTAGTTCTAGATCCCTGAGGAATCGCCACACTGACTTCCACAACGGTTGAACTAGTTTACAGTCCCACCAACAGTGTAAAAGTGTTCCTATTTCTCCACATCCTCTCCAGCACCTGTTGTTTCCTGACTTTTTAATGATGACCATTCTAACTGGTGTGCAACGTTATCTCATTGTGGTTTTGATTTGCATTTCTCTGATGGCCAGTGATGATGAGCATTTTTTCATGTGTTTTTTGGCTGCATAAATGTCTTCTTTTGAGAAGTGTCTGTTCATATCCTTCGCGCACTTTCTGATGGAGTTGTTTGTTTTTTTCTTGTAAATTTGTTCCAGGTCATTGTAGATTCTGGATATTAGCCCTTTGTCAGATGAGTAGGTTGCAAAAATGTTCTCTTATTCTGTAGGTTGCCTGTTCACTCTGATGGTAGTTTATTTTGCTGTGCTGAAGCTCTTTAGTTTAATTAGATTTCATTTGTAAATTTTGGCTTTTGTTGCCATTGTTTTTGGTGTTTTAGTCATGAAGTATTTGCCCATGCCTATGTCCTGAAAGGTAATGCCTAGGTTTTCTACTAGGCTTGTTATGGCTTCAGGTCTAACACTTAAGTCTTTAATCCATTTGAATTAATCTTTGTATGAGGCATAAGGAAGGGATCCAGTTTCAGCTTTCTACATATGACTAGCCAGTTTTCCCAGCACCATTTATTAAATAAGGAAACCATTACCCACTTCTTCTTTTTGTCGGGTTTGTCAAAGATCAGATAGTTGTAGATATGCAGCATTATTTCTGAGGGCTCTATTCTGTTCCATTGGTCTATATCTCTGTTTTGCTACCAGTACCATGCTGTTTTGGTTACTGTAGCCTTGTAGTATAGTTTAAAGTCAGGTAGCCTGATGCTTGCAGCTTTGTTCTTTGGCTTAGGATTGACTTGGCAATGAGGGTTCTTTTTTGGTTCCATATGAACTTTAAAGTAGTTTTTTCCAATTCTGTGAAGAAAGTCATTGGTAGCTTGATGGGGACGGCATTGAATCGATAAATTACCTTGGGCAGTATGGCCAATTTCACGATATTGATTCTTCCTACCCATGAGCATGGAATGTTCTTCCATTTGTTTGTATCCTCTTTTATTTCATTGAGCAGTGGTTTGTAGTTCTCCTTGAAGAGCTCCTGCGCATCCCTTGTCATTGGATTCCTAGGTATGTTATTCTCTTTGAAGCAATTGTGACTGGGAGTTCACTCATGATTTGGCTCTCTGTTTGTCTATTATTGGTGTATAAGAATGCTTGTGATTTTTGCACATTGATTTTGTATCCTGAGACTTTGCTGAAGTTGCTTATCAGCTTAAGGAGATTTTGGGCTGAGACAATGGGGTTTTCTAAACACACAATCATCTCATCTGAAAACAAGGACAATTTGACTTCCTTTTTTCTAATTGAATATCACTTATTTCCTTCTCCTGCCAGATTGTCCTGGCCAGAACTTCCAACACTATGTTGAATAGGAGTGGTGAGAGAGGGCTTCCCTGTCTTGTGCCAGTTTTCAAAGGGAATGCTTCCAGTTTTTACTCATTCAGTGTGACATTGGCTGTGGGTTTGTCATAGATAGCTCTTATTATTTTGAGATACATCCCATCAATATCTAATTTATTGAGAGCTTTTAGCATGAAGCATTGTTGTATTTTGTCAAAGGCCTTTTCTGCATCTATTGAGATTATCATGAGGTTTTTGTCATTGGCTCTGTTTATATGCTGGAATACATTGATTTGTTTGTGTATGTTGAACCAGCCTTGCATACGAGGGATGAAGCCTACTTGATCATGGTGGATAAGTTTTTGATGTGCTGCTGGATTCTGTTTGCCAGTATTTTATTGAGGATTTTTGCATTGATGTTCATCAAGGATATTTGTCTAAAATTCTCTTTTTTTGTTGTTGTGTCTCTGCCAGGCTTTGGCATCAGGATGATGCTGGCCTCATAAAATGAGTTAGGGAGGTTTCCCTCTTTTTCTGTTAATTGGAATAATTTCCGAAGGAATGGTATCAACTCCTCCTTGTACCTCTGGTAGAATTCGGCTTTGAATCCATCTGGACCTGGTGTTTTTTTGGTTGGTAAGCTATTAATTATTGCCTCAATTTCAGAGCCTGTTGTTGGTCTATTCAGAGATTCAACTTCTTCCTTGTTTAGTCTTTGGAGGGTGTATGTGTTGAGGAACTTATCCATTTCTTCTTGATTTTCTCGTTTATTTGTGTAGAGGTGTTTATAGTATTCTCTGATGGTAGTTTGTATTTCTGTGGGATTGGTGGTGATAACCCCTTTATCATTTTTTATTGTGTCTATTTGATTCTTCTCTCTTTTCTTCTTTATTAGTCTTGCTAGTGGTCTATCAATTTTGTTGATCTTTTCAAAAACCAGCTCCTGGATTCATTGATTTTTTGAAGGATTTTTTGTTTCTCTATTTCCTTCAGTTCTGCTCTGATCTTGTTATTTCTTGCCTCCTGCCAGCTTTTGAATGTGCTTGCTCTTGCTTCTCTAGTTCTTTTAATTGTGATGTTAGGGTGTCCATTTTAGATCTTTCCTGCTTTCCCTTGTGGGCATTTAGTGCTATAAATTTCCCTCTACACACTGCTTTGAATGTGTCCCAGAGATTCTGGTAAGTTGTGTCTTTTTTCTTGTTGGTTTCAAGGAACATCTTTATTTCTGCCTTCATTTCGTTATGTATCCAGTAGTCATTCAGGAGCAGGTTGTTCACTTTCCATGTAGTTGAGCGGTTTTGAGTGAGTTTCTTAATCCTGAGTTCTAGTTTGATTGAACTGTGGTCTGAGAGACAGTTTGTTATAATTTCTGTTCTTTTACGTTTGCTGAAGAGTGCTTTCCTTTCAACTATGTGGTCAATTTTGGAATAGGTGTGGTGTGGTGCTGAAAAAACGTATATTCTGTTGATTTGGGGTGGAGAGTTCTGTAGATGTCTATTAGGTCCACTTGGTGCAGAGTTCAGTTCCTGGATCTCTCTGAGAACTTTCTGTCTTGTTCATCTGTCTAATGTTGACAGTGGGGTGTTAAAGTCTCCCATTATTATTGTGTGGGAGTCTAAGTCACTTTCTAGGTCTCTAAGGACTTGCTTTATGAATCTGGGTGCTCCTGTATTTGGTGCATATATATTTAGGATATTTAGCTCCTCTTGTTGAATTGATCCCTTTACCATTATGTAATGGCCTTTTTTGTCTCTTTTGATCTTTGTTGCTTTAAAGTCTCTTTTATCCGAGACTAGGATTGCAACCCCTGCCTTTTTTTTGTTTATTTTGTTTTTCCATTTTTTGTTTTCCATTTGCTTGGTACATCTTCCTCCATTCCTTTTTTTTTTGAGCCTATATGTGTCTCTGCACGTGAGATGGGTTTCCGGAATACAGCACTCTGATGGTTCTTAACTCTTTATCCAATTTGCCAGTCTGTGTCTTTTAATTGGAGCATTTAGCCCATTTACATTTATGGTTAATATTGTTATGTGTGAATTTGATCCTGTCATTATGATGTTAGCTGGTTATTTAGCTTGTTATTTGATGCAGTTTCTTCCTAGCCATGATGGTCTTTACAATTTGGCCTGTTTTTGCAGTGGCTGGTACCGGTTTTTCCTTTCCATGTTTAGTGCTTCCTTCAGGATCTCCTGTAAAGCAGGCCTGGTGGTGACAAAATATCTCAGCATTTGCTTGTTTGTAAAGGATTTTATTTCTGCTTCACTTATGATGCTTAGTTTGGCTGGATATGAAATTCTGGGTTGAAAATTCTTTTCTTTAAGAATGTTGAATATTGGTCCCCACTCTCTTCTGGCTTGTAGACTTTCTGCAGAGAGATCAGCTGTTAGTCTGATGGGCTTCCCTTTGTGGGTAACCCGATCTTTCTCTCTGGCTGCCCTTAACATTTTTTCCTTCATTTCAACTTTGGTGAATCTGACAATTATGTGTCTTGGGGTTGCTCTTCTCGAGGAGCATCTTTGCAGTGTTGTCTGTATTTCCTGAATTTGAATATTGGCCTGCCTTGCTAGATCGGGGAAGTTCTCCTGGATAATATCCTGCAGAGTGTTTTCCAACTTGTTTACATTCTCCCCATCACTTTCAGGTACACCAATCAGACGTAGATTTGGTCTTTTCACATAGTCCCATATTTCTTGGAGGCTTTGCTCATTTCTTTTTATTCTTTTTTCTCTAAACTTCCCTTCTCACTTCATTTCATTCATTTCATCTTCCATTGCTGATACCCTTTCTTCCAGTTGATCGCATCGGCTCCTGAGGCTTCTGCATTTTTACGTAGTTCTTGAGCCTTCGTTTTCAGCTCCATCAGCTCCTTTAAGCGCTCCTCTGTATTGGTTATTCTAGTTATACATTCGTCTAAATGTTTTTCAAAGTTTTCAACTTCTTTGCCTTTGGTTTGAATTTCCTCCCGTAGCTCGGAGTAATTTGGTCATCTGAAGCCTTCTTCTCTCAGCTCGTCAAAGTCATTCTCCAACCAGCTTTGTTCCATTGCTGGTGAGGAACTGTGCTCCTTTGGAGGAGGAGAGGCGCTCTGCTTTTTAGAGTTTCCAGTTTTTCTGCTCTGTTTTTTCCCCATCTTTGTGGTTTTATCTACTTGTTGTCTTTGATGATGGTGATGTACAGATGGGTTTTTGGTGTGGATGTCCTCTCTGTTTGTTAGTTTTCCTTCTAACAGACAGGACCCTCAGCTGCAGGTCTGTGGGAGTACCCGGCCGTGTGAGGTGTCAGTCTCCCCCTGCTGGGGGGTGCCTCCCAGTTAGGCTGCTCAGGGGTCTGGGGCCAGGGACCCACTTGAGGAGGCAGTCTGCCCATTCTCAGATCTCCAGCTGCTTGCTGGGGCAACCACTGCTCTCTTCAAAGCTGTCAGACAAGGACATTTAAGTCTGCAGAGGTTACTGCTGTCTTTTTGTTTGTCTGTGCCCTGCCCCTAGAAGTGGAGCCTATAGAGGCAGGCAGGCCTCCTTGAGCTGTAGTGGGCTCCACCCAGTTCAAGCTTCCCGGCTGCTTTGTTTACCGAAGCAAGCCTGGGCAATGGCGGGCGCCCCTCCCCCAGCCTGGCTGCCACCTTGCAGTTTGATCTCAGACTGCTGTGCTAGCAATCAGTGAGACTCCGTGGGCGTAGGACCCTCTGAGCCAGGTGCGGGATATAATCTGGTGCTCCGTTTTTTAACCCCGTCGGAAAAGCGCAGTATTCTAAAATGGAGTTTCTTATGTCTTCCTTTTCTACATAGACACAGTAACAGTCTGATCTCTCTTTCTTTTCCCTACATATCCTCCTTTTCTTTTTGACAAAAGCACCTTCGTCATTATGGCTCATTCTCTATGGTCACTGTCTCTTTGGAGCTGCTGGATACAACTGTAGACTAACCACAGACAGAACAGGCACACAAGGTTTAATACAAAATTTACAATAGTGGAACTTCTTAGGGTTTTAACCCAAGTGAAGGGGTTAAGTTTTGTGTGGTCATCAGCAGATTTTACGATTGTCTCACTTTCTAGCACCAAATTTAAATGGACTTTTGATGCCTCAAAAATATGTTCTTTTAATTTTGATATATCTAAAGTAAGATTATCTTATTTTTTTGTAGATGGAGTCTAACCATTTCCCAGTGATGCTCAGACTTATTATAGGCTCAGGGTGTAATTCAAAATTCTGATGTGTTCCAGTCACATTGTAACTGAAAAAGTTTTTTCAAGCTCATGAGTCTATCTCCCATCCAAATGACAGTTAGTCTAAGATCATTAATTTGGTTTGCTTATTTTTGATCTATTTGGGTCTGAGTATTTTACAATTTTGAGGATTTTTTTTGCCAGTTACTTACATATTTTGTAGTTTGAATAGAAGAGTGTAAAGCAATTCCAGCAGCCACAGCAGTACCTTTGACTGCAATAAGACCCATAGTCACTGCAATGAAAGTAAAAATGAACCTTTTGAATTTAGTTAGAATTTATTTTAATATTTCTGTTAAAATATGGATGGATAGTGAAGCTTCCCACTGTTGATCCATGAAAACAGGGATCCACATGCCCTCTCTTGCCTTTACTAGCAGAATACAGTGTTGCCAGTTAAAAGTCAAATAAACGCAAGTGAGCAATCTATGATTTTTACAGGTTATAGTTTGGGAATCTGGTTTAATAACTATGTTTCTTACAACTAGCATATAAGGGGTTTTTGCACAACTTTGTAAGGGAATTGTCAGACTGGAATTTAGGTTGATAGTATAATATGGCTTACAATCTCTTGTTTCTATAGCTTGATTTTTAGACCAAATTCTAATGTGGTGTGAGGCCACAGTAGGCTTTAATAATTCTGGCTGTTTAGGACCATTAACAGGACTAAGTTTGGTCGAGGTGATGAAATTTCCTTTTCACCCCATTTCCATGGATAGAGTGCTTCTCACCTTGTATAAACTTTGTCCAGCCTTTCAGTTAAATTACTATTATAGCCTGGATTAATGTGCCAGATGGATGGGGCCTGTGAACATGAGTGAGTCTGGCCCATACAATTACAATATAATTGGCCTTGAGGGGCCTAGTCTATAGTAGTTTTAAATTTATTGTTTTGTAATACCTCCACAACATTAGCCAGACATTTTTTTCAAACTAAGACTTTTGGGCATTTTGATTTTTTGGGAATTTCCTTGGGGCCAGGCTTTACCTTAGGCCTAAATTTTAATGATCTTTGAAAAGAAGAGTCCTGTAAATTATTTATCTGTGCCTCGAGTAACATTCTACTTATCATGTGATAAGTAAATCTACTGGTGGCACTGACAGTAGGTACTTTCACCAACCAATTTTGTGTTGTAGGCGTTAAACATCCTGGTGCCTTCCGTAGGCAAATAGTATAATGATACCCAATGGAAATAATTATCATCATTCCTTCTTTTTTAGACTGGACAGGGCAACGATCATCTGTGGAGCCTGGTACCCATGCACTATTATTAACATATACTTTAATAGGATTATCCATCCATGTGACTGCCCGAATTAGTTGTGGGAAAGGCACATAGACCCAGTAAGTATAATTAGCTACAGCTGCTCCTGTAGACATGGGGAGATTTAACAATGTTGATGCAATCATCAAAGCTGAAAGCAGCATATTCTCTGGAGTTTGCACTGCCCTTACGTTCTTTAGGCTTTTTTCAGCTAACTGTGTCAGCTTCTTTAATTGTGCCCAAGTCGGTGGCTCTATTTTTTTGGTGGATGACAACTTCTTCTGTAAGTTGTAGGTACCTAAACTGGAAGCTGGTTTTTTTTTGGGGGGAAACACAAGCAAAACCTCTCCCCTACATTATCACCTTTCTTATTTCCAATATTTTATTTTTGTTGTCTTTCCACCAAATCAGTTTTCCTTCAGGTGGGCTGTTTTTTTACCAGTGAAATGTTGTTCTTCAGAAGTAGTGGTCTGATTTCTATAAATGTTTAAACAGTGTAGAGTATAGAGTGCTAGATTAAGTTGCATCTGGGGAGCATTATACTCTTTACTGTCCTTGTTTGTTTGTTTAACCAATTGAGCTTTGAGTGTTTTATTTGTTCTTTTAATTATGGCCGGTCCTTGAGAATTATAGGGGATTCTTGTTGTATGTGTAATTTTCCACTGATTTAAGAATTATTGAAATGTTTTTCTACAGTATCCTGGCCCATTATCCATTTTAATTTTTTTTTGGAACTCCCATGATAGCAAAACAAGATAATAAATGTCAACCGCATATCACCAGTGAAAACTAGAAAGAAGCTATCTGTGAGACTTCTTGGTGATGTGTGGATTAATCTCTCAAAGTTGAAATATTGTTTTGATTCAGCAGGTTGGAAACACTGTTTTTGCAGTATCAGTGAAGGGACACTTCAGAGCCTATTGTGGCCTATAGACAGAAACTGAATATCCCCAGATAAAAACTAGAAATAAACTATTGAAGAAACTACTTTGTGATGTGAGGAATCATCTCACGGAGTGAAGACTTTCCTCTGATTCAGCTGGTTGGAAACACTCTTTTCGTAGACCCTGGGAAGGGACATTTGGGAGCCCATTGGGGCCCATGGGAAAAAAACAGAATATCCCCAGATAAAAACTAAAAAGTAGGTATCTGTGAGGCTGCTTTTTAATGTGTGGATTCGTTTCACAGAGTTAAAACTCTCTTTTAATTCACCAGATTGGAAACACTCCTTTCATAGAATCTTGGATGGGACTTTTGAGAGCCCATTGAGGACTGCAGGGAAAGCCAAATACCCCAACATAAAAAGTAGAAAGAAGCTGTCTTTGAAACTTCTTGGTGGTGTGTGGATTAATCTCATAGGGTTAAACTTTGTATTGATATAGCAGGTTGGACTCACTGTATTTGTAGACTTTGTGAAGGAAAATTTGGGACCCCATTAAGGCATATGGAAAAAAAAAAAAGATTGTTCCCTGATAAAACCTAGAAATAAGTTATCTGTGAAACTTATTTGTGACGTGTGGATTCACCTCACAGGGTTAAAACTTTATTTTGATTTAGCAGATTGGTAATACTTTTTTTTTGTGGAATCCACAGGGGACTTTTCAAACTTCATATACACCTATGGGGAAAACCCAAGTATACCCCCCTGAAAAAGTAGAAAGAAGCAATCTGTGAAACCACTTTGTGATGTGTCAATTCATCTCACAGAAGTAAACCTTTCTTTTGATTCAGCAGGTTGGAAAAACCCATTTTGTAAAATCAGTGAAGGGATATTTGGGAGCCCATTGTGGCCTATGGAGGAAAACCTAGCATCCCCAGATAAAAACTAGAAAAAAGCTATTTGTTTAATTGCTTGTTGATGTGTGGATTCATCTCACAAATTGAAACCCTTCTTTTGATTCAGTGGGCAAGAACACTATTTTTGCAGGATCTACAAAGTGACATTTTGGAGCCTATTTTTGCCTATAAGGAAAAACTGTATATCCCTAATTAAAAACTAGAAAGAGGCTATCTGTGAAACTGCTTGGGGATGTGTGAGTTCAAATCACAGAGTTATACTTTTCTTTTTATTCAGCATGTTGGAAACACACTTTTTGTAGCATCTCCAAAGGGACATTTGGGAGCTCATTAAGGGCTATGGGGAAAAAGTAAATATCTCCAGATAAAAACTAGAAAGAAGCCATGTATTAAACTGCTTGGTGATGTGTGGATTTATGTCACAGAGTTAAACATTTATTTTGATGCTGCCAGTTGGAACACTCTTTTTATAGAGTCTGGAAAAGGACATTGGGGAGTTGATTTAGGCGATGGGCAAGAACAGAATATCCCCACATAAAAATTAGATAAAAGGTATCTATGAAGCAGCTTTGTGATGTGTGGATTCAGTTCACAGAGTTAAACCTTTCTTTTGATTCAGCAGGTTGGAAACACTATTTGTAGAATCTGCAAAGTGATATTTGGAGCATATTAAGACCTATGGTGTAAAACCGAATATCGCCGCATAAAAACTAGAAAGAAGGTATCTGTGAAACTACTTTGTGATGTGGGCATGTATCTCCCAGAGTTAAACCTTTCTTTTGATTAAGCAGGTTGGAAAGTGTCTTTTCGTAGGAGGTGCAAAGACACTTTTAGGAGCCCATTGGGGCCTATGGGAAAAACAGAATCTCCTCAGATAAAAACTAGAAAAAAGCTGTCTGTGAAACTGCTTTGTGATGGGTCAATACATCTCACAGAGTTAAACCTTTCTCTTGATTCAGGAGGTTGCATACACTTTTTTGGTAGAATCTGCGAAGGTACGTTTTGAAGCCCATTGATGCCTATGGGGAAAAACCAAATATCCCCAGATAAAAACTAGGAAGAAGATATCTGTGAAACTGCTTTGTGATGTGCAGATTTACTGCACAGAGTTAAACCTTTATTTTGCTATGGTAGGTTGGAATCCTCTGTTTGTAGAATATGCGAAAAACTTTTGGAGCCCATTAAGGCCTACAGGGAAAAATGGAATATCTCCAGGTTAAAACTGGGAAAAAAGCTATTTGTAAAATACCCTGTGATGTCTGGATTTATTCCACAGATTTAAACCTTTCTTTAGATTCAGCAGGTTCGAAACACTCTTTCTGTAGAATCTGTGAAGGGACATTTGGGATTCCATAGAGGCCTACAGGATGAAAACTAATATCTCCATATAAAAACTAGGAAGAAAGTATCTGTGAAACTGCTTGGTTATGTCTGGATTCAACTCATGGAGTTTAACCTTTCCTTTGATTAACAGGTTGGAAACACTGGTTTTGTAGAATCTGCAAAGGTACATATGGTGCCCACTGACACCTGTGGGAAAAAAATGTCACTAGATAAAAATTAGAAAGAAGCTGTCTGTGAAACTGTTTGGTGATGTGTGGATTCATCTCATGGAGTTAAACCTTTCTTATGATTCAGCAGGTTGGAAACACTCTTTTTGTAGAATCTTCAAAGTGACATTTGGGAGCCCATTGAGGCCTAAGGTGAAAAGCCGAAAATTCTCAGATACAAACAAAATGATGGTATCTATCTGTGAATCTGATTTTTGATGTGCAGATTCATTTCACATGTTAAACCATTCTTTTGATTCAGCAGGTAGGAAACACTATTGTTGTAAAATCATTGAGGAGACATTTTGGAACCTATTGCAGCCTAAGAGGAAAAACAGAATATCCCCAGAAAAAAAGCTAGAAGAAAATTACCTCTGAAACTGATTGGTGATGTGTGGATTCTTCTCATAGAGTTAATTTTTTTTTATTCAGCAGGTCGGACACACTTTTTTGTAGAATATGTGAAGGGACATATGGGAGCCCTTTGAGGCCCATGGGGAAAAACAGAATATTCCCAGATAAAAGCTAGAAAAAAGCTATCCATAAAACTGCTTTGTGCTGTGTGGATTCACCTCAAGATGTAAACCTTACTTTTGATTCAGCTGGTTGGAAACACTCTTGTAGAATCTGTGGAGGGACATTTTGGAACACATTGAGGCCTATGGGGAAAAACAGAATATCCCCAGATAAAAACTAGAAAAAAGGAATCTGTGAAACTGCCTGGTAATGTGTGGATTCATCTTACAGAGTTAATCATTTCTTTTGATTCAGCAGCTTGGAAACCCTCTTTATGTATAATCTACAAAGAGATATTTGGAGCCCATTGGGGCAAACAGTGAAAACAGAATATATCCATATAAAAACTAGAAACAAGCTATCTGTGAAATGGCTTAGTGATGTGATTATTCATCTCACAGAGATTAATTTTCCTTTTGATTCGTCAGGTTGGATACACTCTTTTTGTTAAATCTGTGAGGGACATTAGGGGGCCCATTGGACCTTATGGAAAAAAAATGAATAACCCACATAAAAACTAGAAAGAAGCTCTCTGTGAAAGTACGTTGTGATGTGTGGATTTATATCACAGATTTAAAATGTTCCTTTGAATCTGCTGGATGGACTCACTCTTTTTGTACAATCTATAAAGGACATTTGGGAGCCCATGGAGGCTTATGGGAAAAAATAAAGTATCCCTAGATAAAAACTAGCAAGAATCTCTCTTTTAAACTGCTTTGTGTTGTGTGGGTTCATTTCACTATGTAACTGTTTCTTTTGATTCAGCAGTTCAGAAACACCATTTTGTAGAGTCTGAAGGGACAACTGGGAGCAAACTGACGCCTGTGGGGAAATACCAACTATTCTCAGATAAAAACTAGAATGAAGCTCTCTGTGAAACTGCTTTGTAAAATGTGGATTCATCTCACAGAGTTAAAGCTTTCTTTTACTTCAGGAGGTTGGAAACACTCTGTTTGTAGAATCTGCGAAGGGACATTTGGGAGCCCACTGAGGCCTTTTTACAAAAACTGAATATACTCAGATAAAAACTAGAAAGAAGTTATCTGTGAAATGGCTTAGTGATGTGTTATTCATCTCACAGAGTTTAATTTTCCTTTTGATTCATCAGGTTGAATACACTCTTTTTGTTAAATCTGTGAAGGGACATTTGGGGGCCCATTGAACCCTATGGAATAAAAAGATTAACCCAGATAAAAACTAGAAAGAAGCTCTCTATGAAAGTACTTTGTGATGTGTGGATTTATATCACAGATTTAAAACGTTCCTTTGATTCTGCTGGATGGAATCACTCTTTTTATACAATCTATGAAGGACATTTGGGGGTCCATGGAGGCTTATGGGGAAAAACCAAGTATCCCTCGATAAAATCTAGCAAGAATCTCTCTTTTAAACTGCTTTGTGTTGGGTGGATTCATCTCACTATGTAAAAAGGCTTTTTGATGTGTGAATTATTCTCACGGAGTTAAACCTTTCTTTTGATTCAGCAGGTTGGAAACACTCTTTTTGTACAATCTGGAAAGGGACTTTTGGGAGCCTATTTAGGACTTAGGGAGAAACTGAATATCCCCAGATAAAAACTAGGAAGGAACTATCTATGAAACTGATTGATTTGTGATTTATGGATTCTTCTCACAAAGTTAAAACTTTCTTTCGATTCAGCCGTTTGGAAACACTCTTCTTAGAATCTGTGAAGGGACTAATCAGAGTCCATTGAGGCCCATGAGGAGAAATTGAATATCCCCAGATAAAATCTAGAAAGAAGCAACCTGTGAAACTGCTTTGTGTTGGGTCAGTTCATCTTACAAAGTTAAACCTTTCTTTTTGTTAATCAGGCTGGAAACACTCTTTTTGTATAGTCTGAGAAGGGACGTTTTTCAGTCCACTGAGGCCTACAACGACATATCCCCATATAAAATCTAGGAAGAAGTTATCTGTGAATCTGCTTTGTGATGTTTCAATTCATCTCACAGAATTAAACTTTTGTTTTGATTCAGCAGTTTGTAAACACTCTTTTTGTAGAGTACGTGAAGAAACATTTGGGAGCTGATTGAGGCCTATGGGGAAAAACCTAATATCCCCAGAAAAAAGAAGGAAGCTATCTGTGAAACAGTTTTGTGATGTGTGGATTCTTCTCACAGAGTTAAACCTTTCTTTTGATTCTGCATGTTGGAAACATTCCTTTGTAGAATCTGCAAAGGAACATTTGGGATCCCATTGAGGTATATGGGAAAAGACAGAATATTCCCAGGTAAAAACTAGAAAGCAGCTATGTTTGAAACTGCTTGATGAGGTGTGGATTCATCTTACAGAATTAAACCTTTCTTTTGGTTTAGCATGTTGTAAACACTCATTTTGGAGAATCTGAGAAGTGACATTTGAAGTCCATTGAGGCCTGTGGGAAAAAAAAGAGTTTCCCCAGATAAAAACTACAAAGAAGCAATCTGTGAAACTTCTTGTAATGTGTGGATCCATCCATCAAAACTTAACCTTTCCTTTGATTCAGCAGGTTGGAAACACTCTTTCTGTAGAATCTGTGAAAGGACATTTGCGAGCCCATTGAGGCCTAAGGGAAAAGATTGAATATCCCCAAATAAAAACTAGAAAGAAGCTCTCTATTAAACATCTTTGTGATGTGTCAATTTATCTCACAGAGTTGCACCTTTCTTTTGATTCAGCAGGTTGGAAACATTCTTTTTGTAGAATCTGCAAAGGGACTTTTGGTGGCACATTGAGGCCTAAAACGAAAAACCTAATACCCCCAGGTAATAACTAAAAGCAAGCTATCTGGGAAACTACTTTGTGATATGTTGACTCATCTCAAAATGTTTAACATTTCTTTTCATTCAGCAGGTTGTAAAAAGTGTTTTTGTAGAATCTGTGAGGGGACATCTTGGACCCCATTAAAGCCTCGGAAGAAATCAGAATACGCCCAGATAAAAACTTGAAAGAAGCTATCTGTGAAAGAGCTTTCTGATGCGTGGCTTCATCTCACAGAGATAAACCTTTCCTTTGACTCCGAGGGTTGGAAATATTCCTTTTGTAGAATCTGTGAAGGTGCATTTGGAAGCCCATTGTGGCCTATGGAGAAAAACCAAATATCCCCAGATGAAAACTAGAAAGAAGCTATCTGTGAAACTGTTTTGTGATTTGTGGATTCATCTCACAGAGTTAAACTGTTCTTTTGATTCACATTTTGGAAACATTCTTTTTGTAGAATCTCTGAAGGGACTTTTGGGAGTCCATAGAGGAATATGGGAAAAAAGCAAATATAACCAGATAAAAACTAGAAAGAAGCTGTCTGTGAAACTGTTTGGTGATGTTGGAATTCATCTGATAGAGGTTAATTTTTCTTTTGATTAATCCGGTTGGAAACACTGTTTTTGTAGAATCTGTGAAGCGACATTTGGGAGCCCATTGAGGCCTATGGGGAAAATCTGAATATCTCCAGATAAAAAGTAGAAATAAGGTATCTGTGAAAATGCTTGGTGATGCTTGGATTCATCTCACAGAGTTAAACCTTTATTTTGATTCAGCAGGTTTGAAACACTCTTTTTGTGCAATCTGTGAAGGAACATTTGGGAGTCATTGAGGCCTATGGAGAAAAACAGCATATCCCCACATAAAAACTAGAAAGAAGCTGTCTGTGAAACTGCTTTGTGATTTGTGGATTCATCTCACAGTTAAATGTTTCTTTTGATTCAGCAGGTTGGAAATACTCTTTTTGTAGAATCTTGGAAGTGACATTTGGGAGCCCATTGAGGCCTATAGGGAAAAAATGAATATCCTCAGATAAAAACTAGAAAGAAGCTTTCCATGAAACTGTTGGATGATGTCAGGATTCATCTGACAGAGTTAATTTTTTCTTTTGATTAACCCCTTTGGAAACACTCTTTTTGTAGAGTCTGTGAAGGGATATTTGGAAGCCCATTGTGGCCTATGGGGAAAACACAAATATCCCCAGATGAAAACTAGAAAGAAGCTATCATTGAAACTGCTTTGGTACTTGTGGAGTGATCTCACAGGTTTAAATTATTTCTTGTTTCGGCATATTGGAAACACTCTTTTTGTAGAAGCTGTGATGGGAGATTTGAAAGCCCAATGATGCCTATGGGGAAAAACCGAATATCCCCAGATAAAAACTACAAAGAAGTGGTCTGTGAAACTGGTTTCTGATGTGTTCATTCATCTCACAGGGTTAAACCTTTCTTTTTATTCAGCCAGGTGGAAACTCTCTTTTTGTAGAATTGGCAAAGGGACTTTTAAGAGCCCTTTGAGGCCTATAGGGAAGAACAGAATAGCCTAAGATAAGGACTAGAAAGAAGTTATATGTGAAACTGCTTTGTGATGTGTGGATTCATTTCACACCAATAAACCTTTCCTCTGATTCAGCAGGTTGGAAACACTCTTATTGTAGAGTTTGTGAAGGGACATTTTGGAGCCCATTGAGGCTTATGGGGAAAATCTGAGTATCCCTAGGTAAAAACTAGAAAGAATCTATCTCTGAAACTGCTTGGTGATGTGTGGATTGATCTCACAGAGTTAAACGTTTCTTTTGATTCAGCAGGTTTGGAAAATTTCTTTGTAGAATCTGTGAAGGCAATTTTTGGAGTCCACTAAGATTTACAGGGAAAAATCAAATATCCCCATATAAAAACTAGAAAGAAGCAATCTGTGAAACTATTTAGTGATGTGTGGATTCAACTCATGAAGGTAAACCATTCTTTTGACCCAGCAGGTTGGAAAAACACATTCTGTAGAATCTGTGAAGGGACATTTGGGAGCCCTTTGAGGCCTAAGGGAAAAGACTGAATATCCCCAGATCAAAACTAGAAAGGAGCTATCTATGAAACTGCTTTGTTATGTGTCGATTCATCTCACAGAGTTACACTTTCCTTTTGATTCAGCAGGTTGGAAACATTCTTTTTGTAGGATCTGCCAAGGGACATTTGGGAGCCCTTTGAGGCCTATGGGGAAAAACACAATATCCTCAGATAAAAACTAGAAAGAAGCTATCTGTGAAACTGCTTAGTGATTTGTGCATTCATATCAAACAGTTGAACCTTTCTTTTTATTCATCTGGTTGGAAGCAACTTTTTGCAGAATTTGTGAATGGGCATTCGGAAGACCATTGTGGTTTATGTTGAAAAAGCAAATATCTCCAGATAAAACCCAGAGAGAAGCTGTAAGTGAGACTGCTTTGTGATGCTTGGATTCATCTCACAGAGTTAAACCTTTCTTTTTATTCAGCAGGTTGGAAACACATTTTTTGTAGAATCTGCAAAGGGACATTTTGGAGCCCATTGAGGCCTGTGGTGAAAAACTGAATATCCTTAGATAAATAGTAGAAAAAAGCTATCAGTGAAACTGCTTTGTAATGTGTGGATTCACCTCAAATATTTAAACATTTATTTTGATTCAGCAGGTTGGAAGCACTCTTTTTGTGGAATCTCTGAAAGGACATTTAAGAGACCATTGTTGCCTTTTGGGAAAAATAGAATATCCCCAGATAAAAACTAGAGAGAAGCTTTTTGTGAAACTACTTTCTGATGTGTAGATTCATCTCACAGTGTTGAACGTTTCTTTTGATTCAGCAGGTGGTAAATTCTTTTTTTGTGTAATCTCTGAAAAAAATATTTGGGAGCCCATTGAAGCCTAGGGGGAAAAACAGAATATCTACAGACAACAACTAGGAAGGAGTTATCTGTGAAAGTGGCTTTTGTAGTGTATGTTCATCTTGCATTGTTAAACCTTTTTTTTGATTCAGCAACTTGGAAACACTCTTGCTGTAGAATATGCAAAAGGGATATTTTGGAGCGTTTTGAGGCATATGGGGAAAAACCAAATATCCCTAGATAAAAAGTAGAAGGAGGCTGCTTTGTGATGTGTGGTCTCATCTCACAGATGATTCCATTCTTTTTATTTGGCAGTTTGGAAACAACTTTTTGTAAAATCTGTGAAGGGATATTCGAGAGCCCATTGAGGCCTATATTTATAAAGCAGATATCCCCAGATTAAACCTAGAAAGAAGCTATAAGTGAAACTGCTTTGTGATGTGCAGATTCATCTCACAGAGCTAAACATTTCTTTTGATTTGACATGTTGGAAACACTCTTTTTGTAGAATCTGCAAAACCACATTTGGGAGTCCACTGAGGCCTATGGGGAAAAAATATAATACCCCCAGAAAATAACTAGAAAGAAACTCTGCGTGAAACTGCTTGGTCATGTATAAATTCATCTCACAAATTAACCTTTTTTTTTTCATTCAGCTCCTTGGAAACACTCATGGTGTAGAATTTGCCAAGGGATATCTTGGAACTCATTGAGGCATATGGGTAAACAAAGCATCCTTAGATAAAAACTAGAAAGGAGCTATATGTGAAACTGCTTTGTGATAATTGGACTCATCTCACAGAAGTAAACCTCTCTTTTGATACAGCATATTGGAAACAACTTTTTGTAGGATCTCCAAAGGGACATTCAAGAGCCCTTTGAAGCCTGTGTTGAAAAAGGGAATATCCCCACATAAAACCAAAAAAGAAGCTATAAATGAAACTGCTTTGTGATGCGTGGATTCAACTCACAGAATAAAATCTTTCTTTTGATTCAGCATGTTGGAACACTCTTTTTGTAGAATCTGTGAAGGAACATTTGGGAGCCCACTGAGGCCTACGGGGAAATATAGAATATCTCCAGATAAAAACTAGAAAGAAACACTGTGTGAAACTGCTTTGTCATGTGTGAATTCATCTCACAGAATTAAACTTTTCTTTTCATTCAGATGGTTGGAAACTCTCATTTTTTAGAATCTGCAAAGTGATATTTGGGAGCCCATTGAGGTGCATGGGGAAAAAATCTAATACACCCAGATAAAAACTAGAGAAAACCTCTTTGTTAAAGTGCTTTGTGATGTGTGGATTCATGTCAGAGACTTAACTGTTTCTTTTGATACAGCAGGTTGGAAACACTCTGTAGAATCTGAGAAGGGATATTTGGCCACCCATTGAGGCCTATGGGAAAAAACTGAATATCCCCAGATAAAAACTAGAAAGAATCAATCTGTGGAAATGCTCTGTGATGTGTAGATGATTCATCTCAAAGAGTTAAACCTTTCTTCTGATTCAGCAGGTTGGAAACACTCTTTTTGTATAATCTGTGAAGGAACATTTGGTAGCTTACTGAAGTCTGTGGGAAATAATAAACGAATTTCCTCAGATAGAAATTTCCCCAGATAGACATATTTATCTCCAAATAGAAACTACAGAGAAGATCTCTGTGAAACTGCTTGCTGATGTGTGGATTCATGTCACAGAGTTAAACCTGTCTTTTCCTCAGCAGGTTGGAAACACACCTTTTGTAGAATCTGCAAATAACCTTTGGGTACCCATTGAGGCCTATGGGGAAAAACAGAATATCCCCAGGTAAAAACTAGAAAGAAACTATCTGTGAAAGTGCTTTGTGATGTGTGGATAATTCACACAGTGTTAAATGTGACTTTTAATTCAGCAGGCTGGAAACATTCTTTTTGTATCACCTGCGATGTGTAATTTTTTAGCCAATTGGCAGCTATGGGTAAAAACCAAATATCTTCAGATAAAAACTAGAAAGAAGCTATCTGTGAAACTGCTTCATGATGTGTGGCTTCATCTCACAGAGTTAAAACTTTCTTTTGATTCAGCAGGTTGAAAACACTTTATTTGTAGAATCTGTGAAGGTACATTTGGCAGCCCATTGAGGCCCATGGGGAAAAATGGAACATCCCCAGAGAAAAACTTGAAAGAAACTAACTTTGACACTGCTTGGTGATGTGAGCATTCATCTCACACAGTTAAGCCTTTCTTTTGATTCAACAGATTGGAAACACACTTTTTGTAGAATCTGTGAAGAAACATGCGATAGCCCTTTGCGGCTTATGGGGAAAAATAGAACATTTCAAGACAAAAACTAGGAAGAAGCAGTCTGTGAAACTACTTGGTGATGTTTAGATACATCTCACAGAGATAAACCTTACTTTTTATTCAACTGGTTGAAAATACTATTTTTCTGGACTCTGTGAAGGGACATTTGGTAGCCCATATAGGCCTGTGGGAAAAAAACAATTATCCCCAAACAAAAACATGAAAAAGCAATCTATGAAACTGCTTGGTGTTGAGTAGATTCATCTCAAAGAGTTAAACTTGTCCTTTGATTAACCAGGTTGGAAACACTCTTTTCTAGAATCTCTGAAGGGACATTTGGCAGCCCTTTGAGGCCTAAGGGGAAAAGTTGAATATCCTGAAGGAAAAAGTAGAAAGAAATGATCTCTGAAACTGCTTTGTGAGGTGTGGTTTATATCACACAGTTAAACTTTTATTCTGATTCAGCAGGTTGGAAAACTCTTTTTGTAGAATCTGCAAAGGGTGATTAGGGAGCAATTTGAGGTCTATGGAATAAAAAACGAATATCCCCAGTGAAAAATGAGAAAGAAGCTATCTGTGAAACTTCTTGGTGAAGGGTGGATTCAACTCACAGAGTTAAACCTGTCTTTTGATTTAGCATGTTGGAAACACACTTTTTGTAGATTCTGTGAGGAGACATTTGGGACCCCATTGTGGCCTAAGGAGAAAAAATGAATATCCCCAGACAAAACTAGAAAGAAGCTATCTCTGAAACTGCTTGGTGATGTGTGGATTATTCTCACAGAGTTAAACGTTTCTTTTGATTCAGCAGTTTGGAAGCACTGCTTTTTTATAACCTGCTAAGGGACATTTATAAGCCCATTGATGCCTCTGGGGAAAATCCAAATATCACCAGATAAAAACTAGAAAGAAGCTATCTGTGAAACTGCTTGGTGATGTGTGGATTCATCTCAAAGAGTTAAACCTTTCTTTTGAGTGAGCAGGTTGGAAACACTCTTTTTGTACAATCCCTGATGGGACATTTGGGAGCCCATTGTGGCCTATGGGAAAAAACCCAATGTCCCAAGAAAAAAAATAGAAACAAGCTCTCAGTGAAATTCCTTGGTGATGTTTAAATTCATCTCACAGAGTGAAAACTTTCTTTTGATTAAGCAAGTTGAGAACACTTTTTTTGTAGAATCTGCAAAGGGACATTTGGGAGCCCATTGAGGCCTTAGTGGAAAAATAGAAAATCCACAGATAAAAACTAGAAAGAAGCTATCTGTGAAACTGCTTGGAGATGTGTGGATTCATCTCACAAATTTAAACCTTTCTTTTCATTCAGCAGGTTGGAAACTCTTTTTGTAGAATTTTCAAATGGACTCATGGGAACCCATTGAGGACTAAAAGGAAAAACTGAACTTCCCTAGATAAAAACTAGAAAGCAGCTATCTGTGAAACTGCTTTTTGTTGTATGGATTAATCTGAAAGAGTTAAACCTTTCTTTGGATTGAGAAGTTTGGAAATTTTCTTTTTGTAGGATCTGCCAAGAAATATGTGGGAGTCCATTGAGGCCTATGGAAAAAACTGAATAGTTCAAGATAAAAATTAGAAAAAAATTATCTGTGAAACTCCTTGATGATGTGTGGATTCATCTCACAGAGTTAAAGTATTCTTTTGAGTCAGAAGATTGGAAACACTTTTTTAAAAGAATCTATGAAGGGATATTTGGGAGCCCATTGAGGCCTATGCAAGAAAACAGAATATCCCCAGATGAAAACTAGAAAAAAGCTCTCAGTGAAACTGCTTTGTGATGTGTTGATTCTTTTCATGAGGTAAAACTTTTTTTTGATTCAACAGGTTGGAAACACTCTTTTTGTAGAATCTGCAGAGGTACATTTGGGAGCCTGTTGAGGCCTATGTTGAAAAACAAAATATCCTCAGATAAAAGCTAGAAAGAAGCTGTCTGTGAAACTGCTTGGTAATGTGTGGATTCATCTCACAGAGTTAAATCTTTCTTTTGATTCAGTAGTTTTGAAACCCTCCTTTGTAGAGGCTCTGAAGGGGCACTTAGAAGCCCTTTGAGGCCTATGGGGAAATATGGAATATCCCCAGATAAACACTGGAAAGAAGATATCTGTGAAACTGCTTTGTGATGTGTCAATTCATCTCAGATTATAAAACATTCTTTTTGATTCAGCCGATTGGAAACATCTTTTTGTAGCATCTGCGAAGGGACATTTGGAAGCCCATTGAAGCCTATGGGGAATATTGAATATCCCCAGATAAAAAGTAGAAGGAAGCTGTCTGTGAAATGGCTTCATTATGTTTGGATTCAACTGACAGAGTCAAACCTTTCTTTTCATTGAGCAGTTTGGAATGACTTTTTTGTAGAACCTGTGAAGAGACATGTGAATGTCCATTGAGGTCTATTGGAAAAAAACAAATATCCCCAGATAAAAACTAGAAAGAAGCTATCTGTGAAACTGCTTGGGATTCATCTCACAGAGTTAAACCATACTTTTAATTCAGCAGGTTGAAAACTATCTTTTTGTAGAATCTGCAAAGGGACACTTTGGAGCCCATCGAGGTCTGTGAGGAAAAACCAAATATCCCCAGATAAACACGAGAAACAAACCCAGTAAAACTGCTTTGTGATATGTGGATTCATCTCTCAGAGTTCAAACTTTCCTTGGATTTGGCAGTTTGGAATCACTTTTTTTGTAGAATCTGCTAAGGGACAGTTGGGAGTCCATTGAGTACTGTCAGGGAAAGCAAAGTATCCCCAGATAAAAATTAAGAAGAAGTTATCTGTGAAACTGCTTGGTGATGTGTGGATTCATCTCACAGAGTTAAACCTTTCTTTTCATTCAGCAGGTTGGAAACACTGTTTGTAGAATTTGCAAAGGGAAATTTGACAGCCCATTGAGGCCTATGGGGCAAAACCGAATATCACAAGATATAAACTAGAAAGAAGCTATCTATGAAAGTGCTTTGTGATGTGTGGATTCATCTCACAGATTTAAACTTTTCTTTTAATTCAGCAGGTTGGAAACACTATTTTTTTAGAATCTTCAAAGGGACACCTGGGAGCGTATTATGGCCTATGGGAAAAAACTGAAAATCCACAGATAAAAAGTACAAAGTATGTATCTGTGAAACTACTTGGTGATATGTGGATCATTTCATAAAGTTAAAATTTTATTTTGATAAAGCAGCTTTGAAACCCTTTTTTTTTTGTGGAATCTGAAAGCTGACATATAAGAGCCCTTTGAGGGCTATTGGAAAAAAAAAACAATATCCCCAGATAAAAACTGGAAAGAAGCTATCTGTGAAACGGCTTGGTGATGTGTGCATTCATCACACAGAGTTAAACCATTATTTCAATTCAGAGCGTTGGAAATACTTTTTTTTTAAGGAATCTATGAAGGGATATGTGGGAGCCAATTGGGTCCTATGGGGGAAAAACGAATATCTCCATATAAGTAATAGAAAGAGACTATCCATAAAAGTGCTTGGTGATGCTTGGAATCATCTCACACCTTTAAAACTTTTTTATGTTTCGGCAGTTAGGAAACACTCTTTTTGTAGAATCTTGAAGGTGCATATGAGAGCCCATTGAGGCCTATGGGAAAAAAGAGAATATCCCCAGATAAAAAAATGGATAGAAGCAATCTGTGAAATTGCTTGCTGATGTGTGGATTTATCTGACAGTCTAAAACCTTTCTTTTGATTTGGCAGGTTGGAAACACTCTTTTTGTTGAATCTGTGTAGTTACATTCATGAGCACATTGAAGCCTAGGTGGAAAACAGAATATCCCCAGATAAAAACTAGAAAGAAGCTATCTGTGAAACTGCTTGGTGATGTGGGCATTCATCTCATAGAGGTAAACCTTTCTTTAGATTCAGCAGGTTGCAGACACTCTTTTTGTAGAATCTGCAGGGTGACTTTTGGCAGTCCATTGAGACCTATAAAGAAAAAGCAAATTTCCCCAGATAAAACTTGAAGGAAACTATCATCTATGAAACTCCTTGGTGATGTGTGGATTCATCTCAAACAGGTAAACTTCTCTTGTTTCAGAGGTTAGAAACACATTTTTTGTAGTATGTGGGAAGGGACATTTGGTAGCCCATTGAGGTCTCTGGGGAAAAACCTAATATTCTGATAAAAACTAGCAAAAAGCTATCTGTTAAACTGCTTCTTGATGTGTGGATTCATCTCAGAGAGTTAAACCTTTGTTGTGATTCAGCAGGTTGGAAAGACTCTTTTTGTACTATCTGCAAAGGGACATTTGGAGCCCATTGAAACCTATGGGGAAAAACGGAATATCCCTAGATAAAAACTAGAAAGAAGCTATCTGTGAAACTGTTTTGTGATGTGTGGACTCATCTCACAGAGTTAAACCTTTCTTTACATTTAGCAGGTTGGAAACACTCTTTTTGTAGAATCTGCGAAGGGACATTTGGGAGCCCCTTGAGACCTATGGGGAAAAACCAAATATCCCAAGATAATAACTTGAAGAAACTATCTGTGAAACTGTTTGTAGACGTCTAATTCATCTCACAGAGTGAAATCTTTGTTTTTTTTTCTGTATGTTCGAAACACTCCTCTTGGAGGATCTGTGAAGGGTCTTTTGGAAGCCCATTGAGCCATATAGGGAAATATGGAATATCCTCAGATAAACACTGGAAAGAAGCTATCAGTGAAACTGCTTCATGATGTGTGGATTCATCTCAAAGAGTAAAACTTTTTTTTTTGTTTCAACAGGTTGGAAATACTCTTCTTGTAGAATCTGTGAAGGGACTTTTGGGAGCCCTCTGGGGCCTATGGGGAAAAACTGAATATCCCAAAAGAAAAACTAGAAAGAAGTGATCTCTGAAACTGCTTGTGGTTGTTTGGATTCATCTCACAGAGTCAAACCTTTCTTTTGATTGAGCAGGTTGGAAAGACTCTTTTAGTAGAACATATGAAGGGGCATTTGGGAGCCCACTGAGATCTATGGAAAAAAAAACGAATATCCCCACATAAACACTATAAAGAATATGTCTGTGAAACTGCTTGGAGATGAGTGCATTAGTCTCATAGAATTAAAACTGTCTTTTGATTCAACAGGTAAGAAACACTCTATCTCTAGAATCTGTGAAGGGGTATTTGGAAGCCCTTTGAGAACTATATGGAAAAACTGAATATCCCCAAACAAAAACTAGGAAGAAACTATCTGTGAAACTAACTGCTTTGGGATGTGTGGTTTCATCTCACAGAGATAAACTTTTTTTAGATTCAAAAGATTGGAAGCAGATTTTTGTAGAATCTGCAAAGGGATATTTGAAAGCCATTTGAGGTGTATGAAAAAAAAGGATATCCCCAGGTAAAAACTGGAGGGAAGCCCTCTGTGAAACTATTTGGTGATGTGTGGATTATTCTCACAGAAGTAAACGTCTCTTTTCATTCAGCAGGTTTGAAAAACTCTTTCTATATAATCTGTCAAGGGATATTTTTTAGCCCATTGATGCCAATATGGAAAAATACAATATCCCCAGATAAAAAGTAGAAAGAAGCTGTCTGTGAAACTGCTTGGTGAGGTATGGATTCATCCCACAGAGTTCAAACTTTCTTTTCATTGAGCAAGTTGGAAGCACTCTTTTTGTAGAATCTGCAAAGGGACATTTTGGAGCCCACTTAGGCCTATGGGGAGAAACAGAATATCCCCAGCAAAGCACTAGAAAGAAGCTGTCTGTGAAAGTGCTTGGTGATGTGAAAATTCATCTCACAGAGTTAAAGCTTTCTATTGATTCAGCAGTTTGGAAAACTCTTTTTGTATCATCTGTGATGGGACATTTGGGAGTCCTTTGAAGCCTATGGGGGAAAAACTGAATATCCCCCAATAAAAACTGGAAAGAGGGTACTTTGAAATTGCTTGCTGATGTTTCACTACATCTCACAGAGTTAAACCTGTCTTCTCATTGAGCAGGTTGGATACACTCTTTTCGTAGAATCTGTGAGGAGCCATATGGGAGCTTTTTGAGGGCTTTGGGGAAAAACCGAATATCCCCAGATAAAAACTAGAAAGACGCTGTCTATGAGTCTGTTTGGGGATGTGTAGATTCATCTCAAAGAGTTAAACCTGTCTTTTGTTTGAGCATGTTGGAAACATTCTTTTTGTAGAATTTTCAAAGGGATATTACAGGGCCCATTTAGGCCTGTGAAGAAAATGAATATCCCCAGATAAAAAATAGAAAGAAGCCATCTGTGAGTCTGCTTAGTGGTGAGTGGATTCAGCTCACAGAGTTAAACCCTTCTTTTGATTTGATGGGTTGAAAACACTTTTTTTGTAGAATCTGCTAAGAGACATTTGGGAGCCCTTTGAGGTCTATAGGGAAAAACCGAATAACCCAAGTAAAAACTAGAGAGAAACTACCTGTGACTGCTTGGAGATTTGTGGATTTTTCTCACAGAGTTAAACTTTTTTTTTTTTTTTTTTTTTTAATCAGCAGGTGTAAAACACTGTTTTTGTAGCATCTGCAAAGGGATATTTGGGAGCCCTCTGAGGCCAATGGGGAAAAACCGAATATTCCTAGATAAAAACTAGATAAAAATTCCTAGATAAAAATCTGCAAAGTGCTCTTTTGGAGCCCTTTTAGGCCTAGGGGATAAAGCCAATCATCCTGAGTTAAAAACTAGAAGGAAGCTATCTGTAGAACTGCTTGGTGATGTGTGGATTCATCTCACAGAGTTAAACATTTCTTGTAATTCTGCAGGTTGGAAACACTCTTTTTGTAGTATCTCCAAAGGGACATTTTAAGCTAATTGTGGCCTTGGGGGAAAAAATATATATCCCCAAATAAAAACTGGGAAGAAGATATCTGTGAAATTCCTAGGTAATGTGTGGATTCACCACACAGAGTAAAAATTGTCTTTTGATTCAGCAGGTGGAAAATACCCTTTTTGTTGTATATGTGAATTGACTTGGGAGCCCATTGAAGCCTATGGGGAAAAACAGAATATCCCCAGATAAAAACTATAAGAGGCTATCTGTGAAACTGCTTGGTGATGTGTGGATTCAGCTCACAGAGTTAAACCTTTCTTTAGATTTGGCAGTTTGAAAACAATCTTTTTGTAGAATCTGTCAAAAGAGATTTTGGAGCCAATTGAGGCCTGTGTTAAAAAAAATGAATATCCCCAGATAGATAAAAACTATAAATAAGCTATCCTGAAAGTGCTTTCTGATGTGTGGATTCATCTCACATAGTTAAAACTTTTCTTTGATTCAGCACGTGGGAAACACACTTTTTGTAGAATCTGTGAAGGGAATTTTTGAAGCCTTATGAGGACTATGGGGAAAAATCGAGTATCCCCATATAAAAAGTAGAAAGAAGCAATCTGTGAAACCATTTGGTGATGTGTGGATTCATGTTACAGAGTTAAAACTTTCCTTTGGTTCAGCGTGTCAAAAACACTCTTTTTGTAGAATCTGCAAAGGGATATTTGGGAGCCCACGAGGCATATAGGGAAAGACTGAATATCCACAGATAAAAACAAGAAAGAAGCTAACGGTGAAACTGCATTATGATACGTCAATTTATCTCAAAGTGTTTAACCTTTCTTTTGATTCAGCAGGTTGAAAACACCCTTTTTGTAGAATCTGCAAAAAGACATTTTGAAATCCATTGAGTCTATGGGGAAAAAACAAATATTCCCGGTAAAAAAAATAGGAAGAAGCAATCAGTGAAGCTGCTTGGTGATATAGGGATTTATTTCACAGAGATATACCTTTCTTTTGATTCATCAGTTTGGAACCACTCTTTTTGGAGAATCTGTGAAGCGACATTTTGGAGCCCATTGAGGCCTATGGGGAATAAATGAATATCCCCAGATGAAAACTACAAAGAAAATACCTGTGAAACTGCTTTGTGAAGTGTTTATTCATCTCACAGAGTTTAACTTTTCTTTTGATTCAGCAGGTTGGAAACACTATTTTTGAAGAATCTGCAAAGGGATATTTGGGAGCCCATTGAGACCTAGGAAGAAAAACCGAGAATTTCCAGATACAAACCAGAAAGAATCTATCTGTGAATCTGATTGTGATATACAGATTCATCTCACAGAGTTAAAACATTATTTTGATTCAGCAGGTTGGAAAAACTCTTCTTGTAGAATCTGCAAAGCGACATTTGGGAACCATTTAAGGCCCATGGGGAAAAACTGAATACCCTAACATAAAAACTAGAAAGAAGCTATCTGTGAAACTGTTTTGTGATGTGTGGATTCATCTTACAGCGTTAAAACTTTCTTTTGATTCAGAAGGTTGGAAACACTCTTTTTGTAAAATCTATGAAGGGACATTTGGAGCCCAGTGAGGACTATGGAAAAACTGAATATACTCAGATAGAAAGTAGAAAAAAACTATCTGTAAATGGCTTAATTATGTGTGGATTCATCTCACAGGGTTAAAATTTTCTTTTGATTCAGCAGGTTGGAAATACTCTTTTTGTAGAAACTGGGAAGGGACATTTTGAAGCCCATTGAGGCCTGTGGGAAAAAACAGAATATCCCTACACAAAAACTAGAAAGAACGTGTCTGTGAAACTGCTTTGAGAATAGTAAATTCATCTCAAAGAGTTCAAACTTTTTTTTTTATTCAGAAGGTTGAAAACACTCTTTTTGTAGAATCTGTGAAGAAACATTTGGGAGCCCACTGAGGCCTATGGGGAAATCTGAATATTCCCTGAAAAAACTAGAAAGAAGTTATCTGTGAAATTGCTTGGGGATGTGTGGATTCATCTCACAGAGTTAAAACTTTCTTTTGATTTAGCAGGTTGGAAACTCTTTTTGTAGAATATGTGAGGAAACATTTGAAAGCCCATTGAGGCCTGTGGAGAAAAAATGATTATCCCTAGATAAAAACTAGAAAGATCTATCTGTGAAACTACTTTGTGAGGTGTGGATTCATCTCACAAAGATAAACCATTCTTTTGATTCAGCATTTTGGAAAGAGTCTTTTTGTAGAATCTGTGATGGGAGTTTTCAGATCCTATTGAGGCATATGGGGAGAAACCGAATATACCTCAAAAAAAAAAAAAAAAACTGGAAAGAATCTCTCTGTGAAACTGCTTTGTGATGTGTGGATTCATCAAACAGAATTAAACCTTCCTTTTTATTCAGCAGGTTGGAAACACTTTTTCTAGAGTCTGTTAAAGGACATTTGGGAGTCCATTGAGGCATTGGGGGAAAAACGGAAAATCCCAAGATACAAACTAAAAGCAAGTTTTCTGTGAAACTGCTTGGTGACGTGTGTCTTCATCTCAAAGAGTTAAACATTTTTTTTTGTTTCAGCACTTTTAAAACCTTTTTTTTTGTACAATCTGCAAAGGTATATTTGGGACTTGAGTCCTATGGGGAAAAATCCAATATCTTCAGATAAAAACTAGAAACAAGATAACTGTGAAACTCCTTGGGATGTGTGGATTAATCTCAGAGAATTAAACCTTTCCTTTGATTCCACATATTGGCAACACTCTTTTTATTGAAACTGTGAAGGGACATTTGGGAGCCAATTCAGGCATATTAGGAAAACAGAATATATCCAGATAAAAACGATAATGAAGCTACCTTTTAAACTGCTTTATGATGCGTGGATTCATCTCACAGAGTTAAACTTGTCTTTTTATTCAGCAGCTTGGAAACACTCTTCTTGTACAATCTGTGAAGGGTCTTTTGAGAGCCCATGGAAACATATGGGGAAAAACAGAATATCCCCAATAAAAACTTGACAGAAACTAGCTGTGAAACTATTTTGTGATGTGTGGATTCGTCTCACAGGATTAAACCTTTTTTTTTTATATTCGCAGTTTGGAAACACTCTTTTGTAGAATCTGCTAAGAAACATTTGGGAGCACATTAGGGTCTATGGGGAAAAATGGAATATCCCCAAATAAAAACCAGAAAGAAGCTATCTGTGAAACTGCTTTGGGTTTGTGGATTATTCTCACAGAGCCAACCCTTTTGTTAATTCAGCAGCTTGGAAAGATTCTTTTTATAGAATCTGTGAAGGGACATTTGGGAGCCCATTTAGGCTTAAAAGGAAAGACCGAATACCTTCACATAAAAAGTAGAAAGAAGATATCTGGGAAAGTGCTTTGGATTTGTGTATTCGTCTCATAGAATTAATCCTTTTTTTATTCAACAGGCTGGAAATAATCTTTTTTAGAATCAGCAACAGGACGTTTGGGAGAACATTGAGGCTTATGGAAAAAATCAAAATATCCCCAGGTTACTAAAAAAAAAAAGAAAGTAGCTGAAAAACTGCTTGGGGATGTGTGGATTAAACTTGCAGAATTAAACCCTTTTTTTGATTCAGCAGGTCGGAAACACACTTTTTGTAGAATCTGCAAAGGGATATTTGGGAGTGCTTTGAAACGTAAGGAGAAAAACTGAATATCCCCAGATAAAAACTAGAAAGAAACTAACTGTGAGACTGCTTAATGACGTGTTTATTCAATGCACAGAGTTAAACTTTTATTTTAATTCAGCAGGTTGGAAACACCGTTTTTATAGAATCTGCAAAGGGACATTTGGGAGCCCATTGAGGCCTATGGGAAAAAGCCGAATATCCACAGATAAAAACTAGAAAGAAGCTATCATCTGTGAAACTGCTTGGTGATGTGTGGATTCATCTCATAGAGTCAAACCTTTCCTTTGATTCAGCAGGTTGGAAGTACTATTTTTGTAGAATCTGTGAATGGACATTAGGGAGCCCATTGAGTCATATGGGGAAAAAATGAATATTCCCAGATAAACACTGAAAGTAAGGTATCTGTGAAACTGCTTTGTGATGTCTTGATACACCTCAAAGAATTATACATTTCTTGATTCAGCAGGTTGGAAACAATCTTCTTGTAGAATCCGTGAAGTGATGTTTGGGAGCCCATTGTTACCTAAGGAGAAAAAAGGAATGTCCCCAGTAAAAACTAGAATGAAACTATCTGTGAAACAGCTTTGTGATGTGTGGATTCATTTCACAGAGTAAAAACTTTCTTTTAATTCCACAGGTTAAAAATACTCTTTTTATAGACTCTGCAAAGGGACATTTGGGAACCCATTGTGGCCTATGGGGATAAATGAAATATCCCCAGATAAAAAATAGAAAAAAGCTATTTGTGAAACTGCTTTTTGATGTGTGGATTCAACACACAAAGTTAAAACTTTGCTTTTGTTCAGCAGGTCGAAACACTCTTTTTGTAAAATCTGTGAAGGGACATTTTGGAGCCCTTTGAAGCCTATGGGGAAAAACAGAATATCCACAGATACAAACTAGAAAGAAGCTAGCTGTGAAACTGCTTTGTGATGTGTGGGTTCATGTCACAGAGTTAAATCTTTCTTTTGATTCAACAGGTTGGAAGCACTCTTTTACTAGAATCTGCAAGGGAACTTTTGGGAGCCTATTGTGGCCTATGGGGAAAATCAGAATATCTCCAGATGAAAACTAGAAAGTAACTATCTGTGAAACTGCTTTGTTTAGTGTCGATTCATCTCAGAGAGTTTAATCTTTCTTTGATTCAGCAGGTTGGAAACACTCTTTCTGTAGAATATGTGAAGGGACATTTTTGAGCCCTTTGAGGCCAAAAGGAATAAACTAAATATCCCCATATAAAAACTAGAAAGAAGCTATATGTGAAACTGACTTGTGATGTGTTGATTCAGGTCACAGAGTTACACCTTTCCTTTGAATCAGCAGGTTGGAAACTCTCTTTTTATAGAATCTGCTAAGGGACATTTGGGAATCCATTGATTCTTACGGGGAGGAACCGAATATTCCAAGTTGGAAACTAGAAAGAAGCTATCTGTGAAACTGCTTCATGATGTGTGCATTCATCTCACAGAGGTAAACTGTTCTTTTGATTCAGCAGGTTGGAAACACTCTTTTTGTAGAATCTGCAAAGGTACATTTTAAATGCCATTGAAACCTATTAGGAAAAACTAAATACCTCTAGGTAAAAACTAGAAAGTGTAGGGAGACCCCCTGAAACGGTTGCTACAGAACAAAGGAATGAAATGTTCTTAATCATTGTAAATAAAATATTAAATACAGGATTGTCACAAAGACAATGTGGGGTTGGGCTGTGTGTGATGTTCTTCCCACTGCAGAGAGCCTATAAACGGTTGCAGATCTGGAGGATTCACATCACCAAGATTCCTATCCCAGAAAAGCAGATGTTCATAGCTCTGGGAATGGAATGAAACCTTTGTGGAAAGCCTATAAACGAATGCATGAGGGGCGCCTGTTCTCATGGATAAGATAGAGCTATAAACGCCCTTATCTTACAGTGGCTCTTCTAGGCCTCTTTAGGGTTAAAGCCTACACTCTTCTGAGAATTTGTCATCTAACCGGTTGTCTAGTTTCACGTCCTGTTTCTATTAATTGTTTGCAACTACCTTCTGCTGCAGCTGCTGCTGCTGATTAGTATCTTGCTAAACATAGGTTGTGGGTAGAATTTATTCCTACTTTATAGGTCTGTTAAACTGCTGATGCACACACTATATTGTAAAAGCTTATCTTTTGTAAACCTATACTTTGGATGACAAGAAGTTACTTCATCCCCATGTGATCATCTCACCCCACAATCATACGACCCCAAACCCTTCACTGTTTCACCCCCTCCCTCACTAAACCTGATAATAAATGCTGGTATATCCAGTGAATTGGTGGTATTGCAAGACCAGAAGGCAGTGACCCCCTTAGACCCAGGTTTCTCTCTATTTTTTGTGTATCTCTTATTTCTCGACCTGCTGATCCACCTTGGGGCAAAGAGAGAGCCCTGTTGTATTGCAGGCCACTGGCTGGTGTCTGACATGGTGTTCTTCATTCCCTGACTCAGTGCACTGTGAGTGTGGTTCAAGACGACCAGTCTATGGTCTTGACAGTAAGGTCTCTGGTTATGCTTTTTTTCTGAGTTTCCCCTTTTCTGTGGGTTTGTTGACTGGTATTATTCCAGGGCAAATATGGGACAATCACAGTCTAAACACCAGGCTTATTTTTCCTTTATTAAACTTCTTTTAAAACAGGGTGGAATTAAGGCTGATACTCATACCTTAATTATCTTATTTCAGACTATTGAAAAACATTGTCCCTGGTTTCCAGATAAAGGTTCTATGGACCTTTTGGATTGAGACCACTTTGGTGCTATGCTCTGCCAACTTATGAAAGATGGCGTTTTTCTTCCTGTTTCTGTTTGGACTGATTGGGATCTTATTCGTGTTGCTTTACTTCCTTTTCAGTCTGGTGATCCTTTACAACTGCCACAATTTAACACAGCCAGTGAGCCACTTCTTTTACCTCATGTTCCTGAACCCTTCTGAGTCCTCCTTCTGATGATGAGCAAGAATTCATTCTTTTCTTTCTTTATCCTCCTGAGGAAAAACCTATATATGCTAACAATTCTTCTTCTAAGCCGCTGCCCTCTGTGCCAGAAGAGGACGTGTAACATTCAACTGAGTGGCCTGTTTCTTGATCTTCTCATCCTTTTGGACCACTCCCCTCCGCTAAGCCTACTGTTTCTTTCAATGCCATGGGACCCCCTCTTTCAGAGGCTTGGAATACCATGTCCCCCCAGTCCATATCCTGGCAGTCTTGCTCTCCTCCTCTCTTTTCCTCTGCCTCATCTAGATCTATCCATACCTCAATTCAAGAGGCGATGGTAGAGCTAGGGCTTCTGGTGGCATGGACGCCTGGCAATTCACCATAGCCATGACACCTAAGACCAAAGGCACTGGCGAAAGTGCCAAAGGAACTTCTAAAGGTAGCAAATATTAGGAGACTTTTTCTTTACAATAACTTAAATATTTTAAAGCAGCTTGTGATCAATATGGACCAAACTCTCCCTACCTTATGACTGTTTTACCTTCTCTTACCACTGAAAAACAACTTGTCCCTATTGATTGGAATCTGTCATCTCATGCTCCTCTTACTCCTTCCCAATTTTTGCAGTTTAAAACTTATTGATCAGAAGAGGCCATGATGCAAGCATCCATTAATTCTGAGATTACGGAGGAAGGTTCTTATAATATGTTTATGGGAAATGGTGATGTGTGTAATACTCCTACATAGCAATTGGAATATACTCCATGTATACTGACTCAAGTTACACAAGTATGCCTTTGGGCTTGGGAGTCAATTCAAGATACAGGCAAAGCTCCTTAATCCTTTAGTGCTATTAAACAAGGCCCCTCTGAACTGTATCCTGATTTTGTGGCATGATTAACAGATGCTGCTGAAAAGGCTATTTCTGATACTAGAGCCAGAGACGTAGTCATTAAACTCATGGCTTTTGAAAATGCTAATATTGAGTGCCAGGCTGCCATCTGACCTTTACATCATAAAACTGAAAATATTCCTGATGATGCCATAATTCCTTCTTATATCTTTGCTTGTGATGGAATTGGGTCTGAAACTCATAAAGCTGTACTTATGGCACAAGCTATGACTTCTCTAAAAGCAGTCACTGTTATTCCTAATGTTCCTCCTGCAGGGGTACATAATACTTTTCCTGGTGCTTGCTACAAATGTGGTGGAGTAGGACACTTTAAAAAATCCTGTCCTTTACTCAATTTGAATCCTCCACAAGCCACTATTCAAACTCAAAATACGCAAAAGGCCCCTGCTACTGTGTGTCTATGATGCAAATAGGGTAAACGTTGGATGAAATATTGTCACCCTAACTTTGATATCAGTGACAACCCACTTCCACCTTTAAACGTGGCTAATAACACAGTCAATTCCATTCTGTTTCAGGGAAATGGGGGGAGGGGCTGGCCTTGGGCCCTGATCGCAATTGGGGCCCCAGTGTTTTGATTCACCCTCCCAGTTACAACATCTATTAGCTGCACAGGCTATGCCACAGACCCAGATGTATACTATAGCACAAATACTGCCTCAAATTCAATATCCAATACCCAATACCAGCCAATCTCTTCTCTTGTCCCAGTACAATGCTTGTCCAATTCCACTGCAGTAGGGGGCTCAATAGACTTGTGTAGTACCCTTCCTTCGTCCTTACTCCCTGGGGAACAGCCTGTCTTAGCCCACACTGGAGTGAAAGGGCCATTACCTAAAGATCACATTGGTTTAATTTTAGGCAGAGCATCACTAGCGTTAAAAGCTGTTACCCTGCATACAGATCTAATACACGCTGACACCACTGATGAAATTTGTCTAGTAATCTCCACTAAATCTCCTATTTTCTATTGAATCAGGAGAGTGTATTGCTCAATTACTTCTCACAGCACTGTTTCTAGCTGCAGGGACAGCCCCTCGAACAGGAGCAATAGGAAATACTTCTAAACAAGGGAAAGCCGCTTTTTGGGTTAATGCTATTTCATCACATCAAGCTACATGTATTATAAAAATTTCAGGAAAAAAGTTTGAAGGTCTAGTCTATACTGGAGCTGATGTTTCTATCATTGCTGTTAACCAATGGCTTTCATCATGGCCTAAACAGCCTTCTTCCGCTAATTTAGTGGGAGATGGGACATCTTCTGTTGTGTATCAAAGTTCTTTAATACTTCCTTGAGCTGGACCTGATGATGAAGTTGGCACTATCCAGCCCTTCATTATTCCAATTCCCATTAATTTATGGGGATGGGATTTGTTACAATAATGGGGGGCTGAAATATTGATCCCTTTATCAAATTACAGTGAAGCTAGTAAAAACATGATGCGTAAAATGAATTTTATTCCTGGAAGAGGATTAGGAGTTAAAGGGGAGGGTAATAGCAGAGCACGTAGACCTCCACCATAAAACTTGACAAAACCGGACTTGGATAGCCTTTTTAGGAGTGGTCACTCCTGAGTCTCCCCCACGAATTCCTTTATAGTGGATGTGTGACTCACCTGTTTGGGTAGAGCAGTGGCTGCTGTCCAAACAAAAGTTGGAAGTTTTAATTGAAATTGTTAATGATTTACTAAAATCAAACATAATTGGGTCCTCTTTGTCTCCATGGAATTCTCCCCTGCTTGTTGTACAAAAAAGTCAGGGAAATGGAGAACGGTAACAGATTTAAGAGCTACTAATGCAGTTATTAAACCCATGGCAGCACTGCAACCTGGCATGCCCTCCCCCTCCATGATTCCTAAAGAATGGCCTCTAACTATTATTGACTTCAAGGATTGTTTTTTCCATATTCCCCTAGACAAATCAGATTGTGAAAAGTTTGCTTTTACTATGGCTTCTATAAATAACAGCTCCTGCAGCTAGGTTCCGGTGGAAAATTTTACCTCAAGGAATGATTAACAGTCTTATTATTTATTTGTGAGTTTTTTGTGGGCACTGTATTACAACCTATCTATCTGACAGGCCTTCCAAGATAATTACGTTCTTCATTATATGGACACTGATTGCTGCTCCTACTAAAGAAAAATTAATTCCTTGCTTTACTTCTTTAAAAGCAGCCATTGCTAATGCAGGACTCTACATTTCTCCTGACAAAATTCAACAAGTTACCCCATATCTTTACTTAGGAATGCAAATCGAATTTCCTCTATTAAGTCTCAAAAAATACAACTTCGTACAGACAATTTAAAAACTTCAAATGATTTTCAAAAATTACTCAGTGACATTAATTATTTAAGACCAACATTAGCAATTTATACCTATGCTGTTTCCAACTTATTTGCTACCTTATCAGAAGATCCAGATCTAAATGACCCTCACGTTCTTTCTGAACCAGCTAATTGAGGGTTGGCTTTTGCAGAACAAAGGGTAAGAGAGGCACAGGTCCAAACCAGACTTTTGGTTTCCATACAGATCTTGTATGGATCTGTACGGAACTGGTCCAAACCAACCTTTTTGACTTGTATGACACAGGTCCAAACCAACTGTTTCATTTCCATACAGATCCAAATCAAACTTTACAATTTTTAGTTTTTCCTACTCTTCACTCTCCAACAGGACTTATAGCACAAAATGATTCCTTAATTGAATGGGTATTTTTCCCAAATTCTGCCTCTAAAACTCTTTCAGTATATCTTGATCAAATTTCTACATCAATTGGATTAGGACGACAACATATTGTTAAAATTTCTGGTCTTGATCCTAATGTTATTGTGGTCCCTCTGTCAAAAAAGTTAAGTAAAAAAATGCCTTTTCTACTTCCCTATGTTGGCAAACTAATTCGGATGATTTCGTTGGCCAATAGACTATCATCACTTACCCAAGTCAAAATTCTTCCAGTTTTTACGAAATACTTTTTGGATTCTGCCAAAATTATTTGTCTTTCTCCATTAGAGGGAGATTTACACTGTTCACTGACAGATCTGGTGATGGAAAGGCTGGATATGTAGGCCAAAAGATAAAGTCATTTCTATTCCTCACACCTCTGTTCAGAAGGCTGAATTATTTGCTGTTATAACAACATTGCAAGATTTCGATCAGCCTCTTAACATTGTATCTGACTCAGCTTATGTTATTCATGCTACCAAAGCCATAGAAACAGCTACTATAAAAAATATCACTGACACCAATCTGTCTTCTCTGTTTTCTTCATTACAACAAGTGGTCAGAGATAGAAATCACGCCTTTTTCATTGCTCATATCCCTTCTCATACCAATTTGCCTGGACCCTTATCCAATGGCAATCAAAAAATAGATGCTCTTGTTTCCCTAGCCTTCACTGATGCCACACAGTTTCATCAGCTTATTCATACCAATGTGTCAGGCCTTAAACATAAATACTCTTTTAGTTGAAAACAGGCAAAACATATCATCCAAAACTGCTCTCAGTGTCAGGTGGTTGGTCTACCTACACAATCTCCCGGTGTCAATCCTTGTGGTCTTTCTCCTAATGTAATCTGCCAAATGGATGTTACTCATGTTCCTTCTTTTGGGAAATTAGCTTATGTTCATGTGTTGGTAGACACCTTTTCAAACTTCATCTGGGCTACTTGTCAAACAAGAGAAACTGTTTCTCATGTTAAAAGACATTTGTTGTCTTGTTTTGCAGTTATGGGAGTTGCAAGAGAAATCAAAACAGACAATGGCCCTGCATATTGCAGCAAGGCTTTCAAAATTTTTCTCGATCAATGGGATATTAAACCTATTACTGGAATTCCCTATAATCTACAAGGTCAAGCCATTGTAGAAAAGGAGCAACAGGACGTTAAAGCTACAATTACTTAAACAAAAAAGGGGAAGTGATAAGGAGTTATCCACCCCACACTTGCAATTAAATTTGGCATTACTAACGTTAAATTTTCTTAATATCTCTAAATCCAGTTCTGTCATTGCTGCTGAAAAACATTTCTCTGCTAACTGCTCTAATGTAAATCAAGGGTGGGAAGTATGGTGGAAGATACTCAATCCAACAAATGGTCAAAAAGCACTATTCTTACGTGGGAAAGAGGCTATGATTGTGTCTCCCCAGGTGAACATCAATCTCCCATTTGGATCCCCACTAGACACTTGAAATTGTGCCCTGAAAATGTACGTGATCAAAAGACGTAAAAGACTACTGAAAAGACGCTGCAACAAGAGTCAGCTGAGACCCTCAGTCAACAAAAAGATGAGGATAACCACTCGCCTACAACAGACAATTCAGTCAGCTATCCCAAACAATTCATCCCCAGCAATTCAGGTTCGACTCAACCTCTGCCTTCTCCTGATGACGCTGATTCTCCTGCCTCCAGTCACTCCACAGACTGTTAAGAACTATACTTATTGGGCCTATGTTCCTTTCCCCCCACTTATCAGAGCTATGACACGGATGGATGGTCCTATTGAAGTTTATGTTAATGATGATAGTATTTGGATGCCTGGTTACATAGATGATCATTGTCCCACTCAAACTTCCGAGGAAGGTATCCCATTCAATATTACTCTAGGTTTTAAATACCCACCTCTATGTTTAGGACCAACAGAAGGATGCCTCCCATTAGATATTCAGACCTGGGCAGTTACATTACCATCTGGTCATTCTGTTCCCCCTTTAGGACATTTAGTATCAGGACTCTCTCTAAAACCTTTAAGACAATATAAAATAGGAATTGCTGATTATATCCATACTTCAAAATTCAAACCTCTAGGACCTGCATGCCCTCTTAATTTGTCTTCCCACACTGAAAAGCTAATATGGAATGATTGTATCAGTCCTGAAGGAACACTTTTATTTAACCCTTCTGGCTATACTATTATAGATTGGACCCTGAAAGGACATCATACAAATGATTGTTCACAAGGTCAAAGGGACTCTCAACCATTTTCTTTATGATATCACATATTGAGAAGGTAGTGACAATTCTCCCATATTATATAGTAGGTTTAACTCTTTCTTTCTTTTTAAGTGGAAAGGGGCAGGAATTGCTCCTCCTAAACCCAGACTTATCATTCCCCATTTAGGACGTGAACATTCAGAATTTTGGAGATTGACTATTGCCATGACAGGCATGAGAGTTTGGGCCAGAGAAAGTGTTATCAGTAAATCTACCACATCACCTTGACAACTTAGAAAACAAATTGATTTACATTATTATTCACATACAGCAAAAAACATAATGATGTCTGTTGTTAAAAGGTCAATTCAAAAATGGGATAATGAGGACTACGAAGATCAATACCCCCCTGTTTATAATGCACATTTTCCACCCCTTATGCAGCCTGCTCCCCTTACAGTACGTCCCCAAAGAACAACATCTCAAAATATTTATACTGTGTACATGGAATATAACAAAACAGTACCTCTTAAAAGCTGTGTTAAACCCTCATATATGTTGTTGGCAGGAAAATGCATTTTAGTTTAGAGACTAATATTATCACCTGTACTAATTGTTATTTGTATACTTGTGTTGATTTGTCTTTTAATCAACATCATAGTGTGCTTATTGTTAGAACTAGGGAAGGCACATGGCTCCCAGTAGTCTTACATCGACTTTGGGAATCTTCTCCCTCTATTCATGTTATTAACTATATTTTACAAAAAATTTTAAAATGAAGTAGGTGGTTTATTTTCACTCTAATTGCAGTAGTTATGGGTCTAATTGCAGTCACAGCAACGGCAGCCATGGCTGGAGTTACATTAGATCAATCTATCCAAACTGTTCACTTTGTGGGCAAATGGCAAAAAAATTCTACCTGAATGTGGAATTCTCAATCAGGTGTTGATCAAAAGTTGGCCAACCAAATTAATGATTTAAGACAAACTATAATATGGATGAGAGATAGAATTATGAGTTTAGAACATAGACTACAAATGCAATGTGATTGGAATACTTCTGATTTTTGTATAACACCTTTTCAATACAATGAGTCTGTTCATAATTGAGAATCCATGAAATGCTATTTAAAAGGAAGTGGAGATAATTTACGTTGAGATATTAGTAAATTGAAAGGACAAATTTTTGAGGCCTCTCAAGCACATCTAAAGGCCTTGCCAGGTGCTGAAGTATTAGATGGTATTTCTGAAGGATTATCTAACCTGAATCTTGTTCAATGGGTAAAATCCTTAGGAGGTTCTAAAGTTGTAAATTTTATTCTATGCATATTCTGTGCTATTGGTTTATTGATTATCTGTAAGATTGGAAAAAGGATCCATCAATCTAACCATGATCACCGTCAAGCAATGATTGCTATGGTTCATTTAAATCAGAGCAAAGGGGGAGATGTAGGGACACCCCCTGAAACTGTTTCTACAGAATGAAGGAATGAAACGTTCTTAATCGTTGTAAATAAAATATTGAATACAGGAATGTTGCAAAGACAATATGTGGTTGGACTGCCAGAATGAGCCAAGAGCAAGTGATGTGCTTACCACTGCAGAAAGCCTATAAACGGACACGCAGATCAGGAGGTTTCACATCACCAAGATTCCTATCACAGAAAAGCAGGTGTTCATAGCTCTGAGAATGGAAGGCGACCCTTGAGAAGAGCCTAAAATGGAAGCATGAGTGGTGCCTCTTCTCAGGGATAAGATGGAGCTAAAATGCCCTTATGGTACCACAGCCCTTCTAGGCCTCTTTGGGGTTAAAGCCTACTGGCTTCTGAGAATTTGTGGTCTAACCAGTTGTCTAGTTTCACGTCCTGTTGTTATTGATTGCCTGAAACCAGCTTCTGCTGCAGCTGCTGCTGCTGATTAGTATCTTGCTAAACATAAGTTATGGGTAGATGTTGTTCCTACTTTATGGCTCTGTTAAACTGGTGACTCACACACTATATTGTAAAAGTTTGTCTTTTGTAAACCTATACTTTGGATGACAAGAAGTTACTTCATCCCCATGTGATCACCACACCCCATGATCATACTACCCCAAACCCCTCACTCTTTCACCACTTTCCTCACTAAACCTGATAATAATTGCTGGTATATCCAGCGAATTGGTGACATCACAAGACCAGAAGGCAGTGACCTCCCTGGACCCAGTGTTCTCACTCTTTTGTGTGTATCACTTATTTCTCAACCTGCTGATCCACCTTGGGACAAAGAGAGAGCCCTGTTGTATTGTGGACAAAGTATTCCAAGTTAAAAACTAGAAAGAAGCTATCTGTGAAACTGCTTGGTGATTTGTGGATTCATCTCACAGAGGTAAACTGTTCTTTTGATTCAGCAGTTTGGAAACATTATTTTTGTAAAATCTGCAAAGGGACATTTGAGAGACTACTGAAGCCTATGGGAAAAACTGAATACCTCTAGATAAAAACTAGAAAGATGCTATCTGTGAAACTGCTTGGCAATGTGTCAATTCATTGCAAAGAGTTACAAATTTTTTGATTAAGCAGGTTAGAAACACTCTTTATAGAACCTGCAAAGAGACATTTAGGAGCCAATTGAGGCCTACAGGGAAAAACTGAATATCTTAGATACAAACTAGAAAGAAGTTATCTGTGAAACTGCTTTGTGAAGTGTTGATTCATCTCAAAGAGTTTAACTTTTCTTTTGATTCAGCAGGGAGGGAACACACTTTCTGTAGTATATGAGTAGAGATTTTTTGGAGCCCATTAAGGTTTATGGGGACAAAGAGAGTACCCCAGATAAAAACTAGAACAAAGCTATCTGTGAAACTGCTCTTTGATGTGGGTATTCAACTCACTAACTTAAAGCTTCTTTTTCATTCAGCAGGTTGGAAACACTCTTTTTGTAGATTCTGCAAAGGGGCATTTGGGAGCCCATTTCAGACTATGGGGAAAACAGAGTATCCACAGATACCAACTAGAAAGAAGCTATCTGTGAAATTGCTTTGTGATGTGTTTATTCATCTCAAAGAGTTAAAACTTTCTTTTGAATCAGCAAGCTGGAAACACTCTTTTAGTAGAAACTGCCAAGGGAGTTTTCAGAGCCCATTGACGATTATGTGGAAAAGAAGAATATCCCCGGATAGAAATTAGAAAGAAGCTATCTGTGAAACTGCTTTGTGAAGTGTTGATTCATCTCAGAAAGTTTAACCTTTCTTTTGATTCATCAGGTTGAAAACATTCTTTTTGTAGAATCTGCAAAGGGACATTTCAAAGCCCATTGACGCATATGGGAAAAAACCAAAAATCCCAAGATAAAAACTAGAAAGGAGCTGTGTGTGAAACTGCTTTGTGATAGGTGGAGTCATCTCACAGATTTATAACTTCCTTTTGATTCATCAGGTTGGAAACACTCTTTATGTAGACTCTGCAAAGGGTAATTTCAGAGCCAATTGAGGCCTGTGGGGAAAAACGGAATATTTCCAGATAAAAACTGAAGAGAACCTATATGCGAAACTGCTTGGTGATGTGTGGATTCATCTCACAGAATTAAAACTTTGTTTTGATTCTGCAGGTTGCAAACACGCTTTTTGTAGAATCTGTGAAGGAACATTTTGAAGACCACTGAGGCCTATGGGAAAAAATGGAATATCCCCAGGTAAAAACTAGAAAGAAGATATCTGAGAGACTGCTTAGTGATGTGCTTATTCATCTCAGAGCTAAACTTTCTTTTGATTCAGTGGGTTGGAAACTCTCTTTTTGTAGAATCTGTGAAGGGACATTTGGGTGCTGATTGAGGCCCATGGAAAAACAGAATATCCACAGATAAAAATTCAAAGGAAGCCATCTGTGAAAATGCTTTGTGATGTATGGATTCATCTCACAGAGTTAAACCTTACTTTTGATTGAGCAGTTTAGAAACATTTATTTTGCAGAACTAGTGAAGTGAATTTTTGCAGCCCATTGAGGCCTGGGGGAAAATCGAATATCCACATATAAAAACTAGAAAAAAACTATCTATCTGTGAATCTATTTGGTGATGTGTGGATTCATCTCACAGAGTTAAACCTTTCTTTTCATTCCACAGGTTGGAAACACTATTTTTGTAGAATCTGCAAAATATCCCCAGATAAAAACTAGAAAGAAGGCATATGTGAAAATGCTTTGTTATATTTCCCTTGATCTCACAGACTTACAGCTTTCTATTGATTCAACATGTTGTAAACACTTTTTGTAGAATCTGCCAAGGATATTTTGGAGCCCATTGAGGCCTATGGAGAAAAACTGAATATCCTCAGATAAAAACTAGAAAGAAACTATCTGTGAAACTGGTTTATGATAGCTGGATTCATCTCATAGAGTTAAAGCTTTCTTTTGGTTCAACAGGTCAGAAAAACTCTTTTTGTAGAGTCTGTGAAGGGACGTTTAAGAGCCCATTGAGGCCTATAGGGAAAAACTGAATAAACTCAAAGAAAATCTAGAAATAAGCTGTTTTTGGTAGAATCTGTGAAGGGACTTTAGGAAGCCCATTAAGGCTTATGGGGAAAAACCGAATATCACCTGATAAAAAGTAGAAAGATGCTGTCTGGGAAAATGCTTTGTTACGTGTGGATTCATCTCACAGAGTTAAATATTTCTTTTGATTCAGCAATTTGGAAACACTCTTTTTGTAGAATCTGTGAAGATATTTGATAGAACATGGAGGCCTATGAGAAAAAAACAAATATCCTTGGATAAAAATCAAAAAGAAAATATCTGTGAAACTGCTTTGTGATGTGTGGATTCATCTCACAAAGTGAAACTTTTCTTTGATTCAGCAGTATGGAGACTCTCTTTTTGTAGAATCTGTGAAGGGACATTTTGGACCCCATTGAGACCTCTGGGAACAAAACAGAATATCCCCAGATAAAAAATAGAAAGAAACTATCTGTGAAAATGTTTGGTGATGTGAGAATTCATCTTTCAGAGGTAAACCTTTCTTTTGATTCAGCACGTTGTAAATACTTTTCTTGTAGAATCTGCAAAGGGACATTTGGGAGTCTGTTGACTCCTATCAGGAAAAATAAAATATGCCCTGATAAAAACCAGAATGAAGCCATTTGTGAAACTGCTTTGTGATGTGTGGATTCATCTCACAGAGTTAAACAATTCTTTTCTTTCAGCCAGTTGGAAACACTCTTTTTGTAGAATTTGTAGAGAAACATTTGGGAGCCCATTGAGGCCTATGGGGAAAAGCTGAATATCCCCAGATAAAAACTAGAAAGAAGCTATCTGTGAAACTGCTTGGTGATATGTGGATTCATCTCACAGAGTTAAACCTTCATTTTGACTCAGCAGGTGGAAAACACTCTTTTTGTAGAATCAACCAGGGGACACCTTGGAGCCCATTGGGGCATGTGGGGAAAACTGAATATTTCTAGATAAAAACTAGAGAGAAGCTATCTGTGAAACTGGTTGGTGATGTGGGGAATCATCTCACAAAAATTAAACCTATTTTTTGATACAGCAGGTTGGAAATACTCTTTTGTAGAAACTGTGAGGTGACACCTCAGAGCCCATTGAGGCCTATGAGGAAAAATCAATTAGCCCTAGATTAAAAAAAAAAAGATAAGCTATCTGTGAAACTGCTTGGTGATGTGTGGAATGGTATCACAGAGTTAAACCTTTTTTTGATTCAGCAGTTTGAAAACTCTTTTTGTAGAATCTGCAAAGGGACATTGGAGAAGAAAATCAATCAGGAGGAGGAACTGAATATTCCAACTTAAAAACTAGAGAGACACTATTTGTGAAATTGCTTGGTGTTGTGTGGATTCATCTCATAGATTTAAAGCTTTCTTTTGATTCAGCAGGTTGAAATCACTCTTTGTAGAATCTGCAAAGGGACATTTGAGAGCCCATTGAAGCCTAAGGGAAAAACCGAATATCCCTAGATCAAAAGTAGAAAGAAACTATTTGTGAAACTGCTTTGTGATGTGTCTGGTCAACTCAAAGAATTATGTTTTTTTTTGATTAAGCATGTTAGAAACACTCTTTTTGTAGAACTTGCAAAAGTGCATTTGAGAGTCAAATGAGATCTTAAGGGAAAAACGGAATATTACAGATAAAAACTAGAAAGAAGCTACCTATGAAACTGCTTTTTGGAGTGTTGATTCAGCTCACAGAGTTTAACTTTTCCTTTGTTTCAGCAGGGTGGAAACACACTTTTTGTAGAATATGTGAAGGGACTTTTCAGAGCCCACTGAGGCTTAAGAAGACAAACCGAATATCCCCAGATAAAAACTAGAATGAAGCTATCTGTGAAACTGCTTTGAGATACGTAGATTCATCTCACAGAGTTAAACCTTTCTTTTGATTCAGGAGGTTAAAAAAAGTTCTTTTTGTGCAATCTGCAAAGGAACATTTTGGAGCTTATTTTGGCCTATAGGGAATAACTGAATATCACCAGATAAAAACTAGAGAGAAGCTATCTGTGAAACTGCTTTGTTATTTATTGATTCACCTAACAAAGTTAAACCTTTCTTTTGATTCAATAGGTTGATAATACTCCTCTCTATGTAGAATCTGCGAACAGAAAATTAGGAGACCATTGAGGCCTGTGGGGAAAACAGAATATCCAGAGACAAAAACTAGAAAGATGCTACCTGTGAAACTGCTTTGTGCTACGTGGATTCATGTCACAGAGTTAAAACTTTCTTTTGATTCAGTAGGTTGGAAACTCTCTCTCAGTATAATCTGTGAAGGGATATTTGGGAGCCCATTGAGGCCTATGGGGAAAACCAAATATACCCAGATAAAAACTAGAAAGAATGTATCAGTGAAACTGCTTTGTAATGTGTGGATTCATCTCATAAAGTTAAACCTTTCTTTTGATACAGCAGGTTGGAAAGAATCCTTTTATGGAATCAGCAAAGGGACAATGAGGAGTCCATTGAGGCCTATGGGGAAAGATTGATTATCCACAGATAAAAACTAGAAAGAGGTTATTTGTAAAACTGCTTTTTAACATTTTGATTTATCTCACAGAGTTACACCTTTCATTTGAATCAGCAGGTTGGAAAAACTCTTTTTGTAGAATTGGCCAAGAGATATTTGGGAGCCATTAAGGCCTACGGAGAAAAACTGAATATCCCCAGATAAAAGCTAGAAGGAAGATATCCGTGAAACTGCTTTGTGAAATGTCAATTCATCTCAGAGAGTTTAACCTTTCTTTTGATTCAGCAGATTGAAAACACTCTTTTTGTAGAATCTGCAAATGGACACAACAGAGCCCATTGAAACCTAAGGGGAAAAATCAAATATCCTTAGATAAAAACTAGAAAGAAGATATCTGTGAATCTCCTTGGTGATATGTGGACTTATCTAACAAAGTTAAACCTTCCTTTTGATTTACCAGGTTGGAAACAATGTTTTTCAGGAATCTGCAAAGGGACATTTGGAAGCCCATAGAGGTGTAAAGGGAATATCCCCGGAAAAAAACTAGAAAGAAGATATCTCTGAAACTGTCTGGTGATATGTGGATTCAACTAACAGAGTTAAACCTTTTTATTTGATTCAGCAGGTTGGAAACATTTCTGCAGAATGTGTGTAGGGAGTTTTGAGAACCCATTGAGGCCTACAGGGAAAAAAACGAACATCCTTAGATAAAAATTAGAAAGAAGTTATCTGTGAAACTGCCAGGTGATGTGTGGATTTATCTCACAGAATTAAACGTTTCTTTTGATTCAGCAGGTTAAAAGGGTTCTTTTTGTAGAATCTGTGAAGGGACATTTGGGAGCTCATTGAGACTATTTGGATAAACCGAATATCCCCAGATAATATCTAGAAAGAATCTATCTATCTGTAAAACTGCTTGAGGATATATGAATTCATCCCTCCTAGGGAAACCATTCTTTTGATTCAGCAGGTTGGAAAGACTCTTTGTGTAGAAACTGTGAAAGGTCATTTGGGAGCCCATCATTGCCTGTGGGGAAAAACTGAATATTACCAGATTAAAACTAGAAAGAAGATACCTGCGAAACTGCTTTGTGATGTGTGAATTCATCTCACAGAGCTAAACCTTTCTTTCAGTTCAGCAGTTTGGAAACACTCTTATTATAGAATGTGCAAAGGGAGATTTCTGAGAACCTCAAGGCTTACGGGGAAAACCAGGTTATCCCCAGTTAAAAGCTAGAAAGAAGTTATCTGTGAAACTGCTTGCTGATGTGTGGATTCATCTCACAAAGTTAAAACTTTCTTTTGATTAAGCAGGTTTGAAACATTATTTTTTAGAATCTGCAAAGGGAAATTTGGGAGACCATCTAGGCCTAGACAAAGAAAGAAAGAAAGAAAGAAAGAAAGAAAGAAAGAAAGAAAGAAAGAAAGAAAGAAAGAAAAGAAAGAAAGAAAAAGACCACAGACACAAACTTAAAAAAAAGCTATCTATGAAACTGCTTAGTGATGGGTGGAATCAACTTACAAAATTAAACCTTTCTTTTGGTTCACCAGGTTGGAATCACCCTTTTTGTAGAATCTGCAAAGGAACATTTGGCAGCCCATAGAGGCCTATGGGGAAAAATTTTGTATCACCAGATAGAAATTAAAAAGAAGCTATCTGGGAAACTGCCTGGTGATGTGTGGATTCATCTCACAGAGTTAAACGTTTCTTTTGATTCAGCAAGTTAAAAACACTCTTTTTGTAGAATCAGCAAAGGGAGATTCAAGAGTCCATTCAGCCTATGAAGAAAAACTGAATATCCCCAGATAAAAACTTGGCAAAAGCTATCTGTGAAACTGCTTCAAGAAGTGTGGATTCAGCTAACTGAGGTAAAACTTTCTTTTGATTCAGCAGTTTGGAAACACTTTTTTGTGCAATCTGTGAAGGGACATTTGGGAGCCCAATGAGGGCAAAGGGGGAAAAATGAATATCCCCAGCTAAAAACTAGAAAGGATCTATCTATGAAACTGCCAGTTGATGTGTGGATTCTTCTTACAGAGTTAAAACTTTCTTTTGATGCAGTAGGTTGAAAACTCTCTTTTTGTAGAATCTGCACAAAGACATTTGGGAACCCTTTGTGGCCTGTGAGGAAAAACCGAATATTCTCAGATTAAAAACTAGAAAGAAGCTATCTGTGAAACTTCTTGGTGATATGTGGATTCATTACACAAAATTAAACCTGTTTTTTTTTTTATTCAGCAGGTTGGAAACACTCTTTATGTAGAAGCTGCAAAGAAACTTTTCTTAGCCCCTTGAGGTCTATGGAGAAAAACGGAACATTCCCAATTAGAAACTTGAAAGAAGCTATCTGTGAAACTGCTTGGTGATGTGTAGATTCATCTCAGAAAGTTAAAATTTTCTTTTGATTCAGCAGATTGGAAACACTTTTTTTTTTGTAGAATCCATGAAGGGACATATGAAAGCCCATTGAAGCATATGGGGTAAAACTGAATATCCCCAGATGAAAACTAGAAAGAAGCTATCTGTGAAACTACTTTGTGAAGTGTTGATTCATCTCAGAGAGTTTAAACTTTCTTTTGATTCAGCAGGTTGGAAACACTCTTTTTGTAGAATCTGTGAAGGGTCATTTGGTAGCCAATTAAGGCCTATTTGGAAAAACTAAATATCCCCAGATAAAAATTAGAAAAATGCTACTTGTGAAACTGTATTAAAATATGTGGATTCATCTCACGGAGTAATACCTTTCTTTTGATTCAGCAGGTTAGAAACACTTTTTTTGTGGAATCTGTGAAGGGACATTTCGGAGCCCATTTAGGCCTATGGGAAAAAAGAGAATATCACCAGATAAAAACTAGAAACAAGCCATCTTTGTTTTGTGTGTGTGTGTGTTTTCTTTAATATATTTTTATTATACTTTAAGTTCTAGGGTACATGTGCACAACTTGCAGGTTTGTTACATATGTATACATGTGCCATGTTGGTGTGCTGCACCCATTAACTCGTCATTTACATTAGATATATCTCCTAATGCTATCCCTCCCCCCACCCTACAACAGGCCCTGGTGTGTGATGTTCCCCTTCCTGTGTCCAAGTGTTCTCATTGTTCAATTCCCACATAACAGTGAGAACATGTGGTCTCAGAAAGTTTCTGAGAATGCTTCTGACTAGTTTTTATGTGAAGATATTTCCTTTTCCACCATAGGCCTCAAAGCGCTCCAAATATCCACTTGCCGATTCTACAAAAAGAGTGTTTCAAATCTGCTCAATCAAAAGAAAGCTTTCTGAGAAACTTCTTTGTCATACGTGCATTCATCTCACAAAGTTAAACCTTCCTTTCATTGAGCTGTTCGGAAACACAGTTTTGGTAGAATCTAGGAAGGGATAAAACGGATTAAACTGAGGCCTATGGTGAAAAAGGTATTATCCTCTGATGTAAACTAGAAAGAAGGTGTCCGACAAACAGTTTTGTGAGGCGTGCATTCATCTCACAGAGTGAAACCATTCTTTTCATTGAACAATTTGGAAACAGTTTTTGCAGAATCTTTGTAGTTTATATTTTGGAGTGTTTTGATGCTTATGTTGAAGAAGAAAATATCCTCACATGCAAACTAGAGAGAAAGATTCTTAGAACCTGCTTTGTGGTGTGTGCATTCATCTCAAGGAGTTAAATGTTTCTTTATATTGAGCAGTTTCGAAACTCTGTTTTTCTACAATCTGCAAATGGATATTTGCAAGTGCATTGAAGCCTATAGTGAAAAAGGAAATATCTTCACATAAAAACTAGAAAGAAGGTTTCTGAGAAACTGCTTTGTGATGTGTGCATTCCTCTCACAGAGTTGAACCATTCCTTTGATTGAGCAGTTTGGAACCACTGTTTTTCTAGAATCTGCAAAGGGATATTTGCGAGTGATTTGAGGCCTATGGTGAAAAAGGAAATATCCTTACACAAAAACTAGAAAGGAACTTTCTTAGAAACGGCTTTGTGATCTGTGCATTTGTCTCATGGAGTTAAACGATTTTTTGGATTGAGCAGTTCAGAAACACAGTGTTTGTAGAATCTGTGAAGGGATATTTGGATTCACCTTGAGGCCTATGGTGACAGAGGAAATAACTTCTGATACAAACTAGACAGAAGCATTCTGAGAAACTGCTTTGTGATGTGTGCATTCATCTCACAGAGTTAAATGTTTCTTTTCATTGAGCAGTTTGGGAAGTCTGTGTGTGTGCATTCACAAACTCTGTGATGTGTGAATCCAGCTCACAGATTTTAACCATTCTGTTGATTGAGCAGTTTGAAAACACAGTGTTTGTAGAATCTGCAAAGGGATATTTGGATTTGCATGGAGTCCTATATTGAAAAAGGAAATATCTGTCGATACAAACTGGACAGAAGCTTTCTGACAAACTGCTTTGTGATGTGTGCATTCATCTCACAGAGTTGAACCATTCTTTCAACTGAGCAGTTTGGAACCACTGTTTTTGTAGAATCTGTGAAGAGATATTTGGATTCACCTTGAGGTCTATGGTGACAAAGAAAATATCTTCTGATACAAACTAGACAGAAGCTTTCTGAGAAACTGCTTTGTGATGTGTGCATTCCTAAAACAGAGTTGAACCATTCTTTTTATTGAGCAGTCTGGAATCACTGTTTTTCTAGAATCCGCACAGGGATATTTCTGAGTGCTTTGAGGCCAATGGTGAAAAAGAAAATATCCTCACGTTAAAAACTAGAAAGGAGCTTTCTTAGAAACTGTTTTGTGATCTGTACATTTGGCTGACAGAGTTAAACTATACTTTTGATGGAGCAGTTTGGAAAAACAGTTTTTGTAGAATCTGCGAAGGGATATTTGGATTCACCTTGAGGCCTATGGTGACAAAGGAATAGCCCTCTGATACAAACTAGACAGAAGCTTTCTGAGAAACTGCTTTGTGATGTGTGCATTCATCTCAGAGAGTTAAACGCTTTTTTCATTGAGCTGATTGGAAACTCTGTTCTACTAGAATGTGCAAAGGGCTATTTTGGAGCCCTTTGAGGCCTATGGTGAAAAAGGAAATATCTTCCAATACAGACTAGAAAGTAAGTTTCTGAGAAATTGCTTTGTGATGTGTGCATTCCTCTCACTGAGTTGAACCATTCTTTTGATGGAGCAGTTTGGAAACAGAGTGTTTGTAGAATCTGCAAAGGGATATTTGGATTCACCTGGAGGCCTTTGGTGAAAAACAAATATCTACCAATACAAACTAGAGAGAAGCATTCTCAGAAACTGCTTTCTGATGTGTGCATTCATCTCACAGAGTTGAACCATTCTTTTGATTGAGCAGTTTGGAATCACTGTTTTTGCAGAATCTGCAAAGGGATAATTGGGAGTGCTTTGAGGCCTATGGTAATAAAGGAAATATCTTCACATAAAAACTAGAAATAATCTTTCTGAGAAACTGCTTTGTGATGTGTCCATTCCTCTAACAGAGTTGAACCATTCTTTTGGTTGAGCAGTTTGGAACCACTGCTTTTCTAGAATCTACCCAGGGATATTTGTGAGTGCTTTGAGGCCCATGATGAAAAAGGAATTATCCTCACATTAATACTAGAAAGGAGCTTTCTTAGAAACTGCTTTGTGATGTGTGCATTTGTCTCACAGAACTAAAACCTTCTTTTGATTCAGCAATTTGGAAACACCGTTTTTGTAGAATCTGCAAAGGGATATTTGGGAGCATTTTCAGGCCTAAGGTGAAAAAGGAAATATCTTCACCTAAAAACTCGAAGGAAGCTTTCTGAGAAACTGCTTTGTGAAGTGTGCATTTCTCCCACAGAGCTGACCCATTCTTTTGATTGAGCAGTTTAGAAACACTATTTTTCTAGGAACTGCAAAGGGATACTTGTGAGTGTTTTGTGGCTTATGTTGAAAATGGAAATATCCCCACATAAAAACTAGAAAGGAGCTTTCGTAGAAACTGCTTTGTGATCTGTGCTTTCATCTCACAGAGTTAAACCATTCTTTTGATTGAGCAGTTTGAAAACACAGTGTTTGTAGAATCTGTGAAGGGATATTTGGATTCACATGGAGGCCTGTGGTGAAAAGGAATTATCTTCCAATACGAACGAGACAGAAGCTTTCTGAGAGACTGCTCTGTGATGTGTGCATTCATCTCACAGAGTTGAACCATTCTTTTGATGGAACAGTTTGGAACCACTGTTTCTGCACACTCTCGAAAGGGATACTTGGGAGTCCTTTGTGTCTTGTGGTGAATAAGGAAATATCCTTACATAAAAACTAGAAAGGGGCTTTCAGAGAAACTAATTTGTGATATGTGCATTCACCTCACAGAGTTAAAACTTTCTTTTGATTCAGCATTTTGGAAACACCATTTTTGTAGAATCTGCAAAGGGATATTTGTGAGTGCTCTGAGGCCTATGGTGAAAAAGGAAATATCTTCACATAGAAGCTACACAGAAGCTTTCTGAGAAACATCTTTGTGATGTGTGCATTCATCTCACAGAGTTGAACCATTCTTTTGATTGAGCATTTTGGAAACAGTCCTTTGTAGATTCTGCAAAGGGATATTTGGGAGCGCTTTGAGGCTTATGGTGAAAAAGGAAATATCATCACATAAAAACTAGGCAGAAGCTTTCTGAGAAAGTACTTTGTGATGTGTGCATTAATCTCACAGAGATGAAACATTCTTTTGCTTGAGCAGTTGGGAAACATTGTTTTTGTAAAACTGCAAAGGGATATTTTTGAGCACTTTGAGGCTTAGGGTGAAAAAGGAAATGTCCCCACATAAAAACTAGAAAGAAGGTTTCTGAGAAACTGCTTTGTGATGTGTGCATTCATCTCAGAGAGATAAACGTTTCTTTTCATTGAGCAGTTTGGAAACTCTGTTCTTGTAGAATCTTCAAAGGGATATTTGTGAGCGATTTGAGGCCTATTGTGTAAAAGGAAATATCTGCACATAAAAACTAGACAGATAAATTCTGAGAAACTTGTTTGTGATGCGTGCATTCAACTCACAGATTTGAAAAATTGTTTTGATAGAGCAGTTTGGAAAGGGTCTTTTTGTACAATCTGCAAAGGGATATTTGTGAGTGCTCTGAGGCCTATGGTGAAAAAGGAAATGCCTTCACATAAAAACTAGACAGAAGCTTTCTGAGAAACTACTTTGTCATGTGTGCATTCATGCCACAGAGGTAAACGTTTCTTTTTAGTGAGCAGTTTGGAAAGAGTCTTTTTGAAATATGTTCAAAGGGATATTTCTGAGTGCTATGAGGCCTATGATGCAAAAAGAAATCTCTTCACATAAAAACTAGACAGAAGCTTTCTGAGAAACTTTTTTGTGATGTGTGCATTCGTCTCACACAGTTGAACCATACTTTTGATTGAGCAGTTTGGAAACAGCCTTTTTTTAGAATCTGCAAAGGGATATTTGTGATTGCTTTGAGTCCTATGGTGAAAAAGGAAATATCTTCACATAAAAACTAGGCAGAAGCTTTCCAGGAAACTTCTTTGTGATGTGTGCATTCATCCCAGAGAGTTGAACCATTTTTTTGATTGAGCACTTTGGAAACTGTATTTTTGTAGAATCTGTAAAGGGATATTTGGGAGTACTTTCAGGCCTATGGTGAAAAAGGAAACATCTTCAAATAAAAACTAGGAAGATGGTTTCTGAGAAACTGCTTTGTGATGTGTGCATTCATCTCACACAAGTAAACATTTCCTTTCATTGCAAAGTTTGGAAACTCTGTTCTTGTAGAATATGCAAAGGGATATTTGTGAGCCCTTTGGGGCCTATGTTGAAAAGGGAAATATCTTCACATAATAACTAGACAGAAGCTTTCTGAGAAACTTCTTTGTGATGTGTGCATTCACCTCCCAGAGTTGAAACATTCTTTTGATTGAGCAGTTTGGAAACAGTCTTTTTGCAGAATCTGCAAACAGATATTTGGGAGCACTTTGAGGCCTGTGGTGAAAAAGGAAATATCTTCACATAAAAACTAGAAAGAAGCTTTCTGATAAACTGCTTTGTGATGCATGCATGCATCTCACAGATGTAAACGTTTATTTTCATTGAGCAGTTTTGATAGTCTGTTCCTGTAGAATCTGGAAAGGGATATTTTTGAACTCTTTGAGGACTATGGAGAAAAAGGAAATATCTTCACATGAAAACTAGTCTGAGGCTTTCTGACAATCTTCTTTGTGGTGTGCACATTGATCTCAAAGAGTTGAACCATTCTTTTGATTGAGCAGGTTGGAAACAGTCTTTTTGTAAGATCTGTAAAGGGATATTTGGAACACTTTGAAGAATATGGTGAAAAAGGAAATATCTTCATATAAGAGCTAGACAAAAGGTTTCTGAGAAACTGATTTGTGATGTGTGCATTCATCTCACAGAGTTAAACGTTTCTTTTCATTGAGCAGTTTTAGAACTTTGATCTTGTAGAATCTGCAAAGGGATATTTGTGACCACTTTGAGGCCTGTGATGGTAAAGGAAATATCTTCTCATAAAAACTAGACAGATGCTTTCTGAGAAACTTCTTTGTGAGATGTGAATTCATCTCACAGAGTTGAACCATTCCTCTGATTGAGCAGTTTGGAAACCTTCTTTTTGTACAATATGCAAAGGGATTTTTGTGAGCGCTTTGAGGCTTATGGTGAAAAACAAATATGTTCACAAAAAACTAGAAAGAAGTTTTCTGAGAAACTGCTTTGAGATATGTGCATTCATCTTACAGAGGTAAACGTTTCTTTTCATTGAGCAGTTTGAAAACTCTGGTCTTGTAGAATCTGCAAAGGGATACTTTTGAGTGCTTTGAGGCCTATGGTGAAAAAGGAAATATCTTCACATAAAAACCAGAAAGAAGGTTTCCTAGAAACTTCTTTGGGATAAGTGCATTCATCCCACAGAATTGAAATTTTGTTTTGATTGAGCAGTCTGGAAACAGTCTTTTTGTAGAATCTGCAAAAGGATACTTGGGAGTGCTTTCAGGCCTGTTGTGAAAAAGGAAATATCTTCACAAAAAACAAGAAAGAAGGTTTCTGAGAAACTGCTCTGTGATGTGTGCATTCATCACACAGAGGTAAAGGTTTCTTTTCAGTCAGCAGTTTGGAAAATCTGTTCTTATAGAATCTCCAAAGGGATTCTTGGGAGCGCTTTCATGCCTATGGTGAAAAAGGAAATAAACGCACATGAAAACTAGACAGAAGCTTTCTGAGAAACTAGTTTGTGACGTGTGTATTCATCTAAAGGAGATGAACCATTCTTTTGTTCGAGTAGTTTGGAATCTGTCTTTTTGTAGAACCTGAAAAGATATATTTTGAGTGCTTTGAGGCCTATGGTGAAAAAGGAAATGTCTACACATAAAAGCTAGAAAGATGATTTCTGAGAAACTGCTTTGTGATGTGTGCATTCATCTCACAGATGTAAACGTTTCTTTTCATTGAGCAGTGTGGAAACTCTATTCTTCTAGAATCTGCAAAGGGATATTTCCGAGCACTTGAGGCCTATGGTGAAAAAGGAAATATCTTCAAATAAAAACTAGAAAGAACCTTTCTGAGAAACTTCTTTTTGATGTGTGCATTCATCTCACAGAGTTGAACCATTCTCTTGATTGATAAGTTTGGATAATCTTTTTGTAGAATCTTCAAAGGGATATATGTGAGGGGTTTGATGCCAATGGTGAAAAAGGATATATCTTCACAAAGAAACTAGACAGAAGCTTTCTGGGAAACTTGTCTGTGATGTGTGCATTCATCTCACAGAGTTGAACCATTCTTTTGATGAAGCAGTTTGGAAACAGTCTTTTTGTAGAATCTGCAAAGAGATAGCTCTGAGCACTTTGAGGCCCATGTTAAAAAAGGAATTATCTTCACATTAAATCTAGAAAGAAGGTTTCTGAGGAACTGCCTTATGCAGTTTTCCAAACTGCAGTTTCCAAACTCCTCAATGAACAGAAACGTTTTCCTCTGTGAGATGAATGCACACATCATAAAGTAGCTTCTCAGAAAGCTCCTGTCTAGTTTTTATGTGAAGATATTACCTATTTAACCATAGGCCTCAAAGTGCTCACAAACATCCCTTTGTGGATTTTACAGAAACAGTTTCCAAACTGCTCAATGAAAAGAAACTTTTTTACCTTGGTGTGATGAATGCACACATCTCAAAGCAGTTTCTCAAAAAACTTCTTTCTAGTATTTATGTGAAAATATTTCCTTTTTCATGATGATTGATAGGCTTCAAAGCACTCACAAATATCCCTTTGCAGATTCTACAAGAACAGAGCTTCCAAACTGCTCAATGAATAGAAACGTTTATCTCTGTGAGATGAATGCACACATCACAAAGCAGTTCCTCTGAAACCTTCTTTCTAGTTTTTATGTGAAGATATCCACATAGACTTCAAAGCACTCAAAAATATCCCGTTGCAGATTCTACAAAAAGACTGTTTCCAAAATGCTCAATGAAAAGAAACATTTACCGCTGTGAGATGAATGCACACATCACAAAACAGTTTCTCAGAAAGCTTCCTTCTAGTTCTAATGTGAAGATATTTCCTTTTTCACCATAGGCCCGAAAGGGCTCAAAATTATCCATTTGCAGACTGTACAAAAACACTGTTTCCTAACTCCTCAATCAAAAGAATTGTTCAAGTCTGTGACTTGAATGCACACATCACAAACAAATTTCTTCAAAAGCTTCTGTCTAGTTCTTATGTGAAGATATTTCCTTTTCCACCATATGCCTCAAACCACCTAAAAATATCCCTTTGCAGATTCTACAAAAAGACTGTTTCAAAACTGCTCAATCCAAGGAGACATTGAACTCTGTGAGATGAATGCACACATCACAAAGCAGTTTTTCAGAAACCTTCTGTCTACTTTTTATCTGAAGATATTTCTTTTTATCATCACCATAGGACTGAAAGCGCTCACATATAACCCTTTGCAGATTCTACAAAAAGATTGTTTCCAAACTGCTCAATCAAAAGAATGGTTCAACTCTGTGACACGAATGAACACATTACAAAGAAGTTTCTCAGAAAGCTTCTTTCTAGATTTTATGTGAAGCTATTTCCTTTTTAACCATAGGCCTCAGAGCACTCACATATATTCCTTTGCAGATTCTATACGAACAGAGTTTCCAAACTGCTGAATGAAAAGAGACTTTTACTTCTGTGAGGAAAATGCACACATCAGGGAGCAGTTTCTCAGAAACCTTCCTTCTATTTTTTTTGTGATCATATTTCCTTTTTGACCTTCGACCCCACAGAGCTCACAAATATCCCTTTGCAGATTCTACATAAAGACTGTTTCCAAACTGCTCAAGAAAAAAAAAATGGTTCAATTCTGGGACATGAATGCACACATCAAAAAGAAGTTTCTCAGAAAGCTTCTGTCTAGTTTTTATGTGAAGATATTTGCTTTTTCACCATAGGCCTCTAAGCGCTCAAAAATATCCCCTTGCAGATTATACAAAAAGATTGTTTCCAAACTGCTCAATCAAAAGAATGGTTCAACTCTGTGTGATGAATGCACTCATCACAAAGAAGTTTCTCAGAAAGATTCTGTCTAGTTTTTATGTGAGGATATTTCCTTTTTCACCATAGTCCTCAAAGTGCTCACAAATATCACTTTGTAGATGTTACAAAAAGACTATTTCCAAAGTGCTTAATGAAGAGAATGGTTCAACTCTGTGAGATGAAGGCACACATCACAACGAAGTTTCTCAGAATGCTTCTGTCTAGTTTTTATTTGAAGATATTTCCTTTTTCACCATAGGCCTCAAAGTGCTCACAAATATCCCTTTGGGGATTCTACAAAAAGACTGTTTACAAACTGCCCAATCAAAAGAATGGTTCAGTTCTGTAAGATGAATGAACACAGTACAAAGAAGTTTCACCAAAAGTTTCTGTCTAGTTTTTATATGAAGACATTTCCTTTTTCTCTATAGACCTCAAAACGCTCACAAATATCCCTTTGCAGATTCTACAAGAAGAGAGTTATCAATCTGCTCAATGAAAATAAATGGGTACCTCTGTGAAATGAATGCACACGTCTCAAAGAAGTTTCTGAGAAAGCTTCTGTCTAGTTTTTATGTGAAGACATTTGCTTTTTCACCATGGGACTGAAATCGCTCACAAATATCCCTTTGCAGATTCTACAAAAAGAGACTTTCCAAACTGCTCAAGCAAAAGAAAGTTTCAACTCTGTGAGATGAATGGACACATCACAAAGAAGTTTCTCAGAAAGCTTCTGTCTAATTTTAATGTGAAGATATTTCCTTTTTCACCATCGACCACAAAGCACCCACAAATATCCCTTTCCTGAATCTACAAAAAGACTGTTTCCAAACTGCACAAACAAAAGAATGGTTCAACTCCATGAGATGAATGCACACATCACAAAGAATTTTCTTTGAAAGTTTCTGTCTAGTTTTTAGGTGAAGATATTCCTTTTTCATGATATGCCTCTAAATGTTCACAAATATCCCTTTGCAGACTCTACAAGAAAAGAGTTTCCAATACGCACAATGAAAAGAAATGGGTACCTCTTTGAGTTGAATGCCCAAGTCACAAAGAAGTTTCTCAGAAACCTTTTCTCTAGTAGTTATGTGAAGATATTTCCTTTTCCAACGAAGGCCTCAGAGTGCTCACAAGTATCCATTTGCAGATTCTACAAAAAGACTGTTTCCATACTACTCAATCAGAAGGATGGTTCACCTCTGTGAGATACATTGTCAGATCAAAAAGCAGTTTCTCAGAAACCTTCTTTATAGTTTTTATGTGAAGATATTTCCTTTTTCACCATACGCCTCAAAGTGCTCAAAAATATCCCCTTGCAGATTCTACAAAAAGACTGTTTCCAAACCCCCAAAACAAAAGAATGGTTCAACCCTGTAAGATGAATGCACACATCACAAATAAGTTTCTCAGAAAGCTTCTGTCTAGTTTTTATGTGAAGGTATTTCCTTTTTCACCATAGGCCACAAAGCACTCAAAAATATCCATTTGCAGATTCTGCCAAAACACTGTTTGCAAACTTCTCAATCAAAAGAAAGTTTCAAATCTGTGAGATGAATGCACACATCAAAAATAAGTTTCTAAGAAAGTCTCTGTCTAGTTTTTATGAGAAGATAGTTCCTTTTTCACCATAGTCCTCAAAGCACTCACAAATATCCCTTTGCAGATTCTACAAAAAGACTGTCTCCAAACTGCTCAATCAAAACAAAGGTTCAACTCTGTGAGATGAATGCACACATCACAAAGAAGTTTCTCAGAAAGCTTCTGTCTAGTTTTTATGTGAAGATATTTCCTTTTTCACCATAGGCCTCAAAGCACTCACAAATATCCCTTTACAGATTCTGCAGAGAACAGAGTTTCCAAACGGTTCAATGAAAAGAAACATTTACCTGTGTGAGATGAAAGCACACATCACAAAGAAGCATTTTCTCAGTAACGTTCTGTCTAGTTTATTTGTGAAGGCATTTCCTTTTTCACCATAGGCCTCAATGAGCTCACAAATATCCCTTTGCAGATTCTATAAAAAGACCGTTTCCAAACTGCTCAATCAAAAGAAAGGTTCTACTCTCTGAGATGAATGCACAAGTCACAAAGATGTTACCCAAAAAGCTTCTGTCTAGTTTTAATGTGATGATATTTACTTTTTCTCTCTAGGACTCAAACCTCTCACAAATATCCCTTTGCAGATCCTGCAAAAGACTGTTTGCAAACTGCTCAATCAAAAGAATGTTTAAAATCTGTGAGATGAATTCACAGAGAAGAAGTTTCGAAGGAAACTTCTGTCAAGTTTTTATGTGAAGATATTTCCTTTATCATGATAGCCCTCAAAGCACTCAGAAATAATCCTTTGCAGATTCTACAAAAAGACTGTCTCCAAACTGCTCAATCAAAATAAAGTTTCAACTCTATGAGATGAATGCACACAGCACAAAGAAGTTTCTAAGAAAGTATCTGTGTAATTTTTATGGGAAGATATTTCCTTTTTCACCGTTGGCTCCAAATCGCTCAGAAATACCCCTTTGCAGATTGTACAAAGAGAATGCTTCCAAACTGCTCAATCTGTCTAGATTTTATGTGAAGATATTTCCTTTTTTCACCATAGGTCTCAAAGGGCTCACAAATATCCCTTTGCAGAATCTCCAAAAAGACTGTTTCTGCACTGCTCAATGAAACGAATGGTTCAACTCTGTGAGATAAATGCCCACATCATAAAGAAGTTTCTCAGAAAGTTTCTGTCTAGCTTTAACGTGAAGATATTTCCTTTTTCACCATAGTCCTCAAAACACTCACAAATATCCCATTGTGGATTCTAAAACAGACTGTTTCCAAACTGCTCAATCAAAAAAGGTTAAACTCTGTCAGATGAATGCACACAAAAGAAAGAAGTTTCTCAGAAAGCTTCTGTCTGATTTTTACGTGTAGATATTTCCTTTTTCACCATAGGCCTCCAACCGCTCACACATATCCCTTTGCAGATTCTACAAAAAGACTGCTTCCAGACTGCTCTACTAAACCAAAGGTTCACTCTGTGAGATGAATGCACACATCACAAAGCAGTTTCTCTGAAAACTTCTGTCTAGTTTTTACGTGAAGATATTTACTTTTTCACCATAGGCCTCAAAGGGCTCAAAAATATCCCTACGAAGAACGTACAAAAAGACAGTTTCTGAACTGCTCAACCAAAGAAAGGTTCAACACTGTGAGATGAATGCACACATCACAAAGAAGTTTCTCCAAAAGCTTTTGTCTACTTTTTATGTGAAGATATTTCCTTTTTCACCATAGGCCTCAAAGTGCTCAAAAATATCCCTTTGCAGATCCTATGAAAAGACTCTTTCCAAACTGCTTAATCAAATGAAAGTTTCTACACTGTGAGCTGAATCCACACATCACAAAGAAGTTTCTCAGAAAGCTTCTGTCTAGGTTTTATGGGAAGATATTTCCTTTTTCGCCATAGGCCTCAAAGCGCTCACAAGTATCTCTTTGTGGATTCTACAAAAAGATTGTTTCCAAGCTGCTCAATTGAAAGAAATATTCAACTCTGTGAGATGAATGTATGTACCAGAAAGACATTTCTCAGAATGCTTCTGTCTAGTTTTTACATGAAGATATTTCCTTTCTCACCATATGCCTCAAACCACTCACAAATATCCCTTTGCGAATTCTACAAAAAGTCTGTTTCCAAACTGCTCTTTCAAAAGAAAGGTTCAACTCTGTGAGATGAAGGCACACATCACAAAGAAGTTTCTCAGAAACCTTCTGTTTAGTTTTTATGTGAAGATATTTCCTTTTTCACCATAGGCTTCAAAGTGCTCACAAATATCCCTTTGCAGTTTCTACAAGAACAGCGTTTCCAATCTTCTCAATGAAAAGAAATGTTTGCTTCTGTGAGAAGGATGCACACATCACAAAGCAGTTTCTCATAAACTTTCTGGCTAGTTTTTATGTGAAGATATTTCTTTTTCACCACAGCCTTCAAAGTTATCACAAATATCCCTTTGCAGATTCTACAAAAAGACTGTTTCCAAGCTGCTCAGTCAAATGAAAGATTCAACACTGTGAGATGAAAGCACACATCACAAAGAAGTTAATCAGAAACCTTCTGTCTAGTTTTAATTTGATGATGTTTACTTTTTCACCCTAGGCTTTAAACTGCTCACAAATAATATACCTTTGCAGATTCTGCAAAAAGAGTGTTTGCAAACTGCTCAATCAAAAGGAAAGTTTCAAATCTGTGAGATAAATTCACACATCACAAAGAAGTTTCTAAGGAAGCTTCTGTCTAGTTTTTATGGGAAGATATTTCCTTTTTCACCATAGGCCTCAAAGGGGTCACAAATATCCCATTACTGATTCTGCTAAAAGACAGTCTCCACCTGTTCAATCAAAAGAAAGGTTCAACTCCATGAGATGAATGCACACATCAAAAAGAAGTTCCTCAGAAAGCATCTGTTTAGTTTTTATGTGAAGATATTTACTTTTTCACCATAGGCCTCAAAGCAGTCGAAAATATCCCTTAGCAGATTCTACAAGAAGAATGCTTCCAAACTGCTCAATCAAAAGACATATTCAAGTCTGTGAGATGAATGCACACATCACAAAAGTTTCTCAGAAAGCTTCTGTCTAGTTTTCATGTGAAGTTATTCCTTTTTCACAACAGGCCTTAACGTGCTCACAAATATCCCTTTGCAGGTTCTGTAAAAAGACTGTTTCCAAACTGCTCAATCAAAAGAAAGTTTCAGATCTGTGAGATGAAAACACACATCAAAAAGAAGTTTCTCAGAAAGCTTCTGTCTAGTTTTCATGTGAAGTTATTCCTTTTTCACCATAGGCATCAAAGCGCTCACAAATATCCCTTTGCAGATTCTACAAAAAGACTGTTTCCAAACTGCTCAATCAAAAGAAAAATTCAAATATGTGGGACGAATGCACACATCACAATGAAGTTTCTAAGAAAGTTTCTCTCTAGTTTTTATGTGAAGATATTTCCCTTTTCACCACAGTCCTCAAAGTGCTCAGAAATATCCCTTTGCAGATTCTACAAAAAGACTTTTTCCACACTGCTCATTCAGAAGAAATGTTCAACTCTGTGAGATGAATGGACGCATCACAAAGAAGTTTCTCAGAAAGCTTCTGCCTAGTTTTTATGTGAAGATATTTCATTTTTCCCCATAGGCCTCAAAGCGCTCACAAATGTCACTTTGCAGATTCTACAAAAAGACTGTTTCCAAAGTTCTCAATCAAAAGAAAGTTTCAACTCTCTGAGGTGAATGCACACATCACAAAGAAGTTTCTCAGAAAGTTTATGTCTAGTTTTTATGTGAGGATACTTCCTTTTTCACCATAGGCCTCAAAGTGCTCATAAATATCCCTTTGCAGATTCTACAAAAAGACTGTTTCCAAACTGCTCAATCAAAAGAAAGGTTCAACTCGGTGAGATGAATGCACACATCACAAAGAAGTTTCTCAGAAAGCTTCTGTCTGGTTTTTATGTGAAGATATTTCCTTTTCACCATAGGCCTCAAAGCACTCAAAAGTGTCCCTTTGCAGATTCCACAAAAAGACTGTTTCCAAACTGCTCAATCAACAGAAGGGTTAAGCTGTGTGAGATGAATGTACACATCATAAAGAAATTCCTCAGATAGCTTACTTTTAGTTTTTAAGTGAAAATACTTCCTTTTTCACCATAGGCCTCAAAGCATTCACAAATATTCCTTTGCAGATTCTACAAGAAGAGAGTTTCCAATCTGCTCAATGAAAACAAACGTTTACCTCTGTGAGATGAATGTACACATTACAAAGCAGTTTCTCAGAAACCTTCTGTCTATTTTTATGTGAAGATATTTCCTTTTTCAACACAGGCCTAAAAAGGGCTCACAAATACTGCTTTGCAGATTCTACAAAAAGACTGTTGTTTACTAATGGCTCAATCAAAAGAAAAGTTCAAATGTGTGAGATGAATGCACACAACAGAAAGAAGTTTCTCAGAAAGCTTCTGTCTAGTTTTTATGGGAAGATATTTCTTTTTTCACCATAGGCCTCCAACCACTCAAAAATATCCCTTTGCAGATTCTACAAAAAGAGTTTTTCCAAGCTGCTCAATCAAAAGAAAGGTTCAATTCTGTGAGATGAATGCGCATATCAGAAAGAAGTTTATCAGAAAGTTTCTGTCTACTTTTTTCCTTTTTCACTATAGGCATCAAAGCGCTCACAAATATCCATACACAGATTGTACAAGAACAGACTTTCCAATCTACTCAATGAAAAGAAACGTTTACCTCTGTGAGATGAATGCACACATCAAAAAGCATTTTCTCAGTAAACTTCTGTCCAGTTTTTATATGAAGATATTTCCTTTTTCACATAGGCCTCAAAGAACTCACAAATATCCCTTTGCACATTCTACAGAAAGACTGTTTCCAAACTGCTCAATGAAAAGAAATGTTCAACTCTGTGAGACGAATGCACCCAACAGAAAGAAGTTTATCAGAAAGCTTCTGTCTAGTTTTTACTTGAAGATGTTTCTTTTTACTATAGGTCTCAAACCACTCACAAATATCCCAGTGCAGATTCTACAAAAAGACTCTTTCCAAGCTGCACAATCAAAACAAAGGTTCAACTTTGTGAGAAGAATGCACACATCACAAAGAAGATTCTCAGAAAGCTTCTGTCCAGTTTTAATGTGAAGATGTTTCCTATTTCACCATGGGCCTGAAAGCACTCACCAATATCCCTTTTCAGATTCTACAGGAAGAGAGCTTCCAATCTGCTCAATGTAAAGAAACTTTTACCTCTGTTAGATTAATGCACGTATCTCAAAGCAGTTTCTCAGAAACCTTCTGTCTAGTTTTTATGTGAAGATATTTCCTTTTTCACCATTGCCCTCAAAGGGCTCACAAATATTCCTTTGCAGATTCTACTAAAAGACCCTTTTAAAACTGCTCAATCAAAAGAAAGGTTCAACTCTGCGGGATGAAAGCACACATCACAAATAAGTTTCTGAGAAAGATTCTGTCTAGTTTTTATGTGAAGATACTACCTTTTTAACCATTGTCCTCAAAGCACTCACAAACATCTCTTTGCTGATTCTACAAAAAGACTGTTTCCAAACTGCTCAATCAAAAGAAATTTTCAACTCTGTGAGACAAATGCAAACAACAGAATGAAGTTTCTCAGAATGCTTCTGTCTAGTTTTTACATGAAGATATTTCCTTTTACACCGTAAGACTCAAACCGCTCACAAATATCTCTTGGCAGATTCTACAAAAAGACTGTTTCCAAACTGCTCAATCAAAAGAAATGTTCAAATCTATGAGATGAATGCACACAACAGAAAGAAGTATCTCAGAACGCTTCTGTCTAGTTTTTACATGAAGACATTTCCTTCTTCACCGTAGGCCACAAACTGCTCATAAATAATATCCCTTTGCAGACTCTACAAAACGACTGTTTCCAAAATGCTCAATGAAAAGATAGGTTCAACTCTGTGAGATGAATGCACACATCATAAAGATCTTTGTCAGAAAGCTTCTGTCTAGTTTTTACATGAAGATATTTCCTTTTTCACCACAGGCCTCAAAGGGCTCAAAAAATCCCTCTGCAGTATCTACAAAAAGACTGTTTCTGCCCTGCTCAATCAAAAGAAAGGTTCAAATCTGTGAGATGAATGCACACATCACAAAGAAGTTTCTCAGACTGCTTCTGTCTCCTTTTTATATGAAGATATTTCCTTTTTCACCATTGGCCTCAAAGTGAACATAGATATCCCTTTGCAGATTCTACAAGAACAGAGGTTCCAATCTGCTCAATGAAAAGAAACGTTTACCTCTGTGAGATGAATGCACACATCACAAAGCTTTTTCTCAGAAACCTTCTGGCTAGTTTTTATGTGAAGATGTTTCCTTTTTCACATAGACCTCAAAGGACTCAAAAAATTCCTTTGCAGATTCTACAAAAAGACTGTTTCCAAACTGCTCAATCAAAAGAAAGTTTCAATTCTGTGAGATGAATTCATACATCACAGTGAAGTTTCTGAGAAAGCTTCTGCTAGTATTTGTGTGAAGATATTTCCTTTTTCACCATAGGCCTCAAACCGCTCACAAATATCACTTTGAAGATTCTACAGAAAGATTGTTTCCAAACTGCTCAATCAAAATAAAGGTTCAACTCTGTGAGATGAATGCACACATCACAAAAGGTTTCTCAGAAAGCTTCTGCCTAGTTTTTACATTAAGATATTTCCTTTTTCACCATAGCCCTCAAAGCAATCACAAATATCCCTTTGCAGATTCTACAAAAAGACATTTTTGAAACTGCTCAATTAAAAGAAATGTTCAACTCCATGAGATGAATGCACATATCCAAAGAAGTTTCTCAGAAAGCTTCTGTTTAGTTTTTATGTGAAAAAATTTCCTTCTTCATCATAGGCCTCAAAGTGCTCACAAATATCCTTTTGCAGATTCTACAAAAATACTGTTTCCAAACTGCTCAATCAAAGAAATATTCAACTCTGGGAGATGAATGCACACATCACAAAGAAGTTTCTCAGAAAGCTTCTGTCTAGGTTTTATGTAAAGATATTTCCTCTTTTGCCTTAGGCCCCAAAGCACTCACAAATGTCCCTTTGCAGATTCCAGAAAAAGACTGTTCCCAAACTGCTCAATCAAAAGATAGTTTCAACCCTGTGAGATGAATGCACACATCACAAAAAAGTTTCTCAGAAACTTCTGTCTTCTTTTTATGTGAAGATATTTCCTTTTTCACCATTGGCCTCAAAGGGCTCAAAAATATTCTTTTGCAGATTCTACAAGAACAGTGTTTCCAATCTGCTCATGAAAAGAAACGTTTACCTCTGTGAGATGAATGCACAGATCACAAATCAGTTTCTAAGAAACCTTCTGTCTAATTTTTATGTGAAGATATTTCCTTTTTAACCATAGGTCTCAAATGGCTCCCAAGTATCCCTTTGCAGATTCTACAATAGGACTGTTTCCAAACTGCTCAATGAAAACAAAGGTTCAACTCTGTGCACACATCACAAAGAAGCTTCTCAGAAAGATTCTGTCTAGTTTTTACGTGAAAATACTTCCTTTTTCACCATAGGCCTCAAAGTGCTCATAAATATCCCTTTGTGGATTCTACAAAAACACTGTTTCCAAACTGCTCAATCAAAAGAAATTTTCAACTCTGTGAGATGAATGCACACAACAGAAAGAAGTTTCTCAGAAAGCTTCTATCTAGTTTTTATGTGCAGATATTTCCTTTTTCACCATAGTCCTCAAACAGCTCAGAAATAACCCTTTGCAAATTCTACAAAACGACTGTTTCCAAAATGCTCTATCAAAAGGTAGGTTCAACTGTGTGAGATGAATGCACACGTCACGTGGCACTTTCTCGGAAAGCTTCTGTCTAGTTTTTATGTGAAGATATTTCCTTTTTTACCATAAGAATCAAAGCGCTCACAAATATCCGTTTGCAGATTCTAAAAAAAAGTATGTTTCTAAAATGCTCAATCAAAAGAATGGTTCAACTCTGTGAGATGACTGCACACCTCACAAAGAAGTTTTTCAGAAATGTTCTGTCTTGTTTTTACTTGAAGATATTTCCTTTTTCAGCATAGGCCTCAAAGCACTCACAAATATCCCTTTGCAGATTATACAAAAAGACTGTTTCCAATCTGTTCAATCAAAAGAAACCTTCAACTCTGTGAGATGAATGCACGCATCACAAATAATTTTCTAAGAATGCTTCTCTCTAGTTTTTATGTGAGGATATTTCCTTTTCACCATAGGCCTCAAATAGCTCAAAAGTATCCCTTTGCAGATTGTACAAAAAGAATGTTTCCAAACTGCTCAACCAAAAGAAGGGTTAAATTCTGTGAGGTGAATGCTCACATCACAAAGCACTTTCTCGGAAAGCTTCTGTCTAATTTTTATATGAAGATATATTCTTTTTCACCATAGGCCTCAAAGCACTAAAAAATATCCCTTTGGAGATTCTACATAAAGACTGATTCCAAACTGCTCAATCAAAAGAAAGTTTCAACTGTCTGAGATGAATGCACACATCACAAAAAAGTTTCTAAGAAAGCTCCCGTCTAGTTTTTATGTGAAGATAATTCCTTTTTCACCATAGGCCTGAAAACGCGTCCAAATATCTTTTGTAGATTCTACAAGAACAGAGTTTCCAATTTGCTCAATGAAAGCAAATTGTTACCTCTGTGAGATGAATGCACACATCACAAAGAAGTTTCTCAGAAACCTTCTTTCCAGTTTTTATGTGAAGATGTTTCCTTTTTCACCATAGGCCTCATTGTGCTCACAAATGTCTCTTTGCAGATTCTACAAAAAGACGGATTCCACACTCCTCAATTAAAATAACGGTTCAAGTCTGTGAGATGAATGCACACATCACAAAGAAGTTTCTCCGAAACCTTCTGACTAGTTTTTAAGTGAGGATATTTCCATTTCCAACATAGGCCTCAAAGAGCTTACAAATATCCCTTTGCAGATTCTACATAAAGACTCTTTCCAAACTGCACACTCAAAAGAAAGGTTCCCCTCTGTGAGATGAATGCACACATCACAAACAAGTTTCTCAGAAAGCTTCTGTCTAGTTTTTATGTGAAGATATTTCCATTATCACTATAGGCATGAAAGAGCCTACAAATATCCCTTTGGAGATTCTACAAAAAGACTGTTTCCAAACTGCTCACTCAAAAGAAAGGTTCAACTCTGTGAGATGAATGCACACATCACAAAAGTTTCTCAGAAAGCTTCTGTATAATTTTTATGCGAAAATATTGCCTTTTTCACTGTAGGCCTCACAACACTCACAAATATTCCTTTGCAGATTCTACAAAAAGACTGTTTCCAAATTGCTCAATGAAAGGAAATGTTCAACTCTGTGAGATGAACATTTGTTCTGTTTCTGTGAGAAACAAAGGAGTTTCTCAGAAAGCTTCTCTCTAGCTTTTATGTGAAGGTATTTCCTTTTTTGACATAGGTATCAAAGCACTCTCAAATATCCCTTTGCAGATTCTTGAAGAACAGAGTTTCCAATCTGCTCAATGAAAAGAAACCTTTACCTCTGTTAGCTGAATGCACACGTCACAGAGCAGATTCTCAGAAACCTTCTGTTGAGTTTTTATATGAAGATATTTCCTTTTTCACCATAGGCCTCAAAGTACCCACAAATATACCCTTGAAGATTCTACAGAAAGACTGCTTCCAAACGGCTCAATGTAAAGAAAGGTTCAGCTCTGTCAGTTGAATGCACACATCACAAAGAAGTTTCTCCAAAAGCTTCTATCTGGTTTTTATGTGAAGATATTTCCTTTTTCACCATAGGCCTCCAACCGCTCACACATATCCCTTTGCAGATTTTACAAAAAGACTTTTTCCAAACTGCTCAATCAAAAGAATTGTTAAACTCTGTGAGGTGAATGCACACATCACAAAGAAGTTTCTCAGAAAGCTTCTGACTAGTTTTAATTTGAAGATATTTCTTTTTCAGCATAGGCCTCAAAGCGCTCACAAATATATCCCTTTGCAGATTCTACAAAAAGACTGTTTCCAATCTGCTCAATCAAAAGAAAGGTTCAATTGTGTGAGATGAATGCGAACATCACAAAGAAGTTTCTGAGAAATCTTCTGTCTTGTTTTTATGTAAAGCTATCTCTTTTTTCACCATAGGCCTAAAGCACTCAAAAATATCCCTTTGCAGATTCTACAAAAACACTGTTTCAAAACTAGTCAATCAGAAGAAATTTTTAACTCTGTGAGATGAATGCAGACATCAAGAAGATTCTCAGAAAGCTTCCGTCGTGCTTTAAGGTGAAGAAATTTCCTTTTTCACCATATCCCTTTGCAGCTTCTACCAGAGCAGAGTATTCAATCTTCTTTATGAAAAGAAACTTTTGCCTCTGTGAGATGAAAGCACACATCACAAAGCAGTTTCCAAGAAAACTTGTGTCTAGTTTTTATGTGAAGATATTTCCTTTTTCACCATAGGCTTCAAAGTGCTCACAAATATCCCTTTGAAGATTCTACTTAAAGACTGTTTCCAGACTGCTCAGTCAAAAGAAACGTTCAACTCTGGGTGATGAATGCACACAACACAAAGAAGTTTCTCAGAAAGCTTCTGTCCAGTTTTTATGTGGAGATTTTTCCCTTTTCACCATATGCCTCAAAGTGCTCACAAATATCCCCTTGCAGATTATACAAAATAAGTTTCCTAACTCCTCAATCAAAACAAAGATTCAACTATGTGAAGTGAATGCACACATCCAAAAAAGTTCTTCAGAAAGCTTCTGTCGAGATTTTATGTGAAGATAGTTCCTTTTTCACCATATCCCTCAAACCGCCTACAAATATCCCATTGCAGATCCTACAAAAAGACTGTTTCCGAACTGCTCAATCAAAAGAAATGTTCAACCCTGTGAGGTGAATGTGCACATAACAAAGAAGTTTCTCAGAAAGCTTTTGTCTAGTTTTTATGGGAAGATATTTCCTTTTTCACCACAGGCCTCAAAGCTCTCACAAATGTCCCTTTGCAGATTCTACAAAAAGACTTTTTCCAAACTTCTCAATCAAAACAAAGGTTCGACTCTGTGAGATGAATGCATCACAAAGAAGTTTCTCAGAAGGCTTCTGTCTAGTTTTTATGTGAAGATATCTCCTTTTTCTCAATGGGAATAAAAGGGATCACAAATATCATTTTGCAGAATCTATCACAAATATCACTTTGCAGAATCTACAAAAAGAATGTTTCCAAACTGCTCAATCAAAAGAAAGGTTCAACTCTCTGAGATGAATGCATGCATCACAAAGAAGTTTCTCAGAAACTTCTGTCTAGTTTTTATGTGATGATATTTCCTTTTTCACCATAGGCCTCAAACGGATCCCAAATATCCCTTTGCAGATTTTACAAAAAGACTGTTTCCAAACTTCTCAATCAAAAGAAAAGTTCAACTCTGTCAGATGAATGCACACATCACAAAAAAGTTTCTGAGAAACCTTCTGTCTACTTTCATGTGAAGAAATTTGTTTTTTCAACATAGGCCTAAAAAAGTTCAGAAATATTCCTTTGCAGATTCTAGAAAAATACTGTTTCCAAACTGCTCAATCAAAAGAAATGTCAACTCTGTGAGATGAATGCATGCATCACAAAGAAATTTCTCATAAAGCTTCTTTTTCTAGTTTTTATGTGAAGATGTTTCATCTTTACCATAGACCTCAAAGGGCTCCCAAATATCCCTTTGCAAATTCTAGAAAAAGACTGTTTCCAAACTGCTCAATCAAAGGAAAAGTTCAGCTCTGTGAGATGAATGCACACATCACACAGAAGTTCCTCAGAAAGCTTCTGTGTAGTTTTTATGTGAAGATATTTACTTTTTCACAGTAGGCCTCAAAGGGCTCCCAAATATCCCTTTGTAGATTCTACAAAAAGACTGTTTCCAAACTGCTCAATGAAAGGAAATTTTCAACTCTATGAGATGAATTCATGCATCACAAAGAAGTTTCTCAGAAAGTTTCTGTCTAGTTTTTGTGTGAAGATATTTCCTTTTTCACCATAGACCCAAAAGGGCCCTCAAATATCACTTTGCAGGTTCTACAAAAAGACTGCTCCCAAACTGCTCAATCAAAAGAAAGTTTCAACTCTGTGAGATGAATGCACACATCACAAAAGAGTTTCTCAGGAAATTTCTTTCTGGTTTTTATTTGAAGATATTTCCTTTTTCAAAATAGGCCTCCAAGGGCTCCTAAATATCCCTTTGCAGATTCTAGAAAAAGAATGATTCCAAACTGCTCAATCAAAGGAAAAGTTCATCTCTGTGAGATGAATGCACACATCATAAAGAAGTTTCTCAGAAAGTTTCTGTCTAGTTTTTATATGAAGGTATTTCCTTTTTCACCATAGATCTGAAACCGCTCAGAAATATCCTTTTGCAGATTCTATGAAGAGATTTTTTCCAAATTGCTCAATGAAAGGAAAGTTTCAACTCTGTGAGATGAATGCACACATCACAAAGAAGTTTCTGAGACAGCTTTTGTCTGTCTAGTTTTTACCTGAAGATATTTCCTTTTTCACCATAGGCCTCAGAGGGCTCCCAAATATCCATTTGCAGAATCTACAAAAACACTGTTTCCAAACTAGTCAATCAAAAGAAAGGTTGAACTCTGTGAGATTGATGCACACATCTGAAAGAAGTTTCTGAGAAAGTTTCTGTCAAGTTTTTATATGAAGATATTTCCTTTTTTACCCTAGGCCTCAAACTGCTCAGAAATATCCCTTTGCAGATTTTCCAAAAAGACTGTTTCCAAACTGCTCAATCAAAAGAAAGGTTCATCTCTGTGAGATGAGTGCACACGTCACAAAGAACTTTCTCAGAAAGCTTCAGTCTAGTTTTTATCTGAAGATATTTCCTTTTCACCATAGGCCTCAAAGGATTCCCAAATATCCCTTTGCAGATTCTACGAAAATACTGTTTCCAAACTGCTCATTAAAAGGAAAATTTCAACTCTGTGAGTTGAATGCACACATTACAAGGAAGTTTCTCGGAAAACTTCTGTCTAGTTTTTATGTGAAGATATTTCCTTATTCACCGTAGTCCTCAAAATGCTAAGAAATATCCCCTTGAAGATTCTAGAAAAAGACTATTTCCAAACTGCTCAATCAAAAGAAAGTTTGAACACTGGGAGATAAATGTGCACATCACAAAGAAGTTTCTCAGAAATCTTCTGGCTAGTATTTATGTGAAGATATTTCCTTTTTCATGATAGTCCTCAAAGAGCTACCAAACATCCATTTGCAGATTCTAGAAAAAGTCTGTTTCCAAACTGCTTTATCAAAAGAAAGCTTGAACTCTGTGAGATGAATGCATGCATCACAAAGAATTTTCTCAGAAAGCTTCTGTCTAGTTGTTTTTATGTAAAGATATTTCCTTTTTCACCATATGCCTCAAAGGGCCGTCAAATATCCCTTTGCAGATTCTGCAAATGGACTGTTTCCAAACTGCTCAATCAAAATAAAGTTTGAACTCTATGAGATGAATGGATGCATCAGAAAAAAGTTTCTCAGAAGGCTTCTGTCTAGTTTTTATGTGAAGATATTTCCCTTTTCCCCATAGGCCTCAAAGGGCCCTCAAATATCCCTTTGCAGATTCCACAAAAAGACTGTTTTCAAACTGCTCAATCAAAAGAAAGGTTAAACTCGGTGAGATGAATGCACACATCACAAAGAAGTTTCTCAGAAAGCTTCTGTCTAGTTTTTAGGTGAACATATTTCCTTTTTCACCGTAGGCCTCAAACCACTCAGAAATATCCCTTTTCAGATTCTAGAAAAAGACTGTTTCCAAACTGCCCAATCCAAGAAAGGTTGAACTCTGTGAGATGAATGCAGACATCACAAAGAAGTTTCTCAGAAATATTCTGTCTGCTTTTTAGGTGAAGATATTTCCTTTTTCACCATAGGCCTCAAGGGGCTCCAAAATATCTCTTTGCAGATCTTACAAAAAGCCTGCTCCCAAACTGCTCAATCAAAAGAAAGTTTCAACTGTGTGAGAGGAATGCACACATCACAAAGAAGTTTCTCATAAAACTTCTGTCCAGTTTTTATGTGAAGATAATTTCTTTTTCACCGTAGGCCTCAAAGCACCCTCAAATATCCCTTTGCAGATTCTACAAAAAGACTGTTTCCAAACTGCTCAATCAAAAGTAAGGTTCAGCTCTGTGAGGTGAATGCACACATCACAAAGAAGTTTCTCAATAAGCTTCTGTCTAGTTTTTATGGGAAGATATTCGCTTTTTCACCATAGGCCTCAAAGGGATCCCAAATATCCCTTTGCATATTCCACAAAAATACTGCTCCCAAACTGCTCATTCAAAAGAAAATTTCAACTCTGTGAGTTGAATGCACACATCACAAGGAAGTTTCTCAGAAATCTCCTGTCTAGTTTTTATGTGAAGATATTTCCTTTTTCACCATAGGACTCAAACTGCTCAGAAATATCCCTTTGCAGATACTACAAAAAGACTGTTTCCAAACTGCTCAATCAAAACAAAGGTTCAGCTCTGTGAGCTGAATGCATACATCACAAAGAAGTTTCTCAGAAAGGTTCTTTCTAATTTTTATATGAAGATATTTCCTTTTTCACCATAGGCCTCAAAACACTCAGAATTATCACTTTGAAGATTCTACAAAAAGAATGTTTCCAAACTGCTCAATCAAAAGAGAGGTTCAAACATATGAGATGAATACACACATCACAAAATAGTTTCTGAGAAAGCTTCTATCTAGTTTTTATATGAAGATATTTCCTTTTTCACCATAGGCCTCAAAGGACTCCCAAACATCCCTTTGCAAATTCTACAAAATGTCTGCTTCCAAACGGCTCAATCAAAAGAAAGCTTGAACTCTGTGAGATGAATGCACGCATCACAAAGAAGTTTCTCAGAAAGCTCTGTCTGGTTTTTATGTGAAGATATTTCTTTTTTCACCATAGGCCTCAAAGGGCCCCCAAATATCCCTTTGCAGATTCCACAAAAAGACTGTTTCCAAACTGCTCAATCAAAAGATAGTTTCAACCCTGTGAGATGACAGCACACGTCACAAAGAAGTATCTCAGAAAGCTTCTGTCTAGTTTTTAGGTGAACATATTTTCTTTTGCACCATAGGCCTCTAACTGCTCAGAGATATCCCTTTGCAGATTCTAGAAAAAGGCTGTTTCTAAACTGCTCAATCAAAAGAAAGGTTCAACTCTGTGAGATGATTGCACTCATTACAAAAATGTATCTCAGAAATCTGTCTAGTTTTAATGTGATGATATTTCCTTTTTCACCATAGGCCTCAAACAGCTCACAAATATCGCTCTGCAGAATTTACAAAAAGACTGCTTCCAAACTGCTCAATCAAAAGAAAGTTTCAACTCTATGAGATGAATGCACACATCACAAAAAGAAGTTTCTCAGAAAGCTTCTGTCTAGTTATTATATGAAGATATTTCCTTTTTCACCACAGGCCTCAAAGCGCCCTCATATATCCCTTTGCAGATTCTGCAAAAAGACTGTTTCCAAAATGCTCAGTGAAAAGAAACGTTCAACTCTTTGAGGCGAATGCACTCATTACAAAGCAGTTTCTCAGAAAGCTTCTGTATAGTTTTTATGTGACGATATTTCCTTAATCACCATAGGCCTCAAAATGCTCGGAAATATCCCCTTGCAGATTCTAGAAAAAGACTGTTTCCAAACTGCTCAATCAAAAGAAATGTTCAACTCTGTGAGATGAATACACACATCACAAAAAGTTTCTCTGAAAGCTTCTGTCTAGTATTTATATGGACATATTTCCTTTTTCACCATAGGCCTCAAACCGCTTTGAAATATCCCTTTGCAGATTCTACAAAAAGACTGTTTCCAAAGTACTCAATCAAAAGAAAGTTTCAGCTCTGTGAGTTGGAAGCACACATCACAAAGAAGTTTCTTAGAAAGCTTCTGTCTAGTTCTTATGTTAAGATATTCCCTTTTTCACCATAGGCCATGAAGAGTTCCCAAATATCCTTTTGTATATTCTAGAAAAAGACTGTTTCCAAACTGTTCAGTCAAAAGAAAGTCTAAACTCTGTGAGGTGAATGCACGCATAACAAAGAAGTTTCTTAGAAAGCTTCTGTCTAGTTTTTATGTGAAGATATTTCATTTTCCACCATAGGCCTCAAACCTCCCCCATGTGTCCTTTTGCATATTCTATAAAAAGACTGTTTCCAAACTGCTCAATCAAAAGAGAAATTCAACAATGTGAAGTGAATGCACACATCAAAAAGTAGTTCCTCAGAAAGCTTCTGTGTAGTGTTTATGTGAAGATATTTCCTTTCACACCATAGGCCTCGAAGGGCTCCCAATTATCCCTTTGCAGATCCTCCAAAAGACTGTTTCAAAACTGTTCAATCAAAAGTAAAGTTCAAATCTGTGAGAAGAATGCACACATCACAAATAAGTTTCTCAGAAAGCTTCTGTATAGTTTTTATATGAAGATATTTCCTTTTTCACCATAAGCCTCAAAGGGCTCCCAAACATCCCTTTGCAGATTATACTGAAAGAGTGTTTCCAAACTGCTCAGTCAAAGGGAAGTTTCAACTCTGTGAGATGCATGCATGCATCACAAAAATTTTTTGCAGAAAGCTTCTGTCTAGTGTTTATGGGAAGATATTTCCTTTTTCACCATAGGCCTCAAAGCACCACCAAATATCTCTTTGCAGATTGTACAAAAAGACAGTTTCCAAACTGCTCAGTCAAAAGAAAGGTTCAAATTTGTGAGGTGAACGCACTCATTAGAAAGAAGTTTCTCAGAAATCTTCTGTCTACTTTTATGTGAATATTTTTCTTTTTTCACCATAGGCCTCAAAACGCTCAGAAATATCCCTTTACAGATTCCACAAAAATACTGTATGCAAACTGCTCAATCAAAAGTAAGGTTCAACTATGTGAGATGAATGCACACATCACAAAGACATTTCTGAGAAAGCTTCTGTATAGTTTTTATGTGAAGATATCTCCTTTTTCACCATAGTCCTCAAAGGCTCCTAAATATCCCTTTGCATATTCTACAAAAGACTGTTTCCAAACTGCTCTATCAAAAGAAAGCTTCAACTCTGTCAGATGAATGCACACAACAGAAAGAAGTTTCTCAGAAAGCTTCTGTGTAGTTTTTATATGAATATGTCCATTTTCACCATAGGCCTCAAACCACTCAGAAATATCCCTTTGCAGATTGTACAAAAAGAGTGTTTCCAATCTGCTCAATCAAAAGAAAGTTTCAAATGTGTGAGACGAATGCACACATCACAAAGATGTTTCTTAGAAAGCTTCTGTTTAGTTTTTATGTGAAAAGATTTCCTTTTTCACCATAGGCCTCAAACTGCTCAGAAATATCCCTTTGCAGATTCTGCAAAAAGACTGTTTCCAAACTGCTCAATCAAAAGAAAGTTTCAACTCTGTGAGATGAATGCACACATCAAAAACAAGTTCCTCTGAAAGATTCTGTCTAGCTTTTATGTGAAGATATTTCCTTTTCCACCATAGGCCTCAACGCACCCCGAAGTGTCCCTTTGCAGATTCTACAAAAAGACAGATTCCAAACTGCTCAATCAAAAGAAAAATTCAAATCTTCGAGATAAATGCACACATCAAAAAGAAGTTCCTAAGAAAGCTTCTGTCTAGTTTTTATGTGAAGATATTTTCTTTTTCACCATAGGCTTCAAAGAGTTCCCAAGCAACCCTTTGCAGATTCCATAAAAAGACTGTTTCCAAACTGCTCAATCAAAAGAAAGTTTGAACTCTGTGAGATAAATGCACGCATAACAAAGAAGTTTCTCAGAAAGCTTCTATCTAGTTTATATGTGAAGGTATTTCCTTTTTCACCAAAGACCTCAATGAGCCCTCAAATATGCCATTGCAGATTCCAGAAAAACACTATTTCCAAGCTGCTCAATCAAAGAAAGGTTTAACTCTGTGAGATGAATGCCAACACAACAAAGAAGTTTCTCAGAAAGCTTCCATCTAGTTTTCATGTGAAGATATTCCCTTTTTCAACATAGGCCTTAAAGCACCTCAAATATCCCTTTGCAGATTCTACAAAAAGAGTGTTTGCAAACTGCTCAATCAAAAGAAAGGTTCAACTCTGTGAGATGAATGCATGAATCACAAAGGAGTTTCTCAGAATGCTTCTGTCTAGTTTTTATGTGAAGATATTTCCTTTTCCACCATAGGCCTCAAATCGCTCCAAATATCCAATTGTAGATTCTACAAAAAGAGTGTTTCAAAACTGGTCTATCAAAAGAAAGGTTCAACTCAATGAGATGAATGCACACATCACAAATAAGTTTCTCAGAATGCTACTGTCTAATTTTGTGTAAAGATATTTCCTTTTCCACTATAGACCTGAAAGTGCTCCAAATATCCATTTGCAGATACTACAAAAAGACTGTTTCCAAACTGCTCAATCAAAAGAATGGTTCAACTCAGTGAATTGAATGCACACATCACAAAGAAGTGTCTGAGAATGCTTCTGTCTAGTTTCTATGTGAAGATATTTCCTTTTCCACCATAGGCCTCAAAGCGCTCCAAATGTCCACTTGCAGATTCTTTAAAAATAGTGTTTTAAAACTGCTCAAAGAAAAGATAGGTTCAACTCTGTGAGATGAATGCACACATCACAAAGAAGTTTCTCAGAATGCTTCTGTCTGGTTTTTATGTGAAGATATATCCTTTTCCACCATAAGAGTCAAAACGCTCCGAATATCCTTTTGCAGATACTACAAAAGGACTGTTTCTAAACTCCTCAATCAAAAGAAAATTTCATCTCTGTGAGTTGAATGCACACATCACAAAGAAGTTTCTCAGACTGCTTTGGTCTAGTTTTTATGTGAAGATATTTCCTTTTCTACCAGAAGCCTCAAAGCGCTCCAAATATCCACTTGCAGATTCTACAAAAAGAGTGTTTCAAAACTGCTCAATCAAAACAAAGTTTCAACTATGTGAGATGAATGCACACATCACAAAGAATTTCCTCAGAATGCTTCCTTCTAGTTTTTATGTGAAGATATTTCCTTTTCCACAATAGGCTTCAAAGAACTCTAAATATTCATTTGCAGATACTAAAAAAGACTGTTTCCAAACTGCTCAATCAAAATAAAGGTTCAACTATGTGAGTTCAATAAACACAACAAAAAGAAGTTACTCAGAATGCTTCTGTCTAGTTTTTAAGTGAAGATATTTCCTTTTCCACTCTAGGCCTCAAAGCACTCCAAATATCCACTTGAAGATTCTACAAAAAGACTCTTTCAAAACTGCTCAATCAAAAGAATGGTTCAACTCTGTGAGATGAATGCAAACATCACAAAGGTGTTAAACAGTATGTTTTTGTCTAGTTTTTATGTGAAGATATTTCCTTTTCTACTATAGGCCACAAAACACTCAAAATATCCATTTACAGGTACTACAAAAAGAGTATTTCAAAACTGCTCAAGGAAAAAAAAGGTTCAACACTGTGAGATGAATGCACACAACAAAAAGAAGTTTCTCAGAGTGCTTCTGTATAGTTTTTATTTGAAGACATTTCCTTTTCCACCACAGTCCTCAAAGCACTCCAAATGTCCATCTGCAGATACTACAAAAAGACTGTTTCCAAACTGCTCAATCAAAAGAAAGGTTAAACTACGTGAGTTGCATGTACACATCACAAAGAAGTTTCTCAGAATGCTTCTGTCTAGTTTTTATGTGAAGGTATTTCCTTTTCCACCATAGGCCTCAAAGTACTCCAAATATAAAATTGAAAATTCTACAGAAAGAGTGTTTCAAAACTGCTCAATCAAAATAAAGTTTCAACTGTGTGAGATGAATGCACACATCAAAAGAAGTTTCTGACAATGCTTCTATTTCTTATGTGAAGATATTTCCTTTTCCACCATAAGCCACAAAGCAGTCCAAATATCCACTTGCAGATCCTACAAAAAGACTTTTTTCCAAACCGCTCAATCAAAAGAAAAGTTCAACTCTGTGAGATGAATGCACAGATCACAAAGAAGTTTCTCAGAATGCTTCTGTCTAGCTTTTATGTGAAGATATTTCCTTTTCCACCATAGGCCTCAAGGCACACCAGATATCCATTTGCAGATACTACAAAATGACTGTTGTTTCCAAACTGCACAATCAAAGGAAAGTTCCAAAATTGTGAGATGAATGCACACATCACAAACTAGTTTCTCAGAATGCTTCTGTAAAGTTTTTATGTAAACATATTTCCTATTCCACTATAAGCCTCAAACCCTCCAAATATATACTAGTAGATTCTACAAAAAGAGTTTTTCAAAACTGCTCAATCAAAAGAAACGTTCAACTCCATGAGATGAATGCAGACATCACAAAGAAGTTTTTCAGAATGCTTTTGTCTAGTTTTTATGTGAAGATACTTCCTTTTCCACTATAGGCCACAAAGCTCTCTAAATATTCACTTGTGGATTCTATGAAAACTGTATTTCAAAACTGCTCAATGAAAAGAAAGGTTCAGCTCTGTGAGATGAATGCACACAACATAAAGAGGTTTCTCAGAATGCTTCTGTATAGTTTTTATATGAAGATATTTACTTTTCCACCTTAGGCCACAAAGACCTCCAAATATCCACTCACAGATATTACAAAAATATTGTTTCAACACTGCTCAATCAAAAAAAGTTTCAACTCTTTCGGATGAATGCACACATCACAAAGGAGATTCTCAAATGCTTCTGTCTAGTTTTTATGTGAAGATATTTCTTTTTTCGATCATAGGCACAAAGCGCTGCAAATATCCACTTGCACATTCTACAAACAGAGTGTTTGAAAACTGCTCAATCAAGAGAAAATTTCAACTCTGTGATATGAAGGCACATAATTACAAACAAGTTTCTCAGAATGTTTCTGTCTAGTTTGTATGTGAAGATATTTCCTTTTCTACCATAGGACTTAAAGCGCTACAAATATCCATTTGCAGATACTACAAAAAGACAGTTTCCAAACTGCTCCATCCAAAGAAAGGTTCAACTCTGTGTGTTGAATGCACACAGCACAAGGAAGTTTCTCAGAATGCTTCTGTATAGATTTTATGTGAAGATATTTCCTTTTCCACCATAGGCCTCAAAGCCCTCCAAATATCCTTTTGCAGTTTCTACAAAAAAGAGTGTTTCAAAACTGCTCAATCAAAGAAAGATTCAACTGTGTGAGATGAATGCACACATCAGAAAGAAGTTTCTCAGAATGCTTCTGTCTAGTTTTTATGTGAAGACATTTCCATTTCCACTATAGGCTGCAAAGTGCTCAAAGTATCCACTTGCAGATTATACAAAAAGAGTGTTTCAAAGCTGCTCTATCAAAAGGAAGGTTCACCTCAGTGAGAGAAATGCACACATCACAAAGAAGTTTCTCAGAATGCTTCTATATGGTTTTTATTTGAAAATATTTCCATTCCAACATAGGCCTCAAAGTGCTCCATATAAACATTTGCAGATAGTACAAAAAGACTGTTTCTAAAATCCTCCATCAAAAGAAAGTTTCAACTCTGTGAGTTGAATGCAAAAATCACAAAGAAGTTTCTCAGAATGCTTCTGTCTAGTTTTAATGTGAAGATATTTCCTTTTCCACCATAGGCCTCAAAGCACTCTAAATATCCATTTGCAGATACTACAGAAAGACTGTTTCCAAACTGCTCAATCAAAAGAAAGCTTCAACTATGTAAGATGAATGCACACATCACCAAGAAGTTTCTCTGAATGCTTCTCTCCAGTTTTTATGTGAAGATATTTTCTTTTCCAATAAAGGCCGCCAATCGCTGCAAATATCCACTTGCAGATTGTACAAAAAGAGTGTTTCAAAACTGCCCGATCAAAAGGTTTCAACTCTGTGAGGTGAATGCACACATCACAAAGAAGTTTCTCATAATGCTTCTGTTTAGTTTTTATGTGAAGATATTTCCTTTTCCACTATAATCCACAAAGCGCTCAAATTTTCCACTTGTAGATTCTACAAAAAGAGTGTCTCAAAACTCCTCAAAGAAAAGGTTCAACTGTAAGATGAATGCACACATCAGGAAGAAATTGCTCAGAATGTTTCTGTCTACTTTTTATCTGAAGATATTTCCTTTTCCACCATAGACTTCAAAGCACTCCAAATACCCATTTGCAGATACTACAAAAAGACTGTTTCCAAACTGTTCAATCCAAAGAAAGATTCAACTCTGTGAGTTGAGTGCACACATCACAAAGAAGACTCTCAGAATTCTTCTGTCTAGGTTTTATGTGAAGACATTTCCTTTTCCACCATAGGCCTCAAAGCACTCCAAATATACACTTGCAGATTGTACAAAAGGAGTGTTTTACAAGTGCTCAATCAAAAGACAGATCCAACTCTGTGAGATGAATGCACGCATCAGAAAGAAGTTTCTCAGAATGCCTCTGTCAATTTTTTATGTGAAGATATTTCCTTTTCCACCATAGGCCTCAAATCACTCCAAATATCCACTTGCAGATTCTACAATAAGAGTGTCTCAAAATTGCTCAATCAAAAGAAAGGTTCAACTCTGTTAGATGAATGCACACATCACAAAGAAGTTCCTCTGAATGCTTCTGTCCAGTTTTTATGTGAAGATATTTCCTTTTGCACTATAGGGCGTGAAGCGCTCCAAGTATCCACTTGCAGATTCTACAAAAACAGTGTTTCACAATTGCTCAATCAAAAGAAACTTTCAGCTCTGTGAGACGAGTGCACACACCATAAGGATGTTTCTCAGAATGCTTCTGTCTAGTTTTTATATGAACATATTTCCTTTTCCACTGCAGGCCTCATATTGCTCCAAATATCCATTTGCAGATACTACAAAATGACTGTTTCCAAACTGCTCAATCATAAGAAATGTTCATCTCGGTGAGATGAATGCACACATCACAAAGTTGTTTCCCAGAATAATTCTGTCTCGTTTTTATGTGAAGATATATCTTTCCCACCATATGGCTCAAAGCACTCCAAATATCCATTTGGAGATACTACAAAAAGACTGTTTCCAAAATGCTCAATCAAAAGAAAGTTTAAACTCCATGAGTTGAATGAACACATCATAAAGAAGTTTCTCAAAATTCTTCTGTCTAGTTTTTATGTGAAGATATTTCTTTTCCACCATAGGCCTTAAAGCGCTAAAAATATCCATTTGCCGATACTACAAAAAGACTATTTCCAAAATGCTCAATCAAAAGAAAGGTTCATCTCTGTGAGATGAATGCACACATTGCACAGAAGTTTCTCAGAATGCTTCACTCAAGTTTTTTTGTGAAGATATTTCCTTTTCCATCGTAGGCCTCTAAGCACTCATACTATCCATTTTCAGATACTACAAAAAGACTGGTTCCAAACTGCTCAATAAAAAGAAAGGTTCAACTCTTTGCATTGAATGCACACATCACAAAGAAGTTTCTCAGAATGGTTCTGTCTAGTTTTTATGTGATGATATTTCCTTTTCCACCATAGGCCTCAAATCGCTCCAAATATCCAATTGCAGATTCTACTGTAAGAGTGTCTCAAAACTGCTCAATCAAAAGAAAGGTTCAACTCTATTAGATGAATGCACACATTACAAAGAAGTTCCTCTGAATACTTCTGTCCAGTTTTTATGTGAAGATATTTCCTTTTGCACTATAGGGCATGAAGCGCTCCAAGTATCCGCTTGCAGATTCTACAAAAACAGTGTTTCACAATTGCTCAATCAAAAGAAACTTTCAGCTCTGTGAGACGAATGCACACATCATAAGGATGTTTCTCAGAATGCTTCTGTCTAGTTTTTATATGAACATATTTCCTGTTCCACTGTAGGCCTCATATCGCTCCAAATATCCATTTGCAGATACTACAAAAAGACTGTTTCCAAACTGCTCAATCAAAAGAAATGTTCAACTCGTTGAGATGAATGCACACATCACAAAGTTGTTTCCCAGAATAATTCTGTCTCGTTTTTAGGTGAAGATATTTCCTTTTCCACCATAGGTCTCAAAGCGCTCCAAATATCCGTTTGCAGATACTACAAAAAGACTGTTTCCAAAATGCTCAATCAAAAGAAAGTTTAAACTCTGTGAGTTGAATGAACACATCACAAGGAAGTTTCTCAGAATTCTTCTGTCTAGTTTTTATGTGAAGATATTACCTTTTCCACCCCAGACCTCAAAGTGTTCCAAATATCCTTTTGCAGATTCTACAAAAAGAGTGTTTCAAAACTGCTCAATCAAAAGAAAGTTTCAACACTGTGAGACGAATGCACACATCACAAACAAGTTTCTCTGAATGCTTCTGTCTAATTATTATGTGAAGATATTTCCTTTTCCACTATGGGTCGCAAATCGCTCCAAATATCCACTTGCAGATTCTACAAAAAGAATGTTTCAAAACTGCTAAATCGAAAGAAAGGTTCAACTCTGTGACATGAATGTACACATCACAAAGAAGTTTCACAGAATGCTTCTGTATACTTTTTATATGAAGATATTTAATTTTCCACTATTGGCCTCAAAGCACACAAAATATCCATTTGCAGATACTATAAAAAGACTTTTTCCAAAATGCTCAATCAAAGGAACATTTCAACTCTCTGACATGAATGCACACATCAGAAAGAAGTTTCTCAGAATGCTTCTGTCTAGTTTGTATGTGAAGATATTTCCTATTCCACTATAGGCTTCAAAGCCCTCCAAATATCCACTGGAATATACTACAAAAACAGTGTTTTAAATCTGCTCAATCAAAAGAAAGTTTCAACCTGGAGGGATGAATGCACACCTCTCAAAGTAGTTGCTCAGAATGCTTCTGAGTAGTTTTTATTTGAAGATATATCCACTTCCATTATAGTCCTCAAAGCGGTCCAAATATCCAATTGCAGATTCTCCAAAAACAGTGTTTCAAAAATGCTCAAAGGAAAGGTTCAACTATATGAGTTGAATGCAAACATCACAAAGAAGTTTCTCAGAATGCTTCCGTTTAGTTTTTATTTGAAGATATTTAATTTTCCACCAGAGTCCTCTAAGCACACCAAATATCCATTTGCAGGTACAACAAAAATAGTTTCCAAAATGCTCAAAAGAAATGTTCAATTCTGTGTCAAATGCACACATCACAAAGAAGTTTCTCATAATGCTTCTGTCTACTTTTTATGTGAAGATATTTCCTTTTCCAGTATAAGCCCCAAAGCTCTCCAAATATCCACTTGCAGATTCTATGAAAAGAGTGTTTCAAAACTGCTGAATCCAAAGAAAAAGTTTCAACTCTGTGAGTTGAATGCACACATCACAAAAAAGTTTCTCAGAATGCTTCTTTCTAGTTTTTATGTGAAGATATTTCCTTTTCCATTACGGCCCTGAAGGTGCTCGAAATATCCACCTGCAGATAGTATAAAAGGCCTGTTTCCAAACTGCTCAGTCAAAGTAAGTTTCAACTCTGTGAGTTGAATGCAAACATCACAAAGATTTTTCTCAGAATGCTTCTGTCTAGTTTCTTTGTGAAGATATTTCCTTTCCACCATAAGCCTCAAAGTGCTCCAAATATCCTCTTGTACATTCCACGAAAAGAGAGTTTCAAAACTGCTCAATCAAAAGAAATGTTCAACTCTGTGAGATTAATGCACATATCACAAATATGTTTCTCAGAATGGTTCTGTCTAGGTTTTATGTGAAGATATTTCCTTTTCCACCGTAGGCTTCAAAGCGCTCCAAATATCCACTTAAAGATTATGCAAAAAGAGTGTTTCAAAACTGCTCAATCAAAAGAAATGTTAAACTCTGTGAGATGAATGCACACATCACAAAGAAGTTCATCAAAATTCTTCTGTCTAGTTTTTATGTGAAGATATTTCCTTTTCCACCATAGGCCAAAAAGCACTCCAACTATCCATTTTCAGATACTACAAAAAGACTGGTTCCAAACTGCTCAATCAAAAGAAAGGTTCAACTCTTTGCATTGAATGCACACATCACAAAGAAATTTCTCAGAATGCTTCTGTCTAGTTTTTATGTGAAGATGTTTTCTTTTCCACTATAGGCTGCATAGCGCTCCAAATATCCACTTGCAGATTGCACAAAAAGTGTGTTTCCAAACTGCTCAATCAAAAGAAAGGTTCATCTCTGTGAGGTGAATGCACTCAACACAAAGATGTTTCTCAGAATGCTTCTGTCTAGTTTTTTATTGAAGATATTTTCCTTTCCAACATTGGTCTCAAAGCCCTCCAAGTATCCACTTGCAGATTCCACAGAAAGAGTTTTTCAAAACTGCTAAATCAAAAGAAAGGCTCAGCTCTGTGAGATGAATACACACATCACAAAGAAGTTTCTCAGAATGCTTCTGTCTGGTTTTTATGTGAAGATATTTCCTTTTCCGCAATAGGATTCAAATCACTCCAAATATTAATTTGAAGATACTATAAAGAGACTGTTTCCACACTGCTCAATCAAAAGAAAGGTTCAAATCTGAGAGTTGAGTGCACATATCCCAAAGAAGTTTCTCCAAATACTTCTGCCTAATTTTTATGTGAAGATGTTTCCTTTTCCACCATAGGCCTCAAAGCGCACAAAATGTCCACTTGCAAAATTTACAAAAAGACTGTTTCAAAACTGCTTAGTCAAAAGTTTCAACTCTGTGAGATGAATGCACACATCACAAGGAAGTTTCTCAGAATGCTTCTGTCTAGTTTTTATATGAGGATATCACCTTTTCCCCCAAAGGCCTCAAAGAGCTCCAAATATCCACTTGCAGATTCTACAGAAAGAGTGTTTCAAAACTACTCAATCAAAAGAAAGGTTCAACACTGTCAGATAAAAGCATGCATCACAAACGTGTTTCTCAGAATGCTTCCTTCTAGTTTTTATGTGAAGATATTTTCTTTTTTTTCTTTTTTTTAATTATTATACTTTAAGTTTTAGGGTACATGTGCACATTGTGCAGGTTAGTTAAATATGTATACATGTGCCATGCTGGTGCGCTGCACCCACTAACTCATCATCTAGCATTAGGTATATCCTTTAACACTATAAGCCGCAAAGCACTCCAAATATCAACTTGCAGATTCTACAAAAAGAGTGTTTCAAAACTGCTCAATCAAAAGAAAGGTTCAAGTCTGTGATATGAATGCACACATCACAAAGAAGTTTCTCAAAATCATTCTATGTAGTATTTATGAGAAGATATTTCCTTTTCCACCATAGGCCTCAAAGCACTCCAAATATCCATTTGCAGAGACTATGAAAAGTGTCTTTCAACAATGCTCAATCAAAAGAAGGCTTCAACTCTGTGAGATGCATGCACACATGACAAAGAAGTTTGTCAGAATGCTTCTGTCTAGTTTTTATGTGAAGATATTCTTTTTCCACCATAGGCCTCAAAGCGCTACAAATATCCATTTGCAGATACTGCAAAAAGACTGTTTCAAAACTGCTCTATCAAAAGAAAAGTTCAACTCCGTGAGTTGAATGCACAGATCACAAAGAAGTTTCTGAGAATGCTTCTGTCTAGTTTATATGTGAAGATATTTCCTTTTCCACCATAGGCTTCAAAGCGCTCCAAATATCCATTTGCAGATTCTACAAAAAGAGTATTTCAAAAGTGTTCAATCAAAAGAAAGTTTCAACTCTGTGAGATGAATGCACAACTCACAAACAAGTTTCTCAGAATGCTTCTGTATAGTTTTTATGTGAAGATATTTCCTTTTCCACTATAGTCCTAAAAGCGCTCCAAATATCCATTTGATGATAATACAAAAAGACTGTTTCCAAAGTGCTCAATCAAAAGAAGGTTCAACTCTGTGAGTTCAATGCACACATCACAAAGAAGTTTCTCAGAATGCTTCTATCTAGTTTTTATGGGAAGATATTTCCTTTTCCAACGTAGGCCTCAAAGCACTCCATACAGGTACTACAGAAAGACTGTTTCCGAACTGCTCAATCAAAAGAAAGGTTCAACTTTGTGAGATGAATGCACACATCACAAAGAAGTTTCTCAGAATGCTTCTCTCTAGTTTTTATGTGAAAATATTTCCTTTTCCACCATAGGCTTCAAAGCAAATATCCATTTGCAGATACTACAAAAAGACTGTTTCCAAACTTGTCAATGAAAAGAAATGTTCAAGTGTGTGAGATGAATGTACATATCAGAAAATAGTTTCTCAGAATGCTTCTGTCTAGTTTTTATGTGAAGATATTTCCTTTTCCACCATAGACCTCAAAACGCTCCAAATATCCACTTGCAGATTCTACAAACAGAGTGTTTCAAAACTGCGCTCTCAAAAGAAAGCTTCAACTCTGTGAGATGAATGCACATATCACAAAGGCATTTCTCAGAATGCTTCTGTCTAGTTTTTACGTGAAAATATTTCCTTTTCCACCATAGACCTCAAAGACTTCCAAGTATCCATTTGCAGATATTTCAAAAAGACTGTTTCCAAACCACTCAATCAAAAGAAAGGTTCAGCTCTGTGAGTTAAATGCACACATCTCAAAGAAGTTTCTGAGAATGCTTCTGTCTAGTTATTATGTGAAGATATATCCTTTTCCATCATAGACCTCAAAGTGCTCCAAATATCCGTTGTAGATGCTACAAAAAGAGTGTTTTAAAACTGTTCAATCAAAAGAAAGTTTCAACTCTGTGAGATGAACTCAAGCTTCAAAAAGAAGTTTCTCATAATGCTTCTGTCTTGTTTTTTAGTGAAGATATTTCCTTTTCCACTATAGGCCTCAAAGTCCTCCAAATATCCATTTGCAGATAATACAAAAAGACAGATTCCAAACTGCTCAACAACATTAGACAGATCAACGAGACAGAAAGTCAACAAGGATACCTAGGAATTGAACTCAGCTCTGCACCAAGCGGATCTAATAGACATCTACAGAACTCTCCACCCCAAATCAACAGAATATATATTTTTTTCAGCACCACACCACACCTATTCCAAAATTGACCACATACTTGGAAGTAAAGCTCTCCTTAGCAAATGTAAAAGAACAGAAATTATAACAAACTATCTCTCAGACCACAGTGCAATCAAACTAGAACTCAGGATTAAGAATCTCACTCCAAACCCCTCAACTACATGGAAACTGAACACCCTGCTCCTGAATGAATACTGGGTACATAATGAAATCAAGGCAGAAATAAAGATGTTCTTTGAAACCAACGAGAACAAAGACACAACATACCAGAATCTCTGGGACGCATTCAAAGCAGTGTGTAGAGGGAAATTTATAGCACTAAATGCCCACAAGAGAAAGCAGGAAAGATCCAAAATTGACAGCCTAACATCACAATTAAAAGAACTAGAAAAGCAAGAGCAAACACATTCAAAAGCTAGCAGAAGGCAAGAAATAACTAAAATCAGAGCAGAACTGAAGGAAACAGAAACACAAAAAACCCTTCAAAAATTAATGAATCCAGGAGCTGGTTTTTTGAAAGGATCAACAAAGTTGATAGACCGCTAGCAAGACTAATAAAGAAAAAAAGAGAGAAGAATCAAATAGACACAATAAAAAATGATAAAGGGGATATCACCACTGATCCCACAGAAATACAAACTACCATCAGAGAATACTACAAACACCTCTACGCAAATAAACTAGAAAATCTAGAAGAAATGGATAAATTCCTCAACACATACACTCTCCCAAGACTAAACCAGGAAGAAGCTGAATCTCTGAATAGACCAATAACAGGAGCTGAAATTGTGGCAATAATCAATAGCTTACCAACCAAAAAGAGTCCAGGACCAGATGGATTCACAGCCCAATTCTACCAGAGGTACAAGGAGGAATTGGTACCATTCCTTCTGAAACTATTCCAATCAATAGAAAAAGAAGGAATCCTCCCTAACTCATTTTATGAGGCCAGCATCATCCTGATACCAAAGCCAGGCAGAGACACAACCAAAAAAGAGAATTTTAGACCAATATCCTTGATGAACATTGATGCAAAAATCCTCAATAAAATACTGGCAAACTGAATCCAGCAGCACATCAAAAAGCTTATCCACCATGATCAAGTGGGTTTCATCCCTGGGATGCAAGGCTGGTTCAATATACGCAAAACAATAAGTGTAATCCTGCATATAAACAGAACCAAAGACAAAAACCACATGATTATCTCAATAGATGCAGAAAAGGCCTTTGACAAAATTCAACAACACTTCATGCTAAAAGCTCTCAATAAATTAGGTATTGATGGGACATATTTCAAAATAAGAAGAGCTATCTATGACAAAACCACAGCCAATATCATACTGAATGGGCAAAAACTGGAAGCATTCCCTTTGAAAACTGGCACAAGACAGGGATGCCCTCTCTCACCACTCCTATTCAACATAGTTTTGGAAGTTCTGGCCAGGGCAATCAGGCAGGGGAAGGAAATAAAGGGTATTCAATTAGGAAAAGAGGAAGTCAAATTGTCCCTGTTTGCAGATGACATGATTGCATATCTAGAAAACCCCATTGTCTCAGCCCCAAATCTCCTTAAGCTGATAAGCAACTTCAGCAAAGTCTCAGGATACAAAATCAATGTACAAAAATCACAAGCATTCTTATACACCAACAACAGACAAACAGAGAGCCAAATCATGAGAGAACTCCCATTCACAATTGCTTCAAAGAGAATAAAATACTTAGGAATCCAACTTACAAGGGATGTGAAGGACATCTTCAAGGAGAACTACACACCACTGCTCAAGGAAATAAAAGAGGATACAAACAAATGGAAGAACATTCCATGCTCATGGGTAGGAAGAATCAATATCGTGAAAATGGCCATACTGCCCAAGGTAATTTACAGATTCAATGCCATCCCCATCAAGCTACCCATGACTTTCTTCACAGAACTGGAAAAAACTACTTTAAAGTTCATATGGAACCAAAAAAGAGCCTGCATTGCCAAGTCAATCCTAAGCCAAAAGAACAAAGCTGGAGGCATCACACTACCTGACTTCAAACTATACTACAAGGCTACAGTAACCAAAACAGCATGGTACTGGTACCAAAACAGAGATATAGATCAATGGAACAAAACAGAGCCCTCAGAAATAATGCCGTATATCAACAACTATCTGATCTTTGACAAACCTGAGAAAACAAGCAATGGGGGAAGGATTCCCTATTTAATAAATGGTGCTGGGAAAACTGGCTAGCCATGTGTAGAAAGCTGAAACTGGGTCCCTTCCTTACACCTTATACAAAAGTCAATTCAAGGTGGGTTAAAGACTTAAACGTTAGACCTAAAACCATAAAAACCCTAGAAGAAAACCTAGGCATTACCATTCAGGACATAGGCATGGGCAAGGACTTCATGTCTAAAACAGCAAAAGCAATGACAACAAAAGCCAAAATTGACAAATGGGATCTAATTAAACTAAAGAGCTTCTGCACAGCAAAAGAAACTACCATCAGAGTGAACAGGCAACCCACAAAATGGGAGAAAATGTTTGCAACCTACTCATCTGACAAAGGGCTAATATCCAGAATCTACAATGAACTCAAACAAATTTACAAGAAAAAAACAAACAACCCCATCAAAAAGTGGGCGAAGGACATGAACAGACACTTCTCAAAAGAAGACATTTATGCAGCCAAAAAACACGTGAAAAAATGCTCATCATCACTGGCCATCAGTGAAATGCAAAACAAAACCACAATGAGATACCATCTCACACCAGTTAGAATGGCAATCATTAAAAAGTCAGGAAACAACAGGTGCTGGAGAGGATGTGGAGAAATAGGAACACTTTTACACTGTTGGTGGGACTGGAAACTAGTTCAACCATTGTGGAATTCAGTGTGGCGATTCCTCAGGGATCTAGAACTAGAAATACCATTTGACCCAGCCATCCCATTACTGGGTATATACCCAAAGGACTATAAATCATGCTGCTATAAAGACACATGCACACCTATGTTTATTGCGGCATTATTCACAATAGCAAAGACTTGGAACCAATCCAGATGTCCAACAATGATAGACTGGATTAAGGAAATGTGGCACATATACACCATGGAATACTATGCAGCCATAAAAAATGATGAGTTCATGTACTTTTTAGGGACATGGATGAGATTGTAAATCATCATTCTCAGTAAACTATCGCAAGAACAAAAAACCAAACACCGCATATTCTCACTCGTAGGTGGGAATTGAACAATGAGATCACATGGACACAGGAAGGGGAACATCACACTCTGGGGACTGTTGTGGGGTGGGGGGACTGGGGAGGGATAGCATTGGGAGATATACCTAATGCTAGATGACGAGTTAGTGGGTGCAGTGCACCAGCATGGCACATGTATACATATGTAACTAACCTGTACAATGTGCACATGTACCCTAAAACTTAAAGTATAATAATAAAAAAAAGAAAATTAAAAAAAAAGACATTTAAAGATTTAAAAAAAAAGAAAGGTTCAACTCTGTGAGATGAATGCACACATCACAAAGAAGTTTCTCAAAATGCTTCTGTCTAGTTCTTATGTGAAGATATTTCCTTTTCACAGTAGGCCTCCGAGAGCTCCAAATATCCATTTGTAGATACTACAAAAAGACTGTTTCAAAATTTCTCAATCAAAAGAAAGTTTCAACTCTGGGAGATGAATGCACACATCACAAAAAAGTTTCTCAGAATGCTTCTGTCTAGTTTTTATGAGAAGATATTTCCTTTTCCAACATAGGCCCCAAATTGCTCCAAATATCCTTTTGCTGATACTACAAAAAGACTGATTCCATACTTCTCAATTAAAAGAAAGGTTCAACACTGTGAGATGAATGTACCCATCACAAAGCAGATTCTCAGAAACTTTCTGTCTAGTTTTTATGTGAAGGTATTTGCTTTTCCAAAATAGGCCTAAAACCGCTCTAAATATACATTTGCAGACACTACAAAAATACTGTTTCCAAACTACTCAATTAAAAGAAAGGTTCAACTCTGTGAGTTGAATGCAGACATCACAAAGAAGTTTCTCAGAATGCTTCTGTCTAGTTTTTATGTGAAGATATTGCCTTATCCACCATAGGCCTCAAATCGCTCCAAATATCCACTTGCAGATTCTACAAAAAGAGTGTTCCAATACTGCTACATCAAAAGAAAGGTTCAACTCTTTGAGTTGAATGCACACATCACAAAGAAGTTTCTCACAATGCTTCTGTCTATTTTTTATATGAAGATATCTCCTATTCCACCATAGGCCTCTGAATGCTGCATATATCCACTTGCAGATTCTACAAAAGGAGTGTTTGAAAACTCTCAATCAAAAGAAAGGATCAACTCTGGGTGGTGAATGCACACATCACAAAGAAGTTTCTCAGAATGTTTCTGTGTAGTTTTTAGGTGAAGATATTTCTCTTTCCACTATAGGCCGTGAAGCGCTCCAAATGTCCACTTGCAGATTTTACAAAAAGAGTGTTTCAAAACTGCTCAAATAAAAGAAAGGTTCAACTGTGAGAATTCAATGCATACATCACAAAGTGGTTTCTGAGAATGTTTCTGCCTAGTTTTTATGTGAAGGTATTTCCTACTCAACCATAGGCCTCAAACCTCTCAAATACCTCTTTGTAGGTACTACAAAAGCACTTTTTCGAAACTGTTCAATCAAAAGAAAGGTTCAACTCTGTGAGTTGAATGCACACAACACAAACAAGTTTCTCAGAATGCTTCTGTGTAGTTTTTATGTGAAGATATTTCCTTTTCCACCACACGCCAAAAGGCGCTCCAAATATCCACTTACAGATTCTCCAAACAGAGTGCTTCAAAATGGTTCAATGAAAAGAAATGTTCAACTCTGTGAGATGAATGCAGATATCACAAAGTAGTTTCTCAGAATGCTTGTGTGTAGTTTTTTTGTCAAGATATTTACTTTTCCATGGTAGACTTCAAAGCGCTCCAAATATCCACTTGCAGATTCTACAAAAAGAGTGTTTCAAAGGTGCTGAATCAAAAGAAATTTTCAACTCTGAGAGATGAATGCACACAGCAGAAAGATGTTTCTCAGAATGCTTCCGTCTAGTTTTTATTTGAAGATATTTCCTTTTCCACCATAGACATCAAATGGCTCCAAATATCCACTTACAGGTCCTACAAAAACAGTGTTTTAAAACTGCTCTATCAAAAGAAATGTTCAACTCTGTGAGATGAATGCACACATCACAAGAATTTTCTCAGAATGCTTCTATGTAATTTTTATGTGAAGATATTCCCTTTTCCACAGTTGTCCTCAAAGCCTTCCAAATATGCACTTAAAGATTCTACAAAAAGAGTGTTTCAAAACTGCTAAAATAAAAGAAAGGTTCAACTGTGTGAGATGAATGCACACATCACAAAGAAGTTTCTCAGAATGCTTCTGTCTAGTTTTTATTTAAACTTATTTCCTTTTCCACTTTAGGCCTCAAATCGCTCCAAATATTTACTTGCAAATTCTACAAAAAGAGTGTCTCCAAACTGCTCAATCAAAACAAATGTTCAACTCTGTGAGATGAATGCACACATCTCAAAGAAGTTTCTCAGAATGCTTCTCTCTGGTTTTTATGTGAAGATATTTCCTTTCCCACTATAGGCCACAAAGCGCTACCAAAATCCACTTTCAGATTCTACAAAAAGAGGATTTCAAAAATGATGAACCAGAAAAAAGGTTCAACTCTGTGATTTCAAGGCATACATCACAAAGAAGTTTCTGAGAATGCTTCTGTCTAGTTTTTATGTGAAGATATTTCCTTTTCCACCATAGGCCTCAAACCTCTACAAATATCCATTTGCAGATAACACAAAAACACTCTTTCCAAACTTCTCAATCAAAAGAAAGGTTCAACTCTGTGCAATGAATGCTCACAACACAAAGAAGTTTATCAGAATGCTTCTGTCTAGTTTTTTTGTGAAGATATTTCCTTTTCCACCATAGGCCTCAAAGCGCTCCAAATATGCACTTTCAAATTCCTACAAAAACAGTGTTTCAAAACTGCTCAAGCAAAAGAAAGTTTCAACTCTGTGAGATGAACGCACACATCATGAGGAAGTTTCTCAGAATGCTTCTGTGTGGTTTTTATGTGAAGATATTTTCTTTTACAGAATAGGCCTCAAAGCGATCAAAATATGTACTTGCAGATTGCACAAAAAGAGGGTGACAAAACTGCTCAATCAAAAGCAAGTTTCAACTTTGTGAGTTGAATGCACACATCACAAAGAAGTTTCCCAGAATGATTCTGCCTAGTTTTTATTCTGAAGATATTTCCTTTTCCACCATAGGCCACAAAGTGCTCCAAATATCCACTTGCAGATTCTAAAAAAGGAGTATTTCAAAACTGCTCAATCAAAAGGAAGTTTCAATTCTGTGAGTTGAAAGCACACATCACAAACAAGTTTCTCAGAATGCTTCTGTCTAGTTTTTATTCTGAAGATATTTCCTTTGCCACCATAGGCCTCAAAGCGCTCCAAATATCCACTTGCAGATTCTACAAAAGAGTGTTTCAAAACTGCTCAATAAACAGAAAGTTTCACCTCTGTGAGTTCAATCCATACATCACAAAGAAGTCCGGTTTTTTTGGTGAAGATATTTCCTTTTCCACCATAGGTCTGAAACCTCTCCTAATAGCCATTTGTAGTTACCACAAATACGCTGTTTCCAAACTCCTCAATAAAAGGAGAGTTTCAACTCTGTGAGTTAAATTCACACATCACAAAGAATTTTTCAGAATGCTTCTGCGTAGTTTTTATGGGAAGATATTTCCTTTTCCACCACAGGCCCCAAAGACCTCCAAATATCCAATGGCAGATTCTTCAAAAACTGTGTTTCAAACCTGCTCAATCAGAATAAGTTCCAACTCTGTGAGTTGAATGCGGACATCACAAAGAAGTTTCTCAGAATGCCTCTGTCTAGTTTTTATGTGAAGATATTTCCTTTTCCACCATAGGACCCAAAGAGCTCTAAATATCCACCTGTAGATTCTATGAAAAGAGTGTTTCAAAACTGCTCAATCAAAAGACAGTTTCAACTCTGTGAGTTGAACACACACAACACTAAGAAGTTTTTTTAGAATGCTTCTGTGTAGTTTTTATGTGAAGATATTTCCTTTTGTACCATAGGCCTCAAACCTCTGCAAATATCCATTTGCAGACACTAAAAAAAGACTCTTTCCAGACTGTTCAATCACAAGAAACGTTCAGCTCCCTCAGCTGAATGCACAAATGAAAAAGAAGTTTCTCAGAATGATTCTGCCTAGTTTTTATGTGAAGATATATCCTTTTCCACCATATGCCGCAAAGGGCTCCAAATATCCAACTGCACATTCTACAAAAAGAGTGTTTCAAAATTGCTCTCTCAAAAGAAATATTCAACTCTGTGAGATGAATGCACACATCAAAAAGAAGTTTCTCAGAATGCTTCTGTGTAGTTTTTATGCGAAGATATTTCCTTTTCCACCATAGGCCTCAAAGCGCTCCAAATATCCACTTTCAGATTCAACAAAAAGAGTGTTTCCAAACTGCTCAATCAAAAGAAAGGTTCAACTCTGTAATACAAATGCAAGCAACACAAAGAAGTTTCTCAGAATGCTTCTGTCTAGTTTTTATGTGAAGATATTTCCTTTTGCACTATAGGCCACAAACCGCTCCTAACATCCATTGCAGATTCTACAAAAAGAGTGTTTCAAAAGTGCTCAATCAATCAATAGCAAGGTTCAACTCTGTGAGTTCAATCCATACATAACAAAGAAGTTGCTCAGAATGCTTCTGTCTTGTTTTTATGTGAAAATATTTCCTTTTCCACCATAGGTCTGAAACGTCTCCTAACATCCATTTGCAGGTATCACAAAAACACTGCTTCTAAACTGCTCAATAAAAAGAAAATTTCAACTCTGTGAGTTGAATGCACACATCACAAAGAAGTTTCTCAGAATGCTTCTGTGTAAATTTTAATTGAAGGTATTTCCTTTTCAAGCACTGGCCTCAAGGTGGTTCAAATATCCAAAGGCAGATTCTACAAAGAGTGTTTCAAAACTGTTCAATGAAAAGATAGGTTCAACACTGTGAGTTGAATGCACACATCAAAAAGAAGTTTCTAAGAATGCTTCTATCCATTTTTTATGTGAAGATATGTCCTTTTCCACTAGACGCAGCAAAGCGCTGCAAATATCCACTTGTAGATTCCACAAAAATAGTGTTTCATAACTGCTCAATAAAGGACAGGTTCAACTCTGTGAATTGAATGCACACATCACAAAGAAGTTTCTCAGAATTCTTCTGTCTAGTTTTTATGTCTAGATATTTCCTTTTCCACCATAGGACACAAAGCGCTCCATATTTCCACTTCCAGATTCTACAAAAAGAGTGTTTCAAAACTGCTCAGTCAAAAGAAAGGTTCAACTCTGTGAGATGAATGCACACATCACAAAGAAGTTTCTCAAAATCATTCTATGTAGTATTTATGAGAAGGCAATTAATTTTCCAACGCAGGCCTCAAATCTCTCTAAATATCCACTTGCAGATTCTTCCAAAAGAGTGTTTCAAAACTGCTGAGTCAAAAGAAAGTTTCAACACAGTGAGATGAATACACACATCACAAACAAGTTTCTCAGAATGCTTCTGTCTAGTTTTTATTTGAAGATATTTCCTTTTCCACCACAGGCCTCAAAGCGCTCCAAATATCCACTTGCAAATTCAGTAAAAGGAGTTTTTCAAAACTGCTCAATCAAAAGAAATGTTCAACTCTGTGAGATGAATGCACTCATCACAGAGAAGTTTCTCAGAATGCTTCTGTCTAGATTTTATGTGAAGATATATCCTTTTGCATTATAGGCTGCAAAGCGCTCCTATTGTCCACTTGTAGATTCTACAAAAAAAGTGTTTCAAAACTGCTTAATCAAAAGAAAAGTTCAACACTTTGAGATGAGTGCACACATCAAGAATTAGTTTCTCCGAATTCTTCTTTCTAGCTTTTATTTGAAGATATTTCCTTTTCCACTGTAGGCCTCATATCGCTGTAAATATACACTTGCAGATTCTACAAAAAGAGTGATTCAAAACTGCTCAATTAAAAGAAAGGTTCAACTCTGGGTTGAACGTACACATCACAAAGAAGTTTCTCAGAATGCTTCAGGTGTAGTTTTTATGTGAATATATTTCCTTTTCCACCATAGACCTCAAGCGCTCCAAATATCCACTTGCAGATTCTACAAAAAAATGTGTTTCAAACTGCTCAATGAAAAGAAACATTCAACTCTGTGAGATAAATGCACACATCACAAAGGAGTTTCTCAGAATGCTTCGGTCTGATTTTTACGTGATGATATTTCTTTTTCCACCACAGGCCTCAAAGCACTCCAAATATCCACTTGCAGATTCTACAAAAGTGTGTTGCAAACTGCTCAATGAAAAGAAAGATTCAGCTCTTTGAGAAGAATGCACACATCACAAAGAAGTTTCTCAGAATGCTTCTGTCTATTTTTTATGTGAAGATATTTCCTTTTCCACCACAGGCCTCAAAGCCCTCCAAACGTCCACTTGCAGATTCTCGAAAAAGAGTGTTTCATAGCTGCTCAATGAAAAGAAATGTTCAACTCTGTGTGATGAATGCAAACATCACTAAGAAGTTTCTCAGAATGCTTCTGTGTAGTTTTTATGTGAAGATATTTCCTTCTCCACCATAGGCCTCAAAGCACTCAAAATATCCACTTGCAGATTCTACAAAAAGAGTGTTTCCAAACTTCTCTATCAAGAGAAAGGTTCAACTCTGTGAAACGAATGCACACATCACAAAGAAGTTTCTCAGAATGCTTCTGTCTTTTTTTATGCGAAGATATTCCCTTTTGGACTTTAGGCTGCAATCAGCTCCCATCATCCATTGCAGATTCTACAAAAAGAGTGTTTCAAATGTGCTCAATCAAAGGAAAGGTTCAGCTCTGTGAGTACAATCCATAGATCACAAAGAAGTTTCTCAGAATGCCTCTTTCTTGTTTTTATGTAAAGATATTTCCTTTTCCACCGTTGGTCTGAAACCTCTCCTAATATCCGTTTGCAAGTACCACAAAAACACTGTTTCCAAATTGCTCAATAAAAAGACAATTTCAACTCTGTGAGTTGAATGCACTCATCACAAAGAAGTTTCTCAGAATGCTTCTGTGTAGTTTTTAATTGAAGATACTTCTTTTTCCACCACAGGCCTCAAAGTCGTCCAAATATCCACTGGCAGATTCTACAAAACCAGTGTTTCAAAACTGCTCAATCAAAGGAAACTTTCTACTCTGTGAGCTGAATTCACACATCTCAAAGAAGTTTCTCAGAATGCTTCTATCTATTTTTTATGTGAAGATATTTCCTTTTCCGCTAGAGGCCGCAAAGTGCTCCAAATATCCACTTGCAGAATGTACAAAAGGCTGTTTCAAAACTGCTCAATAAAGGAAAGGTTCAACTTTGTGAGTTGAATGCACACATCACAAAGAAGTTTCTCAGAATGCTTCTGTATAGTTTTGATGTGTAGATATTTCCTTTTCCACCACAGTACTCAAAGCGCTCCATATGTCCACTTGCAGATCCTACAAAAAGAGCGTTTCAAAACTGCTCGATCAAAAGAAAGTTTAAACTGTGTGAGATGAATGCACACATCAAAAAGAAGTTTCTCAGAATCCTTCTATGTAGTATTTATGAGAAGAAAATTCCTTTTCCACCGCAGGCCTCAAAGGGCTCGAAATATCTACTTGCCGATTCTACAGAAAGAGTTTTACAAAACTGGTGAATCAAAAGAAAGGTTCAAGGCTGTGGGATGAATGCACACATCACAAAGAAGTTTCTCCGAATGCTTCTGTTTAGTACTCATTTGAAGATATTTCCTTTTCCACCGAAGGCCTCAAATCGCTCCAAATATCCACTTGCAGACTCTTCAAAAGGTGTGTTTCCAAACTGCTCAATGAAAAGAAAGTTTCACCTCTGTGAGACGAATGCGCACATCACAAAGAAGTTTCTCAAAATGCTTCTGTCTAGTTTTCATGAGTAGATATTTCCTTTTGCACTATAGGCCACAAAGCGATCCTAATATCCACTTGCAGATTACACAAAGAGTGTTTGAAAACTGTACAATCAAAAGAAAGTTTCAACTCTCTGAGATGAAGGCACACATCACAAAGAAGTTTCCAAAAATGCTTCTTTCTAGTTCTTATGTGAAGATATTTCCATTTCCACCAGAGGCATCAAAGCGCTCCAAATATACCCTTGTAGATTCCACAAAAAGAGAGTTTCAAAACTAATCAATCAAAAGAAAGTTGAACTCTGTGAGATGAAAGCTCACATTACAAAGAAGTCTCACAGAATGCTTCTGTCTAGTTTTTATGTGAAGATATTACCTTTTGCACCATAGGCCGCAAAGCGCTCCAAATATCCACTTGCAGGTTGTACAAAAAGAGTGTTTCAAAACTGCTCAATCAAAAAAAAGGTTCATCTCTGTGAGTTCAATCCATACATCACTAAGAAGTTATTCAGAATTCTTCTGTCTTGTTTTTATGTGAAGATATTTCCTTTTCCACCGTACTTCTGAAACCTCTCCTAATATCCATTTGCAGGTACCGCAAAAACACTGTTTCAAAACTGCTCAATGAAAAAAAAGTTTCAACTCTGTGAGTTGAATGCACACATCATGAAAAAGTTTCTCAGAATGCTTCTGTGTAGTATTTACTTGAAGATATTTCCTTTTTCACCACAGTCCACAAAGCGGTCCCAATATCCATTGGAAGATTCTACAAAACGAGTGTTTCAAAACTGCTCAATAAAAAGAAAGATTCAACTTTGTCAGATGAATGCACACTTCACCAAGAAGTTTTTCAGAATGCTCCTATGTATTTTTTATGTGAAGATATTTCCTTTTCCACTAGAGGCCACAAAGTGTTCCAAATATCCACTTGCAGATTACACAAAAAGAGAGTTTCAAGACTGCTCAATCCAAAGAAAGGTTCAACTTTGTGAATTCAATGTGTACATCACAAAGTAGTTTCTCAGAATGCTTCCGTGTAGTTTTTATGTGAAGATATTTCCTTTTTTACCACAGACCACAAACCTCTCCAAATATCCATTTGCAGATACCACAAAAACACTCTTTCCAAACTGTTCAATCAAAAGAAAGGTTCAACTCTGTGAGTTGAAAGCAGACATCACAAAGAAGTTTCTCAGAATGCTTCTGTGTAGTTTTTATATGAAGATATTTCCTTTTCCACCATAGGCCTCAACGCGCTCCAAATATCCACTTGCAGATTCTAGAAAAAGAGTATTTTAAAACTGCTTAATCAAAAGAAAGTTTCAACACTGTGAGATGAATGCACACATCACAAGTAAGTTTCTCAGAATGCTTCTGTGTAGTTTTTATGTGAAGATATTTCCTTTTCCTCAGTTGGCCTCAATGAGCTCCAAATATCCACTTGCAGATTCTACAAAAAGAGTGTTTCAAAACTGCTCAATGAAAAGAAATTATCAACTCTGTGAGATGAATGCAGACATCACAAAGTAGTTTCTCAGAATGCTTCTGTGTAGTTTTTATGTGAAGATATTTCCTTTTAAACCATAGGCCTCAAATCACTCAAAATATCCACTTGCAAATACTACAAAAAGAGTGTTTCAAAACTGCTCAATCAAAAGAAAGGTTCAACTCTGTGAGAAGAATGCACACATCACAAAGAAGTTTCTCAGAATGCTTCTGTCTGGTTTTTATTTTAGGATATTTCCTTTTCCACCATAGACCTCAAATCCCACCTAATATCCACTTGCAGATTCTACAACTGGTTTTTTTCAAAACTGCTCAATCAAAAGAAAGTTTCAACTCTGTGAGATGAACGCACACATCACAAAGAAGTTTCTCCCAATGCTTCTGTCTGGTTTTTATGTGAAGATATTTCCTTTTGCACTATAGGCCTCAAAGCACTCCTAACATCCACTTGCAGATTCTACAAAAAGAGTGTTTAAAAATAAATAAAATTTAAAAAAAAATTGTCCAATCAAAACAGAGGTTCATCTTTGTGAGTTTAATGCATACATCACAAAGAAGTTTCTCAGAATGCTTCAGTCTAGTTTTTATATCAAGATATTTCCTTTTCCACCATAGGATTCAAAACTCTCCAAATATCCATTTGCAGATACTACAAAACGACTGTTCCCAAACTGCTCAATCAAAAGAACGGTTCAAATTTATGAGTTGAATGCACACATCACAAAGAAGTTTCTCAGACAGCTTCTGTGTAGTTTTTCCTTTTCCAATATAGGCCTCAAAGCACTCCAAATATCCATCTGCAGATTCTACAAAAAGAGTGTTTCTGAATTGCTCAATCAAAAGAAAGGTTCAACTCTGTGAGATGAATGTACACATCACAAAGCAGTTACTCAGAAAGCTTCCGTGTAGTTTTTATGTGAAGATATTTCCTTTTCCAGAAGAGGCCTCAAAGTGCTCCAAATATCCAGCTGCAGATTGTACAAAAAGAGCGTTTCAAATCTGTTCAAGAAAAAGAAAGTTCAGCTCTGTGAGATGAATGCACACATCCCAAAGAAGTTTCTCAGAATGCTTCTGTGTAATTTTTATGTGAAGATATTTCCTTTTCTACCATTGGCCACAAAGTGTTCCAAATATACACTTGCAAATTATACAGAAAGAGTGTTTCCTAATGGCTCAATCAGAAGAAATGTTCAACTCTGTGAGATGAATGCACACATCACAAAGAAGTTTCTCAGAATGCTTCTGTGTAGTTTTTATGTGAAGATATTTCCTTTTCCACAATAGGCCTCAAAGCACTCCAAATATCCACATGTGGATTCTACAAAAAGAGTGTTTCAAAACTGCTCAATCAAAAGAAAGTTTCAACTCTGTGAGATGAAAGCACACATCATAGAAAAGTTTCTCAGAATGCTTCTGTGCCATTTTTACGTGAAGATATTTGCTTTTCCACCAATAGCCGCAAAGGGCTGCAAATATCCACTTACAGATTCTTCAAAAAGAGTTTCAAAACTTCTCAATCAAAAGAAAGGTTCAACTCTGTGAGTTGAGTGTACACATCACAAAGAATTTTCTAACAATGCTTCTGAGTAGTTTTTATGTGAAGATATTTCCTTTTCCACCATAGGCCTCAAATCAATCCAAATATCCTCTTGCAGATTCTACAAAAAAGAGTGTTTCCAAATGCTCAATCAAATGAAAGGTTCAACTCTGTGAGATGAATGCACACATCGCAAAGAAGTTCCTCAGAATACTTCTGTTCAATTTTTATCTGAAGATAATTCCTTTCCCACAATAGGTCCCAAAGCGCTTCAAATATCCAATGGCAGAATTTACAAAAAGAGTGTTGCAAAACTGCTGAATCAAAAGATAGGTTCAACTCCGTGAGATGAATGCAGTCATCACAAAGAAGTTTCTCAGAATACTTCTGTGTACTTTTTATGTGAAGACATTTTCTTTAACACAATAGGCCTCAAAGCACTGCAAATATCCACTTGCAGATACTACAAAAAGAGTCTTTCAAAACTGCTCAATAAAAAGAAAGGTTCAACACTGTGAGATGAACGCACACATCGCAAAGCACTTTCTCAGTATGCTTCTGTGTAGGTTTTATGTGAAGATACTTCTTTAACCACCATAGGCCTGAAACAGCTCCAAATATCCACTTGTAGATTCTACAAAAGGAGTGTTTCCAAACTGAAGGTAATTCCTCTTCCATAATAGGCCTCAAAGTGCTCAAATATCCACTTGCAGAATAGGCCTCAAAGTGCTCAAATATCCACTTGCAGATTCTACAAAAAGTATGTTTCAAAACTGTTCAATCAAAAGAAATGTTCAACTCTCTGTGGTGAATAAACACAACAAAAAGAAGTTTCTCAGAATGCTTCTGTGTAGTTTTTATGTGAAGATATTTCCTTTTCCAACATAGGCCTCAAAAAGCTCCAGATAGCCACTTGCAGATGCTACATAAAGAGTGTTTCCAAACTGGTCAATCAAAAGAAAGTTTCAATTCTGTGAGATGAATGCACACATCACAAAGAAATTTCTGAGAATGCTTCTGTCTAGTTTTTATGTGAAGATATTTCCTTTTCCAACATAGGCTTCAAAGCGCTCCAAACACCTACTTGCAGATTCTACAAAAAGAGTGTTTCAAAACTTCTCAATGAAAAGAAAGGTTCAACTCTGTCAGATGAATGCACACATCAAAAAGAAGTTTCTCAGAATGCTTCTACCTAGTTTTTATTTGAAGATATTTCTTTTCCCAGCATAGGCCTCAAACCTCTCCAAATATCTATTTGCAGATGAAACAAAAACACTGTTTCCAAACTGAGCAAGCAAAAGAAAGGTTCAACACTGAGAGTTAAATGCACACATCACGAAGAAGTTTCTCAGAATGCTTCTGTGTAATTTTATGTGAAGATATTTCGTTTTCCACAGTAGGCCTCAAAGTGCTCCAAATATCCACTTGCAGATTCTGCAAATAGAGTGTTTCAAAAGTGATCAATCAAAAGAAAGGTTCATCTCCATGAGTTGAATGCACACATCATAAAGAAGTTTCTCAGAATGCTTCTGTCTAGTTTTTATGTGAAGATATTTCCTTTTCCACCATTGGACTCAAACCTCTCCAAATATCCATTTGCATTTACCACAAAAACACCGTTTCCCAACTGCGTAATCAAAAGAAAGGTTCAACTGTGTGAGTTACATGCAAACATCAAAAGGAAGTTTCTCAGAATGCTTCTGTGTAGTTTTTATGTGAAGATATTTCCTTTTTCACAATAGGCCTCAAAGTGCTCCAAATGTCCACTTGCAGACTCTCCAAAAACAGTGTTGCAAAACTGCTCAATCAAAAGAAATGTTAAGCTCTGAGAGATGAATGTACATATCACAAAGAAGTTTCTAAGAATGCTTCTGTGTAGTTTTTATGTGAAGATATTTCCTTTTTCACCATAGGCTTCCAAGCTCTCCAAGTATCCAAATGCAGATTCTACAAAAAGAGTGTTTCAAAACTACTCCATTAAAAGAAAGGCTCAACTCTGTGAATTGAAAGCACACATCAAAAAGAAGTTTCTCAGAATGCTTCCGTCTAGTTTTTATGTGAAGATATTTAATTTTCCTCTAGAGGCCACAAAGCGCTGCAAATATCCACTTGCAGATTCCACAAAAAGAGTGTTTCAAAATAGCTGAATAAAAAGAAAGTTTCAACTCTGTTATTTGAATGCACACAAAACAACGAAGTTTCTCAGAATGCCTATGTCTAGTTTTTATGTTAAGATATATCCTTTTCCACAATAGGCCTCAAGGTGAGCCAAATATCCACTTGCAGATTCTACAAAAAGAGTGTTTCAAAACTGCTCTATCAAAAGAAATTTTCAACTCTGTGAGACGAATGCAAACAGCACAAAGAAGTTTCTGAGAATGGCTGTGTCTAGTTTTTATGTAAAGATATTTCCTTTACCACCATAGACCTCAAAGCACTCCAAATATCCACTTGCAGATTCTACAAAAAGAGAGTTTCAAAACTGCTCCATCAAAAGTTAGGTTCAACTCTGTGAGGTGAATTCACACATAACAAAGAAGTTTCTCAGAATGCTTCTGTCTAGTTTTTATGTGAAGATATTTCCTTTTCCACCATAGGCATCACAGTGCTCCAAATATCCACTTTCAGATCCTACAAAAAGAGTGTTTCAAAACTGCCCAATGTAAAGAAAGTTTCAAATCTGTGAGATGAATGCACACATCAGAAAGAAGTTTCTCAGAAAGCTTATGGCTAGTTTTCATCTGAATATATTTCCTTTTCCAACATAGGCCTCAAATCTGTCCAAATATCCATTTACTGACACCACAAAAACACTGTTTCCAAACTGTGCAATTAGAAGAAAAGTTGAACTCTGTGAGTTCAGTGCACACATCACAAAGAAGTTTCAGAGAATGCTTCTGTCTAGTTTTTATGTGAAGATATTTACTTTTCCAACATTGTCCTCCAAGCGCTCCAAATATACACTTGCAGATTCTACAAAAAGAGTTTTTCAAAACTGCTCTCTCAAAAGAAACGTTCAACACTGTGAGTTGAATGCACACAGCACAAAGAAGTTTTGGAGAATGCTTCTGTCTAGTTTTTATGTGAAGATATTTCCTTTTCCACCATAGGCCTCAAAGCGCTCTAAACATCCACCTGCAGATTCTACAAAAGCAGTGTTTCAAAACTGCTCTACCAATAGAAAGGTTCAACTCTGTGAGTTGAATGCACACATCACAAAGAAGTTTCTGAGAATGCTTCTGTCTAGTTTTTATGTGAAGATATTTCGTTTTCCATCATAGGCCTCAAACGGAACAAAATATCCACCTGCAGATTCTACAAAAAGAGAGTTTCAAAACTGCTGCTTCAAGAGAAAGGTTCAACACTGTGAGTTGAGTGCACACATCCCATAGAAGTTTCTGAGACCACTTCTGTCTAGTTTTTAAGTGAAGACATTACCTTTTCCAACATAGGCCTCAAAGTGCTCCAAATATCCATTTGCAGATTCTACAAATGAGTTTTTCAAAACTGCTCTATCAAAAGAAAGTTTCAACTCTGTGAGTTGAATGCACACATCACAAAGAAATTTCTGAGAATGCTTCTGCCTGGTTTATTTATTTATTTATTTATTTATTTATTATTATTATACTTTATTTTTTAGGGTCCATGTGCACAATGTGCAGGTTAGTTACATATGTATACATGTGCCATGCTGGTGCGCTGCACCCACTAACTCGTCATCTAGCATTATGTATATCTCCCAATGCTATCCCTCCCCCCTCCCCCCACCCCACAACGGTCCCCAGAGTGTGATGTTCCCCTTCCTGTGTCCATGTGTTCTCATTGTTCAAATCCCACCTATGAGTGAGAATATGCGGTGTTCAGTTTTTTGTTCTTGCGATAGTTTACTGAGAATGATGATTTCTAATTTCATCCATGTCCCTACAAAGTACATGAACTATCATTTTTTATGGCTGCATAGTATTCCATGGTGTATATGTGCCACATTTTCTTCATCCAGTCTATCATTGTTGGACATTTGGGTTGGTTCCAAGTCTTTGCTATTGTGAATAATGCCGCAATAAACATATGTGTGCATGTGTCTTTATAGCAGCATGATTTATAGTTCTTTGGGTATATACCCAGTAATGGGATGGCTGGGTTAAATGGTATTTCTAGTTCTAGATCTCTGAGGAATCACCACACTGACTTCCACAATGGTTGAACTAGTTTACAGTCCCACCAACAGTGTAAAAGTGTTCTTATTTCTCCACATCCTTTCCAGCACCTGTTGTTTCCTGATTTTGTAATGATTGCCATTCAAACTGATGTGAGATGATATCTCATTGTGGTTTTGATTTGCATTTCTCTGATGGCCAGTGATGGTGAGCATTTTTTCAGGACATAGGCATGGGCAAAGACTTCATGTCTAAAACACCAAAAACAATGGCAACAAAAGCCAAAATTGACAAATGGGATCTAATTAAACTAAAGAGCTTCTGCACAGCAAAAGAAACTACCATCGGAGTGAACAGGCAACCTGCAAAATGGGAGACAATTTTTGCAACCTACTCATCTGATAAAGGGCTAATATCCATAATCTACAATGAACACAAACAAATTTACAAGAAAAAAAACAAATAACCCCATCAAAAAGTGGGTGAAGGACATGAACAGACACTTCTCAAAAGAAAACATTTATGCAGCCAAAAAACACGTGAAAAAATGTTCACCATCACTGGCCATCGCTTCTGTCTAGTTTTTATATGAAGGTATTTCCTTTTCCACCATAGGCCTCGAAGTGCTCCATATATCCACTTTCAGATATCACAAAAAGAGTGTTTCAAAACTGATCTATCAAAAGAAAGTTTCAACACTGTGAGTTGAATGCACACATCACAAAGAAGTTTCTGAGAATGCTTCTCTCCAGTTTTTATGTGAAGATATTTCCTTTTCCACCACAGGCTTCAAAGCGCTCCAAATATCCACTGGCAGATTCTACACGAAGAGTGCTTGAAAAATGCTCTATCAAAAGAAAGGTTTAAGACTGTGAGTTGAAGGCACACATCATAAAGAAGTTTCGGAGAATGCTTCTGTCTAGTTTTTATGTGAAGATATTTCGTTTTCCAACATAGGCCTCAAAGGGAAGAAAATATCCCCTTGAAGATTCTACAAAAAGAGTGCTTCAATACTGCTCTATCAAGGGAAAGGTTTAACAATGTGAGTTTAATTCACACATCACAAAAAAATTTGGAGAATGCATCTGTCTAGTTTTTATGTGAAGATATTTCCTTTTCCAACATAGGACTAAAGGAGCTCCAAATATCCACTTGCAGATTCTACGAAAAGAGTGTTTCAAAACTGTTCTATCAAAAGAAATTTTCAACACTGTGATTTGAATGCACACATCACAAAGAAGTCTCTTAGAATGCTTCTGTCTAGTTTTTATGTGAAGATACTTCCTTTTCCACCATAGGCCTCAATGCACTACAAATATCCCCTTGCAGATTCTACAAAAAGAGTGTTTCAAAACTGCTCTATCAAAAGAAAGTTTCAACAATGTGAGTTGAATGCACACATCACAAAGACGTTACCGAGAATACCTCTGTCTAGTTTTTATGTGAAGATATTTCCTTTTCCAACATAGGACTCCAAGGGAACAAAATATCCCCTTCCAGATCCTACAGAAAGAATGTTTCAAAACTGCTCAATCAAAAGAAAATTTCAAGTCTGTGAGATGAATGCACACATCACAAAGTAGTTTCAGAGAATGCTTCTCTCTAGTTTTTATGTGAAGATATTTTCTTTTCCACCGTAGGCCTCAAAGCGCTCTAGATATCCACTTGCAGATTCTACAAATAGAGAGTTCCAAAACTGCTCTATCAAAATAATGGTTCAAGTCTGTGAGTTGAATGCGCACATCACAAAGAAGTTTCTGAGTATGCTTCGGTTTACTTTTTATGTGAAGATATTTCCTTCTCCAATGTAGGCCTAAAACCACTCCAAATATAGACTTGCAGATTCAACAAAAAGAGTGTTTCAAAACTTCTCTATCAAAAGAAAGGTTCAACTCTCTGAGTTGAATGCCCTCATCACAAAGAAGTTTCTGAGAATGCTTCTGTCTGGTTTTTATATGAAGATATTTCCTTTTCCACAATAGGCCTGAAAGTGCTCCAAATATCCACTTGCAGATTCTACAAAAAGAGTATTTCAAAACTGGTCTATCAATACAAAGGTTCAACTCTGTGAGTTGAATGCCCAAATCTCAAAGAAGTTTCTGAGAATGCTTCTGTCTAGTTTTTAGGTGAAGATATTTCCTTTTCCACCATAGGCCTCAAATCGCTCCAAATATCCACTCGCATTTTCTACAAAAAGACTTTCAAAACTGCTGTATCAAAAGAAAGTTGAACTCTGTGAATTGAATGCGAACATTACAAAGAAGTTTCTGAGAATGCTTCAGTCTAGTTTTTATGTGAAGATATTTCCATTTCCACCATAGGCCTCAAAGCATCCCAAATATCCACTTGCAGATTCTACAAAAAGAGTGTTTCAAAACTGTTCTATCAAAAGAAAGGTTCAACTCTGTGAGTAGAAAGTACACATCACAAAGTAGTTTCAGAGAATGCTTCTGTGTAGTTTTCATGTGACGATATTTCCTTTTCCAACCTATGCCTCAAAGCGCTGCGAATATCCATCTGCATTTTCTTCAAAAAGAGAGATTCAATACTGTTCATCAAAAGAAAGGTTCAACTGTGTGAGTTGAATGCAAACATCACAATGTAGTTTCTGAGAATTATTCTATCTAGTTTTAATGTGAAGATCTTTCATTTTCCCCCGTAGTGATCAATGAGCTCCAAATATTCACTTTCAGATTCTACCAAAAGAGTGTTTAAAAACTGCTCTATCAAAAGAAAGGTTCAACACTGTGACTTGAATGCACACATCACAAGAAGCTTCTGAGAATGCTTGTGTCTAGTTTTATGTGAAGATATTTCGTTTTCCAACAAAGGCCTCAAAGGGAACCAAATATCCACTTGCAGATTCTACAAAAAGAGTGTTTCAAAACTGCTCTATCAAAAGAAAATTTCATCTCTGTGAGTTGAATGCCCACATCACAAAGAAGTTTCTTGGAATGCTTCTGTCTAGTTTTTATGTGAAGATATGTCCTTTTCCACCATAGGCCTCCAAGGCCTGCGAATATCCACTTGCACTTTCTTCAAAAAGAGACTTTCAAAACTGCTCTTTCATAAGAAAGTTTCAACCCTGTGAGTTCAATGCCCACATCATAAAGAAGTTTCAGAGAATGCTTCTGTCTAGTTTTTATGTGAAGATATTTCCTTTTCCATCGTAGGCCTCAAATCGCTCCAAATATCCAGTTGCATTTTCTACAAAAAGACTTTCAAAACTGCTGTATCAAAAGAAAGGTTGAACTCTGTGAGTTGAATGCGAACATCACAAAGAAGTTTCTGAGAATGCTTCAGTCTAGTTTTTAAGTGAAGATATTTCCATTTCCACCATAGGCCTCAAAGCACTTCAAATATCAACTTGCAGATTCTACAAAGAGAGTGTTTCAAAACTCCTCTATCAAAAGAAAGGTTCAACTCTGTGAGTAGAAAGCACACATCACAAAGTAGTTTCGGAGAATGCTTCTGCGTAGTTTTCATGTGAAGATATTTCCTTTTCCAACCTATGCCTCAAAGCGCTGCGAATATCCACCTGCATTTCCTTCAAAAAGAGAGATTCAATACTGTTAGATCAAAAGAAAGGTTCAACTGTGTGAATTGAATGCAAACATCACAATGTAGTTTCTGAATATTCTTCTATCTAGTTTTAATGTGAAGATCTTTCCTTTTCCCCCATAGTGATCAATGCACTCCAAATATTCACTTTCAGATTCTACCAAAAGAGTGTTTAAAAACTGCTCTATCAAAAGAAAGGTTCAACACTGTGACTTGAATGCACACATCACAAGAAGCTTCTGAGAATGCTTGTGTCTAGTTTTATGTGAAGATATTTCATTTTCCAACAAAGGCCTCAAAGGGAACCAAATATCCACTTGCAGATTCTACAAAGAGTGTTTCAAAACTGCTCTATCAAAAGACAGTTTCATCTCTGTGAATTGAATGCCCACATCACAAAGAAGTTTCTTGGAATGCTTCTGTCTAGTTTTTATGTGAAGATATGTCCTTTTCCACCATAGGCCTCCAAGGCCTGTGAATATCCACTTGCATTTTCTTCAAAAAGAGACTTTCAAAACTGCTCTTTCAAAAGAAAGATTCAACCCTGTGAGTTCAATGCCCACATCATAAAGAAGTTTCAGAGAATGCTTCTGTCTAGTTATTATGTGAAGATATTTCCTTTTCCACCAAAGGCCACAAAGCGCTCCAAATATCCACTTTCAGATTATACAAGAAGAGTGTTTCAAAACTGCTCTATTGAAGGAAATGTTCAATTCTGTGAGTTGAATGCACACATCACAAAGAAGTTTCTGAGAATGCTTCTGTCTAGTTTTTATGTGAAGATATTTCATTTCCAACATAGTCTTCAAAGGGAACAAGATATCCACCTGCAGATATTCCAAAAAGAGTGTTTCAAAACTGCTCTATCAAAAAAAAGGTTCAAATCCATGAGTTGAATGCACACATCACAAAGAAGTCTCTGAGAATGCTTCTGTCTGGTTTTAATGGTAAAATATTTCGTTTTCAAACATAGGCCTCAAAGGGAACCAAATATCCACTTGCAGATTCTACAAAAAGAGTGTTTTAAAACTACTCTATCCAAAGAAAGGTTCAACACTGTGAGTTCAATGCACACATCACAAAGAAGTTTCTGAGAATGCTTCTCTTTAGTTTTTATCTGTAGATATTTCCTTTTCCACCACAGGACCCAAAGCGCTTCAAATATCCACTTGGAGATACTACAAAAACTGCTCTATCAAAAGAAAGGTTCAACTCTGAGAGCTGAATGCACATATCACAAAGAAGTTTCTGAGAATGCTGGTGTCCAGGTTTTATGAGAAGATATTTCGTTTTCCAACAAAGGCCTCAAAGGGAACCAAATATCCACTTGCAGATTCTACAAAAAGAGTGTTTCAAAACTGCTCTATCAAAAGAAAGTTTCATCTCTGTGAGTTGAATGCCCACATCACAAAGAAGTTTCAGGGAATGATTCTGTCAAGTTTTTATGTGAAGATATGTCCTTTTCCACCATAGGTCTCCAAGGCCTGCGAATATCCACTTGCATTTTCCTCAAAAAGAGACTTTCAAAACTGCTCTTTCATAGGAAAGTTTCAACCCTGTGAGTTCAATGCCCACATCATAAAGAAGTTTCAGAGAATGCTTCTGTCTAGTTTTTATGTGAAGATATTTCCTTTTCCTTCATAGGCCTCAAATCGCTCCAAATATCCACTTGCATTTTCTACAAAAAGACTTTCAAAACTGCTGTATCAAAAGAAAGGTTCAACTCTGTGAGTAGAAAGCACACATCACAAAGTAGTTTCGGAGAATGCTTCTGTGTAGTTTTCATGTGAAGATATTTCCTTTTCCAACCTACGCCTCAAAGCGCTATGAATATCCACCTGCATTTTCTTCAAAAAGAGAGATTCAATGCTGTTCGATCAAAAGAAAGGTTCAACTGTGTGAGTTGAATGCAAACATCACAATGTGGTTTCTGAGAATTATTCTATCTAGTTTTAATGTGAAGATCTTTCCTTTTCCCCCATAGTGATCAATGCGCTCCAAATGTTCACTTTCAGATTCTACCAAAAGAGTGTTTAAAAACTGCTCTATCAAAAGAAAGGTTCAACACTGTGACTTGAATGCACACATCACAAGAAGCTTCTGAGAATGCTTGTGTCTAGTTTTATGTGAAGATATTTCGTTTTCCAACAAAGGCCTCAAAGGGAACCAAATATCCACTTGCAGATTCTACAAAAAGAGTGTTTCAAAACTGCTCTATCAAAAGACAGTTTCATCTCTGTGAATTGAATGCCCACATCACAAAGAAGTTTCTGGGAATGCTTCTGTCTAGTTTTTATGTGAAGATATGTCCTTTTCCACCATAGGCCTCCAAGGCCTGTGAATATCCACTTGCATTTTCTTCAAAAAGAGACTTTCAAAACTGCTCTTTCAAAAGAAAGATTCAACCCTGTGAGTTCAATGCCCACATCATAAAGAAGTTTCGGAGAATGCTTCTGTCTAGTTTTTATGTGAAGATATTTCCTTTTCCACCAAAGGCCACAAAGCGCTCCAAATATCCACTTTCAGATTATACAAGAAGAGTGTTTCAAAACTGCTCTATTGAAGGAAATGTTCAATTCTGTGAGTTGAATGCACACATCACAAAGAAGTTTCTGAGAATGCTTCTGTCTAGTTTTTATGTGAAGATATTTCATTTCCAACATAGTCTTTAAAGGGAACAAAATGTCCACCTGCAGATGTTCCAAAAAGAGTGTTTCAAAACTGCTCTATCAAAAGAAAGGTTCAAACCCATAAGTTGAATGCACACATCACAAAGAAGTCTCTGAGAATGCTTCTGTCTGGTTTTAATGGTAAAATATTTCGTTTTCAAACATAGGCCTCAAAGGGAACCAAATATCCACTTGCAGATTCTACAAAAACAGTGATTTAAAACAGCTCTATCCAAAGAAAGGTTCAACACTGTGAGTTCAATGCACATATCACAAAGAAGTTTCTGAGAATGCTTCTCTTTAGATTTTATGTGTAGATATTTCCTTTTCCACCGTAGGACTCACAGCACTTCAAATATCCACTTGGAGATACTACAAAAAGAGCGTTTCAAAACTGATCTATCAAAAGAAAGTTCAACTCTGTGAGCTGAATGCACACATCACAAAGAAGTTTCTGAGAATGCTGGTGTCCAGGTTTTATGAGAAGATATTTCCTTTTTCACCATAGGCCTCAAAGGGAACCAAATATCCACTTGCAAATTCTACAAAAAGAGTGTTTCAAAACTGCTCTAACAAAACTGTTCAACTCTGTGAGATGAATGCAGACATCACAAAGAAGTTTCGGTGATTGCTTCTGTCTAGTTTTTAAGTGAAGATATTTCCTTTTCAACCGTAGACATCAAAGTGCTCCAAATATCCACTTGCAGATTCTACAAAAAGAGTGTTTCAAAATTGCTCTATCAACAGCATAGTTCTACTCTGTGAGCAGAATGCATACACCCACGGATGTTTCTGAGAATGCTTCTGTGTAGTTTTTTGTGAAGATAATGCCTTTTCCACCATAGGCCTCATGGCACTCCTAATATTCACTTCCAGATTCTACAAAAAGAGTGTTTCAAAACTGCTCTATCAAAAGAAAGGCTCAAGTCTGTGAGTTGAATGCACACATCACAAGGAAGTTTCACAGAATGCTTCTGTCTACTTTTTATGTGAACATATTTCCTTTTCCACCATAGACCAAAAGGCGTTCCAAATATCCACTTGCAGATTCTACAAAAAGAGTGTTTCAAAACTGCTCTATCAAAAGAAAGGTTCAACTGTGTGAGTTGAATGCATAAATCACAAAGGTGTTTCGGAGAATGCTTCTGTCTAGTTTTTAACTGAAGATATTTCCTTTTCCACCATAGGCTTCAAAGCGTTCCAAATATCCACTTGCAGATTCTGCAAAAAGAGTGTTTCAAAACTGCTTTTTCAAAAGAAAGGTTCAACTCTGAGAATTGAATTCACAAATCACAAAGTAGTTTCTGAGAATGCTTCTGTCCAGTTTTTAATTAAACACATTTCGTTTTCCAGTATAGGCCTCAAAGCACTCCAAATATCCACTTGCAGATTCTACAAAAACAGTGTCTCAAAACTGCTCTAAAAAATAAAGTTTCAACTCTGAGAGTTGAATGCACACATGACAAAGGAGTTTCTGAGAATGCTTCTGTCTAGTTTTTATGTGAAGATATTTCCTATTCCAACTTACGCCTCAGAGGAAACAAAATATCCCCTTGCAGATACTACAAAAAGAGTGTTTCAAAACTGCTCTATCAAAAGAACTTTCTAACTCTGGGAGTTGAACTCACACATCACAAAGAAGTATTGGGGAATGCTTTTGTCTAGTTTTTATGTTAAGATATTTCGTTTTCCAACATAGGCCTCAAAGGGAACAAAATATCCACTTGCAGATTCTACAAAAAGAGTGTTTCAAAACTGCTCTATCAAAACAAATTTTCAACTCTGGGAGTTGAATGCACAAACCACAAAGCAGTTTATGAGAATGTTTCTGTCTAGTTTTTATGTGAAGGTATTTCGTTTTCCAACATAAGCCTCAAAGGGAACCAAATATCCCCTTGCAGATTCTACAGAAAGAGGATTTCAAGACTGCTCCAACAAAAGAAACTTTCAACACTGTGAGTTGCATGCACACATCACAAAGAAGTTTTGGAGAATGCTTCTGTCTAGTTTTTATGTGAAAATATTTCCTTTTCCACGTAAGGCCTCAAAGGGATCGAAATATCCACTTGCAGATTCCACAAAAAGAGTGTTTCAAAACTGTTCTATCAAAAGAAAGGCTCAAGTCTATGAGTTGAATGCACACATCACAAAGAAATTTCGCAGAATGCTTCTGTCTAGTTTTATGTGAAGATATTTCCTTTTCCACCATAGGCCTCAAGGCGCTCCAAATATCCACTTCCAAATTCTTCAAAAAGAGTGTTTCAAAACTGCTCTATCAAAAGAAAGGTTCAACTGTGTGAGTTGAATGCGCACATCAAAAAGATGTTTCGGAGAATGCTTCTGTCTAATTTTTATGTGAACATATTTCCTTTTCTCCATAGGCCTCAAAGCTTTCAAATACCACTAGCAGATTCCGCAAAAAGAGTGTTTCAAAACTGCTCTATCAAAAGAATGGTTCAACTCTGTGAGTTGAATGCACAAATCACAAAGCAGTTTCAGAGAATACTTGTGTCTAGTTTTTATGTGAAGACTTTTTGTTTTCCAATATAGGCCTCAAAGCGCTCCAAATATCCACTTGTAGATCCTACAAAAAGAGTGTTTCAAAACTGTTCTATCAAAAGAAATGTTCAACTCTGTGAGTTGAATGCGCACATCACAAAGCAGTTTATGAAAATGTTTCTTCTACTTTTTATGTGAAGATATTTCGATTTCCAACATAAGCCCCAAAGGGAACCAAATATCCACTTGCAGATTCTACAAAAAGAGTGTTTCCAAGCTGTGCCATCCAAAGAAATGTTCAACTCTGTGAGTTGAATGCACACATCACAAAGAAGTTTCGGAGAATGCTTCTATCTAGCTTTTATGTGAAGATATTTCCTTTTCCACCATAGGCCTCAAAGCACTCCAAATATCAACTTGCAGATTCTACAAAAAGATTGTTTCAAAACTGCTCTATCAAAAGAAAGGTTCAACACTGTGAGTTGAATGTACACATCACAAAGAATTTTCTGAGAATTCTTCTGTCTAGTTTTTATGTGAAGATATTTCTTTTTCCACAATAGGCCTTAAAGCGCTGCAAATACCCATTCGCAGATTCTACAAAAAGAGTGTTTCAAAACTGCTGTATAAAATGAAAGGTTGAACTCTGAGTTGAATGCACAGACCACAAAAAGTTTCGGAGAATGCTTCTGTCTAGTTTTATAGTGATGATATTTCCTTTTCCACCATAGGCCTTAAAGCGCTGCAAATATCCACTTGCAGATTCTACAAAAAGAGTGCTTCAAAACTGCTCTATCAAAAGAGAGGTTCAACTCTGTGAGTTGAATGCACACATCTCAAAGAAGTTTCTGAGAATGCTTCTGTCTACTTTTTATGTGAAGATATTTCGTATTCCATCATAGGCCTCAAAGGAAACCATATATCCCCTTGCAGATTCTACAAAAAGAGTGTTTCAAAACTGCTCTATCAAAAGAAAGTTCTAACTCTGTAAGTTGAATGCGCACACCACAAAGAAGTTTCGGGGAATGCTTTTGTGTAGTTTTCATGGGAAGATATTTCATTTTCCAACATAGGCCTCAAAGGGAACAAAATATACCCTTGCAGATTTAACCAAAACAGTGTTTCACAACTCTTCTATCAAAAGAAAGTTTCAACTCTGTGAGTTGAATGCACACAACGCAAAGAAGTTTTGGAGAATGCTTCTGTCTAGGTTTTAAGTGAAGATATTTCCTTTTCCACCATGTGCATCAAAGTGCTCCAAATATCCACTTGCAGATTCTACAAAAAGAGTGCTTCAAAACTGCTCTATCAACAGAAAAGTTAAACTCGGTGAGTTGAATGCACACATCACAGAGCAGTTTTTGAGAATGTTTCTGTCTAGTTTTTATGTGAAGATGTGTCTTCTTCAACCATAGGCCACTAAGGGAACCAAATATCCACTTGCAAATTCTACAAAAAGAGAGTTTCAAAACTGCTGTAGCCAAAGAAAGGTTCAACCCTGAGAGTTGAATGCACACATCACAAAGAAGTTTCTGAGAACGCTTCTGTCTAGTTTTTATGGGAAGATATTTCCTTTTCCACCATAGGCCTCAAAGCGCTCCTAATATTCACTTGCAGACTCTACAAAAAGAGTGTTTCAAAACTGCTCTATGAATAGAAACTTTCAACTCTGTGAGTTGAATGTACACATCACAAAGAAGTTTCTGAGAATGCTTCTCTTTAGTTTTTATGTGAAGATATTACATATTCCAACATAGGCCTCAGAGGGAACCAAATATCCACTTGCAGATTCTACAAAAAGTGTGGTTCAAAACTGCTCTATCAAAAGAATGGTTCAACTCTGTGAGTTGAATGCACAAATCACAAAGTAGTTTCGGAGAATGCATCTGTCTAGTTTTTATGTTAAGTTATTTCATTTTCCACCAGTGGGCTCAAAGCACTCCAAATATCCACTTGCAGATTCTACAAAAGGGGAGTTTCAAAACTGCTCTATAAAAAGAAAGGTTCAACTATGTGAGTTGAATGTACACATCATAAAGAAGTTTCAAATGCCCCCATCACAAAGAAGCTTCTGAGAATGCTTCTATCTAATTTTTATGTGAAGATATATCCATCATAGGCCTCAAATCACTCCAAATATCCACATGCAGATTCTACAAAAACAGTGTTTCAAAACTCGTCTATCAAAAGAAAGGTTCAACTCTGTGAGATGAATGCACACATTACAAAGAAGTTTCAGAGAATGCTTGTGTCTAGTTTTTTTGTGAAGATATTTCATTTTCACCATAGGCCACAAAGGGAACAAAATATCCACTTGCAGATTCTTCAAAAAGAAAGTTTCACAACTGCTCTATCAAAAGAAAGGTTCAACTCTGTGAGTTGAATGCACACATCAAAAAGAAGTTTCTGAGAATATATCTGTCTAGTTTTTATGTGAAGATATTTCATTTTCCAACATAGGCCTCAACGGGAAAGAAATATCCCCTTACAGATTCCACAAAAAGAGTGTTTCAATTCTACTCTATCAAAAGAAAGGTTCAACTCTGTGAGTTGAATGCACACATCACAAAGAAGTTGCAGAGAATGCTTCTGTCTAGTTTTTATGTGAAAATATTTCCTTTTCCACAATAGGCCTCAAAGCGCACCAAATACCCACTTTCAGGTTCAACAAAAAGAATGTTTCAAAATTGCTACATCAAAAGTAAGGTTCAGCTCTATGAGGTGAATGCGCAGATCACAAAAAAGTTTCAGAGAATTCTTCTGTCTAGTTTTTATGTGAAGATATTTCGTTTTCCAATGTAGGCCTCCAAGCACTCGAAACATCTACCTGCAGATTCTACAAAAAGAGTGTTTCAAAACTGCTCTATCAAAAGAAAGGTTCAACTCTGTGAGTTGAATGCACACATCACAAATCAGCTTCTGACAATGCTTCTGTCTAGTTTTTATGTGAAGATATTTCCTTTTCCAACATAGGCGTCAAAGGGAACCAAATATCCACTTGCAGATCCTACAAAAAGAGTGTTTCAAAACTGCTCTATCGAAGGAAATGTTCAATTCTGTGAGTTGAATGCACACATCACAAAGAAGTTTCTGAGAATGCTTCTGTCTAGTTTTTTATGCGAAGATATTTCCTGTTCCACCATAGGACTCACAGCACTCCAAATATTCTCTTGCAGATTCTACTAAAAGAGCTTTTCAGAACTGCTAGGTCAAAAGAAAGGTTCAACACTCTGAGTTGAATGCACGCATCACAAAGAAGTTTCTCAGAATTCTTGTGTCTTGTTTTTATGTGAAGATATTTATTTTTTCACCATAGGCCTCAAAGGGAAAAATCTATCCCCTTGCAGATTCTACAAAGGATGTTTCAAAACTGCTCTATCAAAAGAAAGGTTCAACTCTGTGAGATGAATGCACACAACACAAAGAAGTTTTGGAGAATGCTTCTGTCCAGTTTTTATGTGCAGATATTTCCGTTTCCACCATAGGCCTCAAAGCGCTCCAAATATCCACTTGCAGATTGTACAAAAAGAGTGTTTCAAAACTGCTCTATCAAAAGAAATTTCAACTCTGTAAGTTGAATGCACACACCACGAAGAAGTTTCTGAGAATGCTTCTGTCTAGTTTTTATATGAAGATATTTCCTTTTCCACCATAGGACTCAAAGCACTCCAAATATCCACTTGCATATTCTACAAAAAGATTGTTTCAAAACTGCTCTATCAAAAGAAAAGTTCATCTCTGTGAGTTGAATGCACACAGTACAAAGAAGTTTCTGAGAATGCTTCTGTCTAGTTTTTATGTGGAGATATTTTTTTTCCAACATAGGCCTCAAAGGGAACAAAATATCCCCTTTCAGATACTACAAAAATAGTGTTTCAAAACTGCTCTATCAAAGGAAAGGTTCAGCTCTCCGAGTTGAATGCACACATCACAGAGCAGTTTCTGAGAATGCTTCTGTTTCGTTTTATGTGAAGATATTTCGTTTTCCATCGTAGGTCTCAAAGGGAACAAAATAACCAGCTGTAGATACTACAGAAAGAGTGATTCAAAACTGCTCTATCAAAAGAAAGGTTCAACTCCGTTACTTGAATACATACAGCAAAAAGAAGTTTCAAAGAATGCTTCTGTCTAGTTTTTATGTGAACATATTTCCTTCTCCACCATAGGCCTCCAAGCGCTCCAAATATCCACCTGCAGGTTCTACAAAAAGATTGTTTCAAAACTCCTCTATCAAAAGAAAGGATCAACTCTGTGAGTTGAATGCACAGATCACAAAGAAGTTTCTGATAATTCTTCTGTCTAGTTTTTATGTGAAGATATTTTGTTATCCAACATAGACCTCCAATGGAACAAAATATCCACTGGCAGATCCTACAAAAAGTGTGTTTCAAAACTGCTCTATCCAAAAAAAGGTTCAACTCTGTGTGTTGAATGCACACGTCACAAAGAAGTTTCGGAGAATGATTCTGGGCAGTTTTTATGTGAAGATATTTCCTATTCCACCATAGGCCTCGAAAGGTACAAAACATCCCCTTGCAGATTCTACAAAAAGAGTGTTTCAAAACTGCTCTGTCAAAAGAAAAGTTCAACTTTGTGAGTTGAATTCCCATATCACAAAGAGGTTTCTGAGAATGCTTCTGTCTAGTTTTTATGTGAGGATGTTTCATTTTCCACCATAGACCTCAAAGCGCTCCAAATATCCACTTTCAGATTCTACAAAAAGAGTGTTTTAAAACTGCTCTATCAAAACAAAAGTTCAACAATGTGAGTTCAATGCACACATCACAAAGCAGTTACTGAGAATGCTTCTGTGTAGTTTTTATGTGAAGATATTTCTTTTTCAACCATAGGCATCAAAGGGAACAAATTATCCACTTGCAGATTCTACAAAAAGTGTGTTTCAAACTGCTCCATCAAAAGAAAGTTTCAACACTGTTAGTTGAATGCACACATCACAAAGAAGTTTCAGAGAATGCTTCTGTCTAGTTTTTATGTGAAGATATTTTCTTTTCCACCATAGGCCTCGATGAGCTCCAAATATCCACTTGCAGATTCTACAAAAAGTGCCTTTCAAAACTATTCTATCGATAGAAACGTTCAACTCTGTGAGTTTAATGCACACATCACAGAGAAGTTTCTTAGAATGCTTCTGTTTAGTTTTAATCTGAAGATATTTCGTTTTCCAACATAGGCCTCAAAGGGAAACAAATATCCACTTGCACATTCTACAAAAAGAATGTTTCAAAACAGCTATATCAAAAGAAGGGTTCAACTCTGTGAGTTGAAAGCACACATCAAAAAGAAGTTTCTGGGAATGCTTTGGCCTAGCTTTTATGTGAAGATATTTCCTTTTCCATGAAGGATCTCAAAATGCTCCAAATATCCACTTGCAGATTCTACAGAAAGAGAGTTTCAAAACTGATCTGTCAAAAGAATGGTTCAACACTGTGAGTTGAATGGCCACATCACAAAGCCGTTTCTGAGAATACATCTGTCTACTTTTTATGTGAAGATATTTCCTTTTCCACAATAGGACTCAAAGCGCTCCAAATATCCACTTGCAGATTCTTCAAAAAGAGTGTTTCCAAACTGCTCTATCAAAAGAAAGTTTCAACTCTGTGAGTTGAATGCACACATCACGAAGATGTTTCTGAGAAGGCTTCTGTCTAGTTTTTATGTGAAGATATTCCCTTTTAAACCGTAGTCCTCAAAGCATTCCAAATATCCACTTGCAGATTCTACAAAAAGAGTGTTTCAAAACTGCTCTATCAAAAGAAAGGTTCAAGTCTGTGGCTTGAATGTCCACATCACAAAGAAGTTTCTGAGAATGCTTCTGTCTAATTTTTATGTGAAGATATTTCATTTTTGGTCATTGTCTTACAAGCCCTCAAAATATACATTTGCAGATTCTACAGAAAGGGTGTTTCAAAACTGCTCTATGAATAGAAAGGTTCAACTCTGTGACTTGAATGCACACATCACAAAGAAGTTTCTGAGAAGGCCTCTGTCTAGTATTTATGTGAAGATATTTCTTTTTTTAACATAGGCCTGAAAGGGAAAGAAACATCCACTTGCAGATTCTGCAAAAAGAGTGTTCCACAACTGCTCTAACAAAGAAAAGTTCAACTCTGTGAGTTGAATTCACACATCACAAAGAAGTTTCAGAAAATGCTTCCATCTAATTTTTATGTGAAGATATTTCCTTTTACACCATAGAACTCAAAGCGCTCCAAGTATCCACTAGCAGATTCTACAAAACGAGAGTTTCAAAACAGTTATATCAAAAGGAATGTTCAACTCTGTGGGTTGAATGCACACATCACAAAGAAGTTTCTGAGAAAGCTTCTCTCTAGTTTTTATGTGAAGATATTTCCTTTTTCAACATAGGCAACAAAGCGCTCCAAATAGCCACTTGCGGATTATACAAAAAGAGTGTTTCAAAACTGCTTTATCAAAAGAAAGATTCAACTCTGTGAGTTGAATGCAGGCATCATGAAGAAGTTTCTGAGAATGCTTCTGTCCAGTTTTTATGTGAAGATACTCCCGTTTCCACCGAAGGCCTCAAAGCAGTACAAATATCCACTTGCAGATTCTACAAAAAGAGTGTTTCAAAACTGCTCTATGAAAACGAAGATTCAACTCTCTGAGTTGAAGGCACACATTACAAAGAATTTTCTGAGAATGCTTCTGTCTAGTTTTTATGTGAAGGTATTCCCGTTTCCACCGAAGGCCTCAAAGTCCTCCAAATATCCACTTGCAGATTCTGCAAAAAGAGAGTTTCAAAACTGTTCTATCAAAAGAAATTTTCAACTCTGTGAGTTGAATGCACACATCTCAAAGAAGCTTCTGAGAATGCTTCTGTCTAGTGTTTATGTGAAGATACGTCCGTTTCCACGGAAGGCCTAAAAGTGGTCCAAATATCCACTTGCAGATCACACAAAAAGAGTGTTTCAAAACTGCTCTATCAGAAGGAAGATTCGACTCTCTGAGTTGAATGCACACATCACAAAGAAGTTTCTGAGAATGCTTCTGACTAGTTTTTATCTGAAGATATTTCCCTTTTCAACATAGGCATCAAAGTGCATGAAATGTTCACTTGTAGACTATGCAAAAGAGTGTTTCAAAACTGCTCTATCAAAAGAAAGGTTCAACTCTGTGAGTTGAATGCAGGCATCAGAAAGAAGTTTCTGAGAATGCTTCTGTCTAGTTTTTACATGAAGATATTTCATTTTCTACCACAGCAGGCCTCAAAGCACTCCAAATATCCAGTTGCAGATTATACAAAAAGAGTGTTTCAAAACTGTTCTATGAAATGGAAGGTTAAACTCTCTGAGTTCAATGCACACAACACAGAGAAGTTTCTGAGAATGCTTCTTTCTAGTTTTTATGGGAAGATATTCCAGTTTCCACTGTAGGCCTCATAGTGCTCCAAATATCCCCTTGCTGATTCTACAAAAAGAGTGTTTCCAAACTGCTCTATCAAAAGGAATGTTCAACTCTGTGAGTTGAATGCTAATATCACCAAGTAGTTTCTCAGAATGCTTCTGTCTAGCTTTTATATGAAGATATCTCCTTTTCCAACACAGGCATCAAAGGGCTCCAAATGTCCACTTCCAGATTATAAAAAAACAGTGTTTCAAAACTGCTCTTTTTAAAGGAAGGTTCAATTCTCTGAGTTGGATGCATACATCACAACGAAGATTCTGAGAATGCTTCAGTCTAGTTTTTATATGAATATATCCCTGTTTCCACCGTAGGCCTCAAAGTGCTCCAAATAGAGACTTGCAGATTCTACAAAAAGAGTCTTTCAAAACGGCTCTATCAAAAGGAAGGTTCAACTCTGTGAGTTGAATGCACACATCACAAAGTAGTTTCTGAGAATGCTTCTGTCTAGTTTTTATATGAAAAGGAAGGTTCAACTCTGTGAGTTGAATGTAAACATCACAAGGTAGTTTCTGAGAATGCTTCTGTCTAGTTTTTATATGAAGATATCTCCTTTTCCACCACAGGCCTCAAAGTGCTCCAAATGTCCACTTGCAGATTCAACAAAAAGAATGCTTCAAAACTGCTCTATCAAAAGAAAGTTTCAATTCTATGAGTTGAATGCCCATATCACAAAGCAGTTTCTGGGAATGCTTCTGTCTAGTTTTTATGTGAAGATATTCCCTTTCCCACTGAAGGCCTCAAAGCCGTCCAATTATCCACTTGCAGATTCTACAAAAAGAGTGTTTCAAAACTGCTATATCAAAAGGAAGGTTCCACTATGTGAGTTGAATGCAGGCATCACAAAGAAGTTTCTGAGAATGCTTCTGTCTAGTTTTTATATGAACATATTTTCTTTTCTACCTTAGTAGGCCTCAAAGCTCTCCAAATATAGAGTTGCAGATTCTACAAAAGGAGTGTTTCAAAACTGCTCTATCAAAAGGAAGGTTCAACTCTCTGACTTCAATGCACATATCACAAAATGGTTTCTGAGAATCCTTCTGTCTAGTTTTTATGTGAAGATAGTCCCGTTTCCACCGCAGGCCTAAAAGGGCTCCAATTATCCACTTGCATATTCTACAAAAAGAGTGTTTCAAAACTGCTCTATCAACAGGAATGTTCAACTCTGTGAGTTGAATGCAAACATTACAAAGTAGTTTCTGAGAATGCTTCTGTCTAGTTTTTATATGAAGATATCTCCTTTTCCAACACATGCCTCAAAGAGCTCCAAATGTCCACTTGCAGATTATACAAAAAGAGTGTTTCAAAACTGCTCTATCAAAAGAAAGTTCAACGCTATGAGTTGAATGCACACATCACAAAGAAGTTTCTGACAATGCTTCTGTCTTCTTTTATGTGAAGATATCTCCTTTTCCACCACAGGCCTCAAAGGGCTCCAAATGATCTCTTGCAGATTCTACAAAAGGAGTGTTTCAAAACTGCTCTATCAAAAGAAAGTTCAACATTGTGTGTTGAATGTACACATCACAAAGAACTTTCTGAGAATGCTTCTGTCTAGTTTTTATGTGAATATATTCCCATTTGCACCAAAGGCCTGAAAGTGCTCCAAATATCCACTTGCAGATTCTACAAAAAGAGTCTTTCAGAACTGCTATATCAAAAGGAAGGTTCAACTCTGTGAGATGACTGCACACATAACAAAGAAGTTTCTGAGAATGCTTCTGTCTAGTTTTTATATGAAGATATTTCCTTTCCTACCATAGGCCACAAACCGCTCCAAATATCCAGTTGCAGATTCTACAAAAAGAGTGGTTCAAAACTGCTCTGTCAAAAGGAAGGCTCAACTCTCTGAGATCAATGGACACATCACAAAGAAGTTCCTGAGAATGCTGGTGTCCAGTTTTTATGTGAAGACATTTTCTTTTTCAACATAGGCATCAAAGCACTCCAAATGTACACTTGCAGATTTTAGAAAAAGAGTGTTTCAAAACTGCTCTAACAAAAGAAAGGTTCAACTCTGTTACTTGAATGCAAACATTACCATGTAGTTTCTGAGAATGCTTCTGTCTAGTTTTTGTATGAAGATATTCCCGTTTCCACTGAAGGCCTCAAAGCTGTCCAAATATCCACTTGCAGATTCTACAAAAGGAGTGCTTCAAAAGTGCTCTATAAAAAGTAATGGTCAACTCTGTGAGTTGAATGCAAACATCACAAAGTAGTTTCTGAGAATGCTTCTGTCTAGTTTTTATATGAAGATATTTCCTTTTCCACAAAAGGCTTCAAAACCCTCCTAAAGTTCACTTTCAAATTCTACAAAAAGATTGTTTCAAAACGGCTCTATCAAAAGAAACTTTCAACTCTGTGAGTTGAATGCACACACCACAAAGAAGTTTCTGAGAATGCTTCTGCTAGTTTTTATGTGAAGACATTCCCGTTTCCACCGAAGACCTCAAAGCGCTCCAAATAGCCACTTGCAGAGTCTACAAAAAGAGTGTTTCAAAACTGCTCTACCAAAAGGAATGTTCAACTCTGTGAGTGGAATACAAACATCACAAAGTAGTTTCTGAGAATGCTTCCGTCTAGTTTTTATATGAAGAAGATATTTCCTTTTCCACCACAGGCCTTAAAGCGCCTGAAATGTCCACTTGCAGGTTCTACAAAAAGAGAGCTTCAAAGCTGCTCTATGAAAAGAATTGTTCAACTCTGTGAGGTGAATGCACACATCACAAGGAAGTTTGTGAGAATGCTTCTGTCTATTTTCTATGTGAAGATATTTCCTTTTCCACCATAGGCCTCAAAGCGCTCCAAATATCCTCTGGCAGATCCTACAAAAGGAGTGTTTCAAAACTGCTCTATGAAAAGAATGGTTCAACTCTGTGAGTTGAATGCACACATCACAAGGAAGTTTTTGAGAATGCTTCTGTCTACTTTTTATGTGAAGATATTTCCTTTACCACCATAGGCCTCAAAGCGCTCCAAATATCCACTTGCAGATCCTACAAAATGATGTTACAAAACTGCTCTATCAAAAGAAAGGTTCAACTCTGTGAGTTGAATGCACACATCACAAAGACGCTTCTCAGAATGCTTTTGTCTACTTTTTAAGAGAAGATATTTCGTTTGCCAACATAGGCCTCTAAGGGATACAAATATCCACTTGCAGATACTACAAGAAGAGTGTTTCAAAACTGCTCTATCAAATGAAAGGTTCAACTCTGTGAGTTGAATGCGCACATGACAAAGAAGTTTCAGAGAATGCTTCTGTCTAGTTTTTTTGTGAAGATATTTCCTTTTACACCATAGGCCTCAAAGCGCTCCAAATGTCCAGTTGCAGATTCTACAAAAAGAGTGCTTCAAAACTGCTCTATCAAAAGAAAGGTTGAACTCTGTGAGTTGAATGCACACATCACAAAGAAGTTTCGGAGAATGCGTCTGTCTACTCTTTATGTGAAGATATTTCCTTTAACACCATATGCCCCAACGTGAGTAAAATATCCACTTGCCCATTGTACAAAAAGAGTGTTCCAAACCTCCTCTATCAAAAGAAAGTTTCAACTATGTGAGTTGAATGCACACATCACCAAGCTGTTTCAGAGATTGCTTCTGTCTAATTTTTGTGTGAAGATATTACATTTTATAACATAAGCCTCAAAGGGAACCAAATATCCACTTGCAGATTCTATAAAAAGAGTGTTTGAAAACTGCTGTATCAAAAGAAAGTTTCAATTATGTGAGTTGAATGCACACATCACAAAGAACTTTCGGAGAATGCTTTTGTCTAGTTTTTATGTGAAGATATTTCGTTTTTCAAACACAGGCCTCAAAGAGAACGAAATATCCACTTGCAGATTCTACAAAAAGTGTGTTTCAAAACCGCTCTATCAAAAGAAAAGTTCAACTCTGTGAGTTGAATGTACACATAATAGTCAAGTTTCGGAGAATGCTTCTGTCTAGTTTTTATGGGAAGATATTTCCCTTTAAACCATTGGCCTTAAATCGCTCCAAATATCCAATTGCAGATTCAAAAAAAAGCATGTTTCAAAACTGCTCTCTCTAAAGAAAGGTTCATCTCTGTTAGTTGAATACACACATCACAAAGAAGCTTCTGAGAATGCTTCTGTGTAGTTTTTATGTGAAGATATTTCGTTTTCCAATGTAGGCCTCAAAGGGAACAAAATATCCCCTTGCATATTCTATAAAAAGAGTGTTTCAAAACTGCTCTATCAATCAAAAGAAACGTTAAACTCCGAGACTTGAATGCACACAGCACAGAGGTTTCTGAGAATACTTGTGCCTAGTTTTTATGTGAAGATATTTCCTTTTTCACCATAGGCCTCAAAGGGAACAAAATATCCCCTTGCACATTCTACAAAAAGAGTGTTTCTAAACTGCTCTACCAACAGAGAGGTTCAAACCTGTGAGTTGAATGCACACATCACAAAGAAGATTCTGTGAATGCCTCTGTCTAGTTTTTATGTGAAGATATTTCTTTTTCCAACATAGGCATCAAAGGGAACCAAATATCCACTTGTACATTCTACAAGAAGAGTGTCTCAAAACTGCTCTATCAAAAGAAAGGGTCAACTCTATGAGTTGTATGCACACATCAAAAAGAAGTTTCAGAGAATGTTTCTGTCTAGTTTTTATGTGAAGATACTTCGTTTTCCAACATAGGCCTCCAAGTGCTCCAAATATCCACTTACAGATTCTACAAAAAGAGTGTTTCAAAACTGCTCTAACAAAAGAAAGTTTCAACTCTGTGCGTTGAATGCACACATCACAAAGAAGTTTCTGAAACTGCTTCTGTCTAGATTTTATGGTAAACTATTTCATTTTCCAAAAAAAAGGCATCAAAGGGAACCAAATATCCACTTGCAAATTCTACAAAAAGAGTGTATCAAAACTGCTCTAACAAAACTGTTCAACTCTGTGAGTTGAATGCACAAATCACAAAGAAGTTTCAGAGAATGCTACTTTCTAGTTTTTATGTGAAGATATTTCCTTTTCCACCATAGGCCTCAAAGCTCTCCAAATACCACTTGCAGATTCTACAAAAAGAGTGTTTCAAAACTGCTCTACCAAAAGCATGGTTCAACTCTGTGAGCAGAATGCACACATCCAAGGAAGTTTCTGAGAATGCTTCTGTATAGTTTTTATGAGAAGATATTTCCTTTTCCACCAGAGGCCTCAAGACGCTCCAAATATCCACTTGTAGATTCTATAAAAAGAGTGTTTCAAAACTGCTCTATCAAAAGAAAGGCTCAACTCTGTGAGTTCAATGCACACATCACAAAGAAGTTTCGGAGAACGCTTCTGTCTAGTTTTTATGTGAAGATATTTTCTTTTACACCATAGGCCTCAAGGCAATCCAAATATCCAGTAACAGATTCTACAAAAAGAGTTTTCAAAACTGCTCTATCAAAAGAAAGGTTCAGCTCTGTGAGTTAAATGCACAAATCACAATGCAGTTTCTGAGAATGTTTCTGTCTAGTTTTTATGTGAAGACATTTGGTTTTCCAATATAGGCCACAAAGTGCTCCAAATATCCACTTGCAGATTCTACAAAAGCAGTGTTTCAAAACGGCTCTAAAAAAAGAAAGGTTCAACTCTGTGAGTTGAATGCACACATGACAAAGGAGTATCTGAGAATGCTTCTGTCTAGTTTTTAAGTGAAGATATTTCGTATTCCAACATTGGCCTCAAAGAAAACCAAATATTCCCTGGCAGATCCTACAAAAAGAGTGTTTCAAAACTGCTTTATCAAAAGAGCTTTCTAACTCTGCAAGTTGAACACACACATTACAAAGAAGTTTCGGGGAACGCTTTTGTCTAGTTTTTATGGGAAGATATTTCGTTTTCCACCATAGGTCTCAAAGCGATCCAAATATCCACTTACAGATTCTACAAAAAGAATGTTTCAAAACTGCTCTCTAAAAAGAAATGTTCAACTCTGTGAGTTGAAAGCACACATCATGAAGAAGTTTCTGAGAATGCTTCTGTCTAGTTTTTATGTAAAGATATTTCTTTTTCCACCATAAGCCTCAGAGCGCTCCAAGTATCCAGTTGCAGATTCAACAAAAAGTGTGTTTTAAAACTGCTCTAACAAAAGAAACGTTCAATTCTGTGAGTTGAATACACACATCACAAAGAAGTTTCTGAGAAGGCTTCTGTCTAGTTTTAATATGAAGATATTTCATTTTCCTACATAGGCCTCAAAGCGCTACAAATATCCACTTGCAGATTCTACAAAAAGAGTGTTTCAAAACTGCTCTATCAAAAGAAATGTGCAACTCTGTGAGTTCAATCCATACATCACAAATAAGTTTTTGAGAATGCTTCTGTCTGGTTTTTATATGAAGATATTTCCTTTTCCACCATAGGCCTCAAAGCACTCCAAATATCCACTTGCAGATTCTACAAAAAGTGTGTTTCAAAACTGCTCTATCAAATGAAATGGTCAACTCTGTGAGTTGAATACACTCATCACAAAGAAGTTTCTGAGAAGGCTTCTGTGTAGTTTTTATATGAAGATATTTCGTTTTCCTACATAGGCCTCAATGGAAAGAAAATATCCACCTGTAGATTCTAAAGAAAGAGTGTTTCATAACTGCTCTATCAAAAGGAAAGTTCAACTCTGTGAGTTGAATGCACACATCACAAAGAGGTTTCCGAGAATGCTTTTATCTAGTTTTTATTTGAAGATTTTCCTTTTCCACCACAGGCCTCAAAGCGCTCCAAATATCCACTTGCAGATTTTACAAAAGAGTGTTTCAAAACTGCTCTATCAACAGAAAGGTTCAACTCTGTGAGTTGAAAGAACACATCAGAAAGAAGTTTCAGAGAATGCTTCTGTCTAGTTTTTATGTGAAGATATTTCCTTTTAAACCATAGACCTCAAAGTGCTCAAAATATCTACTTGCAGATTATACAAAAAGAGTGTTTAAAAACTGCTCTATCAAAAGCGTGGTTCAACTCTGTGAGCAGAATGCATACATCCAGGGAAGATTCTGAGAATGCTTCTGTGTAGTTTCTATGTGAAGATATTTCCTTTTCCACCATTGGCCTCAAGGTGCTCAAAATATCCACTTGCAGGTTCTACAAAAAGAGTGTTTCAAAAATCCTCTATCAAAAGAAAGGTTCAACTGTGTGAGTTGAATGCACTAATCACAAACGTGTTTTGGAGAATGCTTCTGTCTAGTTTTTATGTGAAGATATTTCCTTTTCCACCATAGGCCTCAAAGCGTTCCAAATATCCACTTGCAGATTTTGCAAAAAGAGTGTTTCAAAACTGCTCTAAAAAATTAAGGTTCAACTCTGTGAGTTGATTGCACACATGACAAAGGAGTTTCTGAGAATGCTTCTGTCTAGTTTTTATGTGAAGATATTTCGTATTCCAACATAGGCCTCAAAGGAAACCAAATATCCCCTTGCAGATACTACAAAAAGAGTGTTTCAAAACTGCTCTATCAAAAGAACGTTCTAACTCTGTAAGTTGAATGCAAACAGCAAAAAAAGTATCAGGGAATGCTTTTGTCTAGTTTTTATGTTAAGATATTTCGTTTTCCAAAATAGGCCTCAAAGGGAACAAAATATCCACTTGTAGATTCTACAAAAAGGGTGTTTGAAAACTGCTCTATCAAAAGAAATTTTCAAATCTGTGAGTTGAATGCACAAATAACAAAGCAGTTTGTGAGAATGCTTCTGTCTAGTTTTTATGGGAATACATTTCGTTTTCCAATATAGGCCTCAAAGCGCTCCAAATATCCACTTGCAGATTCTACCAAAAGAGTGATTCAAAAGTGCTCTATCAAAAGAAATGTGCATCTCTGTGAGTTGAATGTGCACATCACAAAGCAGTTTATGAGAATGTTTCTGCTAGTTTTTATGTGAAGATATTTCGTTTTCCAACATTAGCCTCAAAGGGAACCAAATATCCACTTGCAGATTCTTCAAAAAGACTGTTTCAAAACTGCTCTATCAAAAGAAAAATTCAACTGTGTGAGTTGAATGCGCACATCACAAAGGTGTGTTGGAGAATACTTCTGTCTAGTTTTTATGTGAAGATATTTCCTTTTCCACCATAGGCCTCAAACCGATCCAAATACCACTTGCAGATTCTGCAAAAAGACTGTTTCAAAACTGCTCTATCAAAGGAAAGGTTCAAGTCTGTGAGGTGAATGCGCAAATCACAAAGCAGTTTCGGAGAATGCTTCTGTCTAGTTTTTATGTGAAGACATTTCGTTTTCCAATACTGGTCTCAAAGCGTTCCAAATATCCACTTGCAGATTCTACAAAAAGAGCATTTCAAAACTCCTCCATCAAAAGAAAGGTTCAACTGTGTGAGTTGAATGCACACATCACAAAGAAGTTTTGGAGAATGCTTCTGTCTAGTTTTTATGTGAAGATATTTCCTTTTCCACCATAGGCCTCAAAGCGCTCCAAATATCCACTTGCAGATTCTACAAAAGAGTGTTTCAAAACTGCTCTATCAAAAGAAAGGTTCAACACTGTGAGGTGAATGTACACATCACAAAGAATTTTCTGAGAATGCTTCTGTCTAGTTTTTATGTGAAGATATTTCATCTTCCACAATAGGCCTTAAAGCACTGCAAATATCCACTCGCAGATTCTACAAAAAGAATGTTCCAAAGTACTGTATAACAGGAAAGGTTCAACTCTGAGTTGAATTCGCACATCACAAAATGTTTCGGAGAATGCTTCTGTCCAGTTTTATAGTGAAGATATTTCCTTTTCCACCATAGGCCTTAAAGTGCTGCAAAAATCCACTTGCAGATACTACAAAAAGAGTGCTTCAAAACTGCTCTATCAAAAGGAAAGTTCAACTCTGTGAGTTGAATGCACACATCTCAAAGAAGTTTCTGAGAACACTTCTGTCTACTTTTTATGTGAAGATATTTCGTATTCCATTATAGGCCTCAAAGGAAACGATATATCCCCTTGCAGATTCTACAAAAAGACTGTTTCAAAACTGCTCTATCAAAAGAAAGTACTAACTCTGTAAGTTGAATGCACACACCACAAAGAAGTTTCGCGGAATGCTTTTTTCTAGTTTTTATGGGAAGATATTTCGTTTTCCAAAATCGGCCCCAAAGGGAACAAAATATCCCCTTGCAGATACAACAAAAAGAGTGTTTCAAAACTGCTCTATCAAAAGAAAGTTTCAAATTTGTGAGTTGAATGCAAACATCACAAAGAAGTTTTGGAGAATGCTTCTGTCTAGTTTTTGAGGGAAGTTATTTCGTTTTCCAACATAGGCCTCAAAGGGAACAAAATATCCATTGCAAATTCTACAAAAAGAGACTTTCAAACCTGCTCTATCAAAAGAAAGTTTCAACACTGTGAGTTGAATGCACGCAGCACAAAGAATTTTCGGAGAACGCTTCTGTCTAGTTTTCATGTGATATATGTCCTTTTCCAGCATAGGTCTCAAAGCTCTCCAAATATCCACTTGCAGATTCTACAAGCAGAGTGTTTCAAAACTGCTCTACCAAAAGAAAGGTTCAACTCTCTGAATTCAACGCACTCATCCCAAAGCAGTTTCTGAGAATGCTTCTGTCTATTTTTTATGTGAAGATATTACGTTTTGTAACATAGGCCTCAAAGGGAACTAAATATCCACCTGCAGATTCTACAATAAGAGTGACTCAAACTGCTCTATCAAAAGAAAGGTTCAACTAATTGAGTTGAATGCACACATCATCAATAAGTTTCGGAGAATGCTTCTGTCTAGTTTTTATGCTAATACATATCCTTTTCGACCATAGGCCTCAATGCACTCCAAATATCCACATGCAGATCCTACAAAAAGAGTGTCTCAAAACTGCTCTATCAAAAGAAAGTTCCAACACTGTGAGTTGAATGCACACATCACAAAGAAGTTTCTGAGAATGTTTCTGCCTGGTTTTTATTTGAAGATATTTCCTTTTCCACCATGGGCCTTAAAGCGCTCCAAATATCCACTTGCAGATTCTACAAAAAGAGTATTTCAAAACTGCTCTACCACAAGAAAGGTTCAACTCTGTGAGTTGAATGCACTCATCACAAAGAAGTTTCGGAGAATGCTTCTGTCTAGTTTTTATGGGAAGATATTTCGTTTTCCAACATAGGCCTCAGAGGGAACAAAATATCCACTTGTACATTCTACAAAAAGAGTGTTTCAAAACTGCTCTATCCAAAGAAAGGTTCAACACTATGAGTTGAATGCACACATCACAAAGTGTTTTCTGAGAATGCTTCTTCTAGTTTTTATATGAAGATGTTTCTTTTTCCATTATAGGCCTTAAAGCACTGTAAATATCCACTCGCAGATTCTACAAAAGGAATGTTTCAAAACTGCTCTATCAAAAGAAAGGTTCAACTCTGTGAGTTGAATGCACACATCACAAAGAAATTTGAAAGAATGCTTCTGTCTAGTTTTTATATGAAGTTATTTCGTTTTCCACCATAGGCCTCAAAGTGCTCCAACTATGCACTTGCAGATTCTACAAAAAGAGTGTTACAAAACTGCTGTATAACAGGAAAGTTTCAACTCTGAGTTGAATGCACACATGACAAAGAAGTTTCTGAGAGTGCTTCTGTCTAGTTTTTATGTGAAGATCTTTCCTTTTCCACCATAGGCCTCAAAGTGCTCCAAATATGCACTTGCAGATTCTACAAAAAGAGTGTTACAAATCTGCTCTATCAAAAGAAAGTTTCAACTCTGTGAGTTGAATGCACACATCACAAAGAAGTTTCCGAGAATGCTTCTCTCCAGTTTTTATGTGAAGATGTTTCCTTTTCCACAGTAGGGCTCAAAGCGTTCCAAATATCCACGTGAAGATACCTCAAAAAGAGTGTTTCAAAACTTCTCTATAAAAAAAGGATCAACACTGTGAGTTCAATGCACACATCACCAAGAAGTATATGAGAAAGCTTGTGTTTAGTTTTTATGTGAAGATATTTCCTTTTTCACCAGAGTCCTCTAAGGGAACCATATATCCTCTTGTAGATTCTACAAAAAGAGTGTTTCTAAACTGCCCTATCAAAAGAAATGTTCAAATCTGTGAGTTGAATGCTCACATCAAAAAGAAGTTTCGGAGAATGCTTCTGACTAGTTTTTATGTGAAGATATTTCCTTTACCACATAGTCTTAAAAGCACTCCAAATATCCACTTGCAGATTCTGCAAAAAGAGTGTTTCACAAGTACTCTAACAAAGGAAAGGTTCAAAACATTGAGTTGAGTGCACACATCACAAAGAAGTTTCTGAGACTTCTTCTCTCTAGTTTTAATGTGAAGATATTTCCTTTTCCACCATAAGGCTCAAAGCGTTCCAAATATTCACCTGCTTATACTGCGAAAAGAGTGGTTCAAAACTGCTCTATCAAACGAAATGTTCAACTCTCTGAGTTAAATGCACACATCGGAAAGCAGTTGCTGAGAAGGCTATTGTCTAGTTTTATTTCAAGATATTTCGTTTTCCAACGTAGGCTTCAAAAGGAAAAAAATATACACTTGCAGATACTACAAAAAGAGTGTTTCAAAACTGCTCCATCAATAGAAAGATTCAACTCTGCGAGTTGAATGCATGCAGCAAAAAGAAGTTTCGGAGAATGCTTCTGTCTAGTTTTTATGTGAAGATATTTCCTTTTCCACCATAGGCCTCAAACAGAAAAAAAAATACACTTGCAGATACTACAAAAAGAGTGTTTCAAAAATGCTAGATCAATAGAGAGATTCAACTCTGCGAGTTGAATGCACACAGCACAAAGTAGTTTCGGAGAATGCTTCTGTCTAGTTTTTATGTGAAGATATTTCCTTTTCCACCATAGGCCTCAAAGCGCTCCAAATATCCACTTGCAGATTCTACAAAAAGAGTGTTTCAAAGCTGCTTTATCAAAAGAAGGCTTCAGCACTGTGAGTTGAGTTTATACATCACAAATAAATTTCAGAGAATGCTTCTGTCTAGTTTTTTTATGAAGATATTTCCTTTTAGACAAGAGGCCTCAAAGAGTTCCAAATATCCACTTGCAGATTCTACGAAAGAGTGTTCCAAAACTGCTCTATCAAAAGAAAGGTTTAACTCTGTGAGTTGAATGCACACATCAGTAAGAAGTTTCTGAGAATGCTTCTGACTAGTTTTTATTTGAAGATATTTCGTTTTCCAACATAGGCCTCATATGGAACAAAATATCCCCTTGCAGATTCTTCAAAAAGAGTGTTTCAAAACTGCTCTACAAAAAGAAAGGTTCAACTCTGTGAGTTGAATGCACACATCACAAAGAAGTTTTGGAGAATGCTTCTGTCTAGTTTTTATGTGAAGATATTTCCTTTTCCACCATAGGCCTCAAAGCATTCCAAATATCCACTTGCAGATTCTACAGAAAGAGGGTTTCAAAACTGCTCTATCAAAAGAAAAGTTCAACTCTGTGAGTTGAATGCACTCAGCACAAAGAAGTTTCTGAGAATGCTTCTGTCTAGTTTTTATGTGAAGATATTTTGTTTTCCAACATAGGCCTCAAAGGGAACAAAATATCCCCTTGCAATTTCTACAAAAATAGTGTTTCAAAACTGCTCTATCAAAGGAATGGTTCAGATCTCTGAGTTGAATGTACAAATCACAAAGCAGTTTCCGAGAATGCTTCTGTCTAGTTTTATATGAAGATATTTCATTTTCCATCGTAGGCCTCAAAGGGAACAAAATACCCAGTTGTAGATACTGCAGAAAGAGTGTTTCAAAACTGCTCTATCAAAAGAAAGGTTCAACTCCATCAGTTGAATACACACAGCACAAAGAAGTTTCAGAGAATTCTTCTGTCTAGTTTGTATGTGAAGATATTTCCTTCTCCACCATAGGCCTCAAATGGAACCAAATATCCCCTTGCAGATTCTACAAAAAGAGTGCTTCAAAACTGCCCTATAAAAAGAAAGGCCCAACTCTGTGAGTTTAATGCACCCATCACAAAGAAGTTTCTGAGAATGCTTCTGTCTGGTTTTTATGTGAAGTTATTTCGTTTTCCAACACAGGTCTCCAAGGGAACAAAATATCCCCTTGCAGATTCTACAAAAAGAGTGTTTCAAAAGTGCTCTATCAAAAGAAAGTTTCAACTCTGTGAGTTGAATGCACAGATTTCAAAGAAGTTTCGGGGAATGCTTCTGTCTAGTTTTTATGTGAAGATATTACATTTTCCAACATAGTCCTCAAAGGGAACAAAATATCCACTTGCAGATTATACAAAAGGAGTGTTTCAATACTGCTCTATCAAAAGAAATGTTCAACTCTGTGACCTAAATGCACACAGCACAAAGAAGTTTCGGAGAATCCTTTTGTCTATTTTTTATGTGAAGATATTTCCTTTTCCACCATATGCCTCAGAGCATTCCAGATATCCATTTGCAGATTCTACAGAAAGAGTGTTTCAAAACTGCTCTATCAAAAGAAAGATTCAAGTCTCTGAGTTCAATGCCCACATCACAAAGAAGTTTCTGAGAATTCTTCTGTCTAATTTTATATGTAGATATTTCGTTTCCCATCATAGCCCTCAAAGGGAACAAAATATCCACTTGCAGATTCTAAAAAAAGAGTGTATCAAGACTGCTCTATCAAAAGAAATGTTCAACTCTGTGTGTTGAATGCACACATCACAAAGAAGTTTCTGAGAATGCTTCTGCCTAGTTTTTATGTGAAGATATTTCCTTCTCCACCTTAGGCCTCCAAGCGCTCCAAATATCCACCTGCAGATTCTACAAAAAGAGTGTTTCAAAACTGCTCTATCAAAAGAAAGGTTCAACTCTGTGAGTTGAATGCACACATCACAAATCAGCTCTGACAATGCTTCTGTCTAGTTTTTATGTGAAGATATTTCCTTTTCCAATGTGGGCCTCAAAGGGGAAAATATATCCACTTGCAGATTCTACAAAGAGTATTTCAAAACTGCTCTACCAAAAGAAAGGTTCAACTCGGTGAGTTGAATGCACACATCACAAAGAAGTTTCGGTGAATGCTTCTGTCTAGTTTTTATGTGAAGATATTTCGTTTTCCAACATAGACCTCCAATGGAACCAAATATCTACTTGTAGATCCTACAAAAAGGGTGTTTCAAAACGGCTCTATCAAAACAAAGGTTCAACACTGTGAGTTGAATTCACACATCACAAAGCAGTTACTGAGAATATTTCTGTCTAGTTTTTATATGAAGATATTTCTTTTTCAAGCATAGGCCTCAAAGGGAACCAAATATCCCCTTGCAGATTCTACAAAAAGGTGTTTCAAACTGCTCTATCAAACGAAAGGTTCAGCTCTGTGAGTTGAATGCACACATCACAAAACAGTTTTGGAGAATGCTTGTGTCTAGTTTTTATGTGAAGATATTTCCTTTTCCGCCATCGGCCACAGTGTGCTCCAAATATCCACTTGCAGATTCTACGAAAAGTGCATTACAAAACTGCTCTATCAAAAGAAATGTTCAACTTTGTGAGTTTCATGAGCACATCACAAAGAAGTTTCTTAGAATTCTTCTGTTTAGTTTTTATCTGAAGATATTTCGTTTTCCGCCATAGGCCTCAAAGGGAACAAAATATCCACTTGCAGATTCTACAAAAAAAGTGTTTCACAACTGCTCTATCAAAAGAAGGGGTCGACTCTGTGAGTTCAATGCACACATCACAAAGAAGTTTCTGGGAATGCTTGCATCTAGTTTTCATGTGAAGATATTTCCTTTTACCCCACAGGCCTCAAAGCCCTCCAAATATCCACTTGCAGTTTCTAAAAAAAGAGTGTTTGAAAACTGCTCTATCAAAAGAAATATTCAACACTGTGAGTTGAATGTACACATCACAAAGAAGTTTCGGAGAATGCTTCTGTCTAGTTTTTATGTGAAGATATTTCCTTTTACAGGAAGGGTCTCAAAAAGCTACAAATACCCAACTTCAGATTCTACAAAAAGAGTGTTTCAAAACTGCTCTATGAAATGGAAGGTTCAACTCTCTTAGTTCAATGCACACAACACAAAGAAGTTTCTGAGAATGCTTCTGTCTAGTTTTTATGTGAAGATATTCCGGTTTCCACAGTAGGCCTCATAGCGCTCCAAATAACCACTTGCAGATTCTACAAAAAAAGTGTTTCAAAACTACTCTATCAAAAAAAAAGTTCAACTCTGTGAGTTGAATGCACACATTACAAAGTAGGTTGTGAGAGTGCTTCTGTCTAGTTTTTATGTGTGGATATTCCCGTTTCCACCGAAGGCCTCAAAGCGCTCCAAATATCCACTTGCAGATTCTACAAAAAGAGTGTTTCCAAACTGCTCTATCAAAAGGAATATTCAACCCTGTGAGTTGAATGCAAACATCATGAAGAAGTTTCTGTGAATGCTTCTGTCTAGTTTTTATGTGAACATATTTTCTTTTTCACCATAGGCATCAAAGTGCTCTAAATGTCCACTTACAGGTTCCACAAAAAGAGTGTTTCAGTACTCCTCTATCAAAAGAAAGGTTCAACTCTGTGAATTGAATGCAGGCATCACAGAGAAGTTTCTGAGAATGCTTCGGTCTAGTTTTTATATGAAGATATTTCCTTATTTACCATAGTAGGCCTCAAAGCTCTCCAAATATCCACTTGCAGATTCTACCAAAAAGTGTTTCAAAACTGATCTATCAAAAGGAAGGTTCAACTCTCTGAGTTCAATGTACACATCACAAAGAAGTTTCTGAGAATGCTTCTGTCTAGTTTTTATGTGAATATATTCCCATTTCCACCGAGGGCCTCAAAGTGGTCTAAATATCCACTTGCAGATTCTACAAAAAGAGCGTTATAAAACGGCTCTATCAAAAGGAATGTTCAACTCTGTGTGTTGAATGCAGACATCACAAAGTAGTTTCTGAGAATGCTTTTGTCCAGTTTTTATATGAAGTTATTTCCTTTTCCACGACAGGCCTCAAAGGGCTCCAGATGTCCACTTGCAGATTCTACAAAAAAAGTGTTTCAAAACTCCTCTATCAAAAGAAAGGTTCAACTCTGGAGATGAATGCAGACATCACAAAGAAGTTTCTGAGAATGCACCTGTCTAGTTTTTATGTGAAGATATCCCTTTTCCACCGAATGCCTCAAAGCACTCCAAATATCCACTTGCAGGTTCTACAAAAAGAGTGTTTCAAAACTCCTCTATCAAAAGAAAGGTTCAACTCTGGAGATGAATACAGACATCACAAAGAAGTTTCTGAGAATGCATCTGTCTAGTTTTTATGTGAAGATATTCCCTTTTCCACCGAATGCCTCAAAGCACTCCAAATATCCACTTGCAGATTCTACAAAAAGAGTGTTTCAAAACTGCTCTATCAAAAGGAAGGTTCAACACTGTGAGTTGGATGCACACATCACAAAGTGGTTACTGAGAATGCTTCTGTCTAATTTTTAAGTGAAGATATTCCCATTTACAGTGAAGTCCTCAAATCGGTCCAAATATCCACTTGCAGATTCTCCAAAAAGAGTGTTTCAAAACTGCTCTATCAAAAGGAATGTTCAACTCTGTGAGTTGAATGCTAATATCACAAAGTAGTTTCTCAGAATGCTTCTGTATAGTTTTTATATGAAGATATCTCCTTTTCAACCACAGGCATCAAAGCGCTCCAAATGTCCACTTCCAGATTCTACAAAAACAATGTTTCAAAACTGCTCTATTTAAAGGAAAGTTCAATTCTCTGAGTTGGATGCACACATCACAAAGAAGATTCTGAGAATGCTTCGGTCTAGTTTTTATGTGAATATATATCCGTTTCCACAGTAGGCCTCAAAGTCCTCCAAATATAGACTTGCAGATTCTTCAAAAAGAGTCTTTCAAAAGGCTCTATCAAAAGGAAGGTTCAACTCTGTGGGTTGAATGCACACATCACAAAGTAGTTTCAGAGAATGCTTCTGTCTAGTTTTTATATGAAGATAACTTCCTTTCCACCACAGGCATCAAAGCGCTCCAAATGTCCACTTGCAGATTCTACAAAAACAGTGTTTCAAAACTACTCTATTAAAAGAAAGTTTCAACTCTCTGAGTTGAATACACGCATTGCAAAGAAGTTTGTGAGAATTCTTCTCTCTAGTTTGTATTTGAAGATACTCCCGTTTCCACCGAAGGCATCAAAGCTGTCCAAATGTGCACTTGCAGATTCTATAAAAAGAGTGTTTCAAAACTGCTCTATCAAAAGGAATATTCAACACTGTGAATTGAATATAAACATCACAAAGTAGTTTCTGAGAATGCTTCTATGTACTTTTTATGTGAAGATACATCCTTTTCCACCATAGGCCTCAAGTCGCTCCAAATATCCGCTTGCAGATTCTACAAAAACAGTGTTTCAAAACTCGTCTATCAAAAGAATGGTTCAACTCTGTGAGATGAATGCACACACCACAAAGAAGTTTCTGAGAATGCTTGTGTCTAGCTTTTTTGTGATGATATTTCCTTTTTCACCATAAGCCTCAAAGGGAATGAAGTATCCACTTGCAGATTCTCCAAAAAGATTGTTTCAAAACTGCTCTATCAAAATAAAAGTTCAACTCTGTGGGTTGAATGCACACATCACAAAGAAGTTTCTGAGAATACATCAGTGTAGTTTTTATGTGAAGATATTTCGTTTTCCAACATAGGCCTCAACGGGAAAGAAATATCCCCTTGCAGATTCCACAAAAAAAGTGTTTCAATTCTGCTCTTTCAAAAGAAAAGTTCAACTCTGTGAGTTGAAAGCACACATCACAAAGAAGTTTCAGAGAATGCTTCTGTCTGGTTTTTATGTGAAAATATTTCATTTTCCAGTATAGACTTCAAAGCACACCAAATATCCACTTGCAGATTCTACAAAAAGACTGTTTCAAAACTGCTCTATCAAAAGAAAAGTTCAAATCTGAGGGTGGAATGCACACATCACAAAGAAGTTTCTGAGAATTCTTCTGTCTGTTTTTATATGTAGATATTTCGTTTCCCATCATAGTCCTCAAAGGGAACAAAATATTCACTTGCAGATTCTAAAAAAAGAGTGTATCAAGACTGCTCTATCAAAAGAAATGTTCAACTCTGTGTGTTGAATGCACACATCACAAAGAAGTTTCTGAGAATGCTTCTGCCTTGTTTTTATGTGAAGATATTTCCTTCTCCACCATAGGCCTCTAAGCACTACAAATATCCACCTGCAGATTCTACAAAAAGAGTGTTTCAAAACTGCTCTATCAAAAGAAAGGTACAACTCTGTGAGTTGAATGCACACATCACAAATCAGCTTCTGACAATGCTTCTGTCTAGTTTTTACGTGAAGATATTTCCTTTTCCAACGTGGGCCTCAAAGTGGAACAAATATCCACTTGTAGATTCTACAAAGAGTATTTCAAAACTGCTCTACCAAAAGAAAGGTTCAACTCGGTGAGTTGAATGCACACATCACAAAGAAGATTCTGTGAATGCTTCTGTCTAGTATTTATGTGAAGATATTTCGTTTTCTGACATAGACCTCCAATAGAACGAAATATCTACTTGCAGATCCTGCAAAAAGCGTGTTTCAAAACTGCTCTATCAAAACAAAGGTTCAACACTGTGACTTGAATGCACAAATCACAAAGCAGTTACTGAGAATGCTTCTGTCTAGTTTTCATATGAAGATATTTCTTTTTCAAGCATAGGCCTCAAAGGGAACCAAATATCCACTTGCAGATCCTTCAAAAAGAGTGTTTCAAAACTGCTCTATCAAAAGGGATGTTCAACTCTGTGAGTTGAATGCAAACATCACAAAGAAGTTTCTGAGAATGCTTCTGTCTAGTTTTTATGTGTATATATTTCCTTTTTCACCATAGGGAGCAAAGCCCTCTAAATGTCCACTTGCAGTTTCTACAAATGAGTGTTTCAAAACTGCTCTATCGAAAGAAAGGATCACCTCAGTGAGTTGAATGCACACATCACAAAGTAGTTTCTGAGAATGCTTCTATCTAGTTTTTATATGAAGAGATTTCCTTTCCCAGATAGTCCTCAAAGCTCTCCAAATATCCAGTTGCAGATTCTTCAAAAAGAGTGTTTCAAATCTGCTCCTTCTAAAGAAAGGTTCAAATCGGTGAGGTGAATGCACATATCACAAAGAAGTTTCTGAGAATGCTTCTTTCTAGTTTTTATGTGAATATAATCCCATCTCCACTGAAGGCCTCAAAGCGCTCCAAATATCCAGTTACAGATTCTACAAAAAGATTGTTTGAAAACTGCTATATCAAAAGAAAGGTTCAACTTTGTGAGTTGAATGTACACATCACAAAGGTGTTTCTGAGAATGCTTCTCTCTAATTTGTATGTGAAGGTATTCCCGTTTCCACCGAAGGCCTCCCAGTGCTCCAAATATCCTCTGGCAGATTCTACAAAAAGAGTCTTTCAAAACTGCTCTATCAAAAGGAATGTTCAACTCTGTGAATTGAACACACACATCACAAAGCACTTTCTGAGAATGTTTCTTTCTAGTTTTTGTGTGAAAATATTTCCTTTTTCAACATAGGCATCAAAGCTCTCAAAATGTCCACTTGCAGATTATACAAAAAGAGTGTTTCAAAACTGCTCTATCAAAAGAAAGGTTCAACTCTGTGAGTTGAATGCACCCATCACAAAGAAGTTTCTGAAAATGATTCTGTCTAGTTTTTTTGTGAAGATATTCCCTTTTCCACCGAAGACTTCAAAGCACTCCAAATATCCACTTGCAGATACCACAAAAAGAGTGTTTCAAAACTGCTCTATCAAAAGAAATGTTCAGCTCTGTGAGTTCAATGCAAATATCACAAAGTAGTTTCTGAGAATGCTTCTGTCTAGTTTTTATATGAAGATATCTTCTTTTTCACCACAGGCATCAAAGCGCTCCAAATGTCGACTTGCAGATTCCACAAAAAGAGTGTTTCAAAACTGCTCTATCAAAAGGAAGGTTCACTTATGTGAGTTGAATGCACACATCCCAAAGAAGTTTCTGAGAATCCTTGTGTCTAGTTTTTATGTGAAGATATTTCCTTTTCCAGCACAGGTCTCAAAGCGCTCCAAATGTACACTTGCAGATTCTACCAAAAGAGGGTTTCAAAACTGCTCTATCAAAAGGAAGGTTCAACTCTGTGAGTTGAATGCACACATCACAAAGGAGTTTCTGAGAATGCTTCTGTCCAGTTTTTATGTGAAGATATTCCCGTTTCCACCAAAGGCCTCAAAGTGGTCCAAATGTCCACTTTCAGATTCTACAAAAAGAGTGTTTCAAAACTGCTCTATCAAAAGGAAGGTACAACTCTGTGAGTTGAATGCAAACATCACAAAGTGGTTTCTGTGAATGCTTCTGTCTAGTTTTTATATGAAGATATTTCTTTTCTACCATAGGCCTCAAAGCGCTCCAAATATCCACTTCTAGATTCTACAAAAACAGTGTTTCAAAACTGCTCTATTAAAAGGAAGGTTCAATTCTCTGAGTTGAATGCACACATCCCAAAGAAGATTCTGAGAATTTTTCTGTCTAGTTTTTATGTGAAGATATTACCGTTTCCACCGTAGGCCTCAAAGTGCTCAAAATATAGGCTTGCAGATTCTACAGAAAGAGTCTTTCAAACCGGCTCTATCAAAGGAAGTTTCAACTCTGTGAGTTGGATGCAAACATCACAAAGTAGTTTCTGAGAATGTTTCTGTCTAGTTTTTATATGAAGATATCTTCTTTTCCACCCCAGGCATCAAAGCGCTCCAAATGTCCACTTACAGATTCTACAAAAAGACTGTTTCAACCTCTGTAATAAAAGAAAGGTCCAACTCTTTCAGTTGAATACACACATCATAAAGAAGTTTCTGAGAATGCTTCTGTCTGGTTTTTATGTGAAGATATTCCCGATTCCACCGAAGGCCTCTAAACGGCCCAAATATCCCCTTGCAGACTCTACAAAAAGAGTGTTTCAAAACTGCTCTATCAAAAGGAATGTTCAACTCTGTGAGTTGAATGCAAACATCACAAAGAAGTTTCTGAGAATGCTTCTGTCTAGTTTTATATGAAGATATGTCCTTTTCTACCATAGGCATCAAAGCACTCTAAATATCCACTTGCAGATTCTACAAAAAGAGCGTTTCAAAACTACTCTATCAAAAGAAAGGTTCAACTCAGTGAGGTGAATGCATACATCACATAGAGGTTTCGGAGAATGCTTCTGTCTAGTTTTTATGTGAAGACATTCTCGTTTCCACTGTAGGCCTCAAAGCACTCCAAATATAGACTTGCAGACTCTACAAAAAGTGTCTTTCAAAACAGCTCTATGAAAAGAAACGTTCAACACTGTGAGTTGAATGCAAACATCACAAAATAGTTTCTGAGAATGCTTCTGTCTAGTTTTTATATGAAGATATCTCATTTTACACCACAGGCCTCAAAGCGCTCCAATAGTCCACTTGCAGATTCTACAAAAAGAATGTTTCAAAACTGCTCTATCAAAAGCAAGTTTCAACTCTGTGAGTTCAATGAACCCATCACAAAGCAGTTTCTGAGAATGCTTCTGTATAGTTTTCATGTGAAGATATTTCAGCTTCCACAGAAGGCCTCAAAGCGCTCCAACTATCCACTTTCAAATTCTAAAAGAAGAGTGTTTCAAAACTGCTATACCAAATGGAAGGTTCAACTCTGTGAGTTGAATGCAGGCATCACAAAGTAGTGTCTGAGAATGCTTCTGTCTACTTTTTATGTGAAGATATTTTGGTTTCCACTGAAGGCCTCAAAGAGGTCCAAACATCCACTTGCAGATGCTACAAAAAGAGTGTTTCAAAACTGTTCTATAAGAAGGAAGGTTCAACCCTCTGAGTTGAATGCACACATCACAAAGCAGTTTCTGAGAATTTTTCTGTCAAGTTTTTATGAGAGGATATTCCTGTTTCCACCGAAAGCCTCAAACGCTCCAAATATCCACTTGCAGATTTTACAAATAGAGAGTTTCAAAACTGCTCTATCAAAAGAAAGGTTCTACTCCGTGAGTTGAATGCAGACATCACAAAGAAGTTTCTGAAAATGCTGCTGTCTAGGTTTTATATGAATATATTGCCTTTTCTACCATAGGCCTCAAAGCGGTCAAAATATCCACTTGCAGATTCTACAAAAAGAGTGTTTCAAAACTGCTCTATCAAAAAAAAGTTCAAATCTGAGTTGAATACAGAAATCACAAAGAAGTTTCTGAGAATGCTACTGTCTAGTTTTTATGTGAAGATATTCCCTTTTCCACTGAAGGCCTCAAAGCGCTCCAAATATCCAGTTGCAGATTCCACAAAAAGAATGTTTCAAAACTGCTCTATCAAAAGGAAGGTTCAACTTTGTGAGTTGAATGCACACCTCACAAAGAAGATTCTGAGAATGCTTCTGTCTAGTTTTTTTGTGAAGATATTCCCCTTTCCACCAAATGCCTCAAAGCCGTCCAAATATCCACTTGCAGATTCTAGAAAAAGAGTGTTTCAAAACTGCTCTATCAAGAGGAATGTTCAACTCTGTGAGTTGAATGCAAACATCACAAAGTAGTTTCTGAGAATGCTTCTGTCTAGTTTTTTATGAAGATCTCTCCTTTTCCACCACAGGCATCAAAGTGCTCCAAATGTCCACATGCAGATTCTGCAAAAAGAGGGTTTCAAAACTGCACTATCAAAACGAATTTTCAACTCTGTGAGCTGAATGCAATCATCACAGAGTAGTTTCTGAGAATGCTTCTGTCTAGTTTTAAATGAAGATATTTCCTTTTCTACTATAGGCCTCAAATCGATCCAAATATCCTCTTGCTGATTCTACAAAACACGTGTTTCAAAACTGCTCTATCAAAAGGAAGGTTCAACTCTCGGAGTTCAATGCACAGAACACAAAGAAGTTTCTGAGAATGCTACTGTCTAGTTTTTATGTGAAGATATTCCCGTTTCCACTGAAGGCCTCAAAGTGCTCCAAATATCCAGTTGCAGATTCCACAAAAAGAGTGTTTCGAATCTGCTCTATCAAAAGGAAGGTTCAACTCTGTGAGTTGAATGCACACCTCACAAAGAAGATTCTGAGAAGGCTTCTGTCTAGTTTTTTTGTGAAGATATTCCTGTTTCCACCGTAGGCCTCATAGTGCTCCAAATATCCACTTGCAGATTCTACAAAAAGACTGTTTCAAAACTGCTTTATCATAAGGAATGTTCAACTCTGTGAGTTGAATGCAAACATCACAAAGTAGTTTCTGAGAATGCTTCTGTCTAGTTTTTATGTGAAGATATTCCCGTTTCCACTGAAGGCCTCAAAGTGCTCCAAATATCCAGTTGCAGATTCCACAAAAAGAGTGTTTCGAATCTGCTCTATCAAAAGGAAGGTTCAACTCTGTGAGTTGAATGCACACCTCACAAAGAAGATTCTGAGAAGGCTTCTGTCTAGTTTTTTTGTGAAGATATTCCTGTTTCCACCGTAGGCCTCATAGTGCTCCAAATATCCACTTGCAGATTCTACAAAAAGACTGTTTCAAAACTGCTTTATCATAAGGAATGTTCAACTCTGTGAGTTGAATGCAAACATCACAAAGTAGTTTCTGAGAATGCTTCTGTCTAGTTTTTTATGAAGATATCTCCTTTTCCACCACAGGCATCAAAGCGCTCCAAATGTCCACATGCAGATTCTGCAAAAAGAGGGTTTCAAAACTGCTCTATCAAAAGGAATTTTCAACTCTGTGAGTTGAATGCAATCATCACAAAGTAGTTTCTGAGAATGCTTCTGTCTAGTTTTTATATGAAGATATTTCCTTTTCTACTATAGGCCTCAAATCGATCCAAACATCCTCTTGCCGATTCTACAAAACACGTGTTTCAAAGCTGCTGTATCAAAAGGAAGGTTCAACTCTCGGAGTTCAATGCACAGAACACAACGAAGTTTCTGAGAATGCTTCTGTCTAGTTTTTATGTGAAGATATTTCCTTTTTCACCTTAGGCAGCAAAGCGCTCTAAATGTCCACCTGCAGATTTTAAAAATGAGTGTTTCAAAACTGATCTATCAATAGAAAGATTCATCTCCATCCGTTGAATGCACACATCAAAAAGTAGTTTCTGAGAATGCTTCTGTCTAGTTTTTATATGAAGGTATTTCCTTTCCTACAATGGGCCACAAAGCGCTCCAAATATCCAGTTGCAGATTCTATAAAAAGAGTGTTTCAAAACTGCTCTATCAAAAGGAAGGCTCCATTCCCTGAGTTGAATGCACAAATCACAAACAAGTTTCTGAGAATGCCTCTGTCTAGGTTTTATGTGAAGATATTTCCTTTTCCCCCACAGACCTCGAAGTGCTCCAAATATCCACTTGCAGTTTCTACAAAAAGAGTGTTTCAAAACTGCTCTATCAAAAGGAATGTTCACCTCTATGAGTTGAATGCAAACATCACAAAGTAGTTTCTGAGAATGCTTCTGTCTAGTTTTTTATATGAAGATATTACCTTTTCCTCCACAGGCCTCAAAGTGCTCCGAATGTCCAATTGCAGACTCTACAAAAAGAGTGTTCCCAAAATGCCCTATCGAAAGAAAGGTTCAACCCTGTCAGTTGAATGCAGGCATCACAAAGAAGTTTCTGACAATGCTTCTGTCTAGATTTTATAGGAAGATAATTCCTTTTCTAACATAGGTCTCAAATCGCTCCAAATATTCACTTGCAGAATATACAAAAAGAGTGTTTCAAAACTGCTATATCAAAAGGAATGTTCAACTCAGTGAGTTGAATGCACACATCACAGAGAAGTTTCTGAGAATGCTTCTGTCTAGTTTTTATGTGAAGATATTTCCTTTTTCAACATAGGCATCAATGAGCTCCAAATGTCCACTTGCAGATTGTACAAAAAGAGTGTTTCAAAACTTCTCTGTCAATGGAAAGGTTCAACTATGTGAGTTGAATGCAGGCATCACAAAGAAGCTTCTGAGAATGCTTCTGTCAAGTTTTTATATGAAGATATTTCTTTTTCTACCATAGGTCGCAAAGCGCTCCAAATATCCACTTGCAGATTCTACAAAAAGGTGTTTCAAAACTGCTCTATCAAAATGAAGGTTCAACTTTTTGAGTTCAATGCACACATCACAAAGAAGATTCTGAGAATGCTTGTGTCTTGTTTTTATGTGAAGATATTCCCGTTTCCACCAAAGGCCGCAAAGTGCTCCAAATATCCATTGCAGATTCTACAAAAATAGTGTTTCAAAACTGCTCTATCAAAAGGAAGCTTCATCTCTGTGAGTTGAAGGAACACATCACAAAGTAGTTTCTGAGAATGCTTCTGTCTAGTTTTTATGTGAAGCTATTCCCGTTTCCACGGAAGGCCTCAAAGCCCTCCAAATGTACCCTTACTGGTTATACAAAAAGAGTGTTTCAAAACTGCTCTATCTAAAAGAAGGTTCAACTCTCTGTGTTCAGGGCAAACATCACAAAGTAGTTTCTGAGACTCCTTCTGTCTACTTTTTATGTGAAGATATTTTCTTTTCCACCGAAGGCCTCAAAGCACTCCAAATATCCACTTGCAGATTCTACAAAAAGATTGTTTCAACACTGTTCTATCAAAAGGAAGGCTCAACACTGTGAGTTGAATGCACACATCAAAAAGAACTTTGTGAGAATGCTTCTGACTAGTTTTTATGTTAGGATATTCCCGTTTCCACCGAAGGCCTCAAAGTGCTCCAAATATCCACTTGCAGATTCTACAAAAAGAGTATTTCAAAACTGTTCTATCAAAAGGAATGTTCAACTCTGTGAGTTGAATGCAAACATCACAAAGTAGTTTCTGAGAAGGCTTCTGTCTAGTTTTTATGTAAAGGTATTTCCTTTTTCAACATAGGCCTCAAAGTGCTCCAAATGTCCATTTGCAGATTCTACAAAAAGAGTGTTTCAAAACTGCTCTATCAAAAGAAATGTTCAACTCTGTCAGTTGAATGCACACATCACAGAGAAGTATCTGAGAATGCATCTGTCTAGTTTTTATGTGAAGATATTTCCTTTTTCAACATAGGCATCAAAGCTCTCCAAATGTTCACTTGCGGATTATACAAAAAGAGTGTTTCAAAAATTGCTCTATCAAAAGAAAGTTTCAACTCTGTGGGTTGAATGCAGGCATCACAAAGAAGTTTCTGAGAATGCTTCTGTCAATTTTTTTTAATGAAGATAAATCCTTTTCTACCATAGGCCTCAAAGCGCTCCAAATATCCACTTGCGGATTCTACCAAAAGAGTGTTTCAAAACTGCTCTATCAAAAGAAAGGTTCAACTCTCTGAGTTCAATGCACACATCACAAAGAAGTTTCTGAGAATGATTGTGTGTTGTTTTTATGTAAAGATATTCCCGTTTCCACAGAAGGCCTCAAAGCGCTCCAAATATCCACTTGCAGATTCTATAAAAAGAGTGTTTCAAAACTGCTCTATCAAAAGGAAGGTTGAACACTCTGAGTTCAATGCACACATCACAAAGAAGTTTCTGGGAATGCTTCTGTCCAGTTTTTATGTGAAGATATTTCCTTTTTCACCGTAGGCATGAAAGCGCTCTAAATATCCACTTGCAGATTCTACCAAAAGAGTGTTTCAAAACTGCTCTATTGAAAGAAATGTTCAACTCTGTGAATTCAATGCACACGTCACAAACTAGTTTCTGAGAATGCTTCTTTCTAGTTTTATATGAAGATATATCATTTCCTACCATAGGCCTACAAGCGCATCAAATATCCAGTTGCAGATTCTACAAAAAGAGTGTTTCAAAACTGCTCTATCAAAAGGAAGGTTCAACTCTGTGAGTTGAATGCAGGCATCACAAAGAAGTTTCTCAGAATGATTCTGTCTTGTTTTTATATGAAGACATTTCCTTTTCTACCATAGGCGTCAAAGGACTCCAAATATCCACTTGCAGATTCTACAAAAAGAGTGTTTCAAAACTGCTGTATTGATAGGAAGGTTCAACACTCTGAGGTCAATGCACACATCACAAAGAAGTTTCTGAGAATGCTTGTGTCTAGTTTTTATGTGAAGATATTCCCGTTTGCATTGAAGGCCTCAAAGTGCTCCAAATATGCACTTGCAGACTCTACAAAAAGAGTGTTTCAAAACAGCTCTATCAAAAGGAAGGTTCAACAATCTGAATTCAATGCACACAACACAAAGAAGCTTTTGAGAATGCTTCTGTGTGGTTTTTATGGGAAGATATTTCCTTTTTCACCATGGGCATCAAAGAGCTCCAAATGTCCACATACAGATTCTACAAAAAGAGTGTTTCAAAACTGCTCTATCAAAAGAAAGTTTCAACACTGTGAGTTTAATGCAGACATCACAGAGTAGTTTCTTAGAATGCTTTTGTCTAGTTGTTATATGAAGATATTCCCTTTTTTACCTTAGGCCTCAAAGAGCTCCAAATATCCACTTGCAGATTCTACTAAAAGTGTGTTTCAAAGCTGCTGTATCAAAAGGAAGGTTCATATCTCGGAGTTCAATGCACACAATGCAAAGAAGTTTCTGAGAATACTTCTGTGTAGGTTTTATGGGAAGATATTCCCGTTTCCACCGTAGGCCTCAAAGCGCTCCAAATATCCACATGCAGACTCTATAAAGTGTGTTTCAAAACTGCTCTATGAAAAGGAAGGTTCAACTCTGTGAGATGAATGCAGACATCAGAAAGATGTTTCTGAGAATGCTTCTGTCTAGTTTTTATGTGAAGATATTTCCTTTTTCACCATAGGCATCAAAGTGCTCTAAATGTCCTCTTGCAGATTCTACAAAAACAGTGTTTCAAAACTGCTCTATAAAAGGAAATGTTCACCTCTGTGAGTTGAATACACACATCGGAAAGTAGTTTCTGGGAATGCTTCTGTCTAGTTTTTATATGAAGATATTTCCTTTTCTAGTATAGGCCTCAAAGCGCTCGTATTATACAGTTGCAGATTCTACAAAAAGCATGTTTCAAAACTGCTCTATCAAAAGGAATGTTCAACACTATGAGTTGAATGCTAACATCACAATGTAGTTCCTGAGAATCCTTCTGTCTAGTTTTTATATGAAGATATTTCCTTTTCTACCATAGGCCTCAAAGGGCTCAAATATCTATTTCCAGCTTCTACAAAAACACTGTTTCAAAACTGCTCTATTAAAAGGAAGGTTCAATTCACTGAGTTGAATGCACACATCACAAAGAAGTTTCTGAGAATGCTTCTGTCTAGTTTTTATGTGAATATATTTCCTTTTCCACCACAGGCCTCAAAGAGCTCCAAATGTCCACTTACAGATTCTACAAAAACAGTGTTTCAAAACCTCTCTATTAAAAGAAATGTTCAACTCGGTGAATTGTATACATACATCACAAAGAAATTTCTCAGAATGCTTCGGTCTAGTTTTTATCTGAAGAGATTCCCGTTTCCACTGAAGGCCTTAAAGCTCTACAAATATCAACTTGCAGATTCTACAAAAAAAGTGTTTCAAAACTGTTCTATCAAAAGGAACATTCAACTCTGTGAGTTGAATGCACACATCACAAAGAAGTTTCTGAGAATGCTTCTGTCTAGTTTTTATGTGAAGAGATTCCCGTTTCCACCGAAGTCCTCAAAGCAGTCCCAATATCCACTTGCAGATTCTACAAAAAGAGTGTTTCAAAACTGATCTATGAAAAGCAATGTTCAACACTGTGAGTTGAACGCAAACATCCCAAAGTAGTTTCTGAGAATGCTTCTGTCTAGTTTTTATGTGATGATATCTCCTTTTCCACCGCAGGCCTCAATGCACACCAAATGTCCACTTGCAGATTCTACAAAAAGAGTGTTTCAAAACGGCTCTGCTAAAAGAATGGTTCGATTCTGTGAGTTGTATGCAGCCATCACAAAGAAGTTTCTGAGAAAGCTTCTGTGTAGTTTTTATATGAAGATATTTCCTTTTCTACCATAGGCCTCAAAGAGTTCCAATGATCCTCTTGCAGATTCTACAATAAGAGTGTTTCAAAACTGCTCTATAAAAAGGAATGTTCAACTTGTGAGTTGAATGCACACATCACAAAGTATTTTCTGAGAATTCTTCTGACTAGTTTTTATGTGAAGATATTCCCGTTTACACCGAAGTCCTCAAAGCTCTCCAAATATCCACTTGCAGATTCTACAAAAAGAGTGTTTCAAAACTGCTTTATCAGTGGGAAGGTTCAACTCTGTGAGTTGAATGCAAAAGTCAGAATGAAGTCTCTGAGAATGCTTCTGTCTAGTTTTCATGTGAAGATATTCCCGTTTCCACCGAAGACCTCAAAGCAGTCCAAATATCCACTTGCAGATACTACAAAAAGAGTGTTACAAAACTGCTCTGTCAAATGGAATGTTCAACTCTGTGAGTTGAATGCAAACATCGCAAAGTTGTTTCTGAGAATGCTTCTGTCTAGTTTTTATATCAAGATATCTCCTTTTCTACCACATGCCTCAAAGCACTCCAAATGTCGACTTGCATATTCTACGTAAAGAGTGCTTCAAAACTGCTCTATCAAAAGAAAGGTTCATCTCCGTGAGTTGAATGCACACAGCACAAAGAAGCTTCTGGGAATGCTTCTGTCTAGTTTTTATGTGAAGGTATTCCCTGTTCCACTGAAGGCCTCAAAGGGCTCAAAATATGTGCTTGCCGATTCTACAAAAAGAGTGTTTCAAAACTGCTCTATCAAAAGGAAGATTCAATTCTGTGAGTTGATTGCAAACATCATGAAGAAGTTTCTGAGAATGATTCTGTCTAGTTTTTATATGAAAATATTTCCGTTTCAAATGAAGGCCTCAAAGTGGTCAAAATATTCACTTGCAGATTTTACAAAAAGAGGGTTTCAAAATTGCTCTATCAGAAGCAATGTTCAACTCTGTGAGTTGTATGCACACATCAAAAAGAAGTTTCTGAGAATGCTTCTGTCCAACTTTTATGTGAAGATATTTCCTTTTTCACCATAGGCATCAAAGCGCTCTAAACGTCCACTTGCAGATTCTACAAAAACAGTGTTTCAAAAGTGCTCTATCAAAAGAAATGTTCAACAGTCTGAGTTGAATGCAGACATCACAAAGTAGTTTCTGATTATACTTCTGTGTAGTTTTTATATTAAGATATTTCCTTTCCTACTGTAGGCCTCAAAGCACTCCAAGTATACAGTTGCAGATTCTACAAAAAGCGTATTTCAAAACTGCTCAATCAAAAGGAAGTTTCAACTCTCTGAGTTCCATGCATGAATCACAAAGAAGTTTCTCAGAATGCTTCTGTCTAGTTTTTAGGTGAAGATATTGCTGTTTCCACCATAGGCCTCAAAAAGCTACAAATATCCACTTGCAGATTCTACAAAAAGAGTGTTTCAAAACTGCTCTATCAAAAGGAATGTTCAACTCTGTGATTTGAATGCAAACATCACAAAGTAGTTTCTGAGAATGCTTCCGTCTAGTTTTTATATGAAGATATTTCCTTTTCTACCATAAACCACAAAGCGATCCAAATATCGACTTCAAGATTCTAGAAAAACAGTGTTTCAAAACTGGTCTATCAAAACGAAGGTTCAATTCTCTGAGTTGAATGCACACATCACAAAGAAGTTTCTGAGAATGCTTCTGTCTACTTTTTATGTGAAGATATTTCGTTTTCCACCACAGGCCTCAAAGCACTCCAAATGTTCTAATACAGATTCTACAAAAAGAGTGTTTCATAACTGCTCTATCAGAAGGAAGGTTCAAATCTGTGATTTGAATACACACATCAGAAAGAAGTTTCTGAGAATGCTTCTGTCTAGTTTTTATGTGAAGATATTCCCATTTCCACCGAAGGCCTCAAGGCGCTCCAAATATCCACATGCAGATTCTACAAAAAGAGTGTTTCAAAACTGCTCTGTCAAAAGGAAGGTTCAACACTGTGAGTTGAATGCACACATCACAAAGAAGTTTCTGAGAATGCTTCTGTCTAGTTTTTATGTGAAGATATTCCCGTTTCCACAGAAGGCCTCAAAGTGCTCCAAATATCCACTTGCAGATTCTACAAGAGTGTTTCAAAGCTGCTCTATCAGGAGGAATGTGCAACTCTCTAAGTTGAATGCACACATCACAAAGGAGTTTCTGAGAATACTTCTGTCTAGTTTTTATATGAAGATATTCCCGTTTCCACCGAAGGCCTCAAAGCGCTCCAAATATCCACTTGCAGATTCTACAAAAATAGTGTTTCAAAACTACTTTATAAAAAGGAATGTTCAAATCTGTGCGTTGAATGCACACATCACAAAGGAGTTTTTGATAAAGCTTCTGACTAGTTTTTATATGAAGATATCTCTTTTTCCACCACAAGCCTCAAAGTGCTCCAAATGTCCACTTGCAGATTCTACAAAAAGAGTGTTTCAAAACTGCTCTATCAAAAGGAATGTTCAACACTATGAGTTGAATGCTAACATCACAAAGGAGTTATTGAGAATACCTGTGTCTAGTTTTTATGTGAAGATATTTCATTTTTCACCATACACATCAAAGCGCTCTAAATGTCCACTTGCAGATCCTAAAAAAAGAATGTTTTCAAAACTGCTTTATCAAAAGAAAGGTCCAACCCTGTGAGTTGAATGCACAAGTCACAAATAATTTCTGAGAATGTTTCTGTCCAGTTTTTTTTTTTTTTTTGAGACGGAGTCTCACTCTGTCGCCCAGGCTGGAGTGCAGTGGCGGGATCTCGGCTCACTGCAAGCTCCGCCTCCAGGGTTCACGCCATTCTCCTGCCTCAGCCTCCCAAGTAGCTGGGACTACAGGCACCCGCCACTATGCCCTGCTAATTTTTTTGTATTTTTTGTAGAGACGGGGTTTCACCGTTTTAGCCAGGATGGTCTCGATCTCCTGACCTCGTGATCTGCCCGCCTCAGCCTCCCAAAGTGCTGGGATTACAGGCGTGAGCCACCGCGCCCGGCCTCTGTCCAGTTTTTATATGAAGACTTTTCCTTTCCTACCATAGGCCTCAAACCGCTCCAAATATCCAGTTGCAGATTCTACAAAAAGATTGTTTCAAAACTGCTCTATCAAAAGGAAGTTTCAACCCTCTGAGTTGAATGCATGCATCACAAAGAAGTTTCTGATAATACTTCTGTCTAGTTTTTACGTGACGATATTCCCGTTTCCACCGAAGGCCACAAAGCGGTCCAAATATCCACTTGCAGATTCTACAAAGGGAGTGTTTCAAAGCTGCTCTATCAAAAGGAATGTTCTACTCTATGAGTTGAATGCAAACATCACAAAGTTGTTTCTGAGAATGCTTCTGTCTAGTTTTCATATGAAGATATTTCCTTTTCCACCACAGGCCTCAAAGCGCTCCAAATGTCCACTTGCAGATTCTACAAAAAGAGTGTTTCAAAACTGCTCTATCCAAAGAAAGGTTCAGCTCTGTGAGTTGAATGCACACATCACAAAGAAGTTTCTGAGAATGCTTCCGTCCAGTATTTACGTGAAGATCTTCCCTTTTTCACCGAAGGAATCAAAGGACTCCAATTATCCACTTGCAGATTCTACAAAAAGAGTGTTTGAAAACTGCTCTATCAAAAGGAAGGTTCAGCTCTCTGAGTTGAATGCACACATCACAAAGAAGTTTCTGAGAATGCTTTTGTCTAGTTTTTATGTTAAGATATTCCCTTTTTCAGCCTAGGAATCAAATGGCTCCAAATATCCACTTGAAGATTCTACAAAAAGAGTGTTTCAAAACAGCTATGTAAAAAGGAAGGTTCATCTCTGTGAGTTGAATGCACACATCACAAAGAAGTTTCTGAGAATGCTTCTGTCTAGTTTTTGTATGAAGATGATAATTTGTTTTCCACCACAGGCCTCAAAGCTCTCCATCTTTCCAATTGCAGATCCTACAAAAAGAGTGTCTCAAAACTGCTCTATCAAAAGAAAGGCACAACTCTGTGTGTTGAATGCACACATTACAAAGAAGTTTCTGAGACGGCTTCTGTCTAGTTTTTATGTGAAGTCATTCCCGTTTCCACCGAAGGCCTCAAAGCGCTCCAAATATCCACTTGAAGTTTCTATAAAAAGAGTGTTTCAAAACTGCTCTATCAGAAGGAAGGTTCAATTCTATGAGTTGAATGCACACATCACAAAGAAGTTTCTGAGAATGCTTTTGTCTAGTTTTTATGTGAAGATATTCCCGTTTACAACGAAGGCCTCAAATCGCTCCAAATATACACTTGCAGATTCTACAAAAAGAGTGTTTCAAAACTACTCCATAAAAAGGTATGTTCAACGCTGTGAGTTGAATGCAAACATCACAAAGTATTTTCTGAGAATTCTTCTGTCTCGTTTTTATATGAAGATATTTCCTTTTCTACCATAGGCCTCAAAGCACTCCAAACGTCCACTTCCAGATTCTACAAAAACAGTGTTTCAGAACTGCTCTATCAAAAGGAAGGTTCAATTCTCTGAGTTTAATGCACACATCACAAAGATGTTTCTGAGAATGCTTCTGTCTAGTTATTTTGTGAAGATATTCCCCTTTCCACCATATGCCTCAAAGTGCTCCAAATATCCACTTGCAGATTCAACAAAAAGAGTGTTTCAAAACTGCTCCAAGGAAAGGTTCAACTGTGAGTTGAACCTGAGATTTTACCAAAAGAGTGTTTCCAAATGCTCTATCACAATAAAGTTGAACTCTGTGAGTTGAATTCGCACATCACAAAGAAGTTTCTGAGAATTCCTCTGTCTAGTTTTTATAGGAAGATATTTCTTTTTCCACCACAGTCCTCAAAGCACTCCAATTATCCACTTCCAGATTCTACAAAAATAGTGATTCAAAAGTGCTCAATCAAAGGAAAGGTTCAACTCTGTGAGTTGAATGCACACATCACAAAATAGTTTCTGAGAATGCTTCTGTCTAGTTTTTATGTGAAAATATACCTTTTCCACCATAGGCCTCATAGCGCTTCAAATATCCACTTACAAGTTCGACAAAAAGAGTATTTCAAAACCGCTCAATCAAAAGGAAGTTTCAACTTTGTGAGTTGAAGGCACACATCACGAAGAAGTTTCTGAGAATGCTTCTGTCCAGGTTTTCTGTGAAGATATTTCCTTTTCTAACGTAGGCATAAAAGCGCTCCAAATATCCACTTGCAGATTCTACAAAAAGAGTGTTTCAAAACTGCCCAATCAAAAGAAAGGTTCAACTCTGTGAGTTGAATGCACACATCTCAAAAATTTCTGAGAATGCTTCTGTCTAGCTTTTATGTGAAGATATTTCCTTTTCCACCAAAGGCCTCAAAACGCTCCAAATATCCACCTGCAGATTCTACAAACAGAGTGTTTCAAAACTGCTCAATCAAAAGAAAGTTTCAACTCTGTGAGTTGAATTCACTCAACAGAAAGAAGTTTCTGAGAATGTTTCTGTCTAGATTTTATGTGAAGATATTTCCTTTCCAGCATAGGCCTCAAAGCGCACCAAATATCCACTTGCAGATTCTACAGAAAGAGAGTTTCAAAACCGCTCAATCAAAAGAAACGTTCAGCTTTGTGAGTTTTATGCAGACATCCAGAGAAGTTTCTGAGAATGCTTCTGTCTAGTTTTTAGGTGAAGATATATCCTTTTCCACCATAGGCCTCAAAGTGCTGTAAGAGGCCACTTGAAGATTCTGCAAAAGGTGTGTCTCAAAACTGTTCTATCAAAGGAAAGGTTCAACTCTGTGAGTTGAGTGCACACATCACAAAGATGTTTCCGAGAATGCTTCTGTCTAGTTTTTAGGTGAAGATATTTCCTTTTCCACCACAGGCCTCAAATCACCCCAAATATCCACTTGCAGATTCTACAAAAAGAGGGTTTTAGAACTCCTCAATCAAAAGACAGGTTGGACTCTGAGTGTTGAATGCACACATCACAAAGAAATTTCTGAGAAGGCTTATGTCTAGTTTTTATGTGAAGATATTTCCTTTTCTGCCATTGGCTTCAAAGTGCTAAAAATATCCACTTGCAGAGTCTACAAATAGAGGCTCTCAAAACTGCTCTATGAAAAGATAGGTTCAAATCTGTTAGTTGAATGCACACATCACAAATTAGTTTCTGAGAATGATTCTGTCTAGTTTTTATGTGAAGATATTTCCTTTTAAACCATAGGCCTCAAAGCGCTCCAAATATCTACTTGCAGATTCTACAAAAAGTGTGTCTCAAAACTACTCTTTCAAAAGACAGGTTCAACTCTGTGCGTTGAAAACACACATCACAAAGAAGTTTCTGAGAAGGCTTCTGTCTAGTTTTCATGTGAAGATATTTCCTTTTCCACCGTAGGCCTCAAAGCACTTCAAATATGCACTTGCAGATTCTACAAAAACAGTGCTTCAAAACTGCTCTATCAAAACAAATGTTCAACTATGTAAGTTGAATGCACACATCACAAAGATGTTTCTGATAATACTTGTGTCCAGTTTTTATGTGAAGATATTCCCTTTTCCAATATAGGCCTCAACCTACTGCAAATATCCACTTGCTGATTCTGCAAAAAGAGTGTTTCAAAACTGCTCTAGCAAAAGAAAGGTTCAACTCTGTGTGTTGAATGCACACATCACAAAGAAGTTTCTGAGAATGCTTCATTCTAGTTTTTACTTGAGGATATTTCCTTTTCCACAACTGGCCTCAAAGCGCTGGAAATATCTGCTTGGAGATTCTAGAAAAAGTGTGTTTCAAAGCTGCTCTATCAAAAGAAAATTTCACCTCCATGAGTTGAATGCACATATCACAAAGGAGTTTCTGACAATGCTTCTGTCTAGTTTTTATGTGAAGATATTTCCTTTTCCACCAAAAGCCCCAAATCTCTCCAAGTAGCCACTTGCAGATTCCACAAAAATAGTGTTTCAAAACTGCTCTATCAAAAGAAAGGTTCAGCTCTGTGAGTTGAATGTACACATCACAAAGAAGTTCCTGAAAATCCTTCTGTCTTGTTTTTATGTGAAGATATTTCCTTATCCACCATGGCCCACAAAGTGCTCCAAATATCTGCTTGCAGATTCTACAAAAAGAGTGTTTCAAAACTACTCTATCAAAAGAAAGGTTCAACTCTGTGTGTTGAATGCACTCATCACAAAGAAGTTTCTGAGAATGCTTCTGTCTAATTTTTATGTGATGATATTTCCTTTTCCACTCTTGGCCTCAAAGCCCTAGAAATATCCACTTGCAGATTCTACAAAGACAGTCTTTCAAAACTGCTCTACCAAAAGAAATGTGCAACTCTGTGTGTTGAATGCACACCTCACACAGAAGTTTCTGAGAATGCTTCTGTCTAGTTTTTATGTGATGATATTTCCTTTTCCACCATAGGCCTGAAGGCACTTCAAATATCCACTTGCAAATTCTACAAAAAGAGTGTTTCAAAACTACTCTATCAAAAGAAAGCTTCAACTCTATGAGATAAATGCACACATCTCAAAGGAAATTCTGAGAATGCTTCCATCTAGTTTTTATGTGAAGATATTTCCTAACACCATAGGCTGCAAAAGGCTGCAGATATCCACTTGCAGTCTCTACAAAAAAGTGTTTCAAAACTGCTCCATCAAAATAAGTGTTCAACTCTGTGAGATGAATGCACACATCACGAAGTAGTTTCTCAGAATGCTTTTGTGAAGTTTTTATGTGACGATATTTCCTTTTCCACAGTAGGCCACAAACCACTCCAAATATCAACTTGCAGATTCTACACAAAGAGTGTTTCAAAACTGCCCAAATTAAAGAAAGGTTGAACTCTGTGGAATGAATGCACACATCACAAAAAAGTTTCTCAAAATGCCTCTGGGTAGTTTTTATATGAAGACATTTCCTTTTCCAGAATAGTCCACAAATTGCTCCAAATATCCACTTGCGAATTCTACAAAATGAGAGATTCAAAACTGCTCAATCTAAAGATACGTTCAATTCTATGAGTTGAATACACTCATCACAAAGTAGTTTCTCAGAATGCTTCTTTGTAGTTTTTATGTGAAGACATTTCCTTTTCCACCATAGGTAGCAAAGGGCTCTAAATATGCACTTGCAGATTCTATAAAAAGAGAGTTTCAAAACTGCTCTATCAAAAGATAGATTCAACTCTGTGAGTTGAATGCACACATCACAAAGGAGTTTCTTAGAATGCTTCTGTGTAGTTTTTATGTGAAGATATTTCCTTTTCCACCAAAGGCCTCAAAGCACTCTAAACATCCACTGCAGATTCTACAAAAAGATTGTTTCCAAACTGATTACTCAAAACCAAGTTTCAAATCTATGAGATGAATGCACACATCCCAAAGAAGTTTCTCAGAATGCTTCCATGTAGTTTTTATGTGAAGATATTTCGTTTTCCACAACAGGCCTCAGAGCGCTCCAAATATCTACTTGCAGATTCTACAAAAATATTATTTCATTGTTCACTTCCCACCTACGAGTGAGAATATGCGGTGTTTGGTTTTTTGTTCTTGCGATAGTTTACTGAGAATGATGATTTCCAATTTCATCCATGTCCCTACAAAGGACATGAACTCATCATTTTGGACACAGGAAGGGGAATATCACACTCTGGGGACTTTTCTGGGGTGGGGAAAGGGGGAAGGGATAGCATTGGGAGATATACCTACTGCTAGATGATGAGTTAGTGGGTGCAGCGCACCAGCATGGCACATGTATACATATGTAACTAACCTGCACAATGTGCACATGTACCCTAAAAGTATTATAAAAAAAATTTAAAAAAAAGATTATTTCAAAACTGCTCCATCAAAAGAAATCTTCAACTCTGTGAGATGAATGAACACATCTCAAAGAAGTTTCTCAGAATGCTTCAGTGTAGTTTTTATGTCAAGGTATATCCTTTTCCACAGTAGGTCCCAAAGCACTCCAAATATCCACTTGCAGATTCTACAAAATGAGGGTTTCAAAAATGCTCAAACAAAAGAAAGGTTCAACTCTGTGAGATGAGTGCAAAAATCACAAAGAAGTTTCTCAGAATGCTTCCGGGTAGTTTTTATGTGAAGATATTTCCTTTTCCAAAATAGGCCGCAAAGGGCTCTTAATATCCACTTGGAGATTCTACAAAATGACAGATTCAAAACTGCTCAATAAAAAGATAGATAGGTCCTATTCTATGATTTGAATATACATATCACAAATATGTTTCTCACAATGTTTCTGTGTAGTTTTTATGTGAAGATATTAACTTTTAAACCATAGGCTGCAAAGGGCTCTAAATATCCACTTGCCGATTCTACAAAAAGTGGGTTTCAAAACTGCTCAGTCAAAATATGGGTTCAACTCTGTCAAATATATGCACACAACTGAAAGAAGTTTCTCTGAATGCTTCTGTGTAGATTTTATGTGAAGATCTTTCCTTTTCCACAATAGACCTCAAAGTGCTCCAAATATCCACTTACAGATTCTGCAAAAACAGTGTTTCCAAACTGCTCATTAAAAGAAAGGTTCAACTCTGTGAGACGAATGCACAGATTGCAAAGAAGTTTCTCAGAATGCTTCTGTGTAGTTATGTGAAGATATTTCCTTTTCCACCATAGGCCTCAAAGTGCTCCAATTATACACTTGCAGATTCTACAAAAAAAGTGTTTCCAAACTGCTCAATCAAAAAAAGTTTGAACCCTATGAGTTGAATGCACACATCCCAGAGAAGTTTCTCAGAAAGCTTCAGTGCAGTTTTTATGGCAAGATATTTCCTTTTCCACAGTAGGCCTCAAAGTGCTCCAAATATCCACTTGTAGATTCTATAAAAAGAGTGATTCTAAACTGCTCAATCTAAAGAAAGGTTCAATTCTGTGAGGGGAATCCACACATCAAAAAGAAGTTACTCAGAATGCTTCTGTGTAGTTTTTATGTGAAGATATTTCCTTTTCCAACATAGGCCTCAAAGTGCTCCAAATATCCACTTGCAGATTTTCCATAAAGTCAGTTTCAAAACTGCTCCATCAAAAGAAAGGTTCAACTCTGTGAGTTGAATGCACAAATCACAAAGAAGTTTCTCAGAATGCTTCTGTGTAGTTTATATGTGAAGATATTTCCATTTCCACAATAGGCCCCAAAGTGCTCCAAATATCTACTTGCAGATTCTACCTAAAGTGTGTTTCAAAACTGCTCAAACAAAAGAGAGGTTCAACTCTGTGAGAGGAATGCACACATCACAAAGAAATGTCTCAGAATGCTTCTGTGTAGTTTTTATGTGAAGATATTTCCTTTTCCAAAATAGGCAGCAAATGGCACTAAATATCCACTTGTAGATTCTACAAAACGAGAGATTCAAAACTGCTTAATCAAAATATAGGTTGAATTCGATGGGTTGAATACACACATCACAAAGATGTTTCTCAGAATGCTTCTGTGTAGTTTTTATGTGAAGATATTTCCTTCCCCAAAATTGGCCACAAAGTTCTCCAAATATCCACTTGCAGATTCTCCAGAAAGAGAGATTCAAAACTGCTCAATCAAAAGATAGGTTCAACTCTGTGAGTGGAATGCACACATCGCAAAGAAGTTTCTCAGAATGCTTCTGTGTGGTTTTTATGTGAAGATATTTCCTTTTCCACCGTGGGCCACAAAACTCTCCAAATATCTTCTTGCAGATTCTACAAAAAGACTGTTTCAAAACTGCTCAATCAAAGGAAAGTTTCAACTCCGTGAGATGAATGTGCACATCACAAAGAAGTTTCTCAGAATGCTTCTGTGTAGTTTCTATGTGAAGATATTTCCTTTTCCACAATAGACCTCAAAGCACTCCAAATGTCCACTTGCAGACTCTATAAAAAGAGTGTTTCAAAACTGCTCAATCTAAAGAAAGGTTCAATTCTGTGAGATGAATGCACACATCACAAAGAAATTTCTCACAATGCTTATGTGTAGTTTTTATGTGAAGATATTTCCTTTTCCAAAATTGGTCACAAAGGTCTCCAAGTATTCAATTCCAGATTCGACAAAAAGAGACATTCAAAACTGCTAAATCAAAAGATAGGTTCAAATCTGTGAGCTGAATGCACATATCACAAAGAAGTTTCTCAGAATGCTTCTGTGTGGTTTTTATGTGAAGATATTTCCTTTTCCACTAAAGGCCTCAAAGCACTCTAAACATCCACTTGCAGATTCTACAAAAAGATTGTTTCCAAACTTCTCAATCAAAAGATAGGTTCAACTCTGTGTGTTTAATGCACACATCACAAAGAAGTTTCTCAGAATGCTTCTGTGTAGTTTTTATGTGAAGATATTTCGTTTTCCACCATAGACGGCAAAAGGGCTCTAAAAATCAACTTGCAGATTCTACAAAAACAGAGGAATTTCAAAACTGCTCCATCAAACGATAGGTTTGACTCTGTGAGTTAAATGAACACATGACAAAGGAGTTTCCCAGAATGCTTCTGTGCAGTTTTTATGTGAAGATATTATCTTTTCCACAATAGGCCTCGACGCACTCCAAATATCCCCTTGCAGATTCTACAAAAAGTGTTTTAAGACTGCTCAATCAAAAGAAAGCTTCAACTCTGTGAGATGAATGCACACATTGCAAAGAAATTTCTCAGAATGCTTCTGGGAAGTTTTTATGTGAAGATATTTCCTTTTCCACAATAGGCCTCTAAGCTCTCCAAATATCCACTTGCAGATTCTATAAAAAGAGTGTTTCAAAACTACTCAATCTAAACAAAGGTTCAATTCTGTGATATGAATGCTCACATCACAAAGAAGTTTCTCAGAATGCTTCTGTGTAGATTTTATTTGAAGATATTTCATTTTGCACAGTAGGCCCCAAACCCTCCAAATATCCACTAGCAGATTCTACAAAAAGAGTGTTTCAAAACTGCCTAAACAAAGGAAAGTTTCAACTCTGTGAGATGAATGCACACATCCCAAAGAAATTTCTCAGAATGCTTCTGTGTAGTTTCTATGTGAAGATATTTCCTTCTCCACAATGGGCTGCAAAGGGCTCCAAATATCCACTTGCAGGTCCTACAAAATGAGAGATTCAAAACTGCTCAATCAAAAAATAGTTTCAATTTTATGATTTGAATACACACATCACAAAGAAGTTTCTCAGAATGCTTCTGTGTGGTTTTTATGTGAAGATATTTAATTTTCCACCATAGACCACAAAAGGGCTGTAAATATCCACAGGCAGATTCTACAAAAACAGAGTTTCAAAGCTGCTCAATCAAAAGATAGTTTCAACTCTGTGAGTTGAATGCACTCATCCCAAAGAAGTTTCTCAGAATGCTTCTGAGTAGTTTTTATGTGAAGATATTTCCTTTTCCACAACAGGCCTCAAAGCGCTCCAAATATCCACTTGCAGATTCTACAAAAAGATTGTTTCAAAACTGCTCAAACAAAAGAAAGCTTCAACACTGTGAGATGAATGCACACATCACAAATAAGTTTCTCAGAATATTTCTGTGTACTTTTTATGTGAAGTTATCTCCATTTCCACAATAGACCAGAAAGAGCTCGAAATATCCACTTGCAGATTCTACAAAAAGAGTGTTTCAAAACTGCTCAAACAAAAGAAAGGTTCAACTCTGTGAGATGAATGCATACATCGCAAAGAAGTTTCTCCGAATGCTTCTGTGTACTTTTTAAGTGAAGATATTTCCTTTGCCACAAGAGGCATCAAAGGGCTCCAAATATCCACTTGCAGATGCTACTCAAAGAGTATTTCAAAACTGCTCAATCAAAAGAAAGGTTCAACTCTGAGTGGAATGCACACATCGCAAATAAGTTTCTCAGAACACTTCTGTGTAGTTTTTATGGGAAGATATTTCCTTTTCCATGAAAGGCAGCAAAGGCTCCAAATATGTTCTTGCAGATTCTACAAAAAGAGAGTTTCAAAACAGCTCAAACAAAAGATAGTTTCAACTCTGTGAGTTGAATCCACACATCACAAATAAGTTTCTCAGAATGCTTCTGTGTATTTTTTATGTGACGATATTTCCTTTTCCACAATTGTCCTGAAAGCGCACCAAATATCCACTAGTAGATTCTACAAAAAGGGTGTTTCCAAACTGCTCAATCAAAACAGAGTTTCAAATCTGTGAGATGAAGGCACAGATCCCAAAGTAGTTTCTCAGAATGCTTCTGTGTAGTTTTTTTGTGAAGATATTTCCTTTTCTGCAATAGGCCTCAAAGCACTCGAAATATCCACTTGCAGATTTTTCAAAAAGAGTGTTTCAAAACTGCTCCATAAAAAGAAATCTTCAACTGTGTGACATGAATGCACTCATCTGAGAAAGAAGTTTCTCAGAATGTTTCTGTGTGTTTTTATGTCAAGATATACCCTTTTCCACAGTAGGTACCAAAGCGCTCCAAATATCCACTTGCAGATCCTACAAAAAGTGGGTTTCAAAAATGCTCAAACAAAAGAAAGGTTCAAGTGTGTGAGTTGAATGTCCACATCACAAAGAAGTTTCTGAGAATGCTTCTGTCTAGTTTGTATGTGAAGATATTTCGTTTTTGACCATTGTCCTGAAAGCCCTCAAAATATACACTTGCAGATTCTACAGAAAGGGTGTGTCAAAACTGCTCTATGAATAGAAAGGTTAAACTCTGTGACTTGAATGCACACATCACAAAGAAGTTTCTGAGAAGGCCTCTGTCTAGTATTTATGTGAAGATATTTCATTTTTTAACATAGGCCTCAAAGGGAAATAAACATCCACTTGCAGATTCTACAAAAAGAGAGTTTCAAAACTGCTCAATCAAAAGAAAGGTTCAACGATGTGAGTTGAATCCACACACCGTAAAGAAGTTTCTCAGAATGCTTCTGGGTAGTTTTTATGTGAAGATATTTCCTTTTCCACAATAGGCCTCAAAACACTCCAAATATCCACTTGCAGATCCTACAAAAACCGTGTTTCAAAACTGCTCAATCAAAAGAAAGGTTCAACTCTGTGAGTTGAATGCACACATCACAAGGAAGTTTCTCAGAATACTTCTCTGTAGCTTTTATGTGAAGATATTTCCTTTTCCACCATAGGCAGCAAAGGTCTACAAATATACATTTGCAGATTCTACAAAAAGAGAGTTTCAAAGCTGCTCAAACAAAAGATAGGTTCAACTCTGTGACTTGAATGCACACATCACAAACAATTTTCTCAGAATGCTTCTGTGTAATTTTTATGTGAAGATATTTCCTTTTCCATAATAGGCCTCAAAGAGCTCTAAACATCCACTTGCAGATGCTGCAAAAACAGTGTTTCAAAACCGCTCAATCAAAATAAAAGTTCAACTCTGTGAGCTGAATGCACACATCACAAAGAAGTTTGTCAGAATACTTCTGTGTAGATTTTAGGTGAAGATATTTCCTTTTCCACCACAGGCAGTAAAGGGCTCCAAATATCCACTTGTAGATTCTTCAAAAACAGTGTTTCCAAACTGCTCCATCACAAGATATCTTCAACTCTTTGAGTTGAATGCACACATCACAAAGAAGTTTCTCAGAATGCTTCTGTATAGTTTTTATGTGAAGACATTTCCTTTTCCACAATAGGCCTGGAAGAGCTCCAAATATCCAATTGCAGATCCTACAAAAAGAGGAGTGTTTCAAAGCTGCTCAAACAAAAGGAAGGTTCAACTCTGTGAGATGAAAGCACAAATTGCAAAAAAGTTTCTCAGAATGCTTCTGTGCAGTTTTAATCTGAAGATATTTCCTTTTCCACAAGAGGCTTCAAAGCGCTCCAAATATCCACTTGCAGATGCTACAAAAACAGTGTTTCAAAACTGCTCAATCAAAAGAACGTTTCAAATCTGAGAGCTGAATGCACACATCACAAAGAATTTTCTCAGAATACTTCTCTGTAGTTTTTATGTGAAGATATTTCCTTTTCCACAATAGGCAGCAAAAGGCTCCAAATATCCACTAGCAGATTCTACAAAAAGAGAGTTTCAAAACTGCTCAATCAAAAGGTGGGTTCAACTCTGTGAGTTGAATGCACACATCACAAAGAAGTTTCTCTGAATGCTTCTGTGTAGTTTTTATTTGAAGATATTTCCTTTTCCAACATAGACTACAAAGCACTCCAAATATCCACTTCCAGATTCTATAAAAAGAGTGTTTCAAAACGGCTCCATCAAAAGAAATCTTTGACTCTGTGAGATGCTTGCACACATCGAAAAGAAGTTTCTCAGAATGCTTCAGTGTAGTTTTTATGTGAAGACACTTCCTATTCCACAGTAGGCCCCTATGTACTACAAATATCCATTTGCAGATTCTACAAAAAGAGTATTACAAAACTGCTCAAACAAAAGAAAAGTTCAATTCTGTGAGATGAATGCACACATCAGAAGGAAGTTTCTCAGAATGCTTCAGGGTAGTGTAGTTTTTATGTGAAGATATTACCTTTTCCACCGTAGGCAGCAAAGGGCTCCAAATATCCACTTGCAGATTCTACAAAAACAGTGTTTCAAAACTGCTCAATCAAAAGATATGTTCAACTCTGTGAGTTGAATGCTTACATCACAATGAAGTTTCTCAGAATGCTTCTGTGTAGTTTTTATGTGAAGATATTTTCTTTTCCACTACAGGTCACAAAGCGCTCCAAATATCCACTTGCAGATAGTACAAAAAGAGTGTTTTCAAACTGCTCAATCAAAACAAAGTTTCAACTCTGTGAGATGAATGCACACATCCCAGAGAAGATTCTCGGAATGCTTCTCTGTAGTTTCTATGTGAAGATATTTCCTTTTCCACAATAGGCCTCAAAGCGCTCCAAATATCCACTTGCGGATTCTACAAAAAGAGTGTTTCAGAACTGCTCCATCAAAAGAAATCTTCAACTCTGTGAGACGAATGCACACATTGCAAAGAAGTTTCTCAGAATGCTTCTGTCTGGTTTTTATGTGAAGATATTTCCTTTTCCAGAGTAGGCCTCAAAGCTCTCCAAATATCCCCTTACAGATTCTACAAAAAAAAGTTTTTAAAAACTGCTCAAACAAAGGAGAGATTTAACTCTGTGAGAGGAATGCACACATCAAAAAGAAGTTTCTCAGAATGCTTCTGGATAGTTTTTATGTGAAAATATTTCCTTTTCCAAAATAGGCCGCAAAGGGCTCTAAATATCCACATTCAGATTCTCCAAAAAGAAAGTTTCAATACTACTCAATCGAAAGACAGGTTCGACTCTGTCAGTTGAGTGCACACATCACAAAGAAGTTTCTCCGAATGCTTCTGTGAAGATTTTATGTGAAGATATTTCCTTTTCTGCGATAGGCCTCAAAGCACTCGAAATATCCACTTGCAGATTACGCAAAAAAGTGTTTCAAAACTGCTCAATCAAAAGAAAGCTTCAACTCTGAGAGCTGAATGCACACATCACAAAGAAGTTTGTCAGAATACTTCTGTGTAGTTTTTATGTGAAGATATTTCCTTTTCCACCAAAGGCAGTAACGGGCTCTAAATATCCACTGGCAGATTCTTCAAAAAGAGTGTTTCCAAAGTGCTCCACCAAAAGATAGGTTCAACTCTGTGAGTTGAATGCACACATCACAAAGAGGTTTCTCAGAATGATTCTGTGTAGTTTTTAGGTGAAGATATTTCCTTTTCCACCACAGGCAGCAAATGGCTCCAAATATCCACTTGCAGATTCTACAAAAAGACATTTTCAAAACTGCTCAATCAAAAAATAGGTTCAACTCTGTGAGTTGAATGCACACATCATGAAGAAGTTTCTCAGAATGCTTCTGTGAAGTTTTTATGTGAAGATATTTCCTTTTTCAGCTTAGTCCTCAAAGCGCTCCAAATATTCAATGCTGATTCTTCAAAAATAGTGTTTCCAAACTCCTCAATCAAAACAAAGTTTCAAGTCCGTGAGATGAATGCATACCTCACAGAGATGTTTCTCAGAATTCTTCTCTGTAGTTTTTATGTGAAATATTTACTTTTCTACAATAGGCCTCAAAGCGCTCCAATATCCAATTGCAAATGCTACAAAAAGAGTGTTTCAAAACTACTCCATGAAAAGAAATATTCAACTCTGTGAGACGAATGCACACATCACAAAGAAGTTTCTCAGAATGCTTCTGTATGTTTTTTATGTGAAGATATTTCCTTGTCCAAAATAAGCCACAAAGGGCTCCAAATATCCACTTGCAGATTCTACAGAAAGAGAGATTCAAAACTGCTCAATCAAAAGATAGGTTCAATTTTATTTGTTGAATACACACATCACAAAGAAGTTTCTCAGAATTGTTCTGTGTATTTTTATGTGACGCTCTTTCCTTTTCCACCGTAGGCCACAAAGGGATCTATATATCGACTTGCAGATTCTACAAAAAGAGTGTTTCAAAACTGCTCAAACAAAAGATAGGTTCAACTTTGTGAGTTGAATGTAAACATCGCAAAGAAGTTTCTCAGAATTCTTCTCTGTAGTTTTTACGTGAAGATATTACCTTTTCCACAAGAGGCCTAAAAGCACCCCAAATATTCACTTGCAGATTCTACAAGAAGAGTGTTCAAAACTGCTCAATCAAAAGACAGCTTCAACTCTGTGAGATGAATGCACACATCACAAAGTAGTTTCTCAGAATGCTTCTGTGCAGTTTTTATGTGAAGATATTTCCTTTTCCAAAAAGGCCACAAAGGGCTCCAAATAGCCACTTGCCGGTTCTACCAAACCTGCTCAATCAAAAGATAGGTTCAATTCCATGAGTTGAATACACACATCACAAAGAAGTTTCTCAGAATGTTTCTGTGTAGTTTTTATGTGAAGATAATTCCTTTCCACCACAGGCCGCAAAGGGCTCTAAATATTCACTTGCAGATTCTGCAAAAAAGAGAGTTTCAAAACTGCTCAATCAAAAGATAGGTTCAACTATGTGAGTTGAATCCACTCACCACAAAGAAGTTTCTCAGAATGCTTCTGTGTAGTTGTCATGTGAAGATATTTCTTTTTCCACAATAGGCTTCAAAGCACCCGAAATATCCCCTAGCAGATCCTACAAAAAGAGTGTTTCAAAACTGCTCCATCAAAAGAAATATTCAACTCTGTGAGATGAATGCACACATCCCAAAGAAGTTTCTCAGAAGGCTTCAGTGTAGTTTTTATGTGATGGTATTTCCTTTTCCACTGCAGGCCCCAAAGCGCTCCAAATATCCACTTGCAGATTCTACAAAAAGATTGTTTCAAAACTGCTCAAACAACAGAAAGGCTCAACTCTGAGGTGAATGCACAAATCACAAAGAAGTTTCTCAGAATGCTTCTGGGTTGTTTTTATGTGAAGATATTTCCTTTTCAAGAATAGGCCGCCAAGTCCAAATATCCACTTGCAGATTCTACAAAACTAGAGATTCAAAACCGCTCAATAAAATGATATGTTCAGTTCTATGAGTTGAATACACAAATCACAAAGAAGTTTCTCAGAATCCTTCTGTGTAGTTTTTATGTGAAGATATTTCCTTTTCAAAAATAGGCCACAAAAGGCTGTAAATATCCAGCTGCAGATTCTACAGAACGAGAGATTCAAAACTGCCCAATCAAAAGATAGGTTCCATTCTTTGAGTTGTATACACACATCACAAAGATGTTTCTCAGAATGCTTCTGTGTAGTTTTTATGTGAAGATATTTCCTTTTCCACCATAGGCCTGAAAGCGCTCCAAATATCCACTTGCAGATTCTACAAAAAGAGAGTTTCCAAACTGCCTAATCAAAGCAAAGTTTCAACTCTGTGAAATAAATGCACACATCACAAAGAAGTTTCTCAGAAAGCTTCTGTGCAGTTTTTATGTGAAGATATTTCCTTTTCCACAGTAGGCCTCAAAGCGCGCCAAATATCAACATGCAGATTCTATAAAAAGAGTGTTTCAAAACTGCTCAATATAAAGAAAGTTTCAATTCTGTGAGATGAATACAGACATCACAAAGGAGTTTCTCAGAATGCTTCTGTGTGTTTTTTATGTAAAGATATTTCCTTTTCAAAAATAGGCCGCAAGGGTCTCCAAATATCCCCTTGCAGATTCTACAAAAGGAGAGATTCAAAACTGCTCAGTGCAAAAATAGGTTCTGTTCTGTGAGTTGAATGCACACATCACAAAGAAGTTTCTCAGAATGCTTCTGTGCAGTTTTTGTGTAGATATCTTATTTTCCACCATAGGCCTCAAAATGCTCCAAATATCCACTTGCAGATTCTACAAAAAGATTGTTTCAAAACTGCTCAATCAAAAGAAAGGCTCAACTCTGTGAGAGGAATACACACATTGCAAAGAAGTTTCTCAGAATGCTTCTGTGTAGTTTTTATGTGAAGATATGTCCATTTCCACAAAAGGACCGAAAGAGCTCCAAATATCCACTATCAGTTTCTACAAAAAGAGTGTTTCAACCTACTCTTAGAAAAGAAAGATTCAACTGTGTGAGATCAACAGACACATCGCAAAGAAGTTTCTCAGAATACTTCTCTGTGTTTTTTATGTGAAGATATTTCCTTTTCCACAATAGGCTTCAAAGCACTCAAAATATCCACTGGCATATCCTACAAAAAGAGTGTTTCAAAACTGCTCCATCAAAAGAAATCTTCCACTCTGTGAGATGAATATAAACATCCCAAAGGGGTTTCTCAGAATGCTTCTGTGTAGTTTTATGTGAAGGTATTTCCTTTTCCACAGTAGGACCCAAGCGCCCCATATATCCACTTGCAGATTCTAAGAAAAGAGTGTTTCAGACTGATCAAACAAAATAAATGTTCAACTCTGTGAGATGAATGCACAAATCATAAAGTAGTATCTCAGAACGCTTCTGGGTAGTTTTTATGTAAAGATATTTCCTTTTCCAAAATAGGCTGAAATGTTTCCAAATATCAACTTGCAGATTCTACAAAACTAGAGATTCTGAACTGCTCAATAAAAAGGTTGGTTCAATTACATGAGTTGAATACACACATAACAAAGAAGTTTTTCAGAATGCTTCTGCGTAGTTTTTATGTGAACATATTTCCTTTCCACCATAGGCCTCAAAGCGCTCCAAATAACCACTTGCAGATCCTGTAAAAGACTGTTTCAAAACTGATCAGTCAAAAGAAAGCTTCAATCCTGTGAGATGAATGCACACATCACAAAGAAGTTTCTCAGAATGCTTTTGTGTAGTTTTTATGTGAAGATATTTCCTTTTCCAAAATTGGCCGCAAAGATCTCCAAATATCCACTTGCAGATTTTACAAAAAGAGATATTCAAAACTGCTAAATCAAAAGTTAGGTTGAACTCTGTAAGTTGAATGCACACTTCACAAAGAAGTTTCTCAGAATGCTTCTGTGTAGTTTTTATGTGAAGATATTTCCTTTTCCACAAGAGGCTTCAAATCACGCCAAATATCCACTCACAGATTCTACAAAAAGAGTGTTTCAAAACTGTTCCATTAAAAGAAATCTTGAACTCTGTGAGATGAGCGCACACATCACAAAGAAGTTTCTCACAATGCTTCTGTGTAGTTTTTAATGTGAAAATATTTCCTTTTCCACATTAGGCCCCAAAGAGCTCCAAATACCCACTTGCGGATTGTACAAAGGAGTGTTTCAAAACTGCTCAAACAAAAGAAAGTTTAAACTCTGTGTGGTGAAGGCACACATCACAAAAAGTTTCTCAGAATGCTTCTTGGTAGATTTATATGAAGATATTTCCTTTTCCAAAATAGGCTTCAAAGGGCTCCAAGTACCCAGTTGCAGATTCTACAGCAAGAGAGATTCAAAAATGCTCAATCAAAAGATAGCTTCAATTCTATCAGTTGAATACACACATCACAAAGAAGTTTCTCAGAATGTTTCAGTGTAGTTTTTAAGTGAAGATATTTCCTTTTCCACCATAGGCCTCAAAGCTCTCCAAATATCCACTTGCAGATTGTGCAAAAAGAGGGTTTCAAAACTGATCCATCAAAAGAAAGTTTGAACGCTGTGAGTTGGATGCTCACATCACAAAGAAGTTTCTGAGAATTCTTGTGTCTAGTTTTTACGTGAAGATATTTCCTTTTTCTCTAGAGGCCGAAAATCAGTCCAAATATCTACTTGCAGATTCCACAAACAGAGTGTTTCAAAACTGGTCAATCAAAAGAAAGGTTCAACTCTGTGAGATGAATACACACATCACAGAGTAGTTTCTCAGAATGCTTCTGTCTAGTTTTTATGTGAAGATATTTCCTATTCCTCTATAGACCACAAAGGGCTCCAAATATCAACTTGCAGATACTACAAAAAGAGCGTATCAGAACTCCTCAATCAAAAGAAAGGTTCAACTCCGTGAGTTCAATGCCTACATCACAAAGAAGTTTCTCAGAATGTTTCTGTGTAGTTTTAATGTGAAGATATTTCCTTTTCACCATAGGCCTCAAATCTCTCCAAATATCCATTTGCAGGTACTACAAAAACCCTGTTTCCAAACTGCTCAATCAAAGGAAAGGTTGTACTCTGTGAGTTGAATGCACACATCACAAAGAAGTTTCTCAGAATGCTTCTGTCTATTTTTTATGTGAAGATTTTTCCATTTCAACAATATGCCTCAAAGCACTCCAAATATCCACTTGCAGATTCCCCAAAAAGAGTGTTTCTAAACTCCTCAATGAAAAGAAATGTAAAACAGTGTGAGATGAATGCACACATCAAAAAAATTTCTCAGAATGCTTCTGTCTAGTTTTAATTTGAAGATATTTCCTTTTCCACCATAGGCCTCAAAGCGCTCCAAATATCCACTTGCAGATTCTACAAAAAGAGTGTTTCAAAACTTCTGAATCAAAAGAAAGCTTCAACTCTGTGAGATGAATGCACACATCACAAAGAAGTTTCTCAGAATGCTGGTGTCTAGTTTTTATTTGAAGATATTTCCTTTTCCACCATAGGCCTAAAAGCGCTCCAAATATCCACTTGCAGATTCTACATAAAGAGTGTTTCAAAACTGCTCAATCAAAATTAAATTAAAACTCTGTGAGTTCAACACACACATCACACAGTAGTTTCTCTGAATGCTTCTCTGTAGTTTTTTTGTGAAGATATTTCCTTATCCACCATAGGCCTCAAACCTCTCCAAATATTCATGTACAAATTCTACAAAAAGAGTGTTTCAAAATTGCTCGATCAAAAGAAAGGTTAAAGTCTGTGGGTTGAATGCACACCTCACAAAGAAGTTTCTCAGAATGCTTCTGTCTAGTTATTATGTGAAGATTTTTCCATTTCAACAATATGCCTCAAAGCGCTCCAAATATCCACTTGCAGATTCCCCAAAAAGAGTGTTTCTAAACTCCTCAATGAAAAGAAATGTAAAACAGTGTGAGATAAATGCACGCATCAAAAAAATTCCTCAGAATGCTTCTGTCTAGTTTTAATTTGAAGATATTTCCTTTTCCACCATAGGCCTCAAAGCGCTCCAAATATCCACTTGCAGATTCTACAAAAAGAGTGTTTCAAAACTTCTGAATCAAAAGAAAGGTTCAACTCTGTGAGATGAATGCACACATCACAAAGAAGTTTCTCAGAATGCTGCTGTCTAGTTTTTATCTGAAGATATTTCCTTTTCCACCATTGGCCTCAAATCGCTCCACACATACACTTGCGGATTCTACAAAAAGATTGTTTCAAAACTGCTCAATCAAAAGAGACGTTCAACTCTGTCAGATGAAATCACTCGTCACAAAGGAGTTTCTCAGAATTATTCTGTATAGTTTTTATGTGAATATATTTCTTTTTCCACTGTAGTCCACAAAGTGCTCCAAGTATCCACTTGCAGATTCTAGAAAAAGAGAGTTTCAAAACTGCTCAAACAAAAGAAAAGTTCAACTCGGTGAGATGAATACACACATCAGAAAGAAGGTTCGCAGAATGCTTCCATTAGGTTTTTATGTGAAGATATTTCCTTTTGTGCAATAGGCCGCTAAGTGCTCCAAGTATCCACTTGCAGATTCTACAAAAACAGTGTTTCAAAACTGCAAAATCAAAAGAAAGTTTCAAATCTGTGAGTTCAAAGCATACATCACAAAGAAGTTTCTCAGAATGTTTCTATGTAGTTTTTATGTGAAGATATTTCCTTTTCCACCATAGGCCACAAAAGGGCTCAAAATATTCCCTGGTAGATTCTAACAAAAAGAGTGTTTCAAAACTGCTCAATCAAAAGTAAGGTTCAAATCTGTGAGATGAATGCACACATCACAATGAAGTTTCTCAGAATGCTTCTGTGTAGTTTTTATGTGGAGATATTTCCTTTTCCACAATAAGCATGTAACCTCTCCAAATATTCATTTGCAGATACCACAAAAACACTGTTACAAAACTGCTCAATCAAAGGGCATTTCAGCTCTGTGAGATGAATGCACATATAACAAAGAAGTTTCTCATAATGTTTCTGTGTATTATTTATGTGCAGATATTTCCTTTTCAATGGTCGGCCTCTAACAGCTCCAAATATCCATTAGGAGATACTACAAAAAGTGTGTTTCAAAAATGCTGAATCAAAAGAAAGTTTCAACTCTGTGAGACGAATGCTCATATCACAAAGAAGTTTTTCAGAATGCTTCTGTCTAGTTTTTATGTGAAGGTATTTCCTTTTGCAACATACAATGCAAAGCACTCCAAATATCCTCTTGCAGATTCTACAAAAAAAAAAAAAAAATTTTTGAAACTGCTCAATGAAAAGAAATGGTCAACTCTGCTAACTGAATGCATACAACACAAAGAAGTTTCTCAGAATGCTTCTGTGTAGTTTATATGTGAAGATATTTCCTTTTTGACAATAGGCCTCCAAGCCCTCCAAATATGCACTTGCAGATTCTACAAAAAGAGTGTTTCAAAAGTGCTCAAACAAAAGAAAAGTTCAACTCTTTGAGATGAATGCACACATTAGAACGAAGTTTTGAGAATACTTCTCTGTAGTTTTTATGTGAAGATATTTCCTTTTCCACAATAGGCCGCAAAGGGCTCTAAATATCCACTTGCAGATTCTACAAAAAGAGAGATTCAAAACTCCTCAATGAAAAGATAGGTTCAACTCTGTGAGTTGAATGCACACATCACAAAGAAGTTTCTCAGAATTCTTCTGTGCAGTTTTTATGTGAAGATACTTCCTTTTCCACCATAGTCCTCAAAGTGCTCTAAAGATACACTTTCAGGTTCTACAAAAAAGTGTTTCAAAACTGCTCAATCAAAAGAAAGCTTCAAATCTATGAGGTGAATGCACACATCGCAAAAAAGTTTCCAAAATGCTTCTGTGTAGTTTTTATGTGAAGATACAGCCTTTTCCACTATAGGCCTGAAAGCGCTCCAAATATGCACTTGCAGATTCTACAAAAAGAGAGTTTCGAAACTGCTCACTCAAAAGAAAGCTTCAACTCTGTGAGATGAATGCACACATCACAAAGAAGTTTTTCAGAATGCTTCTATGTAGTTTTTATGTGAAAATATATTCTTTTCCACCATAGACCTCAAAGCGCTCCAAATATCTACCTTCAGATTCTACAAAAAGAGTGTTTGCAAACTGCTCAACCAAAAGAAAAGTTCAACTGTGGGAGATTAATGCACACATCACAAAGCAGTTTTTCAAAATGCCTCTGCGTAGTTTTCATATGAAGATATTTCCTTATCCACAATGGGCCTCAAAGTGCTGCAAATATCCACTTGCAGATTCTACAAAAAGAGTGTTTCAAACCTGCTCAATCAAAAGAGAGCTTCAACTCTGTGAGTTGAATGCATACATCACAAAGAAGTTTCTCAGAATTCTTCTGTGTAGTGTTTATGTGAAGATATTTCCTTTTCCATAATAGGTTTCAAAGCGCTCTCAATATCCACTTGCAGACTATACAAAAAGAGTGTTTCAAAACTGCTCAAACAAAAGAAAGGTTCATCTCTGTGAGATGAATGCCCAGCTCACAAAGCTGTTTCTCGCAATGCTTCTGTGTAGTTTTTATGTGAAGATATTTCCTTGTCCACCATTGGCCGTGAAGGTCTCCAAATATCCATATGCAGTTTCGACAAAAAGAGATTTTCAATACCGCTCAATCAAAAGATAGGTTCAACTCTGTGAGTTGAATGCACACATCACAAAGAGGTTTCTCAGAATGCTTCTATGTAGTTTTTATGTGAAGATATTTCCTTTTCCAAAATAGGCCACAAAGCCCTCCAAATATCCACTTGCAGATTCTACAAAAAGATTGTTTCAAAACTGCTCAAACAAAAGAAAACTTCAGCTCTGTTAGATGAATGCCCACATCAGAAAGAAGTTTCTCAGAATGCTTCTGTGTAGTTTTTATGTGAATATATTGCCTTTTCTACAATAGGTCTCAAAGCGTTTCAAATATCCAATTTCAGATTCCATAAAAAGAGTGTTTCAAAACTGCTCGATCAAAAGAAACTTTCAACTCTGTGAGATGAATGCACACATCACAAAGAAGTTTCTCAGAATGCTTATGTGTAATTTTTATGTGAGGATATTTCCTTTTCCAAAATAGGTCACAAATGGCTCCAAATATCCCCTTGCAGATTCTACAAAAAGACTGTTTCAAAACTGGTCAATCAACAGAAAGCTTCAGCTCTGTGAGATGAATGCACACATCCCAAAGATGTTTCTCAGAATGCTTCTGTGTAGTTTTAATGTGAAGATATTTCCTTTTCCACAATAGGCCTCAGAGAGCTTTAAATATCCACCTGCAGATTCTATAAAAAGAGCTACAAAACACTGCTCAAGGAAATAAAAGAGGATACAAACAAATGTAAGAACATTCCATGCTCATGGGTAGGAAGAATCAATATCATGAAAATGGCCATACTGTCCAAGGTAATTTACAGATTCAATGCCATTCCCATCAAACTACAAATGCCTTTCTTCACAGAATGGGAAAAACTACTTTAAAGTTCATATGGAACCAAAAAGAGCCCGCATCACCAAGTCAATCCTAAGCCAAAAGAACAAAGCTGGAGGCATCACACTACCTGACTTCAAACTATACTACAAGGCTACAGTAACCAAACAGCATGGTACTGGTACCAAAACAGAGATATAGATCAATGGAACAGAACAGAGCCCTCAGAAATAACGCCACGTATCTACAACTATCTGATCTTTGACAAACCTGACAAAAACAAGCAATGGGGAAAGGATTCCCTATTTAATAAATGGTGCTGGGAAAACTGGCTAGCCATATGTAGAAAGCTGAAAGTGGATCCCTTCCTTACACCTTATACAAAAATCAATTCAAGATGGATTAAAGACTTAAACGTTAGACCTAAAACCATAAAAACCCTAGAAGAAAACCTAGGCATTACCATTCAGGACATAGGCATGGGCAAGGACTTCATGTCTAAAACACCAAAAGCAATGGCAACCAAAGCTGAAATTGACAAATGGGATCTAAATAAACTAAAGAGCTTCTGCACAGCAAAAGAAACTACCATCAGAGTGAACACGCAACCTACTAAATGGGAGAAAATTTTCGCAACCGACTCATCTGACTAAGGGCTCATATCCAGAATGTACAATGAACCCAAACAAATTCACAAGAGAAAAACAAACAACCCCATCAAAAAGTGGGCAAAGGACATGAACAGACACTTCTCTAAAAAAGACATTTATGCAGCCAAAAAACACATGAAAAAATGCTCATCATCACTGGCCATCAGAGAAATGCAAATCAAAACCACAATGAGATACCATCTCACACCAGTTAGAATGGCAATCATTAAAAAGTCAGGAAACAACAGGTGCTGGAGAGGATGTGGAGAAATAGGAACACTTTTACACTGTTGGTGGGACTGTAAACTAGTTCAACCATTGTGGAAGTCAGTGTGGCGTTTCCTCAGGGATCTAGAACTAGAAATACCATTTGACCCAGCCATCCCATTACTGGGTATATACCCAAAGGACTATAAATCATGCTGCTATAAAGACACATGCACACGTATGTTTATTGCGGCATTATTCACCATAGCAAAGACTTGGAACCAACCCAAATGTCCAACAATGATAGACTGGATTAAGAAAATGTGGCACATATACACCATGGAATACTATGCAGCCATAAAGAATGATGAGTTCATGTCCTTTGTAGGGACATGGATGAAATTGGAAAACAACATTCTCAGTAAACTATCGCAAGAACAAAAAACCAAATACCGCATGTTCTCACTCATAGGTGGGAATTGAACAATGAGATCACATGGACACAGGTAGGGCAATATCACACTCTGGGGACTGTTGTGGGGTGGGGGGAGGGGCGAGGGATAGCATTGGGAGATATACCTAATGCTAGATGACGAGTTAGTGGATGCAGTGCACCAGCATGGCACATGTATACATATGTAACTAACCTGCACAATGTACACATGTACCCTAAAACTTAAAGTATAATAAAAAAAAATATTATCCAAAAAAAAGAGTGATTTGAAACTGCTGAATCAAAGAAAGCTTCAACTTTGTGAGATGAATGCACCCGTCACAAAGAAGTTTCTCAGTATCCTTCTGTCTAGTGAAGATATTTTCTTTTCCACCATAGGCCGAGAAGGGCTCTAAATATCCACTTGCAGATACTTCAAAAAGAGAGTTTCAAAACTGCTCAATCAAAAGTTAGGTTCAAATCCGTGAGGTGAATTCACATATCAGAAAAAAGTTTCTCAGAATGCTTCTGTGTAGTTTTTATCAGAAGATATTTCCTTTTCCACCACAGGCCACAAAGTGTTCCAATTATCTACTTGCAGATTCTACAAAAAAAATATTTTTACAAACTGCTCAATCAAAAGAAAGGTTCAACTCTGTTAGATGAATGCACACATCACAAAGAAGTTTCTCAGAATGCTTCTATGTAGTTTTTATGTGAAGATATTTCCCTTTCCACCATATGCCGCAAAGGGCTCCAAATATCCACCTCCAGATTCTACAAAAAGAGAGATTCACAACTGCTCAATGAAAAGATAGGTTGCACTCTCTGACTTTAATGGTAGTTTTTGTGTGAAGATATTTCTTTTTCCACAATAGGCCTCAAAGCACTCCAAATATCCACTTGCAGATTCTACAAAAAGAACGCTTCAAAACTGCTAAATCAAAAGAAGGATTCAACTCTGTGAGATGAATGCACAAATCCCAAAGAAGTTTCTCAGAATGCTTCTGTGTAGTTTTTATATGAAGATACTTCCTTTTCCAAAACAGGCCACAAATAGCACAAAATATCCACTTGCAGATTATACAAAAAGAGAGATTCAAAACTGCTCAATCAAAAGATAGGTTCAACTCTGTGAGTTGAATGCACACATATCAAAAATTTTTCTCACAATGCTTCTGCGTAGTTTTGATGTGAAGAATATTTCCTTTTCCACAGTAGGCCTGAAAGCGCTTCAGATATCCACTTTCAGATGCCACAAAAAGAGTGTTTCAAAACTGCTCAATCAAACGAAAGTTTCAACTCTGTGAGCTGATTGCACACATCACAAAGCAGTTTCTCAGAATTCTTCTGTGTAGTGTTTATTTGAAGACATTTCCTTTTCCACTGTAAGCGAAAAAGGGCTCTAAATATCCACTTGCAGACTCTTCAAAAGGAGTGTTTAAAAACTGCTCAAATAAAAGAACGCTTCAATTCTGCTAGAGGAATGCACACATCACAAAGTGGTTTCTCAGAATGCTTCCTTGTAGTTTTTATGTGAAGGTTTTTCCTTTTCCAAAACAGACCACAAAGGGCTCCAAATGTCCAATTGCAGTTTCTACAAAAAAAGCTATTAAAAACTGTTCCATAAAAAGATAGGTAAAACTGTGTGAGTTGAATGCACACATCACAAAGAAGTTTCTCAGAATGCTTCTATGTAATTTTTATGTGAAGATATTTCCTTTTCCACCATAGGCCTCAAAGCACTCCAAATACCCACTTGCAGATTCTACAAAAAGAGGGTTTCAAAACTGCTAAAATGAAAGAAAGTTTCAACTCTGTGAGATGAATGCCCACCTCACAAAGAAGCTTCTCAGAATGCTTCCGTGTAGTTTTTTGTGAAGATATTTCCTTTTCCACCACAAGCATCAAAGCGCTCCAAATATCTACTTACAAATTCTACAAAAAGTGTTTTTCCAGACTGCTGAATCAAAAGAAAGGTACATCTCTTTAAGATGAATGCACAAATCACAAAGAAGTTTCTCAGAATGCTTCTGGGTAGTTTTTATGTGAAGATATTTCCTTTTCCACCTTAAGCCAGAAAGGGCTCCAAATATCCATTTGCAGATTCTACAGAAAGATATTTTCAAAGCTGCTAAATCAAAAGATAGGTTCAACTCTGTGTGATGAATGCACACATCACAAACATGTTTCTCAGAATGCTTCTATGTAGTGTTTAAGTGAAGATATTTCCTTTTGCACAATAGGCCTCAAAGCTCTCCAAATATGCACTTGCAGATTCTACAAAAACAGTGTTTCCAAACTGCTCAATCAAAAGAAAGCTTCATCTCTGTGAGATGAATGCACACATCACAAAGAAGTTTCTCAGAATGCTTCTGTGTAGTTTTCATGTGAAGATATTTCCTTTTCCACCACAGGCCGCTAAGGGCTCCAAATATCTACTTGCAGATCCTAGAAAAATAGAGTTTCAAAACTGCTCATTCAAAAGATACGTTCAACCCTGTGAGATGATTGCACAGATCACAAAGAAGTTTCTCAGAATGCTTCTGTGTAGTTTTTATGTGAAGATATTTCCTTTTCCACCATAGGCCTCAAAGAACTCCAAATATCCACTTGCAGATTCTACAAAAAGTCTGTTTCAAAACTGCTAAAACAAAAGAAAGTTTTAACTCTGTGAGATGAATGCAAACCTCACAAAGGAGTTTCTCAGAATGCTTCTGTGTAATTTTTATGTGAAGATATTTCCTTTTCCAAAATAGGCCGCAGAAGTCTTTAAATATGCACTTACATATTCTAGAGAAAGACAGATTCAAAACTGCTCAATAGAAAGATGGGTTCAACTCTATGAGTTTAATGCGCACATCAGAAAGAAGTTTCTGAGAATGCTCTGTCTAGTTTTCATGTGAAAGTATTTCGTTTTGCACATTAGGCCGCAAAGGGCTCCAAATACCCACTTGCAGATTCTACAAAAAGTGAGTTTCAAAGCTGCTCAATTGGAAGATCGGTTCAAAGCAGCGAGTTGAATGCACACGTGACAAAGAAGTTTCTCAGAATGCTTCTCTGTAGTTTTTATGTGAAGATATTTCCTTTTCCACATTAGGCCTCAAAGTGCTCCAAATATCCACTTGCAGATTCCACAAAAACTGTGTTTCCAAACTGCTCAATCAAAAGAAAGGTACAATTCTGTGTGATGAGTGCACACATCACAAAGAAGTTTCTCAGAATGATTCTGTGTAGTTTTTAAGCGAAGATATTTCCTTTTCCACAATAGGCCTCAAAGCCCTCCAAATATCCTCTTGCAGATTTCACAAACATAATGTTTCAAAACTGCTCAATCAAAAGAAACGTTCATCCCTGTTAGATGAATGCCCACATCCCCAAGAAGTTTCTCAGAATGCTTCTGTGTAGTTTTTATGTGAAGATATTTCCTTTTCCACCATAGGCCTCAAAGCGCTCAAAATATCCACTTGCAAATTCTACAAAAAGTGTGTTTCCAAACTGCTCAATCAAAAGAAAGGTACAACTCTGTGAGATGAATGCACACATCACAAATAAGTTTCTCAGAATGCTCCTGGGTAGTATTTATGTGAAGATATTTCCTTTTCCACCTTAGGACTGAAAGGGTCCAAATATCCATTTGCTGATTCTACAAAAAGAGATTTTCAAAGCTGCTAAATCAAAAGATAGGTTCAACTCTGTGAGTTGAATGCACACATCACAAAGAAGTTTCTCAGAATGCTTCCATGTAATTTTTAGTGAAGATATTTCCTTTTCCACAGTAGGACTCAAAGCGCTCCAAATATGCACTTGCAGATTCTACAAAAAGAGTTTTTCCAAACTGCTCAATCAAAGAAAGCTTCATCCCTGTGAGATGAATGCACACATCACAAAGAAGTTTCTCAGAATGCTTCTGTGTAGTTTTTATGTTATTTCCTTTTCCACAATAGGCCTCAAAGTGCTCCAAATATAAACCTGCAGATTCTACGAAAAGAGTGTTTCCAAACTGCTGCATCAAAAGAAAAGTAAAACTCTGCGAGATGAACGCACACATCACAAAGAGGTTTCTCAGAATGCTTCTGTGTAGTTTTTAGGTGAAGATACTTCCTTTCCCACAGTAGGCCTCAAAGCGCTCTAAATATCCAATTGCAGATTCCACAAAAGAGAGTTTCAAAACTCCTCAATCAAAAGAAAACTTCAACTCTTTGAGATGATGCACACATCACAAAGAAATTTCTCAGAATGCTTCTGTGTAGTTTTCACGTGAAGATATTTCCTTTTCCACCATAGGCCGCTAAGGGCTCCAAATATCTACTTGCAGGTGCTACAAAAATAGAGTTTCAAAACTGCTCATTCAAAAGATAGGTTCAACCCTGTGAGATGATAGCACACATCACAAAGAAGTTTGTCAGAATGCTTCTGTGTAGTTTTTGTGATATTTCTTTTTCCACAAAATAGGCCTCAAAGCGCTCTAAATACCATTTGCAGATTCCGCAAAAAGAGTGTTACAAAACTGCTCAAACAAAAAGAAACTTCAACTCTGTGACATGAATGCACACATAGCAAAGAAGTTTCTCAGAAGACTTCTTTGTAGTTTTTATGTGAAGCCGTATCCTTTTCCACAATAGGCCTCAAAGCGCTTCAAATATCCACGTGCAGATATTATAAAAAGATTGTTTCAAAACTGCTCAATCGAAAGAAAGGTTCAACTCTGTGAGTTGAATGCACACATCACAAAGAAGTTTCTCAGAATGTTTCTGTGTAGTTTGTATGTGAAGATATTTCCTTTTCCACCATAGGCCACAAAGGGCTCAAAATATGCACTTGAAGATTCTACAAAAAGAGAGTTTCAAAACTGCTCAATCAAAACAAAGGTCCAACATTGTGAGATGAATGCACACATCGCAAAGTATTTTTTCAGAATGTTTCTGTGTAGTTTTTATGTGAAGATATTTCCTTTTCCACCATAGGCCACAAAGGGCTCAAAATATGCACTTGCAGATTCTACAAAAAGAGAGTTTCAAATCTTCTAAATCAAAAGATTGGTTCAACTCTGTGAGTTGAATGCACACAACACAAGAAAGTTTCTCAGAATGTTTCTGTGTAGTTTGTATATGAAGATAATTCCTTTTCCAAATTAGGCCTCAAAGCGCTCCAAATAAACACTTGTAGATTCTACAAAACTGTGTTTCAAAACTGCTCAATCAAAAGAAAGCTTCAACTCCATGAGGTGAATGCACACATTGCAAAGAAGTTTCTCAGAATGCTTTTGTGTAGTTTTTATGTGAAGATATCTCCTGTTCCACAACAGGCCTCAAAGCTCTCCAAATATCCACTTGCAGATTCTACAAAAAGTGTGTTTCAAAACTGCTCAATTGAAAGAACGGTTAAACTCAGTGGGATGAATGCACACATCACAAAGAAGTTTCTCAGAATGCTTCTGTGGAGTTTTTATGTGAAGGTATTTCCTTTTCCACCATAGGCCTCAAAGCGCTAGAAATATAAAGTTGCAGATTCTACAAAAATAGTGTTTTAAAACTGCTCAATCCAAAGAAAGGTTCAACTCTGTGAGATGAATGCACACATCATAAAGAGGTTTCTCAGAATGCTTCTGTGTAGTTTTTATGTGAAGATATTTCCTTTTCCACATTATGCCTCAAAGTGCTCAAATATCCACTTGCAGATTCTAAAAAAAGAGTGTTTCAAAACTGCTCAAACAAAAGAAAGGTTCAACTCTTTGAGATGAATGCACACAACACATAGAAGTTACTCAAAATGCTTTTGTGTAGTTTTTTTGTGAAGATATTTCCTTTTCCACCATAGGCTGAAAAGGGCTCCACATATCCACTTGCAGATTCTATACAAAGAGAGTTTCCAAACTGATCAATCAACAGACAGGTTCAAACCTGTCAGTTGAATGCCCACATCACAAACAAGTTTCTCAGAATGCTTCTGTGTAATTTTTATGTGAAGATATTTCCTTTTCCAAAATAGGCTGCAAAAGTCTCCAAATATCCACTTGCAGATTCTACAAAAAGAGAGATTCCAAACTGCTCAATCGAAAGATGGGTTCAACACTATGAGTTTAATGCACACATCAGAAAGTAGTTTCTGAGAATGCTTCTGTCTAGTTTTTATGTGAAGGTATTTCGTTTTGCACATTAAGCCACAAAGGGCTCCAAATATCCACTTGCAGATTCTGCAAAAAGTGAGTTTCAAAGCTGCTCCATCAAAAGATCGGTTCAATGCAGTGAGTTGAGTGCACACATGACAAAGACATTTCTCAGAATGCTTCTTTGTAGTTTTTATGTGAAGATATTTCCTTTTCCACAATAGGCCTCAAAGTGCTCCAAATATGCTCTTGCAGATCCTACAAAAGCAGTGTTTCCAAACTGCTCAATCAAAAGAAAAGTACAATTCTGTGTGATGAGTGCACACATCACAAAGAACTTTCTCAGAATGATTCTGTGTACTTTTTATGTGAAGATATTTCCTTTTTCACAATAGGCCCCAAAGCCCTCCAAATATCCTCTTGCAGATTTCACAAAAAGAGTGTTTCAAAACTGCTCAATCAAAAGAAATGTTCAACTCTGTGAGATGAATGCCCACATCCCAAAGAAGTTCCTCAGAATGCTTCTGTGTAGTTTTTATGTGAAGATATTTCATTTTCCACCATAGGCCTCAAAGCACTTCAAATATCCACTTCCCGATTATATAAAAAGATAGTTTCAAAACTACTCAATCAAAACAAAGGTTCAACTCTGTGATTTGAATGCACACATCACAAAGAAGTTTCTCAGAATGCTTCTGTGTAGTTTTTATATGAAGATAATTCGTTTTCCTAAATAGGCTGCAAAGGGCTCCAAATATCCACTTGCAGAATGCACAAAAAGAGAGATTATAAACTGCTCCATCAAAAGATAGTTTCAGCTCTTTGAATTGAATTCATGCATCACAAAGAAGTTTCTCAGAATGCTTCTGTGTAGTTTTTATGTGAAGATATTTCCTTTTCCACCATAGGCTGTAATGTTCTCCAAATGTCCACTTGCAGATTCTACAAAAAGAGAGTTTAAAAACTGCTCAATCAAAAGATAGGTTCAACTCTGTGAGATGGATGCACATATCACAAAGAAGTTTCTCAGAATGCTTCTGTGTAGTTTTTATGTGAAGATATACCCTTTTCCACAATAGGCCTCAAAGCGCTTCAAATATCCACTTCCAGATCCTACAAAAAGAGTGTTTCCAAACTGCTAAATCAAAAGAAATGTACAACTCTGTGAGATGAATGCACACATCATAAAGAAGTGTCTCAGAATGCCTCTGTATAGTTTTTATGTGAAGATATTTCCTTTTTAACAATAGGCCTCAAAGCGCTCCAAATATCGACTTTCAGATTCTACAAAAAGAGTGTTTCAAAACTGCTAATCAAAAGAAACGTTCTACACTGTGAGATGAATGCGCACTTCACAAGCAGTTTCTCAGAATGCTTCTGTGTAGTTTTTATGTGAAGATATGTCTTTTTCAACAATAGGCCCTAATTCCTCTAAATATCCACTTGCAAATTCTACAAAAAAGTGTTTCAAAACTGCTCAATCAAAAAGCTTCAACTCTGTGAGATGAATGTTCACATCTCAAAGGTGTTTCTCAGAATGCTTCTGTGTAGCTTTATTGTGAAGATATTTCCCTTTCAACCATAGGATCCAAAGCGCTCTAGATATCCAATTGCAGATTCTACAAGAAGAGTGTTTCAAAACTGCTTAAACAAAAGAAAGGTTCAAATCTGTGAGATGAATGCACACATCACAAAAAGTTTCTCAGAATGCTTCTGTGTAGTTTTTATGTGAAGATATTTCCTTTTCCACAATAAGCCTCAAAGCGCTTCAAATATCCACTTGTAGATTTTTCAGAGTGTTTCAAAACTGCTCAAACAAAAGCGAGCTTCAACTTTGTGAGATGAATGCACACATCACAAAGAAGTTTCTCAGAATGCTTCTGTGTAGTTTTTATGTGAAGATATTTTCTTTTCCACAACAGGCCTCAAAGTGCTTCAACTATCCACTTGCAGATCCTACAAAAAGTGTTTCTCTTTTTTTGTCGTTTTTTGTTTTGTCTAGAAATGATTTTATTCTTTTCACTTATTACAAATTGCCTCATGGCCTGACCAAACTTCCAGCGGATCACTTGCAAGAGCAAATTTAACTGTCAAATTTACTGTTACATTCATCCATTGAGTTATTGGTTTGAATTACTGTATATATGACATTTGTTTGATTTCTTTTTATAGTTTCTGGTTCTCTGCTAAATTTCTTGACCTTGTCATGGAATGCATTCAGCATATCATATATTAGTGGCCCAATATCCGCCAATTATTTTGGTCCTTTTCTGTTGGCTTTTTTTTCTCTCCATTTTGTGTGTTTTGTTTTTGTTGATTGAAATCACACTATGTTTAATACACTTAATATCTATGTAGATTTAAATTGATACTTGCCCTACAACATTTTAGAAGCAATTTTGGGCTGTGGAATAATTTTACACTCCAGAGAGGATTTACTTCTTATTCTGCCAGAATGAAATGCTAGGGCTGTACCTAGTTAATGCCATCAAAAAATGCCCTACTTTGGGCCTTGGTATCAGCATGGTGGTGCCATGCTACTCCTGGAGCTTCCTCCTCCTGTTATGCTTCCGTAGCAATATTTCACCTCAAGACCTCAGTATGTGTCAGGATCCCTCATTTTCTGTAGTGGTTAGGGACAGTTTTTCACCTGTGGCCATATGAGATATTTTTAAAGCTCTGCTGGACTCCGAGTCCTCTTGACCCCTCCTTTCTTTCAGATTTTCAGGCCTGGGCCTCTATTTCTGAAGCTGCTTATATCTCAAGGGACACTGAAGGCACAAAACTAGTGCTCACCTGTCTATGCTTCCCTGATTTTCTTTTTCATTTTTTTTTAAATTTTATTATTATTATACTTCAAGTTTTAGGGTACATGTGCACAAAGTGCAGGTTAGTTACATATGTATACATGTGGCATGCTGGTGTGCTGCACCCGTTAACTTGTCATTTAGCATTAGGTATATCTCCTAAAGCTATCCCTCCCCCCTTTCCCAACCCCACAACAGTCCCCAGAGTGTGATGTTCCCCTTCCTGTGTCCATGTGTTCTCATTGTTCAATTCCCACCTATGAGTGAGAATATGCGGTGTTTGGTTTTTTGTTCTTGCGATAGTTTACTGAGAATGATGATTTCCAATTTCAAACGTGTCCCTACAAAAAAGATGAACTCATCATTTTTTATGGCTGCATAGTATTCCATGGTGTATATGTGCCACATTTTCTTAATCCAGTCTATCATTGTTGGACATTTGGGGTGGTTCCAAGTCTTTGCTATTGTGAATAGTGCCGCAATAAACAGACGTGTGCATGTGTCTTTATAACAGCATGATATATAGTCCTTTGGGTATATACCCAGTAATGGCATTGCTGGGTCAAATGGTATTTCTAGTTCTAGATCCCTGAGGAATCGCCACACTGACTTCCACAATGGTTGAACTAGTTTACAGTCCCACCAACAGTGTCAAAGTGTTCCTATTTCTCCACATCCTCTCCAGCACCTGTTGTTTCCTGACTTTTTAATGATTGCCATTCTAACTGGTGTGAGATGGTATCTCATTGTGGTTTTGATTTGCATTTCTCTGATGGCCAGTGATGGTGAGCATTTTTTTCATGTGTTTTTTGGCTGCACAAATGTCTTCTTTTGAGAAGTGTCTGTTCATGTCCTTTGCCCACTTTTTGATGGGTTGTTTGTTTTTTTCCTGTAAATTTGTTGAGTTCGTTGTATTTTCTGGATATTAGCCCTTTGTCAGATGAGTCAGTTGGGAAAATTTTCTCCCATTTTGTAGGTTGCCTGTTCACTCTGATGGTAGTTTCTTTTGCTGTGCAGAAGCTCTTTAGTTTAATTAGATCCCGTTTGTCAATTTTGGCTTTTGTTGCCATTACTATTGGTGTTTTAGACATGAAGTCCTTGTCCATGCCTATGTCCTGAATGGTAATGTCTAGGTTTTCTTCTAGGGTTTTTATGGTTTTAGGTCTAACGTTTAAGTCTTTCATCCATCTTGAATTAATTTTTGTATAATGTGTAAGGAAGGGATTCCGTTTCAGCTTTCTACACATGGCTAGCCAGTTTTCCCAGCACCATAAATTAAATAGGGAATCCTTTCCCCATTTCTTATTTTTGTCAGGTTTCTCAAAGATGAGATAGTTGTAGATATGCGGCATTATTTCTGAGGGCTCTGTTCTGTTCCATTGGTCTATATCTCTGCTTTGGTACCAGTACCATGCTGTTTTGGTTACTGTAGCCTTGTAGTATAGTTTGAAGTCAGGTAGTGTGATGCCTCCAGCTTTGTTCTTTTGGCTTAGGATTGACTTGGTGATGCGGGCTGTATTTTGATTCCATATGAACTTTAACGTAGTTTTTTTCCAATTCTGTAAAGAAAGTCATTGATAGCTTGATTGGGATGTCATTGAATCTATAAATTACCTTGGGCACTAAGGCTATTTTCATAATATTGATTCTTCCTACCCATGAGAATGGAATGTTCTTCCATTTGTTTGTATCCTCTTTTATTTCATTGAGCAGTGGTTTGTAGTTCTCCTTGAAGAGGTCCTTCACGTCCCTTGTAAGGTGGATTCCTAGGTATTTTATTCTCTTTGAAGCAATTCTGAATGGGAGTTCTCTCATGATTTGGCTCTCTGTTTGTCTGTTATTGGTGAATAAGAATGCTTCTGATTTTTGTACATTGATTTTGTATCCTGAGACTTTATTGAAGTTGCTTATCAGCTTAAGGAGATTTTGGGCTAAAATGATGGGGTTTTCTAGCTATACAATCATGTCATATGCAAACAGGGACAATTTGACTTCCTCTTTTCCTAATTGAATACCCTTTATTTACTTCTCCTGCCTAATTGCCCTGGCCAGAATTTCCAACACTATGTTAAATAGGAGTGGTGAGAGAGGGCATCCCTGTCTTGTGCCAGTTTTCAAAGGGAATGCTTCCAGTTTTTGCCCATTGAGTATGATATTGGCTGAGGGTTTGTCACAGATAGCTCTTATTATTTTGCGATACGTCCCATCAATACCTAATTTATTGAGAGTTTTTAGCATGAAGGGTTGTTGAATTTTGTCAAAGGCCTTTTCTTCATCTATTGAGATAATCATGTGGTTTTTGTCTTTGGTTCTGTTTATATGCAGGATTACACTTATTGTTTTGCATATATTGAACCAGCCTTGCATCCCAGGGATGAAACCCACTTGATCATGGTGGATAAGCTTTTTGATGTGCTGCTGGATTCAGTTTGCCAGTATTTTATTGAGGATTTTTGCATCAATGTTCATCAAGGATATTGGTCTAAAATTCTCTTTTTTGGTCGTGTCTCTGCCCTGCTTTGGTATCAGGATGACGCTGGCCTCATAAAATGAGTTAGGGAGGATTCCCTCTTTTTCTATTGATTGGAATAATTTCAGAAGGAATGGTACCAGTTCCTCCTTGTACCTCAGGTGTAATTAGGCTGTGAATCCACCTGGTCCTGGACTCTTTTTGGTTGGTAAGCTATTGATTATTGCCAAAATTTCAGAGCCTGTTATTGGTCTATTCAGAGATTCAACTTCTTCCTGGTTTAGTCTTGGGAGAGTGTATGTGTCGAGGAATTTATCCATTTCTTCTAGATTTTCTAGTTTATTTGTGTGGAGTTGTTTGTAGTATTCTCTGATGGTAGCTTGTATTTCTGTGGGATCTGTGGTGATATCCCCTTTATCATTTTTTATTGCGTCTATTTGATTCTTCTCTCTTTTCTTCTTTATTAGTCTTGCTAGCGTTCTATCAATTTTGTTGATCCTTTCAAAAAAACAACTCCTGAATTCATTAATCTTTTGAAGGGTTTTTTGTGTCTCTATTTCCTTCAGTTCTGCTCTGATTTTAGTTATTTTTTGCCTTCTGCCTGCTTTTGAATGTGTTTGCTCTTGCTCTTCTAGTTCTTTTAATTGTGATGTTAGGGTGTCAATTTTGGATCTTTCCTGCTTTCCCTTGTGGGCATTTAGTGCTATGGATTTCCCTCTACACACTGCTTTGAATGTGTCCCAGAAATTCTGGTATGTTGTGTCTTTGTTCTCGTTGGTCTCAAAGAACATCTTTATTTCTGCCTTCACTTCGTTATGTACTCAGTAGTCATTCAGGAGCAGGTTGTTCAGTTTCCATGTTGTTGAGCGGTTTTGAGTGAGTTTCTTAATCCTGAGTTCTAGGTTGATTGCACTGTGGTGTGAGAGACAGTTTGTTATAATTTCTGTTATTTTACTTTTGTTGAGGAGAGCTTTATTTCCAACTATGCGGGCAATTTTGAAGTAGGTGTGGTGTGGTACTGAAAAAATGTATATTCTGTTGATTTGGGGTGGAGAGTTCTGCAGATGTCTATTGGGTCCGCTTGGTGCAGAGCTGAGTTCAACTCCTGGATATCCTTGTTAACTTTCTGTCTCGTTGATCTGTCTAATGTTGACAGTGGGGTGTTATAGTCTCCACTATTATTGTGTGGGAGTCTAAGTCTCTTTGTAGGTCACTCAGGACTTGCTTTATGAATCTGGGTGCTCCTGTATTGGATGCATATATATTTAGGATTATTAGCTCTTCTTGTTGAATTGATCTCTTTACCATTATGTAATGGCCTTCTTTGTCTCTTTTGTTCTTTGTTGGTTGAAAGTCTGTTTAATCAGAGACTACGATTGAAACCCCTGCCTTTTTTTGTTTTCCATTTGCTTGATAGATCTTCTTCCATCCCTTTATTTTGAGCCTATGTGTGTCTCTGCATGTGAGATGGGTTTCCTGAATACAGCACACTGATGGGTCTTGACTTTTTATCAAATTTGCCAGTCTGCATCTTTTAATTGGAGCATTTAGTCCATTTACATTTAAAGTTAATACTGCTATGTGTGAATTTGATCCTGTCATTATGATGTTAGCTGGTTATTTTGCTCATTAGTTGATGCAGTTTCTTCCTAGCCTCGATGGTCTTTACATTTTGGCATGATTTTGCAGTGGCTGGTACCGGTTGTTCCTTTCCATGTTTAGTGCTTCCTTCAGGAGCTCTTTTAGGGCAGGCCTGGTGGTGACAAAATCTCTCAGCATTTGCTTGTCTGTAAAGTATTTTATTTCTCCTTCACTTATGAAGCTTAGTTTGGCTGGATATGAAATTCTGGTTTGAAAATTCTTTTCTTTAAGAATGTTGAATATTGGCCCCCACTCTCTTCTGGCTTGTAGAGTTTCTGCTGAGAGATCCGCTGTTAGTCTGATCGGCTTTTCTTTGTGGGTAACCGGACCTTTCTCTCTGGCTGCCCTTAATATTTTTTCCTTCATTTCCACTTTGGTGAATATGATAATTCTGTGTCTTGGAGTTACACTTCTCGAGGAGTATCTTTGTGGCGTTCTCTTTATTTCCTGAATCTTAATGTTGGCCTGCCTTTCTAGATTGGGGAAGTTCTCCTGGATAATATCCAGCAGAGTGTTTTCCAACTTGGTTCCATTCTCCCTATCACTTTCAGGTACACCAATCAGGCATAGATTTGGTCTTTTCACATAGTCCCATATTTCTCGGAGGCTTTGTTCATTTCTTTTTATTCTTTTTTCTCTAAACTTCCCCTCTCACTTCATTTCATTCATTTCATCTTCCATCACTGATACCCTTTCTTCCAGTTGATCGCATCAGCTCATGGGGTTTCTGCATTCTTCACGTAGTTCTCGAGCCTTGGCTTTCATCTCCATCAGCTCTTTTAAACACTTCTCTGAATTTGTTATTCTAGTTATACCTTCGTCTAAATTTTTTTCAAAGTTTTTAACTTCTTTGCCTTTGGTTGGAATTTCCTCCTGTAGCTCAGAGTAATTTGATCATCTGAAGCCTTCTTCTCTCAACTCGTCAAAGTCATTCTCCATCCACCTTTGTTCTGAAGCTGGTGAGGAGCTGCATTCCTTTGGAGGAGGAGAGGTGCTCTGCTTTTTAGAGTTTCCAGTTTTTCTGCTCTGTTTTTTTCCCCATCATCTTTGTGGTTTTATCTACTTTTTGTCTTTGATGATGGTGATGTACAGATGGGTTTTTGGTGTGGATATCCTTTCTGTTTGTTTGTTAGTTTTCCTGCTAAAAGACAGGACCCTCACCTGCATGTGTGTTGGAGTTTGCTAGAGGTCCACTCCAGACACTGTTTGCCTGGGTACAAGCAGCGGTGGCTGCAGAACAGCAGATTTTAGTGAACTGCAAATGCTGCTGTCTGATCATTCCTCTGGAACTTTTGTCTCAGAGGAGTACCCGGCCGTGTGAGGTGTCAGTCTGCCCCTACTGGGGGGTGCCTCCCAGTTAGGCAGCTCAGGGGCCAGGACTCAGGAACCCACTTGAGGAGGCAGTCTGCCCATTCTCAGATCTCCAGCTGCACGCTGGGAGATCCACTGCTCTCTTCAAAGCTGTGAGACAGGGACATTTAAGTCTGCAGAGGTTACTGCTGTCTTTTTGTTTGCCTGTGCCCTGCCCCCAGAGGTGGAGCCTACAGTGGCAAGCAGGTCTCCTTGAGCTGTGGTGGGCTCCACCCAGTTCAAACTTCCTGCCCGCTTTGTTTACATAAGCAAGCCTGGGAAATGGCGGGCACCCCTCCACCAGCCTCGCTGCTGCCTTGCAGTTTGATCTCAGACTGTTGTGCTAGCAATCAGCGAGACTCCATGGGCGTAGGATCCCCTGAGCCAGGTGTGGGACATAATCTCCTGGTGCACCGTTTTTTAAGCCCATTGGAAAAGCGTAGTATTAGGGTGGGAGAGACCCGAATTTGCAGGTGCCCTTTGTCACCACTTTCTTTGACTAGGAAAGGGAACTCACAGACCCCTTGCACTTCCCGAGGGAGGCAATGCTTCACCCTGGTTCGGCTCATGCGTGGTGTGCTGCACCCACTCTCCTGCGCCCACTGTCTGGCACTTCCTAGTGAGATGAACAAAATACCTCAGATGGAAATGTAGAAATCACCAGTCTTCTGCATCACTCACATTGGGAGCTGTAGACCAGAGCAATTCCTATTTGGCCATCTTGGCTCCAACCCCCTGTGTAGTTGTTATGTGAAGATATTTCCTTTTCCACAATAGGCCGCAAAGTGCTCCAAATATCCACTTGCAGATCCTACAAAAAGAGAGACTAAAAGCTGCTCAATCAAAAGATAGGTTCAACTCTGTGAGTTGAATGCACACATCACAAAGAAGTTTCTCAGAACCCTTCTGTGTAGTTTTTATGTGAAGATATTTCCTTTTCCAACATAGGCCTCAAAGTGCTCCAAATATCCACTAGCAGATTATACAAAAAGAGTGTTTCAAAACTGCTCAATCAAAAGAAAGCTTTACCTCTGTGAAATGAATGCACACATCGCAAAGAAGTTTCTCAGAATGCTTCTGTGTAGTTTTTATGTGAAGATATTTCCTATTCCACAATAGGCCTGAAAGCAATCCAAGTATGAACTTGCAGATTCTATAAAAAGAGTGTTTCAAAACTGCTCAATCAAAAGAAAGAAAAGTTCAACTCTATGAGATAAATGCATACATCACTAAGAAGTTTTTCAGAATACTTCTGTATAGTTTCTATGTGAAGATATTTCCTACTCTGCAATAGGCCGCAAAGGGCTCCAAATATCCACTTGCAGATTCTACAAAAAGAGAGTTTCAAAACTGCTCAATCAGAAGATAGGTTCAATACTGTGAGTTGAATGCACACATCACAAAGATGTTCCTCAGAATGCTTCTGTGTAGTTTCTATGTGAAGATAGTTCCTTTTCCACCATTGGCTGCAAAGGTCTCCAAACATAAACTTGCAAATTTAAAAACAGAGAGTTTCAAAACTGCTCAATCAAAAGATAGTTTAAACTCTGTGAGTTGAAGTCACACATCACAAAGAATTTTCTCAGAATTCTTCTGTGTAGTTTTTATGGGAAGATATCTCCCTTTCCACAGTAGGCCTCAAAGCGCTCCAAATATCCATTGCCGATTCTCCAAAAAGAGTGTTTCAAAAATGCTCTATCAAAAGAAAGGTTCAACACTGTGAGATGAATGCACACATCACAAAGAAATTTCTCAGAATGCTTCTGTGTAGTTTACATGTGAAGATGTTTCCTTATCCACAATAGGCCTGAAATCGCTCCAAATATCCACATGCATACTCTACGAAAAGAGTGTTTCAAAACTGCACAATCAAAAGAAAAGTTCACCTCTGTGAGATGAATGCACACATCACAAAGAAGTCTCTCAAAATGTTCCTGTGTGGTTTTTACGTGAGGATATTTCATTATCCACCATAAGCCAAAAAGGACTCCCAATGTCCACTTGCAGTTTTTACAAAAAGAGAGTTTCAACACTGCTATATCAAAAGACAGGTTCAACTCTGAGAGTTCCATGCAGACATCACAAAAAAGTTTCTCAGAATGCTTCTGTGTAGTTGTTACGTGAAGATATTTCCTTTTCCACAATAGGCCTCAAAGAGCTCCAAATCTCCACTTGCAGATTCTACAAAAAGAGTCTTTCAAAACTGGTGAAACAAAAGAAAATTTCAAGTCTGTGAGATGAATGCACACATCACAAAGAAGTTTCTCAGAATGCTTCTGTGTAGTTTTTATGTTAAGATATTTTCTTTTACACAATAGGCCTCAAAGCTCTTCAAATATCCAACTGCAGATTCTATAAAGAGAGTGTTTCAAAACTGCTCAATCAAAAGAAAAGTTTAACTCTGTGAGACGAATGCACACATCACAAAGAAGTTTCTCAGAATGCTTCTGTGTAGTTTTTATGTGGTGATATTTCCTTTTACAAAATAGGCCGCAAAGGGCTCCAAATAACCATTTGCAGATTCTACAAAAAGAGTGATTCCAAACTGCTCAATCAAAAGATAGGTTCAACTCTGTAAGATGAATGCACGCATCCCAAAGAAGTTTCTCACAATGCTTCTGTGTAGTTTTTATGTGAAGATATTTCCACTTCCACAATAGGCCCCAAAGCGTTCCGAATTTCCACATGCAGATTCTACAAAAAGAGTGTTTCAAAACTGCTCAATCAAAAGAAAGGTTCAACTCTTAGATGAAGGCACACATCACAAAGAAGGTTCTCAGAATGCTTCTGTGTAGTTTTTATATGAAGATATTTCCTTTTCCACCATATGCCGGAAAGGGCTCCAAATATCCACTTGCAGATTGTACAAAAAGAAAGTTTCAAAATTGCTCAATGAAAAGATAAGTTCAACATTGTGGGCTGAATTCACACAGCACAAACAAGTTTCTCAAAATGCCTCTGTGTAGTTTCTATGTGAAGATGTTTCCTTTTCCACCACAGACCTCAAAGTGCTTCGAATATCCACTTGCAGATTCTATAAAAGTGTGTTTCCAAACTGCTTAATCAAGAGAAAGGTACAAATCTGTGAGATGAATGCACACATCACAAAGAAGTTGCTCAGAATGCTTCTCTGTCTTTTTTATGTGAAGATATTTCCTTTTCCACAGTAGGACTCAAAGCTCCCAAATATCCACTTTCAGATTCCACAAAAAGAGTGTTTCAAAACTGCTCGATCAAAAGAAAGCTTCAAATCTGTGAGATGAATGCACACATCACAAAGAAGTTTCTCACTATGCTGCTGTTTAGTTTTTATGTGAAGATATTTCCTTTTCCACCAAAGGCCGCAAAGGGCTCCAAATATCCACTTGTAGATTCTAAAAAAAAGAGAGTTTCAAAACTGCTCATTGAAAAGATAGGTTCAACTCCGTGAGATGAGTGCACACATCCCAAAGAGGTTTCTCAGAATGCTTCTGTGTAGTTTTTATGTGAAGATATTTCCTTTTCCAAAATAGACCTCAAAGAGCTCAAATAACCACTTGCATATTCTTCAAAAAGAGTTTTTCAAAACTGCTCAAACAAAAGAAAGCTTCAACTTTGTGAGATGAATGCAGACATCACAAAGAAGTTTCTCAGAATGATTCTGTGTAATTTGTATGTGAAGATAATTCCTTTTCCACTACAAGCCTCAAAGCGCTTCAACTAAACTCTTGCAGATTCTATAAAAAGAGTATTTCAAATCTGCTCAATGAAAAGAAAGGTTCAACTCTGAGAGATGAATGCACACATCAAGAAGAAGTTTCTCAAAATGCTTCTTTCTAGTTTCTATGTGAAGATATTTCCTTTTCCACCATTGGCCTCAAACCTCTCAAAATATCCACTTTCAGATACTTTGAAAAGACTGTTTCCAAACTGCTCAATCAAAAGAAAGATTAAACTCTGTGAGTTTAGTGGAAATATCAAAAAGAAGTTTCTCGGAATGCTTCTGTGTAGTTTTTATGTGAAGATATTATCTTTTCCACAATAGGCCTCAAAGCGCTCCAAGTTTCCACTTGCAGATTCTTCAAAAAGAGTGTTTCAAAACTGCTCAATGAAAAGAAAGGATTAACTCTGTGAGAAGAACACACAAATCACAAAGAAGTTCCTCCAAGTGCTTCTGTGTAGTTTTTATGAGAAGATATTTCCTTTTCCACCAAAGGCTGCAAAGTGCACCAAATATCCACTTGCAGATTCTACAAAAAGTGTTTCAAACTGCTCAATGAGAAGAAAATTTCAACTCTGTGAGGTTAACGCGCATATCACAAAGAAATTTGTCACAATTCTTCTGTCTAGTTTTTATATGAAGATATTTCTTTTTCCACTCTAGGCCACAAATCTCTCCAAATATCCACTTGCAAATTCTACAAAAAGAGTGTTTCAAAACTGCTCAATCAAAAGAAAATTTCAACTCTGTGAGTTGAATGTATAGTTCAAAACGAAGTTTCTCAGAATGCTTCTGTGTAGTATTTCCTTTTCCACCATAGGCCAGAATGCGCTCTAAATATCCACTTTCAGATTCTACAAAAAGAGTATGTCAAAACTGCTGAATCGAAACAAATATTCAACTCTGTGAGATGAACGCACACATCACATAGAAGTTTCTCAGAATGCTTCTGTGTAGTTTTTATGTCAATATATTTCCTGTTCCACCTTAGGCCTCAAAGCTCTCCAAATATTCATTTGCAGATTCTACAAAAAGTGTGTTTCAAAACTGCTCAATCAAAAGAAAGTTGTTAAACTTTGTGAGTTGAGTGCACACATCACAAAGAAGTTTCTTAGAATTCTTCTGTAAAATTTTTATGTGAAGATGCTTCATTTTCCACGATAGGCCTCAAACCTCTCCAAATATCCATTTGCAGATACCACAAAAACACAGTTTCCAAGCTGCTCAATCATTAGAAAGGTTCAGCTACGTGAGCTGAATGCACAGATCACAAAGAAGTTTCTCAGAATGATTCTGTGTAGTTTTTATGTGAGGATATTTCCTTTTCTGCCATAGGAATCAAATTGCTCCAAATATGCACTTGCAGATTCTTCAAAAGGAATGTTTCCAAACAGCTCAATCAAAAGAAATGTTCAACTCTGTGAGATGTGTGCACACATCACAAAGAAGTTTCTGAGAATGCTTCTGTCTAGTTTTTATGTGAAGATATTTCCTTTTCCACTAGAGGACGCAAAGCTCACCAAATATCCACTTACAGATTCTACAAAGAGTGTTTCAAACTGTGCAATCAAAAGAAACTTCAACTCTGTGAGTAGAATGTAAACTTCACGAAGTAGTTTCTCAGAATGCTTCTGTGTCGTTTTTTTGTGAAGAAATTTCCTTTTCCACCGTAGGCCTCAAATCACTACAAATATCCACTTGCAGATTCTACAAAAAGTGTGTTTCAAAACTGCTCAATCAAAAGAAAGTTTCAAACCTGTGAAATGAATGCACACAGCACAAAGCAGTTTCTCAGAATGCTTCTGTCTAGTTTTTATTTGAAGATATTTTCTTTTCCACCAGAGGCCACAAATTACTCGAAATATCCACTTGCAGTTACTACAAAAAGTGTGTTTCCAAACTGCTCATTGAAAAGAGAGGTTCAATTCTGAGAGATGAATGCACACATCACAAAGATGTTTCTCAGAATGCTTCTGCATAGCTTTTAGGTGAAGATATTTCCTTTTCCACCATAGGCCTCAAAGCACTCCAAATATCCAATTGCAGATTCTACGAAAGAGTTTTTCAAAACTGCTCAACGAAAAGAAAGTTTCAACTCTGTGAGATGAATGTACACTTCACAAAGAAGTTTCTCAGAATGCTTCTGTCTAGTTTTTATGTGAAGATATTCCTTTTTCCTGTAGAGGCCGCAAAGTGCTCCAAATATACACTTGCAAATTCCTCAAGAAGAGTGTTTCGAAGCTGCTCAATCCAAAGAAAGTTCAACTCTGTGAGTTGAATGCACACATCACAAAGCAGTTTCTCAGAATTCTTCTGCTAGTTTTTATGTGAAAATACTTCCTTTTCCACTGTAGGCCTCAAAGTGCTCCAAATATCCACTTGCAGATTCCACAAAAAGAGTGTTTCAAAATGGTTCAATCAAAAGAAAGGTTCACCTCTGTGAGATGAATGCACAGATAACAAAGAAGTTTCTCAGATTGCTTCAGTCTAGTTTTTATGTAAAGATATTTCCTTTTCCACTATAGTCTGCAAAGCACTCTAAATATCCTTCTGCAGTTTCCAAAAAAAAGAGTGTTTAAAAACTACTCAATAAAAAGAAAGGTTCAACTCTGTGAGTTCAATGCATACATTACAAAGAAGTTTCTAGAATTTTTCTGTCTAATTTTTATGTGAAGATATTTCCTTTTCCACCGTAGGCCTCAAATGTCTCCAAATATCCATTTGCAGATACTACAAAAACACTGTTTCCAAACTGCTCAGTCAAAAGAATAGTTCAACTCTGTAAATAGAATGCACACAACACAGAGAAGTTTCTCAGAATGCATCTGTGCAGTTTTTAAGTGAAGGTATTTCCTTTTCCACGATTGGCCCCAAAGCGCTCCAAATATCCACCTGCAGATGCTAAAAAGCAGTGTTTCAAAACTGCTCAATCAAAACAAAGGTTCAATTCTATGAGTTGAAAGAGCACATTGCAAAGAAGTTTCTCAGAATACTTCTGTGTAGTTTTTATGTGAAGATATTCCTTTTCCACCACAGGCAGCAAAGTGCTCCAAATATCCACTTGCAGATTCCACAAAAAGAGAGTTTCAAAACTGCTCAATCAAATATGGGTTCAACTCTGTGAGTTGAATGCACACATAACAAAGAAGTTTCTGAGAATTATTCTGTGTAGTTTTTATGTGAAGATATTTCCTTTTCCACAATAGGCAACAAAGCGCTCCAAATATCCACAAGCAGATTCTACAAAAAGGGTTTTTCAAAACTGCGACATCGAAAGAAAGGTTCAACTCTGGGAGTTGAATTCACACATCACAAAGTAGTTTCTGAGAATTCTTCTGTCCAGTTTTTGTGAAGATATCCCTTTTCCAACGAAGACCTCAAAGCGGTCCAAATTACCCCTTTCAAATTGTACAAAAAGAATGTTTCAGAACTGCTCTATGAAAAGGAATGTTCAGTTCTGTGAGTTGAAATCAAACATCACAAAGAAGTTTCTGAGAATGCTTCTGTGTAGATTCGTTGTGAAGATATTTCCTTTTTCACCACAGACCTCAAAGCTCTCCAAATATCCACTTGCAGATTCTAAAAAAAGTGTTTCAAAACTGCTCTATCAAAAGAAAGGTTCAACTCCGTGAGTTGAGAACACACATCACAAAGAAGTTTCAGAGAATGATTCTGTCTAGTTTTTATGTGAAGATATTTCCTTTTTCACCATAGGCATCAAAGCGCTCCATATGCCCACTTGCAGATTCTACAAAAAGACTGTTTCAAAACTGAACTATCAAAAGAAAGGTTAAACTCGGTGAGTTGATTGCACACATCAAAAAGAAGTTCCTGAGAATGCTTCTGTCCAGTTTTTGTGAAGATATCCCGTTTCCAGCGAAGGCCTCAAAGAGGTCCAAATATCCACTTTCAAATTAAAAATAGTGTTTCAAAACTGCTCTATGAAAAGGAATGTTCAACTCTGTGAGGTGAAAGCAAACATCACAAAGAAGTTTCTGAGAATGCTTCCGTGTAGTTTCGTTGTGAATATATTTCCTTTTTCACCATGGGCCTCAAAGCGCTCCAAATGTCCAATGGCAGGTAATTCAAAAATAGTTTTTCAAAACTGCTCTGTGAAAAGGAATGTTCAACTCTGTGAGTTGAAAGCAAACCACACAAAGTAGTTTCTGAGAATGCTTCTGTGTAGTTTTTATGTGAAGATATTTCCTTTTTCATCATAAGCCTCAAAGCGCTCCAGATATCCCTTTACAGATCCTACAAAAAGAGGATTTCAAAACTGCTCTATCAAAAGAGAGGCTCAAATCTGTGAGTTGAATGCACACATCCCACAGAAGGTTCTGAGAATGCTTCGGTCCAGTTTTTGTGAAAATATCCCGTTTCCAAAGAAGTCCTCAATGCGGACCGAAGATCCACTGGCAAATACTGTAAAAAGAGTGTCTCAAAACTGCCCTATGAAAAGGAATGTTCAACTCTGTGACTTGAAAGCAAACATCAAAAAGATGTTTCTTAGAATGCTTCTGTGTAGTTTCTTTGTGAAGACATTCCCTTTTTCACCACAGGCCTCAAAGCGCTCCAAATATCCACTTGTAGATTCTACAAAAAGAGTGTTTCAAAACTGCTCAATCAAAAGAAGTTTCAACTCTGTGAGTTGAGTGCACACATCACAAAGAAGTTTCTGAGAATGTTTCTGTATAGACTTTATGTGAAGGTTTATCCTTTTTCACCTTTGGCCTCAAAGCCTCAAAGTGGTACAAATATCCACTTGCAAATTCTACAAAAAGAGTGTTTCAAAACTGCTCTATGAAAAGGAATGTTCAACTCTGTGAGTTCAAAGCAAATAACACAAAGAAGTTTCTGAGAATGGTTCTGTGTAGTTTTTATGTGAAGATATTTCCTTTTTCACCACAGGCCTCAAAGCTTTCCAAATGTCCACTTGCAGATTCTACAAAAAGGAGGTTTCAAAACTGCTCTATCAAAAGAGAGTTTCAACTCTGTGCGTTGAATGCACACATCACAAAGTGGTTTCTGAGAATGCTTCTAATTTTTATGTGAAGATATTTAATATTTCACCATTGGCATCAAAGTGCTACAAATGTCCACTTGCAGATTCTGCAAAAAGAGGGTTTCAAAACTGCTCTTTCAAAAGAATAGTTCAATTCTGTGAGTTGAAGGCACACATCAGAAAGAAGTTTCTGAGAATGCTTCTGTCGAGTTTCTGTGAAGATATCCCTTTTCCAGCAAAGGCCTCAAAGCCTTCCAAATATCCACATGCAAATTCTACAAAAACAGTGTTTCAAAACTGCTCTATGAAAAGGAATGTTCAACTCTGTGAGTTGAAAGCAAACATTACAAATAAGTTTCTGAGAATGCTTCTGTGTAGTTTCGTTGTGAAGATATTTCCTTTTTCACCACAGGCCTCAAAGCGCTACCAATATCCACTTGCGGATTATACAAAAAGAGTGTTTCAAAACTGCTCTGTCGAAAGAAATCTTCAACTCTGTGAGTTGAGTGCACACATCACAAAGAAGTTTCTGAGAATGCTTCTGTATAGTTTTTATGTGAAGATATTTCCTTTTTCACCATAGGCTTCAAAGCGCTCCAAATGCCCACCAGCAGATTCTACAAAAACAGTGTTTGAAAATTGCTCTATCAAAAGAATGGTTCAAATCTGTGACTTGAATGCACACATCACAAAGGAGTTTGTGAGAATGCTTCTGTCTAATTTTTCTGCAGATATCCCGTTTCCAACGAAGACCTCAAAGTGGTTCAAATATACAGTTGTAAATACTACAAAAAGACTGTTTCAAAACTGTTCTATGAAAAGGAATGTTGAACTCTGTCTGTTGAAAGCAAACATCACAAAGAAGTTTCTGAGACTTCTTCTGTATAGTTCATATGTGAAGACATATCCTTTTTCACCACAGGCCTCAAAGCTCTCCAAATGTCCACTTGCAGATTGTACAAAAAAAGTGTTTCAAATCTCCTCTATCAATAGAATGGTTCAACTCTGTGAATTGAAAGCACAGATCACAAAGAGGTTTCTGAGAATGCTTCTGTCTAGTTTTTATGTGAAGATATTTCCTTTTTCATCATAGGCCTCAAAACGTTACAAATGTCCACTTGCAGATCCTACAAAAAGATTTTTTCAAAACTGCTCTACCAAAAGAAAGGTTCAACTCTGTAAGTTGAATGCAAACATCAAGAAGAGGTTTCTGAGAATGCTTCTGTGTAGTTTTTATGTGAAGATATTTCCTTTTTCACTGTAGGACGCAAAGGGCTCCTAATGTCCAGCGGCAGGTTCTACAAAATAGTGTTTCAAAACCGATCTATCAAAGGAAAGGTTCAACTCTGTGAGTTGAATGCAGACATCACAGAGAAATTTCTGAGAATGCTTCTGTGTTGTTTTTATGTGAAGATATTTCCTTTTTTACCGTAGGCGTCAAAGTGCTCCAAATGTCCAGTTTCAGATTCTACAAAAAAAGGGTTTCAAAACTGCTCTATCAAAAGAGAGGTTCAAATATATGATTTGAATGCATACATCACAAAGTGGTTCCTGAGAATGCTTCTGTGTTGTTTTTATATGAAGATATTTCCTTTTTCACCGTAGGCCTCAAAGCGCTCCAAATGCCCACTTGCAGATTCTCCAAAGATTGTTTCAAAACTGCTCTATCAAAATATCAGTTGAATTCTGTGAGTTGAACGCACACATCACAAAGACGTTCCTGAGAATGCTTCTGTCTAGTGTTTGTGAAGATATCCCATTTCCAACGAAGGCCTCAAAGCAGTTGAAATATCCCCTTGCAAATTCTACAAAAGAGTGCTTCAAATCTGCTCTATGAGAAGGAATGTTCAAATCTGTGAATTGAAAGCAAACACCACAAAGAAGTTTCTGAGAATGCTTCTGCGTTGTTTTAATGTGAAGATATTTCCTTTTTTACCACAGGACCCAAATCGCTCCAAATGTCCACTTGCAGATTCTACAAAAAGAGTGTTTCAAAACTGCTCTATCAAAAAAATGGTTCAACTCTGTGAGATGAATGCACACATCACATAGAAGTTTCTGAGAATGCTTCTGTGTAGTTTTTATGTGAAGATATTTACTTTTTCACCATAGGTCTCAAAGCGATCCAAATATCCATTTACAAATTCTACAAAAACAGGGTCCTGAGAATGCTTCTGTGTTGTTTTTATATGAAGGTATTTCCTTTTTCACCATAGGCCTCAAAGTACTGCAAATGCTCACTTGCAGATTCTACTAAAATAGTGTTTCCAAACTGCTCTATGAAAAGAACGGTTCAACTTTTTGCATTGAATGCACAAATCACAAAGAAGTTTCTGAGAATTCTTCTGTTTGGTTTTTGTGAAGATATCCCGTTTCCAATGAAGGCTTCAAAGAGTTCCAAATATCCACTTGTAAATTCTACAAAAAGAGTGTTTCAAAACAGCTCTATGAAAAGAAATGTTCAACTCTGTGATTTGAAAGCAAACATCACAAAGAAGTTTCTGAGAATGCTTCTGTATAGTTCTTATGTGAAGATGTTTCCTTTTTCAACACAGACCTCAAATCGCTATAAATGTCCATTTCCAGATTGTACAAAAGGAGTGTTTCAACTATTCTCTTTCAAAAGAAAGGTTCAAATTTGTGAGTTGAATGTACACATCACAAATAGGTTTCTGAGAATGCTTCTGTCTAGTTTTAATGTCAATATATTTCCTTTTTCACCACAGGCCTCAAAGCGTTCTATATGTCCTCTTGCAGATTCTACAAAAAGAGTGTTTCAAAACAGCTCTATCAAAAGAAAGGTTCAACTCTGTGAGTTGAATGCACACATCACAAAGATGTTTCTGAGAATAATTCTATCCAGTTTTAGTGAAGATATCCTTTTTCCAATGAATGCCTCAATGCGGTCCAAATTTCCACATTCAAATTGTACAAAAAGAGTGTTTCAGAACTGCTCTATGAAAAGGAATGTTCAATTCTGTGAGTTCAAAGCAAACATCACGAGGAAGTTTCTGAGAATTCTTCTGTCTTGTTTTTATGTGAAGATATCTCATTTCCAATGAATGATACAAAGTGGTCCAAATATCCACATGCAAATTCAACAAAAAGAGTGATTCAATACTGCTCTATGAAAAGTAGTGTTCAACTCTGTGAGTTGAAAGCAAACATCACAAAGAAGATTCTGAGAAGGCTTCTGTGTAGTTTTTATGTGAAGATATTTCCTTTTTCACCATAGGACTCAAAGAGCTCCAAATGTCAACTTGCAGATTCCACAAAAAGAGTGTTTTAAAACTCCTCTATCAAAAGAAAGGTTCAACTCCGTGAGTTGATTGCACCCATCACAAAGAAGTTTATGAGAATGCTTCTGTCTAGTTTTTAAGTGAAGATATTTCCTTTTTCTCCATAGGCCACAAAGCGCTCCAAATGTCCAATTGTAGATTCTACAAAAAGAGTGTTTCAAAACTGCTCTATAAAAAGTTTCACCTCGGTGGGTTGAATGCACACATCACAAAGAAGTTTCTGAGAATGCTACTGTCTAGTTTTTATGTAAAGATATCTCATTTCCAACGAAGGCCTCAAAGCACTCCAAATGTCCACTTGCAGATTCTACAAAAGGAGTGTTTCAAAACTGCTCTATCAAATGAAAGTTTCAACATTGTCACTTGAATGCACACATCAAAAAGAAGTTCCTGAGAATACTTCTGTGTACATTTTATGTGAAGATATTTCCTTTTTCACCATAAGCCACAAAGCGCTGCAAATCTCCACTTGCAGATTCTACAAAAAGAGTGTTTCGAAACTGCACTATCAAAATAAATGTTCAACTCTGTGATTTGAATGCACACATCACAAAGAAGTTTCTGAGAATGCTTCTGTGTAGTTTTTATGCAAAGAAATACCGTTTGCAACTAAGGCCACAAAGTGCTCCAAATGTCCACTTGCAGATTCTACAAAAAGAGTGTTTCAAAACTGCTCTATCAAAAGAAAGGTTCAACTCTCTCAGTTGAATGCACACATCACAAAGAAGTTCATCAGAATGCTTCTGTCTAGTTTTTATATGAAGATATCACCTTTCTAATGAAGGCCTCAAAGCGGTCCAAATATCCACTTGTAAACTGTACAAAAAGAGTGTCTCAAAACTGCTCTATGAAAATAATGGTTAAACTCTTTGAGTTGAATGCACACATCACAAACAAGTTTCTGAGAATGCTTCTGTCTAGTGTTTATGTTAAGATATTTCCTTTTTCGCCACAGGCCTCAAAGCGTTCCAAATGTCCTCTTGCAGATTCTACAATAAGAGTGTTTCAAAACTGGTCTATCAAAAGAAATATTCAGCTGTGTGAGTTGAATGCACACATCACAAAGAAGTTTCTGAGAATGCTTCTGTCTAGCTTTAATGTGAACATAGCCCGTTTCCAACGAAGACCTCTAAGCGGCCAAAATATCCACTTTCAAATTCTACAAAAAAGTTTCTCAAAACTGCTCTATCAAAAGAATGGTTCAACTCTGTGAGTTGAATGCACACATCACAAAGAAGTTTCTGAGAATGCTTCTGTGTAGTTTTTATGTGAAGATGTTTCATTTTCACCATAGGCCACAAAGCTCTCCAAATGTCCACTTGCAGATTCTACCAAAAGAGTCTTTCAAAACTGCTCTATTGAAAGAAAGGTTCAACTCTGTGAGTTGAATGCACACATCACAAAGAAGTGTCTGAGAATGCCTCTGTGTACTTTTTATGTGAAGATATACCGTTTCCAATGAAGGCCTCAAAGCCGTCCAAATATCGACTTGCAAATTCTATGAAAAGAGTGTTTCAAAACTGCTCTATGAAAAGGAATGTTCAACTCGGTGAGTTGAATGCACACATGAAAAAGCAGTTTCTGAGAATGCTTCTGTGAATTTTTTATGTGAAGATATTTCCTTTTTCACCATAGGCCTCAAAGCGCTGCAAATGTCCACTTGCAGATTCAACAAAAAGATTCTTTCAAAACTGCTCGATGAAAAGGAATGTTCAACTCTGTGACGTGAAAGCAAACATCACCAAGAAGTTTCTGGGAATGCTTCTCTGTAGTTTTTATGTGAAGATATTTCCTTTTTCACCATAGGACTCAAAGAGCTCTAAATGTCGACTTGCAGATACTACAAAAAGAGTGTTTCAAATCTGCTCTATCAACAGAAAGGTTCACCTCTGTGGCTTGAATGCACACATCTCGAAGAAGTTTCTGAGAATGCTTCTATCTGGCTTTAGTGTGAAGATATCCCGTTTCCAAAGAAGGCCTCAAATCGGTCCAAATATCAACATACAAATTCTCCAAAAAGAGTGTTTCAAAACTGCTGTATGAATAGGAATGTTCAACTCTGTGAGTTGAAAGTAAACATCACCAAGAAGTTTCTCAGAAGGATTCTGTGTAGTCTTTATGTGAAGATATTTCCCTTTTCACCATAGGCCTCAAAGCGCTCCAAATGTCCACTTGCAGATTCATCAAAAAGATTGTTTCAAAACTGCTGTATCAAAAAAAGGTTCAACTCTGTGATTTGAATGCACACATCACAAAGCAGTTTCTGAGAATACTTCTGTGTAAATTTTATGTGAAGATATTTCCTTTTTCACCACAGGCCTCAAAGTGCTTCAAATGTCCTCTTGTATATTCTACAAAAAGACTGCTTCAAAACTGCTCTATCAAAAGAAAGGTTCAACGCTGTGAGTAGAATGCACACATCAAAAAGAAGTTTCTGAGAATGCTTCTGTATTGTTTTCATGTGAAGACATACCGCTTCCAATGAAGGCCTCAAAGCGGTCCAAATATCGACTTGCAAATTCTACAAAAAGAATGTTTAAAAACTGCTCTATGTAAAGGCATTTTCAAATGCGTGAGTTGAATGCACACATCACAAAGAAGTTTCTAAGAATGCTTCTGTGTAGTTTCTATGTGAAGATATTTCCTTTTTCACTATAGGCCTCAAAGCTTTCCAAATGTCCAATTGCAGATTCCACAAAAAGAGTGTTTCAAAACTGGTCTATCAGAAGAAAGTTCCAACTCTGTGAGTTGAATGCAAACATCACAAAGAAGTTTCTGAGAATGCTTCTTTGTATTTTTTATGTGAAGATATATCTCCTTTTTCACCATAGGCCGCAAAGCACTTCAAATGTCCACTTGCAGATTCTACAAAAAGAGTGTTTCACAACTGCTCCATCAAAAATAAGGTTCAACTCTTACAGTTCAATGCACACATCACAAAGAGGATTCTGAGAATGCTTCTGTCTAGTTTTTATGTGAAGATATACCGTTTCCAATGAAGGCCTCAAAGCGGTCCAAATATCCACTTGCAAATTCTACAAAAAGAGTGTTTCAAAACTGCCCTATGAAAAGAAATGTTCAACACTGTGAATTGAATGCACACATCACAAAGAAGTTTCTGAGAATACTTCTGTGTAGATTTTATGTGAAGATATTTCCTTTTTCACCATAAGCCTCTAAGCATGCCAAATGTCCACTTGCAGGTCCTTCAAAAAGTGTGCTTCAAAAGTGCTCTATCAAAAGAAAGGTTCATCTCTGTGAGTTGAATGCACAAATCACAAAGAAAGTTTCTGAGAATGCTTCTGTCTAGTTTTAATGTGAAGATAGCCCGTTTCCAACGAAGGCCTCTAAGAGGTCAAAATATCCATTGCAAATTCTACAAAAAGAGTGTCTCACAACTCCTCTATGAAAAGAATGGTTCAACTCTGTGAGTTAAATGCACACATCACAAAGAAGTTTCTGAGAATGCTTCTGTCTAGTTTTTATGTGAAGATATTTCCTTTTTCACCATAGGCCTCAAACCGCTCCAAATGTCCAATTGCAGATTCTACAAAAAGAACGTTTCAAAACTACTCTATCTAAAGAAAGGTTCAACTCTGTGAGTTGAATGTGCACATCACAGAGAAGTTTCTGAGAATGCTTCTGTGAATTCTTTATGTGAAGTTATTTCCTTTTCACCATAGGCCTCAAAGCGAACAAAATGTCCCCTTGCAGATTATGCAAAAAGAGAGTTTCAGAACTGCTCTATCAAAAGAAAGGTGCAACACTGTGAGTTCAATGCACACATCACAAAGTAGTTTCTGAGAATGCTTTTGTCTAGTTTTAATGTGAAGATATCCCATATCCAACGAGGGCATCAAAGTGGTCCAAATATCAACTTGCAATTTGTACAAAAAGAGTGTTTCTAAACTTCTCTATGAAAAGTAATGTTCAACTCTGTGAGTTGAAAGCATACACCATGAAGAGGTTTCTGAGAAGACTTCTGTGTAGTTTTTACGGGAAGATATAACCTTTTTCACCACAGGCCTCAAAGTGCCCCCAATGTCCACTTTCATATTCTACAGAAAGAGTGTTTCAAAACTGCTCTATCAAAAGAAAGGTTCAACTCTGTGAGGTGAATGCACACATCACAACGAAGCTTCTGAGAATGCTTCTGTTTTGTTTTTATGTGAAGACATCCCCTTTCCAATGAAGGCCTCAAAGCCGTCTGAATATCCATTTGTAAATTCTACAGAAAGAGTGTTTCAAAACTGCTCTATCAAAAGAAAGGTTCAACTCTGTGAGTTGAATGAACCCATCACAAAGAAGTTTCTGAGAATGCTTCTGTCTAGTTTTTAAGTGAAGATATTTCCTTTTTCACCACAGGCCTCAAAGCACTCTAAATGTCCACCTGTAGATTCTACAAAAAGGGTGTTTCAAAACTGCTCTATCAAATGAAGTTCTCCTCTGTGGGTTGAATGCCCACATCCCAAAGAAATTTCTGAGAATGCTACTGTCTAGTTTTTATGTAAAGGTATCCCGTTTCCAATGAAGACCTCATAGCGATCCAATCATCCGCTTGCAAATTCTACAAAAGAGTGTTTCAAAACTGCTCTATGAAAAGGAATGTTCAACTCTGTGAGTTGAAAGCAAACATCACAAAGAGGTTTCTGACAATGCTTCCATCTAGTTTTTATGTGAAGATATTTCCTTTTACACCATTGGCCTCAAAACGCTCCAAGTGTCCAATTGCAGATACTACAAAAAGAGTGTTTCAAATCTGCTCTATCAAAAGAAAGTTTCAATTCTGTGAGTTCAATGCACACATAACAAAGAAGTTTCTGAGAATACTTCAGTGTAGTTATTATGTGAATATATTCCCTTTTTCACCATAGGCCTCGAAGCGCTCTAATTGTCCACTTGCAGATTCTCCAAAGAGAGTGTTTCACAACTGCTCTATCAAAAGAAATGTTCAACACTGTGAGTTGAATGCACACATCACAAAGAAGTTTGTGAGAATGATTTTGTATAGTTTTTATGTGAAGAAATAACCGTTTCCAAAGAAGGCCTCAAAGCGGTCCAAATATCTACTTGCAAATTCTGCAAAAGGAGTGTTTCGAAACTGCTCTATTAAAAGGCATGTTCAACTCTGTGAGTTGAAAGTAAACATCCCAAAGAAGTTTCTGAGAATGCTTCTGTGCAGTTTATATGTGAACATATATCCTTTTCCACCACAGGTCTCAAAGCACTCTAAATGTCCACTTGCAGATTCTACAAAAAGTGTTTTTCAAAACTGCTCTATCAAAAGAAATTTTCAACTCTGTTAGTTGAACGCACACATCAAAAGGAAGTTTCTGAGAGTACTTATGTGTACATTTTATGTGAAGATATTTCCTTTTCCACCATAGGCCTCAAAGCGCTACAAATCTCCAATTGCAGATTCTACAGAAAGAGTATTTCAAACTGCTCTATCAAAAGAAAGGTTCATCTCTGTGATTTGAATGCACACATCACAAAGAAGTTTCTGAGAATGCTTCTGTATAGTTCTTATGTGAAGTTATACCGTTTCCAACGAAGGCCACAAAGTGCTCCAAATGTCCACTTGCAGATTCTACAAAAAGAGTGTTTCAAAGCTCCTCTATCAAAAGAAAGGTTCAACTCTCTCAGTTGAACGCACACATCAGAAAGAAGATTCTCAGAATGCTTCTGTCTAGTTTTTATATGAAGATATCACGTTTCCAACAAAGGCCTCAAAGCGGTCCAAAAATCCACTTGCAAACTCTACAAAAAGAGTGTCTCAAAACTGCTCTATGAAAAGAATGGTTCAACTCTGTGAGTTAAATGCACACGTCACTAAGAAGTTTCTGAGAATGCTTCTGTCTAGTGTTTATGTGAAGAGATTTCCTTTTTCACCACAGGCTTCAAAGCATTCCACATGTCCTCTTGCAGATTCTACAAAAGAGTGTTTCAAAACTGCTGTATCAAAAGAAAGGTTCGGCTGTGTGAGTTGAATGCACACATCAAAAAGAAGTTTCTGAGAATGCTTCTGTCTAGTTATAATGTGAAGATAGCCCGTTTCCAACGAAGGCATTTAAGCGGCCAAAATATCCACTTGCAAATTCTACAAAAAGACTGTCTCAAAACTGCTCTATGAAAAGAATGGTTCAACTCTGTGAGTTGAATGCACATATCACAAAGAAGTTTCTGATAATGCTTCTCTGTAGTTTTATGTGAAGATATGTCCTTTTTCACCATAGGCCTCAAAGCGCTCCAAATGTCCAGTTTCAGATTCTACAAAAAGAGGGTTTCAAAACTACTCTATTAAAAGGGGGGTTCAACTATATGAGTTGAATGCACACATCACAAAGTAGTTTCTGAGAATGCTTCTCTGTAGTTTTTATGTGAAGATATCTCCTTTTTCACCACAGGCCTCAAAGCGCTCCTAATGTCCAGGGGCAGGTTCTACAAAAATAGTGTTTTGAAACTGCTCTATCAAAAGAAAGGTTCAACTCTGTGAGTTGAATGCACACGTCAAAAAGAAGTTTCAGAGGATGCTTCTTTCTAGTTTTTATGTGAAGATATCCCGTTTCCAATGAAGGCCTCAATGCTGTCCAAATATCCAATTGCAAATTCTAGAAAAAGAGTGTTTCAAAACTGCTCAATGAAAAGGAATGTTCATCTCTGTGAGTTGAAGGCAAACAACACTAACAAGTTTCTTAGAATTCTTCTGTGTAGTTTCTTTGTGAAGATATTTCCTTTTTCACCATAAGCCTCAAAGCACTCCAAATGTCCAGTTGCAGATTCTACAAAAAGAGGGTTTCAAAACAGCTCTATCAAAAGAGAGGTTCAACTTTATGAGTTGAATGCATACATCTAAAGAAAGTTCCTGAAAATGCTTCTAAGTTGTTTTTATATGAAGATATTTCCTTTTTTCACCTTAGGCCTCAAAGCGTTACAAATGTCCTCTTGCAGATCCTACAAAAAGAGTTTTTCAAAACTGCTCTATTGAAAGAACGGTTCAACTCTGTGAGTTGAATGCACACATCACAAAGTAGTTCCTGAGAATACTTCTGTCTAGTTTTTCTGAAGATATCCCATTTCCAGCGAAGGCCTCAAAGTGGTCCAAATATCCAAATTAAAATTAAAAAGAGTGTTTCAAAACTGCTCTATGAAAAGGAATGTTCAACTCTGAGAGTTGAAAGCAAACATCACAAAGAAATTTCTGAGCATGCTTCTGTGTAATTTTAATGTAAACATATTTCCTTTTTCACCTCATGCCTCAAAGCTCTCCAAATGTCCACTTGCAGATTCTACAAAAAGAGTTTTTCAAAACTGCTATATCAAAAAAAAGCTTCAACTCTGTGAGTTGAGTGCACACATCACAAAGACGATTCTGAGAATGCTTCTGTCTAGTTTTTATCTGAAGATATTTCCTTCTTCACCATAGGCTTTAAAGCTCTCCAAATGTCCACTTGCAGGATCTACAAAAAGAGTGTTTCAAAACTGCTCTATAAAAAGAAATGTTGAACTCTGTGAGTTGAAAGCACACATCATAAAGAAGTTTCTGAGAATGCTTCTGTCTAGGTTTTATGTGAACATATCCCCTTTCCAACGATGGCCTGAAAGTGGTCCAAATATCCATTTGCAAATTCTACAAAAACAATGTTTCAAAACTGCTCTAGGAAAAGGAATGTTCTACTCTGTGAGTTGAAAGCAAACAAACAACATAAAGAAGTTTCTGAGAATGCTTCTGTGTAGTTTTATATGAAGATATGTCCTTTTTCACCATAGGCCTCAAAGCGTTCCAAATGTCCAGTTCCAGATTCTACAAAAAGAGGGTTTCTAAACTTCTCTATTAAAAGGGGGGTTCAACTATATGAGTTGAATGCACACATCACAAAGTAGTTTCTGAGAATGCTTCTCTGTAATTTTTATGTGAAGATATCTCCTTTTTCACCTCAGGCCTTAAAGCGCTCTTAATGTCCAGTGGCAGGTTCTACAAAAATAGTGTTTCGAAACTGCTCTATCAAAAGAAAGGTTCAACTCTGTGAGTTGAATGCGCACATCAAAAAGAAGTTTCAGAGAAAGCTTCTGTCTAGTTTTTATGTGAAGATATCCCGTTTCCAATGAAGGCCTCAATGCTGTCCAAATAACCACTTGCAAATTCTACAAAAAGAGTGTTTCAAAACTGCTCTATGAAAAGGAATGTTCATCTCTGTGAGTTGAAGGCAAACAACACAAACAAGTTTCTGATAATTCTTCTGTGTAGTTTTTATGTGAAGATATTTTCTTATTCACCATAGGCCTCAAAACTCTACAAATGTCCACTTGCAGATTCTACAAAAAGAGTGTTTCAAAACTGTTCTATCAAAAGAATGTTTCAGCTCTGTGAATTGAATGCACACATCAGAAAGAAGTTTCTGAGAATGTTTCTTTCTAGTTTTTATGGGTAGATATTTCCTTTTTGACCATAGGATTAAAGCGCTCCAAATGTCCACTTGAAGATTCTACAAAAAGAGTGTTTCAAAACTGCTCCTCAAAAGAAAGGTTCAACTCTCTGAGTTGAATGCACACATCACAAAATAGTTTCTGTGAACGTTTCTCTCTTGTTTTTATGTGAAGATATTTCCTTTTTCACCATAGGCCCGAAAGCGCTCCAAATGTCCACTTGCAGATACTATAAAAAGTGTTTTTCAAAACTGCTCTATCAAAAGGAAGCATCAACTCTGCGAGTTGAATGCACACATCACAAAGAAGATTCTGAGAATGCTTCTGTCCAGTTTTTGTGAAAATATCCCTTTTCCAACGAAGGCCTCAAAGCAGTCCAAATATCCACTTGCAAATTCTACAAAAAGAGTGTTTCAAAACCGCTCTATGAAAAGGAATGTTCAACTCTGTGAGTTGAAAGCAAACATCACAAAGAAGTTTCTGAGAATGCTTCTGTGTGGTTTCTTTGTAAAGATATTTCCTTTTTCACCACAGGCCTCAAAGCACTCCAAATGTCCACCTGCAGATTCTACAAAACCAGTGTTTCAAAACTGCTCTATCAAAAGAAAGTTCAACTCTGTGAGTTGAGTGCAAAGAAGTTTGAGAAAATGCTTCTGTGTAGATTTTATGTTAACATATTTCCTTTTTCACCTTAGGCCTCAAAGCCTCAAAGCAGTCCAAATATCCACCTACAAGTTACAAAAAAATGTGTTTCAATACTGCTCTATGAAAAGGAAAGTTGAATCCTCTGAGTTGAAAGCAAACAACACAAAGAAGTTTCTGAGAATGCTTCTGTGTGTTTTTTATGTGAAGATATTTCATTTTTCATCATAGTCCTCAAAGCGTTAAAAATGTCCATGTGCAGATCCTACAAAAAGAGTTTTTCAAAACTGTGTGTAGATATATGTGAAGATATTTCGTTTTTCACCATAGGCCTCAAAGCACTCCTAATATCCATTTACAGATTCTACAAAAAGAGGGTTTCAAAACTGCTCCATCAAAAGAGAGGTTCAACTCTGTGAGTTGAATGCACAGAACACAAAGTAGTTTCTGAGAATGCTTCTGTCTAGTTTTTGTGAAGATATCCCTTTTCCAAAGAAGGCCTCAAAGCATTCCAAATACTGACTTGCAAATTCCTTAAAAAGAGTGTTTAAAAACTGCTCTATGAAAAGGAATGTTCAACTCTGTAAGTTGAAAGCAAACAAAACAAAGAAGTTTCTGAGAATGCTTCCGTGTAGTATTTATGTGAAGATATTTTCTTTTTCACCATAGGCCTCAAAGCGCTCCAAATGTCCAGTTGCAGATTGTTCAAAAAGAGAGTTTCAAAACTGATCTATCAAAAGAGAGGTTCAACTCTGTGAGGTGAAAACACACATAACAAAGAAGTTTCTGAGAATGCTTTTGTGTACTTTTTATGTTAAGATATTTCCTTTTCCACCGTAGGCCTCAAAGCGCTACAAATGTCCAGTTGCAGATTCTACAAAAAGAGGGTATTAAAACTGCTCTATCAAAAGAAAGGTTCAACTCTGTGACTTCAAAGCATACATCTCAAAGGTGTTTCTAGGGATATTCTTCTGAGTAGTTTCTATGTGAATATATTTCCTTTTTCACCATAGTCCTCAAAGCGCTCTAAATATCCTCTTGGAGATTATCCAAAAATAGTATTTCAAAACCATTCTATCAAAACAAAGGTTCAACCCGGTGAGTTGAACACACACATCACAAAGAAGTCTGTGACAATGCTTCTCTATAGTTTTTATTTGAAGATATACCGTTTACAACGAAGGCCTCAACGCGGTTCAAATATCCACATGCAAATTCTACAAAAAGAGGGTTTAGAAACTGCTATATGAAAAGTAATGTTCAACTCTGTGAGTAGAATGCACACATCACAAAGAAGTTCCTGAGAATGCTTCTGTCTAGTTTCTGTGAAGATATCCCTTTTCCAACGAAGACCTCAAACCGGTCCAAATATCCACTTGTAGATTCTACAAAAAGAGTGTTTCAAAACTGCTCTATCAAAAGAAAGTTTCAACTCTGTAAGTGGAGTGCACACATCACAAAGAAGTTTCTGAGAATGCTTCTGTCTAGTTTTTATGTGAAGATATTTCCTTTTCCACCATAGGCCCCAAAGAGCTTCAAATGTCCACTTACAGGTTCTATGAAAAGAGTGTTTCAAAATTGCGTTATCAAAAGAAAGGTTCAACTCTGTGAGTTGAATGCACACATCACAAAGAAGTTTCTGAGAATGCTTCTGTCTAGTTTTTGTGAAGATATCCCTTTTCTAATGAAGGCCTCAAATCGGTCCTAATATCCACTTGCAAAATCCACAAAAAGAGTGTTTCAAAACTGCTCTATGAAGAGGAATGTTCATATCTGTGAGTTGAAAGCAAACAACACAAAGAACTTTCTGAGAATGCTTCTGTGTAGTTTTTATGTGAAGATATTTCCTTTTCCACCATTGGCCTCACAGCGCTCCAAATGTCCTGTTGCAGATTGTACAAAAAGAGGCTTTCAAAACTGCTTTATCAAAAGAGAGGTTCACCTCTGTGAGCTGAATGCACACATAGCAAAGCAGTTTGTGAAAATGCTTTTGTGTAGTTTTTATGTGAAGATATTTCCTTTTCCACCGTAGGCCTCAAAGCGCTCCAAATGTCCACATGCAGATTCTACAAAAAGAGCGTTTCAAAACAGCTCTATCAAAAGAAAGGTTCAACTCTGTGATTTGAATGCCCACATCACAGAGAAGTTTCTCATAATCATTCTGTGTAGTTTATATGAGAAGATATTTCATTTTTCCCCATAGGCCTTAAAGTGCTCCAAATATCCATTTACAGATTCTACAAAAACAGGGTTTCAAAACTGCTCTATCAAAAGAGAGGTTCAGCTCCGTGAGTTAAATGCACACATCACAAAGAAGTTTCTGAGAAAGCTTCTGTGTAGCTTTTATGTGAAGATATTTCCTTTTTCACCATAGGACTCAAAGCTCTCCTAATGTCCAGTGGCATGTTCTACAAAAGCAGAGTTTCAAAACTGCTCTATCAGAAGAAATATTCAACTATATGAGTTGAATGCAGACAACACAAAGAAGTTTATGAGAATGCTTCTGTGTAGTTTCTGTGAAGATATCCCTTTTCCAACGAAGGCTTCAAACCTGTCCAAATATGCACCTGTAGATTCTATAAAAAGAGTGTTTCAAAACTGCTCTATCAAAATAAAGTTTCAACTCTGTGAGTTGAATGCACACATCTCAAAGCAGTTTCTGAGAATGCTTCCTTCTGGTTTTTAAGTGAAGATATTTCCTTTTTCACCATAGGCCTCAAAACGCTCCAAATTTCCACTTGCAGATTCCACAAAAAGAGTGTTTCAAAACTGCTCTATCAAAAGTAAGGTTCAACTATGTGAGTTGAATGTGCACATCACAAAGAAGTTTCTGAGAATGCTTCTGTCTAGTTTTTATGTGAAGATAAACCGTTTTGAACGAAGTCCTCAAAGCAGTCCAAATATCCACTTGCAAATTCTACAAAAAGGGTGTTTCAAAACGGCTCTATGAAAAAGATTATTCAACTCTGTGAGTTGAAAGCAAACAACACAAAGAAGTTTCTGAGAATGCTTCGGTGTAGTTTTTATGTGAAGATATTTCATTTTTCACCATGGGACTCAAAAATCCCCAAATATCCGTTTACAAATATTACAAAACGAGGGTTTCAAAACTGCTCTATCAAAAGAGAGGTTCAACTCTGTGAGTTGAATGCACACATCACAAAGAAGTTCCTGAGAATGCTTCTGTGTAGTTTTTATGCCAAGATAGTTCCTTTTTCACCATGGGCCTCAAAGACCTACAAATGTCCACGAGTAGATTCTACAAATAGAGTGTTTCAAAACTGCTCTATGAAAAGGAATGTTGAACTCTGTGAGTTGAAAGCAAACAGCACCAAGAAGTTTCTAAGAATGCTTCTGCGTAGTTTTTATGTGTAGATATTTCCTTTTTCACCATAGGCATCAAAGCGTTCCAAATGTCCACTTTCAAATTCTGCAAAAAGAGTTTTGCAAAACTGCTCAATCAAAAGAAAGAATCAACTCATTGAGTTGAATGCACACATCACAAAGAAGTTTCTGAGAATTCTTCTGTGTAGCTTTTATATGAAAATATTTCCTTTTTCACCACAGACCCCAAAGCACTCCAAATGTCCTCTTGCAGATTCTACAAAAAGAGTATTTCAAAACTGCTCTATCAAAAGAATGTTTCAACTCTGTGAGTTGAATGCACACATCAGAAGGAAGTTTCTGAGAATGCTTCTGTCTAGTTTTTATGTGAAGATAGCCCGTTTCCAACGAAGTCCTCAAAGTTTTGCAAATATCCACTTGCAAATTCTACAAAAAGAGTGTTTCAAAACTTCTGTATCAAAAGAAATTTTCAACTCTGTGAGTTGAATGCACCCATCACAAAGAAGTTTCTGAGAATGCTTCTGTCTAGTTTTTATGTGAAGATATTTCCTTTTTCAACATAGACCTCAAAGTGTTCCAAATATCCAATTGCAGATTCTGCAAAAAGAGTGTTTCAAAACTGCTCTATCAAAAGAAAGGTTCAACTCAGTGAGTTAAATGCACACATCACAAAGAAGTTTCTGAGAATGCTTCTGTAAAGTTTTTAAGTGAAGGTATACCGTTTCCAATGAAGGCCTCAATGCAGTCCAAATATCCACTTGCAAATACTACAAAAAGAGTGTTTAGAAACCACTCTATGAAAAGGAATGTTGAACTCTGTGAGATGAATGCACACATGAGAGAGAAGTTTCTGATAATGCTTCTGTGTAGTTTTTACGTGAAGATATTACCTTTTTCACCATAGGCAACAAAGCGCTCCAAATGTCCACTTGCAGAGCCTAAAAAAAGTGTTTTTCAACACTGCTCTATCAAATACATATTCAACTCTGTGAGTTGAATGCACATATCACAAAGGAAATTCTGAGGATGCTTCTGTCCAGTTTTTGGGAAGATATACCGTTTCCAAAGAAGGCCTCAAAACGGTCCAAATATCCACTTGCCAACCCTACAAAAACAATGTTTCAAAACTACTCTATGAAAAGGAATGTTCAACACTATGAGTTGAAAGCAAACATCACAAAAATGTTTCTTAGAATGCTTCTCTGTAGCTTTTATGTGAAGATATTGTCTTTTAACCATAGGCCTCATGGCACTCCAAATATCCAATTACAGATTCTACAAAAAGAGGGTTTCAAAACTGCTCTATCAAAAGAGAAGCTCAAGTCTGTGAGTTGAATGCACACATCACAAAGCGGTTTCTGAGAATGCTTCTGTGTACTTTTTATGTGAAGATATTTCCTTTTTCACCGTAGGCCACAAAGCGTTCCAATTGTCCACTTGCAGGAACTACAAAAAGTGTGTTTCAAAACTGCTCTATCAAAAGAAAGGTTCAACTCTGTGAGTTGAATGCACACGTCACAAAGAAGATTCTGAGAATGCTTCTGTCTAGTTTTTATGTGAAGATATCCCGCTTCGAACAAAGTCCACAAAGCGGTCGAAATATCCACTTGCAAATTCTACAAAAAAGGTGTTTCAAAACTGCTCTATGAAAAAGAATGTTCACCTCTTTGAGTTGAAAGCAAACAACAAAAAGAAGTTTCTGAGAATGCTTCTGTGTAGTTTTTATATGAAGATATTTCCTTTTTCACCGTAGGACTCAAAACCCTCAAAATATCCATTTACAGATTCTACAAAAACAGGGTTTCGAAACTGCTCTATCAAAAGAGATGTTCAACTCTGTGAGTTGAATGCACACATCACAAAGGAGTTTCTGAGAATGCTTCCGTGTAGTTTTTATATGAAGACATTTCATTTTTCACCATAGGCCTCAGAGCGCACCTAATGTCTAGTGGCAGGTTCTACAAAGGAGTCTTTCAAAACTGCTCTATCAAAAGAAAGGTTCAACTCTGTGAATTGAATGCACACATCACAAAGACACTTGTAAGAATACTTCAGTCTAGTTTTTATGTGAAGATACCTCGTTTCGAATGAAGTCCTTAAAGTGGTCCAAATATCCACTTGCAAATTCTACAAAAAAAAGTGTTTCAAAACTGCTCTATGAAAAGGAATGTTCAACTCTGTGAGTTGAAAGCAAACAACACAAAGGAGTTTCTGAGAATGCTTCTGTGCAGTTTTTATGTGAAGATATTTCCTTTACACCACAGGCCTCAAAGCGCTTCAAATGGCCTATAGAGAAAAAGGAAATATCTTCGTATAAAAACAACACAGAAGCATTCTCAGGAACTTCTTTGTGATGTGTGCATTCAACTCACAGTGTTGAACCTCTCTTTTGAAAGGGCAGTTTTGAAACCTCCTTATTGTGGAATCTGCAGGTGGACATTTGGAGATCTTTGAGGCCTATGTTGAAAAAGGAAATATCTTCACATAAAAACTACACAGAAATATTCTCAGAAACTTCTTTGTGTTGTTTGCTTTCAAATCACAGAGTTGAACATTGCTTTTCATAGAGCAGTTTTGAAACCCTCTTTTTGTAGAATTTGCAAGTGGATATTTGCACCGCTTTGAGTCCTTCATTTGAAACGGGATATCTTCACAAAAACTGGACAGAAGCATTCTCAGAAAAATCTTTGTGATGTGTGCATTTAACTCACATAGTTGAAGCTTTGTTTTGATAGAGCAGTTTTGAAACACTCCTTTTGTAAAACCTGCAAGTGGACATTTGGAGCGCTTGAAGGCCTATGGTGAAAGAGGAAATATCTTCACAACGAAAGTACACAGAAGCATTCTCAGAAACATTTTTGTGAAGTTTGCTTTCAAATCACAGAGTTGAACATTCCTTTTCATAGAGCAGTTTTGAAACACTCCTTTTGTAGAATTTGCAAGTGGATATTTGGAAGGCTTTGAGGCCTTCGTTGGAAACGGGATACATTCACAAAAACAAGACAGAAGCATTCTCAGAAACTTCTTTGTGATGTGTGCATTCAACTCACAGAGTTGAAGCGTTCTTATGATAGAGCAGTTTTGAAACACTGTTTTTGTAGAATCTGCAAGTGGGCATTTGGAGGGCTTTGAAGCCTATGATGAAAAAGGAAATATCTTCACATAAAAACTTGATAGAAGCGTTCTCAGAAACTACTTTGTGATGTGTGTACTCAAATCACAGAGTTGAAGCTTCCTTTTGATAGAACAGTTTTGAAACACTCTATTTGTAGAATCTGCAAGTGGACATTGGAGCGCTTTGAGGCCTGTGGTGTAAAAGGAAATATCTTCACAACCAGCATTACCAGAAACTTCTTTGTGTTGTTTGCTTTAAACTCACAGAGTTGAACATTCCTTTTCATACAGCAGTTTTGAAACACTCTTTTTGTAGGTTTTGCAAGTGGATATTTGGTCCGCATTGAGGCCTTCATTTGAAATGGGATATCTTCACAAAAACTGAACAGAAGCATTCTCAGAAACTTCTTTCTGATGTGTGCATTCAACTCACAGAATTGAACCGTTCTTTTGAAAGAGCAGTTTTGAAACACTCTTTTTGTTGAATCTGCAAGTGGGCATTTGGAGGGCTTTGAGACCAATGGTGAAAAAGGAAATATCTTCATATAAAAACTACACAGAAGCATTCCCAGAAACTTCTTTAGGATGTGTGAATTCAACTCACAGAGTTGAAACTCTCTTTTGATAGAGCAGTTTTGAAACCTTCTTTTAATAGATTCTGTAAATGGATATTTGGAGTGCTTTGAAGCCTACGGTGAAAGTAGAAATATCTTCAAAACGAAACTACACAGAAGCATTCTCAGTAATTTCTTTGTGAGGATGGCTTTTAACTCACGGAGTAGAACATTCCTTTTCATAGAGCAGTTTTGAAACACTCTTTTTGTGGAATTTGCAAGTGGATATTTGGAAGGCTTTGAGGCCTTTGTTGGAAACGGGATATCTTCACAAAAACTAGACAGAAGCATTCTCAGAAACTTCTTTGTGATGTGTGCATTCAACTCACAGAGTTGAAGCGTTCTTTTGATACAGCAGTTTTGAAACACTGTTTTTGTTGAGTCTGTAAGTGGGCATTTGGAGCGCTTTGAAGCCTACAGTGAAAAAGGAAATTTTTTTACATAAAAACTAGACAGAAGCATTCTCAGAAACTTCTTTGTGATGTGTGCACTCAAATCACAGAGTTGAAGCTTTCTTTTGATAGTGCAGTTTTGAAACACTCTTTTTGTAGAATTTGCAAGTGGATATTTGGGCGGCTTTGAGGCTTTCGTTGGAAAAGGGATATCTTCACCAAAACTAGACAGAAGCATTCTCAGGAACTTCTTTGTGATGTGTGCATTCAACTCACCGAGTTGAACCTTTCTATTGATAGAGCGGTTTTGAAACACTCTTTTTGTAGTAGCTGCAAGTGGACATTTGGAGCGCTTTGAGGCCTATGGTGAAAGTGGAAATATCTTCACAATGAAACTACACAGAAGCATTCTCAGAAACTTCTTTGTGATGATTACTCTCAACTAACAGAGTTGAACATTTCTTTTGATAGAGCAGTTTTGAAACACTCTTTTTGCATAATTTGCAATTGGATATTTGGAAGACTTAGAGGCCATCCTTGGAAACGTGATATCTTCACAAAAACTGGACAGAAGCATTCTCAGAAACATCTTTCTGATGTGTGCATTCAACTTACAGAATTGATCCGTTCTTTAGAAAGAGCAGTTTTGAAACATTCTTTTTGTAGTATCTGCAAGTAGGCATTTGGAGCGCTTTGAGACCTATGGTGAAAAAGGAAATATCTTCACATAAAACCTACACAGAAGCATTCTCACAAACTTCTTTGTGATGTGTGCATTCAACTCACATAGTTGAACCTTTCTTTCGGTAAAGCAGTTTTGAAAAACTCTTTTTGTAGGATCTGCAAGTGGTCATTTATAACACTTTGAGGCCTATGATGAAAAAGGAAATATCTTCACAAAAAATTAGACAGAAGCATTCTCAGAAACCACTTTGTGATGTGTGCATTCAACTCATGGAGTTGAACCTTTCTTTTGATAGAGCAGTTTTGAAACACTCTTTTTGTAGAACCTGCAAGTGGACGTTTGGAGTGCTTTGAGGCCAGAGGTGGAAAAGGAATTATCTTCACATTAAAAGTGCACAGAAGCATTCTCAGAATCTTCTTTGTGATGTTTGTTTTCAACTCACAGAGTTGAACATTCCTTTTCATAGCGCACTTTTGAAACATTCTTTTTAATTTGCAACTGGATATTTGGAACACTCATTTTGTAGAATCTGCAAGTGGACATTTGGAGCGCTTTGAGGCCTACGGTGAAAAAGGAAATATCTTCACATAAAAACTACACAGAAGCATTCTCAAAAACTTCTTTGTGTTTAGTGCTTTCAACTCACAGAGTTGAACCTCTCTTTTGATAGAGCAGTTTTGAAACCTCAATTTTGTAGAATCTGCAAGTGGACATTTGGAGAGCTTTGAGGCCTATGGTGAGAAAGGAAATATCTTCACCTAAAAACTACACAGAAGCATTCTCAGAAACTTCTTTGTGTTGTTTGCATTAAACTCACAGAGTTGAATATTCCTTTTCATAGAGCAGCTTTGAAACACTCTTTTTGTAGAATTTGCAAGTGGATATTGGACCGCTTTGAGGCCTTCGTTGGAAGTGGGATATCTTCACAAAAACTGGACAGAAGCATTCTCACAAACTTCTTTGTGATGTGTGCATTCAACTCACAGAGTTGAAGCGTTGTTTTCATAGTGCAGTTTTGAAACAGTTTTTGTAGAATCTGCAAGTGGGCATTTGGAGCACTTTGAAGTCTATGGTGAAAAAGGAAATATCTTCACATAAACACTAGACAGAAGCATTCTCAGAAACTTCTTTGTGATGTTTATTTGCAGCTCACAGAGTTGAACCTTCCTTTTCATAGAGCAGTTTTCAAACACTCTTTTTAATTTGCAAGTGGATATGTGGACCGTTTTGAGGCCTTCGCTGGAAAAGGGATATCTTCACAAAAACTAGACAGAAGCATTCTCAGGAACTTCTTCGTGATGTGTGCATTCAACTCACAGAGTTGGAGCATTCTTTTGATAGAGCTATTTTGAAACACTCTTTTTGTAGAATCTGCAAGTGCGCATTTGGAGCGTTTGGAGGCCTATGGTGAAAAAGGAAATATCTTCATATTAAAAAAACACAGAAGCATTCTCAGGAACTTTTCTGTGATGTATGCATTCAACTCCTACAGTTGAACCTCTCTTTGATAGAGCAGTTTACAAACCCTCTTTTTGTAGAATCTGCACCTGGACATTTGGAGCGCTTTGAGGTCTATTATGAAAAAGGAAATATCTTTATAGAAAAACTACACAGAAGCATTCTCAGAAACTACTTTGTGATGTGTGCATTCAACTCCCAGAGCTGAACCTCTCCTTTGATAGAGCAGTTTTGAAATCTCCTTTTTGTAGAATCTGCAAGTGTACATTGGGAGAGTTTTAAGGCCTATGGCGAAAAAGGAAATATCTTCACAAAAAAGCTACACAGAAGCATTCCAGAAACTTCTTTGTTTGCTTTCAACTCACAGAGTTGAACATGCCTTTTCATAGAGCAGTTTTGAAACACTCTTTTTCTATTATTTGCAAGTGGATATTTGGACTGCTTTGAGGCCTTCGCTGGAAACGGAAAATCTTCACAAAAACTACACAGAAGCATTCTCAGGAACTACTTTGTTATGTGTGCATTCAACTCACAGAGTTGAAGCGTTCTTTTGATAGAGCAGTTTTGAAACACTGTTTTTGTAGAATCTGCGAGTGAGCATTTGGAGCGCTTTGAAGCCTATGGTGAAGAAGGAAATATCTTCACATAAAAACTAGAGAGAAGCATTCTCAGAAACTTCTTTGTGATGTGTGCACTCAAATCACAGTTTTGAAACACTCTTTTTGTAGAATCTGCAAGAGGACATTGGGAACGCTTTGAGGCCTGTGGTGAAAAAGGAAATATCTTCACAACGAAAGTACACAGAAGCATTCTCAGTAACTTCTTTGTGATGCTTGCTTTCAACTCACAGAGTTGAGCATTCCTTTTCATAGAGCAGTTTGGAAACACTCTTTTTGTAGAACTTGCAAGTGGATATTTGGACCGCTTTGAGGCATTCGTTGGAAACTGGATATCTTCACAAAAACTGGACAGAAGCATTCTCACAAACTTCTTTGTGATGTGTGCATTCAACTCACAGAGTTGAACCTTTCTTTTGATAGAGCAGTTTTGAAAAACTCTTTTTGTACGATCTGCAAGTGGACATTTGTAACGCTTTGAGGCCTTTGATGAAAAACGAAATATCTTCACATAAAAACTAGGCAGAAGAATTCTCAGAAACCACTTTGTGATGTGTGCATTCAACTCACAGAGTTGAACCATTCTTTTGATAGAGCAGATTTGAAACACTCTTTTTGTACAATCTGCAAGTGGGCAATTAGATCGTTTTGAGACCTTAGATGAAAAAGGAAATATTTTCCCCTAGAACCACACAGCATTCTCAGCAACTTTTTGTTATGTTTGCTTTCAACACACGGAGTTCATCATTCCTTTTCATAGAGCAGTTTTGAAACACTCTTTTTGTAGAATTTACAAGTGGATATTTGGACCGCTTTGAGGCCTTTGTTTGAAACGGGATATCTTCACAAAGCTAGACAAAAGTATTCTCAGAAACTTCTTTGTGATGTGTGCATTCAACTCACAGAGTTGAAGCGTTCTTTTGATGGAGCAGTTTTGAAACACTGTTTTTGTAGAATCTGCAAGTGGGCATTTGGAGTGCTTTGAAGCCAATGGTGAAAAACGAAATATCTTCACATAAAAACTAGACAGAAGCATTCTCAGAAACTTCTTTGTGATGTGTGCACTCAAATCACAGAGTTGAAGCTTTCTTTTGATAGAGCAGTTTTGAAACACTCTTTTTGTAGAATCTGCAAGAGGACATTGGGAGCACTTTGAGGCCTGTGGTGTAAAAGGAAATATCTTGTCAACGAAACCACACAGAAGCATTCTCAGAAACTTCTTTGTGATGTTTGCTTTCAACAGACAGAGTTCAACATTCCTTTTCATAGGGAAGCTTTGAAACTCTCTTTTTGTAGAATTTACAAGTGGATATTTGGACCGCTTTGAGGCCTTCGTTGGAAACGGGATATATTCACAAAGCTAGACAGAAGTATTCTCAGAAACTTCTTTGTGATGTGTGCATTCAACTCGCAGGGTTGAAGCGTTCTTTTGATAGAGCAGTTTTGAAACACTGTTTTTGTAGAATCTGCAGTTGGGCATTTGGAGCGCTTTGAAGCCAGCGGTGAAAAAGGAAATATCTTCACATAAAAACTAGACAGAAGCATTCTCAGAAACTTCTTTGTGATGTGTGCACTCAAATCACAGAGTTGAAGCTTTCTTTTGATAGAGCAGTTTTGAAACACTCTTTTTGTAGAATTTGCAAGAGGACATTTGGAGCACTTTGAGGCCTGTGGTGTAAAAGGAAATATCTTCTCAACGAAACTACACAGAAGCATTCTCAGAAACTACTTTGTGATGTTTGCTTTCTTTCTTTTTTTTTATTATTATACTTTAAGTTTTAGGGTACATGTGCACATTGTGCAGGTTAGTTACATGTGTATACATGTGCCATACTTGTGCACTGCACCCACTAACTCGTCATCTAACATTAGGTATATCTCCCACTGCTATCCCTCCCGCCACCCCCCACCACACAACAGTCCCCAGAGTGTGATGTTCCCCTTCCTGTGTCCATGTGTTCTCATTGTTCAATTCCCACCTATGAGTGAGAATATGCGGTGTTTGGTTTTTTGTTCCTGCGATAGTTTACTGAGAATGATGATTTCCAATTTCAGCCATGTCCCTACAAAGGACATGAACTCATCATTTTCTATGGCTGCATAGTATTCCATGGTGTATATGTGCCACATTTTCTTAATCCAGTCTATCACTGTTGGACATTTGGGTTGGTTCCAAGTCTTTGCTATTGTGAATAATGCCGCAATAAATCTACGTGTGCATGTGTCTTTAGAGCAGCATGATTTACAGTCCTTTGGGTATATACCCAGTAATGGAATGGCTGGGTCAAATGGTATTTCTAGTTCTAGATCCCTGAGGAATCGCCACACTGACTTCCACAATGGTTGAACTAGTTTACAGTCCCACCAACAGTGTAAAAGTGTTCCTATTTCTCCACATCCTCTCCAGCATCTGTTGTTTCCTGACTTTTTAATGATTGCCATTCTAACTGGTGTGAGATGGTATCTCATTGTGGTTTTGATTTGCATTTCTCTGATGGCCAGTGATGGTGAGCATTTTTTCATGTGTTATTTGACTGCATAAATGTCTTCTTTTGAGAAGTGTCTGTTCATGTCCTTTGCCCACTTTTTGATGGGGTTGTTTGTTTTTTTCTTGTAAATTTGTTTGAGTTCATTGTAGATTCTGGATATTAGCCCTTTGTCAGATTAGTGGGTTGTGAAAATTTTCTCCTATTTTGTAGGTTGCCTGTTCACTCTGATGGTAGTTTCTTTTGCTGTGCAGAAGCTCTTTAGTTTAATTAGATCCCATTTGTCAATTTTGGCTTTTGTTGCCATTGCTTTTGGTGTTTTAGACATGAAGTCCTTCCCCATGCCTATGTCCTGAATGGTAAAGCCTAGGTTTTCTTCTAGGGTTTTTATGGTTTTAGGTCTAACATTTAAGTCTTTAATCCATCTTGAATTGATTTTTGTATAAGGTGTAAGGAAGGGATCCACTTTCAGCTTTCTACATATGGCTAGCCAGTTTTCCCAGCACCATTTATTAAATAGGGAATCCTTTCCCCATTGCTTGTTTTTCTCAGGTTTGTCAAAGAACAGATAGTTGTAGATACGTGGCGTTATTTCTGAGGGCTCTGTTCTGTTCCATTGATCTATATCTCTGTTTTGGTACCAGTACCATGCTGTTTTGGTTACTGTAGACTTGTAGTATAGTTTGAAGTCAGGTAGTGTGATGCCTCCACCTTTGTTCTTTTGGCTTAAGATTGACTTGGCGATGCGGGCTCTTTTTTGGTTCCATATGAACTTTGAAGTAGTTTTTTCCAATTCTATGAAGAAAGGCATTGGTAGCTTGATGGGGATGGCATTGAATCTATAAATTACCTCGGGCAGTATGGCCATTTTCACAATATTGATTCTTCCTACCCATGAGCAAGGAATGTTCTTCCATTTGTTTGTATCCTCTTTTATTTTCTTGAGCAGTGGTTTGTAGTTCTCCTTGAAGAGTTCCTTCACGTCCCTTGTAAGTTGGATTCCTAGGTATTTTATTCTCTTTGAAGAAATTGTGAATGGGAGTTCACTCATGATTTGGCTCTCTGTTTGTCTGTTGTTGTATAAGAATACTTGTGATTTTTGTATATTGATTTTGTATCCTGAGACTTTACTGAAGTTGCTTATCAGCTTAAGGAGATTTGGGGCTGAGACAATGGGGTTTTCTAGATATACAATCATGTCGTCTGCAAACAGGGACAATTTGACTTCCTCTTTTCCTAATTGAATACCCTTTATTTCCTTCTCCTGCCTAATTGCCCTGGCCAGAACTTCCAACACTATGTTGAATAAGAGTGGTGAGAGAGGGCATCCCTGTCTTGTGCCAGTTTTCAAAGGGAATGCTTCCAGTGTTTGCCCATTCAGTATGATATTGGCTGTGGGTTTGTCATAGATAGCTCTTATTATTTTGAAATACGTCCCATCAATACCTAATTTATTGAGAGTTTTTAGCATGAAGGGTTGTTGAATTTTGTCAAAGGCTTTTTCTGCATCTATTGAGATAATCGTGTGGTTTTTTGTCTTTGGCTCTGTTTTTATGCTGGATTACATTTATTGATTTGCGTATATTGAACCAACCTTGCATCCCAGGGATGAAGCCCACTTTATCATGGTGGATAAGCTTTTTGATGTGCTGCTGGATTCGCTTTGCCAGTATTTTATTGAGGATTTTTGCATCAAAGTTCATCAAGGATATTGGTCTAAAATTCTCTTTTTTGGTTGTGTCTCTGCCTGGCTTTGGTATCAGAATGACGCTGGCCTCATAAAATGAGTTAGGGAGGATTCCCTCTTTTTCTATTGATTGGAATAATTTCAGAAGGAATGGTACCAGTTCCTCCTTGTACCACTGGTAGAATTCGGCTGTGAATCCTTCTGGTCCTGGAGTCTTTTTGGTTGGTACGCTATTGATTATTGCCACAATTTCAGAGCCAGTTATTGGTCTATTCAGAGATTCAATTTCTTCCTGGTTTAGTCTTCAGAGAGTGTATGTGTCCAGGAATTTATCCATTTCTTCTAGATTTCCTAGTTTATTTGTGTAGAGGTGTTTATAGTATTCTCTGATGGTAGTTTGTATTTCTGTGGGATTGGTGGTGATATCCCCCTTATCATTTTTTATTGCGTCTATTTCATTCTTCTCTCTTTTTTTCTTTATTAGTCTTGCTAGCAGTCTATCAATTTTGTTGATCCTTTCAAAAAACTAGCTCCTGGATTCATTAATTTTTTGAAGGGTTTTTTGTGTCTCTATTTCCTTCAGTTCTGCTCTGATTTTAGTTATTTCTTGCCTTCTGCTAGCTTTTGAATGTGTTTGCTCTTGCTTTTCTAGTTCTTTTAATTGTGATGTTAGGGTGTCAATTTTGGATCTTTCCTGCTTCCTCTTGTGGGCATTTAGTGCTATAAATTTCCCTCTACACACTGCTTTGAATGCGTCCCAGAGATTCTGGTATGTTGTGTCTTTTTTCTCATTGGTTTCAAAGAACATCTTTATTTCTGTCTTCATTTCGTTATGTACCCAGTAGTCATTCAGGAGCAGGTTGTTCAGTTTCCATGTAGTTGAGTGGTTTTGAGTGAGATTCTTAATCCTGAGTTCTAGTTTGATTGCACTGTGGTTTGAGAGATAGTTTGTTATAATTTCTGTTCTTTTACATTTGCTGAGGAGAGCTTTACTTCCAACTATGTGGTCAATTTTGGAATAGGTGTAGTGTGGTGTTGAAAAAAATGTATATTCTGTTGATTTGGGGTGGAGAGTTCTGTATATGTCTATTGGGTCCACTTGGTGCAGAGCTGAGTTCAATTCCTGGGTATCCTTGTTGACTTTCTGTCTCGTTGATCTGTCTAATGTTGACAGTGGGGTGTTAAAATCTCCCATTAGTAATGTGTGGGAGTCTACGTCTCTTTGTAGGTCACTCAGGACTTGCTTTATGAATCTTGGTGCTCCTGTATTGAGTGCATATATATTTAGGATAGTTAGCTCTTCTTGTTGAATTGATCCCTTTACCATTATGTAATGGCCTTCTTTGTCTCTTTTGATCTTTGTTGGTTTAAAGTCTGTTTTATTAGAGACTAGGATTGCAACCCCTGCCGTTTTTTGTTTTCCATTTTGTTGGTAGGTCTTCGTCCATCCGTTTATCTTTTTTTGAGCCTTTGTGTGTCTCTGCACGTTAGCTGGGTTTCCTCAGTTACAGCACACTGATGGGTCTTGACTTTATCCAATTTGCCAGTCTGTGTCTTTTAATTGGAGCATTTAGTCCATTTACATTTAAAGTTAATACTGTTATGTGTGAATTTGATCCTGTCATTATGATGTTAGCTGGTGATTTTGCTCATTAGTTGATGCAGTTTCTTCCTAGCCTCGATGGTCTTTACATTTTGGCATGATTTTGCAGTGGCTGGTACCGGTTGTTCCTTTCCATGTTTAGTGCTTCCTTCAGGAGCTCTTGTAAGGCAGGCCTGGTGGTGACAAAATCTCTCATCATTTGCTTGTCTGTAAAGTATTTTATTTCTCCTTCACTTATGAAGCTTAGTTTGGCTGGATATGGAATTCTGGGTTGAAAATTCTTTTCTTTAAGTTTGTTGAATATTGGCCCCCACTCTCTTCTGGCTTGTAGGGTTTCTGCCGAGAGATCCGCTGTTAGTCTGATGGGCTTCCCTTTGTGGGTAACCCGACCTTTCTCTCTGGCTGCCCTTAACATTTTTTCCTTCATTTCAACTTTGGTGAATCTGACAATTATGTGTCTTGGAGTTGCTCTTCTCGAGGAGTATCTTTGTGGCGTTCTCTGTATTTCCTGAATCTGAATATTGGCCTGCCTTGCTAGATTGGGGAAGTTCTCCTGGATAATATCCTGCAGAGTGTTTTCCAACTTGATTCCATTCTCCCATCACTTTCAGGTACACCAATCAGACGTAGATTTGGTCTTTTCACATAGTCCCATATTTCTTGGAGGCTTTGTTCATTTCTTTTTATCCTTTTTTCTCTGAACTTCCCTTCTCGCTTCATTTCATTCATTTCATCTTCCATTGCTGATACCCTTTCTTCCAGTTGATCGCATCGGCTCCTGAGGCTTCTGCATTCTTCACGTAGGTCTCGAGCCTTGGTTTTCAGCTCCATCAGCTCCTTTAAGCACTTCTCTGTATTGGTTATTCTAGTTATACATTCTTCTAAATTTTTTTCAAAGTTTTCAACTTCTTTGCCTTTGGTTTGAATGTCCTCCAGTAGCTCAGAGTAATTTGATCGTCTGAAGCCTTCTTCTCTCACCTCGTCAAAGTCATTCTCCATCCAGCTTTGTTCTGTTGCTGGTGAGGAACTGCGTTACCTTGGGGGAGGAGAGGCGCTCTGCTTTTTAGAGTTTCCAGTTTTTCTGTTCTGTTTTTTCCCCATGTTTGTGGTTTTATCTACTTTTGGTCTTTGATGATGGTGATGTACAGATGGGTTTTTGGTGTGGATGTCCAATCTGTTTGTTAGTTTTCCTTCTAACAGACAGGACCCTCAGCTGCAGGTCTGTTGGAATACCCTGGCGTGTGAGGTGTCAGTGTGCTCCTGCTGGGGGGTGCCTCCCAGTTAGGCTGCTCGGGATTCAGGGACCCACTTGAGGAGGCTGTGTGCCCGTGCTCAGATCTCCAGCTGTGTGCTGGGAGAATCACTGCTCTCTTCAAAGCTGTCAGACAGGGACATTTACTTCTGCAGAGGTTACTGCTGTCTTTTTGTTTGTCTGTGCCCTGCCCCCAGAGGTGGAGCCTACAGAGGCAGGCAGGCCTCCTTGAGCTGTGTTGGGCTCCACCCAGTTCGAGCTTCTCGGCTGCTTTGTTTACCTAATCAAGCCTGGGCATTAGGGGCGCCCCTCCCACAGCCTCGCTGCCGCCTTGCTGTTTGATCTCAGACTGCTGTGCTAGCAATCACCGAGACTCCATGGGCGCAGGACACTCCGAGCCAGGTGCGGGATATACTCTCGTGGTGCGCCGTTTTTTAAGCCCCTCGGAAAAGCGCAGTATTCGGGTGGGAGTGACCCGATTTTCCAGGTGCCCTCTGTCACCTCTTTAATTGACTCGGAAAGGGAACTCCCTGACCACTTGCACTTCCCGAGTGAGGCAATGCCTCGCCCTACTTCGGCTCGCGCACGGTGCGCGCACCCACTGACCTGCACCCACTGTCTGGCACTCCCTAGTGAGATGAACCCGGTACCTCAGTTGGAAATGCAGAAATCACCCTTCTGTGTCGCTCACGCTGGGAGCTGTAGACCAGAGCTTTTCCTATTTGGCCATCTTGGCTCCTCCCCCTGATGTTTGCTTTTAACTCACAAAGATGAACATTCCTTTTCATAGAGCAATTTCGAATCACTCTTTTTGTAGAATTTGCAAGTGGATATTTGGACGGCTTTCAGGCCTTCGTTGGAAAAGGGATACCTTCACAAAAACAAGACAGAAGCATTCTCAGAATCTCCTTTCTGATGTGTGCATTGAACTCAATGACTTGAACCTTTCCCTTGATAGAGCAGTTTTGAAACACTCTTTTTTGTACAATCTGCAAATGGACATTTTGTAGCACTTTGAGGCCTATGGTGAAAAAGGAAATATCTTCATATAAAAACTAGACAGAAGCATTCTCAGAAACCTCTTTGTGATGTGTGTATTGAACTCACAGAGTTGAACGATTCTTTTGATAGAGCAGTTTTGAGACACTCTTTTTGTAGAATCTGCAAGTGGACATTTGGAGCACTTCAAGGCCTGAGGTGAAAAAGGAAATATGTCTTCGCATTAAGACTACACAGAAGCATTCTCAGAAACTTCTTTGTGATGTTTATTTTCAGCTAACAGAGTTGAACGTTCCTTTTCATAGAGCAGTTTTGAAACACTCTTTTTAATTTGCAAGTGGGTATTTGGAACGCTTTGAGACCTTCGCTGGAAAAGGGATATCTTCACAAAAAATTGGCAGAAGCATTCTCAGGAACTTCTTTGTGATGTGTGCATTCAACTCACAGAGTTGAAGCCTTCTTTTGATAAAGCTGTTGTGAAACACTCTTTTTGTTGAATCTGCAAGTGAGCTTTCGGAACGTTTTGAGGCCTATGGAGGAAAAGGAATTATCTTCATGTAAAAACAACACAGAAGCATTCTCAGGAACTTTTCTGTGATGTATGCGTTCAACTCCTACAATTGAAACTCTCTTTTGATAGAGCAGTTTAGAAACCCTCTTTTTGCAGAATCTGCAACTGGAAATTTGGTGCGCTTTGAGGCCTATGGTGAAAAAGGAAATATCTTCACATAAAAACTACGCAGAAGTGTTCTCAGAAACTTCTTTGTGATGTTTGCATTCATCTCACAGAGCTGAACATTCCTTTTCATAGAGCAGTTTGGAAACACTCTTTTTGTAGAATTTGCAAGAGGATATTTGGACCGCTTTGAGGCATTCGTTGGAAAAGGGATATCTTCATAAAAACTGGACAGAAGCATTCTCACAAACTTCTTTGTGATGTGTGCATTCAACTCACAGAGTTAAACCTTTCCTTCGATAGAACAGTTTTGAAAAACTCTTTTTGTAGGATCTGCAAGTGGACATTTGTAACGCTTTCAGGCCTATGATGAAAAACGAAATATCTTCACATAAAAATTAGACAGAAGCATTCTCAGAAATCTCTTTGTGATGTGTGTAATCAACTAACAGAGTTGAAGCTTTCCTTTGATAGAGCACATTGGAACACTCTTTTTGTAAAATCTGCAAGTGGACATTTGGAGCGTTTTGAGGCCTGTGATGAAAAAGGAAATATCTTCACATAAGAACTACACAGAAGCATTCTCAACAACTTTTTTCTGATGTTTACTTTCAACACAAAGTCTTCAACATTCCTTTTCACAAAGTAGTTTTGAAACACTCTTTTTGTAGAATTTAAAAGTGGATATAAGGACCTCTTTGAGGCCTTCGTTGGAAACGGGATATCTTCACAAAAACTAGACAGAGGCATTCTCAGAAACTACTTTTTGATGTGTGTATTCACCTCACAGATTTGAAGCGTTCTTTTGATAGAGCAGTTTTGAAACACTCTTTTTGTAGGATCTGCAAGTGGGCATTTGGATTGCTTTGAAGCTTATGGTGGATAAGGAAATATCTTCACTTAAAAACTAGACAGAAGCATTCTCAGAAACTGCTTTGTGATGTGTGCATTCAACTTACAGAGTTGAACTTTCCTTTTGAGAGAGCAGTTTTGAAACAGTCTTTTTGTAGTATCTGCAAGTGTTCACTGGAGTGCTTTGAATCCTATGGTGCAAAAGGAAATATCTTCACATAAAAACTAGACAGAAGCATTCTCTGGAACTTCTTTGAGATGTGTGCATTCAACTCACAGAGTTAAATCTGTCTTTTGATAGAGCAGTATTGAAACACTCCTTTTGTGGGATCTGCTTGTGTATATTTGGAACTCTTTGAGGAATTCTTTGGAAAAGGTTATCTTCACATAAAAACTAGACAGAAGCATTCTTAGAAAGTTCTTTGTGATGTGTGCATTCAGCTCACAGAGGTGAAAGTTTCTTTTGATAGAGCAGTGTTGAAACACACCTTTGGTCGAATCTGTAAGTGTTCATTTGTAGCGCTTTGGGGCCTAAGGTGCAAAAGGAAATATCTTCACAGAAAAACTAGACAAAAGCATTCTCAGAAACAACTTTGTGATGTGTGTGTTCAATTCACAGAGTTGAACATTTCTTTCGATAGAGCAGTTTTGAAACACTGCTTTTGTAGAATCTGCTTGTGGATATTTGGAGCTCTGAGTAATTCGTTGCAAACGGGAAATCTTCACATACAAACTAGACAGAAGCATTCTCAGAAACTGCTTTGTGATCTGTGCATTCAACTCCCAGAGTTGAACCTTCCTTTTGAGAGAGCAGTTTTGAAACAGGCTTTTTGTTGTGTCAACAAGTAGATATTTGGAGCGATTTGAAGCCTATGATGGAAAAGGATATATCTTCACATACAAACTAGACAGAAACATTCTCAGAAACTGCTTTGTGATGTGAGCATTCAACTCACAGAGTTGAACCTTCCTTTTGAGAGAGCAGTTTTGAAACACTCTTTATGTTGTATCTGCAAGTGGATACTTTGGGCGATTTGAGGCCTGTTATTGAAAAGGAAAGATCTTCACATACAACCTAGACAGAAGCATTCTCAGAAACTGCTTTGTGATGTGTGAATTCAACTCTCCATGCTGAACTTTCCTTTTGAGAGAGCAGTTTTGAAACAGTCCTTTTGAAGTATCTGCAAGTGGATATTTGGAGCGATTTGAGGCCTATGATGGAAAAATGAAATATCTTCACATACAAACGAGACAGAAGCATTCTCAGAAACTGCTTTGTGATGTGTGCATTCACTTCACAGAGTGGATCCCTTCTTTTCATAGAGCACTTTTGAAATAGGCTTTTTGTAGAATCTGCAAGTGTTCATTGAGAGCGCTTTGAAGCCTATGGTCGAAAAGGATATATATCTTCACATACAAACTAGACAGAAGCATTCTCAGGAACTTCTTTGAGATGTGTGCATTCAACTAACAGAGTTGAATCTGTCTGTTGATAGAGCAGTATTGAAACACTCCTTTTGTAGAATCTGCTTGTGGATATTTGGAACTCTTTAGGAATTCGTTGGAAACGGGTATCTTCACATAAAAACTAGACACAAGCATTCTCAGAAAGCTCTTTGTGATGTGTGCATTCTATTCACAGAGTTGAACATTTCTTTGGATAGAGTAGTGTTGAAACACACCTTTTGTAGAATCTGCAAGTGTTCATTTGGAGTGCTTTGAGGCCTGTGATGGAAAAGGAAATGTCTTCACATAAAAACTAGATAGAAGCATTCTCAGAAACACCATTGTGTTGTGTGCGTTCAATTCACAGAGTTGAACCTTTCTTTTGATAGAGCAGTTTTGAATCACTGCTTTTGTGGAATCTGCTTGTGGATATTTAGAGCTCTTTGTGGAATTCGTTGTAAACGGGATATCTGCACATAAAAAGTAGACAGAAGCATTCTCAGAAACTGCTTTGTGATGTGTGCATTCAACTCACAGTGTTGAACCTTCCTTTTGAGAGAGCAGTTTTGAAAGAGTCTTTTTGTAGTATCTGCAAGTGGATATTTGGAGCGATTTGAGACCTATGATGGAAAAGGAAATATCTTCACATAAAAACTAGAGAGAAGCATTCTCAGAGGCAGCTTTGTGGTGTGTGCATTCACCTCACAGAGTGGAACGCTTCTTTTCTTAAAACAGTTTTGAAACAGTCTTTTTGTAGAATCTGGAAGTGTTCATTTGGAGCACTTTGAAGCCTATGGTAGAAAAGGAAATGCATTCACATAAAAACTAGACAGAAGCATTCTCAGGAAATTCTTTGAGATGTGTGCATTCAACTAACAGAGTTGAATCTGTCTTTTGATTGAGCAGTATTGAAACACTCCTTTTGAAGAATCTGCTTGTGGATAACTGGAAATCTTTGAGGAATTCGTTGGAAAAGGTTATCTTCACATAAAAACTACAGAGAAGGATTCTCAGAAAGTTCTTTTTGATGTGTGCATTCAACTCACAGTGTTGAAGCTTTCTTTTGATAGAGCAGTGTTGAAACACACCTTTTGTAGAATCTGCAAATGTTCATTTGGAGGGCTTTATGACCTGTGGTGGAAAAGGAAATATCTTCACATAAAAACGAGACAGGAGCATTCTCAGAAACTGCTTTGTGATGCGTGCATTCACCACACAGAGTGGAACCAACCTTTTGAGAGAGCAGTTTTGAAACTGTCTTTTTGTAGCATCTGCAAGTAGATCTTTTGAGCGATTTGAGGCCTATGATGGGAAAGGAAATATCTTCACATAAAAACTAGATAGAAGAACTCTAAGAAACTGCTTTGTCAGGTGTGCATTCACCTTACAGAGTGGAACTCTTCTTTTCATAAAGCAGTTTTGAAACAGTCTTTTTGTAGAATCTGCAAGTGTTCTTTTGGAGCGCTTTGAAGCCTAAGGTAGAAAATGAAATATCTTCACATAAAAACTAGACAGAAGCATTCTCAGGAACTTCTTTGAGATGTCTGCATTCAACTAACATAATTGAATCTGTCTTTTGATAGAGCAGTATTGAAACACTCCTTTGTAGAATCTGCTTGTGGATATTTGGAACTCTCTGAGGAATTCGTTGGAAACGGGCATCTTCACATAAAAACTAGACAGAAACATTCTCAGAAAGTTTTTTGCGAAGTGTGCATTCTACTCACAGAGTTGAAACTTTCTTTTGATACAGCACTATTGAAACACACCTTTTGTAGTATCTGCAAGTGCTCTTTTGGAGTGCTTTGGTGCCTACGGTGGAAAAGGAAATATCTTCACATAAAAATTAGACAGAGGCATTGTGAGAAACATCATTGTGATGTGTGTCTTCAATTCACAGAGTTGAAATTTTATTTTGATAGAGCAGTTTTGAAACACTGTTTTTGCAGAATCTGCTTGTGGATATTAAGAGATTTTTGAGAAATTCGTTGTAAACGGGATATCTTCACATACAAACTAGACAGAAGCCTTCTCAGAAACTGCTTTGTGATGTGTGGATTCAACTCACAGAATTGAACGTTCGTTTTGAGAGAGCAGTTTTGAAACAGTCTTTTTGTAGTATCTGCAAGTAGATATTCTGAGCGATGTGAGGCCTATGATGCCAAAGGAAATACCTTCACATACAAACTAGACAGAAGCATTCTCAGAAACTGCTTTGTGATGTGTGCATTCAACTCACAGAATTGAACCTTCCTTTTGAGAGAGCAGTTTTGAAACAGTCTTTTTGTAGTATCTGCAAGTGGATATTTGGAGCGATGTGAAGCCTATGATGGCAAAGGAAATATCTTCACGTACAAACTAGACAGAAGCATTCCAAGAAACTGCTTTGTGATGTGTGCATTCAACTCACAGAGTTGAAACATCCTTTTGAGAGAGCAGTTTTGAAACAGTATTTTTGTAGTATTTGCAAGTGGATATTTGGAGCGATTTGAGGCCTGTGATGGAAAAGGAAATATCTTCACATAAAAACTAGACAGAAGCATTCTCACAAACAACTTTGTGATGTGTGCATTCACCTCACAGAGTGGAACCCTTCTTTTCATAGAGCAGTTTTGAAACAGTCTTTTTGTAGAATCTGCAAGTGTTCATTTGGAGCGCTTTGAAGACTGTGGGGGAAAAGGAAATATCTTCAAGTAAAAACTAGACAGAAGCATTCTCAGGAAATTCTTTGAGATGTGTGCATTCAACTAACAGAGTTGAATATGTCTTTTTATTGAGCAGTATTGAAACACTTCTTTTGCAGAATCTGCTTGTGGATATTTGGAAGTCTTTGAGGAATTCGTTGGAAACGGTTGTCTTCACATAAAAACTAGAGAGAAGCATTATCACAAAGTTCTTTGTGATGTGTCCATTCAACTCACAGTGTTGAAGCTTTCTTTTGATAGAGCAGTGTTGAAACACACCTTTTGTAGAATTTGCAAGTGTTCATTTGGAGCGCTTTGGGGCCTATGGTGGAAAAGAAAATATCTTCACATAAAAACTAGATAGAAGCATTCTCAGAAACATCTTTGTGATGTGTGTGCTCACTTCACAGCGTTGAAACTTTCCTTTGATAGAGCAGTTTTGGAACACTGCTTTTGTAGAATCTGCTTGTGGATATTTGGAGCTCTTTGAGGAATTCGTTCTAAACGGGAAATCTTCACATACAAACTAGAGAGAAGCATTCTCAGAAACTACTTTGTGATGTGTGCGTTCAACTAACAGAGTTGAACCTTCCTTTAGAGAGAGCAGTTTTCAAACAATCTTTTTGTAGTATTTGCAAGGGGATATTTGGAGCGATTTGAGGCCAATGATGGAAAAGGAAATACCTTCATATACAAAGTAGACAGAAGCATTCTCAGAAAATGCTTTGTGATGTGTGCATTCAACTCACAGAATTGAACCTTCCTTTGGAGAGAGCAGTTTTGAAAGAGTCTTTTTGTAGTATCTGCAAGTGGATATTTGGAGCGATTTGAGGCCTATGACGGAAAAGGACATATCTTCACAAAAAACTAGACAGAAGCATTCTCACAAACAACTTTGTGATGTGTGCATTCACCTCACAGAGTGGAACCCTTCTTTTCATAGAGCAGTTTTGAAACAGTCTTTTTGTAGAATCCGCAACTGTTCATTTGGAGCGCTTTAAAGCCTATGGTGGAAAAGGAAATATCTTCACATACAAACTAGACAGAAGCATTCTCAGAAACTGCTTTGTGATGTGTGAATTCAACTCAGAGTTGAAAATTCCTTTTGAGAGAGCAGTTTTGAAACAGTCTTTTTGGAGTACCTGCAAGTGGATATTTGGAGTGATTTGAGGCCTATGATGGAAAAGGAAATACCTTCACATACAAACTAGACAGAAGCATTCTCAGAAACTGCTTTGTGATGTGTGTCTTCAACTCACAGAGTTGAACCCTCCTTTGGAAAGAGCAGTTTTGAAACAGTCTTCTTGTAGTATCTGCAAGTGGATATTTTGAAAACTTGAGGCCTATGATGGAAAAGGAAATATCTTCACATACAAACTAGACAGAAGCATTCTCAGAAACTGCTTTGTGATGTGTGCATTCAACTCACAGAGTTCCAACCTTCCTTTTGAGAGATCAGTTTTGAAACTGTATTTTTGTAGAAACCGCATGTGGATATTTGGAGCGATTTGATGCCTATGGTGGAAAAGGAAATATCTTCACATAAAAACTTGACTGAAGCATTCTCAGGAACTTCTTTGTGATGTGTGCATTCAACTAACAGAATTGAATCTGTCTTTTGATAGAGCAGTACTGAAACCCGCCTTTTGTAGAAGCTGCTTGTGGATATTCGGAACACCTTGAGGAATTCTTTGGAAACGGGTATCTTCACATAAAAACTAGACACAAGCATTCTCAGAAAGTTCTTTTTGATGTGTGCATTCAACTCACAGAGTGGAACCTTTCTTTTCATAGAGCAGTTTTGAAACAGTCTCTTTGTAGAATCTACAAGTGCTCATTTGGAGCGGTTTGTGGCCTATGGTGGAAATGGGATTATATCTTCACATAAAAACTAGACAGAAGCATTCTCAGAAACAACTATGTGATGCGTGTGTTCAATTCACAGAGTTGAAGCTTTCTTTTGATAGAGCAGTTTTGAAACACTGCTTTTGCACAATCTGCATGTGGATATTTGGAGCTCTGAGGAATTCGTTGTAAACGGGATATCTTCACATACAAAGTAGACAGAAGCATTCTGAGAAACTTCTTTGTGATGTGTGCATTCAACTCACAGAGATGAACCTTCCTTTTGAGAGAGCAGTTTTGAAAGTCTTTTGTAGTATCTGCAAGTAGATATTTTGAGAGATTTGAGGCCTATGATGGAAAAGGAAATATCTTCACATACAAACCAGACAGAAGCATTCTCAGAAGCTGCTTTGTGATGTGCGCATTCAACTCACAGAGTTGAACCTTCCTTTGGAGAGAGCAGTTTTGAAACAGTATTTTTGTAGTATCTGCTAGTAGATATTTGGAGCGATTTCAGGCCTATGATGGAGTAGGAAATATCTTCACATACAAACTGGACAGAAGCATTCTCAGAAACTGCTTTTTGATGTGTGCATTCAACTCACAGAGTTGAACACTTCTTTTGAGAGAGCAGTTTTGAAACAGTCTTTTTCTGGTATCTGCAAGTGGATATTTGGAGGGATTTGAGGTCTATGATGGAAAAGGAAATACCTTCACATACTAACTAGACAGAAGCATTCCCAGAAACTGCTCTGTGATGTGTGCATTCAACTCACAGAGATGAACGTTCCTTTTGAGAGAGCACTTTTGAGTCTTTTTGTAGTATCTGCAAGGGATATTTGGAGCGATTTGAGGCCTATGATGGAAAAGGAAATCTCTTCACATAAAAACTAGACAGAAGCATTCTCAGAAACTGCTTTGTGATGTGGGCATTCACCTCACAGAGTGGAACCATTCTTTTCATAGAGCAGGTTTGAAACTGTCTTTTTGTAGAATCTGCAAGTGTTCATTTGGAGCGCTTTGAAGCCTATGGTGGAAAAGGAAATATCTTCACATAAAAACGAAACAGAAGCATTCTCAAGAACTTCTTTGTGATGTGTGCATTCAAGTAACAGAGTTGAATTTGTCTTTTGATACAGCAGTATAGAAACACTCCTTTTGTATTATCTGCTTGTGGATATTTGGCACTCATTTAGGAGTTCGTTGGAAATGGGTATCATCTTCACATAAAAACTATACAAGCATTCTCAGAAAGTACTTGTGATGTGTGCATTCAGCTCACAGAGTTGAACCTTACTTTTGATAGAGCAGTGTTGGAACCCACCTGTTGTAGAATCTGCAAGGTTTCATTTGGAGTGCTTTGTGGCCTCTGATCGAATGGAAATATCTTCACATAAAAACTGGACAGAAGCATTCTCAGAAACACCTTTGTGATGTGCGTGTTGAATTCACATGGTTGAAACTTTCTTTTGATAGAGCAGTTTCGAAACACTGCTTTTGTAGAATCTGCTTGTGGATATTTGGAGCTCTTTCAGGAATTCGTTTTAAACGCGATATCTTCACACACAAACTAGACAGAAGCATTCTCAGAAACTGCTTTGTGATGTGTGCATTCAACTCACAGAATTGAACTTTCCTTTTCAGAGAGCTGTTTTGAAACAGTCTTTTGTGGTATCTGCAAGTGGATATTTGGAGCGATTTGAGGCCTATGATGCAAAAGGAAATATCTTCACATAAAAACTAGAAAGAAGCATTCTCAGAAACTGCTTTGTGATGTGTGCATTCACCTCACAGAGGGGAACCCTTCTTTTCATAGAGCAGTCTTGTAACAGTCTATTTGTAGAATCTGCAAGTTTTCCTTTGGAGGGCTTTGAAGCCTATGGTGGAAAAGGAAATATCTTCACATAAAAACTAGACAGAAGCATTCTCAGAAAAAACTTTGTGATGTTTGTGTTCAATTCACGGCATTGAACCTTTCTTTTGATAGAGCAGTTTTGAAACACTGCTTTTGTTGGTTCTGCTTGTGGATATTAGGAGCTCTTAGAGGAATTCATTGTAAACCGGATATCTTCACATAAAGAGTAGACAGAAGCATTCTCAGAAACTGCTTTGTGATGTGTGCCTTCAGCTCACAGAGTTGAAGGAACCTTCCTTTTGAGAGAGCAGTTTCAAAACATTCTTTCTGTGGTATCTGCAAGTGGATATTTGGAGCGATTTGAGGCCTATGATGGAAAAGGAAATATCTTCACATAAAAACTAGACAGAAGCATTCTCAGAAACTGCTATTTAATGTGTGGATTAACCTCACAGAATGGAACACTTCTTTTCATAGAGCAGTTTTGAAACATTCTTTTTGTAGAATGTTCAAGTGTTCATTTAGAGCGCTTTCAAGCCTTTGGTGGAAAACGAAATATCTTCACATAAAAACTAGACAGACAGAAGCATTCTCAGAAACTACTTTGTGATATGTGCATTCAACACACAGAGTTGAACATTCCTCTTCATAGAGCAGATTGCTATCACTCTTTTTGTAGAATCTGCAAGTGGATATTTGGACCAATTTGAGGCCTTCGTTGGAAACGGGATTTCTTCATATAAAACTAGACAGAAGAATTCTCAGAGACTTCTCTGTGATGTGTGCATACAACTCACAGAGATGAAACTTCTTTTTGATAGAGCAGATTTGAAACACTCTTTTTGCAGAATTTCCAAGAGGATATTTAGAGCGCTTTGAATCCTACGGTAGAAAAGGCAATATCTTCATAAAAAAAATAGACAGAATCAGTCCCAGAAACAAATTTGTGATGTGACCATTCAACTGACAGAGTTTAAATTTTCTATCGATAGAGCAGTTTTGAAAACCTCTTGTTGTAGAATTTGCAAGTGTGTATTTAGAGTGCTTTGAGGTCTATGGTAGAAAAGGAAATATCTTCATATAAAAAGAAGACAGAAGCATTCTCAGTAACTACTCTGTGATGATTGCATTCAACTCCCAGAGTTGAACATTCATTTTGATAGAGCAGTTTGCAATCACTCCTTTGTAGAATCTGCAAGTGGAGATTTGGACCGCTTTGAGGCCTGTGGTAGTAAAGGAAAGAACTTCACATGAAAACTAGACAGTAGCACTCTCACAAAATTCTTTGTGACGATTGAGTTAGCTCAGAGAGCTGAACATTCATTTTGATGGAGCAGTTTCCAAACAAACTTTTTGTAGAATTTGCAAGGGGATATTTGGACCTCTCTGAGGATTTCGTTGGAAACGGGATCAAATTCCCATAACTGAACGGAGGCATTCTCAGAAACATCTTTGTGATGCTTGCATTCAACTCACAGAGTGGAAACTTCCTTTGATAGTGCAGGTTTGCAACACCCGTGTAGTAGAATCTGCAAGTGTATATTTTGACCATTTTGTAGTCTTCGTTTGAAACGGCTATATCTTCACATCAAACCTAGACAGAAGCATTCTCACAAAGTTTTCTGCGATGACTGCATTCAACTCTCAGAGTTGAACAATCCTTTTGATGGAGGAGTTTTGAAACCCACTTTCTTTGGAATCTGCAAGGGCATACGTGTACCTCGTTGAACATTTCATTGGAAAAGGGATCATCTTCACATAAAAACTAAACAGAAGCATTCTCGGAAACTACTTTGTGATGTTTGTATTCAACTCCGAGAGTTGAGCTTTCCTTTTGAAAGAGCAGCTATGAAAGAGTCTTTTTCGAGAATCTGCAAGTGGACATTAGGAGGGCTATGAGGCCTGTGGTGGAAAAGGAAATATCTTCACATAAAAAACATAAAAACTAGATAGAAGCATTCTCAGAAACTACTTTGTGAGGATGGCATTCAACTCACGGAGTTGAACAATCCTATTGATAGAGCAGATTGGAAACACTCTTTTTGTAGAATCTGTAAATGGAGATTTGGACTGCTTTGAGGCCTACGGTAGTATAGGAAGGAACTTCATATAAAAAGCAAACGGAAGCATTCTCAGAATTTTCTTTGTGATGATGGAGTTTAACTCACAGAGCTGAACATGCCTTTTGATGGAGCAGTTTCCAAATACACTTTTAGTAGAATCTGCAAGTGGATATTTGGACCTCTCTGAGGATTTCGTTGGAAATGGGAAAGACTTCCCATGACTAAACACAAACATTCTGAGAAAGTTCTTCATGATGAATGCATTTAACTCACAGTGATGAACCTTCCTTTGAGAGTTCAGGTTTGAAAGACTCTTTCTGTAAAATCTGCAAGTGGATATTTGAACCACTGGGTGGCCTTCGTTCGAAACGGGTATATGTTCACGTAAAAACTAAGGAGAAGCATTCTCAGAAACTTCTGTGTGATGATTGCATTCAAGTCACACAGTTGAACCCTCCTTTTGATTGAGCAGTTTTGAATCTGTCTTTTTGTAGAATCTGTAAGTGGATATGTGGACCTCTTTGAAGATTTCTTTGGAAATGGGAATATCTCCACAGAAAAACTAAACTGAAGCATTCTCAGAAACTGATTTGTGATGTTTGTGTTCGAGCCACAGAGTTTAACATTGCTTTTCATAGAGCAGTTTTGAAACATTCTGTTCGCAGAATCTGCAAGTGGACATTTGGAGCGCTTTCAGGCCTGTGGTGGAAAAGGTCTGAAAGCCTTTTCCTTTATCTTCACATAAAGACGAGAGAGAAGCATTGCCAGAAACTTCTTTGTGATGATTGCATTCAACTCACAGAGTTGAAGATTCCTTTTGAAACAGCAGTTTCGAAACACTCTTTCTGTGGGATCCACAAGGGGATATTTGGAACTCTTTGAAGATTTCGTTGGAAACGGGATAATCTCACCTAAAAGCTAAACGGAAGCATTCTCAGAAACTTCTTTGGGATGTTTGCATTCACCTCACAGAGTTGAACTTTGCCTTTGATAGTGCAGCTTTGACACACTTTTTCAACAATGTGCAAGTGGATATTTAGCGGGTTTGGAGGACTGTGTTGGAAAAGGAAATATCTTCTCCTAAAAACGACATAGAAGCATTCTCAGAAACTGCTCTGTGATGATTGCGTTCAACCCCCAGAGTTGAACATTCCTTTTGATAGAGCAGTTTGCAAACACTCTTTTTGTAGAATCTGCAAGTGGAGATTTGGACTGCTTTGAGGCCTGTGGTAGTAAAGGAAAGAACTTCATATAAAAACTAGACGGTAGCACTCTCAGAAAATTCTTTGTGACGATAGAGTTTAACTCAGAGAGCTGAACATTCGTTATGATGGAGCAGTTTCCAAACACACATTTTGTAGAATCTGCAAAGGGATATTTGGACCTCTCTGAGGATTTCGTTGGAAATGGGATCAACTTCCCATAACTGAACGGAAGCAAACTCAGAAAATTCTTTGTGATGTTTGTATTCAACTCACAGAGTTGAACCTTCCTTTGATAGTTCAGGTTTGCAACACCCTTGTAGTAGAATCTGCAAGTGTATATTTTGACCACTTTGTAGCCTTCGTTTGAAACGTCTATATCTTCACATGAAACCTAGACAGAAGCATTCTCAGAAAGTTTTCTGTGATGACTGCATTCAACTCACAGATTGGAACAATCCTTTTGATGGAGCAGTTTTGAAACCCTCTTTCTTTGGAATCTGCAAGTGGTATGTGGAACTCCTTGAAGATTTCACTGGAAACGGGATCATCTTCACATAAAAACTAAACAGAAGCATTCTCGGAAACTACTTTGTGATGTTTGTATTCAACTCCCAGAGTTGAACTTTCCTTTTGAAAGAGCAGCTATGAAACACTCTTTTTCGAGAATCTGCAAGTGGACGTTTGGAGGGCTTTGAGGCCTGTGGTGGAAAAGGAAATATCTTCACATAAAAACTAGATAGAAGCATTCTCAGAAACGACTTTGCGAGGATGGCATTCAACTCATGGAGTTGAACAATCCTATTGATAGAGCAGATTGGAATCACTCTTTTTGTAGAATCTGCAAATGGAGATTTGGACTGCTTTGAGGCCTACGGTAGTATAGGAAGGAACTTCATATAAAAGGCAAACGGAAGCATTCTCAGAATATTCTTTGTGATGATGGAGTTTCACTCACAGAGCTGAACATGCCTTTTGATGGAGCAGTTTCCAAATACACTTTTGGTAGAATCTGCAGGTGGATATTTGGACCTCTCTGAGGATTTCGTTGGAAACGGGAATAATTTCCCATAACTAAACTCAAACACGCTGAGAACGTTCTTCATGATGAATGCATTTAACTCACAGAGATGAACCTTCCTTTGAGAGTTCAGGTTCGAAACACTCTTTCTGTAGAATCTGCAAGTGGATATTTGGACCACTGGGTGGCCTTCTTTCGAAACAGGTATATGTTCACGTAAAAACTAAAGAGAAGCATTCTCAGAAACTTCTGAGTGACGACTGCATTCAAGACACACAGTTGAACCCTCCTTTTGATTGAGCAGTTTTGAAATTGTCTTTTTGTAGAATCTGTAAGTGGATACGTGGACCTCTTTGAAGATTTCTTTGGAAACGGGAATCTTTCCACAGAAAAACTAAACTGAAGCATTCTCAGAAACTGCTTTGTGATGTTTGTGTTCGAGCCACAGAGTTTAACATTGCTTTTCATAGAGCAGTTTTGAAATATTCTTTTCGCAGAATCTACAAGTGGACATTTGGAGCGCTTTCAGGCCTGTGGTGGAAAAGGCCTGAAAGCCTTTTCCTTTATCTTCACAGAAAGACAAGAGAGAAGCATTGTCAGAAACTTCTTTGTGATTTTTGCATTCAACTCACAGAGTTGAAGATTCCTTTTGAAACAGCAGTTTCGAAACACTCTTTCTGTGGGATCCGCAAGGGGATATTTGGACCTCTTTGAAGATTTCGTTGGAAACGGGATAATCTTCACCTAAAAGCTAAACGGAAGCATTCTCAGAAACTTCTTTGGGATGTTTGCATTCACCTCACAGAGTTGAACTTTCCCTCTGATAGCGCAGCTTTGATACATTTTTTCTACAATGTGCAAGTCGTATTTACCGGGCTTGGAGGACTGTGTTGGAAAAGGAAATATCTTCTCCTAAAAACGACATAGAAGCATTCTCAGAAACTGCTCTGTGATGATTGCATTCAACTCCCAGAGTTGAACATTCCTTTTGATAGAGCAGTTTGCAAACACTCTTTTTGTAGAATCTGCAAGTGGAGATTTGGACCGCTTTGAGGCCTGTGGTAGTAAAGGAAAGAACTTCGTATGAAAACTAGATGGTAGCACTCTCAGAAAATTCTTTGGGACGATGGAGTTTAACTCAGAGAGCTGAACATTCGTTATGATGGAGCAGTTTCCAAACACACGTTTTGTAGAATCTGCAAGGGGATATTTGGACCTCTCCGAGGATTTCGTTGGAAACGGGATCAACTTCCCGTAACTGAACGGAAGCAAACTCAGAACATTCTTTGTGATGTTTGTATTCAACTCACAGAGTTGAACCTTCCTTTGATAGTTCAGGTTTGCAACACCCTTGTAGTAGAATCTGCAAGTGTATATTTTGACCACTTTGTAGCCTTCGTTTGAAACGTCTATATCTTCACATCAAACCTAGACAGAAGCATTCTCAGAAAGTTTGCTGTGATGACTGCATTCAACTCACAGAGTTGAACAATCCTTTTGATGGAGCAGTTTTGAAACCATCTTTCTTTGGAATCTGCAAGGGGATATGTGGACCTCTTTGAAGAATTCACTGGAAACGGGATCATCTTCACATAAAAACTAAACAGAAGATTCTCAGAAACTACTTTGTGATGTTTGTATTCAACTCCCAGAGTTGAACTTTCCTTTTGAAAGAGCAGCTATGAAACACTCTTTTTCGAGAATCTGCAAGTGGACATTTGGAGGGCTTTGAGGCCTGTGGTGGAAAAGGAAATATCTTCACATAAAAACTAGATAGAAGCATTCTCAGAAACGACTTTGTGAGGATGGCATTCAACTCATGGAGCTGAACAATCCTATTGATAGAGCAGATTGGAATCACTCTTTTTGTAGAATCTGCAAATGGAGATTTGGACTGCTTTGAGGCCTACGGTAGTATAGGAAGGAACTTCATATAAAAGGCAAACGGAAGCATTCTCAGAATATTCTTTGTGATGATGGAGTTTCACTCACAGAGCTGAACATGCCTTTTGATGGAGCTGTTTCCAAATACACTTTTGGTAGAATCTGCAGGTGGATATTTGGAGCTCTCTGAGGATTCCGTTGGAAACGGGAATAATTTCCCATAACTAAACACAAACACTCTGAGAAAGTTCTTCATGATGAATGCATTTAACTCGCAGAGATGAACCTGCCTTTGATAGTTCAGGTTCGAAACACTCTTTCTGTAGAATCTGCAAGTGGATATTTGGACCAATGGGTGGCCTTCGTTCGAAACGGGTATATGTTCACGTAAAAACTAAAGAGAAGCATTCTCAGAAACTTCTGAGTGATGATTGCATTCAAGTCACACAGTTGAACCCTCCTTTTGATTGAGCAGTTTTGAAACTGTCTTTTTTTAGAATCTGTAAGTGGATACGTGGACCTCCTGGAAGATTTCTTTGGAAACGGGAATATTTCCACAGAAAAACTAAACTGAAGCATTCTCGGAAACTGCTTTGTGATGTTTGTGTTCGAGCCACAGAGTTTAACATTGCTTCTCAAAGAGCAGTTTTGAAATATTCTTTTCACAGAATCTGCAAGTGGACATTTGGAGCCCTTTCAGGCCTGTGGTGGAAAAGGCCTGAAAGCCTTTTCCTTTATCTTCACAGAAAGACCAGAGAGAAGCATTGTCAGAAACTTCTTTGTGATGATTGCATTCAACTCACAGAGTTGAAGATTCCTTTTGAAACAGCAGTTTCGAAACACTCTTTCTGTGGGATCCGCAATGGGATATTTGGACCTCTTTGAAGGATTTCGTTGGAAACGGGATAATCTTCACCTAAAAGCTAAACGGAAGCATTCTCAGAAACTTCTTTGGGATGTTTGCATTCACCTCACAGAGTTGAACTTTCCCTTTGATAGCGCAGCTTTGACACACTTTTTCTACAATGTGCAAGTGGATATTTAGCGGGCTTGGAGGACTGTGTTGGAAAAGGAAATATCTTCTCCTAAAAACGACATAGAAGCATTCTCAGAAACTGCTCTGTCATGATTGCATTCCACTCCCAGAGTTGAACATTCCTTTTGATAGAGCAGTTTGCAAACACTCTTTTTGTAGAATCTGCAAGTGGAGATTTGGACCGCTTTGAGGCCTGTGGTAGTAAAGGAAAGAACTTCATATAAAAACCAGACGGTAGCACTCTCAGAAAATTCTTTGTGACGATGGAGTTTAACTCAGAGAGCTGAACATTCGTTATGATGGAGCAGTTTCCAAACACACGTTTTGTAGTATCTGCAAGGGGATATTTGGACCTCTCTGAGGATTTCGTTGGAAACGGGATCAACTTCCCATAACTGAACGGAAGCAAACTCAGAACATTCTTTGTGATGTTTGTATTCAACTCACAGAGTTGAACCTTCCTTTGATAGTTCAGGTTTCAACACCGTTGTAGTGGAATCTGCAAGTGTATATTTTGACCACTTTGTAGCCTTCGTTTGAAACGTCTATATCTTCACATCAAACTTAGACAGAAGCATTCTCAGAAAGTTTTGTGCGATGACTGCATTCAACTCACAGAGTTGAACAATCCTTTTGATGGAGCAGTTTTGAAACCCTCTTTCTTTGGAATCTGCAAGGGGATATGTGGACCTCTTTGAAGATTTCACTGGAAACGGGATCATCTTCACATAAAAACTAAACAGAAGCATTCTCGGAAACTACTTTGTGATGTTTGTATTCAACTCCCAGAGTTGAACTTTCCTTTTGAAAGAGCAGCTATGAAACACTCTTTTTCGAGAATCTGCAAGTGGACTTTTGGAGGGCTTTGAGGCCTGTGGTGGAAAAGGAAATATCTTCACATAAAAACTAGATAGAAGCATTCTCAGAAACGACTTTGTGAGGATGGCATTCAACTCATGGAGTTGAACAATCCTATTGATAGAGCAGATTGGAATCACTCTTTTTGTAGAATCTGCAAATGGAGATTTGGACTGCTTTGAGGCCTACGGTAGTACAGGAAGGAACTTCATATAAAAGGCAAACGGAAGCATTCTCAGAATATTCTTTGTGATGATGGAGTTTCACTCACAGAGCTGAACATGCCTTTTGATGGAGCAGTCTCCAAATACACTTTTGGTAGAATCTGCAGGTGGATATTTGGACATCTCTGAGGATTTCGTTGGAAACGGGAATAATTTCCCATAACTAAACACAAACACTCTGAGAAAGTTCTTCATGATGAATGCATTTAACTCGCAGAGATGAACCTGCCTTTGAGAGTTCAGGTTCGAAACACCCTTTCTGTAGAATCTGCAAGTGGATATTTGGACCACTGGCTGGCCTTCGTTCGAAACGGGTATATGTTCACGTAAAAACTAAAGAGAAGCATTCTCAGAAACTTCTGAGTGATGATTGCATTCAAGTCACACGGTTGATCCCTCCTTTTGATTGAGCAGTTTTGAAACTGTCTTTTTGTAGAATCTGTAAGTGGATACGTGGACCTGTTTGAAGATTTCTTTGGAAACGGGAATATTTCCACAGAAAAACTAAACTGAAGCATTCTCAGAAACTGCTTTGTGATGTTTGTGTTCGAGCCAGAGAGTTTAACATTGCTTCTCATAGAGCAGTTCTGAAATATTCTTTTCGCAGAATCTGCAAGTGGACATTTGGAGCGCTTTCAGGCCTGTGGTGGAAAAGGCCTGAAAGCCTTTTCCTTTATCTTCACAGAAAGACGAGAGAGAAGCATTGTCAGAAACTTCTTTGTGATGATTGCATTCAACTCACAGAGTTGAAGATTCCTTTTGAAACAGCAGTTTCGAAACACTCTTTCTGTGGGATCCGCAAGGGGATATTTGGACCTCTTTGAAGGTTTCGTTGGAAACGGGATAATCTTCACCTAAAAGCTAAACGGAAGCACTCTCAGAAACTTCTTTGGGATGCTTGCATTCACCTCACAGAGTTGAACTTTCCCTTTGATAGCACAGCTTTGAAACACTTTTTCTACCATCTGCAAGTGGATATTTAGCGGGCTTGGAGGACTGTGGTGGAAAAGGAAATATCTTCTCCTAAAAACCACATAGAAGCATTCTCAGAAACTGCTCTGTGATGATTGCATTCAACTCCCAGAGTTGAACATTCCTCTTGATAGAGCAGTTTGCAAACACTCTTTTTGTAGAATCTGCAAGTGGAGATTTGGACCGCTTTGAGGCCTGTGGTAGTAAAGGAAAGAACTTCATATAAAAACTAGACGGTAGCACTCTCAGAAAATTCTTTGTGACGATGGAGTTTAACTCAGAGAGCTGAACATTCGTTATGATGGAGCAGTTTCCAAACACACGTTTTGTAGAATCTGCAAGGGGATATTTGGACCTCTCTGAGGATTTCGTTGGAAACGGGATCAACTTCCCATAACTGAACGGAAGCAAACTCAGAACATTCTTTGTGATGTTTCTATTCAACTCACAGAGTTGAACCTTCCTTTGATAGTTCAGGTTGGCAACACCCTTGTAGTAGAATCTGCAAGTGTATATTTTGACCACTTTGTAGCCTTCGTTTGAAACGTCTATATCTTCACATCAAACCTAGACAGAAGCATTCTCAGAACGTTTTCTGCGATGACTGCATTCAACTCACAGATTTGAGCAATCCTTTTGATGGAGCAGTCTTGAAACCCTCTTTCTTTGGAATCTGCAAGGGGATATGTGGACCTCTTTGAAGATTTCACTGGAAATGGGATCATCTTCACATAAAAACTAAACAGAAGCATTCTCGGAAACTACTATGTGATGTTTGTATTCAACTCCCAGAGTTGAACTTTCCTTTTGAAAGAGTAGCTATGAAACACTCTTTTTCGAGAATCTGCAAGTGGACGTTTGGAGGGCTTTGAGGCCTGTGGTGGAAAAGGAAATATCTTCACATAAAAGCTAGACAGAAGCATTCTCAGAAACGACTTTGTGAGGATGGCATTCAACTCATGGAGTTGAACAATCCTATTGATAGAGCAGATTGGAATCACTCTTTTTGTAGAATCTGCAAATGGAGATTTGGACTGCTTTGAGGCCTACGGTAGTACAGGAAGGAACTTCATATAAAAGGCAAACGGAAGCATTCTCAGAATATTCTTTGTGATGATTTAGTTTCACTCACAGAGCTGAACATGCCTTTTGATGGAGCAGTTTCCAAATACACTTTTGTTAGAATCTGCAGGAGAATATTTGGACCTCTCTGAGGATTTCGTTGGAAACGGGAATAATTTCCCATAACTAAACACAAACACTCTGAGAAAGTTCTTCATGATGAATGCATTGAACTCGCAGAGATGAACCTGTCTTTGAGTGTTCAGGTTCGAAACACCCTTTCTGTAGAATCTGCAAGTGGATATTTGGACCACTGGGTGGCCTTCGTTCGAAACGGGTATATGTTCACGTAAAAACTAAAGAGAAGCATTCTCAGAAACTTCTGAGTGATGATTGCATTCAAGTCACACGGTTGAACCCTCCTTTTGATTGAGCAGTTTTGAAACTGTCTTTTTGTAGAATCTGTAAGTGGATACGTGGACCTGTTTGAAGATTTCTTTGGAAACGGGAATATTTCCACAGAAAAACTAAACTGAAGCATTCTCAGAAACTGCTTTGTGATGTTTGTGTTCGAGCCACAGAGTTTAACATTGCTTCTCATAGAGCAGTTTTGAAATATTCTTTTCGCAGAATCTGCAAGTGGACATTTGGAGCGCTTTCAGGCCTGTGGTGGAAAAGGCCTGAAAGCCTTTTCCTTTATCTTCACAGAAAGACGAGAGAGAAGCATTGTCAGAAACTTCTTTGTGATGATTGCATTCAACTCACAGAGTTGAAGATTCCTTTTGAAACAGAAGTTTCGAAACACTCTTTCTGTGGGATCCGCAAGGGGATATTTGGACCTCTTTGAAGATTTCGTTGGAAACGGGATAATCTTCACCTAAAAGCTAAACGGAAGCATTCTCAGAAACTTCTTTGGGATGTTTGCATTCACCTCACAGAGTTGTACTTTCCCTTTGATAGCGCAGCTTTGACACACTTTTTCTACAATGTGCAAGTGGATTTTTAGCGGGCTTGGAGGAATGTGGTGGAAAAGGAAATATCTTCTCCTAAAAACCACATAGAAGCATTCTCAGAAACTGCTCTGTGATGATTGCATTCAACTCCCAGAGTTGAACATTCCTTTTGATAGAGCAGTTTGCAAACACTCTTTTTGTAGAATCTGCAAGTGGAGATTTGGACCGCTTTGAGGCCTGTGGTAGTAAAGGAAAGAACTTCCTATAAAAACTAGACGGTAGCACTCTCAGAAAATTCTTTGTGACGATGGAGTTTAACTCAGAGAGCTGAACATTCGTTATGATGGAGCAGTTTCCAAACACACGTTTTGTAGAATCTGCAAGGGGATATTTGGACCTCTCTGCAGATTTCGTTGGAAACGGGATCAACTTCCCATAACTGAACGGAAGCAAACTCAGAACATTCTTTGTGATGTTTGTATTCAACTCACAGGGTTGAACCTTCCTTTGATAGTTCAGGTTGGCAACACCCTTGTAGTAGAATCTGCAAGTGTATATTTTGACCACTTTGTAGCCTTCGTTTGAAAAGTCTATATCTTCACATCAAACCTAGACAGAAGCATTCTCAGAAAGTTTTCTGCGATGACTGCATTCAACTCACAGAGTTGAACAATCCTTTTGATGGAGCAGTTTTGAAACCCTCTTTCTTTGGAATCTGCAAGGGGATATGTGGACCTCTTTGAAGATTTCACTGGAAACGGGATCATCTTCACATAAAAACTAAACAGAAGCATTCTCGGAAACTACTTTGTGATGTTTGTATTCAACTCCCAGAGTTGAACTTTCCTTTTGAAAGAGCAGCTTTGAAACACTCTTTTTCGAGAATCTGCAAGTGGACGTTTGGAGGGCTTTGAGGCCTGTGGTGGAAAAGGAAATATCTTCACATAAAAACTAGAAAGAAGCATTCTCAGAAACGACTTTGTGAGGATGGCATTCAACTCATGGAGTTGAACAATCCTATTGATAGAGGAGATTGGAATCATTCTTTTTGTAGAATCCGCAAATGGAGATTTGGACTGCTTTGAGGCCTACGGTAGTACAGGAAGGAACTTCATATAAAAGGCAAACGGAAGCATTCTCAGAATATTCTTTGTGATGATGGAGTTTCACTCACAGAGCTGAACATGCCTTTTGATGAAGCAGTTGCCAAATACACTTTTGGTAGAATCTGCAGGTGGATATTTGGACCTCTCTGAGGATTTCGTTGGAAACGGGAATAATTTCCCATAACTAAACACAAACACTCTGAGAAAGATCTTCATGATGAATGCATTTAACTCGCAGAGATGAACCTGTCTTTGAGAGTTCAGGTTCGAAACACCCTTTCTGTAGAATCTGCAAGTGGATATTTGGACCACTGGGTGGCCTTCGTTCGAAACGGGTATATGTTCACGTAAAAACTAAAGAGAAGCATTCTCAGAAACTTCTGAGTGATGATTGCATTCAAGTCACACGGTTGAACCCTCCTTTTGATTGAGCAGTTTTGAAACTGTCTTTTTGTAGAATCTGTAAGTGGATACGTGGACCTCTTTGAAGATTTCTTTGGAAACGGGAATAATTCCACAGAAAAACTAGACTGAAGCATTCTCAGAAACTGCTTTGTGATGTTTGTGTTCGAGCCACAGAGTTTAACATTGCTTCTCATAGAGCAGTTTTGAAATATTCTTTTCGCAGAATCTGCAAGTGGACATTTGGAGCGCTTTCAGGCCTGTGGTGGAAAAGGCCTGAAAGCCTTTTCCTTTATCTTCACAGAAAGACGAGAGAGAAGCATTGTCAGAAACTTCTTTGTGATGATTGCATTCAACTCACAGAGTTGAAGATTCCTTTTGAAACAGCAGTTTCGAAACACTCTTTCTGTGGGATCCGCAAGGGGATATTTGGACCTCTTTGAAGATTTCGTTGGAAACGGGATAATCTTCACCTAAAAGCTAAACGGAAGCATTCTCAGAAACTTCTTTGGGATGTTTGCATTCACCTCACAGAGTTGAACTTTCCCTTTGATAGCGCAGCTTCGACACACTTTTTCTACAATGTGCAAGTGGATATTTAGCGGGCTTGGAGGACTGTGGTGGAAAGGGAAATATCTTCTCCTAAAAACCACATAGAAGCATTCTGAGAAACTGCTCTGTGATGATTGCATTCAACTCCCAGAGTTGAACATTCCTTTTGATAGAGCAGTTTGCAAACACTCTTTTTGTAGAATCTGCAAGTGGAGATTTGGACCGCTTTGAGGCCTGTGGTAGTAAAGGAAAGAACTTCATATAAAAACTAGACGGTAGCACTCTCAGAAAATTCTTTGTGACGATGGAGTTTAACTCAGAGAGCTGAACATTCGTTATGATGGAGCAGTTTCCAAACACACGTTTTGTAGAATCTGCAAGGGGATATTTGGACCTCTCTGAGGATTTCGTTGGAAAAGGGATCAACTTCCCATAACTGAACGGAAGCAAACTCAGAACATTCTTTGTGATGTTTCTATTCAACTCACAGAGTTGAACCTTCCTTTGATAGTTCAGGTTGGCAACACCCTTGTAGTAGAATCTGCAAGTGAATATTTTGACCACTTTGTAGCCTTCGTTTGAAACGTCTATATCTTCACATCAAACCTAGACAGAATCATTCTCAGAACGTTTTCTGCGATGACTGCATTCAACTCACAGATTTGAGCAATCCTTTTGATGGAGCAGTCTTGAAACCCTCTTTCTTTGGAATCTGCAAGGGGATATGTGGACTTCTTTGAAGATTTCACTGGAAATGGGATCATCTTCACATAAAAACTAAACAGAAGCATTCTCGGAAACTACTTTGTGAGGTTTGTATTCAACTCCCAGAGTTGAACTTTCCTTTTGAAAGAGTAGCTATGAAACACTCTTTTTCGAGAATCTGCAAGTGGACGTTTGGAGGGCTTTGAGGCCTGTGGTGGAAAAGGAAATATCTTCACATAAAAACTAGATAGAAGCATTCTCAGAAACTACTTTGTGAGGATGGCATTCAACTCATGGAGTTGAACAATCCTATTGATAGAGCAGATTGGAATCACTCTTTTTGTAGAATCTGCAAATGGAGATTTGGACTGCTTTGAGGCCTACGGTAGTATAGGAAGGAACTTCATATAAAAGGCAAACGGAAGCATTCTCAGAATATTCTTTGTGATGATGGAGTTTCACTCACAGAGCTGAACATGCCTTTTGATGGAGCAGTTTCCAAATACACTTTTGGTAGAATCTGCCGGTGGATATTTGGACCTCTCTGAGGATTTCGTTGGAAACGGGAATAATTTCCCATAACTAAACACAAACACTCTGAGAAAGTTCTTCATGATGAATGCATTGAACTCGCAGAGATGAACCTGCCTTTGAGAGTTCAGGTTCGAAACACTCTTTCTGTAGAATCTGCAAGTGGATATTTGGACCACTGGGTGGCCTTCGTTCGAAACGGGTATATGTTCACGTAAAAACTAAAGAGAAGCATTCTCAGAATCTTCTGAGTGATGATTGCTTTCAAGTCACACAGTTGAACCCTCCTTTTGATTGAGCAGTTTTGAAACTGTCTTTTTGTAGAATCTGTAAGTGGATACGTGGACCTCTTTGAAGATTTCTTTGGAAACGGGAATATTTCCACAGAAAAACTAAACTGAAGTATTCTCAGAAACTGCTTTGTGATGTTTGTGTTCGAGCCACAGAGTTTAACATTGCTTTTCATAGAGCAGTTTTGTAATATTCTTTTCGCAGAATCTGCAAGCGGATATTTGGAGCGCTTTCAGGCCTGTGGTGGAAAAGGCCTGAAAGCCTTTTCCTTTATCTTCACAGAAAGACGAGAGAGAAGCATTGTCAGAAACTTCTTTGTGATGATTGCATTCAACTCACAGAGTTGAAGATTCCTTTTGAAACAGCAGTTTCGAAACACTCTTTCTGTGGGATCCGCAAGGGGATATTTGGACCTCTTTGAAGATTTCGTTGGAAACGGGATAATCTTCACCTAAAACCTAAGCGGAAGCATTCTCAGAAACTTCTTTGGGATGTTTGCATTCACCTCACAGAGTTGAACTTTCCCTTTGATAGCGCAGCTTCGACACACTTTTTCTACAATGTGCAAGTGGATATTTAGCGGGCTTGGAGGACTGTGGTGGAAAAGGAAATATCTTCTCCTAAAAACCACATAGAAGCATTCTCAGAAACTGCTCTGTGATGATTGCATTCAACTCCCAGAGTTGAACATTCCTTTTGATAGAGCAGTTTGCAAACACTCTTTTTGTAGAATCTGCAAGTGGAGATTTGGACCGCTTTGAGGCCTGTGGTAGTAAAGGAAAGAACTTCATATAAAAACCAGACGGTAGCACTCTCAGAAAATTCTTTGTGACGATGGAGTTTAACTCAGAGAGCTGAACATTCGTTATGATGGAGCAGTTTCCAAACACACGTTTTGTAGAATCTGCAAGGGGATATTCGGACCTCTCTGAGGATTTCGTTGGAAACGGGATCAACGTCCCATAACTGAACGGAAGCAAACTCAGAACATTCTTTGTGATGTTTGTATTCAACTCACAGAGTTGAACCTTCCTTTGATAGTTCAGGTTTGCAACACCCTTGTAGTAGAATCTGCAAGTGTATATTTTGACCACTTTGTAGCCTTCGTTTGAAACGTCTATATCTTCACATCAAACCTAGACAGAAGCATTCTCAGAAAGTTTTCTGCGATGACTGCATTCAACTCACAGAGTTGAACAATCCTTTCGCTGGAGCAGTTTTGAAACCCTCTTTCTTTGGAATCTGCAAGGGCATATGTGGACCTCTTTGAAGATTTCACTGGAAACGGGATCATCTTCACATAAAAACTAAACAGAAGCATTCTCGGAAACTACTTTGTGATGTTTGTATTCAACTCCCAGAGTTGAACTTTCCTTTTGAAAGAGCAGCTATGAAACACTCTTTTTCGAGAATCTGCAAGTGGACGTTTGGAGGGCTTTGAGGCCTGTGGTGGAAAAGGAAATATCTTCACATAAAAACTAGATAGAAGCATTCTCAGAAACTACTTTGTGACGATGGCATTCAACTCATGGAGTTGAACAATCCTATTGATAGAGCAGATTGGAATCACTCTTTTTGTAGAATCTGCAAATGGAGATTTGGACTGCTTTGAGGCCTACGGTAGTATAGGAAGGAACTTCATATAAAAGGCAAACGGAAGCATTCTCAGAATATTCTTTGTCATGATGGAGTTTCACTCACAGAGCTGAACATGCCTTTTGATGGAGCAGTTTCCAAATACACTTTTGGTAGAATCTGCCGGTGGATATTTGGACCTCTCTGAGGATTTCGTTGGAAACGGGAATAATTTCCCATAACTAAACACAAACACTCTGAGAAAGTTCTTCATGATGAATGCATTGAACTCGCAGAGATGAACCTGCCTTTGAGAGTTCAGGTTCGAAACACTCTTTCTGTAGAATCTGCAAGTGGATATTTGGACCACTGGCTGGCCTTCGTTCGAAACGGGTATATGTTCACGTAAAAACTAAAGAGAAGCATTCTCAGAATCTTCTGAGTGATGATTGCTTTCAAGTCACACAGTTGAACCCTCCTTTTGATTGAGCAGTTTTGAAACTGTCTTTTTGTAGAATCTGTAAGTGGATACGTGGACCTCTTGGAAGATTTCTTTGGAAACGGGAATATTTCCACAGAAAAACTAAACTGAAGTATTCTCAGAAACTGCTTTGTGATGTTGGTGTTCGAGCCACAGAGTTTAACATTGCTTTTCATAGAGCAGTTTTGAAATATTCTTTTCGCAGAATCTGCAAGTGGACATTTGGAGCGCTTTCAGGCCTGTGGTGGAAAAGGCCTGAAAGCCTTTTCCTTTATCTTCACAGAAAGACGAGAGAGAAGCATTGTCAGAAACTTCTTTGTGATGATTGCATTCAACTCACAGAGTTGAAGATTCCTTTTGAAACAGCAGTTTCGAAACACTCTTTCTGTGGGATCCGCAAGGGGATATTTGGACCTCTTTGAAGATTTCGTTGGAAACGGGATAATCTTCACCTGAAAGCTAAACGGAAGCATTCTCAGAAACTTCTTTGGGATGTTTGCATTCACCTCACAGAGTTGAACTTTCCCTTTGATAGCGCAGCTTCGACACACTTTTTCTACAATGTGCAAGTGGATATTTAGCGGGCTTGGAGGACTGTGGTGGAAAAGGAAATATCTTCTCCTAAAAACCACATAGAAGCATTCTCAGAAACTGCTCTGTGATGATTGCATTCAACTCCCAGAGTTGAACATTCCTTTTGATAGAGCAGTTTGCAAACACTCTTTTTGTAGAATCTGCAAGTGGAGATTTGGACCGCTTTGAGGCCTGTGGTAGTAAAGGAAACAACTTCATATAAAAACTAGACGGTAGCACTCTCAGAAAATTCTTTGTGACGATGGAGTTTAACTCAGAGAGCTGAACATTCGTTATGATGGAGCAGTTTCCAAACACACGTTTTGCAGAATCTGCAAGGGGATATTTGGACCTCTCTGAGGATTTCGTTGGAAACGGGATCAACTTCCCATAACTGAACGGAAGCAAACTCAGAACATTCTTTGTGATGTTTGTATTCAACTCACAGAGTTGAAACTTCCTTTGATAGTTCAGGTTTGCAACACCCTTGTAGTAGAATCTGCAAGTGTATATTTTGACCACTTTGTAGCCTTCGTTTGAAACGTCTATATCTTCATATCAAACCTAGACAGAAGCATTCTCAGAAAGTTTTCTGCGATGACTGCATTCAACTCACAGAGTTGAACAATCCTTTTGATGGAGCAGTTTTGAAACCCTCTTTCTTTGGAATCTGCAAGGGGATATGTGGACCTCTTTGAAGATTTCACTGGAAACGGGATCATCTTCACATAAGAAGTAAACAGAAGCATTCTCGGAAACTACTTTGTGATGTTTGTATTCAAATCACAGATTTGAACTTTCCTTTTGAAAGAGCAGCTACGAAACACTCTTTTTCGAGAATCTGCAAGCGGACGTTTGGAGGGCTTTGAGGCCTGTGGTGGAAAAGGAAATATCTTCACATAAAAACTAGATAGAAGCATTCTCAGAAAAGACTTTGTGAGGATGGCATTCAACTCATGGAGTTGAACAATCCTATTGATAGAGCAGATTGGAATCACTCTTTTTGTAGAATCTGCAAATGGAGATTTGGACTGCTTTGAGGCCTACGGTAGTATAGGAAGGAACTTCATCTAAAAGGCAAACGGAAGCATTCTCAGAATATTCTTTGTGATGATGGAGTTTCACTCACATAGCTGAACATGCCTTTTGATGGAGCAGTTTCCAAATACACTTTTGGTAGAATCTGCAGGTGGATATTTGGACCTCTCGGAGGATTTCGTTGGAAAAGGGAATAATTTTCCATAACTAAACACAAACACTCTGAGAAAGTTCTTCATGATGAATGCATTTAACTCGCAGAGATGAACCTGCATTTGAGAGTTCAGGTTCGAAACACTCTTTCTGTAGAATCTGCAAGTGGATATTTGGACCACTGGGTGGCCTTCGTTCAAAACGGGTATATGTTCACGTAAAAACTAAAGAGAAGCATTCTCAGAAACATCTGAGTGATGATTGCATTCAAGTCACACAGTTGAACCCGCCTTTTGATGGAGCAGTTTTGAAACTGTCTTTTTGTAGAATCTGTAAGTGGATACGTGGACCTCTTGGAAGATTTCTTTGGAAACGGGAATATTTCCACAGAAAAACCAAACTGAAGCAGTCTCAGAAACGGCTTTGTGATGTTGGTGTTCGAGCCGCAGAGTTTAACATTGCTTTTCATAGAGCAGTTTTGAAATATTCTTTTGGCAGAATCTGCAAGTGGACATTTGGAGCGCTTTCAGGCCTGTGGTGGAAAAGGCCTGAAAGCCTTTTCCTTTATCTTCACAGAAAGACGAGAGAGAAGCATTGTCAGAAACTTCTTTGTGATGATTGCATTCAACTCACAGAGTTGAAGATTCCTCTTGAAACAGCAGTTTCGAAACACACTTTCTGTGGGATCCGCAAGGGGATATTTGGACCTCTTTGAAGATTTCGTTGGAAACGGGATAATCTTCACCTGAAAGCTAAACGGAAGCATTCTCAGAAACTTCTTTGGGATGTTTGCATTCACCTCACAGAGTTGAACTTTCCCTTTGATAGCGCAGCTTCGACACACTTTTTCTACAATGCGCAAGTGGATATTTAGCGGGCTTGGAGGACTGTGTTGGAAAAGGAAATATCTTCTCCTAAAAACGACATAGAAGCATTCTCAGAAACTGCTCTGTGATGATTGCATTCAACTCCCAGAGTTGAACATTCCTTTTGATAGAGCAGTTTGCAAACACTCTTTTTGTAGAATCTGCAAGTGGAGATATGGACCGCTTTGAGGGCTGTGGTAGTAAAGGAAAGAACTTCATATAAAAACTAGACGGTAGCACTCTCAGAAAAAACTTTGTGACGATGGAGTTTAACTCAGAGAGCTGAACATTCGTTATGATGGAGCAGTTCCCAAACACACGTTTTGCAGAATCTGCAAGGGGATATTTGGACCTCTCTGAGGATTTCGTTGGAAACGGGATCAACTTCCCATAACTGAACGGAAGCAAACTCAGAACATTCTTTGTGATGTTTGTATTCAACTCACAGAGTTGAACCTTCCTTTGATAGTTCAGGTTTGCAACACCCTTGTAGTAGAATCTGCAAGTGTATATTTTGACCACTTTGTAGCCTTCGTTTGAAACGTCTATATCTTCACATCAAACCTAGACAGAAGCATTCTCAGAAAGTTTTCTGCGATGACTGCATACAACTCATAGAGTTGAGTAATCCTTTTGATGGAGCAGTTTTGAAACCCTCTTTCTTTGGAATCTGCAAGGGGATATGTGGACCTCTTTCAAGATTTCACTGGAAACGGGATCATCTTCACATAAGAACTAAACAGAAGCATTCTCGGAAACTACTTTGTGATGTTTGTATTCAACTCCCAGAGTTGAACTTTCCTTTTGAAAGAGCAGCTATGAAACACTCTTTTTCGAGAATCTGCAAGTGGACGTTTGGAGGGCTTTGAGGCCTGTGGTGGAAAAGGAAATATCTTCACATAAAAACTAGATAGAAGCATTCTCAGAAACGACTTTGTGAGGATGGCATTCAACTCATGGAGTTGAACAATCCTATTGATAGAGCAGATTGGAATCACTCTTTTTGTAGAATCTGCAAAGGGAGATTTGGACTGCTTTGAGGCCTACGGTAGTATAGGAAGGAACTTCATATAAAAGGCAAACGGACGCATTCTCAGAATATTCTTTGTGATGATGGAGTTTCACTCACAGAGCTGAACATGCCTTTTGATGGAGCAGTTTCCAAATACACTTTTGGTAGAATCTGCAGGTGGATATTTGGACCTGTCGGAGGATTTCGTTGGAAACGGGAATAATTTCCCATAACTAAACACAAACACTCTGAGAAAGTTCTTCATGATGAATGCATTTAACTCGCAGAGATGAACCTGCCTTTGAGAGTTCAGGTTCGAAACACTCTTTCTGTAGAATCTGCAAGTGGATATTTGGACCACTGGCTGGCCTTCGTTCGAAACGGGTATATGTTCACGTAAAAACTAAAGAGAAGCATTCTCAGAAACTTCTGAGTGATGATTGCATTCAAGTCACACAGTTGAACCCGCCTTTTGATTGAGCAGTTTTGAAACTGTCTTTTTGTAGAATCTGTAAGTGGATACGTGGACCTCTTGGAAGATTTCCTTGGAAACGGGAATATTTCCACAGAAAAACTAAACTGAAGCATTCTCAGAAACTGCTTTGTGATGTTGGTGTTCGAGCCACAGAGTTTAACATTGCTTTTCATAGAGCAGTTTTGAAATATTCTTTTGGCAGAATCTGCAAGTGGACATTTGGAGCGCTTTCAGGCCTGTGGTGGAAAAGGCCTGAAAGCCTTTTCCTTTATCTTCACAGAAAGACGAGAGAGAAGCATTGTCAGAAACTTCTTTGTGATGATTGCATTCAACTCACAGAGTTGAAGATTCCTTTTGAAACAGCAGTTTCAAAACACTCTTTCTGTGGGATCCGCAAGGGGATATTTGGACCTCTTTGAAGATTTCGTTGGAAACGGGATAATCTTCACCTGAAAGCTAAACGGAAGCATTCTCAGAAACTTCTTTGGGATGTTTGCATTCACCTCACAGAGTTGAACTTTCCCTTTGATAGCGCAGCTTCGACACACTTTTTCTACAATGCGCAAGTGGATATTTAGCGGGCTTGGAGGACTGTGTTGGAAAAGGAAATATCTTCTCCTAAAAACGACATAGAAGGATTCTCAGAAACTGCTCTGTGATGATTGCATTCAACTCCCAGAGTTGAACATTCCTTTTGATAGAGCAGTTTGCAAACACTCTTTTTGTAGAATCTGCAAGTGGAGATTTGGACCGCTTTGAGGCCTGTGGTAGTAAAGGAAAGAACTTCATATAAAAAGTAGATGGTAGCACTCTCAGAAAATTCTTTGTGACGATGGAGTTTAACTCAGAGAGCTGAACATTCGTTATGATGGAGCAGTTTCCAAACACACGTTTTGCAGAATCTGCAAGGGGATATTTGGACCTCTCTGAGGATTTCGTTGGAAACGGGATCAACTTCCCATAACTGAACGGAAGCAAACTCAGAACATTCTTTGTGATGTTTGTATTCAACTCACAGAGTTGAACCTTCCTTTGATAGTTCAGGTTTGCAACACCCTTGTAGTAGAATCTGCAAGTGTATATTTTGACCACTTTGTAGCCTTCGTTTGAAACGTCTATATCTTCACATCAAACCTAGACAGAAGCATTCTCAGAAAGTTTTCTGCGATGACTGCATTCAACTCACAGAGTTGAGCAATCCTTTTGATGGAGCAGTTTTGAAACCCTCTTTCTTTGGAATCTGCAAGGGGATATGTGGACCTCTTTCAAGATTTCACTGGAAACGGGATCATCTTCACTTAAGAACTAAACAGAAGCATTCTCGGAAACTACTTTGTGATGTTTGTATTCAACTCCCAGAGTTGAACTTTCCTTTTGAAAGAGCAGCTATGAAACACTCTTTTTCGAGAATCTGCAAGCGGACGTTTGGAGGGCTTTGAGGCCTGCGGTGGAAAAGGAAATATCTTCCCATAAAAACTAGATAGAAGCATTCTCAGAAACGACTTTGTGAGGATGGCATTCAACTCATGGAGTTGAACAATCCTATTGATAGAGCAGATTGGAATCACTCTTTTTGTAGAATCTGCAAATGGAGATTTGGACTGCTTTGAGGCCTACGGTAGTATAGGAAGGAACTTCATATAAAAGGCAAACGGAAGCATTCTCAGAATATTCTTTGTCATGATGGAGTTTCACTCACAGAGCTGAACATGCCTTTTGATGGAGCAGTTTCCAAATACACTTTTGGTAGAATCTGCAGGTGGATATTTGGACCTGTCGGAGGATTTCGTTGGAAACGGGAATAATTTCCCATAACTAAACACAAACACTCTGAGAAAGTTCTTCATGATGAATGCATTTAACTCGCAGAGATGAACCTGCCTTTGAGAGTTCAGGTTCGAAACACTCTTTCTGTAGAATCTGCAAGTGGATATTTGGACCACTGGCTGGCCTTCGTTCGAAACGGGTATATGTTCACGTAAAAACTAAAGAGAAGCATTCTCAGAAACTTCTGAGTGATGATTGCATTCAAGTCACACAGTTGAACCCGCCTTTTGATTGAGCAGTTTTGAAACTGTCTTTTTGTAGAATCTGTAAGTGGATACGTGGACCTCTTGGAAGATTTCTTTGGAAACGGGAATATTTCCACAGAAAAACTAAACTGAAGCATTCTCAGAAACTGCTTTGTGATGTTGGTGTTCGAGCCGCAGAGTTTAACATTGCTTTTCATAGAGCAGTTTTGAAATATTCTTTTGGCAGAATCTGCAAGTGGACATTTGGAGCGCTTTCAGGCCTGTGGTGGAAAAGGCCTGAAAGCCTTTTCCTTTATCTTCACAGAAAGACGAGAGAGAAGCATTGTCAGAAACTTCTTTGTGATGATTGCATTCAACTCACAGAGTTGTAGATTCCTTTTGAAACAGCAGTTTCGAAACACTCTTTCTGTGTGATCCGCAAGGGGATATTTGGACCTCTTTGAAGATTTCGTTGGAAACGGGATAATCTTCACCTAAAAGCTAAACGGAAGCATTCTCAGAAACTTCTTTGGGATTTTGCATTCACCTCACAGAGTTGAACTTTCCCTTTGATAGCGCAGCTTCGACACACTTTTTCTACAATGTGCAAGTGGATATTTAGCGGGCTTGGAGGACTGTGGTGGAAAAGGAAATATCTTCTCCTAAAAACGACATAGAAGCATTCTCAGGAACTGCTCTGTGATGATTGCATTCAACTCCCAGAGTTGAACATACCTTTTGATAGAGCAGTTTGCAAACACTCTTTTTGTACAATCTGCAAGTGGAGATTTGGACCGCTTTGAGGCCTGTGGTAGTAAAGGAAAGAACTTCATATAAAAACTAGACGGTAGCACTCTCAGAAAATTCTTTGTGACGATGGAGTTTAACTCAGAGAGCTGAACATTCGTTATGATGGAGCAGTTTCCAAACACACGTTTTGCAGAATCTGCAAGGGGATATTTGGACCTCTCTGAGGATTTCGTTGGAAACGGGATCAACTTCCCATAACTGAACGGAAGCAAACTCAGAACATTCTTTGTGATGTTTGTATTCAACTCACAGAGTTGAACCTTCCTTTGATAGTTCAGGTTTGCAACACCCTTGTAGTAGAATCTGCAAGTGTATATTTTGACCACTTTGTAGCCTTCGTTTGAAACGTCTATATCTTCACATCAAACCTAGACAGAAGCATTCTCAGAAAGTTTTCTGCGATGACTGCATTCTACTCACAGAGTTGAGCAATCCTTTTGATGGAGCAGTTTTGAAACCCACTTTCTTTGGAATCTGCAAGGGCATATGTGGACCTCTTTGAAGATTTCACTGGAAACGGGATCATCTTCACATAAGAACTAAACAGAAGCATTCTCGGAAACTACTTTGTGATGTTTGTATTCAACTCCCAGAGTTGAACTTTCCTTTTGAAAGAGCAGCTATGAAACACTCTTTTTCGAGAATCTGCAAGTGGATGTTTGGAGGGCTTTGAGGCCTGTGGTGGAAAAGGAAATATCTTCACATAAAAACTAGATAGAAGCATTCTCAGAAACGACTTTGTGAGGAAGGCATTCAACTCATGGAGTTGAACAATCCTATTGATAGAGCAGATTGGAATCACTCTTTTTGTAGAATCTGCAAATGGAGATTTGGACTGCTTTGAGGCCTACGGTAGTATAGGAAGGAACTTCATATAAAAGGCAAACGGAAGCATTCTCAGAATATTCTTTGTGATGATGGAGTTTCACTCACAGAGCTGAACATGCCTTTTGATGGAGCAGTTTCCAAATACACTTTTGGTAGAATCTGCAGGTGGATATTTGGACCTCTCGGAGGATTTCGTTGGAAACGGGAATAATTTCCCATAACTAAACACAAACACTCTGAGAAAGTTCTTCATGATGAATGCATTTAACTCGCAGAGATGAACCTGCCTTTGAGAGTTCAGGTTCCAAACACTCTTTCTGTAGAATCTGCAAGTGGATATTTGGACCACTGGGTGGCCTTCGTTCGAAACGGGTATATGTTCACGTAAAAACTAAAGAGAAGCATTCTCAGAAACTTCTGAGTGATGATTGCATTCAAGTCACACAGTTGAACCCGCCTTTTGATTGAGCAGCTTTGAAACTGTCTTTTTGTAGAATCTGTAAGTGGATACGTGGACCTCTTTGAAGATTTCTTTGGAAATGGGAATATTTCCACAGAAAAACTAAACTGAAGCATTCTCAGAAACTGCGTTGTGATGTTGGTGTTCGAGCCGCAGAGTTTAACATTGCTTTTCATAGAGCAGTTTTGAAATATTCTTTTGGCAGAATCTGCAAGTGGACATTTGGAGCGCTTTCAGGCCTGTGGTGGAAAAGGCCTGAAAGCCTTTTCCTTTATCTTCACAGAAAGACGAGAGAGAAGCATTGTCAGAAACTTCTTTGTGATGATTGCAGTCAACTCACAGAGTTGTAGATTCCTTTTGAAACAGCAGTTTCGAAACACTCTTTCTGTGGGATCCGCAAGGGGATATTTGGACCTCTTTGAAGATTTCGTTGGAAACGGGATAATCTTCACCTAAAAGCTAAACGGAAGCATTCTCAGAAACTTCTTTGGGATGTTTGCATTCACCTCACAGAGTTGAACTTTCCCTTTGATAGCGCAGCTTCGACACACTTTTTCTACAATGTGCAAGTGGATATTTAGTGGGCTTGGAGGACTGTGGTGGAAAAGGAAATATCTTCTCCTAAAAACGACATAGAAGCATTCTCAGGAACTGCTCTGTGATGATTGCATTCAACTCCCAGAGTTGAACATTCCTTTTGATAGAGCAGTTTGCAAACACTCTTTTTGTAGAATCTGCAAGTGGAGATTTGGACCGCTTTGAGGCCTGTGGTAGTAAAGGAAAGAACTTCATATAAAAACTAGACGGTAGCACTCTCAGAAAATTCTTTGTGACGATGGAGTTTAACTCAGAGAGCTGAACATTCGTTATGATGGAGCAGTTTCCAAACACACGTTTTGCAGAATCTGCAAGGGGATATTTGGACCTCTCTGAGGATTTCGTTGCAAACGGGATCAACTTCCCATAACTGAACGGAAGCAAACTCAGAACATTCTTTGTGATGTTTGTATTCAACTCACAGAGTTGAACCTTCCTTTGATAGTTCAGGTTTGCAACACCCTTGTAGTAGAATCTGCAAGTGTATATTTTGACCACTTTGTAGCCTTCGTTTGAAACGTCTATATCTTCACATCAAACCTAGACAGAAGCATTCTCAGAAAGTTTTCTGCGATGACTGCATTCAACTCACAGAGTTGAACAATCCTTTTGATGGAGCAGTTTTGAAACCCTCTTTCTTTGGAATCTGCAAGGGGATATGTGGACCTCTTTGAAGATTTCACTGGAAACGGGATCATCTTCACATAAGAACTAAACAGAAGCATTCTCGGAAACTACTTTGTGATGTTTGTATTCAACTCCCAGAGTTGAACTTTCCTTTTGAAAGAGCAGCTATGAAACACTCTTTTTCGAGAATCTGCAAGTGGATGTTTGGAGGGCTTTGAGTCCTGTGGTGGAAAAGGAAATATCTTCACATAAAAACTAGATAGAAGCATTCTCAGAAACGACTTTGTGAGGAAGGCATTCAACTCATGGAGTTGAACAATCCTATTGATAGAGCAGATTGGAATCACTCTTGTTGTAGAATCTGCAAATGGAGATTTGGACTGCTTTGAGGCCTACGGTAGTATAGGAAGGAACTTCATATAAAAGGCAAACGGAAGCATTCTCAGAATATTCTTTGTGATGATGGAGTTTCACTCACAGAGCTGAACATGCCTTTTGATGGAGCAGTTTCCAAATACACTTTTGGTAGAATCTGCAGGTGGATATTTGGACCTCTCGGAGGATTTCGTTGGAAACGGGAATAATTTCCCATAACTAAACACAAACACTCTGAGAAAGTTCTTCATGATGAATGCATTTAACTCGCAGAGATGAACCTGCCTTTGAGAGTTCAGGTTCCAAACACTCTTTCTGTAGAATCTGCAAGTGGATATTTGGACCACTGGGTGGCCTTCGTTCGAAACGGGTATATGTTCACGTAAAAACTAAAGAGAAGCATTCTCAGAAACTTCTGAGTGATGATTGCATTCAAGTCACACAGTTGAACCCGCCTTTTGATTGAGCAGTTTTGAAACTGTCTTTTTGTAGAATCTGTAAGTGGATACGTGGACCTCTTTGAAGATTTCTTTGGAAATGGGAATATTTCCACAGAAAAACTAAACTGAAGCATTCTCAGAAACTGCGTTGTGATGTTGGTGTTCGAGCCGCAGAGTTTAACATTGCTTTTCATAGAGCAGTTTTGAAATATTCTTTTGGCAGAATCTGCAAGTGGACATTTGGAGCGCTTTCAGGCCTGTGGTGGAAAAGGCCTGAAAGCCTTTTCCTTTATCTTCACAGAAAGACGAGAGAGAAGCATTGTCAGAAACTTCTTTGTGATGATTGCATTCAACTCACAGAGTTGAAGATTCCTTTTGAAACAGCAGTTTCGAAACACTCTTTCTGTGGGATCCGCAAGGGGATATTTGGACCTCTTTGAAGATTTCGTTGGAAACGGGATAATCTTCACCTAAAAGCTAAACGGAAGCATTCTCAGAAACTTCTTTGGGATGTTTGCATTCACCTCACAGAGTTGAACTTTCCCTTTGATAGCGCAGCTTCGACACACTTTTTCTACAATGTGCAAGTGGATATTTAGCGGGCTTGGAGGACTGTGTTGGAAAAGGAAATATCTTCTCCTAAAAACGACATAGAAGCATTCTCAGGAACTGCTCTGTGATGATTGCATTCAACTCCCAGAGTTGAACATTCCTTTTGATAGAGCAGTTTGCAAACACTCTTTTTGTAGAATCTGCAAGTGGAGATTTGGACCGCTTTGAGGCCTGTGGTAGTAAAGGAAAGAACTTCATATAAAAACTAGACGGTAGCACTCTCAGAAAATTCTTTGTGACGATGGAGTTTAACTCAGAGAGCTGAACATTCGTTATGATGGAGCAGTTTCCAAACACACGTTTTGCAGAATCTGCAAGGGGATATTTGGACCTCTCTGAGGATTTCGTTGCAAACGGGATCAACTTCCCATAACTGAACGGAAGCAAACTCAGAACATTCTTTGTGATGTTTGTATTCAACTCACAGAGTTGAACCTTCCTTTGATAGTTCAGGTTTGCAACACCCTTGTAGTAGAATCTGCAAGTGTATATTTTGACCACTTTGTAGCCTTCGTTTGAAACGTCTATATCTTCACATCAAACCTAGACAGAAGCATTCTCAGAAAGTTTTCTGCGATGACTGCATTCAACTCACAGAGTTGAACAATCCTTTTGATGGAGCAGTTTTGAAACCCTCTTTCTTTGGAATCTGCAAGGGGATATGGGGACCTCTTTGAAGATTTCACTGGAAACGGGATCATCTTCACATAAGAACTAAACAGAAGCATTCTCGGAAACTACTTTGTGATGTTTGTATTCAACTCCCAGAGTTGAACTTTCCTTTTGAAAGAGCAGCTATGAAACACTCTTTTTCGAGAATATGCAAGTGGATGTTTGGAGGGCTTTGAGGCCTGTGGTGGAAAAGGAAATATCTTCACATAAAAACTAGATAGAAGCATTCTCAGAAACGACTTTGTGAGGAAGGCATTCAACTCATGGAGTTGAACAATCCTATTGATAGAGCAGATTGGAATCACTCTTTTTGTAGAATCTGCAAATGGAGATTTGGACTGCTTTGAGGCCTACGGTAGTATAGGAAGGAACTTCATATGAAAGGCAAACGGAAGCATTCTCAGAATATTCTTTGTGATGATGGAGTTTCACTCACAGAGCTGAACATGCCTTTTGATGGAGCAGTTTCCAAATACACTTTTGGTAGAATCTGCAGGTGGATATTTGGACCTCTCGGAGGATTTCGTTGGAAACGGGAATAATTTCCCATAACTAAACACAAACACTCTGAGAAAGTTCTTCATGATGAATGCATTTAACTCGCAGAGATGAACCTGCCTTTGAGAGTTAAGGTTCGAAACACTCTTTCTGTAGAATCTGCAAGTGGATATTTGGACCACTGGGTGGCCTTCGTTCGAAACGGGTATATGTTCACGTAAAAACTAAAGAGAAGCATTCTCAGAAACTTCTGAGTGATGATTGCATTCAAGTCACACAGTTGAACCCGCCTTTTGTTTGAGCAGTTTTGAAACTGTCTTTTTGTAGAATCTGTAAGTGGATACGTGGACCTCTTTGAAGATTTCTTTGGAAAGGGGAATATTTCCACAGAAAAACTAAACTGAAGCATTCTCAGAAACTGCGTTGTGATGTTGGTGTTCGAGCCGCAGAGTTTAACATTGCTTTTCATAGAGCAGTTTTGAAATATTCTTTTGGCAGAATCTGCAAGTGGACATTTGGAGCGCTTTCAGGCCTGTGGTGGAAAAGGCCTGAAAGCCTTTTCCTTTATCTTCACAGAAAGACGAGAGAGAAGCATTGTCAGAAACTTCTTTGTGATGATTGCATTCAACTCACAGAGTTGAAGATTCCTTTTGAAACAGCAGTTTCGAAACACTCTTTCTGTGGGATCCGCAAGGGGATATTTGGACCTCTTTGAAGATTTCGTTGGAAACGGGATAATCTTCACCTAAAAGCTAAACGGAAGCATTCTCAGAAACTTCTTTGGGATGTTTGCATTCACCTCACAGAGTTGAACTTTCCCTTTGATAGCGCAGCTTCGACACACTTTTTCTACAATGTGCAAGTGGATATTTAGCGGGCTTGGAGGACTATGGTGGAAAAGGAAATATCTTCTCCTAAAAACGACATAGAAGCATTCTCAGGAACTGCTCTGTGATGATTGCATTCAACTCCCAGAGTTGAACATTCCTTTTGATAGAGCAGTTTGCAAACACTCTTTTTGTAGAATCTGCAAGTGGAGATTTGGACCGCTTTGAGGCCTGTGGTAGTAAAGGAAAGAACTTCATATAAAAACTAGACGGTAGCACTCTCAGAAAATTCTTTGTGACGATGGAGTTTAACTCAGAGAGCTGAACATTCGTTATGATGGAGCAGTTTCCAAACACACGTTTTGCAGAATCTGCAAGGGGATATTTGGACCTCTCTGAGGATTTCGTTGGAAACGGGATCAACTTCCCATAACTGAACGGAAGCAAACTCAGAACATTCTTTGTGATGTTTGTATTCAACTCACAGAGTTGAACCTTCCTTTGATAGTTCAGGTTTGCAACACCCTTGTAGTAGAATCTGCAAGTGTATATTTTGACCACTTTGTAGCCTTCATTTGAAACGTCTATATCTTCACATCAAACCTAGACAGAAGCATTCTCAGAAAGTTTTCTGCGATGACTGCATTCAACTCACAGAGTTGAACAATCCTTTTGATGGAGCAGTTTTGAAACCCTCTTTCTTTGGAATCTGCAAGGGGATATGTGGACCTCTTTGAAGATTTCACTGGAAACGGGATCATCTTCACATAAGAACTAAACAGAAGCATTCTCGGAAACTACTTTGTGATGGTTGTATTCAACTCCCAGAGTTGAACTTTCCTTCTGAAAGAGCAGCTATGAAACACTCTTTTTCGAGAATCTGCAAGCGGACGTTTGGAGGGCTTTGAGGCCTGTGGTGGAAAAGGAAATATCTTCACATAAAAACTAGATAGAAGCATTCTCAGAAACGACTTTGTGAGGATGGCATTCAACTCATGGAGTTGAACAATCCTATTGATAGAGCAGATTGGAATCACTCTTTTTGTAGAATCTGCAAATGGAGATTTGGACTGCTTTGAGGTCTACGGTAGTACAGGAAGGAACTTCATATAAAAGGCAAACGGAAGCATTCTCAGAATATTCTTTGTGATGATGGAGTTTCACTCACAGAGCTGAACATGACTTTTGATGGAGCAGTTGCCAAATACAGTTTTGGTAGAATCTGCAGGAGGATATTTGGAGCTCTCTGAGGATTTCGTTGGAAAAGGGAATAATTTCCCATAACTAAACACAAACACTCTGAGAAAGTTCTTCATGATGAATGCATTTAACTCGCAGAGATGAACCTGCCTTTGAGAGTTCAGGTTCGAAACACTCTTTCTGTAGAATCTGCAAGTGGATATTTGGACCACTGGGTGGCCTTCGTTCGAAACGGGTATATGTTCACGTAAAAACTAAAGATAAGCATTCTCAGAAACTTCTGAGTGATGATTGCATTCAAGTCACACAGTTGAACCCTCCTTTTGATTGAGCAGTTTTGAAACTGTCTTTTTGTAGATTCTGTAAGTGGATACGTGGACCTCTTTGAAGATTTCTTTGGAAACGGGAATATTTCCACAGAAAAACTAAACTGAAGCATTCTCAGAAACTGCTTTGTGATGTTTGTGTTCGAGCCGCAGAGTTTAACATTGCTTTTCATAGAGCAGTTTTGAAATATTCTTTTGGCAGAATCTGCAAGTGGACATTTGGAGCACTTTCAGGCCTGTGGTGGAAAAGGCCTGAAAGCCTTTTCCTTTATCTTCACAGAAAGACGAGGGAGAAGCATTGTCAGAAACTTCTTTGTGATGATTGCATTCAACTCACAGAGTTGAAGATTCCTTTTGAAACAGCAGTTTCGAAACACTCTTTCTGTGGGATCTGCAAGGGGATATTTGGACCTCTTTGAAGATTTCGTTGGAAACGGGATAATCTTCACCTAAAAGCTGAACGGAAGCATTCTCAGAAACTTCTTTGGGATGTTTGCATTCACCTCACAGAGTTGAACTTTCCCTTTGATAGCGCAGCTTCGACACATTTCTCTACAATGTGCAAGTGGATATTTAGCGGGCTTGGAGGACTGTGTTGGAAAAGGAAATATCTTCTCCTAAAAACGACATAGAAGCATTCTCAGAAACTGCTCTGTGATGATTGCATTCAACTCCCAGAGTTGAACATTCCTTTTGATAGAGCGGTTTGCAAACACTCTTTTTGTAGAATCTGCAAGTGGAGATTTGGACCGCTTTGAGGCTTGTGGTAGTAAAGGAAAGAACTTCATATAAAAACTGGACGGTAGCACTCTCAGAAAACACTTTGTGACGATGGAGTTTAACTCAGGGAGCTGAACATTCGTTATGATGGAGCAGTTTCCAAACACACGTTTTGTAGAATCTGCAAGGGGATATTTGGTCCTCTCTGAGGATTTCGTTGGAAACGGGATCAACTTCCCATAACTGAACGGAAGCAAACTCAGAACATTCTCTGCGATGTTTGTATTCAACCCACAGAGTTGAACCTTCCTTTGATAGTTCAGGTTTGCAACACCCTTGTAGTACATTCTGCAAGTGTATATTTTGACCACTTTGTAGCCTTCGTTTGAAACGTCTATATCTTCACATCAAACCTAGACAGAAGCATTCTCAGAAAGTTTTCTGCGATGACTGCATTCAACTCACAGAGTTGAACAATCCTTTTGATGGAGCAGTTTTGAAACCCTCTTTCTTTGGAATCTGCAAGGGGATATGTGGACCTCTTTGAAGATTTCACTGGAAACGGGATCATCTTCACATAAGAACTAAACAGAAGCATTCTCGGAAACTACTTTGGGATGTTTGTATTCAACTCCCAGAGTTGAACTTCCCTTTTGAAAGAGCAGCTATGAAACACTCTTTTTCGAGAATCTGCAAGTGGACGTTTGGAGGGCTTTGAGGCCTGTGGTGGAAAGGGAAATATCTTCACATAAAAACTAGATAGAAGCATTCTCAGAAACGACTTTGTGAGGATGGCATTCAACTCATGGAGTTGAACAATCCTATTGATAGAGCAGATTGGAATCACTCTTTTTGTAGAATCTGCAAATGGAGATTTGGACTGCTTTGAGGCCTATGGTCGTATAGGAAGGAACTTCATATAAAAGGCAAACGGAAGCATTCTCAGAATATTCTTTGTGATGATGGAGTTTCACTCACAGAGCTGAACATGCCTGTTGATGGAGCAGTTTCCAAATACACTTTTGGTAGAATCTGCAGGTGGATATTTGGACCTCTCAGAGGATTTCGTTGGAAACGGGAGTAATTTCCCATAACTAAACACAAACACTCTGAGAAAGTTCTTCATGACGAATACATTTAACTCGCAGAGATGAACCTGCCTTTGAGAGTTCATGTTCGAAACACTCTTTCTCTAGAATCTGCAAGTGGGTATTTGGACCACTGGGTGGCCTTCGTTCGAAACGGGTATATGTTCACGTAAAAACTAAAGAGAAGCATTCTCAGAAACTTCTGAGTGATGATTGCTTTCAAGTCACACAGTTGAACCCTCCTTTTGATTGAGCAGTTTTGAAACTGTCTTTTTGTAGAATCTGTAAGTGGATACGTGGACCTCTTTGAGGATTTCTTTGGAAACGGGAATATTTCCACAGAAAAACTAAACTGAAGCATTCTCAGAAACTGCTTTGTGATGTTTGTGTTCGAGCCGCAGAGTTTAACATTGCTTTTCATAGAGCAGTTTTGAAATATTCTTTTGGCAGAATCTGCAAGTGGACATTTGGAGCGCTTTCAGGCCTGTGGTGGAAAAGGCCTGAAAGCCTTTTCCTTTATCTTCACAGAAAGACGAGGGAGAAGCATTGTCAGAAACTTCGTGGTGATGATTGCATTCAACTCACAGAGTTGAAGATTCCTTTTGAAACAGCAGTTTCGAAACACTCTTTCTGTGGGATCCGCAAGGGGATATTTGGACCTCTTTGAAGATTTCGTTGGAAACGGGATAATCTTCACCTAAAAGCTGAAAGGAAGCATTCTCAAAAACTTCTTTGGGATGTTTACATTCACCTCACAGAGTTGAACTTTCCCTTTGATAGCGCAGCTTCGACACATTTTTCTACAATGTGCAAGTGGATATTTAGCGGGCTTGGAGGACTGTGTTGGAAAAGGAAATATCTTCTCCTAAAAACGACATAGAAGCATTCTCAGAAACTGCTCTGTGATGATTGCATTCAACTCCCAGAGTTGAACATTCCTTTTGATAGAGCGGTTTGGAAACACTCTTTTTGTAGAATCTGCAAGTGGAGATTTGGACCGCTTTGAGGCCTGTGGTAGTAAAGGAAACAACTTCATATAAAAACTAGACGGTAGCACTCTCAGAAATCTCTCTGTGACGATGGAGTTTAACTCAGGGAGCTGAACATTCGTTATGATGGAGCAGTTTCCAAACACACGTTTTGTAGAATCTGCAAGGGGATATTTGGACCTCTCTGAGGATTTCGTTGGAAACGGGATCAACTTCCCATAACTGAACGGAAGCAAACTCAGAACATTCTCTGCGATGTTTGTATTCAACCCACAGAGTTGAACCTTCCTTTGATAGTTCAGGTTTGCAACACCCTTGTAGTACAATCTGCAAGTGTATATTTTGACCACTTTGTAGTCTTCGTTTGAAACGTCTATATCTTCACATCAAACCTAGACAGAATCATTCTCAGAAAGGTTTCTGCGATGACTGCATTCAACTCACAGAGTTGAACAATCCTTTTGATGGAGCAGTTTTGAAACCCTCTTTCTTTGGAATCTGCAAGGGGATATGTGGACCTCTTTGAAGATTTCACTGGAAACGGGATCATCTTCACATAAGAACTAAACAGAAGCATTCTCGGAAACTACTTTGTGATGTTTGTATTCAACTCCCAGAGTTGAACTTCCCTTTTGAAAGAGCAGCTATGAAACACTCTTTTTCGAGAATCTGCAAGTGGACGTTTGGAGGGCTTTGAGGCCTGTGGTGGAAAAGGAAATATCTTCACATAAAAACTAGATAGAAGCATTCTCAGAAACGACTTTGTGAGGATGGCATTCAACTCATGGAGTTGAACAATCCTATTGATAGAGCAGATTGGAATCACTCTTTTTGTAGAATCTGCAAATGGAGATTTGGACTGCTTTGAGGCCTACGGTCGTATAGGAAGGAACTTCATATAAAAGGCAAACGGAAGCATTCTCAGAATATTCTTTGTGATGATGGAGTTTCACTCACAGAGCTGAACATGCCTTTTGATGGAGCAGTTTCCAAATACACTTTTGGTAGAATCTGCAGGTGGACATTTGGACCTCTCTGAGGATTTCGTTGGAAACGGGAATAATTTCCCATAACTAAACACAAACACTCTGAGAAAGTTCTTCATGATGAATGCATTTAACTCGCAGAGATGAACCTGCCTTTGAGAGTTCAGGTTCGAAACACTCTTTCTGTAGAATCTGCAAGTGGATATTTGGACCACTGGGTGGCCTTCGTTCGAAACGGGTATATGTTCACGTAAAAACTAAAGAGAAGCATTCTCAGAAACTTCTGAGTGATGATTGCATTCAAGTCACACAGTTGAACCCTCCTTTTGATTGAGCAGTTTTGAAACTGTCTTTTTGTAGATTCTGTAAGTGGATACGTGGACCTCTTTGAAGATTTCTTTGGAAACGGGAATATTTCCACAGAAAAACTAAACTGAAGCATTCTCAGAAACTGCTTTGTGATGTTTGTGTTCGAGCCGCAGAGTTTAACATTGCTTTTCATAGAGCAGTTTTGAAATATTCTTTTGGCAGAATCTGCAAGTGGACATTTGGAGCACTTTCAGGCCTGTGGTGGAAAAGGCCTGAAAGCCTTTTCTTTTATCTTCACAGAAAGACGAGGGAGAAGCATTGTCAGAAACTTCTTTGTGATGATTGCATTCAACTCACAGAGTTGAAGATTCCTTTTGAAACAGCAGTTTCGAAACACTCTTTCTGTGGGATCCGCAAGGGGATATTTGGACCTCTTTGAAGATTTCGTTGGAAACGGGATAATCTTCACCTAAAAGCTGAACGGAAGCATTCTCAGAAACTTCTTTGGGATGTTTGCATTCACCTCACAGAGTTGAACTTTCCCTTTGATAGCGCAGCTTCGACACATTTCTCTACAATGTGCAAGTGGATATTTAGCGGGCTTGGAGGACTGTGTTGGAAAAGGAAATATCTTCTCCTAAAAACGACATAGAAGCATTCTCAGAAACTGCTCTGTGATGATTGCATTCAACTCCCAGAGTTGAACATTCCTTTTGATAGAGCGGTTTGCAAACACTCTTTTTGTAGAATCTGCAAGTGGAGATTTGGACCGCTTTGAGGCTTGTGGTAGTAAAGGAAAGAACTTCATATAAAAACTGGACGGTAGCACTCTCAGAAAACTCTTTGTGACGTTGGAGTTTAACTCAGGGAGCTGAACATTCGTTATGATGGAGCAGTTTCCAAACACACGTTTTGTAGAATCTTCAAGGGGATATTTGGTCCTCTCTGAGGATTTCGTAGGAAACGGGATCAACTTCCCATAACTGAACGGAAGCAAACTCAGAACATTCTCTGCGATGTTTGTATTCAACCCACAGAGTTGAACTTTTCTTTGATAGTTCAGGTTTGCAACACCCTTGTAGTACATTCTGCAAGTGTATATTTTGACCACTTTGTAGCCTTCTTTTGAAACGTCTATATCTTCACATCAAACCTAGACAGAAGCATTCTCAGAAAGTTTTCTGCGATGACTGCATTCAACTCACAGAGTTGAACAATCCTTTTGATGGAGCAGTTTTGAAACCCTCTTTCTTTGGAATCTGCAAGGGGATATGTGGACCTCTTTGAAGATTTCACTGGAAACGGGATCATCTTCACATAAGAACTAAACAGAAGCATTCTCGGAAACTACTTTGTGATGTTTGTATTCAACTCCCAGAGTTGAACTTCCCTTTTGAAAGAGCAGCTATGAAACACTCTTTTTCGAGAATCTGCAAGTGGACGTTTGGAGGGCTTTGAGGCCTGTGGTGGAAAAGGAAATATCTTCACATAAAAACTAGATAGAAGCATTCTCAGAAACGACTTTGTGAGGATGGCATTCAACTCATGGAGTTGAACAATCCTATTGATAGAGCAGATTGGAATCACTCTTTTTGTAGAATCTGCAAATGGAGATTTGGACTGCTTTGAGGCCTACGGTCGTATAGGAAGGAACTTCATATAAAAGGCAAACGGAAGCATTCTCAGAATATTCTTTGTGATGATGGAGTTTCACTCACAGAGCTGAACATGCCTGTTGATGGAGCAGTTTCCAAATACACTTTTGGTAGAATCTGCAGGTGGATATTTGGACATCTCAGAGGATTTCGTTGGAAACGGGAGTAATTTCCCATAACTAAACACAAACACGCTGAGAAAGTTCTTCATGACGAATACATTTAACTCGCAGAGATGATCCTGCCTTTGAGAGTTCATGTTCGAAACACTCTTTCTCTAGAATCTGCAAGTGGATATTTGGACCACTGGGTGGCCTTCGTTCGAAACGGGTATATGTTCACGTAAAAACTAAAGAGAAGCATTCTCAGAAACTTCTGAGTGATGATTGCTTTCAAGTCACACAGTTGAACCCTCCTTTTGATGGAGCAGTTTTGAAACTGTCTTTTTGTAGGATCTGTAAGTGGATACGTGGACCTCTTTGAGGATTTCTTTGGAAACGGGAATATTTCCACAGAAAAACTAAACTGAAGCATTCTCAGAAACTGCTTTGTGATGTTTGTGTTCGAGCCGCAGAGTTTAACATTGCTTTTCATAGAGCAGTTTTGAAATATTCTTTTGGCAGAATCTGCAAGTGGACATTTGGAGCGCTTTCAGGCCTGTGGTGGAAAAGGCCTGAAAGCCTTTTCCTTTATCTTCACAGAAAGACGAGGGAGAAGCATTGTCAGAAACTTCGTGGTGATGATTGCATTCAACTCACAGAGTTGAAGATTCCTTTTGAAACAGCAGTTTCGAAACACTCTTTCTGTGGGATCCGCAAGGGGATATTTGGACCTCTTTGAAGATTTCGTTGGAAACGGGATAATCTTCACCTAAAAGCTGAAAGGAAGCATTCTCAGAAACTTCTTTGGGATGTTTTCACTCTCCTCACAGAGTTGAACTTTCCCTTTGATAGCGCAGCTTTGACACACTTTTTCTACAATGTGCAAGTGGATATTTAGCGGGCTTGGAGGACTGTGTTGGAAAAGGAAATATCTTCTCCTAAAAACGACATAGAAGCATTCTCAGAAACTGCTCTGTGATGATTGCATTCAACTCCCAGAGTTGAACATTCCTTTTGATAGAGCGGTTTGGAAACACTCTTTTTGTAGAATCTGCAAGTGGAGATTTGGACCGCTTTGAGGCCTGTGTTAGTAAAGGAAACAACTTCATATAAAAACTAGACGGTAGCACTCTCAGAAATCTCTCTGTGACGATGGAGTTTAACTCTGGGAGCTGAACATTCGTTATGATGGAGCAGTTTCCAAACACACGTTTTGTAGAATCTGCAAGGGGATATTTGGACCTCTCTGAGGATTTCGTTGGAAACGGGATCAACTTCCCATAACTGAACGGAAGCAAACTCAGAACATTCTCTGCGATGTTTGTATTCAACCCACAGAGTTGAACCTTCCTTTGATAGTTCAGGTTTGCAACACCCTTTTAGTACAATCTGCAAGTGTATATTTTGACCACTTTGTAGCCTTCGTTTGAAACGTCTATATCTTCACATCAAACCTAGACAGAAGCATTCTCAGAAAGTTTTCTGCGATGACTGCATTCAACTCACAGAGTTGTACAATCCTTTTGATGGAGCAGTTTTGAAACCCTCTTTCTTTGGAATCTGCAAGGGGATATGTGGACCTCTTTGAAGATTTCCCTGGAAACGGGATCATCTTCACATAAGAACTAAACAGAAGCATTCTCGGAAACTACTTTGTGATGTTTGTATTCAACTCCCAGAGTTGAACTTTCCTTTTGAAAGAGCAGCTAGGAAACACTCTTTTTCGAGAATCTGCAAGTGGACGTTTGGAGAGCTTTGAGGCCTGTGGTGGAAAAGGAAATATCTTCACATAAAAACTAGATAGAAGCATTCTCAGAAACGACTTTGTGAGGATGGCATTCAACTCATGGAGTTGAACAATCCTATTGATAAAGCAGATTGGAATCACTCTTTTTGTAGAATCTGCAAATGGAGATTTGGACTGCTTTGAGGCCTATGGTAGTATAGGAAGGAACTTCATATAAAAGGCAAACGGAAGCATTCTCAGAATATCCTTTGTGATGATGGAGTTTCGCTCACAGAGCTGAACATGCCTTTTGATGGAGCAGTTTCCAAATACACTTTTGGTAGAATCTGCAGGTGGATATTTGGACCTCTCTGAGGATTTCGTTGGGAAAAGGAGTAATTTCCCATAACTAAACACAAACACTCTGAGAAAGTTCTTCATGATGAATTCATTTAACTCGCAGAGATGAACCTGCCTTTGAGAGTTCAGGTTCGAAACACTCTTTCTGTAGAATCTGCAAGTGGATATTTGGACCACTGGGTGGCCTTCGTTCGAAACGGGTATATGTTCACGTAAAAACTAAAGAGAAGCATTCTCAGAAACTTCTGAGTGATGATTGCATTCAAGTCACACAGTTGAACCCTCCTTTTGATGGAGCAGTTTTGAAACTGTCTTTTTGTGGAATCTGTAAGTGGATACGTGGACCTCTTTGAAGATTTCTTTGGAAACGGGAATATTTCCACAGAAAAACTAAACTGAAGCATTCTCAGAAACTGCTTTGTGATGTTTGTGTTCGAGCCGCAGAGTTTAACATTGCTTTTCATAGAGCAGTTTTGAAATATTCTTTTGGCAGAATCTGCAAGTGGACATTTGGAGTGCTTTCAGGCCTGTGGTGGAAAAGGCCTGAAAGACTTTTCCTTTATCTTCATAGAAGGACGAGAGAGAAGCATTGTCGGAAACTTCTTTGTGATGATTGCATTCAACTCACAGAGTTGAAGATTCCTTTTGAAACAGCAGTTTCGAAACACTCTTTCTGTGGGATCCGCAAGGGGATATTTGGACCTCTTTGAACATTTCGTTGGAAACGGGATAATCTTCACCTAAAAGCTAAACGGAAGCATTCTCAGAAACTTCTTTTGAGATGTTTGCATTCACTTCACAGAGTTGAACTTTCCCTTTGATAGCGCAGCTTCGACACACTTTTTCTACAATGTGCAAGTGGATATTTAGCGGGCTTGGAGGACTGTGTTGGAAAAGGAAATATCTTCTCCTAAAAACGACATAGAAGCATTCTCAGAAACTGCTCTGTGATGATTGCATTCAACTCCCAGAGTTGAACATTCCTTTTGATAGAGCAGTTTGCAAACACTCTTTTTGTAGAATCTGCAAGTGGAGATTTGGACCGCTTTGAGGCCTGTGGTAGTAAAGGAAATAACTTCATATAAAAACCAGACGGTAGCACTCTCAGAAAATTCTTTGTGACGATGGAGTTTAACTCAGAGAGCTGAACATTCGTTATGATGGAGCAGTTTCCAAACACACGTTTTGTAGAATCTGCAAGGGGATATTTGGACCTCTCGGAGGATTTCGTTGGAAACGGGATCAACTTCCCATAACTGAACTGAAGCAAACTCAGAGCATTCTTTGTGATGTTTGTATTCAACTCACAGAGTTGAAACTTCCTTTGATAGTTCAGGTTTGCAACACCCTTGTAGTAGAATCTGCAAGTGTATATTTTGAACACTTTGTAGCCTTCGTTTGAAACGTCTATATCTTCACATCAAACCTAGACAGAAGCATTCTCAGAAAGTTTTCTGCGATGACTGCATTCAACTCACAGAGTTGAACAATCCTTTTGATGGAGCAGTTGTGAAACCCTCTTTCTTTGGAATCTGCAAGGGGATATGTGGACCTCGTTGAAGATTTCACTGGAAACGGGATCATCTTCACATAAGAACTAAACAGAAGCATTCTCGGAAACGACTTTGTGATGTTTGTATTCAACTCCCAGAGTTGAACTTTCCTTTTGAAAGAGCAGCTATGAAACAATCTTTTTCGAGAATCTGCAAGTGGACGTTTGGAGGGCTTTGAGGCCTGTGGTGGAAAAGGAAATATCTTCACATAAAAACTAGATAGAAGCATTCTCAGAAACGACTTTGTGAGGACGGCATTCAACTCATGGAGTTGAACAATCCTAATGATAGAGCACATTGGAATCACTCTTTTTGTAGAATCGGCAAATGGAGATTTGGACTGCTTTGAGGCCTACGGTAGTACAGGAAGGAACTTCATATAAAAGGCAAACGGACGCATTCTCAGAATATTCTTTGTGATGATGGAGTTTCACTCACAGAGCTGAACATGCCTTTTGATGGAGCAGTTTCCAAATACACTTCTGGTAGAATCTGCAGGTGGATATTTGGAGCTCTCTGAGGATTTCGTTGGATAAGGGAATAATTTCCCATAACTAAACACAAACACGCTGAGAATGTTCTTCATCATGAATGCATTTAACTCGCAGCGATGAACCTGCCTTTGAGAGTTCAGGTTCGAAACACTCTTTCTGTAGAATCTGCAAGTGGATATTTGGACCACTGGGTGGCCTTCGTTCGAAACGGGTATATGTTCACGTAAAAACTAAAGAGAAACATTCTCAGAAACTTCTGAGTGATGATTGCATTCAAGTCACACAGTTGAACCCTCCTTTTGATTGAGCAGTTTTGAAACTGTCTTTTTGTAGAATCTGTAAGTGGATACGTGGACCTCTTTGAAGATTTCTTTGGAAACGGGAATATTTCCACAGAAAAACTAAACTGAAGCATTCTCAGAAACTGCTTTGTGATGTTTGTGTTCGAGCCGCCAAGTTTAACATTGCTTTTCATAGAGCAGTTTTGAAATATTCTTTTGGCAGAATCTGCAAGTGGACATTTGGAGCGCTTTCAGGCCTGTGGTGGAAAAGGCCTGAAAGCCTTTTCCTTTATCTTCACAGAAAGACGAGAGAGAAGCATTGTCGGAAACTTCTTTGTGATGATTGCATTCAACTCACAGAGTTGAAGATTCCTTTTGAAACAGCAGTTTCGAAACACTCTTTCTGTGGGATCCGCAAGGGGATATTTGGACCTCTTTGAAGATTTCGTTGGAAACGGGATAATCTTCACCTAAAAGCTGAAAGGAAGCATTCTCAGAAACTTCTTTGGGATGTTTTCACTCTCCTCACAGAGTTGAACTTTCCCTTTGATAGCGCAGCTTTGACACACTTTTTCTACAATGTGCAAGTGGATATTTAGCGGGCTTGGAGGACTGTGTTGGAAAAGGAAATATCTTCTCCTAAAAACGACATAGAAGCATTCTCAGAAACTGCTCTGTGATGATTGCATTCAACTCCCAGAGTTGAACATTCCTTTTGATAGAGCGGTTTGGAAACACTCTTTTTGTAGAATCTGCAAGTGGAGATTTGGACCGCTTTGAGGCCTGTGTTAGTAAAGGAAACAACTTCATATAAAAACTAGACGGTAGCACTCTCAGAAATCTCTCTGTGACGATGGAGTTTAACTCTGGGAGCTGAACATTCGTTATGATGGAGCAGTTTCCAAACACACGTTTTGTAGAATCTGCAAGGGGATATTTGGACCTCTCTGAGGATTTCGTTGGAAACGGGATCAACTTCCCATAACTGAACGGAAGCAAACTCAGAACATTCTCTGCGATGTTTGTATTCAACCCACAGAGTTGAACCTTCCTTTGATAGTTCAGGTTTGCAACACCCTTTTAGTACAATCTGCAAGTGTATATTTTGACCACTTTGTAGCCTTCGTTTGAAACGTCTATATCTTCACATCAAACCTAGACAGAAGCATTCTCAGAAAGTTTTCTGCGATGACTGCATTCAACTCACAGAGTTGTACAATCCTTTTGATGGAGCAGTTTTGAAACCCTCTTTCTTTGGAATCTGCAAGGGGATATGTGGACCTCTTTGAAGATTTCCCTGGAAACGGGATCATCTTCACATAAGAACTAAACAGAAGCATTCTCGGAAACTACTTTGTGATGTTTGTATTCAACTCCCAGAGTTGAACTTTCCTTTTGAAAGAGCAGCTAGGAAACACTCTTTTTCGAGAATCTGCAAGTGGACGTTTGGAGAGCTTTGAGGCCTGTGGTGGAAAAGGAAATATCTTCACATAAAAACTAGATAGAAGCATTCTCAGAAACGACTTTGTGAGGATGGCATTCAACTCATGGAGTTGAACAATCCTATTGATAAAGCAGATTGGAATCACTCTTTTTGTAGAATCTGCAAATGGAGATTTGGACTGCTTTGAGGCCTATGGTAGTATAGGAAGGAACTTCATATAAAAGGCAAACGGAAGCATTCTCAGAATATTCTTTGTGATGATGGAGTTTCACTCACAGAGCTGAACATGCCTTTTCATGGAGCAGTTTCCAAATACACTTTTGGTAGAATCTGCAGGTTGATATTTGGACCTCTCTGAGGATTTCGTTGGAAACGGGAATAATTTCCCATAACTAAACACAAACACGCTGAGAAAGTTCTTCATGATGAATGCATTTATCTCGCAGAGATGAACCTGCCTTTGAGAGTTCAGGTTCGAAACACACTTTCTGTAGAATCTGCAAGTGGATATTTGGACCACTGGGTGGCCTTCGTTCGAAACGGGTATATGTTCACGTAAAAACTAAAGAGAAGCATTCTCAGAAACTTCTGAGTGATGATTGCATTCAAGTCACACAGTTGAACCCTCCTTTTGATTGAGCAGTTTTGAAACTGTCTTTTTGTAGAATCTGTAAGTGGATACGTGGACCTCTTTGAAGATTTCTTTGGAAAAGGGAATATTTCCACAGAAAAACTGAACTGAAGCATTCTCAGAAACTGCTTTGTGATGTTTGTGTTCGAGCCGCAGAGTTTAACATTGCTTTTCATAGAGCAGTTTTGAAATATTCTTTTGGCAGAATCTGCAAGTGGACATTTGGAGCGCTTTCAGGCCTGTGGTGGAAAAGGCCTGAAAGCCTTTTCCTTTATCTTCACAGAAAGACGAGAGAGAAGCATTGTCGGAAACTTCTTTGTGATGATTGCATTCAACTCACAGAGTTGAAGATTCCTTTTGAAACAGCAGTTTCGAAACACTCTTTCTGTGGGATCCGCAAGGGGATATTTGGACCTCTTTGAAGATTTCGTTGGAAACGGGATAATCTTCACCTAAAAGCTAAACGGAAGCATTCTCAGAAACTTCTTTGGGATGTTTGCATTCACCTCACAGAGTTGAACTTTCCCTTTGATAGCGCAGCTTCGACACACATTTTCTACAATGTGCAAGTGGATATTTAGCGGGCTTGGAGGACTGTGTTGGAAAAGGAAATATCTTCTCCTAAAAACGACATAGAAGCATTCTCAGAAACTGCTCTGTGATGATTGCATTCAACTCCCAGAGTTGAACATTCCTTTTGATAGAGCAGTTTTCAAATGCTCTTTTTGTAGAATCTGCAAGTGGAGATTTGGACCGCTTTGAGGCCTGTGGTAGTAAAGGAAAGAACTTCATAGAAAAACTAGACGGTAGCACTCTCAGAAAATTCTTTGTGACGATGGAGTTTAACTCAGAGAGCTGAACATTCGTTATGATGGAGCAGTTTCCAAACACACGTTTTGTAGAATCTGCAAGGGGATATTTGGACCTCTCTGAGGATTTCGTTGGAAACGGGATCAACTTCCCATAACTGAACGGAAGCAAACTCAGAGCATTCCTTGTGATGTTTGTATTCAACTCACAGAGTTGAACCTTCCTTTGATAGTTCAGGTTTGCAACACCCTTGTAGTAGAATCTGCAAGTGTATATTTTGACCACTTTGTAGCCTTCGTTTGAATCGTCTATATCTTCACATCAAACCTAGACAGAAGCATTCTCAGAAAGTTTTCTGTGATGACTGCATTCAACTCACAGAGTTAAACAATCCTTTTGATGGAGCAGTTTTGAAACGCTCTTTCTTTGGAATCTGCAAGGGGATATGAGGACCTCGTTGAAGATTTCACTGGAAACGGGATC